>NC_000022.11:21209564-22459564 GCF_000001405.40 Homo sapiens | reverse complement strand
AAATCCATGGGTCTCTCTTCCTATTTGATTCCTCACTAGATCAGCACATAAGGCAGAATGGTGGGGATTGGAGAAAATTGGCTAGTATATTTGTGTGGTTCACTGGATTTGTTAGAAACAAGAGCTCAGAGTCACAAGGAAAATGAGCACTCAAACAGGATTTCTCGGCAAGGCAAATTTACTTCTGCAGAAGGGTGCCACTCACACCTCTGGCTGCTGCGAGAGCACACCAAATGAAGGAGGGAAGGGGTTTTCATCCCTAATGTGGTTAGTCCCTGCTTCTGTGTCCTGTCCCCATTGGCTGGAGTTGTACTGCACAATCTACACTGACCCGATTGGCTACTATTTAAAATTGAATATGGCTAATTAGGTGGGAAGGGAGAGGCTGTCTGTTATGGTACAAGGTACGTTTGGGCAAGTCAGGGTGTGGCAAAGGCGGGAAGGGTAGTTTCGTGGGAGGGTTAGTTTACAGAATGGGTAGCCAGGAGTAAAAGAGGACTCTTTCCAAATAAGGAAGAGATGTGAGTTACAGATTGGGACTGGTGGGAGAAGTTGTTTACAGAGCAGGTAGCTTAGGAGAAGGGACAAGGAAGTTGATCTCAGGAAGAAAGAACAAGGAATTCAGAAATTAAGCCTTTTAAGAGGAACTTACTGTATCTGACAGTTTCCCCCTTTTGATTTTTATAATTCTTCCTCTTCAAACCTTTTTAACATGCCTTGACTCTGTTGTTCTGCTTGGTTTTCTAAAAGTAGGAGCTTATCTGAATAAGGTGGGGGGGCGGTGGATTTGAAAAAGGTTTTAGTGAGAGTTGTTTCAATAAGCCTTTGTAGTAGGCCTCAGGTGCAGGGTATGATACAACATTCTACAAGAATAAGCAAACCTATTACAATGTCAAGAGAAGTAAAGATTGAGGACATAAGTCTTTTCCATTTGCTGAACCATTTCTCCATTAAATTAGTGAAGGGATCGTTTATTCCTGAATTTTTAGCTACTTCATTGGATAAAGCAGTAAGACCTTGTAATGCTTTTGTTATGGTTCCATCAGGAGCAGTATTACTAGGTATAAAAGTACAACATTGAGTTCCACTCATAACACAGACTCCACCTTTCTCTGCTAGTATCATGTCTAATGCTATTCTATTTTCCCAAACCATTTGGCTGGTGGGTCCTAACTGTTTAGCTATCCTTTTAATAGCATCTCTAGTATAGTTAACAAATCCTTGCTGGTTGTAATAGATGTAATTTATCCAATCTACATTTTTATTTACAGTCAACCACCAGAATAGTATGGACTCAAACCCTGCAACTATCTGATTTTGGGGCTTAGATTCATCTGGCACTCCTCTCTGGACTCCAATGACATCTATATAAGCATGAGAGTCAAAGGACCCATGAGGAGCATCTTTTGTTTTATGATGCTTTGTCTTTATCCTTTTTGGTTGACAAAATGTCAGAGTGAAAGGGATGGCCAATTAGATCAGAGTGCAAGTGCCACTCCAGTTACTTGGAAGTGTCTAGTAATGGTCCGCAGCAATACCACCATACATCTGCTCAGGGATGGATCAGGGCAGACTGATTGATCAGCTCTTGGAATGGCTTAAGCTCACTGCATCCCTTTAGGTCTCCAAGAAATGCTAAGTTTTCCCCTTGTCGTGAGAGACATGGGGTGAAACTTGCATCAGGAGACAGAAGCTGGATGGCCCTCAGGGGCTGACCCACAGGGTGCTGGACTTCAGGAAATAGCAGAGAGAGAGTTCAGCATAATTCATTACCCCAGGCTGTGGGGTGTTGGAAGACAGCTACCATACAGTTCATGCCTGGTTGGCTGGAGGACCTTCCAAGTGGAAAGGGGACAATCAGGGCCTCTGGCCTGCCATGTGCACAAGTGTAACAATTGCTTTTGTTTAGAGTGTGGACAGGAGATTTAATCCATTCCAGCCAGGCATTTGCGTCTTTGTACCCTGTCTCTAGAGCTGTAGTCTGCTTTAAATCTTTTACCTCCACAACCATTACCTTAGTTGGGTCATTCTGGAGATGAGAAGAGAATGCTGAGCCTGATATGTTTGGGGAGAGCATTGGCTCCCATAGGTTCCCTGGACTCTGGGTCTGGATTTCTTTATTGTTTTTAACTGATGGTCTAGCCAACCTCAGAAAGAAGATTCCTATGGGGTCCTGTCCTGTAACATCTGCTCCTAACCCATATCATTCGAATATGGAGGGTTCTTGGGTCATTGTTTGGGGATTATCTATAATTAGCAATAAGGGGTTACACTGCAATGACTTACAATTTGGTGGGGTGGTACCACGAATAAGTTGGAGTTTCTGTTTCAGTCCTCAGAATTGTTTGAAAAAGGGGGCCTGGCTGTCCACCCTCCATATTGGGTGGTCCACCAAACATCTGTCCAGTCACCACAGGGACTTTTTAAGGCTCTATACTTATACTTGGTTGACTCACTACGGTACGGACACAGATACTTATCTACATTTGATAGCTGCCTTTGAGCTCGTTCATCTCTACATGAGGTGACTGAACAAGCATCGAACTGGAGGGTTAAGGGACGATTAGTTTGAGGCACACTGATGATGAGGTGACTTTCTGTTGGAAAGAAAAGGGAAAATAAACAAATGATTATTCAGCCCTTTTTAATTTGGTGCGGGTGGGCCCTGGGGTGACGGCCCATTTTTCTCTCGCTGTGAAAATCACTCCTTTCACTTGTGTGTGGGGTGTCCATCCCCTTTCAGCTGTGCGGACAGCAATTTCTGTAGTTAGAAGCACTAGATAGTGTCCTTCCCAAGCCGGTTCGAGTTTTCCTTCTTTCCAGCTTTTGATGAGAATGTGATCCCAGGCTGATGCTGATGTGCTGGGAGCTCCAAGGGTGGTGTCAGTGCTAAAAGGTCTTTAGTTCTGAGGGAAGAGAAAGTGGAAGACAGACCAATTATATAGTTCTTGAGAAATTGATCTTTAGTTTCAAATGTAGGAATGTCAGCAGTGGAGTGTAAATAAGGCAACCCGTATAGCATTTCTTAAGGAGATAAGCCAATATCTTTCCGAGGGGCAGTTCGGACCCTCAATTAGGCAATAGGAAGGTAGTCGAGTCTCTAAAACTAGTTTGATTAGGTGGCTTTTTAGGATTTGGTTCATTCTTTCTACTCTTTCTGATAAAGGTGGGTGCCAGGGATATGGTATTCCCATCTTATTTGTAATACTTGGGCTAGCTTTTTAATGACATGTGCAGGGAAATAGTTTCCATTATCTGAATCAATATTTTCTATTAATCCAAACCTAGGTATAATATTTTCAGTTAATGTCTAAACTACATTACTGGTGGCTACACTTGAAAAGGGAATAGCTTCTACCCAGCGAGTAAGGTGATCCACTATTACTGGTAGATACTTTAGGTGACCTATTGAGGCCATTTTGGTGTAATCTATCTGGATGCTTTGGAATGGCCTTAATTTCCTGGGTTTCTTCCTCCAAAGGATGGTTTTCTTAGGGTTTGCTTATTAGTTTTTTTGCATATTAAACAACTATCTGTAGCTTGTTTTGCTAGAGTATAAATTCCTATACATCCATAGTCTCTAAGAACTGCATCACACATAGCTTGAGGTCTCCAGTGGGTTCCTTGATGCAGCTGAGATAAAACCTCCCTCATGAGAGGTTTGGATAGCATTTCTCTTTGATCTGGTAACACCCATTTCCCTTCTGAGTTTTCCTTGGTTCCTATTCTTATTAATTTCTCCTTTTCAGCAGGGGAGAAGATGGCAATGGCGGTTGGGGGAGAAAGGCAAGGGGTGAGGTGAAACATGGGCGTTTCAGAGGAAATGGCAGCTTGTTTGGCTATTTGGTCTGTGAGGTTATTCCCTCAGCTTTCAAAAGAAAGATTTTGGTTTTTTACTACCTCCCCAGGAGTTTTTAATTTGGGCTTGATTGGAGGAACTGTAATTTCCCCCAATTTTCTTCTTTTGACCATGTGTCAGGATGGATACGCTCTTCATCCGTGGTGGTGAGTAGGTTTAAGGAGATGAGAAATTTTCCCTGATTAATATAAAGGCCTAAGCCAAATTTTAGCATTAAATCTCTCCCTAATAGATATGTTCCTGCCTCTGGAATTAACAGAAATTTAATATTAGCTGATCTGCTTTTATATATGACTTTTGTTTCTTTTTCCCATTCAGGACATTCTCTTTTGAAGTGACCTATTTTTTCACATTTGAAACATTTGTTTCGTCCTCTTTCTCTCCCTCTGCCTCTCTTTCTCTCCCTCTCTGTCTGGGTCTCTGACTTTTCCTCACTGTCTCTCTGCCTCTCCATCTATCTGCCTCTCTGTCTCTCCCTCCCTCTCTCTCTTTCTGCCTTTGTATCTCCCCCCCTCTCTCCCTGGCTCCCTCCGTTCCCTCTGTCAGTCTTTCTCTCTCCTCTCCCTGCCCTCTTGTTCCCTCTATAGGCCGATATTTCCAGGTCTCTATTTTCTGTAATTTCTTCATGATATCTGGCCAACTATTAGTAACAAAATGGAGTTTTAACATCCCTGCCTAAGGGGATCCTTTATGTTTAAGCCTGCCTATTTTCTCATCTGTTCCTTGAGTCTGTTTAAAAACTCCATGGCTCCCTGGTCTTTTCCCTGCTGTATATTAAATGCTCAGGAAATATTTTGGGTTTGAGGCACTGATTCCTGAATCCCTTTAACTACCTTTTCCCTAAGGTCTTTCATGTTTTCTCAGTTGGCTGCATTGTTATTATCCCATTGGGGGTTTTGGGCCAGAAATTTTTGTTCTGCTGCAGGGGTATTTTGACTGGGAGGATATTTGCACTCCCAGGCTATCATAGTAGCCTTCTGTATCATGGTTCTTTCCTCCCCCGGAAAGAGAACACTTAAGATGGACATTAGCTCAGCCTAAGTGTATACTTGTGATCCTACAAATTGGTCAATTTGATCCACGACCCCAAAAGGATAATCTAATAGTGGTTTAAGTTCTTCCCTCAGGTTTCTGACCTCTGAACTAGTTAAGGGGACATTTACAAAGCCAACTCCCTCTCCTCCTAGAAACACTTCCCTTAAGGGAAAAACGATTGGGGCAGACTCTTTTGAGGAGGAGGGGAAAGGGAAGTTTTGAATATCCTTTTTACATTGCTCTATCTCACGTTGAAGCCTTCTTGCAGGAGGGCGTTCAGGTTGGGGACAGCCCTAACAGTCAGGATTATAAGGAGGGAGGGCATAATGTGAGCAGGGGAAGGGTCTGGGTGGCTGCTTGAGAGAAGTTAGGGGTATCTGGTGGAGGCAGATGGTCTAAGGGATCCCACATGGATTGCTCAGGGGTGGGGCCTTAGTTCCTACAGGGGAATTAGTTTCTGGCTTATCCTTACTAGTTTTAAGGGGGTAGAGGAGGACCGGCCCCTGCCACCAAGACACAGCAGAGTCTATTTCCTCTTGGGAAGCAGGACTTTTGTCATTTACATACTCTATTAAAAGTTGACAAATCCAACTCTCATTTGATCCAAACCTTGGCCAGAAAACTGAAGGTTTGAGAATAGGTTCTTTGGTCCAAATAAAACAATTCCCATATTTGATCATTTGTTGCTTTTTCTTGTGTTTAGTCCTTTCATTATCCCTCCAATATTTTAACATGAGACCTAGAAGGCTATCAGAGGGAATTGTGTTATCTCCTTTGCCCTTTGTAGTTCTTGTTTTACTAGGGTATTTCATATCCTGGAAGTTAATGGGGGCTCATATCTCTCATATTAGAGATTTCTTGCACTCCCGTCTTGGAGGTTAATGGGGGCTCAATCTCTCGTATTAAAGATTTCTTGCACCCTTTTCCCTGGAGGCTCAATCCCCGCTACTGGAGGTTTCTCGCTCTCCTTTCCCTGCTGAGTGTGCGTGGGGCTCAACCTCTCCTACTAGAGATTTCTTGCACCATTTCCCTGGGGCTCAACCTCTCTTACTAGAGATTTCTTGCACCCTTTACTTTACTCCACACTCACTTTGCACTTAATTGTGCATCTCATTCACACATTTTCAACCTGCAGAATGTCCTGACCACTAAGGAAGTACTTCACTGCCCTAGTGGTTTTTCTTACCTTTGTCTGTGCACAGTTACCTGGTCGCCACGGTAACTGTAGGCCTTTTCTTCCTGTGTTGCTGAGAGTCTGGGTTTATTTATCATGCTGGGTGGGTCCTGATTCCTTACCCCTGAGGCCACTGCAATGAAGCAGTGGGATGCATCTCCTCCTAAGAGGTGATCAGAGGCCCTTCCTCAGAGGAGAATGGGAATCCCAGATGACCCCCTATTTTGTTAGAAACAAGAGCTCAGAGTCGCAAGGAAAATGAGCACTCAGACAAAATATTTCTCAGCAAGGCAAACTTATTTCTACAGAAGAGTGCCGCTTGCACTTCTGACCACTGCAAGAGCACACCAAACAAAGGAGGGAAGGGGTTTTCATCCCTAACGTGGTTAGTCCCTGCTTCTGTGTCCTGTCCCCATTGGCTGGAGTTGGACCACACAATCTAAACTGACCTGATTGGCTACTGTTTAAAATTGAGTATGGCTAATTAGGTGGGAAGGGAGAGGCAGTCCATTATGGTACAAGGTATGTTTGGGCATGTCAGGGCGTGGCAAATGTGGGAAGGGTAGTTTTGTGGGAGGGGCAGTTTACAGAATGGGTAGCAAGGAGTAAAAGAGGACTCTTTCTAAATAAGGAGGAGATGTGAGTTACAGATTGGGACTGGTGGGAGAAGTTGTTTACAGAGCAGGTAGCTTAGGAGAAGGGACAAGGAAGTTCATCTCGAGAACAAAGAACAATGAAGTCAGAAATTAAACCTTTGAAGAGGTACTTACTGTGTCTGACAGATTCACTGGAAATACAGAGAATTCTGGAAATACAGAGAAATACAGATTCTCCTGGAAAGGAGAAGAAGAAGGTGCTGGCTGAGGTGAAAAAACAGAATCAATCAACTTCGGGCTTCTTCAGTTCTAAGCATATCTGAGAGGTTCAAGAAAGAGATAAAAGTATGAGTGTCAACTTCAAGGACAGATGCAGAAAAAATGCCAATGAGTTTCCTGTTATAAAGCCCTTGATAATTAACTCAAGAGATTAGAGGGGAGAAGTGGGTGGTAGCAAAGGGAAAGAGAACAAAGAAGGGAATTCAGGAATCAGAGATGTGGAAGGGGAGAGGGTAAGGATGGGCCACATTATAGGAAAGGCTGAAGGAGGAGCCAGTAAGAGTGTTGGACAGGAGCCAGAGGGAAGGTCAGGTTTGTTGTTTGTTTGCTTTTGTTTTTGCTCTCAAAGAAAGGGGAGCCTTTCCTAGCTTTGCAGCTGTCCTCCCTGGTCATCTCCCTCCATGGAGTGTGGGGTTCTTCTATCATGCAAGCTGGTAAATTCCCTATGTCAGAGATTTCTCCTAGGTTCTTGCCTGCCAAGGATTCTCCTTATTTGATACTAGTCTTATGGATATGTTGTCGTTTTTCTTATTATTATTAGAGACAAGGTCTCACTCTGTTACCCAGGCTCAAGTGCAGTGGCATGATCATAGCTCACTGCAGGTTTGAACTCCTGGGCTGAAGCTCTCCTCCTGCCTCAGCCTCCTTAGTACTTAGGGCTACAAGCATACAGCACTATGCCTGGCTAATTCATTTTTTATTATTTAAAAAAAACTATAGAGAAAATATCTTGCTATGTTGCTCTTGGCTGGTTTCAAACTCCTGGCTTCGAGTAATCTTTTTGCCTCAGCTTCCCAAAGTGCTAAGATTACACATATGAGCCTCCACTGCTGGCTGGACTTGTTATTATTCAAATATATATGTGGATTTTGTGTGGCAGGCACATGTGAGAAATGCAGAGATTGTGTCCTCACTCCAGACCCACTGAATAAGAATCTGCATTTTATAAAATCCCCAGATAATTTGTATGCACAATAGAGTTTGGGAAGTACTGTTCTAACACATGCATGGAGACATTGACGTAGTTTTCAATATAAGTTGTTCCTCGTACCTGAATCTATTATGCTCCAGCAAACATGAGCAGGAAATTCTTGTTTCTCTATTTTCTGCATTGTGAAGTCAGGCATAATGTACTCAAGGCTTTCCATAGAAAATTGCAGGCATTTTGTTTGACTTCACTAAATCCACAGAGAAGACCAGGAGCATTTTAATAATAGCCCAATGTCACATCTTTGTCTGACAAGCAATTTGAATTACCCCAAATTATAATTTTTCATTGGTATTCAAATAAAAATAAAATTAGCAACTACTCAAATATTTTACCCTTTCAAATAAATGGAAAACTACTTACATTAACATTAAATGACAGAGCAAAAAGCTGTATAAAACCAGAGGAATGAGCACAAGGTTTGATAACCATTGTGAAAATATTGACAACAAAAATGAGAGAATGCATCCAAATGAAGAAATGTACTTCTATTGATTATCTGGGATAAGGTAGCTTTGCAGAGAACTTGGTGATTTTTAATACTTTCTGATTCCACATAATAGGCATGTATTGCTTTGAAAGTAACTCAATAAAACAAACTTTAGAAATATACAAAAGTAGAGTTTCTTCTCTTTACTCTTAGCTCAGAAACCCCATACTTTGAAGATGCTTCTTTCTGGAGGAAATGCATTTAGCCTCAGCCTTTAGATCTGATCCAGCTGTTAGTGCTCCTTTTAGAATACAAAGCAATAAACTTCTGATTTTTTTTTTGATCCAGTTCTTCCCAGATCATTCTCACATTTCCTTCACTTCAGGGCTTAAGCAGGGATAGGAATCAATTCAGATCCTTTCCTTCCCCTTTCTATGGCTGGTCCACATGTAGGCTGCCTTGAGAGCTGGTGTGCGTGATCATATGATCTTCATATCACAAGGGCCTAGAGAGGTTTATGTCTCGGTTCCTCTTCTGAGTCTGTCACTGTGCCAAGCACGACTATGGTGCAGTAAGCAGTAGTACTCAGCTTCACCTCTCGGGCTGCACACCCAAGAGTGTCTGGGCAGCTTTGCTCCCAAGGACTGAGCCTGAGAACTGGGCAGGGGTCCAGGAGTGTTTGTTGCTTGCATGATAAATCAGTGTCCTGGGGGCTTGGCCAAGCTTCTGCTGGAACCAGTAAGGATAATGACCCCCATTGACTGCTCCAGTGCTGGAGCCATAGGTGAGAGTGACTGTCCCTCCTGGGGACACAGTCAGTGAGGGTTCCTGAGTCATCACAGCCTGAGAATTTGACCCTGAAACAAAAAACAGACACATGTTGGGAATTAGAAAGGGAGACACAGGAATCCCTCCAAAGGCTGGTATTTGAAATCTCTATTAACCTGGGCAGCAAGTGAGGAGGTACATGGGGAGAAGGAGAAGGAGAGGAGTCCAGGCCATGATGCTGATATTAGAAGGGACTCCTGGCTCCAGAGTCGGGGCTGGATTCTGATGGCTCTTTATGTCCTACTGAGCTCCCTATGTGGAGAGGGTGTGTTGTGTGGTACTTTATGCAAATCTTTACTACTTTTAGAACCACTCAGGTTCTTAGCCCTGAGGGCATCTACACTGTGAAGGGCCAGACCAGGGTGACTGTGTGCTGTGGATTTGCTGAGTGGGAGGAAGCAACTGCTCTAGCATTTTACATGAACCAGTGAGCAACTGTGCAGGGTTTATTAAGTTTGAACCTCTTGAGCTTCTTAAGATGCAGAAGACTCAGACTGCCCTGTGATGGCTTTCCTGGACTGAGAATGCCTGGCCTTTCACTTATTTAACAAAATAACAATTGATTTATCTTTTTGACATTACCATGGTATTTCCGAGGCCAATTCACACCCATTACTTGTCTATTCTTTGCTCATTCCTATTTGCACTACTTTTTCTTGCCATTGCTGAAATCCTGTCCCTGTGACTATAATTCAATTTTTGTATTACATGGTGTTAATTTTTATCTGAATGGTTTGAATGACTGAAGAAATTGTTTTAATGACCTACTGACTTTTTGAAACTGTTTATATTGAGCCTCATATTGGATAAACAGCTGTCTTAAGTGAGAATTTTAATAATAATTTACTTCAGAGAATTTTTAAAAAGAAAATAACCAAAGATTGAAGGTTTAAGTTTTATTGTTAATTCAATGGAAACTGAAGTGAGCCTTGAGGATGATCCACAAGGTCTACATAATAACCCCACTCTCACCCAGACCACCCCTTAAAAGCCCTCTGGACACCAAGCTTGGGTGAGCTTTCCTGGTTGGCTCACCCAGGAAATAGGTGTTTCATACACAGAATCACACATTGCTGTGAGCAAAATGAAGCACTGTCTATTTCTCCACTGGGAGAGGACAACTGGGTGCTTGTGCTTGGAATTCTCCTGAACTCTGCCCATGTGCCTCTTCCCTTGAATTATCTTAATCTGTATTATTTTGCTGTAAAAATTTGTATCAATAAATGTCACAGGTTTCAGGGAGTTATGTGAGTTTTTCTAGGGAATCATAAGAAGTGAAGGGCTGTTGGGGAGCCCTTAGGTTACAATTAGCGTCAGAATTGAGAGTACTCTTGGGAATCCTCAGACCTCACAGGTTCCAATCTCACATTATTCTTTTTTTTTTAACTTCAAAGAAAGCTTTAATTTGGGAAGAGTTTCTCATTTTGTTAAAGCTGCAAACAGACTTCTTATACAATTACACTTCTAGAAGTCTAGTAGTTTCAGAGATCTCAGTGTTCAAAGGTATATTTCCAAATCAGTAATAGAACCAAACCCACAGCAAAAGGAAATCACTTTTAGATTGGTTTGGAATGTACAACCATTGATTTTAGGTGTTCTCAGAAACAGCTTCACCACTTCTTTGGAAAACAGGTGGCATGGAGTCAGTGTCCACAGAAGAAAATGTCTTTAAATATGTTAGTTACCTGGACAAGATTATTCACTCCTTAGAAAATACAGTAAGATTACAAGTCCCAGCTGGCAAGGTATGTAGTACAGCATCAGTTTTACAGAGGGATTATGAGATCTTGGGATGAGCGGTTGTTGGCTTATGGCAAAGAATATAAGAGCAGTCACTGGAAGTGGAAGAAGAATGATGATGAGCAGGGCATCTCTCACAGTCCTACTCAGCCTTTTAACTTGGTAAATGGATAGGCTATGTTCTGTAGCATCTTTGGGAGAACATTTAAGACAGTTCAAAAACAATAACAACAACAAAAGCCACCCAATATTATTCCCCAGAAAGTCCATATCTGAAAAGAAAGAAGGACCTGTTCAGGGTTCCCATGGAGGACTGTGCCCCCATCCTCTTTTGTCTCCAGAAAATACAAGACATCAGCCAGAGTGTGCTCTACCACAGCATCCCAGCCCATGTCACTCACAGGGCAGTAAGTGAGATTCTTTGGAGGATACTTGGAGCACAGTCCAAAGTTAATGGAAACTATGAAGCTCTTGTCCAGTGAGATGGCTAAAAGTAACCCCCTAAAAATATCTTTTGAAGCCACATCTTGATTGACACCATGTTTATAAAATATTATTTTACTATATGGAATCTGTTTTAGACTCTTCCCTGCTTTAGCCACAAAGTCTTTTTCCACAAAATAAAAATAATTGTTGAACTTTATCAAAGCCTTATCTTGGTAACTTGGCTGTCTCTTGGGTTTTCAGGAAGATTAATATAAAATCGTAGGATGTCTCCCTGCCCATAGCTAAAACAGTAGTGTTCGCCAGTGGACTGGTGGAAATTGATTCCCTTTTGCTCTGCCAATAATAACTAAATTTATCATAACCTAAGGGAGCTTCATAGTTACCTTAGGGCTGAGATCAACCCAGTCTGGCAGTGGTGTCTGGTGGCATCTCATTCATGGTGATTTCAAAGTACCAGGACCCTTTCCGTATCCCATGAGAGGTCTGCACCATAAAGTAGACCTTCTTTCCAACCACAGTCAGCCAGCCAGTCACTGGAGATCTCTAACTGGGGAGCTTAATCATGTTGATCTAACAAAACCTGTTCATAGAAGCAGTCACTGTAGAGGTCTCCAGGAATAGGTTTTCCTGCCCAGCAGTTAATTTCAAGCTTCTGAGGACCAACCGTGTGAGGATCAGGCTAAGTTAGACTATACCAGTAGCCGTCTTCATTAAATGTGTGATCCAAGGGGTGTGAGGAGGACAGCCCTGAGCGGAAAACAAAAAGTCACTCTGGGCCTTCTTGGTGGTCCCTGTGGTCTCCCCATCCTTCTGTTTGCACTGAGCTCCTCTTCCTTTTTTCTGCTGTTCCTGCTGCAGTTTCCTGACTCAGATTCCCACTGTAGACACAGCACTGCTTTGTTTTTGGTTGTCGTAAACAGGGTCAATGTTACCAAGTCCTGATCCAAAAGTCCAAATCTGCGGTAGTCTTCTTTCCGGTCTTTATACCCTGGATCCAGGTGTTCCTTTACCAAGAGCACATCTCTTTTTTTACTCATTGTTTTAACAATGTTATTCAGCCAAGTCATTTTCCCAGGTGTCTGAATGGTCATCATGCACTCCCAGTATTTATCAATAAATAGTATAATATCTTTATCTTTGGAGAACCTTGTCTTTGGATATTCATTCAGTGTTCAGGACTGCCATGCCAGTTTGACCAAAGCACTAAGGGAAACTTCCTTCATGTTTGCTTGCTGCTGGATAAAATATGCCACTCTGATGGCATACTTTGCAATAAAAATTGTAGTTGATCATGACAGGTAGACAGGATGAGATTCTGTGCTAAATGTATCAACTGTGAACCATTTTGCACAAGAGCAGATGCCCCACTCCAGCTGGAGAGGCTGTTACTGCTGCCATCAGTTTCATCTCCCCCTTTTTGGCAGCTGCTGCATTTGCGGCTGCTCCTGGGCTGGGTCAGACACCCACCACTTACATCATGGTCACTCCCAGACTTTCTCACATTACTTTGAGTCACCAGTAATGAGGCGCTTCCAACTCTATTGGCCTCTTAGGAAGCTGCAGGCTGGCATAAAAGGAAGGGTGTCCTAATACTCAGGCACACTCTCCCAATCCTGTATGTTTTGATTGTTCTTGGTAGAGAAACTACACTGAATATAAATCTTCCTCTTTTGTACAGTGGTAAATTATTCAAATGCAAAATTCATTATTTTAACCATTTTCAAGTGTATACTTCAGTGTCATTAAGTAAATTAACACTGTTGTACAACCACAGTACCACCATTTATCTCCAGAAATTTTTCATCTTCCCAAACCAAAACTTAACACCTGGAAAACTTCATTCTACTTCTTGTCTGTATGGATTTGACTACTCTAGATACCTCATATAAGGGCAAGCAAACAATATTTGTCCTTTTGAAGCCAGCTTATTTCTGCTGGCGTGATGTCTTTAAGGTTCATCAATGCCATCGCATGAGTCAGAACTTTTTTTTTTTAATTTATTATTATTATACTTTAAGTTTTAAGGTACATGTGCACAATGTTCAGGTTAGTTACATATGTATACATGTGCCATGCTGGTGCGCTGCACCCACTAACTCGTCATCTAGCATTAGGTATATCTCCCAATGCTATCCCTATCCCCTACCCCCACCCCACAACAGTCCCCAGAGTGTGATGTTCCCCTTCCTGTGTCCATGTGTTCTCATTGTTCAGTTCCCACCTATGAGTGAGAATATGCGGCATTTGGTTTTTTGTTCTTGCAATAGTTTACTGAGACTGTAAACTAGTTCAACCATTGTGGAAGTCAGTGTGGCAATTCCTCAGGGATCTAGAACTAGAAATACCATTTGACCCAGCCATCCCATTACTGGGTATATACCCAAAGGACTATAAATCATGCTGCTATAAAGACACATGCACACGTATGTTTATTGCGGCATTATTCAGAATAGCAGAACTTTCTTTTTAAGGTTGAATACTATTCCCTTGTGTGTGTATACTGTATCCCGTTTATCCATTAGATGACACTTGAGCTGCCTCCACCTTTTAGCTATTGTGAACGACGCTGCTATGAACAAGGGTGTACAATTTTCTCTTTGAGATCCTGCTTTCAATTATTTGAGGCACATACCCAGAACTGAAAATTCCGATAAAATGGCAATTCTACGTTTAATTTTTTTGGGGAAATGCCATAAGACCTCCACAATGGGTGCATCATTTTATAGTCCCTCCAGCAATGCATAACAGTTATAATTTCTATACGTCTTTGCTAGATCTTGTTATTTTCTATTATTTTGGTAATGCCATCCTAATGGGTGTGGAGTTGTATATTATTGTGGTTTGATTTTCACTGGCCTAATGATTAGTGATGCTGAACATCTTTCCATGTGCTTATTGCCCATTTGTAGATCTTCTTTGGAGTCTACTCAATACGAACTCAAGTTTTTTGCCCATATAATTCAGATTGTTTTCATTTTTGTAGTTACTCTTGAGTGGTAGGAGTTCTTTCTATAGTCTGCATCTCTTATCAGATGCAAAATTTGCGACAATCTTTCCTATTCTATGATTCAAATGTTTGCTCGGTTGATAGTGTCCTTTGATGCCCATAAGTTTTACAATTTGATAAAATCCAATTTATCTATATTCTTCTTTTTCTATTTTTTTCTGTGCCTTTGGTGTCATATTAACGAAGTCATTTCCAAACCCTATATTATGAACCTTCTCCCTAATGTTTTCTTTTAAGATTTTGACAGTTTTGGCTCTTCCATTTGGGTCTTTCATCCATTTCCAGATTGCTGGTGAATATCCAGTTTTCTCAACAGTATTTGTGAAAAAGACTGTCCTTTTCCACTAAATGGTCTTGACAACTTTGTTTAAAATTATTTGACTGTATAACTAAGAGGTTTTTTTAGGCACTCAGTTCTGTTTTATTTGTCAGTATGTCTGTCTATATGTACCACTCTGCTTTGATTAGTGTAGCTTTGTAGTATGTTTTGAAATCGGTGTGAAATCTCCAACACTGTTCTTCTTTTACAAGATGATTTTGACTATTTAGATTCTCTCAATATTATATATAAATTTTAGGATTAATTTTTTTCTATTCTTTTTGTTTGTTTGTTTGGCTTGCACTTTTTAAAAAATATATACTTTAAGTTCTGGGATATATGTGCAGACCGTGCAGGTTTGTTACCTAGGTATACACGTGCCATGGTGATTTGCTGTACCTGTCAACCCATCATCTACATTAGGTATTTCTCCTAACGCTATCCCTCCCCTAGCTCCCATCCCCAAGAGGCCCCGGTGTGTGATGTTACCCTCCCTGTGTCCATGTGTTCTCATTGTTCAACTCCCACTTATAAGTGAGAACATGCAGTGTTTGGTTTTCTGTTCCTGTGTTAGTTTGCTGAGAATGATGGTTTCCAGCTTCAGCCATGTCCCTGCAAAGGACATGAACCCATCCCTTTTTATGGCTGCATAGTATTCCGTGGTGTACATGTGCCCCATTTTCTTTATCCAGTCTATCCTTGATGGGCATTTGGGTTGGTTCCAAGTCTTTTCTATTGTGACTAGTGCTGCAACAAACATACATGTGCATGTGTCTTTATAGTAGAATGATTTATAATCCTTTGGGTATATACCCAGTAATGGGATTGCTGGGTCAAATGGTATATCTGGTTCTAGATCCTTGAGGAATCATCACACCGTCTTCCACAATGGTTGAACTAATTTACACTCCCACCAACAGTGTAAAAGCATTCCTATTTCTCCACATCTTCTCTAGCATCTTTTGTTTCCTGACTTTTTAATGATCTCCATACTAACTTGGAATTTTGATAGAGAATGCAATGAATCTGTAGATTCCTTTTGGTTTGTATGCCTAGCTTAACAATATTGAGTTTTCCAATAAATGAACAAAGGATTTCTTTCCATTTATTTGTGTATTAATTTCTTTTTGCAATGTTTTATAGTTTTCAATGTACAAGTCTTTCACCATTTTGATTAATATTATTCTTAAGTATTTTACTCGTTTATCTTTATTTATTTGTTTATTTGAGACATTGTCTCACTCTGTTACCCAGGCTGGAGTACAGTGGCAGGATCTTGGCTCATTGCAACCTCTGCCTACCATACTCGAGTGATTCTTGTGCCTCAACCCCGAGCAGGTGGGATTACAGACATGTGCCACCACACCTAGCTAATTTTAAATTTTATTTATTTATTTATTTATTTATTTATTTATTTATTTATTTATTTATTTTAGTAGAGACAGGGTTTCACCATATTGACCAGGCTACTCTTGAACTTCTAATCTCAGGTGATACCCCCAAATCAACCTCCCAAAATGCTGGGATTACAGGCATGAGCCACCGTGCCCAGCCGTATTTTACTCTTTCGAATGATGTTGTAATTTGATTTCTTTTCTTAATTTCATTTTGAGTTGTTTCCTGTTTGCTTATTTAAGTATAGAATTATAACAGATTTTCTTTCTTTCTTTCTTTTTCTTTCCTTTCTTTCTTTCTTTCTCTCTCTTTCTTTTTCTTTCTTTCTTTTCTCTCTCTTTCTCTCTCTTTCTCTCTTCCCCCCACCCCCCACCGCTTTCTTAGAGACAGAGCCTTGCTTTCTTTCCCAGGCTGTTCTTGAACTCTTGAACCCAAGAAATCCTCCCACCTCAACCTCTCAAAGTGCTGGGATTACAGGCATGAGTCACCATGCCTAGCCATGAGATGTTTTTACAAGGTGATTATGTATTATAAAACATTACTGAATACATTTAATCATTCTAATAATTTTTTGTGGGACTTTTAAGGGCATTTTACATATGACATTATGTCATCTGAAAACAGAGATTTTATTTTTTATTTCTAATTTTTATTCTGTTTATTTCTTTTTCTTGCCTAATTACTCTTGCCAGGTCTTCCAATACTGCTTTTAATAGAACTGGTGAAAGTGTGCATTATTGCTTTGTTCCTGATATTACAAAAACCTCTTTGGTCTTTCAGATTGCATATGATGTTAGCTGTGGGATTTTCTTTTTTTTTTTTTTTGTTATTTATTTATTTATTTATTTATTTTTTATTGATCATTCTTGGGTGTTTCTCGCAGAGGGGGATTTGGCAGGGTCATAGGACAATAGTGGAGGGAAGGTCAGCAGATAAACAAGTGAACAAAGGTCTCTGGCTTTCCTAGGCCGAGGACCCTGTGGCCTTCCGCAGTGTTTGTGTCCCTGGGTACTTGAGATTAGGGAGTGGTGATGACTCTTAACGAGCATGCTGCCTTCAAGCATCTGTTTAACAAAGCACATCTTGCACTGCCCTTAATCCATTTAACCCTGAGTGGACACAGCACATGTTTCAGAGAGCACAGGGTTGGGGGTAAGGTCATAGATCAACAGCATCCCAAGGCAGAAGAATTTTTCTTAGTACACAACAAAATGAAGTCTCCCATGTCTACTTTCTACACAGACACAGCAACAATCTGATTTCTCTATCTTTTCTCCACCTTTCCCCCTTTTCTATTCCACAAAACCGCCATTGTCATCATGGCCCGTTCTCAATGAGCTGTTGGGTACACCTCCCAGACGGGGTGGTGGCCAGGCAGAGGGGCTCCTCACTTCCCAGAAGGGGCGGCCAGGCAGAGGCGCCCCCCCACCTCCCTCCCGGACGGGGTGGCTGGCCGGGCAGGGGGCTGACCCCCCACCTCCCTCCCGGACGGGGCGGCTGGCTGGGCGGGGGCTGGCCCCCCACCTCCCTCCCGGACGGGGCGGCTGCTGGGCGGAGATGCTCCTCACTTCCCAGAAGGGGTGGCTGCCGGGCGGAGGGGCTCCTCACTTCTCAGACGGGGTGGCCGGGCAGAGACGCTCCTCACCTCCCAGACGGGGTCGCGGCCGGGCAGAGGCGCTCCTCACATCTCAGACGGGGCGGTGGGGCAGAGGCGCTCTGCACATCTCAGACGATGGGCTGCCGGGCAGAGACACTCCTCACTTCTTAGATGGGATGGCGGCCGGGAAGAGGCGCTCCTAACTTCCCAGACTGGGCAGCCGGGCAGAGGGGCTCCTCACATCCCAGACGATGGGCGGCCAGGCAGAGACGCTCCTCACTTCCCAGACGGGGTGGCGGCCGGGCAGAGGCTGTACTCTCGGCACTTTGGGAGGCCAAGGCAGGCGGCTGGGAGGTGGAGGTTGTAGCTAGACGAGATCACGCCACTGCACTCCAGCCTGGGCAACATTGAGCACTGAGTGAACGAGACTCCGTCTGCAATCCCGGCACCTCGGGAGGCCGAGGCTGGCGGATCACTCGAGGTTAGGAGCTGGAGACCAGCCCGGCCAACACTAGCTGTGGGATTTTCATAGATGGTCTTTACTGTGTTGAGGTAGTTTCATTCTATTCATAGTTCATTGGGTGTTTTTACCATGAAAGGGCGTGGAGTTTTGTGAAATGATTTTCTGTAGCCAGGGTCTTACTGCATTACATTTGGAAGAGACACTCTGCTCTATACCCACCCAGACCTGCTCCACTATATACCTGGTGTTAGAGAGGAATAAATACCTTGTGTTCACCAGGGTCCAGGGGCCACTCAACCAGACCTACAGTAGAGGTCACCTGTGTGAAGGGGTGGGGGAGCTGAAGAGGCCCTCTTGGGTACAACTGTGGACTCTGCTTCAAGTCATAGTAGCTGTAGATGTAGACTTCTTTGTAGATGTTGACTGGGATGGAACCATCCCTGCCACTCTGGACTCAGACATGGGCAAGGGGTCCAGGGAAAACAGAGGCATGGACCAGAATCAGAAGCAATAAGGTGAGGGGACTAGGCTCAGGTTCCTGTGAGTAGTTTGGGATGACTGTTATAGCAAGTCACCCCATTTGCCCCAGAGTTGGTGGTTGTGTTGAAGAGTCTCTCAAGGAAGCCAGTTTCTCCCTCACTCTGACCACCTCCTGCTGATGGCCCTTCCTGTAGATTGATCAGGAATGAATCCTTCATAACTCCCAAATTTAGGAGACCAGCTAGACTTCTATGGATGGCCCCAGAGTTTCCATTAATGAGTTTTAGATGAAAGGAAAGGGTGTGCAATGCTTTCTTTATGCAAACCAGCCTGTCTCCCTCTTCTTGTCTCCTAGCCCCTTCATAGAACCTCAGTCCAGACAGTCACCGGAATACATTTCCCAGGTGGGGTGGAGAAAGCCAGGTTGGCTGAATCTGGTTCCCTGTGAGGACACAGCTGCTGAGCCCAGTGAGCAGTGAACAGATGATGGCTTCCCAGCTGTCATTATCTGCAGCCCCTCAAGGACAAGCCTATAGCACCCAGTGCTGCCCCAGTCTCAGACCTATTGAGCCCTTCAGTTTCTCCCTGCCTTTGTCTATTTTCTTCTTCACCAAAGTTATGACTATGAGGGCCCCTCTTAAGCTGCAGTTGTATTTATTGCTCTGCAAAGAATTCCTGTACCATGACATACCTGTCTGGTCCATGCTGCTGTTTTTAGCAATGTCCTGGGATCTTGGTCTCACTGAGGGAGATTCTCTGATAGACATCAGAGTAGGGAGTCCAGTTTGGTAAAGGGGAAGCCACCAGAAATGCACGCCTGTGAGCAGAGTTGCCTCCTTCTTCCCCACTCAAGAGTGTGGCCCCTTTTCAGGCTGCCAAGTCTTGTCCTGGAATCTCTGGGCTGTCAGGGTGGGTCTCCTCCTACTCTCAGCCCACCCACCTTCAGCATCAAAAGGACCCTGGAGTTTTCTCACTGGACAGAAGGAGAGCCATAAGAGCCATACTGAGCTCTTCTGTCTCTTACATGTTGCTTATGCACCCCTGGCTTAAACCTCACTGTGTGGGGACCGAGTAGTCCCCTTGCATCTGGTTTTGAAAGACTTATGAGGTCCCTCATCCAGAGCTCTGGCTGCAGCAACCCCTGGGGAGGTCCTAAGTCTGCAGACTTGGAGAATAATAGAAAGAAGAATTAGGGAAGTGAGTAGGTGTTATTCATTGGAAATCGTATATGGTGTATTTAGTGCTAACTAACATGCTCACTGGAGGGTAGCTGTGTTAGAGAGACTCTGCCTTTGAGGTTCAGCTCATAGACCTGGCATCAGTAAGAGGAGACCAGCCCCAACACTGCCTCTTCCAAGCCTCGAAGCCTGTGAGGAGTTGGTAGATAAACTACAGCGCACCCAGGTAAATTTGTATTTCAATTTAACAATATCATGTGGGAGATACACATACTAATTCTTTGTCATTGTTTTACCGAATTCAAATTTAACTGCACTCCAATGTTTTTATTTGATAAATTGGAGAACCCTACCTCCAGGCCACAAGCACTCCCTCTCTAATCATGGCCTACTGCATGAAAAGCAATCATAAAGTTGTTTTTGGGCATAAATGAGGTCACACTCTCAGGAATTAAAAAGCTATTGGTCAATAGTAAGGTTGCAGTTGTAGTAAATCTTAATACAACCTATCAAAACTTCTGGGATACAGCAAAAGCAGTGCTATGAGGAATGTTTAGCATTAAATACGTACATCACAAAGTCTGAAAGAGCACAAATAGACAATCTAAGGTTACACCTCATGGAAATGGAGACTCAAGAACAAGGCAAACCCAAACCCAGCAGAAGAAAAGAAATAACGAAGATTAGACCAGAACTAAATAAAATTGAAACAAAAAGCAATGCAAAAAACAAATGAAACAAAAAACTGGTTCTTTGAAAAGATAAATAAAATTAATAGACCATTAGCAAGATTAACCAAGAAAAGGGAGAAGATCCACATAAGCTCAAATAGAAATGAAACAGAAGATATTAATACTGATACCACAGAAATATAAAAGATTATTCAAGGCTACTCTGATTACCTCTATGCACATAAACTAGAAAGCCCAGAGGAGATGGATCAATTTCTGAATGTATACAACCCTCCCAAATTAAATGAGGAAGATATAGAAACTCTGAACAGGCCAGTAACAAGCAGCAAGATTGAAATGGTAATTTAAAAAAAATCAACAAAATAAAGCCAGGACCAGACAGATTCACAGTTGAATTCTATCAGACATTCAAAGAAGAATTAGTACTAATCCTATGACATTAATTGTGATGGTTAATACCGAGTGTCAACTTGATTGGATTAAAGGATACAAAGTATTGATCCTGGGTGTGTCTTTCAGGGTGTTGCTGAAAGAGATTAACATTTGAGTAAGTGGGCTGGGAAAGGCAGACCCACCCTTAATCTGTGTGGGCACAATCGAATCAGCTGCCAGCATGGCTAAAGTATAAGCAGACAGAAAAATGTGAAAAGAGAGACTGGCCTACCCTCCCAACCTATATCTTTATCCTGTGCTGGATGCTTCCTGCCCTTGAACATCATACTCCAAGTTCTTCAGTTTTGGAACTCGAACTGGCTCTCCACTCACCAAGGGTGACCTAGCTATGGCTAATGCTGAGTGCCCAATTTGCCAGCAGCAAAGACCAACACTGAGCCCTTGATATGGCACCATTCCTTGGGGTGATCAGCCAGCTATCTGGTAGAAGGTTGATTATATTGGAAATCTTCCATTATGAGAAGGGCATAGGTTTGTCCTCACTGATATAGACACTTATTCCAGATATGGGTTTGCCTGTAAGACTACCATCCTCCGTGGACTCATGGAATGCCTTATTCACCATCCTGGTATTCCACATAGCATTGTTCTCGCCAGGGCACTCACTTTATTCATAAAGAAGTGCAGCAGTGGGCTCATGCTCATAAAATTCACTGGTCTTACCATGTTTCCCATCATCCTGAAGCAGCTGGATTGATAGAACAATGGAATGGCCTTTTGAAGTCACAATTACAATGTCAACTAGGTGACAATACTTTGCAGTGCTGGGGCTAAGTTCCCCAGAAGGCGTGTATGCTCTGAGTCAGCATCCAATATATGGCACTGTTTCTCCCATAGCCAGGATTCATGAGTCTAGGAATCAAGGGGTGGAAGTGGAAGTGGCAGCACTCACCATCACCCCTAGTGATCCACTAGCAAAATTTTTGCTTCCTGTTCCCACGACATTATGTTCTGCTGGCTTAGAGGATTTAGTTCCAGAGGAAGGAACACTGCCACTTGGAGACACATCAATGATTCCATTAAACTGGGGAAGTTAAGATTGCCACCTGGACACTTTGGGCTCCTCCTACCTTTAAGTCAACAGGCTAAGAAGGGAGTTACAGTGTTGGCTGGGGTGTTTGGGACAGACTATCAAGATGAAATCAGTTTACTACTCCATAACGGAGGTAAGGAAGAGTATGCATGGAATACAGGAGATCCATTAGGGCATTTCTTAGTATTATCATGCCCTGTGATTAAGGTCCATGGAAAACTAAAACAGCCCTATCCAGGCAGGACTACAAATGAACCAGATGCTTCAGGAATGAAGATTTGGATCACACCATCTGGAAAAATATCCACGACCTGCTGAGGTGCTTGCTGAAGGCAAAGGGAATACAGAATACAGAATGGATAGTAGAAGAAAGTAATCATCAATACCAGCTATGGCCAGCTGCAGAAACGAGGAGTGTAATTGTCATGAGTATTTCCTCCTTCTTTTGTTAAAAACATGTTTGTGCGTGTATACCTTTGTCCTAAGAAAATATCTTCATGTTATTTCCTTTCTCCTTTATCATGTGACATAAGATTTATTGACTTCACATCAGCGTTTAAGTATCGTTAACTTTATGTAACAGTATTTGGGTTGGGGATTGATGTGTTTCTGTTTGTATGAATGATAGTTGTATTATGTTAGGTGTCATTATGACCTTATTATTGTCTTTATTTGAAGATTATGTATGATCTCAGAAGATATATATGGGTTGAAGTTGACAAGGGGTGGACTTGTGATGAGTAATACTGAGTGTCAACTTGATTGGATTGAAGGATAAAAAGGATTGATCCTGGGTGTGTCTGTTAGGGTGCTGCCAAAGGAGATTAGCATTTGAGTCAGTGGGTGGGAAAGCCATGCCCACCCTTAATCTGGGTGGGAACAATCTAATCAGCTAACAGCATGGCTAGAAAATAAGCAGGCAGAAAAATATGAAAAGAGAGATGGGCCTAGGCTCCCAGCCTACAACTTTCTCCTATGCTTGATGCTTCCTGCCCTCAAACATGGAACTCCAAGTTCTTCAGTTTTGGAACTCGGACTGGCTCTCCTTGCTCCTTAGCCTGCAGACAGCCTATTGTGGGATGTTGTGATCATGCTATATATATACAGATTCCATTAGTTCTGTCCATCTAGAAAACCCTGACTAATGCACTAATTCACAGGAAGGAGAAAGAGGAAATTCTTCCTAAATTATTCTTTGTAGCCAGTGTCACCCTCATACCAAAATGAGGGAAGGACATAACAAAACAAGAAAACTACAGAACAATATCCCTGATGAACATAGATGCAAAAATAATAAATGAAATACTAGCTAACCAAATCCAACAGCTATCAAAAACATAGTCCACCATGTTCAAGTGGGTTTCATACCAGGGATGCAGGGATGGTTTAACATATGCAAGTCAATAAATGTGATATACCACATAAAAAGCATTAAAAACAAAAATCACATGATTATCTCAATGCATGCAGAAAAAGCACTTGGCAAAATCCAGCATCACTTCATGGTTAAAAGCCTTTGCAAAATTGACATAGAAGAGACATACCTTATGGTAAGAAAAGCCCACTCTTTCAAACCCATAGTCAACATTATACTGAAAGGAAAAAAAAGTTGGAAACAATTCCCCTGAGAACTGGAACAAGACAAGAATGCCCACTTTCACCACTTCTATTCAACATAGTACTGGAAGTCTAAGCCAGAGCAATCAGACAAGAGAAACAAATCCAGGACATCCAAATTGGTAAAGAGGAAGTGAAACTGTTGCTGTTGGCAGATAATGTGATCATATACCTAGAAAACCTTAAAGACTCATCCAAAAATCTCCTAGAACTGGTAAATAAATGGCCAGGCACGGTGGCTCACGCCTGTAATCCCAGCACTTTGGGAGGCCGAGGCAGGCGGATCACAAAGTCAGGAGATCGAGACCATCCTGGCTAACACGGTGAAACCCCGTCTCTACTAAAAATACAAAAAATTAGCCGGACATGGTGGCAGGCACCTGTAGTCCCAGCTACTCGGGAGGCTAAGGTGGGAGAATGGTGTGAACCCAGGAGGCGGAGCTTGCAGTGAGCTGAGATTGCGCCACTGCACTCTAGCCTGGGCGACAGAGCGAGACTCCATCTCAAAAAAAAAAAAAAAAAAAAAAAAGAACTGGTAAATAAATACAGCAAAGTTTCAGGATACAGAAGTAAGGCACACAAATCAGTAGCTCTGTTATACAATAACAGTGAACAAGCTGAGAATCAAATCAACAACTCAAACCTTTTTACAAATAGCTGCAAAAAAATACACCTAGGAATATACCCAACCAAGGAGGTGAAAGACCTCTACAAGGAAAACTACAAAACACTGCTGAAAAAATCATGTCACACATCCCCCGCTCATGAATGGGTAGAATCAATATGTTGAAAATGATCATGGTGCCAAAAGCAATCCACAAATTCAATGCAGTTCCCATCAAAATATCACCATCATTCATTACAGAACTGGAAAAAACAATCCTAAAATTCATATGAAACCAAAAAAGACCTGCATAGCCAAAGCAAGACTAAGCAAAAGGAACAAATCTGGAGGCATCACATCACCCAACTTCAAACTATACTCTAGCATAATTTGACTCACAGTCACTAAAACTGCAAGGTACTGGTGCAAAAGTGGGCACGTAGACCAAAGGAACAGAATAGAGAATCCAGAAATGGAGCCAAATAACTGATCTTTAACAAAGCAAACAAAAACATAAAGTGGAAAAAGGACATCCTATTGAACAAATGGTGCTGGGATAATTGGCAAGCCAAATGTAGAGGAATAAAACCGGATCTTCATCTCTCACCTTATGCAAAAATCAAGCCAAGATGAATCAAAGACTTAAATTTAAGGCCTGAAACTGTAAAAATTCTAGAAGATAACATTAAAAAAACCCTTCTAGACATTACTTTAGACAAATACTTCATGACCAAGAACCCAAAAGCAAATGCAACAAGAACAAAGATAAATAGATGGGACTTAATTAAACTAAAAACCTTCTGCACAGCAAAAGAATCAGCAGAGCTAACAGACAGCACACCGAGTGGAAGCAAATCTTCACAATCTATACATCCAACAAATGACTAATGTCTATAGTCTACAAAGAACTCAAACAAATTATGAAAAAAAATAAGCAGTCCCATCAAAAGATGGACTAAAGACATGAATAAACAATTTTCAAAAGAAGATATACAAATGGACAAAAGACATATAGAAAAATGTTTGACATCGCTAATGATCAGGGAAATGCAAGTCAAAACCACGATGTGATACCACCTTACTACCACAAAAATGGCCATAATCAAAAAATAAAAATAATAATAGATGTTGGCATGGATGTGGTGAAAACAAAACACTTTTACACTGGTGGTGGGAAGGTAAACTAGTACAGTCACTACAGAAAACAGTGTGGAGATTCCTCAAGGAAATAAAAATAGATGTACCCTTTGATCCAGCAATCTCACGACTAGGTATCTACCCAGAGAAAAAGAAGTCGTTATACAAAAAAGATACTTGCACACGCATGTTTATAGCAGCACAATTGTAAAAGCATGGAACCAGCCCAACTGCCCATAAATCAACAGGTGGATAAAGCAAATGTGATGTATACATACACATACCATGGAATATTACCCAGCCATAAAAGGAACAAAATAATGGCATTCACAGCGACCTGGATGGAACTGGATGCTGTTATTCTAAGTGCAGTAACTCAGGAATGGAAAACAAAACATTGTATGTTCTCACTCATCAGTGGGAGATAAGCTATGAGAACACAAAGGCATAACAATGATACAATGGACTTTGGGGACTCAGGAGAAAGGGTAGGAGGGGGGTGAAGAATAAAAGACTACTCATTGGGTACAGTGTACACTGCTTGGGTGATGAGTGCACCAAAATCTCAGAAATCACCACTAAAGAACTTATTTATGTGACAAAGCAACACTTGTCCCCCAAAAACCTATTAAAATAAAAAAATTGAAAAATAACCAAAAAGAGAAAAATCACTAAAACCCTTAAAAACCCAAATAAATCAGTAAATAAATAAATATATAAATAAATGAAAGACGAGAACCTCTTCCACTATAGAGAGAATCAGAAGCAAGAGATGAAGAAGCAAGAATCCCGACAAGCCATCACAGACTGTCCTGTCACCTTAGATGAACATTGCCCCTAAAGTTTGATTTGGATGCACAATAAATTCAAACTTTAAAATAAATACATAAATAAAATCAGAAAAAAATGGCCTAAGGACCTTCAAAGATAGTAAGGAGCCCTCTACGAGATGGGTACAATGCAGCAACAACAGCGAGAATCTCAAAAGAAGTGTGCAGAGTGAAAGAAGCCTGAACAAATGGGAAGATAATGTTTGATAACACTGATACATTCCAGAAAAGAGAAACCAAACAGTAGTGACAGAGGCAGATCTGCAACTTCCAAGGAGGGTGTTGGGGGAGGGAATGAGGTGACAAGGGTCATGAGGAGCTATTGGGGTTGGTCACAGGTTGTATGTTGTATAGCTCCCGGTGGTGGTGATGTTTTCAAGGATCCATAGAAATGCCAAAATTTGTCTCATTCCCTATTGTAAATATGGGTGGCTTATTATATGTGCATTATTCCTACATGAAAGGAGTTTTATTAAAAAAAGAATAGGCTGGAGAGAAAGGAAGCACAGGGATTCACACTGAGGAGAAGGGGGAGGAAGACACCACTCTGGAAACTCCTGGAAATGGAAAAAGTAGGATGATGGAGACACAGGTTCCCCAACAGAAGTGGGTCTGTGATGACACAGCTGGACCTGCCACCTCAGCCCAGGACTTCAGTGCAGAGACCCTGTGTCCCAAGCTACAGGGAGCAGGACACCCTGCTTTTGTTTTCTGGACACCCTGTTCCTGACTCTGAGGACTCAGGGGAGGAGGAGCCTCCACTCTCAGGCAGGGCCCTGGATATCCCTGGACCCATGGGGGAAGCTGCAGCAGCAGAAGCCACAGGCCAGGCCTGAGCAGCAGCAGCCGGGGCTCACCCTCCTGGCAGAAAAGGAAGGGGGTTCTTGTCTCTGTTCCCCCTGGGCCTGGAGCACTGTGGGACCATTCAGGCTGTCATCCCATGCTGCACAGTAATAATCAGCCTCATCCTCAGACTGGAGCCCACTGATGGCCAGGGAGGCTGAGGTGCCAGACTTGGAGCCAGAGAATCGGTCAGAGACCCCTGAGGGCAGCAGATCATCATAATAGATGAGGAGTTTGGGAGCCTTTCCTGGGAGCTGCTGGTACCAGTTTACAGCATTATTTCCGATGTTGGAGCTGCTTCCAGAACAGGAGATGGTGACCCTCTGCCTGGGGGCTTCAGACACCGAGGGTGGCTGAGTCAGCACAGACTGGGCCCAGGACCCTGGAAGTGAGAGAGACACAGACATGGTGATTGACAAGAGACAAAAGGAGACAAGAGGAGAAAGCAGGGTCGCATGGGCTTCCCAGGGCCTCTCTCTTGGTCCCCATCCTGTCACCTGCACAGTGAGTGATGAGGGTGAGGAAGAGAGGGGACCAGGCCATGCTGGAGATTGTCCTGAGTCCTGTCTTCTCTACCCGCAGCTGAAGCTGAGCTTCCCCCAAATCTCTCCCTTTCTTCATACTCTGAGAGGGGGAGAGTCCATCCATGCAAATCAGACCCCCCCCAGGTTTGTGACCCCACCCTGAGCCCTGGGTCAGGCTCCTTGGCTTGAGGATGTCAGGGGGTGGCAGGGGTGGAGCTTTGTGGTCCCAGGGGGTGGGGAGGACACAGCTGTGAGCCCTGAGCAGAGGACACCAGGCAGGGCAGGCGGCTGGTTCTGCTCTGATCACCCCTGTCTTCTCAGGAATGATCCCCATGCGCCCTCTGGTGTCCAGATCAAGGTAAACCATTCTATGATAAGGTGACCAGAACCTCTCAGATACATGGCTTCCTCCCCCCATTCTGTCCACTGCCCCCTCTCTCAGGTCCAAGGCAGGCCAAGTGGTGTCTGTGTCTCCTCCCTGTGACTTCAGGGCTATCTTCACGCTCTACTGAGGAGTCTTCAGACTCCTCAGGAGTGAATCTTTCCATGGCTCTTTGGCTGTACATTGTAGAGGACTCAGGTGGTATCTACATAAAGTCCTATGTCAGGATCAAGCCCATAGCAGGGACCAGCCCCATGGACTCACCTCCCCACCTGTGTTGGACACCAGGTCCTCTCCTCTCATGTGGCTCCTTCCTGGTGGCTAGAGCTCTCCTTCCTCTGTGGATCCTGTGGCGCTGAGGAGAAAGGGAGCTCTTTCCTCTAGGATTCCCTGGGGAGGAATTCCCAGAGGGTTTTCCTGGTAAATCTTTGTTCTCCCTCTACTTCCCCAGATTTGCAGTCATAGTCATCTGGATACTGTGACCAGGGATCTTGCCTAGGAGTCTGTACACTAAATGCTCATCTGCAGGGGATCCTGGCAAATGACTTTGGAGTGTTTCACTTATGAACAAAAAGAGCAAAGATGCTCAGTCTTTGAAGATGGGAAGAATTAAAATTTTAACTTGGTTTAACCAGAGTCTGTCCTCAGGTGAGCCTGATACGTGTTAGCTCTCAACATCAAGCACCCCAACTAGGATTTTTAGGGAAAAATTATGGTTCAAATTCAGTAGTGAGTGTTATGGGGGTGGCTTAAGGATGATAGAAAATTATTTATCTTTGATCTGTAATGACAACTAGAATCTAATAAGCTAAAAACAAGCTTAAGAAAAATTGTAATTCTGTTGATCAGAATGAAAAATGAAACAGGTTATGCCTATGACTGCATGAATTCTGGCATGATACATCCTGGGCTCTTAATAATTACTAGTTTGGGGAATTCTATGGGGATGGAGGAAAACAGCTGGATGGTTTTGTTGATATTTCCACTGGTGAATGTATCACCAGGCAGTTGCCGTAGAATGAGATTTTAAGTGCTCCATTTAAAAATGGAATAGTGAGATTTAATATAGACATTTAAATAAAACCAGTCCATATATGGAACTGAAATAAAATGTATGCTGTGTTTTGGGATTGCATTTCAAGGGTGTCATTATTTTAAGTGTTCCTTTTAGTGTAAGCCATGTTCCTTTACATAATTTTTATAGCTTTCAAAAAATGTTTATTGCATTTACGTAACACATCAGGCATATTAAGTTTTATTTATTTCCAAGTAGAAACAAACTATTAGAGCTGGGCTTCACTTCCTGTTTGGCTCATTGCTTTTTCTTTGATGATGCATAGATGTTCACAGTGAATTTTGTTTTCCTTTCCTCCCACGTTAATGAACAGGGATCACCGAGGCTGAGCAGTGCCTCACATACAGGACAAGGCTGCCCATGGCCCCCTCCCTGCCCACAGATGTGCTTCCTGGTGGATGCCCCATCAGCTCTTAGGCTGAGGACAGAGAGGAGAACAGGTCCACAGCTACGGAATCTGGACACCCAGAGGATCCAGGAGGGACAACAGCTGGGACAGTGAGCCCTGGACAGAGGACACTGACCATGGATTTTTATCCTCATGGGACCCTCACAGACAGACCAAAACTCCAGTCTCTGTGTGTCTTCAGGGCCCAGGTCCTTCCAGGTCCTCCTTTTATCACTACTGTAGGCCCCGGCCCTACTCCTCCTATGAGTCACAATGGACAGTCTCCTCTTCAGGCTGCATTCTCCTTACCACATCTTATCCCACACCTGTCTCCCCATTCCCCCATAAACAATCCCCTGCTCATTTCCATTAGCATTTTTGTGTCATTCTGGGATCACAGCCTCCCAAGTATGTCTCTGCAGGATATCCATGTTGCAGAGAGCTCAACCCCTTGACAGGACCGCTGTGCCTGGGCCACCTAAGGCTGAGCATCTCTCTTGCTTCTCTTCTACACCAGCTCTAGGCCAAGCCATATCTAGACCTTTCAGAATGCTGAACCCACGTTTTCTTAAGCATCAGACTTCCTGTCTCACGTTTGGGTCTCTGGGTCACACAGGCTGGATTCTTCATTCTTGGCATCTCTCGCACAGTTTCTGAGCTCAGGAAATGGTCAGCATAACTGCACCAAGAGGAGGAGACACCTTTGGAACCAGACTAAAGGCTTCTGGGCCTCTGGGTCACACAGGGTGGATTCTTTCTTGTCCCTACCTCATCCCCACCCACCATGTGTGGGCAGCTCCTTTTGCTTCTAGAAACAAATTGATTCTGTTTGCATTGGGAGACCAGTAAGAAAAGGGATTATTTTTACTGAACTTGTGCTCTGCTTCAGTAACACAAGTGACAGCCGAAGTCTTGGCATGAACTGGTGTTGGTCACAGGCAGGGATAAAGGAGGGATGGGGAGACAGGATGAGTGGGGAGATCTTTCTCTCATTTCCACATGGAACAGGAACCCTTGGTAACATGGAGTCAGGATGCAGCTGTGTGACACTGATAACCAGCCAGTCCTCAGGCTGGAGCCGAGAGGTGCTCCAGGAGGCTGTGTGGATAAACCCAGAGCAGGAGAATGAGGCTGGGACCCCTGAGGGACCATCACTGCTGTCCTAGGTCATAAACTTGGGGGCTCTTTCTGGGAGGCCTCCGTAGCCATTTCCACGGGAATGCCCAATGTTTCTGCTGCTCCCCATGCAGAAAAAGGTGACCTTGAGATGTGGTGGTCTTTCCACATACTCACCACTAGACCCTGATTCAGCAAGAAGCTCCAATGGTGTAAGAGAGGAGAAGAGAACACAGGCGCTGAGGGATCAAGAAACCCACGCTCAGCAGTCCCCATGGTCCTGAGTGGGATGAGCTGCAGGAAAGTCACATCCATGGGACCTACTTCCCCCGTGGCCAAGGAGCAGCCTCTGGCTTGTCTCAGCCACAGTGGAGCCTCCCCTTGACTCTCCTGTCATGTCCTACATAGAGGTTTACTGGTCTCAGGTCCCCAGTTACCCTAATACCTAACCCCATCTCCTGACATTGCCACTGAAATGCAGGTACCCAGGACTGAGCCAGGTCAGCACTATATCTAGAATTCCCTGACCTGTGTCCTCAGGCAGCATTTCATATTTGAGTGCCTTGTTCCTGGGACACAGTGAGCCACAGACAGCCCTGAGAACAGACTACTGGGGATGGAAGGGGAGGTCTCTGCCCGTACGCTGGAAGAGCAGAGTCCATGCTGCAGGGCACTGTTCACCTGCTAGGATGTCCCCAGGCTCTGACCATGATGTGAGCTAGGAAAGCCTCATTTTGCTTCTTTCAAGAACAAAAGTCCAGCTCCACAGGCAGTGGTGTTAGCACATATGACAACCAGCCAAGACTTCAGTGTCATCAGTTGCTTTGGTTTTGTTTTGTTTTACTGAGACTTCAGACGAATGGATGGGAAATTGAGAGAAGAGCCTTTTACAACTAGAAAGTACTTCCAAATGTAGTTTGTGCCTAGGCCAGTTATTTTAAAATTTAAAATTTTTTAAGAACAAGACCTAAAGCAGGGTGAGGTTTTTGTCCCACTTCCCCATCTGTGTGTGTCACTGTGAGAAGCATTGCTTGGCCAAATCATACAGTAATAGTCAGCCTCATCCTCAGACTGGAGCCCGGAGATGAGTAAAATCCCTGTATTGGCTGAAGCATCTTTGGATCCAGAGAAGCGGCTGGGGACTCCAGAGCCCTGGCCCTTATCTGAGTCTGAGTAGTAGTACAGGAGATACCTGGGAGGGCTCCCTGGCTTCTGCTGGTACCAGTATATGTTGTAGCTACCAACATTGATGTCACTGGGCAAGGTGCAGGTGAGTCTGGCGGATTCTCCAGGAGATGCGGAGGAGGAAGGTGGCTGAGTCAGCACAGGCTGGGAGAGGGAACCTGCAAACACAGACACTCATGGTTGATGGGCAGGGTTCAGGGTGAGGTTTTTCAGGGATCTTTACCAGAAGAGCCAGAATCAGGTTGGGTGGCTGGCCCTGATCTCTGAGGCCTGTCCCTACCTGTGCAGTGAGAGAGGAGCAAGAGAAGAAGAGGAGTCCAGGCCATGGTGGACACAGCCTGACATGCACAGTGGGACTGGGCTGCCCCAGGCCTCCTTTTCTTCCCATACTCTGCAGAGGAGGGGCTGCTCATGCAAATGTGTTTTCATCCAGGGACTGCCCAGCCCCTCTCTAAGCTCTGGGGCTGAAGCTCAGCTCACACTGCAGACTGAGGAGGAAGAAGTTTTGCTTTTCCCCTTGAGAGGGCTCCGGAAGAAAGCACCTACTGAAACCATACACACCTTCCTGCTCAGGGGACTCTGCCATGCCATGGGAGGACATAGATGCTAAGTACCCCTCAGTGAGCACGGGGTCTTAGCCCCTAGTCTTGGATTTCTTTGAGTGAATGGTCCTTACTGAGCAGCTGTGTAGGGACCATAGGGCAGTCCCCCAGCATCCCATGCTGGTTAGAGGACACTTACCTCCTGATGGCCCAGCTGATCTCTGCAGCTCATTAGTCACTGTCTCTATTCACACCTCTATGGTCTGATTGCTAGACACTAATTCCATAAGGCTATGCATGATTATTGTGATTTCTCACTCCCAGAGTGAGTCTTGGTCCATGGGATGTAGACATGTACATATATAACTTTTAAAATCTAGAAAAACCTAACTGCCCACATGTGCCATCAGGGTAGGCATCATGGAGAAGAGGTCAGCTGAGGAGCTAGGTTGAAGGGCAGCTGGGGGTTACTCAAAAGGACGGTGAATAATGAGAATTTTGCAAGAAAAATAAATGATCCATGACATGTTAAAGTAGCAATTCAGCAAAAGTTATCTCTACAGTGGTTTCATACATTTTAGAGTTTTTACTCAACGTAGTGATATAGGGAAATGAATAGCATTGGTAAACTTACTTTTACAAGTGAGTAGTGTGACATATTTCTCATTTTATACAGTCAACCGTTATCTCCCTAAGTAAAACTTGTTGTTTTCTGCACAGTTGTGTCCCTGCTTGCTCTGACCGATTTGGGCTCTGTTCCTAGGGCAGCCTGTTCCAGGAACCAAGGACTTTCTGATTTTTTTTGAGGCAATTTGACAATGCTGTTGCTATGGGCTTTCTCTGAGGGCTGACTCTGAGGAAACAAAGCTGCATTCTCTAAATCACTGTCCCTGACCTGAGACCTGGGCCCTGGCTAGCACCAGCCCAAGCAAACATGAACACAAATGGTAAACAGCCCAGTTTTCCCAGTTGTAGGTGGTGCTGTCGGGTCGTGCTCCTAGGAGACCTGAAATGTTCCCATCTCACTTCCCCACAGACTGCAGCACCGTGGGGGCCTCCAGAGAACTGTCCAAATCCAACGTTAATGATCAGCCTTGTCCTCAGCCTGGAGCCCAGATATGCTCAGGAAGGCCTCCTTGCCAGACTGATCACTCAAGAATCAGTTCTGGATCTGCAGGTGGATATTTACATCCACAGATCAGAGGTTTAAGGACACTTCCTGTTCATTGTTGGTACCAGGACACAATTCCAAGGACGTTATTGCTGCTGTTTCCAGTGCAGGAGATGGTGGCTGGTTTAGTCACAGACAAACTGTGCAGGCCACCAAGTGAGCCCTGACTGCCCAGGACCCTAAGAGTCAGGACAGAGACACAGGGTGTGGGAAGTGGCTCGGTGAGCCGGGGGAGCAAGGCAGAGCCCTGGTCCTCCCAGTGCCAGTCCCTGCCTTTCTATCTCCAGCCTCCTGTGCAGAGACTGAGGAGGGTGAGCAGCAGAGGGATTCAGGCCATGGTAGAGAAGTCTCTGGAGCTCTACTTCCTGAGCCACACAGATTAGGGGGAACAGCCCCTTTTCCCTGGCCCTTCTTAGAGGAGGGGACTCAATGCAAGTCTAACCTGTCCCCATGGTTGTTCCCTTCACATAAGATGCTGAGTCTGATTATACTTCTCGAGGACTGGGTGGCTTCTTGAGGCTGGGTAGGAGAGCATGGTCAGTGACTCTTCAGGCACCCTGGGAGGATGCAGCTGCTGGGCCCTATGAATACTAAATAGAGACAGGGAGACAGGTGTCTGGTGTCCCAGCCAAGTCCAGCCATGAACTGACTTTCCAGGCTGCACAGAAATCCATGGGTCTCTCTTCCTTCTTGATTCTCACTGGATCAGCACATAAGGCAGAGTGGTGGAGTTTGGGGAGAATAAATGAGCATGCTTGTGTGGTTCACTGGATTCAGTGGAAATGCAGAGGACTCCAGGGATCAGAAGGAGAAAAAAAAAAAGGAGAAGGAGGAAGTGCTAGCTGAGGCAAAATAGGAGAATCAGCCAACTCTGGGCTACTTCAGAACTAGGGAATCAGAGAGGCTCGTAAAAGAGAAAAAATAGGCTGGGCACAGCGGCTCATGCCTGTAATTCCAGGACTTTGGGAGGCTGAGGAGGGTGGATCACTTGAGCTCAGAAATTCAAGACCAGCCTGGGTAACATGGGGAAACCCCATGTCTACCAAAAATACAAGATATTAGCAGGGTGTGGTGGTGCGTGCCCATAGTCACAGCTACTTGGGATGCTGAGCTGAGAAGATTGCTTGAGTCAGGAGGTGAAGGTTGCAGTGAGTTGAGACCACAGCCTGGGCAACCAGGGTGAGACCCTGTCCCTACCCCCACCCCCACCCCACCCTACCCCCCCAAAAAAAGAGAGAAAATGTATGAATGTCCAATTCCAAGAAAAAAAATCTGGAAAAATACCAATAGGCTTCCTGCTATAAAGCTCTTGATAATTAACTCAGGATGATAGAGGGGAGAAGTGGTTGACAGGAAAAGGAGAGAGACCCAAGAAGGGAATTCAGGAATCAGAGATGTGGGAGGGGAGAGGGTAAGGATGGGCTACACTACAGAAAAGACTAGATGAGAAGCTAGTAAGAATGTTGGATGGGAGCCAGAGGGGAGGTCAGGTTAGTTGTTTGTTTGCTTTTGTTTTGTTTCTTAAAGAAAGGGGAGCCTCTCCCTGCTTTGCAGCTGTCCTCCCTGGTCGTCTTCCTGCATGGAGTGTGGCTCGTTCCATCTCAGCTTACCGCAAACTCCGCCTCCCGGATTCCAGTGATTCTCCTGGCTCAACCTCCCGAGTAGCTGGGATTACAGGCTGCGCCACCACGCCCGGCTAATTTTGCATTTTTAGTAGAGACGGGGCTTTTCCATGTTGGCCGGGCTGGTCTGGAACTCCCGACCTCAGGTGATCTGCCCGCCTTGGCCTCCTAAAGTGCTGGGATTACAGGCCTGAGTCACCACAGCCAGCCAAGTGTGGGGTTCTTCTGTCATCCAAACACATTAGTTCACTATGTCTGAGATATCTCTTAGGTTATTGTCTGCCAAGGTTTCTCCTTATTTTACACTATTCTTATGAATTTGTTATGGCTGTTTTTGTTATTAGAGGTAAGGTCTCACTTTGTCACCCAGGCTGGAGTGCAGTGGCATAATCATAGCTCATCGCAGCTTTGAACTCCTGGGGTGAAGCGACCCTCCTGCCTCAGCCTCCTAGGTATCTACGATGACAAGCATGCCACACTACGCCTGGCTAATTCATTTTTTATTATTTAAAAACATGTTTTGTAGAGAAAAGATCTTGTGACGTTACCCTGGCTGGTCTCAAACTCCTGGCCTCAAGTAATTCTTTTGCCTCAAACTCCCAAAGTGCTAGGATTACACACCTGAGCCTCTTCTCCTGGCTGGCCTTGTTATTGTTCAAACATATATGTGGATTTTGTGTGGTAGGAACTTTCTAGAAATGCAGAGACTGTGTCCTCACTCCAGAGCCACTGAATCAGAATCTGCATTTTGTAAAATCCCCAGAAGATGCATATGCACAACAGAATTTGGGGGGTACTGTTCTAACACATGCCTGGAGACACTGGTGTAGTTTTGGATATAAATTATTCCTCATACCTTAATCTGTTATGCTCCTTCTTACATGAATCGGAAACTCTTGTTTCTCTATTTACTGCATTGTGAAGTCAGGTGTAATGTACTCAAGGCTTTCCACTGAAAATTTCAGGCATTTTTTTTCTGACCTCACAAAATCCACAGAAGTTACCAGGAGTGTTTTAATAATAAGATAATATCATATCTTCGTTTGAGTAGCAAACAATAAGAATTATCTAAAAATGATAATATTTCATTGGTATTCAAATAAAAATAAAATTAGCAACTATTTAAATATTTTATCCCTTTTAAGAAATGGAACACTACTTACATTAACCTGAAATGACTAGATCATAAAGGGGTATAAAAGCAGATGAAAAAGCACAAGGCTTGATCACCATTGTGGAAATACTGAGAACAAAAATGAAAGAATGCATCCAAATAAAAAAAAATAGTCATATTGATTGCTTGGAATAAAGAACCTTTGCCGAGGACTCGGTGATTTTAAATACTTTCTGATTTTATGTAATAGGCATGTATTGCTTTGAACATAACTCAATAAATAAATTTTAGTAAGTTTAGAAAGTTTCTTCTTATTGCTCTTAGCTCAGAAAGCCCATCCTTTGAAGATGCTACTGAGATCCCTGTGTGGAGGAGGTGTGTTGTGTGGTGCTTTATGCAAATCTTTACCACATTCACCACCTTTAGCACCACCCAGGTTCTCAGCCCTGAGAGCAGCCACACTGTGAGGGGACTGCCCAGAGTGGCCGTGTGTTGCGGGAGGAAGCAGCTGCTCTAACATTTTACACGACCCAGTGAGCAACTGTGCAGGGTTCATTCAGTTTGAACTCCTTGAGCTTCTTATGATGCAGACGACCCAGACCGCCCCCTGGTGGCTTTCCTGGACTGAGCATGTATTGTCAAATAACTATTGATTTACCTTTTTGACATTGCCACTGTAAATTTCCTAGGCCAATTCACATCCATTACTTGTCTATTTTTTGCTCATCCCTATTTGTACTACTTTCTCTTCCTGTTGTTGAAATCCAGCCCCAGTGACTATAATTCGATTTTAGTGTTACATGGTGTTAATTTTTATCTGAATGTTTTGGATGACTAAAGGAATTGTTTTAATGACCCACTGGCTTTTTGAAACTATTTATGTTGAGTCTCATATTGGATAAACAGCTAGCTAAAGCGAGCATTTTCAAAATAATTTATTTTAGAGAATTTATTAAAAAGAAAATAACCAAATATTTAAGGTTGAAGTTTTATTGTCAATTCAGTGGAAATTCAAGTCGGAGTCAGCCATAAGGATGATCAACAAGGTCTACATAAGCAACCCCATCCCCAACTCACACCCCCAAAAAAACCTGCCTGGACACCAAGCTTCAGCGAGCTTTCCTGGTTGGCAATAATTCATGCACAGAATCACACATTGCTGCCAGGAGAATGCAGCATTGTCTATTACTTTACTGGGAGAGGACAACTGAATGCCTGTGCTTGGAATTCTCCTGAACTCTGCCCATGTACCTCCTTCCTTGAATTATTTTAATCTGCATTCTTTTGTTGTAAAAAATCATATCAACAAACGTCACAAGTTTCAGTGAGTGATGTGAGTCCTTCTTGGGAATCATAAGAAGTGAAGCGTTGTTGGGGGAGTCCCTAGCTTACAGTTAGCATCAGAATTGAGACTGCTGTTGGAAACTCTTAGATTTTGCAGGTTCTAATGTCACATTTTTTTTTAACTTCAAAACAGGTTGTATTTGGGAAGAGTTTCTCATTTTGTTAAAGCTGCAAGCAACCTTCTTTCCCAATTACACTTCTAGAGATCTAGTAGTTTCAGAGATCTCAGTATTCAAAGATATATTTCAAAATTAATAACAAAACCAAACCCACACCAAAAAGAAATCACTTTTAGAATGATTTGGAATGTACATTGATTTCTGGCATTCTCAGAAACAAGCTCACCAACTCCTTGGAAAACGGGTGCCATGGAGTCAGTGCCCACCGAAGAAAATGTCTTTAAATAAGTTAGTTACTTGGACAAGATTATTCACTCCTTAGAAAATACATCAATGTAACAAGTCCCAGCAGGCAGGGTATGCAGTACAGCACCAATTTCCCAGAGGGCTTAGTGGATCTTGGGATGAGCAGTTGTTGGTTTACGGCCCTCAGAAGAAGAGCAGTCACTGAAAGTGGAGAAAGAGTGTTGGCAGGCAGGAGCCTCTCGCAGTCGTACCCAGACTTTTAACTTGCTCAAAGGAGAGGCTGTGTTCAGTAGCATCTTTGGGAGAACATTTGAGACAGTTAAAGGCAACAACAAGAAAAGCCCTACAGTATTACTCCCCAGAAAGTCCATATCTGAAAAGAAAGAGGGACCCATTTGAGATTTCCTGTGGAGGACTGTGTCTCCCATCCTTTTCTGTCTCCAGCAGGTACAAGACATCAGCCAGAGTGTGCTCTACCACAGCATCCCATCCCATGTCACTCAGGGCAGTAAGTGACATCATTTTTAGGAAATTAAAGCACAGTCCAAAGTTAATGAAAACCACCCAGTTCTTGTCCAGTGAGATGGCTGGAAAGTAAACATCCTTGAAAGTATTTTTGTAAGCCACACCTTGATTGACACCTTTTTATAAAATATTAGCTCACTATGAGGAGTCCGTTTTAGGTTCTTCTCTGCTTTAGCGACAAAGTCTTTTTCCTCAAAATGCAAATAATTCTTGAATTTTATCAAAGCTTTATGCTCATAAGTATTAGGTATGACTTGACTGTTTCTGTGTCTTCAGAAAGAGTAGCACAAAATTTCAGGATGTCTCCCTTCCATAGTTTGAAATGTAGTGTTTGCCAAGGGACTGGTGAAACTTGGATCTTTTTTGCTCTGCAAAGAATAACTAAATTTACTCATTGTTTAAACAATGTTATTTAGCCAAGTAATTATTCCAAGTGTCTGAATGGTCATCATGCAATCCCCGTATTTATCAATAAATGGTATAATATCCTTATCTTTAGAGAACGTTACCTTTAAACATTCAGCCTGTGTTTGGGACTAACATGTCCTGTTGGACAAAGCAGTAAAGCACGTTTCGTTCATGTTTGCTTGCTACAGGAGGAAATAGACATTACTGCTATGATAACGTACATTGCAATGAAAACTGTAGTTGGTCATGAGGTAAACGATGAGGCATCTATGCAAGACTTATCAACTGTGAACCATTTTGTACAGAAGCAGATGCCCCTCTCCAGCTGGAGGGGCTGCTACCTCTGCCACCAGCTTCATCTCCCCTTCTTTGGCCACTGTTGCATTTGCGGCTGCTCCTGGGCTGGGTTGGGCACCCACCGCTAACATCATGGCCACCTCTAGACTTTCTCATATTATTCTGAGTCACCTGTAATGAGGTACGTCTGACTCTCTTAACTTGTTAGGATGCTGCAGGGCTGGAATAAAAGGAAGGGTGTCCTGGATGCTGTGGGGCTGGCATAAAAGGAAGAGTGTCCTGGATACTCATGCACACTCTCCTAGTCCTGTAGGTTTCCACTGTTCTTGGAGGTAGAGAAACTGCACCAAACATAAATCTTCCTCTTTTTGGCTGTAGTAAAATATTCATACACAAAATACATTATTTCAACAATTTTCAAATGTATACTTCAGTGACATTAAGTAAATTAACACTGTTGTACAACCACAGTACTGCCACTCATCTCCACAAATTTTTTATTTTCCCAAACCAAACTTCATACCTGGGAAACATCGTTTTACTTCTTGTCACTGTGGAGTTAACTATTCTAGGTACCTCATATAAGGGCTGGCAAACAATTTTTGTCCTTTTGAAGTCAGCTTATTTCTGACGGCATGATGTCTTAAAGGTTCATCCATGCCATCGCATGGGTCAGACTTTCTTTTTAAGGCTGAATAATATTCCCTTGTGTGTGTATAATATATCTTGTTGATTCATTAGTTGACACTTGGGCTGCCTCCACCTTTTAGCTATTGTGAACAATGCTGCTATGAACGAGGATGTACAATTTTCTCTTTGAGATCTTGCTTTCAATTTTTTCAGGCACATTCCCAGAAGTGAAAATTCTGATAAAATGGTAATTCTATGTTTGATTTTATGAGGAACAGCCATAAGGCATCCACAGTGGAAGCATCATTCTGCAGTCTCTCCAGCAAATCGTAACAGTTGCAATTTCTAAACATCTTTGCTAGAACTTTTAATTTTCTGTTATTTGGTTAATGCCATCCTAATGGGTATAGAGTTGTATATTATTGTGATTTGATTTGCAGTGTACTAATAATTGGTGATGCTGTACATCTTTTCATGTACTTATTGGACATTCGTAGATCTTTTTTTGTAGTAATATCTACTCAAGTCCTTTGTCCTTGTTTTTTTCGGGTTATTCCTATTTTTGTTGTTACTGTTGAGTTGTAGAAGTTCTTTCTATAGCTTGGATGCCTTATCAGATATAAAGTTTGTAACAATCTTTCCCATTCTATTATCTGCATTTTCACTCTGTTGGTAGTGTCCTTTGCTGCACATAAGTTTTACAGTTTGATGAAATGCAATTTATCTATATTCTTCTTTTTCTATGTTTTCCCTGTCTTTTTTGTGCCATATCCAAGAAATCATTTCCAAACCCTACGTTGTGGACCTACTTCCCAATGTTTTCTTTTAAGATTCAGTTGTGGCTCTCCCATTTGTGTCTTTGATTCACTTCCAGATTGCATGTGGATATCCAGTTTTCTCAACAGCATTTGTTAAAAAGACTGTTCTTTCCCTCACGAATGGTCTTGGCAAGCTTGTTGAAAATCATTTGACCATATAACTGAGAGTTTTCTCCAAGGCACTCAATTCTATTCTATTTGTCTGTATGTCTGTCTATATGTACCACTCTGTTTTGATTAGTGTATCTTTTTAGTATGCTTTGGAATCAGGAAGTGTCAGGATTCCAACAACGTTCTTCTTTTACAAGATTATTTTGGCTATTTTGGGTATCTGGATTTTAGAATTATATCCATTCTTGTACCAAGTAGTATTGGAATTTTGATAAAGATTGTGATGACTCTATAGTATATTTTATTTTGGTTTCTACTGGTATCTTAACAATATTGAGTTTTCCAATACATAATCAAAAACGTCTTTCCATTTATTTGTGTATTCTTCAATTTCTTTTAGCAATGTTTTATTGTTTTCAATGTGCAAGTGTTTTACCTTCTTAAGTTTATTCTTAAGTATTTTACATTTATTTATTTATTTGGGACAGAGTCTCACTGTGTCACCTAGGTTAGAGTGCAGTGGCACCATCTCCTCTCACTGCAAACTCTGTCTCCTGGGTTCAAGTGATTATTGTGCCTCAGCCTCATGAGTAGCTGCAATCACTGAGTGTGCCACCCACCCAGCTAATTTTTTTTAATCTTTTTTTAGTAGAGACAGGGTTTCACCATATTGGCCAGGCTGGTCTCTAACAACTCCTGACCTCAGATGATCCCCCGTCTCAGCCTCCCAAAGTGCTGGGATTATGGGCACCAGATACCGTGCCAGCCGCATTTTACTCATTCTAATGACGAAATTTGAATTGTTTTCTTTTTTTTTTAATGTATAAGAATGTTCATAGTAGTTTTATTCCTAATAGCCAAAAAAATAAACTGGAAATAATCCACATGTTCCTCAACTGGCGAATGGTTAAACAAGCTTGATACAACCGTACCATGAAACATTACTCAGCAATAAAAAGAAACAAACTATATAATTGATACAACGCAACTCAGATATATCTCAAGGAAATTGTGCTCCGTGAAAAAAGCCAATGCTGAAAGGCTGCATAATATATGATTCCATTGTTATAATATTCTTTTTTTTTTTTCTGTAAGTTATTGGGAAGATGGTGTTTGGTTACATGAGTAAGTTCTTTAGGGGTGATTTGTGAGATCCCGGTGCAGCCATCACCTGAGCAGTATACACTGTACCATGTTTGTTGTCTTTTACTCCTCGCCCCTCTCCCACTCTTCCCCCCAAGTTATTTCTCATTTTGGTAGGCTCTGTCAGAGGAGAGGTCTAGGGCTAAAGGCTGGTAAGATTTTTTTTGTTCCATGGGGTGTTCCCTTGATGTAGCACTCTCCCCCTTTTCCTGTGGATGTCTTCCTGCGAGCTGAACTGCAGTGATTTTTGTTTCTCTTCTGGGTCTAGCCACCCAGCAAGTCTACCCGGCTCTGGGCTGGTACTGGGGGTTTCTGCACAGAGTCCTGTGATGTGAACTATCCATGGGCCTCTCAGCCATGGATACTAGTGCCATGGATACTAGAGCCAGGAGGCCTCTCACCCGATTCGAATTGTTGCAAAGTTCAGCTAGGGAAGTCCTTCTTCCCGTGGAGTTTTACCCGCTGCTTGTCTGTCCTCCTTCCTGATGTATTCCTGTGGTGCCAGAAAGGAATGGGTTGCTTGGGGATTCAGCAAGTTCCCAGGGCCTCCCCGCTACCTCCTACACCTGTGTATTTCACTGAGCTTGGCTGTCTAACTTAACTCCGTTCCAGGTAAAGTTGAGAACTTCTCCTGCTAACAGACTTTCACATTCTTCAGTAGGGGTGTGTGTTTGGGAGAGGAGGGTCTCCTTTTCCCACTTCCGCAGTTGAGGCACTCACAGTATTTGCGGTGTCTCCCGGGTCCTGCGGGTGCAGTCCCCTTCCTTCAGAGGGTCTGTGGGTCCTCTTGAATTGTTTTCTTAATTTCATTTTGGGTGGTGTCCTGTTTGGTTAAGTATAGAAATACAAGTGACTTTCCTTCCTTTTTATTTTTTTATTTTTGGTAGAGACAGGTTCTTGCTTTGTTGCTCATGCTGTTCTTGAACTGTTGACCCCAAGCAATTCTCCCACCTCAGCCTCCCTAGTGTTGGGATTATAGGCGTCAGCCACCATGCCTAGCCATGAGATGTTCTTAAGTGGTGATTTTGTATCCTGAAACATTACCAAATTCACTTAATCATTCTTTCAGAATTATTTTCTGGGTCTTTTAATGGCGTTCTACATATGACATTATGTCATCTGAAAACAGAGATAATTTTATACTTTTATTTCTAGTTTTTATTCTGTTTATTTCTTTTTCTAGGCTAAATGCTCTGCCTAGGTCTTCCAATAATATTTGGAATTGAAGATGTGAAAGTATGCATCCTTGGTTTGTTCCTGATATTACAGAAAATGTCTCTGGTTGTTCAGATTTTATGTGATGTAAACTATGGGAGTTTCATAGATGGTCTTTACTATGTTGAGGTAGTTTCCTTCTATTTATAGTTCATCGAGTGTTTTTGTCATGAAAGGGTGTGGAATTTTGTGAAATAATTTTCTGTAGCCAAGGTCTTACTGCTTTGCATCTGGATGAGCCACTCTGCTCTACATCAACCCATACCATGTCTATTACATGCCTGGCTTTCCAGAGGAAGGGATACCTTGTGTTCTCCAGGGGCCACTCCACCAGACCCACAACAGTAGTAACCTGCATGAGGTGAGAGGGGAACAGAAGAGGCCCTCTGTAGATGTTGACTGGGATGGAGGTATCCCTGCCACCCTGGACTCAGACATGGGCAACGTGTTTAGGGACAATAGGGGAATGGACTAGAACCAGAAGCAATAGAATGAGGGGACTGGCTCAGTGTCCTGTGGGTAATTTGGGGTGACAGTTACAGAGAGTCACCCCATTTGTCCCAGAGTTGGTGGCTGTGTTGATGAATCTCTCAAAAAAGTCAGTTCCTTTCTCACTCTGACCACTACCTGCTGATAGCCCCTCTTCCTTTAGATTGATCAGGCATTCATCAGGCATTGATCCTTTATGCCCCACAAATGTAGGAGACCAGCTGGACTTCTATGAATGGCCCTGAAGTTTCTATTAATGGGTTTTAGATGAAGGAAAGGGGGTGAAATGGTTCTTTCATGCAAATCAGCCCCCTCCTCATAACTCCCAAGCCCTTAGTAGAACCTCACCCCAGAGAGTCATCTGAATACATTTCCCAGGTGGGATGGAGAAGGCCAGTCTGGCTACAGCCAGCTTTCCTGTGAGGACACAGCCACTGATCCAGTGGGCAGATGAAACAAGGTCACAGCAGGGGTGGACTTCCCAGCTGTTATCATCTGCAGACTGCTCCAGGACAAGCCCAAAGCACTCAGCGCTACCTCAGTCCCAGACCCATTGAGTCCTTCAGTTTCTCCATGCCTTTGTCTATTTCCTTTTTCACCAAAGATAGAACGTGAAGGCCCTTGTTAAGATGCATCTGCACTTATTGTTCTGAACACAATTCCTGTACCATGACATGCCTGTCTGGTCCACTCTGCTAATTTTAGTAAAGTCCTGGGATCTTGGCCTCACTGAAGGAGATTCCCTGACAAGCATCAGAGCCCTGAAGTTTCATCTGTCATGGGACAGAAGGAGAGCCCCTCTGAGCTCTTCTAATCTTACATGTTATTTATGCTCTCCTGGCTGAAGCCATTCTGTGTAGGGACTAAAGAGCCCTTTTGCATCTGGTTGTGACAGGACATGCGGTCCCAGGTCCAGAACTCAGGCTGCAGCAATTTCTGGGGAGGCCCTGAGTCTGCAAACTTAAAGGATAATAGAAAGAATTAGGGAAGTGAGTGGGGATCATTGACTGGGGATCATATCACATGTATTTAGTGCCAACTGACATGTTCACTTGAGGGTAGCTCTCTTAGAGAAGCTCTGTCTTTGACGTTAAGCACCTAGACCTGGCATCAGGAAGGGCAGGCCTGCCACAGCTCTGCCTCTTTCAAGCTGCGAACCCTGTGTGGAGTTTCCCGATAAAATGCAGGGCACCCAGTTGTTTGTATTACAATTGAACAATACTGTGTGGGTGATACACATACAGATTCTTTATCATTGTTTTTACTGAATTCAAATTTAACTGACCTCCAGTGTTTATATCACATTGGTGCACAAGTCCTTGTGGGTTTTGCCATTACTTTTATTTGTAAAACCTGCAATTACTTGTGCACCAATTTAATATTTGATAAATTTTAGAACCTTACCTCCAGGCCACAAAGCATTACCTCTTCAATCACGGTCTACTGCCTGAAAAGCAATAATAAAGCTATTGTCAGGATTAAATGAGGTCACATCCTCAGGAATTAAAAAGCTGTTGATTGATAGTAAGATTGCAATTGTTCTAAATCTTAATGCAACCTGTCAAAAGCTCTGGGATACAGCAAAAGTGGTGCTTAAAGGACAGTTTATAGCATTAAATACCTACATCAAAAAGTCTGAAAGAGCACAAGTAGAAAATCTAAGGTCACCCCTCACAGAACTGGAGAAACCACAACAATCCAAACCCAAACCCAGGAAAAGAAAAGAAATAATGAAGATCAGAGCAGAACTAAATGAAGTCAAAACAAAAAAAAATACAAAAGATAAATGAAACAAAAAGCTGGTTCTTTGAAAAGATAAATAAAATTGGCAGACCATTAACGAGATTAACCAAGAAAAGAAGAGAGAAGACCCACATAAGCTCAATTAGAAATGAAACGGGAGATATTACTATTGATACCACAGAAATACAAAAGATCATTAAAGGCTACTATGAACTCTTTTATGTACATAAACTAGAAATCTTAAAGGAGATGGATGAACTCCTGGAAATATACAACACTACTAGGTTAAACCAGGAAGATGTAGAAACTCTGAACAGACCAATAACAAGCAGCTAGATTGAAATGGTAATAAAAAAAATTGCAAACAACAAAAAATCCAGGACCAGATGGATTCACAGCTGAATTCTATTAGATATTCAAAGAAGAACTGGTACCAATCCTTCTGACTCTATTCAACAGCATAGAGAAAATGGGAATCCTTTCTAAATCATTCTGTGAAGACAGTATCATTCTGATACCAAAACCAGGGAGGACATAACAAAAATAAACTACAGACCAATATTTCTGATGAATCTAGATGCAAAAATCCTCAACAAAATACTAGCTACCCAAATCCAACAGCTGTCTTAAAGATAATCTACCATGATCAAATTGCTTTTATACCAGAAATGCAGAGATGGTTTAACATCCACAAGTTGATAAATGTGATACACCATATAAACAGAATTAAAACACAAAATCACATGATTATCTTAATAGATGCAGAAAAGGCATCTAACGAAATCCAGCATCCTTTATGATTCAAACTTGGCAAAATCAGCATAGAAGGGACCATACCTTATGGCAACAAAAGCCATCTATGGCAAACCCACAGCCAACATTATACTCAATGGGGAAAAGTTAAAAGCATTTCCCCTGAGAAATGGAACAACAAAAGGATGCCCACTTTCACCACTTCTATTCAACGTAGTACTGGAAGTCTTAGCCAGAGCAATCAGACAAGAGAAAGAAATCAGGGATATCCAAACTGATAAGGAGGAAGTCAAACTGTCACTGTTTGCTGATAATATGATTGTATACATAGAAAACCCTGAAGACTCACCCCAAATGCTTCTAGCACTAGTGAAAGTATTCAGCAAGTTTTAGGATACAAAATTAAAGGACACAAATCAGTAGCAGTGCTATACAACGACAGCAACCAAGCTGAGAATCAAAGCAAGAACTCAACCCCTTTTACAATAGCTGCCAAAAAACTAAAATACTTAGAAATATACCTAACCAAGAAAGTGAAAGACCTCTACCAGGAAAGCTGCAAAACACTGCTGAAAGAAGTCACAGATGACACAAATGGAAATACATTTTATGCTCATGGATGTATAGAATGAATATTGTGAAAATGACCATACTGCCAAAACAATCTACAAGTTTAATACAATTTCCATCAAAATACCACCATCATTCTTCACAGAACTTCATAGAACTAAAATTCATATGAAACCAAGAAAGAGCCCCGGTAGCCAAAACAAGTCTACACAAAAATAACAAATCTGGAAGCATCACATTACCTGACTTCAAACTATGCTATAAAGCCATAATGACCAAAACAGCATGGTACTGGTATAAAAATAGGCACATAGACCGATGTAACAGAATAGAGAATGCAGAAATGAAGCAAAATACTTAGAGTTAACTGATCTTTGACAAAGCAAACAAAAACATAAAGTGGGAAAAGGAGACGCTATTCAACAAATGGTGCTGAGATAATAGGCAAGTCACACGTAGAAGAATGAAAATGGATCTTCATCTCTCATCTTATACAAAACTAACACAAGATTGGTCAAAGACTTAAATCTAAGACATGAAACCTTAGAAATTCTAGAAGAAATTGGCTTAAGCAAAGACTTTATAACCAAGAATCCAAAATGAAATGCATTAAAAACGAAGATAAATAGATGGGACTGAATTAAATGAAATAGCCTCTGCACAGCAAAATAAACAGTCAGCAGAGTTAACTGACAACCCACAGAGTGAAAGAAAATCTTCCCAATCTATACATCTAATAAAGTATTAATATCCAGAATCTACAAAGAACTCAAACTAATCAGCAAGAAAAAAACAAACAATCTCATCAAAAAGTGGGCTAAAGACATGAATAGACAATTCTCAAAAGAAGATATACAAATGGCTAACAAGCATATGGCAAAATGCTCAAGATCACTAACGATTAGAGAAATGAAAATCAAAGTCACAATGCAATACCACCTTACTCCCTCAAGAATGGGCATAATAAAAAAATTAAAATAATTGATGCTGGCATGGATGTGGTGAAAAGGGAACCCTTTTACACTGTTGGTGGGAATGTAAACTAGTACAACCACTATGGAAAAGAGTGTGGAGATTCATTAAAGAACTGGATCTACCATTTGATCCAGCAATCTCACTACTAGGTATCTACCAAGAGGAAAAGAAGTCATTACATGAAAAAATTACTTGAACACTCATGTTTATAGCAGCACAATTTGCAATTGCAAAAACATAGAACCAACCCAAATGCCCATCAATCAATGAGTGGATGAAGCAAATGTGGTATATATATATATATATATATATATATATATATGTAGACTGCTACTCAGCCTTAAAAAGGAATGAAATAATGGCATTAACAGAAACCCGGATGGAATGGAGACTATCATTATAAGTGAATTCACTCAGGAATAAAAGGGCAAACATCATATGTTTTCACTCATAAATGGGAGCTAAGCTATGAGGACACAAAGGCATAAGAATGATACAACGGACTTTGGGGACTCAGGAGAAAGGGTGGGATGGGGTGAGGGATAAAAGACTACACATTGGGTACAGTGTTCCCTGCTTGGGTGATGAGTGCACCAAAATCCCAGAAATCACCACTAACAAACTTATTTATGTAACAAAACAACATCTGTTTCCCAAAAACCTATTGAAATAAAAAAATTTTAAAAAACACTAAAAACCTTAAAAGCCAACATAAAATAATAAATAGAAAAACTTTAAAAAGATAAGAAATTCTCCCATTATAGAAAGAATTAGAGGGAAGAGATGAAGAAGCAAGAATCCTGAGAAGCCCTCACTGACTCCTGTCACCTTAGATGAACATCACCCGTAGAGTTTGATTTGATGGACAATGAATTCAAACTTTAAAATAAATAAGTAAATAAATAGAATCAGAAGAGAATGTCCTAGACCCTCAAAGGTTGTAATGAGCCCTCTGTAGAATGGGATGCAATTCAGCAACAGCAGGGAGAATCTGAAAAGAAGTGTGCAGAGTGAAAGAAGCTCGAACAAATGGGAAGATAGTGTTTGATAACACTAGTAAGTTTCAGAAAATGGAAACCATACAGTAGTGGCAAAGGCAGATTCCTGGCTGCCCAGGAGGGCATTCGGGGAGTGAAGGAGATGACAAAGCATCATGAAGGGCTGCTGGGGTTAGTCAGAGGTTGCATAGCTCAGTGGTGGTGATATTTTCAAAGATCCAGAAAAATGCCAAAATGGGCCGAATTTAATGCTATAAATTCAGCTGGTTTATTAGGTGTGCATTTTTCCTTCATGAAAGGAGTTTTGTTAAAAAAAAAAAAAAAGAATAGGCCTGGGAGAAAAGAAACACAGGGACTCACATTGAGGAGCAGGGAGAGGAAGACACCACTCCGGAAACTCCTGGAATTGGGGAAAGGAGAATAATGAATACATGGGTTCCCTATCAGAGGTGGGTCTGAGGTGACACAACTGGATCTGCCACCTGAGTCCAGAACTTCAGTGTAGAGACTTTGTGTCCCAAGTTAAGGGAGAGGGATATTCTGCTTCCTGGATTCCCTGTTCCTGACTCTGAGGACAGAAGGGGAGGAGGAGCCTCCACTCCCAGGCAGGGCCCTGGATGCCCCTGGGACCATGAGGGAAGCAGCAGCCGCAGAAGCCACAGGCCAGGCCTGAGCAGCAGCTGCCGGGGCTCACCCTCCTGGCAGAGGAGGAAGTGGGTTCTTGTCTCAGTTCCCCCCGGGCCTGGAGCACTGTGGAACCACTCAGGCTGCTGTCATAGGACTGGCAGTAATAATCAGCCTCATCCTCAGCCTGGAGCCCAGTGATGGCCAGGGAGGCTGAGGTGCCAGACTTGGAGCCAGAGAATCGGTCAGGGACCCCTGAGGGCCGATTGCTGTTACCATAGATGAGGAGTTTGGGGGCTGTTCCTGGAAGCTGCTGGTACCAGTGTACATCATAACCTGCCCCGATGTTGGAGCTGCTCCCAGTGCAGGAGATGGTGACCCTCTGCCCTGGGGCCCCAGACACTGAGGGCGGCTGCGTCAGCACAGACTGGGCCCAGGACCCTGGAAGTGGGAGAGACACAGGCATCATTATTCGGCTTCTAGAGACAACAGGAGAAAGCAAGAATCCATAGGCTTCCCAGGGCCCCTCCCCTGGACCTGTATCCAGTCACCTGTGCAGTGAGCGAGGAGAGTGAGGAGGAGAGGAGACCAGGCCATGCTGGAGATTGTCCTGAGTGCTGCCTCTTGTGCCCACAGCTGAAGCAGAGCCTCCCCAAATCTCTCCCTGCCCCTCTTCATACTCTGAGAGTGGGAGGGTCCATCCATGCAAATCAGACCCCCAGCTTTCTAATCCCACCCTGGGCCCTGGGTCAGGTCCCTATGCCTGAGGATGTCAGGGGGTGGCAGGGGTGGGGCTGTGTGGTCCCACGGGTGTAAAGGACGCAGCTGTGAGCCCTGAGCAGAGGACACTAGGCAGGACAGGTGGCTGGTTCTGCTCTGATCAACCTCAGTCTTCTCAGGAATGATCCCCAAGTGCCCTCTAGTGTCCAGACCGAGACAAACCATGGTATGACAAGGTGACCAGAGCCTCTAGAGACCCCACTGCCTCCGCACTGTTCTGTCCACTGCCCCCTGTCAGGGCCAGGCCAGGTGGTGCCTGTGTCTTCTCCCTGTGACCTCAGTCCTCCCACTTTACTGGGCTCCTCGGGAGTGAATCTGTCCGTGGCGCTCTCACTGTTTATTGTAGAGGACTCAGGTGGTGACTACACAATGTCCTCATAGGTCACAATCAAACCCAGAGCAGGGACCGACTTTCATGGACTCACGTTCCCATTTGTGGGGACACCGGGTCCTCTCATGTGGCTCCTCCCTGGTGGCCAGGGCTCTCCTTCCTCTGTGGATCCTGCAGCGCTGAATAGAAGGGAAGCTCTTCCCTCTAGGAGGCCCAGGGCACATTCCCAGAGGGTTATTCTGGTCAATCTTCATTCTCTACTTCCCCTGAATTGCAGTCATAGTCATCTGGATCTTGTGACCGGGCTGAGCTGTGTCTCACATACAGGACAAGGCTGCTCATGGCCCTCTCCCTGCCCAGGAATGCTCTTCCTGGTGGATGCCCCATCAGCTCTTAGGGTGAGGGCAGAGCGAGGAGCAGGTCCACAGCTACCTCTCCCAGTTCAGCCCCATCCTGGGTCCAGTATAATGTGTCCCATGTGATAAGAGGTAGGTCTCTGTCAAGTAGTTGCTGAGCACGTATCTTTTGCTGGGCATAGAGCTCAGCTCTGGAAATGCCATAATCCCTACCTAATGCCATAATCCCTACCTAGACAGCCTAATCCCTACCTTTTGCAGCTAACCCTGATGAAAACACAGGCATAGGAAGGGCACAGGAGTCCACTCTTCCACCCCCTTAATCCCTGGGGCAGAGACCAGAGAAGTCCCTGCTGCACTCCAGGGTCTGAGAAGAGACTTCGACTTGGTGGCATCACAGGGGAAGAAGGAAGAAGGGACTACAGGAGAACCAAGGGCATATGGGCATGACCTGAAGATTCCTGGTGTTCAGGTGAAGATGTAAGGAAGTCCACGAAGTAGATACAGATGAATAAGATTAGATAAATTACAGGATCTAGGAGAAGTGGACTGCCGGGAAGGAGAGATTGGATTGAGAAAGACACCCTGGCAGGGCAAGTCCTCAGAAATCCAAGAAGATGTACTTTTGTTCCCCAAGTCCAGGAGCTTGTTGACTGGTTGGGCCTGATCTGCTGGGGCTACTGGAGAGGAAGGCAGGGAGGAGCCACGTGTCAGCAGGAGAGGTGAGGAGAGGGGGAGAACATGAGCAGAAGAAGAGGAGATGCCACTTTAGGACAGCCTGGATGGGAGGTGTGCGATGGGAATGTCCACATGTACAGATATATTTCTAGATATTTCATATAAATGGGATCATGTTAATTTTTAGATTGTTGTGAGAGAAGAAGACAAATTCAAACTATCTTGCTATTATTCTAAAAGGCGGTGTATCTTCAGCAAAGAAAATTTGCTTCACAGGTGCTATCCTGGTGGACTGTAAGCACTGGGTTTTACAAAGGCTTTTTTACATTTCTTTTACCATCATACTGCTTTTTTTTCCAGAAATATATATACCAATTAAAATTGATGACATAAGTTAAGATTACATTTTTGTGAAAGTTATGCACTTATCTTTTTGAAACGTATACTCTGAACCTTTCAGAGGTTATTCATTGAGAAGACCAAGAACATTCACTACCTAATGTATTCATGCTGTTGTTTCTGAGGAGTAAACTCTTGAAGCTCTGGAATTAATTTTCTTAGATCTTGGAGTAATTCCTAAGGGGTAATGAAACTTTTCTTTGCTAACCCTGTATTTATCTAAGGAACCCTCTCATTTCTTTTTTTTTTTGTGACAATGGCCTGTAGATACAGGGTTGGCATCATTAGCTCCTGAGTGGAAAATGGACCATGACAAGGAATGAGAGCAGAAGAGTGAGTATAGAATTTTGGTAATCAAATAGCTCTAGACCTGAGGAAATAACATGAAATTATTTGGTAGAGGTGGCACTTTCTAGAGGGACACAGAGAAGGAGAATCTAAGGTTTGAGAAATCTAGGAGAGTTCAGTTAGGCTTTAATCATCGGCTTTGTGTCCTGAAGGGGCAGGGTCACAGCTGAATCAAAGCCAGGTTGCTGCTGATCCAAGACCCTGTGACCAGGACTGAGGTAAGACTCTCAGCAGTGACACGGCTGACCTGGCGGAGCAGTCGCCTTGAGATGAGAGCAGAAGGAGGCTCCCTACACAGTGCATGGACAGAAAGGGAGGTGCAGGTGCTGTCCCCTGAGTCTGGTCCTTACTTGAAAGAGGGGCAGATGGAGGACAGGTGCCGAGGTGATGGTGATCAGTGGCTTCTAGTGTGGCTTCTTGAACTTCTTTCCCTTTTTTTTCTCCTCTGAGCTTAGGAGGCCAACATGAGGGTGTTTATCTGCTTCCTGTCTCTCTGGAGGCTACCTGATTCTCCTATCAATGCCTTCTTGATGAGCATGGATGTGTCTTGGCCCAGAATTGATGTGCAAAAAGAATATCAGAAAGGCCAGAGAGCCCACGATGGAGATTTGTGGGTCAGAGTCTCTCTTGCCTGTGTCCCAGCCCAGCTGTCAGTTTTCGCAAGACAACACCCATCACGAACTGAAGTTGAGGGTGGAGGGTAGAGTGATTCACACACTGGGGCTACTTAGGCAGAGCTCCTGGTCTTTTTCCTCTTCCTGTCATGTCTAGACCCCAGATCTCCCAGCCATGAGTTCAGCATATAAGTGTCCCCAGCTGCAATGTTTGGGACAGGCAGTGTGTGGCCCAAACCCATAAGATATGCTCCCTGGTCCCCATGATGCTGTCATGGGAGATGGCATGAACGATTTCGTCTGGTTGTCCTGAAGGCTGAGATTCCTCACCAGTGGGTCAGGGAGGGCAGATCTTTCTCATTCTGGAACTTTTTTTTTAGTGAGGATGTCATATGTAAAACTGGAGAGTCATTTTGTTTCCAAATAGGAATTCAGCCAGGGGACAGGAGAGGTTATGGAGAACAAACATCTTATATATCTCAGAGATAAGTTTTCCTCTCCCCGTTGCCATGTGGAGAGGAAAAAGTCCTGTGACACCTTTGAACAAGTCTGGGGAGCTGTTGTCTAAGTTTTCATTGTGACAATGAGCTCGAGCCTTCCTGCAGCCCCCTTGCACTTGAAGGACCCCCCAGCAGTGTGATCACTGTGCCCCACTCAGGTCCTAAGGCCAGCCTTGAGCATCTCCCCTCACCCAGGCTTCAGTACCTCCTCCCCAGACACTGGTGCTGAATCTCACCACTCACTCCCGGTGACTAGAGCTGGTCCCATGGCCTTCATACTGCCTACCTCCTTGTCCATCTTCTCTGAAGCATCTGGAGTTTTCCTCACAAACTTACCTCAGATTCTGTGTCCTCTTTGTCCAACCCTCTAATGGCTCCTCTACCCTCCCCCACACAAGCTCTCCTCTCCTCACTGTGCGATGCCACCTTATCACATCAATATTCTAACTTGATTCTCTTTTCCACAAGTCGGTGTCAGCTAGGATATTCCAGGCTTATCAATCAGCCTTTATCCATTTTGGTATCAGTGCTGGGCTCTGCTACGAGAGCATAAGTCTTAGATGTCAGAGTCTGGGAGCTTCAGTACAATCAAATTCCCATGAAAGCCCCCAGTTCTATTGGCCTGAGAGGGAGGCTCAGCCTCCCCTCAATGCCTGAGTGGGCAATAATCCTCTACGAATTCTTATCTGAGGAAAGGAACCTCTTCAGACTTTTTTTTTATCCTATTCTTACTGAAACTGAAACTCAAGAAGAAATGAGTAGATGGCTCAGGAGATCTGGTCCACCATCTGAGCCTCAGTTTATGCCACCCCTCCTCACTTTAGTAAGAGGGTCCTCACTATTTTCTGGTCCCAGACACCTCCACCACCTCCCTCCACCATCTGGGGGGACTGGCTGGCTCCACTGCCTGGTATAATGCCTGGACCTTCCCTTGCCTTCTGTGGCTGCCTCCTCTTTATTTCTGTGGAAGGAGGAAGCCAAGGGGAGGCTGGTTGAGAGGAGAGAGGGGAGCCTTGGGGAGGCTTCTGATTTCTAACTCTTTCTTCTCCTCATTGTTTCACTGAGAGGTGATGAGCAGTTTGCAAGGGGTGGGGTTGGTGCCCTCTAACCCAGTCCTGGGCACATAGAAATAAATGTTTCTACAGATTCAGAGACAGCCCTTACAGAGTTTGGAAACAATGCCTGGGATGGAGGCCCTGGGTTGAGCAAGGTCCTCAAGTAGCCCTGAGCCCTCACCTGGCCACAGCTACAGTGAGGAGAGTGATGGGAGGAGGGTGACGGAAGGAGTCCAGGTCTTCGGGAGCACCTCTGCTCCCTCAGGCCTCTAGTGAAGCTCAATGGCCCACACTTCCTCACTCCGTCCCCACACCATGGGCAGGCACAGGAAGGACTGTGAAGACACAGTTGGACCTGCCACCTCAGCCCACGATTTCAGTGCAGAGACCCTGTGTCCCAAGCTGAGGAGCAGGATATTCTGTCTCCTGGGGTCCCTGTTCCTGACTCTGAGGACAAAAGTGGTGGAGCCTCCACTCCTAGGCAAGGCCCTGGATGCCCCGAGGCCCATGGGGGAAGCTACAGCAGCAGAAGCTACAGGTCAGGTGTGAGCAGCAGCTGCAGGCACTCACCCTCCTGGCGGAGGAGGAAGAGGGTTCTTGTCTCAGTTCCCCATTGGCCTGGAGCACTGTGCAAGCTCTCAGGCTGGTATCCCATGCTAAGCAGTAATAATCGGCCTAGTCCTCAGGCCAGAGGCCAGTGATGCCCAGGGTGGCTGAGGTGCCAGACTTGGAGCCAGAGAATCGGTCAGGAATCCCTGAGGGTCGCTTATTATTTTCATAGATGAGGAGTTTGGGGGCTGTTCCTGGGAGCTGCTGGTACCAGGATACCGCATAATTCCCCATGTCGGAGCTGCTTCCAGAGCAGGAGATGGTGACCTTCTGTCCTGGGGCCGCAGACACTGAAGGCGGCTGCGTCAACACAGACTGGGCCCAGGACCGTGGAAGCAGGAGAGACACAGACACGGTGATTCTTGGTCTAGAGAGAGAAGGAGAAAGCAGGGCCTCATGGGCTTCCTGGACCCCTCCCCTGACCCTGTGTCTGGGCACCTGTGCAGTGAATGAGAAGGGTGAGGAGGAGAGGGGAGCAGGTCATGATGAAGATTGTCCCGAGTCCTGCCTTCTGTGCTCACAGCTGAAGCAGAGCTTCCCCAAGTCTCTCCCTGCCCCTCTTTATACTCTGAGAGAAGGAGGGTCCATCCATGCAAATCAGACCCTCCAGCTTTCTGATCCCACCTTGGGCCCTGGGTCAGGCTCCTCTGCCTGAGGATGTCAGAGAGTGCCAGGGGTGGGGCTATGTGGTCCCAGGGGGTGCAGAGTTGACATCTGTAAGCCCTAAGCATAGGGCACCAAGCAGGACAGGTGGCGCTGGTCCTGCTCTCATCACACCCAGTCTTCTCAGTAATGGTACGCAGGCATCCCCTGGTGTCCATTTTGGTCATGTACACCACCATTGTATAACAAGGTGACCAGAGCCTCTCAGAGACACCCCTCACTCCCCGTTGTTCTGTCCATGGCCCCCTCCATCAGGGCCAGGCCAGGCAGCCCCCTGAGTCATTTTTTTCGTGAGCTCAGGGCAGACTTCACATTCTACTGGGTTCCTCAGGGGTGAATCTGTCCATGTCTCCTTGGCTGTTCACTGTATAGGACTCAGGTGGTGACTACACAAAGTCCTCTTATGTCAGAATGAAATCGAGAGCAGTGACCAGCCCCATGGACTCATTTCCTCACCTGTGGGGGCACTGGGTCCTCTCCTCTCGTGTGGCTGCTCCCTGGTGGCCAGAGCTCTCCTTCCTCTGTGGATTCTGCAGTCCTGGGTCGATAGGGAGCTCTTCCCTCCGGGATGCCTGGGGCACATTCTCAGAGGGTTATGCTGGTAAATCTTTGTTCTGTCTCTTCTTTTCCAGACTTGCAGTCATAGTCATCGGGATCCTGTGACCAGGGATCTCACCTAGGAGTCTGTTCTCCATCACTGAATGCCAATCTGCGGGGGATCCTGGCAAATGACTTTGCAGTGTTTTGCTAAAGAGCAAAACAAGCAAATATGCTCAGTATTTGAAGATGGAAGAGTTAAAACTTCAGCTTGTTTTGACCAGAGTCTGTACTTAAGTGAGCCTGACACGTGGTAGCTTTTAGGATCAACCATTCCAACTAGGATGTTTAGGAAAGAATACTGTTCAAAATCGCTAATGAGTGTTTTGGGCATGTCTGAAAGATGATAGAAATTATTCATCTTTGATGTGTAATGAAATCTAGAATATGATACATTAAAAACAGTAAACTGAAGAAAAAAGATAATCCTATTTATTAAAATGAAACAGATTGTATATATGACTGCAAGAGTTCTGGCATGATACACCTGGGATTCAACAAATATTTTTTGGGGCAATCCCATGTGGTTGGAGAACAGCAGGATAGTTATTTACTCTGGTGAGTCTGTCACCAGGCAGTTGTAGTACCATGAGGTTTTACATGCACCATTTAAACAATGTACTAGGTCGAGCACTGTGGCTCACGCCTGTCATCCCAGCACTTTGGGAGGCTGAGGTGAGTGGATCACTTGAGGTCAGGAGTTTGAGACCATCCTGGTCAACATGATGAAACCCCATCTTAGGCCGGGTGCAGTGGCTCACGCCTGTAATCCCAGCACTTTGGGAGGCCAAGGTGGGCGGATCACGAGGTCAAGAGATCAAGACCATCCTGGGCAACATGGTGAAATCCCATCTCTATTAAAAATGTGAAAATTAGCTGGGCATGGTGGCGGGTGCCTGTAGTCCCAGCTACTCAGAAGGCTGAGGCAGGACAATTGCTTAAACCTGGGAGGCAGAGGTTGCAGTGTACCGAGATTGCGCCACTGAACTTCAGCCTGGCAACAGAGGAAGACTCGGTCTCAAAAAAAAAAAAAAAAAAAAAAAAAGAAACCCCATCTCTACTAAAAACACAAAAATTAGCCAGGCATACTGGTGCGCACCTGTGGTCCCAGGTGCGTGGGAGGCTGAGGCAGGAGAAGTGCTTGAACCTGGGAGCTGGAGACTGCAATAAGTCGAGATTGTGCTACTGCACTCCAGCCTGGGTGACAGAGCTAGACTCTATCTCAAAAACAACAAACAAGCACACAAACAAAAATCCACAATGAAGTAGTGATCTCTAATATAGACATTTAAATAAAACCAGTCAAGATAAATAACTGAAATAAAATGTATGCTGTATTTTAGGATTGCATTTCCAGGGTGTCATTATTTCAAATGTTCCTATTTATTGTAAACCATGTTACTTTAAATATTTTTATAGTTTTCGAAAAATGTTTGTTGTGTTTACATAACACACCAGGCATATTAAATTTTATTTCTTTTAAAGTAGAAACCAATTGTAACTGGGCTTGCACTTCCTATTTTCTTGTCATTGCCTCCTCTGTGATGATACATAGACATTCACAGTGAATTTTGTTTATCTTTTTCTCCCACCTTCATGAACAGAGGTTCCCCCAGGCTGAGCAGTGTCTCCCATACAGGACAAGGATGCCCATGGCCCCCTTTCTGCCAAGGGATGCTCTCCCTGGTGAACGTCCCATCAGTTCTTAGCCTGAAAGCAGAGAGAGGAATATTTCCACCACTGCTTCTCCCAGTTCATCCCCATCCTGGACTCAGTGTAATGTGGCCAGTGTGATGAAATGTAGGTTTTCTCAAATAGTTACTGAGCACCTACCTTGTGCTGGGCACAGAGCTCAATGTTGGGAAAGCCATGTTGATCTAGACAGCCTCATTCTGCCTCATGAAGCTGATCCTGATGGCAACACAGGGGTAGGAGCGGCAAAGAGGACCTCCCATTCTCCTCATTCATAATTGAAGCAAAGAGACCAGAGAGGGCCCTGCTACACTCAGGGGTCTCAGAAGGGATGACTTGGTGGGATCTCAGGAGAAGAGAAAATAAGACATTTCAGGAGAACTGAGGGAATATTGGCATGACTTGAAGATTCCTGGGGTTCAGGTGAAGATGCAGGGAAGTCCACAGAGTAGACCTAGATGGAGTAACACAGAGATAAATAACAGGATCCAGCAAAAGGGGATGCCCAGGAACAGAGGGATTGTGATCCAGAAAGAGACCCTTGCAGGGCAAGTCCTCAGAAGTCCAACAAGATGCACTTTTGATCCCCAGGTCCAAGAGCTTGTTCCCCTGGTGGGCCCAATCTGCTAGGGATCTGGAAAGGAAGGCAGGGAGGAGTCACGTGTTAGCAGGTAGATGTGTGGAGAGGAGCAGAATGGGGGCAGAGGGATTCCACTTTAGGAGAAGATGGATGGGTGGTGGCAGATGGGAATGTCCAAATGTACCTGTATTTTTCTAGATATTTCACATAAATGGGGTGATTTTAATTTGTAGATTGTGAGATGAGAAGACAAAATTCATAGCTATGTTGCTATTATTCTAAAAGACAGTGTATCTTCAACACAGAAATTTCCTTCACAGGTTCTATCCTGGTGGAGTATAAGCACTGAGTTTTTAAAAATGCTTTTTAACATTTATTTATCATCATACTGTTTTTCTCCAAAATACATAAACCAATTAAAATTGTTGACATATGTGAATACTATATGTTTGTGAAAGTCATACTCTTACCTTTTTGAAGCATATTCTCTGACCATTTCTGAGGTTATTCATTGAGAAGGCCAAGAAGATTCACCACCTCATATATTATGCTGTTGTTTTTGAGTTGTAAACTCTCGAAGCTCTGGAATGAATTTTCTTGGATCCTGAAGTGATTCCTAAGAAACTTTCCTTTGCTAACCCTGTATTTATCTAAGGAACCCTCTCCTCCCCATTTTTCATGTCAATGGGCTGTAGATACATGGTTGGCCTCATTAGCTGCTGCGTAGTAAATGAACCATGACAGAGAATGAGAGCATAAGTGTGAGTATAGAAGTCTGGAAATCAAATGGCTCTAGGCCTGAGGAAATGACCTGACATTATTGGGTAGAGACAGAACTTCCTAGAAGGATATTGAGAAGGAGAATATAAGATTTAAGTAAATCAGGAGAGTTCAGTTAGAGCCCTAATAGTTCACTTTTTGTCCTGAAGGGGCAGGGTCACAGCTGAGTTAAAGCCAGGCTGATCCTGATCCCAAACCCTGTGACCAGGTCCCTGTGAAGACTCTCAGCAGTTACACAGGTAAGCTGGGGGAGCAGCAGTCTTGGGATGAGTCCAGAAGGAGGCACCCCACGGTGTGAACAGATGAAGACGTGTTTCTCTAGGCCTCTGAGTCTGGTCCTCACTGAGAGAGGGGCAGGTGGAGAACAGGTGCCCAGGTGATGGTGGGCAGTGACCATTTATGTTTCTTCTTGAATTCCTTTCATTTCCTTATGTCCTCTGGGCTTAGGAGGCCAACATGAGGGTGTTTATTTGCTTTCTGTCTCTTCTAAGACTACCTGATTCTCAGATCACTGCCTCCTGTATGGGCATGGCTGTGTCCTAGCCTGAAATTGATCCATTATAGGAATATCAGAAAGGTCAGGGAGCCCAAGATGAAGCATTGTGAGATGAGGACACACAGGCCCATGTCACTGCCCAGGTTCCAGCCTCAAGGAGACATCACCCATCATGAACTTAGGATAAAGGTGGAGGGAAGAGTGATGCACACAGGGGGCCATGTAGGCAAAGCTTCTGTTCTATTCCTCTCCTTTCTAGACCCTAGGTCTCCCAGCCATAAACTTAGCCTGTAAGCGTCCCCAACTGCAATGCCAGGGACAGGCACTGTGTGGCCCAAATTAATCAGAGAGTCCCCCCGGTAACCATGATGATGTCAGGGGAGATGGCATGAGTGATCTAGTCCAGCCATCCTGATGTCCGAGATTCCTGGCCAGTGGGTCAGGGAGGGAAGATCTTGCTCATTCTGGCAGGTTTTCTGTGAGGATGTAATGCCTGGCACTGGGGAGTCATTTGGTTTCCAAATACGAATTCATCCAGGTGACAGGACAGGTCATGGGAAGGGAATTCTCATGTATCTCAGAGGGAGATTCTCCCCCTTGCCATCTGCAGAGGAAAAGGTCCTGAGATGCTTTTGAACAAGGATGGGGAGCTGGTGTCTGTTTCCATTGTAAAAATCAACTCAGGACCTCCCCCAGCCTTCTTGCTCATGAAGGCCCTCTCAGCAGGGGGTCACTGTGCCCATCCAGGTCCTAAGGCCAGCCTTGACCCTTTTTCTCACCCGGGCTTCAGACCCTCCTCCCCAGAAACTTGTGCTGAAGGGGTGGAGGCTGAAGAGGGAAGACACATTACTGGGGAGACAGAAGGTTTTCCTCCCAGCTACCCACTGGCCTGCAGCACTGCCTAATCATGGATCCTTGGGTCTCAAGATGAGCGAAAGAATCAGCCTCATTCTCTGCCTGGAGCCCAGAGATGCTCAGGGATGCCATGATCCCCAACCTGGGACCTGAGAACTTCGCTGGGACCTGTGCAGACCAATGACTGCTGTCATAGATGAGGAGTTTGGGGACACTGCTGATACCAGGACACAGGCCCACACCCAGCCTTGCTTCTGCTTCAAGTGTGATAGATGGCGGCAGTTTACCCCACCCACAGGAACTCTTCACACCACTGAGTCAGCACAGACTGGGCCCAGAACCTTGACACCTGGACTAACAGAGGGTGAGAGAGGTGGGTCAGTTGAGAGGGCAGCATGCAGGGTCCTCGTTCCATTCACCCACAGCCCTGATCCCTAGCCCTAGTTACCTGTGCAGTGAATGAGAAGGGGGAGAAAGGGAGGAGCTCAGGCCTTGGTGGGGACCCACACACAGCTCTGCATCCTGATGACACTCAGCTGGGCTTGAGCTCCCCCAGTCCCTATTACTTTCGCCAGCAGCCCAGGATGAAGGAGGGTCTCTTCATGCACACCAGCCTCCTCCCCTGGGCTGGCCAAGTCCCACCCTAGGCCCTGACTCTGACCCTTGCCTAGAAAGCTGAGCCTGGGATGGGGTGGACCAGGGTGGGGCTGTTCTGTGGCTCCCTAAGGACCTGTAAGGACACAGCTGCTGGTCCTCGTGAGCAGAGGCAGAGGGCTCCAGCCTAGGCCTAGCAGGTGGCTCCCGTCTGGGATCCACAGCACAGGCCTCAGCTCAGCTGCCACATTACTTGCCAGAAACCTCATCTCTCATGTGTACAAAGCCACCATGTCCTAACTGGACCATCTTTCTTCACTCTGTCCCCTCCTTTTTCATCTTCCTTAGAGAAGCTGGACTTTGCCTCCTGAATCTCAAACCAGAGTCTGTATCTCCTTGCTTACAACCTCCTAATAGCTTCTTGTTGCTCACTGTCTTCTGGCCCATGTCAACCATTTTATACCTCACAATATGCCTTATTCTCATTGATTTGTTGGTGCTCACTCTTCTGTGAGGCATTATCCCTGTAAAGACAGGAACCCTGTCTGTCTTGTAAACTCTGTATCCTGAGCACTCTCCTGAGACTGGCACATAATAGGTGTTTAGTAGACAATAAGGATGAACAGACCTTTGCGTTAGTGCACATGCCTGAGGCAGACCCAGCTGGATTCTGTCCCTGCTTACCCTGACTCATCTTGAGTCTGTCCCCAGGGCAGCCTGTTCCTGGAATCAAAGACTCTGATTTTTTTGAGGCAGTCTGACAATGCTGTTGCTAAGGGCTTCCTCTGAGGGCTGGCTGTGAGAGAACAAAGCTGTATTCTCTAGATCACTGTCCCCGAACTAAGTCTTGGGCCCTGGTTAGCGGCAGCATCAAGAAACATCCACACAAATGGTAAACAGACCAGCTGTCCTGGTTGTGGGTGGTGCCATTGGAAGGTCATGCTCCTAGGAGACCTGGCGTGTTCTCATCTCACTTTCCCAGACTGCAGCACTGTTTGGACCTCCAGGGGGCTGTCTGAAGCCAACAGGAGTGATCAGCCTTGTCCTCAGCCTAAAGCCCAGAGATGCTTAGGAAGGGCTTCATGCAAGACTGGTAGCCTGAGCGTCTGTCCTGAATCCCTGCGGGCAGATATTTACTTCTATGAGTCAGAAGCTTGGAGGCACTTCCTGGTCATTGTTGGCACCAGGTCACAATTCCAAGAACCTTATTGCTGCTGCTTCCAGTTCAGGAGATGGTGGCTGGTTTAGCCACAGACAGACGGTGCAGGTTACCTGATGAGCCATGATTGCCCGGGACCCTGAGAGTCGGGAGAGAGACACAGGGTGAGGGAGGCAGCTCAGTGAGCCAGGGGAGCAAAGCAGAGCCCTGGTCCTGCCAGTGCCAGTCCCTGACTCCCTGTCTCCAGCCACCTGTGCCGCGACTGAGGAGGGTGAGGAGGAGGGGGTGCAGGCCATGGTAGAGATGTCTCTAGAGCTCTGCTTCCTGAGCCACACGGATTAGGGGGAACAGCCCCCCTTCCCTGGCCTCTCTTAATTGAGGGGACTTAATGCCAATCTATCCTGACCCCTGGCTGTGCCCCTCACATAAGTTGCTGAGTCTGGTTATTCTTTTTGAGGAGCGGGTGGTTGGGAGTTGGGAGAGTGTGGTCCATCACTGTCCAGGAAACCTGGAAGGACACAGCTGCTGAACCCAATGAACAGTAAAGGGAAACAAGGAGACAAGTGTCTGGTTTGCAAGCTGAGGCCAGCCATGAACTCACTTCCCAGGCCGCCAGAAATCCATGGGTCTCTCTTCCCATGTGATTCCTCACTAGATCAGCACATAAGGGAGAGTGCTGGAGTTTGGGAAGAATCAGTTAGCCTATTTGTGTGATTCACTGGATTCACTGGAAATGCAGAAAACCCCAGGAATCAGGAGAAAGTGCTGGCTGAGGTAAAAAAAATAAAAAGATAAATATAAAAGTATTAGCCAACTTTGAGCTTCTTCAGAACTAAGGGTATCAGAGAGTTTGAGAAGTACACTTCTAATACATGCCTGAAGACACTGTATGTAGTTTGGGGTATAAATTGTTCCTCGTACCTGAATCTCTTATGCTCTAACTAACATGAGCAGGAAATTTGTGTTTCTCTATTTTGTGCATTGGGAAGTCAGGAATAATGTACCCAAGGCTTTCCATTGAAAAGCACAGACATTTTCTCTGACCTCACAAAATCCACAGAAATGACCAGGAATGGTTTAATGACAACAACGTATAACATCATTGACTAGCAAACAATTGAAATTACCTAAAAGCTAGAATACTTCACTGGTACTCAGTTCAAAATGCAATGATCAACTATTAAAATATTTTATCCTTTTAAATAAATGGAACACTACTTACATTAACTTTAAATGACAAGAGCATAAAGGTGGATCAAACCAGAGGAATGAGCACCAGGTTTAATCACCATTGTGGAAATATTAAAAACAGAAATAAAAAATGCATCCAAATGAAGAAAAGTACTTATTTTGATTGCATGGGATAAGGTAGCTTAGCAGAGAACTTGGTGATTTTTAATACTTTCTGACTTTATATAATAGTCATGGATTGCTTTGAAAGTAACTCAATAAAATAAACTTTAATAATATACCCATGGAGAGTTTATTTTCTTTGCTCTTAGCTCAGAAAGCCCATCGTTTGAAGAAGCTTCTGTCTGGAGGAAATGCATTTAGACTCAGCCTTTAGATCTGATCCTGCTGTTTCTGGTTTTTTTTTTTCATATAAAACAAATAACTTTTGCTTTGTCTCATTCAATTACTGCAAATCACTCTCACATTTCCTCCACTTCAGGGCACAAGGAGGGATAGAAATCAATTCAGACCCTTTCCTTCCCCTTTCTATGGCTGGTCCACATGTAGGCTGTCTTGAGAGCTGGTGTGTATGATCACACAATCTCCACATCACAAGGGCCGAGGGAGGTTTATGTCTTGGTTCCTCTTATGAGTCTGTCACTGTGCTGAGCACCACCATAGTAGAGCAGGCAGTAATACTCAGCCTCGTCCTCAGGCTGCACACCTGACAGTGTCAGGGCAGCTTTGCCCCCAAGGAGGGAGCCTGAGAACCGGGCAGGGGTCCAGGAGTGTTTGTTGCTTGTACTATAAATCAGTGCCCTGGGTGCTTGTCCAGGTTTCTGCTGGAACCAGTTTGGATAGTAACCACTGGTGACTGCTCCAGTGCTGGAAGCACAGGTGAGAGTGACTGTCCCTCCTGGGGACACAGTCAGTGAGGGCTCCTGAGTCACCACAGTCTGAGAATTGGACCCTGAAACAAAAAACAGACACATGTTAGAAATTAGAAGGGCAGACAGAAGGATCCCTCCAAAGGCTGGTATTTGAAATCTCTCTTAACCTGGGCAGCAAGTGAGGAGGAACAGAAAGAGAGGAGTCCAGGCCATGGTGCTGATATTGGAAGGGACCCCTGGCGCCAGAGCTGGGGCTGGATTCTGATGGCTCTTTATCTCCTATTGAGCTCTCTCCATGGAGGGGGTGTGCTGTGTGCTGCTTTATGCAAATCTTTACTGCCTTTATCACCACCTGGGTCCACAGGCCTGAGAGCAGCTACACTGTGAGGGGCCAGCCCAGGGAGGCTGTGTGCTGTGGATTTGTCCTGTGGGAGGAAGCAGCTGCTCTAACATTTACATGAGTCAATGAGCACCTGTGCAGGGTTCATGAAGTTTGGACCTCTTGAGCTTCTTACAGTCCAAGAGACCCAGACCACCCCCTGGTGGCTTTCCTGGACTGAGAATGCGTGGTCTTTCACTTGTTTCACAAATAACTGTGGATTTATCTTTGGACATTGCCACAATATTTTCCAGGCCAATTCACACTCATTAATTGTCTATTCTTTGCTCATTCCTATTTGTGCTACTTTCTCTTGCTGTTGCTGAAATTCTGCCCCTGTGACTATAATTTGATATTAGTGTTACATGGTGTTCATTTTTATTTGAATGACTAAATTAATTGTTTTAATGACCTACTGGCTTTCTGTAACTATTTGTGTTGAGCCTTATATTGGATAAACAGCTGGTTTAAGTGAGAATTTTTTAAAAAATTTACTTTAGACAATTTTTTTTTAATGACAGTTTTACAGAAGGATTAAAAGATCCTGGGGTCAGTAGCTGTTGGCTTATGGCACAGAATATAAGAGTAGTCACTGGAAGTGGAAGAAGAATGATGATGAGCAGGGAGTCTCTCACAGTCTTACTCAGCCTTTTAACTTACAAAATCAATAAGCTATGTTCTGTAGCATCTTTGAGAGAACATTTGAGACCATTCAAAAACAACAACAGCAAAAGCCATTCAGTATTATTTCCCAGAACGTCTATATTTGTGAAAGACTGTACTGTTTCCACTGAAAAGTCTTGACAACCTTGTTTAAAATTATTTGACTGTATAACTAAGAGTTTTTTTTCTAGGCACTCAGTTCTATTTTATTTGTCAGTATGTATGTTACATATATACCACTCTGTTTTGATTAGTGTAGCTTTGTAGTATGTTTTGAAATCAGAAAGTGTGAGACCTCCAACACTGGTCTTCTTTTACAAGATGACTTTGACTGTTTAGGTTCCCTTCATACTCTATATAAATTTTAGGTTTAATTTTTTTCTATTCTTGCATAAAATATTACTGGAATGTTTTCAGAGATTGAAATGAATCTGTCAATTCCTCCTGGTTTGTTTTGCTAGCATAACAATACTGAGTTTTCCAGTATACGAACAAAGGATTTCTTTCCATTTATTTGTGTATTCTTTAATTTCTTTTAGTAATGTTTTATACTTTTCAATCTACAAGTCTTTCACCTCTTTGAATAACTTTATTCTTAAGTATTTTACTGTTTCATTTTTATTTATTTGTTTCTTTGAGACAATGTCTCACTGTCACCCAGGCTGGAGTACAGTGGCAAGATCTTGGCTCACTGCAACCTGTCCCTCCTAGGCTGAAGCAATTCTTGTGACTTGGACCCCTGAGTAGCTGGGATTACAGGCATGTGCCACCACAGCTAGCAATTTTATTTTATTTTATCTTGTAGGAACGAGGCTTTACCATATTGTTGAGGCTGGTCTTGAACTTCTAACCTCAGATGATCCGTCCAAATCAGCCTCCCAAAATGCTGAGATTGCAGGCATGAGCTACTGTGCCCAGCCATATTTTACTCTCTCTAATGATGTTGAAATTTGATTTGTTTTATTAATTTTGTTTTGGGTTTTTTCCTGTGTCCTTGTTTAAATATTGAAATATAAGAGATTTTCTAAGTATTGAAATATAAGAGATTTTCTTTCTTCTTTCTTTCTTTCTTTCTTTCTTTCTTTCTTTCTTTCTTTCTATCTCTTTCTTTGTTTCTCTCTTTCTTTCTTTTTTCTTCTTGAGACAGGCTCTTGCTTTGTAGCCCAGGCTGTCCTTGAACTCTTGATCCCAAGTAATCCTCCCACCTCAGCCTCTCAAAGTGCCAGGATTATAGGCGTGATTCACCATGCCCAGCCATGAGATGTTTTTACATGGTGATTTTGTATTCTGAACATTACAGAATACATTTAATCATTCTGACAAAAGCTGTTTTGTGGAACTTTTAAGGGTATTCTACATATGACATTAAATCCATTGAAAACAGAGATAGTTTTACTTTTTATTTCTAATTGTTATCCTGTTTATTTATTTCTCTTGCCTTATTGCTATGGCTAGGACTTTCAATACTGTTTTGAATAGAAGCAGTGAAAGTGTACATTGTTGCTATGTTCCTGATATTACAAAAACATATCTTTGGTCTTTAAGATTATGTATGATGTTGACTGTGGGATTTTCATAGATAGCTTTTACTATGTTAGGGTAGTTTCTTTGTATTCATAGTTCACTGAGCGTTTTTATCATGAAAGGGTGTGGAGGTTTGTGAAATGACTTTCTGTAGACAGGGTCTTACTGCTTTGCATCTGGAAGAACCACTCTGTTCTACACCCACCAAACCCCCTCCAATATATGCCTGGTGTTAGAGAGGAATAAATACTTTGTGTTCGCCTGGGACCAGTGGCCAGTGGCCACTCCACCAGACCCACAGCACTGGTCACCTGTGTGAGGGGATTGGGGAGAAAAAGAGGCCCTCATGGGTAGAACTGTAGACTCGGCTTCAAGCCATAGCAGCTGTTACTTCTGTATAGATGTTGACTGGGATGGAACTACCCCTGCTACCCTGGACTCAGACATGGGCGAGGGGTCCAGGGAAAACAGAGGCATGGACCAGAATCAGAAACAATAAGGTGAGGGGACGAGGCTCAGGCTCCTGTGAGTAGTTTGGGGTGACTGTTATAGCAAGTGCCCCATTTTCCCCAGAGTTGGTGGCTGTGCTGATGAGTCTCTCAAGGAAGCCAGTTTCTCCCTCACTCTGACCACCAGCTGCTGATGGCCCCTTATCCTGTAGATTGATCAGGAATGACTCCTTCGTAACTCCCAAATTTAGAAGACCAGCTAGACTTCTATGGGTGGCCTCAGAGTTTCCATTAATAGGTTTTAGATGAAAGGAAAGGATGTGCAATGGTTTCTTCAAGCAAATCAGTCCCCTCTTCTTATCCCCCAACCCCTTCATAGAACCTCAGTTGAAACAGTCACTGGAATACATTCCCCAGGTTGGGTGGAGAAGGCCAGGTTGATTGAATCTGGTTATTTGTGAGGACATAGCTGCTGAGCCCAGTGAGCAGTGAGCAGATGATGCAGGATGACTTCCCAGGTGTCAGCATCTGTAGACCCCTGAAGGACAAGCTTATAGCACCCAGTGCTGCCCCAGTTCCAGACCTACTGAGTCCTTCAGTTTCTCCCTGCCATTGTCTATTTTCTCCTTCACCAAAGATACAACTGTGAAGGCCCCTGTTAAGCTGCATTTGTACTTATTGCTCTGCACAGAATTCAAGTACCATGACATACCTTTCTGGTCTGTGCTGCTATTTTTAGTTAAATCCTGGAATCTTGGTCTTACTGAAGGAGATTCTCTGATAGACATCACAGCAGGGAGCCCAGTTTGGTGAAGGAGAAGCCACCAGAAGAGCAGCCTGTGCCCCAGAGATGCCTGCTTCTTCCACACTCAAGAGTATAGCCCCTATTCAGGCTGCCAAGTCTTGTCCTGAATACTCGGAGCTCTCAGGGTGGGGCTCCTCTTTCTCTCAGCCCACCCACCTTCAGAATCAAAGAACCCTGGAATTAGGTGTTTCACTGCACAGAGGGAGAGACAGGTTGAGTTCTTCTGTCTCTTACATGTTACTTATGCACTCCTGGCTTAAGCCCCTCTGTGTAGGGACCAAGGAGCACCCTTGCATCTTGTTTGGAAAGACATATGAGGACCCTCATTCAAAATCCTGGCTGCCGCAATGTTTCGGGAGGTCTTGAGTCTGCAGATTTGAAGAATAATAGAAAGAAGAATTAGAAAAGTGAGTAGGCATTATTGATTGGGCATCGTATACTGTGTATTTAGTGCTAACCGATGTGCTTACTTGAGGGTAGCTGTGTTAGAGAAGCCCTGTCTTTGAGGTTCAGCTCATAGACCTGGCATCAGGAAGAGAAGACCAGCTCTAACTCTGCCTCTTCCAGGCTTTGAACCCTGTGTGCAGTTGGCAGATGAACTACAAGGTAAGTTTGTATCTCAAATGAACAATATTGTGTGGGAGTTACACATACTAATTCTTTGTCATTGTTTTACTGAATTCAAATTTAACTGACCTTCGGTGTTTTTATTTGATAAACTGGAGAACCTTCCATCCAGGCCACAAGCACTCCCTCTCTAATCACGACCTACTGAATGAAAAGCAATCATAAAGCTGTTGTCAGGATTAAATGAGGTCACACTCTTAGGAATTCAAAAGCCGTTGGCCAATAGTAAGGTTGCAGTTGTACTAAATCTTGATAAAACCTATCAAAACCTCTGGGATACAGCAAAAGCAGTGCTATGAGGAATGTTTAGAATTAAATACGTACATCACAAAGTCTGAAAGAGCACAAATAGACAATCTAAGGTTACACCTCATGGAAATGGAGAATCAAGAACAATGCAAACCCAAACCCAGCAGAAGAGAGGAAATAGCAATATCAGACCAGAACTAAATAAAATTCAAACAAAAAAATGATAGAAAAGATAAATGAAACAAAAACCAATTCTTAGACAAGATAAATAAAATTATATATACCACTAGTGAGATTAACCAAGAAAAGAAGAGAAAAGATCCACATAAGCTGGATCTTAGTGTGGATCACCTCACCTGAGGTCAGGAGTTCGAGACCAGCCTGACCAACATGGTGAAACCTCATCTACACTAAATACAAAAAATTAGTGGGGTGTGATGGTACATACCTGTAATCCCAGCTACTTGGGAGGCTGAGGCAGGAGAATTGCTTGAAACCAGAGATGGAGGTTTCAGTGAGCCATGATTCTGCCATCGTAGTTTAGCCTGGGCAACAGAGTGAAACTTTATTAAAAAAAAATAAACCCACAATATTGCATCTGTGGAGGGATTGCAGAGATTAGTGATACCATCAAGGACTTGAAAAATGCAGGGGTGGTGATTCTCACAACATCCCCTTTCAACACTCCCATTTGGCCTGTGCAGAAGATAGATGGATCTTGGAGAATTATAGTGGATTATCGGAAGTTTAACCAAGTGGTGACTCCAATCGCAGCTGCTGTACCAGATGTGGTTTCCTTGCTTGAGCAAATTAATGCATCTCCTGGCACCTCATATGCAGCCATTGACTTGGAAAATGCCTTTTTCTCCATTCCGGTCCATAAGGCCCACCAGAAGCAATTTGCGTTCAGCAGGCAAGGCCAGCAATATACTTTTACGGTCCTACCTCAGGGGTATATGAGCTCTCCAGCTGTGTGTTATAATCTTATTCAAAGAAATTTTGATTGCTTGTCTCTTTTGCAAGATATAACACTGACCCATTAAATTGATGACATTGTGCTGGTTGCATCCAGTGAGCAAGAAGTAGCAAACACAGTGGACTTACTGGTGAGACATTTGCATGCAAGAGGATGGGCGGTAAATCCAACTAAAATTCAAGGGCATTCTACCTCAATAAAATTTCTAGGTGTCCAGTGGTGTAGGGCCTGTCGAGGCATTCCTTCTAAGGTGAAGGATAAGTTGCTGCATTTAGCCCCTCCTACAACCAAGAAAGGCACAATGGCTAGTGGGCCTATTTGGATTTTGGAGGCAACATATCTCTAATTTGGGTGTGTTACTCCAGTCCATTTATCAAGTAACCCAAAAGGCTGCCAGGTTTGAGTGGGATTCAGAACAGGAGAAGGCTCTGCAACAGGTCCAGGCTGCTGTGCAAGCTGCTCTGCCACTTGGGCCGTATGACCCAACAGACCCAGTGGTATTTGGGTGTCAGCGGCAGATAGCAAAGCTACTTGGAGTCTTTGTCAGGCCACTGTAAGTGAATCACAGTGGAGGCCTCTAGGATTTTGGTGCAAGGCCCTGCCATCTTCTGCAGGTAGCTACTCTCTTTTTGAGAGACAGCTCTTGGCCTATTACTGGGCTTTGGTGGAAACTGAACATTTGACTATGCGTCTTAAAGTCCCCATGCAACCTGAACTGCCTGTCATGAAGTGGGTGCTTTCTAACCCATTTAGCCATAAAGTGGATCATGCACAGCAGCATTCCATCATTCAGTGGAAGTGGTATATACGTATTTGGGCTGAAGGCACAAGTAAATTACATGGGGAAGTGGCTCAAATGTCCATGACCTCCACTCCTGCCACCAGCCTGCACTATCCCCCAGCCTGCACTGGTGGTCTCAGGGGCAGTTCACTATGATCAGCTGACAGAAAGAAGACTAGGGCCTGGTTCACAAATGTATCTGCATGATATGCAGGCACCACCGGAAAGTGGACAGCTGCAGCACTACAGCCCCTTTCCAGGACATCCCTGAAGTACAGCGGTGAAGGGAAATCTTCCCATTGGGCAGAACTTTGAGGAGCACACCTGGTTGTGCTCTTTGCATGGAAGGAGAAATCTCCAGATGTGTGATTATATATGAATTTATTTGCTGTAGCCAACGGTTTGGCTGGACAATCAGGGACTTCTTGGAGGCCGAAAGAATGAGGGTTGTGACCAACTCAGTATACCACTGGAGCAAACAGCAAGCTGTTCTCATGAATGCAGGTTGTTGGCAAACGACAAACTGCATCTACCACCAGAACGAATGCTGAGAGCTGTCACGCCCCAAGCACAGTGTTTCTTTTGATTATCTGCAGCACATCTGAAGTATGTTGTATAAAGAAAGCAATCCTGTGAACCTGTGATAAATCAAGCAGCTGACCAACTGTTAACTCCTCCTCCCTGTTCTTTCTACCTAATAAATATGAAGGATTGCAGTAGCTCAGGGCCCTTGCTCACTAGAAGCAAGGAGCCCCCTGACCCCTTCTTTAAAACAGATCCCTTTGTCTTTGTCTTCATTTCTGTGTTAGTCCCCCTTCATTCTGTCCTGTAGTAACTGTCACAGGGACTAGGAAGAAGTATGATTGGAAAATTGATGACAAAGAAATTTGGGGAAAAGATATGTGGATGGACCTCTCTGAGTGGTCAAAAACTGTGAAAGTATTTGTATCCCATGTGAGCGCTCACCAACGGGTGACCTCAGCAGAGGAGGATTTTAATAATCAAGAGGAGAGTATGACCAGTTCTGTGAACACCACGCATCCTCTTTCCCCAGCCACCCCTGTCATCGCCCAATGGGCCCATGAGGGAAGTGGCCATGCTGGCAGGAATGGAGGTTACACATGGGCTCATCAACATGGACTTCCACTCTCCAAGGCTGACCTAGCTACAGCCACTGCTGAGTGCCCAATTTGCCAGCAGCAGAGACCAACACTGAGCCCTCGATGTGGCACCATTCCTTAGGGTTATCAGCCAGCTACCTGGTGGCAGGTTGATTATATTGGACCTCTGTTGGGATTCACTCAGGATGGTGGCAGAAATATCAAAGGGAAATATTAGGGAAAGTTATAGGGAATAATCACAAACATTTTGGAAGGCTAAAATGTTACATAGCTTGTAATAATTGTACAGGCTGAAGGCAGCTGGTTCTTACCTTAGAGCATTAGGTCATAGGGTAAATGCTAGGGACAATGGAGGCTTTCCCAGTTAAGCCTGTTTACCCTATCTCCATTAACTAACCTTTGAGCCAGATGGCCCTCTCGGTGGGAGGTCAACCAGGGATATTGCCCCGTAATGGTATTTACTTTAGACCAGGGTACTGAGCTTTAGTCATTCGTAGAACTACTCTCTTAACCATGTTAATTATCCACAAGTGTGTTTACTCAAAGCTTCTGTTGTTAATTGTATACTAAATAAATGCCTGGAGTACCAGCTGCTCAGGACCCACCACAGTGACAAACCTCTCCTGGTGTGTATGTTGTCGGACACTCAGAATCAAAGAACCCAGCCGGACTGGCCAAACAGAATATCTGTGTGTCAGTGTCCGTTTTTATTCATCCGTCGTTTGAGTCAGGGTCTGCAGGCAGACCCCCGCAGCTAATGCTGTCTTCTGAGGAGCAATATCTCAACTGGTGCCCTGTGTGAGGAGAAATACAACAGACCTCTTCCATCACAGGAAGGGCAGAGGTTTGTCTTAACTGAAATAGACACTTATCCTAGATATTGGTTTGCCTATGAGACTACCATCCGTGTACTCTTGGAATGCCTCATTCACTGTCATCATATTCCACACAGCAATGCTCTGACAAAGGCTCTCACTTTATGACTAAAGAAGTGCAGCAGTGGGCTCAAGCTCACAAAATTCACTGGTCTTACCATGTTCCCCATCATCCTGAAACAGCTGGATTGATAGAACAGTGGAATGGCTTTTGAAGTCACAATTACATTGCCAACTAGGTGACAATACTTTGCAGGGCCAGGGCAAAGTTCTCCAGATGGCTGTGTATGCTTTAAATCAGCATCCAATATATGGTACTGTCCCTCCCGTAGCCAGGATTCATGGATCCAGGAATCAAGGGGTGGAAGTGGAAGTGGCACCACTCACCATCAACCCTAGTGATCCACTAGCAAATGTTTTCCTTCCTGTTCCTGAGACATTATGTTCTGCTGGCTCAAAGGATTTACTTCCAGAGGAAGGAACACTACCACCTGGAGACACAACAATGATTCCATTAAACTGGAAGTTAAGATTGCCACCTGGACATTTTGGGCTTCTCCTACCTTTAAGTCAATGGCTAAGAAGGGAGTTACAGTGTCGGCTGGGGTGATTGACCCAGACTATCAAAATGAAATCAGTTTACTACTCCACAATGGAGTTACTGAAGAACATGCATGGAATACAGGAGATGCATTAGGGCATTTCTTGCTATTACCATGCCCTGTGATTAAGGTCAATGGGACCCTTCAGGAATGAAGATTTGGGTCACTCCACCAGGAAAAAAAACACAACCTACTGAGGTGCTTGCTGAAGGCAAAGGGAATACAGAATGGGTAGTAGAAGAAGGTAGTCATCAATACCAGCTATGGCCAGCGGCAGAAACGAGGAGTGTAATTGTCAAGAGTATTTCCTCCTTCTTTTGTTAAAAACATGTTTGCGCATCTATAAACTCGTACTAAGAAAATATCTTCATTTTATTTCCTTTCTCCTTTATCATATAACATAAGATTTATTGACGTCACATCAGCATTTAAGTATCAGTAACTTGATGTAATAGTATTTGTGTTAGGGATTCGTGCGTTCTGGTTGTATGAAGGATAATTGTATTATGTTAGGCGTAATTATGACTTTATTATTGTCTTTATTTGAAGATTATGTACGATATCACAAGTTGTATATGGGTTCATGCTGACAAGGAGTGGACTTGTGATGAGTAATACTGAGCGTCAACTTGATTGGATTGAAGGACAAAAAGTATTGGCCGGGCGCAGTGGCTCATGCCTGTAGTCCCAGCACTTTGGGAGGCTAAGGCGGGCAGATCACAAAGTGAGGAGATCGAGACCATCCTGGCTAACACGGTGAAACCCCGTCTCTACTAAAAATTCAAAAAAATTAGCCGGCCATGGTGGTGGGCACCTGTAGTCCCAGCTACTCGGGAGGCTGAGGCAAAGAATTGCTTGAACCCTGGAGGCGGAGCTTGCAGTGAGCGGAGATCGCGCCACTGCACTCCAGCTTGGGTGACAGAGCAAGACTCCATCTCCAAAAAAAAAAAAGAAAAAAAGTATTGATCCTTGGTGTGTGTGTCTGTTGAGGGTGCTGCCAAAGGAGATTCACATTTTTGTCAGTGGGTGGGAAAGCCACACTCACCCTTAATCTGGGTGGGAACAATCTAATCAGCTGACAGCATGGCTAGAAAATAAGCAGGTAGAAAAATATGAAAAGAGAGATGGGCATAGCCTCCCAGCCTACATCTTTCTCCCATGCTGGATGCTTCCTGCCTTCAAATATGGAACTCCAACTTCTTCAGTTTTGGAACTCGGACTGGCTCTCCTTGCTCCTCAGCCTGCAGACAGCCTATTGTTGGACCTTGTGTTCATGTGAGTTAATACTTAATAAACATATATATATATTCCATTATTTGTGTCCCTCTAGAGAACGCTGACTAATGCATTAATCCACAGGAAGGAAAAAGGGGGACTCCTTCCTAAATTATTCTATGTATCCAACAGCTATCAAAAACATAGTCCACAATGATCAAGTGGTTTTCAAACCAGGGAATGCAGAGATGGTTTAACATATGTGAGTCAATAAATGTGATATACCACATAAAAAGCATTAAAAACAAAAATGACATGATTATCTCAATACATGCAGAAAAAATACTTGACAAAATCCAGCATCACTTCATGATTAAAACTCTTTGCAAAATTGACATAGAAAAGACATAACTTATGTCCTCTATTAAGCCCTCTATTACAAACACACAGTCAACATTATATTAAACGGAAAAAAGTGGAAAACGTTTCTCCTGAGATCTGGAACAAGGCAAGAATGCCCACTTTCACCACTTCTATTCAACATAGTACTGGAAGGCTTAGCCAGAGCAATCAGACAAGAGAAACAAATCAAAGATATCCAAATTGACAAAGAGGAATTCAAACTGTCACTATTTGCTGATAATATGATCATATACCTAGAAAACCTTAAAGACTCATCGAAAAAGCTCCTAGAACTGTAAATAAGTTCAGCAAAGTTTCAAGATACAAAATTAAGGCACACGAATCAGTAGCTCTGTTATACAATGACAGCAAACGAGCTGAAAATCAAATCAAGAACTCAACCCCTTTCGCAAATAGCTGCAAAATACATACTTAGGATATACCTAGCCAAGGAGGTGAAAGACCTCCACAAGGAAAACTACAAAACACTGCTGAAAGAAATCATAGATGACACACACAAACAAATAGAAACACATCCCATGCTCATGAATGGGTAGAAACAATACATTGAAAATGATCATACTGCCAAAAGCAAGTTACAAAATCTATGCAATTCCCATCAAAATATCACCATCATTCATTAGAGAATTGGAAAAAATAATCCTAAAATTCATATGGAACCAAAAAGAGCCTGCATAGACAAAGCAAGACTAAGCAAAAGGAACAAATCTGGAGGCATCGCATTACCCAGCTTCAAACTCCAGTAAAGTTTGACTCCATAGTCACTAAATCTGCTTGGTACTGATATAAAAATGGGCACACAGACCAAAGGAACAGAATAAAGAATCCAGAAATGAAACCAAATACTTCCAACCCACTGATGCTTGACAAAGCAAACAAAAACATAAAGTAGAAAAATGACACCATATTCAACAAATGGTGCTGGGATAATTGGCAAGCCAAATGTAGAGGAATGAAACTGCATCCTCATCTCTCACCTTATACAAAAATCAACTCAAGATGAATCAAATAATTAAATCTAAGGCCTGAAACGGTAAGAATTCTAGAAGATAACGTCAGAACAACCTTGCTAGACATTGGTTTAGGCAAATATTTCATGACCAAGAACACAAAAGCAAATGCAACAAGAACAAAGATAAATAGATGGGACTTAATTAAACGAAAAAAACTTCTGCACAGCAAAAGAAAGAATCAGCAGAGCTAACAGACAACCAACAAAGTGGATGAAAATCTTCACAATCTATACATCCAACAAATGACTAATATCTAGAATGTACGAAGAACTCAAATTATCAAGAAAAAAATAAACACTTCCATCAAAAGGTGGACTAAGGACACGAATAAACAATTTTCAAAAGAACTTGTACAAATGGCCAACAAACATATAGAAAAATGTTCAACATCACTAATAATCAGGGAAATGCAAATCGGTACCACAATCTGTGTTACCACCTTCCTATCACAAGAATAGCTATAATAAAAAAATAACAGATGTTGGCATGGATGTGGTGAAAACAAAACACTTTCACACTGGCGGTGGGAAGGTAAACTAGTACAATCACTGTGGAAAACAGTGTGGAGATTCCTTAAGGAAACAAAAATAGACGTACCCTTTGATCCAGCAATCTCACGACTAGGTATCTACCCAGAGAAAAAGAAGTCATTATACAAAAAAAGATACTTGCACACGCATGTTTATAGCAGCACAATCTGTAATTGCAAAAACATGGAACCAGCTCAAATGTCCATAAATCAACAAGTGGGTAAAGCAAATGTGATGTATACATACACATACCAGGGAATACTACACAGCCATAAAAATAAACAAAATAATGGCATTCACAGCAACCTGGATGGAACTGGAGACTATCATTCTAACTGGTGTAACTCAGGAATGGAAAACAAAACACTGTATGTTCTCACTCATAAGTGGGAGATAAGCTATGAGAACCCAAGGGCATAACAATGATACAATGGACTTTGGGGACTCGGGGGAAAGCATAGGAGGGAGGTGAGGGATGAGAGGCTACTCATTGGATACAGTGTACACTGCTTGGATGATGAGTGCACCACAATCTCAGGAATCACCACTAACGAACTTATATATGTAACCAAGCAACACTTGTTCTCCAAAAACCTATTAAAATAAAATAACAAATTTTAAAAATAATTAAAAAGGGAAAATCGCTAAAACCCTTAAAAAAACCCCAAAATAAATAAATAAATAAATAAAAGATGAGAACCTCTTCCACTATAGAGAGAGCCAAGAAAAGAACTGAAGAAGCAAGAATCCTGACAAACCATCACGGACTGTCCTGTCACCTTAGATGAACATCACCCATAGAGTTTGTTTGATGAACAATAAATTCAAACTTTAAAGGAAATACATGAATAAAATCAGAAAAAAATGGCCTAAGGACCCTTAAAGATAGTAATGAGCCCTCTAAGGGATGGGTGCAATTCAGCGACAGCAGGGATAATCTCAAAGCAAGTGTGCAGAGTGAAAGAAGCCTGAACAAATGGGAAGATAACGTTTGATAACACTGATACATTCCAGAAAAAAAAACCAAACAGTAGTGAGAGAGGCAGATCTGTGGCTTCCTGAGAGGCCATTAGGGGAGGGAGGGAGGAGACAAGCATCATGAGGAGCTGCCGGGATGGTCACAATAGCTCCCGGGGATGGTGATGTTTTCAAGGAACCAGAAAAATGCCAAAATTTGTCTAATTTCCTGTTATAAATATGGGTAGTTTATTAGATGTGCATAGTTCCTACATGAAAGGAGTTTTATTAAAAAAGAATAGGCTGGAGAGAAAGGAAGCACAGGGATTCACACTGAGGAGCAGGGGGAGGAAGACACCACTCTGGAAACTCCTGGAAATGGGAAAAGGAGGATGACGGAGACACGGGTTCCCCATCAGAGGTGGGTCTGAGATGACACAACTGGACCTGCCACCTCAGCCCAGGACTTCAGTGCAGAGACCCTGTGTCCTAAGCTGCAGGGAGGAGGATGTTCTGTTTCCTGGATGTCCTGTTCCTGACTCTGAGGACTGAAGGGGAGGAGGAGCCTCCACTCTCAGGCAGGGCCCTGGATGCCCCTGGACCCATGAAGGAAGCTGCAGCAGCAGAAGCCACAGGCCAGGCCTGAGCAGCAGCTGCTGGGGCTCACCCTCCTGACAGAGGAGGAAGGGGGTTCTTGTCTCAGTTCCCCATTGGCCTGGAGCACTGTGGGACCATTCAGGCTGTCATCCCATGCTGCACAGTAATAATCAGCCTCATCCTCAGACTGGAGCCCACTGATGGCCAGGGAGGCTGAGGTGCCAGACTTGGAGCCAGAGAATCGGTCAGGGACCCCTGAGGGCCGCTGATTATTACTATAGATGAGGAGTTTGGGGGCCGTTCCTGGGAGCTGCTGGTACCAGTTTACAGTATTACTTCCGATGTTGGAGCTGCTTCCAGAACAAGAGATGGTGACCCTCTGCCCGGGGGTCCCAGACGCTGAGGGTGGCTGAGTCAGCACAGACTGGGCCCAGGACCCTGGAAGTGAGAGAGACACAGACATGGTGATTGACAAGAGACAAAAGGAGACAAGAGGAGAAAGCAGGGCCCCATGGGCTTCCCAGGGCCCCTTTCTTGGTCCCCATCCTGTCACCTGCACAGTGAGTGAGGAGGGTGAGGAGGAGAGGGAAGCTGGCCATGCTGGAGATTGTCCTGAGTCCTGTCTTCTCTACCCACAGCTGAAGCTGAGCTTCCCCCAGATCTCTCCCTCTCTTCATACTCTGAGAGGGGGAGAGTCCATCCATGCAAATCAGACCCCCCCAGCTTTGTGACCCCACCCTGAGCCCTGGGTCAGGCTCCTTGCCTTGAGGATGTCAGGGTGTGGCAGGGGTGGAGCTCTGTGGTCCCAGAGGGTGGGGAGAACACAGTTGTGAGCCCTGAGCAGAGGACAACAGGCACAACAGGTGGCCGGTTGTGCTCCCATCACCGCCCACCCCCGCCCCCCGCGCGTCTTCTCAGAAATGGTCCCCCAGCGTCCCCTGGTGTCCAGCCAAGGTAAACCATTCTATGATAAGGTGACCAGAGCCTCTCATTCACACCACTGCCTCCCCTCTGTTCTGTCCACTGCCCCCTCTCTCAGGTCCAGGCCAGCTCAAGTGACACCTGTGTCTTCCCGCTGTGACCTCAAGGCAGTCTTCGCGCTCTACTGGACTCCTCAGGAGTGAATCTGTCCATGGCTCTGTGGCTGTACATTGCAGAGGACTCAGGTGGTGTCTACACAGAGTCCTCTTATGTCAGGATCAAGCCCAGAGCGGGGACCAGCCCCATGGACTCACTTCCCCACCTGTGTGGGACACCTGGTCCTCTCCTCTCATGTGGCTCCTTCCTGCTGGCTAGAGCTCTCCTTCCTCTGTGGATCCTGTGGAGCTGAAGAGAAAGGGAGCTCTTCCCTCTAGGGTGCCTTGGGAAGACATTCCCAGAGGGTTTTTCTGGTAAATCTTTGTTCTCTCTCTACTTCCCCAGGTTTGCAGTCAAAGTCATTTGGATACTGTGACCAGGGATCTTGCCTAGGAGTCTGTACACTGAATGCCCATCTACAGGGGATCCTGGCAAATGACTTTGGAGTGTTTCACTTATGAGCAAAAAGAGCAAAGATGCTCAGTCTTTGAAGATGGGAAGAATTAAAACTTCAACTTGGTTTAACCAGCGTCTGTCCTCAGGTGAGCCTGATACATGGCAGCTCTTACTATCGAGCCGCCAACGAGGATTTCTAGGAGAAGATTTTGGTTCAAATTCAGTAGTGAGTGTTGTGGGGGTGGCTTAAAGATGATAGAAATTTTTCGTCTTTGATCTGTAATGACGTCTAGAATCTAATGAACTAAAAACAACAAGCTTAACAGAAAACATAATTCTGTTGATCAAAATGAAAAATGAAACAGGTTATGTCTGTGACTGCCTGAGTTCTGGCATGATACACCCTGGGCTCTTAATAAATATTTGTTTAGGGAATTTTAAGGGGATACAGAAAAACAGCAAGATGATTATGTTGATATAAGTTGTAATACAATAAGATTTTAAATGCTCCATTTAAACAACCAAATAGTGAAACCTAATACAGACATTTAAATAAAACCAGTCCATACATGGAACTGAAATAAAATGTATGCTGTGTTTTGGGATTGCATTTCAAGGGTGTTGTTATTTTAAATGTTTCTTTTAGTGTAAGCCATGTGCCTTTACATAATTTTTATAGTTTTTAAAATATGTTTGTTGTATTTACATAACACATCAGGCATATTAAGTTTTATTTATTTCCAAGTAGAAATAAACTATTAGAGCTGGGCTTCACTTCCTGTTTTTTCTCATTGCTTTTTCTTTGATGATGTATAGATGTTCACAGTGAATTTTGTTTTCCTTTCCTCCCACGTTAATGAACAGGGGGTCACCGAGTCTGAGCAGTGTCTCACATACAGGACAAGGCTGCCCACGGCCTCCTCCCTGCCCACGGATGCGCTTCCTGGTGGATGCCCCATCAGCTGTTAGGTTGAGGGCAGAGAGAAGAACAGGTCCAAAACTACAGGATGTGGACACCCAGAGGATCCGGGAGGGACAACAGCTGGGACAGTGAGCCTTGGACAGAGGACACTGACTATGGATTTTTTATGTGATCCTCCTGAGGGACCCTCAGGGACAGACCAAAACCCCAGTCTCTGTGTGTCTTGAGGGCCCAGGTCCTTCCAGGTCCTCCTTTTGTCACTGCTCTGGGCCCCGGGCCTCCTCCTCCTGTGAGTCACAATGGACACTCTCCTCTTCAGGGTGCACCCTCCTTACCACACCTGACCCCACACCGTCCCCTCATTCCCCCATAAACCATCCCCTGCTCACTTCCATTAGCATTTTTGCATCCTACTGAGATCACAGCCTCCCAAGGATGGCTCTGCAGGATTTCCATGTTGCAGAGAGCTCAGCCCCTTGACAGGACAGCTGGGCCTGGGCCACCCAAGGCTAAGCATCTCTCTTGCTTCTCTTCTACACCAGCTCTAGGCCAAGCCAGATCCAGACCTTTCAGAAGGCTGATCCCACCTTTTCTTAAGCATCAGACTACCTCTCTCACATCTGTGGGTCACACAGGCTGGATTCGCCTTTCTTGTTATCACTCCCACAGTTTCAGAGCTCAGCAAATGGCCAGCATACCTGTTCAAAAAGGAGGGGACACCTGTGGGACCAGGCCGAAGGCTCCTGGACTTCTGGGTCACACTGCCTAGATTCTTTCTTTTCCTTTTTTCTTTTCTTTCTTTCTTTCTTTTTTTTTTTTTTTTTTTTTTTGAGATGGAGTCTCTGCCTGTTGCCCAGGCTGGAGTGCAGTGTCATGATCTCAGCTCAATGCAACCTCCACCTCCCTGGTTCAAGCGATTCTCCTGCCTCAGTCTCTCGAGTAGCTGGGATTACAGGCGCCAGCCACCATGCCCAACTAATTTTTGTATTTTTAGTAGAGACGATGTTTCACCATGTTGCTCACGCTGGTCTCAAACTCCTGACCTCAGGTGATCCACCCACCTCCGCCTCCCAAACTGCTAGGATTACAGGTGTGAGCTGCCATGCCCAGCCAGGCTGGATTCTTTCTTGTCATTTCCACCTCATCCTCACCCACCATGTGTGGGCAGCTTATTTTACTTCTTGAAACAAACTGATTCTCTTTCCACTGGGGAGACCAGTAAGAAAAGGAGTTATCGTCCCTGAACCCTTGCTCTGCTTTCAGTAACACAACTGACAGCTGAAGTCTTGGCATGAACTGGTGTTGGTCACAGGCAGGGATAAAGGAGGGATGGGGAGACAGGATGAGTGGGGAGATCTTTCTATCATTTCCACATGGAACAGGAACCCTTGGTAACATGGAGTCAGGATGCAGCTGTGTGACACTGATAACCAGCCAGGTCCTCAGGCTGGAGCCCAGAGGCACTCCAGGAGGCTGTGTGGATAAACCCAGATCAGGAGAAGCAGGCTGGGACCCCTGAGGGACCATCACTATTGTCCTAGGTCATAAACTTAGGGGTTCTCTCTGGGAGGCCTCATAGCCATTTCCATGGGAATGGCCAATGTTTCTGCTGCTCCCCATGGAGAAAAAGATGACCTTGAGGTGGGGGCCTCCTCAAGAGTTTCCCAGGGAGGAGTCACTTGAAGCAAATATTGGGCAGTTTCTGTATCCAGATATTCCACAGACTCACCACTAGACCTGAGTCAGTGAGAAGCTCCAATGGTGTAAGAGAGGAGAAGAGAACACAGTCAGGCCCTGAGGGATCAGGAAACCCACCCTCAGCAGTCCCCGTGGTCCTGAGTGGGATGAGCTACAGGAGTCACATCCATGGGATCTACTTCCCCCATGGCCAAGGAGCAGCCTCTGGCTTGTCTCAGCCATGGTGGAGCCTCCCCTTGATTCTGTCATGTCCTACATAGAGGTTTACTGGCATCGGGCCCGCAGTTACCCTAATATCTAACGCCATCTCCTGACATTGCCACTGAAATGCAGGTACCCAGGACTGAGCCAGGTCAGCACTATATCCAGAATTCCCTGACCTGAGTCCTCAGGCAGCATTTCATATTTGAGTGCCTTGTTCCTGGGACACAGTGAGCCTCAGACAGCCCTGAGAACAGACTACTGGGGATGGAAGGGGAGGTCTCTGCCCGTACGCTGGAAGAGCAGAGTCCATGCTGCAGGGCACTGTTCACCTGCTATGTTGTCCCCAGGCTCTGACCATGATGTGAGCTAGGAAAGCCTCATTTTGCTTCTTTCAAGAAAAAAACGTCCAGCTCCACAGGCACTGGTGTTAGCACATGTGGACAACCAGCCAACACTTCAGGGTCATCAGGTGGTTTTGTTTTGTTTTGTTTTGTTTTACTGAGACTTCAGAAAAATGGATAGAAAATTGAGAGAAGAGCCTTTTACAACTAGAAAGTACTTCCAAATATAGTTTGTGCCTAGGCCAGTTATTTTAAAATTTAAAAATTGGTACAGAGCAAGACCCAGAGCAGGGTGAGGTTTTTGTCCCACTTCCCCATCTGTGTGTGTCACTGTGAGAAGCGCTGCTGTGCCAAATCATACAGTAATAGTCAGCCTCATCCTCAGACTGGAGCCCAGAGATGAGTAAAATCCCTGCATTGGCCGAAGCATCTTTGGATCCAGAGAAGCGGCTGGGGACTCCAGAGCCCTGCTGCTTATCTGAGTCTGATTTGTACCTCAGGAGATACTGGGGAGGACTCCCTGGCTTCTGCTGGTACCAGTATATCCTGTAGGTACCAACATTGATGCCACTGCACAAGGTGCAGGTGAGACTGGCTGATGCTCCAGGAGATGCAGAGAGGGAAGACGGCTGAGTCAGCACAGCCTGCGAGAGGGAACCTGGAAACACAGACATTAATGGGTGCTAAGGCAGAAACCAGGGTAAAGTTTTTCAGGGATCTTTGCCAGAAGAGTCAGAATCAGGCTGGGTGGCTGACCCTGGTCTCTGAAGTCTATTCCTACCTGTGCAGTGAGAGAGGAACAGGAGGAGGAGAGGAGTCCAGGCCATGGTGGACACAACCTCTTACCCCCGCAGTGGGACTGGGCTGCCCCAGGCCTCCTTTTCTTCCCACTGTTGCAGAGGAGGGGTTGCTCATGCAAATGTGTTTCCACCCAGGGACTGCCGGGCCCCTCCTTGAGACCTGGGGATGCAGCTCAGCTCTCTCTGCAGACTGAGCAGGAGGAAGGTTTGCTTTTCTTTTTGCAAGGCCCTGGGAGGAAGCACCTGTTGAGACCATACACAGGTCCCTGCTCAGGGAACTCTGCCAGGCCAGAGGGGACACAGCTGCCGAGTGTCCATCAGTGAGCACAGGGCCCAGCCTCAAGGCCTGGATTTCTCTGAGTGAATGCTCATTACTGAGCAGCTGTGTCGGAACCACAGGGCAGCCCCACAACATCTGACGCTGGTCCCAGGAAACACACTTTCCCAAAGCTCAGAGACTTCAGAACCCAGCTGGTCTCTGCAGCTCTTTAGTCACTGTCTGTATTCACATATCCATGGTCTGATTCCCAGACACTGCTTCTATCATGCTATGCATTATTACTACGATTTCTCACTCCCAGAAGTAGTCTTGGTCTGTGGGATGTGCAGACCTGTACATACATAACTTTTATAGGTGTCAGCACCCCAACAGGGCATTTTAGAAAAATCTATTTGCCCACATATGTCATCAGAGTGGGCATCATGGAAAAGGGGTCAGCTGAGGAGCTGGGTTGAAGGGCAGCTGGGGTTGTTCAAAAAGATGGTGAATAATGAAAAATTTCCAGGAAAAATAAAGGATCAATGACATGTTAAAGGCAGCAATTCCTTTGGGAAGCCAAGGCGGGCGGATCACGAGGTCAGTAGATCAAGACCATCCTGGCTAACGCGGTGAAACCCCGTCTCTACTAAAAATACAACATATTAGCTGGGCGTGGTGGCAGGCGCCTGTAGTCCCAGCTACTCGGGAGGCTGATGCAGGAGAATGGCGTGAACCCGGGAACCCGGGAGGTGGAGCTTGCAGTGAGCTGATATTGGGCCACTGCACCCCAGCCTGGGCGACAAAGCGAGATTCTGTCTAAAAAAAAAAAAAAAAAAAAAAAAGACAGCAATGCAACACAAGTTATATTTACAATGGTTTCATACGTTTTAAAGAGATTTGATTCGATTTTGTGATACAGGAAAACTAATAGATTTGCTAGACTTACCTTTACCAGTGAACAGTGTGACATATTTCACTATTTTATGAAATTAGCCATTATCTCCCTAAGTAAAACGTCATTTTCTGCACAGTTGCATCATATTTTTTGGTCAAGAATTTGTTCTAGCTGTTATACAAATTGCATTGTGCTATTACCACGTGTATTTTTTTACTAGGTGTTTTCAGTTTATTAGAAAGATCAGTATGTATTTTACCTGCAAAATTCTCTTGCAAATGAGTTGGATGTCTCAGGAGACAAAAGCAGAGACCATCACTTCTCAATTTAGCCACATCTACTCTTGTGCTAACTGTGCAAATGGCCCCTGAGTTTCTAGACTCACGAGGTGCTTTAGCGAATAATCTAGAATCAGGATCACTCACTTTTCTCAGACACTCTCTTCTCAAGGCATTCAGAGAGATCCCTGTCACTCAGATAGGGCAGGCAGGGCACTCCCTGGTTTAAGCCCCTTGAGTAACTCCTCATTGTTATTATGAAACCTGAACCCTGAGACCTCAGCAACATGCCCTTCACATTGTGGCCCCAGAACTCCCCCACAGCCCAACTCACAGCCCCTGCCCTTGCTTTTAGGGCTCCAGGCTCACTCACTTCTCTGTCCTGGGAAACCCTGAGCTCCTGTGTTTTCCATGTTCTCCACACCAGCTTCTCCTCTGCCTGTTGGGAGAAGATGGGCTTCCACTTGAAGTCAAAGTGTAAGCTTACATTTTGTCCACATGGTACACCTGGTAAAAGCAGAACATAAACATCTCATTGCAAAAAAGGATATTTTCACTGGTTAGCATGGAAACGTTTGAGTCATACAAATATACAGAGAATTTTCTGATGAATTGTTTGCACCAATCAGCCAACTTTGACCATCATCAATGTGGTTCATCTTGTTTAATTTTTCAACCCATTTTACCCATCAACTTACTCCCTTTCTAGGTGATTTTTAGAACAGATCAAGGAAGCAGTATTTTATCATTGGTACATAAATTAACAAATATATACATTTGAAGTGTTCCATAATTCTTGTGCATTAAAGCAACAGATTCCAAGGACTCTAACATTAATAGATTTGTCTTTTAATCATTCATGTTTAAAATTAATTTATTGTAATAATTGGGAGACTGGAGGAAGTACAATGAATGCTACGATTTGCAAAGGCAGAGCCCACAGCATTGCATATTGGATTAGAAAAAAGTCCAGATGGGCACTACATTCATAATTATTTAATGGCTTTACCCAGTCCTCCTAGTGCAGAAATATCTCTTCTGTGGACACAGAGCTCACAAACCCATCATTCTTTCTTCAAGAATTTCTCCATCAAAGTCTATTATGGGACTTGGGACTGATGAGTTTAATGTTTGAATTGCATTGATCATATGACTTATTGGAAGCTTTAGAATTAATATTTTGTTGAAGTATATGTAATGTAAACCTTCTTAGTTATATAAATATTGCCAGAAATTTTCCCAACTCACCCACATTCTGCAGTTTATTTGCTCTTGAGAGATTTTGTGCCCAGAATTTGCTTCATTATCAACTTGCTTCCTGTGGTTTTTTTAGCAGGGCCATCACCTTCTCTCCACTTTCTCCACATAAGCCCATGGGATCCAGCATGTATGGATCCATGGGAATCAGACCATAAATGAGTGAACAGAGGCTGTGATTAGGAGCTGCAGAGAGCAGCTAGGCACTCAAGACTCTGGGCCATGGGGAGGTATGTGTGATCCATTTGTATTTTCATATCCATATCCTTCTCCTGCTAACCAAATCCAAAGGCAAAACTTCATACTTAATATCTTCTATTGAATGAACTTGGAATCTCAAACACAAAATATCCAGAATTTTTTTAAAAATTATTAACTTGACCTCAGATCTGTACCTCTTTTTGGGATTCCAATGTAGGTGAACTCACATATTTAATAAACATGTATTAAGTCTTTCCTTAGTGCCAGGCAGCATTTTGGGCAATGACAAGACAGAAAACAACAACAACAATAAACAGTCTCATGGAGGTTGGATCTCAACAGGGGAAACCCAGTGAATAGAGTCACTAACTATAAAGAAACATCTTCATGTGGCTGACCCCACCCTGACAAGTTCGCCACTCTAGGGATCTGAGGCCAATTGCTGACAGCTGAGAGACATGCATTTCTATAATTCTGAAGAATGGATTGACTTGTTCATAAGTTGATGATGTTATTTGAATACATGTGTTAAATATAATCCTGCTTCAACGGAAAGAGGTCAATCTCCTTGGCCTCACAAATGGCTGGGTTCCTACTGTAGGGCAGAAATAAAACAGAACATTCCCATGATGCAGAAGAATTCCTAAGGGGAACCAGATAACTGAGTATGAGGAGGGAACTTCATTATCAGATAATCTCCCTACTGCTCTGTTTGTGATGGAGACAGAGCAGCAGAGACACCACAGGCCTGGAGGCCCGCCCTGAGAAGGAGGCAAGGATGAAAGGAGGTAAAGAGAAGGGTGGATAAAAATGCCTGGGAGGGAGCTGGACAAACTGCAAATTAGTGTGCCCTGAAATCAGGCACCTAAGCGCTGACACCTCCCCTCTCGTGGTTTCTGATGTAGCTCCGGGGAGGTTTGATCACGAGCTTTAACAGCAGTCCTTTAGTGTGTAAGGCATCATCCCATGTTCTGTAGAATGTTCTGTCCTGACCCTCAGTGCTTTTGCTCCATACAAAGGAGCCAGGTCTCTCTCTGGGTGTGAAAAGTGATGTTCGAAATGAATCTCACTGAATACGAGGGAAGGGCAGCAATGAGTCCTGAGTCCCAGGAGATATCCAAAGAAAAAAGGTGTGTGAGACACTCAGTAACGGCAAGAGGATGTTGTCAGGTTTATATCACAGGAACAAGCTTTGGGCCTCAACCTAGTGACCTCTTTCCTTTGGTCTTACTCACCATGGTGTGGGTCACGCATATTTCACCACCTCAGCTGCTTCATCACTTGCTGGAGACCTCATCTCTCATGTGGAGAAAGCTACCGTCTCCTAATTAGACCCTCCACTTTCACTCTCTCCCCTCCTTTTTCATCTTCTTTGGAGAAGCTGGACTTTTCTCCTAAGTCTCCCATCAGACTCCGTGTCTTCCTTGCTTACAACTCCCTAAGGGCTTCCTATTGCTCTCCCCCTTCTGGCCAGTGTCACCTCTTGGATACACCACAATATGCCTTACTCCTATTGACTTGTTGGCCCTCACTTTTCTGCATGGTGTCAGTCCTGTGAAGACAGAATCCCTGTCTGTCTTCTCACCTCTGTATCCTTAGCATGAGACCTGAGCCTGGCACATAGTAGGTATTCAGTAAACAATAAGGACAAACAGAGATCTTTATTAGTGCACATGCCTGAGACAGACCCAGCTGGATTCTGTCCCTGCTTGCCCTGGCCTATCATGGCTGTATTCCCAGGGCAGCCTGTTCCAGAAATCAAGGACTTTCTGATTCTTCTGAGGCAGTCTGACAATGCTGTGGCCAAGGGCTCTCTCTGAAGTCTGGCCCTGAGAAAACAAAGCAGCATTCTCTAGATCACTGTCCCTAATCTGAGCCCTGGGTCCTGGTTAGCAGAAGCACCAGCAAACATGCACACAAATGGTAAACAGCCCTGCTGTCCTGGTTGTATGGTGCTGTAGTTAGGTCGTGCTCCTAGGAGACCTGACATGTTCCTGTCTCACTCCCCCAGACTGCAGCACTGTTTGGGCCTCCAGGGGGCTGTCTGAAGCCAACAGTTGAGATCAGCGTTGTCCTCAGCCTGGAGCCCAGAGATGCTTGGGAAGGCCTCCTTGCCAAACTGGTAGCCCGAGCATCCATCCTGGGTCCCTGCAGGCAGATATTTGCTTCTATACATCAGAAGTTTGGAGGCACTTCCTTGTCATTGTTGGTACCAGGACACAATTCCAAGAACCTTATTGCTGCTGATTCCAGTGCAGGAGATGGTGACTGGTTTTGTCACAGACAGACTGTGCAGGCTACCAAGTGAGCCCTGACTGCCCAGGACCCTGAGAGTCAGGAGAGAGGCACAGGGTGTGGGAGGAGGCATAAAGATGTGTAAAACCAGAGAGAAAAAGCACAAGGTATGACCCCCATTGTGGAAATATTGAGAACAAAAATGAAAGAATGCATCCAAATGAAGAAATTGGATTGTTTCTGATGAGACAGCTTTGCAGTGAACTTGGTGGTTTTTAATATTTTTATTTTATATAATAGGCATGTATTGGTTTGAAAGTAAATCAATAAAGCAAATTTTAGTCATATACAAAAAAAGAGTTTCTTCTCTTTGCTCTTAGCTCAGAAAGCCTATACACTGAAGATGCTTCTTTCTGGAGGTATTGGTTTGAAAGTAACTCAATAAAACAAACTTCAGTAATATGCAAAAAAAGTTTCTTTGCTCTTAGCTCAGAAAGCCTATACACTGAAGATGCTTCTTTCTGGAGGAAATGCATTTTGACCCAGCCTTTATATGTGATCCTGCTGTTAGTGTTCCTTTTAGAATAGAAAACAATTAACTTTTCCTTTTTTTTTTTTGATCCAGTTACTCCCAAATCATTCTTACATTTCCTACACATCAAGACTTAAGTAGAAATAGGAATCAATTCAAACCCTTTCCTTCCCCTTTCTATGGCTGGTCCACATGTAGGCTATCTTGGGATCTGGCATGTCTGATCATGTGATCTCCACATCACAAGGGCCGAGGGAGGTTTATGTCTTGGTTCCTCTCATGGGTCTGTCACTGTGCCGAGCACCACTATAGGAGAGCAAGCAGTAATACTCAGCCTCATCCTCAGGCTGCGCACCCAAAAGGGTCAGGGCAGCTTTGCCCCCAAGGAGGGAGCCTGAGAACCGGGCAGGTGTCCAGGAGTGTTTGTTGCTTGTATCATAAATCAGTGTCCTGGGGGCTTGGCCAGGCTTCTGCTGGAACCAGTAGGGATAATGACCACTGGTGACAGCTCCAGTGCTGGAGCCACAGGTGAGAGTGACTGTCCCTCCTGGGGACACAGTCAGTGAGGGCTCCTGAGTCACCACAGCCTGGGAATTGGACCCTGAAACAAAAAAAACAGACATATATTAGGAATTAGAAAGGGAGAAAAAGGGATCCCTCCAAAGGCTGGTATTTGAAATCTCTCTTAACCTGGGCAGCAAGTGAGGAGGAACAGAAAGAGAGGAGTCCAGGCCATGGTGCTGATATTGGAAGGGACCCCTGGTGCCAGAGCTGGGGCTGGATTCTGATGGCTCTTTATCTCCTATTGAGCTCTCCGCACGGAGGGGGTGTGCTGTGTGCTGCTTTATGCAAATCTTTACTGCCTTTATCACCACCTGGGTCCACAGCCCTGAGAGCAGCTACACTGTGGGGGGCCAGCCCAGGGTGGCTGTGTGCTGTGGATTTGTCCTGTGGGAGGAAGCAGCTGCTCTAACATTTCCATGAGTCAGTGAGCATCTGTGCAGGGTTCATTAAGTTTGAACCTCTTGAGCTTCTTACAATCCAAGAGACCCAGACCACCCCCTGGTGGCTTTCCTGGACTGAGAATGTGTTGTCTTTCACTTCTTTAACAAATAACTATTGATTTGTCTTTGGACATTGCCACAATATTTCCCAGGCCAATTCATACCCATTACTTGTCTATTCTTTGCTCATTCCTGTTTGTATTACTTTCTCTTGCTGTTGCTGAAATCCTGCCCCTGTGACTATAATGCGATTTTAGTGCTACATGGTGTTCGTTGCTATCTGAACACCAGATAACAACGTTTGAATGACTAAATATTTAGTTTGAATGACTAAATAATTGTTTTAATGACCTACTGACTTTTTGAAACTATTTGCGTTGAGCCTCATATTGGATAAACAGCTCGTTTATATGAGACTTTTTAAAATAATTTTCTTTAGAAAATTTTTTAAAAGAAAATGACCAAAGGTTGAAGATTGAAGTTTTATTGTCAATTCAGTGGAAACTCAAGTGAGCCATGAGGATGGTCATCAAGGTCTACATAACAACCCCACTCTCACCCACCCCACCAATCAAAATTTTTCTGGACACCAAGCCTGGGTGAGCTTTGCTGGTTGGCAATGCTTCCTACATAGAATCACACATTGTTGCCGGCAGAATGCAGCGTTGTCTATTACTCCACTGGGAGAGGACAAATGGATGCTTGTGCTTGGAATTCTCCTGAACTCTGCCCATGTGTCTCTTTCCTTGAATTATTTTAATCTGTATTATTTCACTGTAGAAAAATCACATTAATGAATGTCACAGTTTTCAGTGAGTCATGTGAGTCCTTCTAGGGACTCATAAGAAGTGAAGGGCTGTTTGGGGTCCCTGAGCTGAAAATTAGCTTCAGAATTGAGAGTGCTCTTGGGAATCTTCAGACCTCCCAGTTTCCAATCTTGCATTATTCTTTTTTTTAACTTCAAAACAAATTTTATTTAGAAAGAGTTTTTCATGTTGTTGATGATGCAAGCAAACTTTTTTCACAATTACACTTCTAGAGATCTAGTAGTTTCAGAGATCTAAGTCTTCAAAGGTATGTTTTAAAATTAATAACAAAACCAAATCCACACCGACAAGAAATCACTTTTTGCTTGGTTTGGAAGGGACAGCCATTGATACCAGGTGTTCTCAGAAACGGGCTCACCACTTCCTTGGAAAACAGATAGCATGGAATCAGTGTCCACAGAAGGAAATGTCTTTAAATATGTTTGTTTTTGGGACAAGGTTATTTATTCCTGGAAAATGCAGTAAGATAAAAAGTCCCAGCTGGCAAGGTATGCAGTACAGCACCAGTTTTACAGAGGGATTACAAGATCTTGGGATCAGTAGCTGTTGGCTTATGGCACAGAATATGAGCAGTCACTGGAAGTGGAAGAAGAATGATGATGAGCAGGGAGTCTCTCCCAGTCTTATTCAGCCTTTTCACTTGCTAAATGGATAGGCTATGTTCTGTAGCATCTTTGGGAAAACATTTGAGACAGTTCAAAAAACAACAACAACTACAGAAGCCGTCCAGTATCATTCCCCAGAAAGTCCATATTTGAAAAGAAAGAGGGACCTGTTCAGGGTTCCCATGGAGGACTGTGCCTCCATCCACTTCTGTCTCCAGGAGATACAAGACATCAGCCAGAGTGTGCTCTACCACAGCATCCCAGCCCATGTCACTCATAAGGGAGTAAGCGAGATCCTTTGGAGGACACTCGCAGCACAGTCCAAAGTTAATGCAAACCATGCAGTTGTTTTCCTGTGAGATGGCTGGAAATCAACCCCCTCAAAAATACCTTTTATTCAACATATTAATTGACACCATTTTTATAAAATATTATTTGCCTGTGCAGAATCTGTTTTAGGCTCTTCTGTGCTTTATCCAAAATGTCTTTTTCCTCAAAATACAAATAATTCTTGTATTTTATCAAAGCCTTATCTTTGTAAGTATCAGGCAATAACTTGGCTGTCTCTGTGTTTTCAGGAAGATTAATATAAAATCCCAAGACCTGTCCTCATCCGTAGCTAGAAGAGTATTATTTGCCAGTGGACAGGTGGAACTTGGTTCCCTTTTGCTCTGCCAAGAATAGCTAAGTTTATCATAACCTAAGGGAGATTGATGGTTACCTTAGGACTGAGACCAACCCCATTGGCAGTGGTGTCTGGTGACAACTCATCCTTGATGATTTCAAAGTCCCAGGTCCCTTTCCATACCCCATGAGAGGCCTGCATCATAGAGTAACCCTTCTTTCCAACCACAGTCAGCCAGCTGGTCATTGGAGATCTTTACCTGGAGAGCTTAATCATGTTAGACTAACAAAACCTGTTCACAGAAACAGGCTCCGTAGAGGTCTTCAGGAATAATTTCTCCTGCCTAGCAGTCTTCAACCTTCTGAGGACCAAGGGTGTGTGGCTCAGGCTCGGTTGGAATATACCAGTAGCCATCCTTGTTAAATGGGTGTTTTAAAAGGTGTAAGGGGCAAGGCGCTGAGCAGAAAACAAAGGGTCACTCTGGGCCTTCTTGGTGGTCTCTGAGATCTCATCTTGCTGTTTGCACTGAACTCCTCTTCCTCTTTTCTGCTGCTTCCTGTTCAGTTGCCCCATTCAGATTCCCACTCACAGACAGGGCACTGCTTTGCTTTTGCTTGTCATAAACAGGATCAGTTTTACCAAAGTCCTGATCCAAAAGTCCAAATCTTGGGCAATCTTCTTTCAGGTCTTTACTCCCTGGATCCAGGAGGTCCTTTACCAAGAATAAATCTCTCTCTTTACTCATTGTTTTAACGATGTTATCCAGCCTAGTCATTTTCCCAGGTGTCTGAATGGTCATCATGCACTCCCAGTATTTATCAATAAATGCTATAGCATTCATCCTGTGTTTGGGACTGCCATGCCAGCTTAACCAAAGCACTATGAAAACTGTAGTTGGTCATGAAAGGTAGACAGGATGACATGTCTTTGCCAGATATATCAACTATGAGCCATTTTCATAGGACAGCAGATGTCCCTCTCCAGCTGGAGAGGCTGCTACCATTGCCACCAGCTTCATCTCCCCTTCTTTGGCCATAGTTGCACTAGAGGCTGCTCCTGGACTGGGTCAGGCACCCACCCCTACCATCATGGCCATTCTCAGACTTTCTCATGTTATTTTGTGTCACCTGTAATGAGGTACCTCCAACTCTATTGGTCTGTTAGGATGCTGTGGGGCTGGCACAGAAGGAAGGGTGTCCTGGCTACTCAGGCACACTCTCCTAGTCCTGTATATTTTTATTGTTCTTGTAACTGCACCAAATATAAATCTTTTTGTTTTTGACAGTGGTAAATTATTCAAACACAAAACACATATTTTAACCATTTTCAACCACACGCTTCAGTGTCATTAAGTAAAGTAATATTGTTGTACAGTCACGTACCACCATTCGTCTCCAGGAATTTTTCATCCTCCCAAACCAAAATTTCATGCCTGGAAAACATCATTCTACTTCTTGTCTCTATGGATTTCACTACTCTAGGTACCTCATATAAGAGCAAACAGACAACATTTGTCCTTTTGAAACCAGCTTATTTCTGTTGGCATGATGTCTTTAGGGTTCATCCATGCCATCGCATGGGTCAGAACTTTCTTTTTAAGGTTGAATACTATTCCCTTGTGTGTGTATACTATATTCCGTTTATCCATTAGATGACACTTGGGCTGCCTCCACCTTTTAGCTATTGTGAATGATGCTGCTACGAACAAGGGTGGACAATTTTGAGATCCTGCTTTCAATTCTTTGAGGCACATGCCCAGAAGTGAAAATTCTGATAAAATGGTAATTCTATGTTTAGTTTTCTGAGCAACTGTCATCAAGGCCACCTCAGTGGATGCATCATTTTATAGTCCCTCCAGCAATGCATTACAGTTATAATTTCTATACATCTTTGCTACAACTTATTATTTTCCATTATTTGGGTAAAGCCATCCTAATGGGTGTGGGTCCCGATTTTGTTTTGGGTTGTTTCCTATTTGCTCAAGTATTGAAATGTAAGAGATTTTCTTTCTTTCTTTCTTTCTTTCTTTCTTTCTTTCTTTCTTTCTTTCTTTCTTTCTTCCTTCCTTCCTTCTTTCTTTTCTTTCTTTCTTTCTTTCTTTCTTTTCCTTCCTCCTTTCTTTCTGTCTTTCTTTCTTTCCTTTCTTCTTTCATCTCTCTCTCTCTCTTTTTGTAGAGACAGGGCCTTGCTTTGTTGCCCAGGCTGTTCTTGAACTCTTGACCACAAGCAGTCCTCCCACCTCAGCCTCTCAAAGTGTTAGGATTATATGCATGAGTCACCATGCCCAGCCATGAGATAATTTTACATGGTGATTTTTGTATTCAGAAATATTACCGAATACATTTAATCATTCTGACAAAGTTTTCTTTTGTGGGACTTTTAAGGGTATTCTACATATGACATTAAATCAAATGAAAACAGAGATAATTTTACTTTTTATTTCTAATTTTTATTCTGTTTATTTCTTTCTCTTGCCTAATTACTCTGGCTAGGTCTTCCAATACTGTCTTAATAGAAGTGGTGAAAATGTGCATTGTTGCTTTGATCCTGATAGATATTACAAAAACATATCTTTGGTCTTTCAGATTGCATGCGATGTTAGTTGTAGGATTTTCATAGATGGCCTTTACTATGTTGAGGAAGTTTCCTTCTATTCATAGTTTGTTGAGTGTTTTTATCATGAAAGGGTGTGGAATTTTGTGAAATGATCTTCTGTAACCAGGGCCTTACTGCATTATATCTGGAAAAGCCACTCTGCTTCACACCCACCCCTACCCCCTCCACTATATGCCTTGTGTTAGAAAGGAATAAATACCTTGTGTCTTCCAGGGGAAAAGGGTCAGTCCATCAGAAACATAGCAGTTGTCACCTGTGTAAGGGGATGGTGGAGCAGGATAGGCCCTCATAGGTACAACAGTGGACTCTGCTCCAAGCCATAGTAGCTGTTACATATACATAGATTTTGACTGAGATGGAGCAACCCCTGCCTCCCTGGACTCAGACATGGGCAAAGAGTCCAGGGAAAACAGAGGCATGGACCAGAATCAAAAGCAATAAGGTGAGGGGACTAGGCTCAGGCTCCTGTGAGTAGCTTGGGGTGACTGTTATAGCAAGTGCCCCATTTGTCCAAGAGTTGGTGGCTGTGTTGATGAGTCTCTCGAAGCCAGTTTCTCCCTCACTCTGGCCCTCTGCTGCTGATGGCCCCTCTACCTGTAGATTGATAAGAAATGACTCCTTCCTAACTCTCAAATTTAGGAGACAAGCTAGACTTCTGTGGGTGGCCCCAGAGTATCCATTAATGGGTTTTAGATGAAAGGAAAGGGTGTGCAATGGTTTCTTCATGCAAATCAGCCCCCTCTTCTTGTCTGCCAGTCCCTTCATAGAACCTCAGTCCAGACAGTCACCGGAATACATGTTCTAGGTGGGGTGGAGAAGGCCAGGTTGGCTGAACCTGGTTCCCTGTGAGGACACAGCTGCTGAGCCCAGTGAGCAGTGAGCAGATGATACAGGGTCACAGCAGGATGGCTTCCCAGTTGTTCTTACTTGTAGATGCCTCAAGGACAAGCCTACAGCACCCAGTACTGCCCCAGACCCAGACCTACTGAGCCTTTCAGTTATGAGTGTGAGGGCCTTTGTTAAGCTGCATTTGTACTCATTGCTCTGCAGAGAATTCTGGTACCATTACAAATCTATCTGGTTCATGCTGTTATTTTTAGTAAAGTCCTGGGATCTTAGTCTCACTGAAGGAGATTCTCTGATAGACATCAGAGCAGAGAGCACAGTTTGGTGAAGGGGAAGCCACCAGAAATGCAGGCCTGTGGCGAGAGATGCCTCCTTCTTCCCCACTCAAGAGTGTGGCCCCTTTTCAGACTGACAAGTCCTGTCCTGGAAGTTCTGGGCTCTCAGGGTGGGTCTCCCCCTACTCTCAGCCCACGCACCTTCAGCATCAAAAGGACCCTGGAGTTTGCTGTCTCACTGGACAAAGGGAGAGCCATGCTGAGCTCTTCCATTTCTTACTTATTTACCCCTGGCTTAAGCCCCGCTGCGTGGGGACTGAGTAGTCCCCCTGCGTCTGGTTTTGAAAGGCTTATGAGGTCCCTCATCCAGAACTCTGGCTGCAGCAACCCCAGCAGAGGTCCTGAGTCTGCAGACTTGAAGAATAATACAAAGAAGAATTAGGGAAGTGAGTAGGCACTATTGATTGAGGAACTTATACCATGTATTTAGTGCTAACTGACGTGCTTTCTTGAGGGTAGCTGTGTTAGAGAAGCTCTGCCTTTGAGGTTCATCTCATAGAACTGGCATCAGTAAGACGAGGCCAGCCCCAACACTCCCTCTTCCAAGCCTTGAATCCTGTGAGGAGTTGGCAGATAAACGACAGGGCACCCAGATAAGTTGTATTTCAACTGAAAAATATTGTGTGGGAGATACTAACACATACTAATTCTTTGTCATTGTTTTACTGAATTCAAATTTAACTGACCTCCAGTGTTTTTATTTGATAAATTGCAGAATCCTACCTCCAGGCCACAAGCACTCCCCTCTCTAACCAGGGCCTACTGCATGAAAAGCAATCATAAAGCTGTTGTCAGGATTCAGTGAGGTCACACTCTTAGGAATTAAAAACCTGTTGGTCAATAGTAAGGTTGCAGTAGTTCTAAATCTTGATACAACCTATCAAAACCTCCAGGATACAGCAAAGGCAGTGCTAAGGGAAAAGTTTAGCATTAAATACATACATCAAAAAGCCTGAAAGAGCACAAACAGACCTTCTAAGGTCACACCTCATGAAACTGGAGGATCAAGAACAATGCAAACCCAAACTCAGCAGAAGAAAAGAAATAACAAAGATTAGACCAGAACTAAATAAAATTAAAACAAAAAAACTATATAAAAGATAATATGCACATAATCTGAAAAACCTAGAGAAGATTGATAAATATCTGAATATATACAACCCTCCTAGATTAAACCAGGAAGATGTAGAAACTCTGAACAGACCAATAACAAGCAGTGAGATTGAAATAATAATTTTAAAAAGTCAAACCCCGAAAAAAGTCCAGGACCAGACAGATTCACATTTGAATTCTATCAGACATTGAAAGAAGAATTGGCACCAAGTCTATGACAGTAATTGCGATGGTTAATATTGAGTGTCAACTTTATTGGATTGAAGGATACAAAGTATTGATCCTCAGTGTGTCTGTGAGGGTTTTGCCAAAGAGACTAACATTTGAGTAAGTGGGCTGGGATAGGCAGACCCGCCCTTAACCTGGGCGTGCACAATCTAATCAGATGCCAGCATGGCTAGAATATAAGCAGACAGAAAAATGTGAAAGAGAGATTGGCTTAGTCTCCCACCCTACATCATTCTCCAGTGCTGGATCCTTCCTGCCCTTGAACATTGGACTCCAAGCTCTTCAGTTTTGGAACATGGACTGGCTCTCCTTGCTCCTCACCCTGCAGATGGCCTATTGTGTGACTTGTGATTATGTGAGTTAATACTTAATAAACTCATATATATATATATATATATATATATATATATTCCATTAGTTCTTTCCCTCTGGAGAATACTAATACATTAACCCACAGGATGGAGAAAGAGGGAATAAATTATTCTATGAAGCCAGTGTCACCCTAAAACCAAAATGAGGGGAAGGACATAACAAAACAAGAAAACTACAGACCAATATCCCTGATGAACATAGATGCAAAAATCCTAAACTAAATACTTGCTAACCCAATCCAACAGCTATCAAATCATAGTCCACCATGATGAAGTGGGTTTCTTACCAAGGATGCAGGGATGGTTTAACATACAAAGTCAATAAATGTAATATACCACATAAACAGAATTAAGAACAAAAATCACAGATTATCTCAATCGATGCAGAAAAAGTACTTGATAAAATCCATCATCACTTCATGATTAAAACCCTCTGCAAAACTGGCATAGAAGAGACATACCTTATGGTAATGAAAGCCCTCTATTACAAACCCACAGCCAACATTATACTGAACAGAAAAAACTTAAAAGCATTTCTTCCGAGAACCGGAACAAGACAAGAATGCCCACTTTCACCACTTCTGTTCAACATAGTTCTGGAAGTCTTAGCCAGAGCAATCAGACAAGAGAAAGAAATTAAGGGCATCCAAATTGGTAAAGAGGAAGTCAAACTGTCATTGTTTGCTTATAATAAGATCGTATACCTAGAAAACTTTAAAGACTCATTCAAAAAGCTCCGAGAACTGGTGAATGAATTCAGCAAAGTTTCGGGATACAAAATTAAGGCACACAAATACAACAACAGGGACCAAGCTGAATATCAAATCAAGAACTCAACCCCTTTAACAAATAGCTGCAAAAAAAAAAATACTTAGGAATATACCTAACCAAGGAGATTAAAGAACTCTACAAAGAAAACTACAAAACACTGCTGAAAGAAATCATAGATGACACAAACAAATAAAAACACATCCCATGCTCATGAATGGGTAGAATCAATATTGTGAAAATGATCATACTACCAAAAGCAATCTACAAATTCAATGCAATTCCCATCAAAATACCAACATCATTTATCACAGAACTAGAAAAAACAATCCTAAAATTCATATGGAACCAAAAAAGAGCCTGCATAGCCAAAGCAAGACTAAGAAAAAACAAACAAACAACAACAACAACAAAAAGCATATCCAGAGGCATCAGGTTACCTAACTTCAAACTATACTCTAGGACACCCTGTTCAAGAAATGGTGCTGGGATAATTGGCAAGCCAAATGTGAAAGAAATAAACCTGGATCCTCATCTCTCAGCTTATACAAAAATCAACTCAAGATGAATCAAAGACTTAAACCTAAGGCCTGAAACAATAAAAATTCTAGAAGATAACATCAGAAAAACCCTTCTAGACATTGGTTTAGGCAAAGACTTCATGACCAAGAACCCAAAAGCAAATGCAACAAGAACAAAGATAAATAGATGGGACCTAATTAAACTAAAAAGCTTCTTCACAGCAAAAGAAATAATCAGCAGAGTTAACAGACAGCCCACCGAGTGGAAGAAAATCTTCACAATCTACATATCCACCTAATGACTAAGGGCTAGCATCTACAAAGAATTCAAACAAATTATCAAGAAAAAAACTAAACAATCTCATCAAAAAGTAGGCTAAAGGCATAAATAAAAATTCTCAAAAGAAGATATATGAATGGCCAACAGACATAAAGAAAAATGAACAGCATCACTAATGATCAGGGAAATACCAATCAAAACTACAATACAATACCACCTTAATACCGCAAGAATGGCCAATAATAGATGTTGGCATGGATGTGGTGAAAACAAAACACTTTTACACTGGTGGTGGGAAGGTAAACTAGTACAACCACTATGGAAAACAGATTCCTTAAGGAACTAAAAATAGATGTACCCTTTGATCCAGCAAAGTCCCAAAATCTGGGACTAGGCATGTACCCAGAGAAAAAGAAATCATTATTCAAAAAAGATAGTTGCACACGCATGTTTATAGCAGCACAATTTGCAATTGCAAGAACATGGAACCAGCCCAAATGCCCATAAACCAACAAATGGATAAAGGAAATGTTAAATATATGCATACCATGGAATACTATGCAGCCATAAAAAGGAACAAAATAATGGCATTCCCAGCAACCTGGATAGAATTGGGGACTGTTATTCTAAGTGCAGTAACTCAGGAATTGAAAACAAAGCATGGCATATTCTCACCCATAAGTGGGAGATAAGCTATGAGAACACAAAGGCATAACAATGATACAATGGACTTTGAGGACTGGGAGGAAATGGTAGAAGCGGGGTGAGGGATAAAAGACTACTCACTGGGTACACTGTACGCTACTTGGGTGATGAGTGCACCAATATCTTAGAAATCACAACTAAAGAACTTATTTATGTAACCAAATACCACCGATTCCCTAAAAACCTATTAAAATAAAAAAATTAATAATTAAAGAGAAAAAAACACTGAAATCCTTAAAAACCCAAATAAATAAATAAGTAAATAAATAGAATATGAGAACCTCTTCCAATATAGACAGAACGAGAGGCAAGAGATGAAGAAGCAAGAATCCCGACAAGACATCACAGACTCTCCTGTCACCTTAGATGAACATAACTCCAAGAGTTTGATTTTGATGGACGATAAATTCAAACTTTAAAATAAATAAACAAAATCAGGAATAATCAACCTAAAGGCCCTCAAAGGTAGTAATGAGCCCTCTATGGGATGGGTGCAATTCAGCGAGAACAGGAAGAATCCCAAAAGGAGTTTGCAGTGTGAAAAAAGCCAGAACAAATGGGAAGATAATGTCTGATAACACTGATACATTCCAAAAAATGGAAAGCAAACAATAGTGACAGAGACAGATCTGTGGCTGCACAGGATAGCACTGGGGAAGGGAGGGAGGGAGATGACAAGGGGTCATGAGGGGTTGCTGGGGTTGGTCACAGGTTGCATAGCTGCGTGTTGGTGGTGATGTATTCAAGGATCAAAAAATGTCAACATTTGTCTAATTTCCTATTATAAATCTGGGTGGTTTATTAAATATGCATTATTCCTACATGAAAGGAGTTTTATTAAAAAAAGAATTGGCTGGAGAGAAAGGAAGCACAGGGATTCACACTGAGGAGCAGGGGGAGGAAGACACCACTCTGGAAACTCCTGGAAATGGGAAAAGGAGGATGACAGAGACACAGGTTTCCCATCAGAGGTGGGTCTGTGACGACACAGCTGTACCTGCCACCTCAGTCCAGGACTTCAGTGCAGAGACCCTGTGTCCCAAGTTGCAGGAAGCAGGATGTTCTGTTTCCTGGACAGCCTGTTCATGACTCTGAGGATGAAGGGGAGGAGGAGCCTCCACTCTCAGGCAGGGCCCTGGATGCCCTTGGACCCATGGGGGAAGCTACAGCAGCAGAAGCCACAGGCCGGGCCTGAGCAGCAGCTGCCGGGGCTCACCCTCCTGACAGAGGAGGAAGGGGGTTCTTGTCTCAGTTCCCCCTGGGCCTGGAGCACTGTGGGACCACTCAGGCTGTCATCCCATGCTGCACAGTAATAATCAGCCTCATCCTCGGACCGGAGCCCACTGATGGCCAGGGAGGCTGAGGTGCCAGACTTGGAGCCAGAGAATCGGTCAGGGACCCCTGAGGGCCGCTGATTATTACTATAGATGAGGAGTTTGGGGGCCGTTCCTGGGAGCTGCTGGTACCAGTATACATAATTACTTCCGATGTTGGAGCTGCTTCCAGAACAAGAGATGGTGACCCTCTGCCCGGGGGTCCCAGACGCTGAGGGTGGCTGAGTCAGCACAGACTGGGCCCAGGACCCTGGAAGTGAGAGAGACACAGACATGGTGATTGACAAGAGACGAAAGGAGACAAGAGGAGAAAGCAGGGCCCCATGGGCTTCCCAGGGCCCCTCTCTTGGTCCCCATCCTGTCACCTGCACAGTGAGTGAGGAGGGTGAGGAGGAGAGGGAAGCCGGCCATGCTGGAGATTGTCCTGAATCCTGTCTTCTCTACCACAGCTGAAGCTGAGCTTCCCCCAGATCTCTCCCTCTCTTCATACTCTGAGAGGGGGAGAGTCCATCCATGCAAATCAGATCCCCCCGGTTTTTGACCCCACCCTGAGCCCTGGGTCAGGCTCCTGGGCTTGAGTATGTCAGGGTGTGGCAGGGGTGGAGCTTTGTGGTCCCAGGGGGTGGGGAGGACACAGGACACAGCTGCCAGCCCTGAGCAGAGGACATCAGGCAGGGCAGGTGCCTGGTTCTGCTCTGATTACCCCAAGTCTTCTCAGAAATGGTCCCCAAGCGCCCCCTAGTGTCCAGACTAAGGCAAACCGTTCTATGATCAGGTGACCAGAGCCTCTGAGATTCACCGCTGCCTCCGCCCCGCCCTGTTTTCTGGCCACTGCCCCCGCTCCCAAGTCCCGGCCCAGTAAGGTGGCACCTGTGTCTCCCTCCTGTGACCTCAGGGCAGTCTTCACGCTCTACTGGACTCCTCAGGAGTGAATCTGTCTATGGCTCTTTGGCTGTACATTGTAGAGGACTCAGGTGATGTCTACACAAAGTCCTTTTATTTCAGGATCAAGCCCAGAGCGGGGACCGGCCCCATGGACTCACTTCCCCACCAGTGTTGGACACCGGGTCCTCTCCTCTCATGTGACTCCTCCCTGGTGGCCAGGGCTCCACTTCCTCTGTGGATCCTGCTGCGCTGAGGAGAAAGGGAGCTCTTCCCTCTGGGATGCCCTGGGGAGGAATTCCCAGAGGGTTTTTCTGGTAAATCTTTGTTCTCCCTCTACTTCCCCAGATTTGCAGTCATAGTCATCCGGATACTGTGACCAGGGATCTTGCCTAGGAGTCTGTCCTCCAAGCACTGAATGCCAGTCTGTGGGGGATCCTGGCAAATGTCTTTGGAGTGTTTCACTTATGAGCAAAAAGAGCAAAGATGTTCAGTCTTTGAACATGGGAAGAATTAAAATTTTAACTTGGTTTGACGACCAGAGTCTGTCCTCAGGTGAGCCTGATATGTGATAGCTCTTAGCATCGAGCACCCCAACTAGGATTTCCAGGGAAAAATTATGGTTCAAATTCAGTAGTGAGTCTTGTGGGGGTGGCTTGAAGATGATGAAAATTATTCATCTTTGGTCTGTAATGACATCTAGAATCTAATAAACTAAAAACAATAATCTTAAGAAAAAAGATAATTCTGTTAATCAAAATGAAAAATGAAATAGATTGTGTTTATGATTGCATGAGTTCTGGCATGATACACCCTGGACTCTTAACAAATATTTGTTTGGGGAATTTTACGTGGATGGAGGGAAACAGCTGGATGGTTATGTTGATATTTATACTTGTGAATGTATCATCAGGCAGTTGCAATACAATGAGATTTTTTATTTATTTGTTTGTTTATTTATTTATTTATTTTGAGCCGGAGTCTTGGTCTGTTGCCCAGGCTGGAGTGCAGTGGCACCATCTCGGCTAAATGCAACCTCCATCTCCCAGGTTCAAGCAATTCTCCTGCCTCAGCCTTCCAAGTAGCTGGAATTACCAGCACGAGCCACCATGCCCGGCTAATTTTTGTATTTTTTTAGTAGAGACTGGGTTTCACCATGTTGGCCAGGCTGGTCTCCAACTCCTGACCTTGTGATCAGCCCACCTCGGACTCCCAAAGTGCTGGGATTACAGGCGTGAGCCACCGCGCCTGGCCACAATGAGATTTTAAATGCTCCATTTAAACAACAAAATAGTGAGATTTATTGCAGGCATTTAAATAAAACCAGTCCGTATATGTAACTGAAATAAAATGGATGCTGTGTTTTGGGATTGCATTTCAAGGGTGTCATTATTTTAAATGTTCCTTTTAGTGTAAGCCATGCTCCTTTACATAATTTTCATAGTTTTTATAAAAAGTTTATTGTGTTTATATAACACATCAGGCATATTGTTTTATTTATTTCCAAGTAGAAATAAACTATTAGAGCTGGGCTTCACTTCCTGTTTCTTCTCATTGCTTTTTCTTTGATGATGCATAGATGTTCACAGTGAATTTTGTTTTCCTTTCCTCCCACCTTAATGAACAGGGGGTCACCGAGGCTGAGCAGTGTCTCACATACAGGAGAAGGCTGCCCACGGCCTCCTCCCTGCCCACGGATGCGCTTCCTGGTGGATGCCCCATCAGCTCTTAGGCTGAGGGCAGAGAGAGGAGCAGATCCACGGCTAAGGAACCTGGACACCCAGAGGATCTGGAAGGAAGGGGCAACAGTTGCGACAGTGAGCCCTGGACAGAAGACACTGACTGTGGATTTTTTATGTGATTCTCCTCAGGAACCCTCACAGACAAACCAAACCCCAGTCTCTACGTGTCTTCAGGGTGCCGGTCCTTCCAGGTCCTCTTTTTGTCACTGCCCTAGGCCCCGGGCATCCTTCTCCTATGAGTCACAATGGACAGTCTCCTCTTCAGGGTGCACCCTCCTTACCACATCTGACCCCACACCCATCTCCTCATTCCTCCATAAACCATCCCCTGCTCACTTCCATTAGCATTTTTACATCATTCTAGGATCACAGCCTCCCAAGGATGTCTCTGCAGGATATCCATGTTGCAGAGAGCTCAGACCTTTGACAGGACCACTGTGCCTGGGCCACCTAAGGCTGAGCATTTCTCTTGCTTCTCTTCTAGAGCAGCTCTAGGCCGAGCCAGATCCAGACCTCTCAGAATGCTGAGCCCACGTTTTCTTAAGTGTCAGACTTCCGCTCTCACATATGGGTCTTGGGTCACACAGGCTGGATTCTCCTTTCTTGTCATCTTTCCCACAGTTTCAGAGCTCAGGAAATGATCAGCACACCTGCACCAAAAGGAGAGGACACCTGTGGGACCAGGCTGAAGGCTCCTGGACTTCTGGGTCACACTGGCTGGATTCTTTCTTGTCATCCCCACCTCATCCACACCCACCATGTGTGGACAGCTCCTTTTGCTTCTAGAAACAAGTTGATTCTGTTTCCATTGGGGAGACCAGTAAGAAAACGAGTTATCATCCCTGCACCCTTGCTCTGCTTTCAGTAACACAAGTGACAGTAAAAGTCTTGGCATGAACTGGTGTTGGTCACAGGCAGGGATAAAGGAGGGATGGGGAGACAGGATGAGTGGGGCAGATCTTTCTCTCATTTCCCCATGGAATAGGAACCCTTGGTAACATGGAGTCAGGATGCAGCTGTGTGACACTGATAACCAGCCAGTCCTCAGGCTGGAGCGCAGAAGTTGTCCAGGAGGCTGTGGGAATAAACCCAGAGCAGGAGAATCAGGCTTGGACCCCTGAGGGACAATCACTGATGTCCTAAGTCACAAAATTAGGGGCTCTTTCTGGGAGGGAATGCCCAATGTTTCTGCTGCTCCCCATGCAGAAAAAGGTGACATTGAGATGGGGGCCTTCTCAAGAGTTTCCTGGGGAGGAGTCACTTGAAGCAAACAGTATCTGTACCCAGATGTTCCACAGACTCACTACTAGAACCTGACTCAGTGAGAACCTCCAATGGTGCAATAGAGGAGAAGAGAACACAGGCCCTGAGGGATCAGCAAACCCACCCTCAGCAGTCCCCGTGGTCCTGAGTGGAATGAGCTGCAGGAAAGTCACATCCCTGGGACCTACTTCCCCCATGGCCAAGGAGCAGCCTCAGCCTTGCCTCAGCCATGGTGGAGCCTCCCCTTGACTCTCTCAAGTCCTACATAGAGGTTTACCGGCCTCAGGTCCACAGTTACCCTCAGACGTAATCCCATCTCCTGACATTTCCACTGAAATGCAGGTACCCAGTACTGAGCCAGGTCAGCACTATATCTGCAATTCCCTGACCTGTGTCCTCATGCAGCATTTCATATTTGAGTGCCTTGTTCCTGGGACACAGTGAGCCTCAGACAGCCCTGAGAACAGACTAGTGGGGATGGAAGGGGAGGTCTCTGCTTGTACACTGGAAGAGCAGAGTCCATGCTGTAGGGGACTGTTCACCTGCTAGGATGTCCCCAGGCTCTGACCATGATGTGAGCTAGGAAAGCCTCATTTTGCTTCTTTCAAGAACAAAAGTCCAGCTCCGCAGGCAGTGGTGTTAGCACATATGGACAACCAGCCAACACTTCAGGGTCGTCAGGTGCTTTGGTTTGGTTTTGTTTTACTGAGACTTCAGAAGAATGGATGGGAAATTGAGAGAAGAGCCTTTTACAACTAGAAAGTTATTTCCAAATTTAGTTTGTCCCTTGGCTGGTTATTTTAAAATTTAAAAACTGTTACAGAACAAGAACCCAGATCAGGGTGAGGTTTTCGTCCCACTTCCCCATCTGTGTGTGTCACTGTGAGAAGCACTGCTGTGCCAAATCATACAGTAATAGTCAGCCTCATCCTCAGACTAGAGCCCAGAGATGAATAAAATCCCTGCATTGGTCGAAGCATCTTTGGATCCAGAGAAGCGGCTGGGGACTCCAGAGCCCTGGTGCTTATCTGAGTCTGAGTAGTAGTTCAGGAGATACCTGGGAGGACTCCCTGGCTTCTGCTGGTACCAGTATATCCTGTAGCTACCAACACTGATGCCACTGCGCAAGGTGCAGGTGAGTCTGGCTGATGCTCCAGGAGATGCTGAGAGGGAAGTTGGCTGAGTCAGCACAGCCTGCGAGAGGGAACCTGGAAACACAGGCATTTATAGGCTTTAAGGCAGAAACCAAGGTAATATTTTTTTTAGTGATCTTTGACACGAGAGTCAGAATCAGGCTGTGTGGCTGACCCTGGTCTCTGAGGCCTTTTCCTACCTGTGCAGTGAGAGAGGAACAGGAGAAGGAGAGGAGTCCAGGCCATGGTGGACACAGCCTCTTACCCCACAGTGGGACTGGGCTGCCCCAGGCCTCCTTTTCTTCCCACCCTTGCAGAGGAGGGGCTGCTCATGCAAATGTGTTTCCACCCAGGGACTGCCGGGCCCCTCCTTGAGACCTGGGGATGCAGCTCACCTCACTCTGCAGACTAAGCAGGAGGAAGGTTTATTTTTCTTCTTGCAAGGTCCTGGGAGGAAGCACCTGTTGAGACGATACACAGGTCCCTGCTCAGGGAACTCTGCAAGGCCAGAGGGGACACAGCTGCCGAGTGTCCATCAGTGAGCACAGGGCCCAGCCTCAAGGCCTGGATTTCTTGGAGTGAATGCTCCTTACTGAGCAGCTGTGTCAGAACCACAGGGCAGCCCCACAACATCCGACGCTGGTCCCAGGAAACACACTTTCCCAAAGCTCAGAGACTTCAGAACCCAGCTGGTCTCTGCAGCTCTCCAGTCACTGTCTGTATTCACATATCCATGGTCTGATTCCCAGACACTGCTTCTATCATGCTGTGCATTATTACTGTGATTTCTCACTCCCAGAAGTAGTCTTGGTCTGTGGGATGTGCAGCCATGTACATATATAACTTTTAAAGTTGTCAGCACCCCTGCATGGCATTCTAGAAAAATCGAGTTGCCCACATGTGCCATCAGGGTGGGCATCATGAAAAATGGGTCAGCTGAGGAGCTGGGTTGAAGGGCAGCTGGGGTTGTTCAAAAGGACAGTGAAGAATGAGAATTTTCCAGGAAAAATAAATGATCCAATACATGTTAAAGACAGCAATTTAGCAAAAGTTATACATCTAATGGTTTCATATGTTTTATAGAGATTTGACTCAATTTTGTGATGTAGGAACATTAAGAGATTTTGTAGACTTTCCTGTCACAGTGTGACATATATCTCTGTTTTAAGAGGTTAGCCATTATCTCCCTAAGTAAAACGTCACTTTCTTCACAGTCGTGTCATATTTTTTGGTAAACGATTTGTCCTAAATGTTATACAATTTGTTTGTATCTTGATATTGCCACCTTTATTTTTTTACTGGATGCTTTCAGGTTATTTGAAATATCAGTATTTATTTTACCTGCGAAGTGTTTTTGCAAGTATTGAATGCCAGAGGAGACAAAGGCAGAGACCATCACTTCTCAATGTTGCCACGTCTACTCTTGTGCTAACTGTGCAAATGGCCCTTGGGTTTCTAGACTCACGAGGTGCTTTAGTGAATAATCTAGAATCAGGATCACTCACTTTTCTCAGGCACGCTCTCCTCCAGGCATTTGGAGACAGATCCCTCTCATATAGATGAGGCAGGGAAGGTACTACCTGGCTTAAACCCCTTCAGTAACTCATCATTCTTATTATAAAATCCAAATCCTGTGGCCTCTGAAGCATGCCCTTCACACTGTGGCCCCTGCACACACCCACAGCCCAACTCACAGCCCCACCCTTGCTTTTAGGGCTCCAGGCTCACTCGCTTCTCTGTCCTGGGAAACCCTGAGCTCCTGTGTTTTCCATGTTCTCCACACCAGCTTCTCCTCTGCCTGTTGGGAGAAGATGGGCTTCTACTCAAAGTCAGAGTGTAAGCTTACATTTTGTCCACATTGTACACCGGTTAAAAGCAGAACAGTTACAAACAAGGATATTTTAAACACTGGATAGCATGGAAACTTTTGAACCATACAAATATACAGATACTTTTCTAATGAATTGTTTGCACCCATCAGCCAAATTTGACCATCATCAATGTGGTTCATCTTGTTTAATTTTTCAACCCATTTTACCCATCAGCTTACTCCCTCACTGGGTGATTTTTACAACAGATCAACGAAGCAGTAAAATACAATTGGTACATAAATTAACAAATATATACATTTGAAGTGTTCCGTAATTTTTGTGGATTAAAGCAACACATTCCAAGGACTCTCACATTAATTGATCTGTTCTGTAATCATCCATGTCTAAAGTTAATTTATTGTAGTAATTGGGAAACTGAAGGAAGCACAATGAATGTTAACAATTTGCAGATGCAGGACTCACAGCATTGCATATTGGATTAGAATATAGTCCAGTTGGGCATCTACATTCCTAATTATTTATTGGCTTTACCCAGTTCTCCTAGTGGAGAAATATCTCTTCTGTGGACACAGAGCTCACAAACCCATCCTTCTTCCTTCAAGAATTTCCTCATCAAAGTCTGCTATGGGACTTGGGGTTGATGAGTTTAATGTTTGAATTGCATTGATCATATGGATGATTTAAAGCTCCGTAATGAATATTGTGAAGGAAGGATATCTAATGTAAAGTTTCTTAGTTATATAAATATTGCCAGACATTTTCCCAACTCACCCATATTAGCAGTTTATTTGCTCTCGAGGGTTTTCTGTCCCCAGAATTTGCTTTATGATCTATTCGCTTCCTGTGGTTTCTTTTATCAGGACTGGGAAAGCCCATCGCATCCTCTCCACTTTCTCCACATGAACCCATGGGATCCAGTATATATGGATCCATGACAATCAGACCATAAATGAGTGAACAGAGGCTGCAATTGGCAGCTGCAGAGACCAGCTGGGCTTTCAGGTCTCTGGGCCATGGGGAGGTATGTGTGATATATATATTTGCATTTTTATATCCATATCCTTCTCCTGCTAACCAAATCCAAAGGCAAAAGTCATTACTTAGTATCTTCCATTGAATGAACTTGGAATCTCAAACACAAAATATTCAGAATTTTTAAAAAAATTATTATCTTGACCTCAGGTTTGTACCTCTTCCTGGGATTCCAATGTAGGTGAACTCACATATTTAATAAACATGTATTGAGTCTGTCCTTAGTGCCAGGAAGTGTTTTCAGCAATGACAAGACAGAAAACAGCCAATAAACAATCTCATAGAGGTTGGATCTCAGCAGGGGAAACACAGTGAATAGAGTCACTAACTGTAAAGAAACATCTTAATGTGGATGATCCCATCCTGACAAGTTAGTCATCCTGGGGATTTGAAGCCCATTGCTGACAGCTGAGAGACGTGCACTTCTATAACCCTGACGAATGGACTGACTTGTGCAGAAGTTGATGATGTTCTTTTTGACCATGTGTGTTATAAATAATCCTTCATCGACAGGATGGGGTCAATCTCCTTGGCCTCACAAATGGCTAGGATCTCACTGTAAGGGAGAAATAAAACAGCACATTCCCATCCTCAGGAAGAATTCCTAAGGACAATCAGACAACTGAGTGTGAAGAGGGAATTAGTCATCACATAACCTGTCTCTCTTGCTCTCTTTGTGATGGAGAAAGAGCAGCGGAGATACAACAGCCCTGCAACCCTGCCCTGGGAAGGAGACAAGGAAGAAGAGAGGTAAACAGAAATGTAAATAAGGATGCCTGGGCAGGAGCTGAACATCCCGTCCCTCACCCAGACACAGAATCCTGCCTGTCCACTGCTCTCCAGCTTTTCAATTGACCTTTACCCCCACACATCACTGAGGTGGTCACAAGGACCCTGGCACATAAAGACACCTCAGGAACCTCTTGCCGATGCTGGGCTTCAGCCCTCACTGTCCCACACCTCCAAATCAGGACTGCACAGACTGCAAATCAGTGTGCCCCCAAATCAGCTACTTCAGCACTGACACCTCCCGTCTCATGGTTTCTGACAGAGCTCTGGGAGGTTTGATCGTGAGCTTTAACAGCAGTAACAGCAGCCCCTTGAGTGTGTAGGGCATCATCCCATGTGCTCTACAGTGCTCTGTCCCGACCCTTAGTGCTTTTGCTCAAGAGAAAGTAAGCAGGTCTCTGTCCAGGTGTGAAAAGTGATGGTTCAAATAAATCTCACTGAATAAGAGGGAAGGGCAGCAATGAGTCCTGAGTCCTATGAGCTTTCCAGAGAGAAGAGGAGAGTGACATGCTTGATCGCAGCTGCAGGCTGTTGTCAGGTTTCCATCACAAGGACAAGGTCAGGGCCTCAACCTAGTGACCTCTTTCCTCTAGTCCTTCTCACCATGGTGTGGGTCATGCACATTCCTCCCAGCTCAGCTGCTACATCAGATGCTAGATACCTCATCTCTCATGTGCACAATGCCACTGCTTTCTAACTGGACCTTTTGCCTTCGCACTATCCCCTCATTTTTTGTCTTCCTTGAAGAAGCTGGACTTTCCTCCTAAATCTCAAACAAAAGGCTGTGTCTTCCTTGCTTACGACCCACTAAAGGCGTTCTATCATTCTCCCCCTTCTGGCCAGTGTCACCTCTTTGATACACCACAATATGCCTTATTCCCATTGACTTCTTGACTGTCTCTCTTTAGTTTGGTGTCAGCCCTATGAAGACAGGAACCTTGTCTGTCTTGGTAACTCTGTATCCTGAGCCCTCCCCATAGCCTGGCACATAGTAGTTGTTCAGTAGACAATAGGGATGATTAGACCTCTGCATTAGTGCATGTGCCTGAGAGAGAGCCACCTGGAATCTGTCCCTGCCTCCCCTGACCCATCTCGGGTCTGTCCCCAGAGCAGCCTGTTCCTGGAATCAAAGGCTTTCTGATTCTTTTGAAGCAGTCTGACAATGTGCCATTGCTAAGGGCTCCCTCTGTGGGCTGGCTCTGAAAGAACAAAGCTGCATTCTCTAGATCACTGTCCCTGACTTGAGTCCTGGGCACTGGTTAGTGGCAGCACCAGGAAACATACACACAAACGGTAAAGAGCCCAGTTGTCCTGACAGTGGGTGGTGCTGCAGGTAGCTCATACTCATTGGAAACCTGGTGTGCCTTTGTCTCAGTTCCCCAGACTGCAGCACTGTGGGGACCTCGATGGAGCTGCCTAAAGCCAACAGCAGAGATCAGCCTTGTCCTAAGCCTGTAGCCCAGAGATGCTCAGCAATGCCTCCTTGCCAGACCGGTAGCCTGAGATTCAGTCCTGGATCCCTGCAGGTGGATATTCGCCGCAGGATATGGATATAAATATATGGATCCGTACATATGTATCAGAGGTTTGGCGGCACTTCCTGGTCATTGTTGGTACCAGGACACAAGCCCAAGACCCTTATTGTTGCTGCTTCCAGTGCAGGAGATGGTGACTGGTTTAGCCACAGACAGACTGGTTAAACTGTTATATTAACTATTATCTATATAAACTATTATATTGAACTCCACTTAAACTCTTGTGTCTGAAGAGTGAACTCTATTTAAATACAGGGATATTGTTTGTGGTATCCTTGTAGTGATTCGTAAGATGCAGTACACACATTTATTGGCACTTTTTTTTCTAGATATCGCTGGCCTTTATATGACAATGTGCTGTAAATGAATAGTTAGGATCATCAGCCTAGAGTTGATAACTGAGCTTGGAAAGGTGAGGAGAAACTAACAAGAGTATATTATGTGAAAAACGCCTAGCACTGAGGACATAAGATATTATTGAGTAGTGACACAGTACCCCAGGAAGGACACTGAAAGGAAGAGTCTAATGTGGGGGGAAAGCAGGAGAGGCCACTCAGGGCTCTTAATTGTAGGCTTTGGGTCAGATCAGGCTGACTCTGATTCCAGCTCCCAGGACACAGAGGAAGAGGGGGACTGGGATAACACCGCTGTGCCCAGGACCCCATGAGTGGAGAATCTCAGCAGCAGCCCCCAGATGCCTGGGGAGCAATTGTGTTGGGATGAGAGTAGATGGGGCCTCACAGGGAATGTATGGCCAGAGGGAGAGCTCATTGTGCTGAGCCCCTGGGTTTGGTTGTCACTTCAGGAGGGGCAGCTGAAGAAGAGGCACCTGTGTGCTGGTGGTCAGTTGTGCTACGGGTTTCATTTCTTTTTTAAAATTTAAAAAATTGTTATGGGTACATAAGAGTTGCTTAAATTTTCACTTTTTGAACTTTCTCCATTCTCATTATTAACTGTGGGAAGAGGAGACTATGATGAACCTTTTTTTTTTAATGCTGCTTTTAAAAAATAAAAATGGGATCTCAGGCTTGTCTTGAACTCTTGACCTCAAGTGATTCTCTTGCTTTGGCCTCTCAACATGCTGGGATTACAGGCATGAGCCACCACGCTTGGCCTAAAATGTTTTGATAGAAGATGTCATAATTACTTTTTCTTCCAATATTCTTTGTTATCTTAGCCTTGTATAATTTCACATATTTCTTTGCAGCTATCTTTGTGACTTTTTTTTTTTTTGTAGAGAAGAATAAAGATAAATCATGTAAGATAGGCTTGTTTCAGAGAGGAATGAAGCTTGTCCCTCTAACACTCTTACCCTGCAGACATTCTTGCCCTGTGCCATCCATGCCCCCTTCTCATCACAGAACCTCCACTTCAGGGCCCTCAGGAGACCATGCAGAGTCCTGCGGAGTCTCTGGAGGGAAGATGCACTGTGGGCAGAGAGGTTGGTGCTTTTCTACTGTTGTGGTGCTGAGGTTTTCCTCCAGCAAACAGGAAGGCTCGGTTTTGGTACACTGGATTAAATTGTGGAGAAAGAACCTGCATTTACTGAGTATGAAGAGTGTTAAAGTTATGTAAACTTTATGTTTTGTATCATATTTTATAAATTAACTCAGTTTTGAGGGGTTTTAAAAATTTTTAATTTTTTTTAGAATTTTCTAAAATTTGGTGAGAGGGAGATTTTTTCTGTGTTTCCATTATGTTTCTTCAAAGCTTCATATGGTCCATTGCTATGTTTATCATTATACATAGGATCATTGTTATGTTGTGTCACTAATATCAAACTTTGCTCCTGTAATTAAATTCTGGCCTGCCCGAATCTGCGTGTGTGTGTGCGTAACTTTTTATTTTGCCACTCCTATAAATAACTCATAACTGTGCAATTGATGATAGATCTTAGTATTGTGCTTTATGAACACATTGTTATAATAACATGTTGGGTTAAAAATACAAATTTTGCAGCTTAGAAGAATATATGTGACCACTTTCTCTTGGGCCCTGGAGAACCAGCGTCAGGAGCCCGTGTTAGCCAGAAGCAGCAGCAGCCTCTGTGTGAAGAAGATGGAGATGTTAGGAGCATGAGGTGAGGCTGAGCCAGGGTGTGTGTGTCTGACGTCCCCATCTCTGCATGGGGTCCCCACTTGATTCTCACACTCTGTGCTTGAAGACAAGACTGCCCTCACCATCACAGGGGCCTAGGCTGAAGATGAGGCTCAGTATTATTGTGCTCTGTGGTAGAGCAAGCAACCATCTCCACAGTGACAGATGCAGATACTCTGATATATTTAAAAATATTTTCAGTATAGGTCTAGTTTTGTACTTTTTAAAGTAGGAGAGTTTATATGAAAATAACAGTATTATAAGCTGAACTTGTCTCTCTCTCTTTTTTTTTTCAGGTTCTCCTCTGCTCCTGCAGAAGAAAAAAAAAAAAAGCGTCAAGACTTCTTACCTACATTGGTACATTGGCACCCAAACAAGTTTATTTATTAAGAGCTTAATGGGGGAAGAGTTTATAATGTGTATATCTACAAGAATATATTTACCCAATGTAATCAACCAATGTAATTACCCAATGTAATATCAACCTAAAGAAACAAAGGGAAATATCAACCAAAATATCAACCAAAGAAACATAGGGAAACTGTTTAGAACTCACAGACCTAAACCTGGGGAAGTAAACCAGGGATAAGTCTGAGAGCCATGTCCTTAATGAGGAGGGGTCACCCTATACCTGGAAATTCAGGAGCTCCTCAAGAGTACAATCTCAAGAGAAAGAGAAACTCAACTTCCCTGAAGTTTCAGAGTTCAGGGAGTAACCAGCAAAGACTGGGCCAAGAGCAGGGACATGTATGGGCCAGGAATGGGGTTGCACATGCTAGACTTCTGCTCTAGTTGTCATCCCACCCAGCAACCCGAAAGGCTATTTGTGCTTAGGGGACAAAATGATTCTGTTAGCATTAAGAGGCCAGTAGAAAGGGAGGTATTTTCATTGAGTCTATAAACATAGACCAAGGATTGGGTACCAGAGGAGTTCAGGCAACAAGCCATGGTGGACACAGCCTCTGGACCTCACAGTTGGGCTGGGCTTCCCCAGGCTTGACTATTTTTCCTTCTGCCCTCAGGGAAAAGAAGAAGCTGTTCATGCAAATCTACTCCCTCCCTTCTGGCTAAATGAGACCCTACCTGATCACTGATTCAGGAACCCAAAAGGGGATGTGAGGACAGAGGAGGTTGAGGAAGGAGCTGCTCGAGTGTGGGCCCAGGAGGGTCCTCGAAGGAGCGGCTGTTGGGAACAGGCACAGGACCCTGCCCAAGAGGCTTTGCTGGACCCTGAGAGCACTAGGCTGCTGAGTTTCATCAGCGAGCACAGGGAGCAGCTCAGCCTCTGCCAGCCTGTGGCCAGTGGGGCTCACCCGGCTGTGAGCAGCCCCAAGGCAGGGCCTGGGACAGTTACCCATTGCTCCTGCTGGTCACAGCCCCATGTTGGTTGTCTACAAGGGTCCTCAGGCTTAATGCCTGGGAACTGGAGTCTGTAGTGGAGGTAGTCTTGAAAAGGGTTATTAACCTGTGAAATTTGACCTCAATCCAGGTATTTGTCATCAGAAAGCATTGCAGAGTGATTCCACCAGAGCTCTCTCCCTGCATGTGAAGGAATTCATTCTGTGAAGGCAGTGGGGGCCTCTTTCAGAATCTCAGATATAGAGCAGGCTCACATTCTACTATCTTTGGTGTGTGTCCATTCTCTCTTTCTAGGGCAGCCAAGCACATGTACCATGAGAGCTCTGTGCACATGGAGGTGACTGGAGATGGCTGAAGTCCACGTCGATTATGTGACACTGTGAGTCAGGGTGAAGGCCTTGTGTCTCCAGGGAAATTGTCAGTTCCCATCATTGAATAGGCAGCTCACAAATGTTGAATATGGACAAAGGTCGTGGGAGCTGGTGACGGTGATTTCCTGATAAACGCACCTGTGAGCAGTTCCACAACCTGGAAACTTCAATCCCATCAGGGGACAGGTGAGTGGCAAAAACCACAAATGTTGGTGTGCAAACTTCAATGTTTCAAAAGCTCTTGAGAAAATATTTACACACAGGGAACATATGCTGTGAATTAGAACTCCAAAATGTCTGGGAAGGTGAAAACTTTAAATACAGAGTTAAGAGACAGCCCTCTGAAATGTGAGTCAGGCCAGTGGGAAGGAAGTGTGGACAGAGCAGATCAGCCGGGAGGTTTTTGTCTCACTTCCCCTCTGCCTGTGTCACTGTGGGTTACACGAAGTTGCTCCCACTGCCATGGTCTGCCCCACAGTGGTAGTCACTCTCATCCTCTTCCTGGATGTTCTTGATGGTCAGGTACCGATTCAGGCCTGAGCCCAAGACTGAGAAGCGATCAGGGATGCCATCCCCCTTGGATCCCACAATCCCACCAGTGCCCACTCGCATCACAAACCGGGGGCCCTTCCCTGGTCTCTGCTGGTACCAGTCCACTTTATAATTACTGTAGCCGCTGCTCAGGGTGCAGGTGAGTGTGACCGAGGCTCCCAGGGAGGCTGATGCAGAAGGTGGCTGAGTCAGCACAGGCTGGGAGAGGGACCCTGGAAACACAGACACCCATGAGGGCTCCTGTTGGTGGGTGGCTGATGAGCTGTTGGAGGAGGAAGAGCAGGGATGGGGAGATGGAGGCTGGGAGGTGGGGGTCCCTTTGGGGGCCCAGCCCACTGCCCACCCTGACCTGTGAGGAGACTGAGGAGGGTGAGGAGCAGAGGAGCCCAGGCCATGGTGGAGCTGCTGCAATGCTGGGTTCTTCAGTCTCTCAGCTGAGCCTGAGGCCCTAAAGCCTCTTATTCCCTCAGTGAAGAAGTGGGCAGGGACATCACATTCCATGCAAATCGGCTCCCTCCCAGGGCTGGTGATTAACAAGGGCAGGGCTCAGAGCAAGAGCTCAGGTCCCTTAGGATTCACAGAGTTTGCCTCCCCCTAGTGGCCAGGTGCTGCGTCACACTCAGGGATCAGACAAGGCCTTCTGGGCCCCTGCTTCACCTGGAGCCCATGTGGGTGTCCTGGAAATTTCTCAGGCTCCATTTCTAATGTCTCAGGAATCTCCACAGTGCTTCTTTCCCTCTGGGGTCCCACAGTGGGATGCAGTGACTAGATCAGTTAATCCTGGAGCCCGCCCAAGGCACCTGTTCCAACTTTCATTATAGGATGGGCGAGCCCTTCAACTGTTACTCCACACAAACTGAAGATGTGTCCACACTTGTAGATGACCACCTTCTCACTCTGTCCTCATCTCATTTTATGTTGTCCATTTTCTAATCTCCTCTTATAAGGATGCCGGTCCTTATGATCTCATTTCATCTTAATTACCCTCTGTAATGCTCTGTCTCCAAATACAGTAATATTGGGGGTTAAGGCTTCAATGTGAATTATGGAAAATTTAGTACATAATGACCAGTAATTACAGTACTTTTTTTAATTGATGAGAATGAGTTAGAATAGGATAAATATATAAGTGTGAAAAGGAAAATTTTATGAATATAACATCATATATATTTTGACATTTGAACAAGTGTATTTTTAATTGTCATAGAATACACACAACATAAAATTTGCCATTTAAATCACTTTTAACTGTAAAATTCAGTGGTGTTAAGTATATTCACAATGTGATAGAATTGCCTGGCATGGTGGCTTGCACCTGTAGTCCCAGCTACTCAGGAGTCTGAGGCAGGAGGCTTGCCTAGACCCAAGAGTTCAAGGATGCAGTGAGCTATCATTGTACCACTGCACTCCAGCCTGGGCAACAGAGCAAGTTACCACCTCTGAAAAAAAAGTGATACAGTCATCACCATTATGAATTTCCATAACTTTCTCATCATCCCAAGTGAAAAGTTTGTACCCTTTAAACGTTTATTTCCCCTCCCCACTCCCCTAACCCCTGGTAACCAGTGGAGAAGAGGGGGATTGGGAAACTGGGTGAGGGAGAACTCAGGGCTCTGAGACACAGTCCAGGAAGAAGCAGAGCAGAGACAGCACCCATGCTGGCTCTTGGGAGATGCTGCTTGGGCAGGTGAAAGCTTTCTGTGGCTGTGTTTCTATCCCTGCATGACCACGTTGATGCAGGCTGCCCGCTGTGGGATGTAGGATCAAGTCTCGTGGGTCCCATGGCAGTGTGTCCTGTGACTCCACCTTTCTCCCCAACAATGTGTCAGAGACAAACACTGACAGCCTTTTGTTGGGGCACTTGACACATAATTCACTACCTCTTCCTATGTGCATTCCCTCCAACAGTCATGTTACGTATCCTCCAGAGACTTCAGAAATGTCCTGCTTTCAGTCCAATTCTTTCATGATGGTCAAGGGGAATTGCATCAGTAGAACATGGATTCTGCTTTCCAATATGCTAAAGAGAGTTTGAATCTATGGTAAAAACAAATGAGATTGTACTATAATTTTGATATCTAATACTATTCATATTGATTGTGTGCCATTCTTTTCTGGGATCAGAAATAACTTTGGATCATGCGATCTCTATTTGGTGCCCTTTGAACATTTTCTTCATGTGTGGTAGCACTGTCTCATGATGCTGCAGGGCTTGGACTTTTGAATGAAGATGTTTGATCATTTGATACACACATGCACACACACACACACATACACACACACGAGAGAGAGACAGAAAGAGAGAGAGAGATCTGTGGACAGTTGCGCTAGCATAGGCTGGCCTAGGATACAAGTAAGGAGAGAAGGCAGGTAGAATAAGATGACCCTCAGTGTCCTTATGTTTGCCCCTGAAGGACTTTCTTGTCCAGTGATTGAATCCATTTCTAGCACCAAGACACCAGCCAGAGTGTGCTCTACCAGAGCATCCCAGCCCATGTCACTCATAGGGCAGTAAGTGAGATCCTTTGGAGGATACTTGAAGCACAGTCCAATGTTCATGGAAATTATGCAGTTGTTTTCTGGTAAGATTGCTGGAAAGTAAAGCCCCTTGAAAATATCTTTGTAAGCCATGCCTTGACTAACACCATTTTTATAAAATCTTATCTCACTGTGGGAAGTCTCTTTTAGGCTCTTCTCTGCTTCAGTCACAAAGTCTTTTTCCTCAAAACACAAATAATTCTTAAACTTTATCAAGGCCTTATCTTTGTAAGTATCAGGCAATGACTTGACTGTCTTTGTTTCTTCAGGAAGATTCATATAAAATCCCAGGATGTCTCCTTGTCTATAGCTAGAAGAGTAGTGTTTGCCAGTGGACTGGTGGAACTTCATTCCCTTTAATTCTCCCAAGAATAGTTAAACTTATCATAAACTAAGGAAGCTTGACAGTTATCTAAAGACTGGGACCAACCCAGTCTGGCAGCAGTGTCTGGTGGCATCTCATCCATGGTGATATCAAGGTAACCCATGAGAATCCCGTACCATAGAGTAGACCTTCTGTTCAACCACAGTCAGCCAGCAGGTCATTGGAGACTTTTAACTGGGGAGCTCAATTATGTCAGGCTAACAAAACCTGTTCATACAAGCAGCCTCTGTAGAGGTCTCCAGGAATAAGGAATTTTGCCCAGCAGTCAAGTTCAAGCTTCTGAGGACCAAGGGCGTGGGGATCAGGCTCAGCTAGAATATACTGGTAGTTATCTTTGTTCAGTGGGTGCTCTAAGGTGTATGAGAGGGAAGGCACTGAGCAGAAAACCCTGGACCTTCTTGGTGGTCCCTGTGATCTCCCCATTCAGCTGTTTGCACTGAGCTTCTTTTCCTTTTTTCTGCTGCTTCCTGTTGCTGTTCCCTCATTCAGATTCTCACTGGTAGACAAGGTATTGCTTTGTTTTTGTTGCATAAACAGGACCAATGTTACCAAGGTCCTGGTCTAAAAGTTCCAATCTAGGGTCATCTCCTTTTGGTTCTTTACTCACTAGATCCAGTGGTTCTTTTACCAAGAATATATCACTTTCTTTACTCATTGTTTTCACAATTGTATTTGGTCAAGTCATTTTCCCAGGTGTCTGAATGATTGTTGTGCACTTCCAGTATTTACAATAAATGGTATAATAACCTTATCTCTGGAAAAGGTTGTCTTTGGATATTCATCCTCTTTTTGTGACTGCCATGTCAAGTTGGCCAAAGCACTAAAGCACATTTCCTTCACGTTTGCTTGTATCTGGAGGAAATAGGTATTCTCACTATGACTGCATATATTGCAATGAAAATATAGTTAGTCATGAAAGGTAGGCAGGATGAAGTATCTATGCCAGATATTTCAACTGTGAACCACTTTGGAAAGCAACAGATGCCCCTTTCCAGCTGAAGCAGCTGCTACCACTGCCACCAGCTTCATCTCCCCCTCTTCTGCAGCCCTTGCATTTGTGGCCACTCCTGGACTGGGTCCGGCACCTGTGTGCTATCATTATGCCCCCACCCCGCCCCAGATTTCTTCACATTATTCTGAGTCCCCTGTAATGAGGCACCTCCTGCTCTCTTGGATTGTTAGGATGCTGCAGGGCTGGCAAAAAATGAAAGACGTCCTGGATACTTGTGCACACTCTCCTACTACTGTATCTTTCTACTGTTCTTGGAAGTAGAGCAATGGTGCCAAATATAAATCTTCCTCTTTTTGACTGTGGTAAAATATTCAAACATAAAATTTGTTACCTTCACCATTTCATGTGTACACTTCAGTGTCACTAAGTAAATCAACTTGTACAATCACACTGCTACCATTCATCTTCAGAAATTTTTCATCTTCCCAAACTAAAACTTCGCAACCATTAAACAAGAACTGCCCGGCTCGGTGTGGTGGCTCACTTCCTTGATTTCAGCACTTTGAGAGGCCAAGGTCGGTGGATCACTGGAGCCCAGGAGTTCAAGATTAGCCTGAGCAAAATGGTAAAACCCCATCTCTACTAAAAAATACCAAAAGTTAGCTGAACATGGTGGTGCATGCCTGTAATCCCAGCTACTTGGGAGGCTGAGGCATGAGAATCGCTTGAACCCAGGAGGCAGAGGTTGCAGTGAGCCAAGATTGTGCCACTGCACTCCAGACTGGGTGACAGAGGGAGACTCAGTCTCAAAAACAAAACAAAGCAAAACTAAACTAAACAAAAAACAAATAACTGTCCATTCTCCCCCTACTCTCCACCCCAAGGACCTGGGAAACTTCATTATACTTCTTGTCACGGTAGCTTTTACTACTCTAGGTACCTCATATAAGGGTAATGAAACAATTTTTGTTCTTTTGAAGCCAGCTTATTTCTGCTGGCATGATGTCTTTCAGGTTTATCTGTGCCATAGCATGGGCCAGAACACTCTCTTTAAGGCTGAATACTATTCCCTTGTGTGTGTATACTATATCCCATTTATCCATTAGATGGACACTTGGGCTGCCTCTACCTTTTAGCTATTGTGAACAATGCTGCTATGAACAAGGGTGTACAAATTTCTCTTTGAGACCCTGCTCTGAATTCTTTTAGGCACATACCCAGAAGTGAAAATTCTGTTAAAATGGTAATTCTATGTTTAATTTTTTGAGGAACTGCCATAAGGCTTCCACAGTGGATGCATCATTTTATAGTTTCTCCACAATTTCTACTCATCTTTGCCAGAACTTGTTATTTTCTATTATTTTGGTAACGCCATCCTACTGGGTGTGAAGTTGTGTATTATTGTGGTTTGATTTGGATTTCTCTAATGATTAGTGATGCTAAACATCTTTTCATGTGCTTATTGGCCATTTATTGATCTTCTTCGGAGAAATATCTATTCAAGTCTTGGGCCCATGTTTTATTCAGATTGTTTCTATTTTTTTATTCCTGTTGAGTTGTAGGAGTTCTTTCTATATCCTGGACACCTTACCAGATACAATGTTTGCAAAATATTTCCTGACTCCATGATTTGCATTTTCCCTCTGTTGATAGAGTCCTTTGTTGCACATAAATTTTACAATTTGATGAAATCCAATTTATCTATATTCTTTTTCTTTTTTTTTTCTTGTGCTTTTGGCGTCAAATACAAGAAATCATTTCCAAACCCAATGTTGTTAAACTTCTTCCTAGTGTTTTCTATTAAGATTTTTACAGTTATGGCTTTTCCATTTGGGTCTTTTATCCATTTCCACATTGCATGTGGATATCCAGTTTTCTCAAAAACATTTTTTATGGAGTCTGTCCTTTCCCCACTCAATGGTCTTGCTACCCTTATTTAAAATCATTTGATCATATAACTAAGAGATTCTTTCTGGGTGCTCAATTCTATTCTATTTGTCTGTCTATCTATTTGTCTGTCTATCTGTACCACTCTGCTTTGATTGGTGTAGCTCTGTAGTATGTTTTGAAATCAGGAAGTGTGAAATCTCCAACACTGTTCTTCTTTTAGAAGATCATTTTGGCTATTTGGAGTCCTGTGATAGTCTATGTAAATTTTAGAATTAATTTTTTCTACTTTTGCAAAAAAAATTATTGGAATTTTAATAGAGATTGAAATGAATCTGTAGATTTCTTTTGGTTTGTATTGATTTCTTAACAATATCAAGTTTTTCAATTCATGAACAAATGTTTTCTTTCCATTTATTTGTGTATTCTTTAATTTCTTTTAGCAATGTTTCTTTCCATTTATTTGTGTATTCTTTAATTTCTTTTAGCAATGTTTTATAGTTTTCAGTATAGAAGAGTCCCCTTCTTGATTCTTAAGTATTTTATTCTTTCTGATGCTATTGTAAATTGAATTGTTTTCTTAATTTCATTTTGGGTTGTGTCCTGTCTTCTTGTTTCCTGTTTGGTTGATTAAGTATAGAAATATAAGAACCCTGTTTGTTTGCTTGTTCGTTTGTTTGTTTGTTTTTGAGACAGGGTCTCACTTCATTTCCCACGCTGGTATTGAACTCTCTTGATCCTAACCAATCCTTTCACCTCAGCTTCCCCAAGAGCTGGGATTACAGGTATGAGCCATCATGGCTGTCCATTAGATGGTTTTATGTGTTGATTTTGTATTCTGAAATATTACCAAATGTATTTAATAGTTCTAACAGTTTTTGTTTTGGTGGGACTTATTTTATTTATTTATTTATTTATTTATTTATTTGTTTATTTTACTTTAAGTTCTGGGATACATGTGTGCAGAACCCGCAGGTTTGTTACAGAGGTATATATGTGACATGGTGGTTTACTACACCTATCAACCTGTCATCTAGGTTTTAATCCCGGTATGCATGAGGTATTCATCCTAATGCTCTCCCTCCCCTTGACCCCCAGCCCCCCCGGACAGGCCCTGGTATACGATGTTTCCCTCCCTGTGTCCACGTGTTCTCATTCTTCAACTCCCACTTATGAGTATGAACATGCAGTGTTTGATTTTCTGTTTCAGTGTTACTTTGCTGAGAATGATGGCTTCCAGCTTCATCTATGTCCCTGCAAAGAACATGAACTCATTCTTTTTTATGGCTGCATAGTATTCCACAGTGTATATATGCCACATTTTCTATATTCAGTCTGTCATTGATGGCCATTTGGATTGGTTCCAAGTCGTTGCTACTGCATAGAGTGCTGCAATAAACATATGTGTCCATGTGTCTTTATGGTAGAATGATTTATAATCCTTTGGGTATATACCCAGGAATGGGATTACTGGTCTCAAATGGTATTTCTGGTTCTAGATCCTTGAGGAATTGCCACACTGTCTTCCACAATGGTTGAACTAATTTACATTCCCACTGACAGTGTAAAAGCATTCCAATTTCTCCGCAGCCTCACCAACATCTGTTGTTTCCCGACTGTTTAATAATTGCCATTCTAACTGGTGTGAGATGGTACCTCACTGTGGTTTTGATTTGCATTTCTCTAATGACCAGTGATGATGCGCTGTTTTTCATATGTTTGTTGGCCACATACATGTCTTCTTTTGAGAAGTGTTTGTTCATATCCTTAGTCCATTTTTTGATGGGGTTGTTTGTTTATTTCTTGTAAATTTGTTTAAGTTCCTTGTAGATTCTAAATATTAGACCTTTGTCAAATGGGTAGCTTGCAAAAATTTTCTCCCATTCTGTAGGTTGCCTGTTTACTCTGATGATTGTTTCTTTTACTCTGCCGAAGTTCTTTAGTTTGATTAGATCCCATTTTCAATTTAGCTTTTGTTGCCATCGCTTTTGGTATTTTCATCATAAAGTATTTGCCCACACCTGTGTCCTGAATGGAATTGCCTAGGTTTTCTTCCAGGGTTTTTATGGTTTTGGGTTTTACATTTAAGTCTTTAATCCGTTTTGAGTTAATTTTTGTATACGGTGTAAGGAAGCGGTCCAGTTTCTGTTTTCTGTCTATGGCTACCAGTTTTCCCAGCACCACTTATCAAATAGGGAATCCTTTCCCCATTGCTTGTTTTTGTCAAGTTTGTCAAAGATCAGATGGTTGTAGATGTGTGGTGTTATTTCTCAGGTCTCTGCTCTGTACCATTGATCTATTTATCTGCTTTGGTACCAGTACCATGCTGTTTTGGTTACTGTTGCCTGGTAGTGTAATTTGAAGTCAGGTGGTGTGATGCCTCCAGCTTTGTTCTTTTTGTTTAGAATTGTCTTGGTTATCCAGGTTCTTTCTTGGTTCCATATGAAATTTAAAGTAGCTTTTTTCTATTCTGCAGAAAAAGTCAGTGGTGTCTTCATGGGAATAGCATTGAATCTATAGATTACTTTGGGCAATATGGCCATTTTCACGATATTGATTCTTCCTATCCATGAGAATGGAATGTTTTTTCATTCCTTTGTGTCCTTTCTTATTTCCTTCAGCAGTAGTGTATAGTTCTCCTTGAAGAGGTCCTTCAAGTCCCTGTAAGTTGTACTCCTAGGCATTTTATTTTCTTTGTAGCAATTGTGAATGAGGGTTCACTCATGATTTGGCTCTCTGCTTGTCTATTTCTGGTGTGTAGGAATGCTTGCGATTTTTGCACATTGATTTTGTATCCTGGGACTTTGCTGGAGTTGCTTATCAGCTTAAGGAGTTTTTGGGCTGAGATGATTGGGTTTTCTAACTATACAGTCATATCGTCTGCAAACAGAGACAATTTGACTTCCTCTCTTCCTATTCAAATACGCTTTATTTCTCTTGCCTGATTGCCCTGGCTAGAACTTCCAATGCTATGTTGAACAGAAGTGTTCAGAGAGGGCATCCTTGTCTTGTGGTGGTTTTCAAAGTGAATGCTTCCAGCTTTTGCCCATTCAGTATGATGTTGGCTATGGGTTTTTCATAAATTCCTCTTATTATTTTGAGATATGTTCCATCAACACTTAGTTTATTGAGAGGTTTTAGCATGAAGGGATGTTGAATTTTATCAAAGGGCTTTTCTGCATCTATTGAGATAATCATGTGGTTTTTGTCTTTAGTTCTGTTTATGCGATGGATTACATTTATTGATTTGTGTATGTTGAACCAGACTTGCATCCCAGCGATGAAGCCGACTTGATTGTGGTGGGTAAGTTTTTTGATGTGCTGCTGGATTCAGTTTGCCAGTATTTTATTGAGGATTTTCGCATCAATGTTCATCAAAGATATTGGCCCGGAATTTTCTGTTTTTGTTGTGTCTCTGCCGGATTTTGATATCAGGATGATGCTAGCTTCACAAAATGAGTTAGAGAGGAGTCTCTCTTTTTCTATTCTTTGGAATGGTTTCAGAAGGAATGGTATCAGCTCCTCTTTGTACCTCTGGTATAATTCAGCTGTGAATCTGTCTGGTCCTGGGCTTTTTTTGGTTGGTAGGCTATTAATTACTGCCACAATACCAGAACTTGTTATTGGTCTATTCAGGGATTCAGCTTCTTCCTGATTTAGTCTTGGGAGGGTGTATGTGTCCAGGAATCTATCCTTTCTTCTAGATTTTCTAGTTTATTTGCATAGAGGTGTTTGTAGTATTCTCTGATGGTAGTTCGCATTTCTGGGAGATCAGTAGTGATATCCCCTTTATCTTTTTTATTGTATCTATTTGATTCTTCTTTCTTATTTATTAGTCTAGCTAGTGGTCTATCTAGATTGTTAATCTTTTCAAAAAACCAGCTCCTGGATTCATTGATTTTTTTGAAGGGTTATTCACGTCTCTATCTCTTTCAGCTCTGCTCCGATCTTAGTTATTTCTTGTCTTCTGCTAGCTTTTGAATTTATTTGCTCTTGCTTCTATACTTCCTTTAATTGTGATGTTAGGGTGTCAATTTTAGATCTTTCCCACTTTCTGCTGTGGCATTTAGTGCTATAAATTTCCCTCTACACACTTTTCTAGTTGTGTCCCAGAGATTCTGGTACATTGTCTCTTTGTTCTCATTGGCTTCAAATAACTTCTTTATTTCTGCCTTAATTTCATTATTTACCCAGTAGTCATTCAGGAGCAGGTTGTTCAATTTCCGTGTAGTTGTGTGGTTTTGAGTGAGTTTCTTCATCCTGAGTTCTAATTTGATTGCTCGGTAGTCTGAAAGACTGTTTGTTATGATTTCCATTCTTTCGCATTTGCTAAGGATGTTTTACTTCCAATTATGTGGTCAATTTTAGAATATATGTTATGTGGCACTGAGAAGAATGTATATTCTATTGATTTGGGGTAAAGTTTTCTGTAGATATCTATAGGTCCACTTGGTCCAGAGCTGAGTTCATGTTCTCTCTTATTTCCTTGAGCAATGGTTTGTAGTTCTCCTTGAAGAGGTCCTTCACATCCCTTGTAAGTTGTATTCCTAGGTATTTTATTTTCTTCGTAGCAATTGGGAATGGGAGTTCACTCATGATTTGGCTTTCTGCTTGTCTATTGCTGATGCATAGAAATACTTGTGAATTTTTCACATTGATTTTGTATCCTGAGACTTTACTGAAGTTGCTCATCAGCTTAAGGAGTTTTGGGGCTGAGACGATGGGGTTTTCTAAGGTTGGGATATCCTTGTTCATTTTCTGTCTCATTGATTTAATATTGACAGTGGAGTGTCAAAGTCTCCCAGTATTATCATCTGGGAGTTTAAGTCTCTTTGTAGGTCTCTAAGAACTTGTTTTATGAAACTGGGTGCTCCTGTATTGGGTGCATATATATTTAGCATAGTTAGTTCTTCTTGTTGCATTGATCCCTTTACCATTATGTAATGCCTTTCTTTGTCTTTTTTGATCCTTGTTTGTTTAAAGTCTGTTTTATCAGAGACTAGGATTGCGACCCCAGCTTTTTTTTTTCTTTCCATTTGCTTGGTAAATATTCCTCCATTCCTTTATTTTGAGCCTATGTGTGTCTTTTGATGTGAGATGGGTCTCCTGAATATACCACACCAATGGGTCTTGACTCTTTACCCAATTTGCCAGTCTGTGTCTTTTAATTGGGGCATTTGGCCCATTTACATTTAAAATTAATATTATTATGTGGGAATTTTATCCTGTCATCATGATGCTAACTGGTTATTTTGCACATTACTTGATGCAGTTTCTTCATAGCATCATTGGTCTTTATATTTTGGTGTGTTTTTGCAGTGGCTGGTAGCAGTTTTTCCTTTCCATATTTAGTGCTTCCTTCAGGAGCTCTTGTAAGGTAGGCCTGGTGGTGATAAAATACCTCAGCATTTGCTTATCTGTAAAGAATTTTATTTCTCCTTCACTTATGTAGCTTAGTTTGGCTGGATATAAAATTCTGGACTGAAAATTCTTTTCTTTAAGAAGTTGAATATTGGCTCCCACTCTCTTCTGGCTTGTAGGGTTTCCGCAGAGAGATCTGCTGTTAGTCTGATGGGCTTCCCTTTGTAGGTAACCTGACCTTTCTCTCTGGATCCACTTAACATTGTTTCCTTCATTTCAACCTTGGTGAATCTGACGGTTATGTGTCTTTGGCTTGCTCTTCTCGAGGAGTATCTTAGTGATCTTCCTTGTATTTCCTGAATTTGAATGTTGGCCTGTCTTGCCAGGTTGGGGAATTTCTCCTGGATAATATCCTGAAGTGTGTTTTCCAACGTGGTTCCATTCTCCCCGTCACTTTCAGGTACACCAATCAATTGTAAGTTTGGTCGTTTCACATAGTCCCATATTTCTTGGAGGCTTTGTTCATTTCTTTTCCTGCTTTTTTGCCTTATCTTGTCTTCACACCCATTTCAGTAAGTTGATCTTCAGTCTCTGATATACTTTCTTCCACTGGTTTGGTTCAGCTATTGATACTTGTGTATGCTTCATGAAGTTCTTCTGCTGTGTTTTTCAGCTCCATCAGGTTATTTATGTTTCTCTCTAAACTGATTATTCCATTTAGCTGTTCCTGTAACCTTTTATCAAGGTTCTTAGCTTCCCTTCATTGGGTTAGAACATGGTCCCTTAGCTGAGAAGAGTTTGCTATTTTGGTGGAAGTTTTATGGATTTTCTACATATAAGATTAGGTCATCTGAAAACAGAGATTATTTTACTTTTTCATTTCTAATTTCTTTTCTGTTTATTTCTTTTTCTTGGCTAATTGCTCTGGCTAGGTCTTCCAATACTATTTGGAATAGAAGTGGTGAAAGTGCGCATCCTTGCTTTGTTCCTGAAGTTACAGGAAATATCTTCAGTCTTTCAGATTGCACGTGATGTTAGCTGTGGGAGTTTCATACATAGGGTTTACTATGTTGAGGTAATTTCCTTCTATTCATAATTCACTGAGTGTTTTTGTCACGAAAGGGTGTGGGGTTTTGTGAAATAATTTTTCTGTAGCCAGGGTCTTACCGATTTGCATCTAGAAAAGCCAATCTGTTCTATACCCACCCATACCTTCTCCACTATATGCCTGGTGTTAGAGAGGAAGGAATACCTTGTGTCCTTCAGGGGCCAGGGGCCACTCCACCAGACCCACAGCAGTAGTCACCTGTGTGACAGGGTGGGGGAGCAAAAGAGGCCCTCATGGGTAAAACTGTGGACTCTGCTTGAAGCCGTAGTAGCTCTTACCTCTCTATAGATGTTGACTGAGATGGGGCTACCCCTGCCACCCTGGACTCAGACATAGGCAAGGGTCCAGGGACAACAGGGGACTGGACCAGAATCAGAAGCAATAAGGTGAGGGGACTAGGCTCAGGCTCCTGTGGCTAATATCGGGTGACAGTTATAGGGAGTCACCCCATTTGTCCCAGAGTTGGTGGCTGTGTTGATGAGTCTTTCAAGGAAGCCAGTTTCTTCCTCACTCTGACCACCTCCAGCTGATAACCCCTCTTAGATTGATCAGGTTTGGATGGCCCCAGAGCTTCCATTAATGGGATATAGTTTAAAGATAAGGGTGTGGAATGATTGCTTCATGCAAATCAGCCCTCTTCCCTTGTCTCCCAGCCCCTTCATAGGATCTCAATGCTGACAGTCACCTGCCCACATTTTCCAGGTGGGGTGGAGAAGGCCAAGCTGGCTGCACCCAGTTTCCTGTGAGGACACAGCTGCTGAGCTCAGTGAGCAGTGAGCAGATGACACAGGGTCATAGCAGGGGCTGGCTTCCTGGCTGTGGTCACCTGCAGACCCTTCAGGGATAAGTCCACAGCATCCAGTGCTGCCCCAGGCCCAGACCGACTGAGTCTTTCAATTTCTCCCTGCCTTTCTTCATCTCTTCCACTCCAAAAGAGACAACTGTGAGGGCCCTTGTGAATATGCATCTGTATTTATTTCTGTGCACAGAACTCTTGAACCATGACATACCTGCCTGGTCTACTGCTATTTTTAGTAAAGCCCTGGGATCTTCACCTTGCTGAAGTAGATTCCCTGACAGACATCAAAGCAGGGAGTCAAGCTTGATGAAGGGGAAGCCACTAGGAATGCAGGGCTGTGCCTAGAGCTGCCTGCTTCTTCCTCACTGAAGAGTGTGGCCCATTTCCAGGTTCCCAATTTCTCTCCTGAAAGCCCTGCACTCTAAGGCTTGGTCTCTCCTCTGCTCTCAGCTCACCAGCCTCCAGCATCAAATGAACCCGAAGTTGGTCTCTCACTAGATATAAGCAGAGCCAGGCTGAGCTCTTCTCTCTCTCACATGTTACTTATGCACCCCAGGCTGAAGCCCCTCTGTGTGGGGACAGAGTAGCCCCATGCATCTGGGTGTGACAGGACATGAGATCACTTGTCTAGCGCTCAGGCTGAAGCAACCCCTGGGGAGGCCCTGAATCTGCAGACTTGAAGGATAATAGAAAGAATAATTAGAGAAGTGAGGAGGCATCATTCATTGGGAATTATATCACATGCATTTCATGCTCACTGATGTGCTCACTTGAGTGTATCTTTGCTAGCAAAGCTCTGTCTTTGTAGTTAAGCCCCTAGACCCAGCATCAGTAAGGGGATGACTGCCCCAGCTATGCCTCTTCCAGGTTGTGACACTGTGTGGAGTTGCCAGATAAATTAAAGGGCACCCAGTTATGTTTATATTTAAATACACAATATTGTCTGGGGGATACACATACTGACTCTTTTTTTTTTTTTTTTGTATTTTTTTTTGAGTCAGAGTGTCACTCTGTTACTCCACCTGGAGTTAGTGGCCCGGTCTCAGCTCACTGCAACCTCTGCCTCTTGGGTTCAAGTGATTCTCATGCCTCAACCTCCTGAGTCACTGGGATTACAGGTATATGTCATGAGGCCCAGCTAATTTTTGTATTTTTAGGAGATACGGGGTTTCACCACGTGGGTCAGACTTGTCTCGAACTCCTGGCCTGAAGCAATCCATCAACCTTGGCTTCCAAAAGTGCCAGGGTTAAGGTGTGAGCCACGGCGCCCAGCCTACCTATTGATTCTTCATCATTGTTTTACCGAATTCAAATTTAACTGACCTCCAGTGTTTACATTTGATAAATTAGAGAACGCCATCCCCAGGTCACAAACAGTTCCTCTCCAATCAGGACCACTGCCTCAAAAGCAATAATCGGGCTACTGTCAGGATTACATGAAGTCACAGTCTCAGGAATTAAAAAGTTGTTTGTCAATAGTAAGGTTGTAGTGGTACTAAAGAAAACATAATGTGGTTGCCCACACAGACACAGACAGACCCCCTTGTTTCTACACACAGATCCTGGCTGGGAGGGAACATAAATGTAAGCATTCCTGGTCACTTCAGCTGAGAGAAACCAACAGGCCAGGAGACAGGATGTAGGAGGGGGAAGTGGTTTCCATAGTTCTCATGTGGCATCTTGTTTGTGTATTGCCTATTTAAAACCAAGAGAATAAAACAAAATTGTTGAATAATGGCGAGAAGTGAGTATAATCGCATGAGATGCAAGTAGGGCTGAGCATCACTGGAGAGAGAAGATCAAATGCCTACAGGACTCGACGCTGTTAGGGGCCCCAGAAAATGTATTGATTTTTTAAAATTCAGATTAAAAGGAATATAGGCTACCCTGGATTCTATATGTGTATATACAAATGCAGGAATGGGCATGAAAGGCAAAATGGCTAGGGGCCCTCAAAGGTACTGATGAGCCCTTTATGGGATGAGATGTCATTCAGCAACAACAGGGAGAATCTCAAAAAGTGTGCGGAGTGAAAGAAGCCTCAACAAATGGCAAGAGAATGTTTGTGAACACTGATACCTTCCAGAAAATGGAAACCAAACACTAATGACAGAGGAGGATCTGTGGCTTCCCGGGAGGGCATTGGGGTAGAAAGGGAGATGACAAAGGGTCATGAGGAGCTGCTGGGGTTGGTCACAGCTTGCATAGCTCGGTGGTGGTGATGCTTTCAAGGATCCAGAAACATGCCAAAATGGGTGTCATGGTATATTATAAATATAGGTGTTTTCTCGTATGGACATTATTCCTCCTTGGAAAGGGTTTTATTAAAAAGAGTAGGCTGGGGAGGAAAGAAGCCAAGCGATTCACCCTGAGGAGCAGGGACAGAAAGCCAACAGTCGGAACTTCCAGAAATCAGGAAATGAGGTTGATGGAGACACAGGTTCTGCATCAGGTTTGTGATGACAGTTGGACCTGACACCTCAGCCCAGGACTTCACTGCAGAGACCCTGTGTCCCAAGGTACAAAGAGATGGATGTTCTGGTCCCTGGAGGCCCTGTTCCTAGGAAGGAGCTGCTGTGCATGATTCTCAGAACAGAAAAAAAGAGAAGCCTCTACTCTGAGGCAGGGCCCTGGATGCCCCTGGACCATGGGGGAAGCTGCAGCAGCAGAAGCCACAGGCCACGCCTGAGCAGTAGCAGCTGAGCGCTCACCCTCCTGGTAGAGGAGGAAGGGGGTTCTTCTCTCACCTCCCCCTGGGCCTGGAGCACTGTGTGAGCATTCAGGCTGTTATCCCATGCTTTGCAGTAATAATCAGCCTCATCCTCAGACTGGAGTCCAGTGATGGCCAGGGAGGCTGAGGTGCCAGACTTGGAGCCAGAGAATTGGTCAGGGACCCCTGAGGGCCGATTGCTGTTACCATAGATGAGGAGTTTGGGGGCTGTTCCTGGAAGCTGCTGGTACCAATGTACAACATAACCCGCCCCAATGTTGGAGCTGCTCCCAGTGCAGGAGATGGTGACCCTCTGCCCTGGGGCCCCAGACACTGAGGGCGGCTGCGTCAGCACAGACTGGGCCCAGGACCCTGGAAGTGGGAGAGACACAGGCATCATGATTCTGCTTCTAGAGACAAGAGGAGAAAGCAAGAATCCATAGGCTTCCCAGGGACCCTCCCCTCGATCTGCATCCAGTCACCTGTGCAGTGAGCGAGGAGAGTGAGGAGGAGAGAAGACCAGGCCATGCTGGAGATTGTCCTGAGTGCTGCCTCCTGTGCCCACAGCTGAAGCAGAGCTTCCCCAAATCTCTCCCTGCCCCTCTTCATACTCTGAGAGTGGGAATCCCTACCTTGTGCAGCTGACCCTGATGAAAACACAGGCATAGGAAGGGCACAGGAGTCCTCAATTCCACCCCCTTAATCCCTGGGGCAGAGACCAGAGAAGTCCCTGCTGCACTCCAGGGTCTGAGAAGAGATCTCCACTTGGTGGGATCACAGGGGAAGAAGGAAGAAGGGACTCCAGGAGAACTAAGGTCATATGGGCATGACCTGAAGATTCCTGGGGTTCGGGTGAAGATGTAGGGAAGTCCACCAAGTAGATACAGATGTATAACATTAGATAAATAACAGGATCTAGGAGAACTGGACTCCCGGGAAGGAGAGATTGTGATTGAGAAAGACACCCTGGCAGGGCAAGTCCTCAGAAATCCAAGAAGTCCAGGAGCTTGTTCACTGGTTGGGCCTGATCTGCTGGGGCTACTGGAGAGGAAGGCAGGGAGGAGCCACGTGTCAGCAGGAGAGGTGAGGAGAGGGGGAGAACATGAGCAGAAGAAGAGGAGATGCCACTTTAGGACAGCCTGGATGGGAGGTGTGCGATGGGAATGTCCACATGTACAGGAATATTTCTAGATATGTCATATAAATGGGATCAAGTTAATTTTTAGATTGCTGTGAGAGAAGAAGACAAATTCAAACTATCTTGCTATTATTCTAAAAGGCGGTGTATCTTCAGCAAAGGAAATTTGCTTCACAGGTGCTATCCTGGTGGACTGTAAGCACTGGGTTTTACAAAGGCTTTTTTACATTTCTTTTACCATCATACTGCTTTTTTTTTCAGAAATATATATACCAATTAAAATTGTTGACATGTTAATACTACATTTTTTTGAAAGTTATGCACTTACCTTTTTGAAACATATACTCTGAACCTTTCAGACGTTATTCATTGAGAAGACCAAGAACATTCACTACCTAATGTATTCATGCTGTTGTTTCTGAGGAGTAAACTCTTGAAGAACTGGAATTAATTTTCTTAGATCTTGGAGTAATTCTTTATTTTTTTTTTTTGAGACGGAGTCTCGCTCTGTTGCCCAGGCTGGAGTGCAGAGACATGATCTCGGCTCCCTGCAAGCTCCACTTCCCGGGTTCACGCTGTTCTCCTGCCTCAGCCTCCTCAGTAGCTGGGACTACAAGTGCCCACCACCATGCCTGGCTAATTTTTTGTATTTTTAGTAGAGATGGGTTTTCACCATGTTAGCCAGGATGGTCTCGATCTCCTGATCTCGTGACCTGTCTACCTTGGACTCCCAAAGTGCTAGGATTACAGGCATGAGCCACCACGCCTGGCCAGATCTTGGAGTAATTCTTAAGAGATAATGAAACTTTTCTTTGCTAACCCTGTATTTATCTAAGGAACTCTTCCATCTCTCTTTTTTGTGACAATGGGGGGTAGATACATGATTAGCATCATTAGCTGCTGAGGGAAAATGAGCCATGACCGGGAATGAGAACAGAAGAGTATAGAATTTTGGAAATCAAATAGCTCTAGACCTGAGCAAATAACATGAAATCATTTAGTAGAGGCGGCACTTTCTAGAAGGACACTGAGAAGGAAAATCTAAGGTTGAGTGAACTAGGAGAGTTCAGTTATCCCTTTAATAATGGGCTTTGTGTCCTGAAGGGGCAGGGTCAGAGCTGAATCAAAGCCAGGTTGCTGCTGATCCCAGACCCTGTGACCAGGACCCAGGGAAGACTCTCAGCAGTGATACGGCTGACCTGGCGGAGCAGCCACCTTGAGATGAGAGCAGAAGGAGGCTCCCTACACAGTGCATGGACAGAGGGGGAGGTGCAGGTGCTGTCCCGAGTCTGGTCCTCACTTGAAAGAGGGGCAGATGGAGGACAGGTGCCGAGGTGATGGTAATCAGTGGCTTCTAGTGTGGCTTCTTGAACTTCTTCCCCTCCAACTTTTTTTTTTCTCCTCTGGGCTTAGGAGGCCAACATGAGGGTGTTTATCTGCTTCCTGTCTCTCTGGAGGCTACCTGATTCTCCTATCAATGCCTTCTTGATGAGCATGGATGTGTCTTGGCCCAGAATTGATGTGTGAAAAGAATATCAGAAAGGCCAGAGAGCCCACGATGGAGATTTGTGAGTCAGAGACTCTCTTGCCTGTGTCCCAGCCCAGCTTTCAGTTTTCACAAGACAATACCCATCACGAACTGAAGATGAGGGTGGAGGGTAGAGTGATTCACACAGGGGGGCTACTTAGGCAGAGCTCCTGGTCTTTTTCCTTTTCCTGTCATGTCTGGACCTCAGATCTCCCAGCCATGAGTTCAGCATGTAAGTGTCCCCAGCTGCAATGCTAGGGACAGGCAGTGTGTGGCCCAAACCCATAAGGTAGGCTCCCTGGTCCACATGATGCTGTCATGGGAGATGGCATGAATGATTTAGTCTGGTTGTCCTGAAGGCTGAGATTCCTCACCAGTGGGTCAGGGAGGGCAGATCTTTCTCATTCTGGAACTTTTTTTTTGTGAGGATGTCATATATAAAACTGGAGAGTCATTTTGTTTCCAAATAGGAATTCAGCCAGGGGACAAGAGAGGTTATGGAGAACTAACATCTTATATATCTCAGAGATAAGTTTTCTTCTCCACGTTGCCATGTGGAGAGGAAAAAGTCCTGTGACACCTTTGAACAAGGCTGGGGAGCTGTTGTCTAAGTTTTCATTGTGACAATGAGCTCAAGCCTTCCTGCAGCCCCCTTGCACTTGAAGGACCCCCCAGCAGTGTGATCACTGTGCCCCACTCAGGTCCTAAGGCCAGCCTTGAGCCTCTCCCCTCACCCAGGCTTCAGTACCTCCTCCCCAGACACTGGTGCTGAATCTGACCACTCTCTCCCGGTGACTAGAGCTGGTCCCATGGCCTTCACACTGCCTACCTCCTTGTCCATCTTCTCTGAAGCATCTGGAGTTTTCCTCACAAACTTACCTCAGACTGTCTCCTCCTTGTCCAGCCCTCTAGTGGCTCCTCTACCCTCCCCCATGCAAGCTCTCCTCCCCTCACTGTGCGATGCCACCTTATCACATCAATATTCTAACTTGATTCTCTTTTCCACGAGATGGTGCCAGCTAGAATATTCTAGGCTTATCTATCAGCCTTCATCCATTTTGGTATCAGTGCTGGGTTCGGCTACGAGGGCAAAAATCTTAGATGTCAGAGTCTGGGAGCTCAGTACAATCAAATTCCCTTGAAAGCCCCCAGTTCTATTGGCCTGAGAGTGAGGCTCAGCCTCCCCTCAATGCCTGAGTGGGCAATAATCCTCTACGAATTCTTATCTGAGGAAAGGAACCTCTTCAAAGCCTTTTTTTTTTTTTTTTAGCCTATTCTTACCCAAACTGGAACACACGAAGAAATGAGTAGATGGCTCAGGAGATCTGGTCCACCATCTGGGCCTCAGTTTATGCCACCCGTCCTCACTTCAGTAAGAGGGTCCTCACTATTTTCTGGTCCCAGACACCTCCACCACCTCCCTCCACCATCTGGGGGGACTGGCTGGCTCCGCTGCCTGGTATAATGCCTGGGCCTCCCCTCGTCCTTGGTGGCTGCCTCCTTGGTGTTTCTGTAGAAAGAGAAAGCCAGGGGAGGCTGGGAAAGGGGAGAGAGGGGAGCCCTGAGTAGATTCCTGATTTCTAACTCTTTCTTCTCCTCACTGGGGCGCTAAGAGGTGAGGAGCAGTTTGCAAGGGGTGGGGTTGGTGCCCTCTAACCCAGTCCTGGGCACACAGAAATAACTGTTTCTACAGATTCAGAGACAGCCCTTACAGAGTTTGGAAACAATGCCTGGGATGGAGGCCCTGGGCTGAGCAAGGTCCTCAAGTAGCCCTGAGCCCTCACCTGGCCATAGCTACAGTGAGGAGAGTGATGGGAGGAGGGTGAGGGAAGGAGTCCAGGTCTTGGGGAGCACCTCTGCTCCCTCAGGTCTCTAGTGAAGCTCAAAGGCCCACACCCCCTCCCCCACTCCCTCCCTCCCCACACCATGGGCAGGCACAGGAAGGACTGTGAAGACACAGCTGGACCTGCCACCTCAGCCCAGGATGTCAGTGCAGAGACCCTGTGTCCCAAGCTGCAGGAGCAGGATATTCTCATTCCTGGAGTCCCTGTTCCTGACTCTGAGGACAAAAGTGGTGGAGCCTCCACTCCTAGGCAGGGCCCTGGCTGCCCCGTGGCCCATGGGAGAACCTGCAGCAGCAGAAGCTACAGGTCAGGCGTGAGCAGCAGCTGGCGGCACTCACCCTCCTGGGGGAGGAAGAAGGGGGTTCTTGTCTCAGTTCCCCATTGGGCTGGAGCACTGTGCCAGCACTCAGGCTGCTATCCCATGTTCCGCAGTAATAATCGGCCTCGTCCCCAGTCTGGAGTCCGGTGATGCCCAGGGTGGCTGACGTGCCAGACTTGGAGCCAGAGAATCGGTCAGGAATCCCTGAGGGTCGCTTATTATTGTCATAAATGAGGAGTTTGGGGGCTGTTCCTGGGAGCTGCTGGTACCAGGATACATAATTATTCCCAATGTTGGAGCTGCTTCCAGAGCAGGAGATGGTGACCTTCTGTCCTGGGGCCGCAGACACTGAGGGCGGCTGCGTCAACACAGACTGGGCCCAGGACCCTGGAAGCAGGAGAGACACAGACACGGTGATTCTTGGTCTAGAGAGAGAAGGAGAAAGCAGGGCCTCATGGGCTTCCTGGACCCCTCCCCTGACCCTGTGTCTGGGCACCTGTGCAGTGAATGAGAAGGGTGAGGAGGAGAGGGGAGCAGGTCATGATGAAGATTGTCCCGAGTCCTGCCTTCTGCGCTCACAGCTGAAGCAGAGCTTCCCCAAGTCTCTCCCTGCCCCTCTTTATACTCTGAGAGAAGGAGGGTCCATCCATGCAAATCAGACCCTCCAGCTTTCTGATCCCACCCTGGGCCCTGGGTCAAGCTCCTCTGCCTGAGGATGTCAGAGAGTGCCAGGGGTGGGGCTGTGTGGTCCCAGGGGGTGGAGAGTTGACATCTGTGAGCCCTAAGCATAGGGCACCAAGCAGGACAGGTGGCGCTGGTCCTGCTCTCATCACACCCAGTCTTCTCAGGAATGGTGCGCAGGCGCCCCCTAGTGTCCATGGTGCGACATTGTACACCACCATTGTATGACAAGGTGACCAGAGCCTCTCAGAGACACCCCTGCCTCCCCGTTGTTCTGTCCATGGCCCCCTCCATCAGGGCCAGGCCAGGCAGCCCCCTGAGTCTTTTCTTCGTGACCTCAGGGCAGACTTCACATTCTACTGGGTTCCTCAGGGGTGAATCTGTCCATGTCTCCTTGGCTGTTCACTGTATAGGACTCAGGTGGTGACTACACAAAGTCCTGTTATGGCAGAATGAAATCGAGAGCACTGACCAGCCCCATGGACTCATTTCCTCACCTGTGGGGACACCGGGTCCTCTCTTGTCGTGTGGCTGCTCCCTGGTGGCCAGAGCTGTCCTTCCTCTGTGGATTCTGCAGTGCTGGGTCAATAGGGAGCTCTTCCCTCCAGGATGGCTGGGGCACATTCTCAGAGGGTTATGCTGGTAAATCTTTGTTCTGTCTCTTCTTTTCCAGACTTGCAGTCATAGTCATCTGGATCCTGTGACCAGGGATCTCACCTAGGAGTCTGTTCTCCATCACTGAATGCCAGTCTGCAGGAGATCCTGGCGAATGACTTTGCAGTGTTTTGCTAAAGAGCAAAACAAGCAAATATGCTCCGTATTTGAAGATGGAAGAATTAAAACTTTAGCTTGTTTAGACCACAGTCTGCACTCAGGTGAGCCTGACACATGGTAGCTTTTAGGATCAACCATTCCAACTAGGATGTTTAGGAAATAATACTGTTCAAAATCACTAATGAGTGTTTTCAGCATGTCCTAAAGATGAGAGAAATTATTCATCTTTGATGTGTAATGAAACCTAGAAGATGATACATTAAAAACAATAAACTGAAGAAAAAAGATAACCGTATTTATTAAAATGAAACAAATTATGTGTATGACTGCAAGAGTTCTGGCATGATGCATCTTGGACTCAACAAATCTTTGTTTGGGGAATCCCATGTGGTTGGAGAACAGCAGGATAGTTATTTACTCTGGTGAGTCTGTCACCAGGCAGTTGTAGTACCATGAGGTTTTACATGCACCATTTAAACAATGTACTAGGCCGGGCACTGTGGCTCACGCCTGTCATCCCAGCACTTTGGGAGGCTGAAGTGAGTGGATCACTTGAGGTTGGGAGTTTGAGACCAGCCAGGTCAACATGATGAAACCCCATCTTGGGCCGGGTGCAGTGGCTCACACCTGTAATCCCAGCACTTTGGGAGGCCAAGGCGGGTGGATCACGAGGTCAAGAGATCAAGACCATTCTGGCCAACATGTTGAAACCCCATCTCCACTAAAAAATACAAAAAATTAGCCGGGCATGGCGGCGGGTGCCTGTAGTCCCAGCTACTTGGGAGGCTGAGGCAGGAGAAGGGCATGAACCCAGAAGACAGAGCTTGCAGTGAGCCGAGATCATGCCACTGCACTCCAGCTTGGGCAACAGAGCGAGACTCCATCTCAAAAAAAAAAGAATGGTCTCTTTACGCAAGAATGATGGATGTGGATTTTGTGTTTAAGTCTTGAAAAAAGAGTCAGTGACCTCGAAATCTCTTGAAAGAATATGCAGAAAGCTTCCTGTGCACTCTCCTAGAGTCACCTAGTTCCTGAATTTTGAGAAGCAAGTGATAGGTCACTCGGGCCTTCAATGGGGAAAGTGATGTTCAGAACCATGTCACCTCAGGTGTACACTGCAGGTGACAACACAGTCTCAACCCAGCCATCCCCCATCCCACACCAGCTGCAGCAACATTCTCTACACTCTCACATAAAAAGGGTTATCTGGGGCCAGGCACGGTGGCTCATGCCTGTAATCCCAGCAGTTTGAGAGGCCAAGGTGGGCGGATCACAAGGTCAAGAGATCAAGACCAAACACGGTGAAACCCCGTTGCCACAAGGAAAAAAAAAAATTAGCCGGGCATGGTGGCACATGCCTGTAGTCCCAGCTACTAGGGAGGCTGAGGCAGGAGAATCACTTCAACCGGGAGGCAGAGGTTGCAGTGAGCCAAGATCGCGCCACTGCACTGCATCCTGGGCGACAGAGCGAGACTCCTGCTCAAAAAAAAAAAAAAAAAAAAGGGTTATCTGGGCTGGGCGCATTGGCTCACGCCAGTAATCCCAGCACTTCAGGAGGCCGAGGCGGGCAGATCACCGGAGATCAGGTGTTCGAGACCAGCCTGACCAACATGGAGAAACCCCATCTCTACTAAAAATACAAAAATTAGCCAGGCGTGGTGGCACATGCCTGTAATCCCAGCTACTCGGGAGGCTGAGGCAGGAGAATCGCTTGAACCCAGGAGGTGGAGGTTGTGGTGAGCCGAGATCCAAGATCATGCCATTGCACTCCAGCCTGGGCAACAAGAGTGAAACTCTGCCTCAAAAAAAAAAAAAAAAAAAAAGGATTATCTGTGCATTTACTCAGGTCTTCTTTAAGACCTGTGTCTAAACAATGTTTTAGGACTTCTAGTGTGTAAAACAACAATTTTTGTCATACTTATCCTAAAGTATTTCATGCTTTATGCTATTCTCAATGTATTGACTTTTCAATTACTGATGGTTCGTTACTGACAAAGAGAATACAATTCCCATCTGCATCCCTGTATTGTATCCCAAGGCTCATATTAAAACTCTCAGACCAGCAGCATCTCTGAGTCACTTCTAGACTCTGAGCTGAGATGAACCCCAACCCAGCCCTCTTGCCTTCTTCAATGTCAACACTGAGAGATTTTACCCCTGAGCAAGGGATGTCTGCCTGTGAAATGCGAGCAAGGTAGGACTTTGTTAGACCTACTTCTCCGTGGGAGCTCCAGTGCTGTCGATGAGACAACAGATGTCACCCCCTGAGCTAGATTTGGTCAGAGCCACCAGCAGGGGTGATTTCACTAGACCAGGAGAGTAGAGGGGAGGGTTTTGTCTTACTTCCTCATGGGTCTGGAGCACTGTGTGAGTCTTAGAGTTGCTGTGCCATGTACCACAGTAATAGTCAGCCTCATCCTCAGGCTGGAGCCCAGAGATACGCAGAATCCCTGCATTGGCTGATGCATCGTTGGATCCAGAGAAGCGGCTGGGAACTCCAGAGCCTTGGCCCTTATTGGAGTCTGAGTGGTAGTACAGGAGATACCGGGGAGGGTTCCCTGGCTTTTGTTGGTACCACCTTATCCAGAAGTCCCCAACACTGAAGCCACTGCTCAGCATGCAGGTGAGTCTGACTGATGCTCCAGAAGATGCAGAATGGGAAGATGGCTGAGTCAGCACAGGCTGGGAGAGGGAACCTGAAAACACAGACATCATGGGTGATAAGGCAGTTCCCAGGGTAAAGCTTCTTGTAGGTCTGAGCCACAGGGGATGGTGTAGGTTGGACACTGAGACTCAGTTTATAAGGACTTTCCCTACCTGTGCAGTGAGAGAGGAGCACGAGAAGGAGAAGAGTCCAGGCCATGGTGGACACAGCCCCTGAGCCCTAACAGTGGGCCTGAGCTGCCCCAGGTCTCCTCTTCTTCTCCATCCTCTGCCAGAGGAGGGGCTGCTCATGCAAATATGTTTCCATCCAAGGACTGCCCAGCCCCTCCCTGAGCCCTGGAGCTGAAGCTTAGCTCACACTCCAGACTGAGGAGGAGGAAGGTTTGGTTTCCCCCTCGGGAGGGCCCTGGGAGGAAGCACCTGCCGAGACCATACACAGGTCTCTGCTTAGGGGACTCTGCCAGGCCAGAGAGGACACAGCTCCTGAGTCCCCATCATTGAGCACAGGGCACAGGTTCCTTGGAGTGAATGGTTCTTACTAAGCAGCTGTGTAGGGACCATAGGGCAGTCCTGCAGCATCCCCTGATGGTTGCAAGGCACACACCTCCTGATATAGTGTGGATGTGTGTCCTCTCTCAATCTCCTGTTGAAACGTAATCCCCAATGTTGCATGTGGCACCTGGTGGGAGGTGGTTGGGTCATTGAAGCGGATTCCGCGAGGCTTGGTGCTGTCCTCATGACAGTGAGTGAGTTCTTGCAAGATCTGATTGTTTAGATGTGTGGAACCTCCTGCCTTACTCTCTTTCTTGCTCCCACCCTGCCATGAGAGATGTCTGCTCCCACTTCATGTTCCACCAAGTAAAATCCCCTTGAGGTGTCCTCAGAAGCCAAGCAAATGGAGGCACCATGACTCTTGTACAGCCTGCAGAACCATAAGCCAATTCAACCTCTTTTGTTTGTAAATTTCCCAACAAATTTCTTTGTAGCAATGCAACAATGTCCTAACACAGATAATTGGTAAATAAAGTATGGCTAAAAGATACCTGATAGTACAAAAGCAGCTGTGGAACTCAGTCATGGCCAGAGGTTGGAAGGGTTTGGGGGGCTCAGGAGAAGACAGTGTGAAAGGAAAACAAATCTTGGGACCCCACTCAACCTGGGAACTGCTTAGAGCAAACCTGCCTCCCAGTCTATTGAAAGTCTCCCCTCTGCTCACTGAGAGAAACACATATCTGATTGCCTCCTTTTGGAGAGGCTCATCAGAAGCTCAAAAGAATGCAACCATGTGTCTCTTATCTATCTAAGACTGGAAGCCCCTTCCCCACTTCAAGTTGTCCTGCCTTCACCTGGAGCTGTTCCACCTTTCCAGACTGAACTGATGTACATCTTACACATGTTGATTGATGTCTCATGTCTGCCTAAAATGCATAAAACCAAGCGGTACCCCTACCATCTTGGACACATGTCATCAGGATCTCCTGAGGCTGTGTCACAGATGTGCCTCCTCAACCTTGGCAAAATAAGCTTTCTGAGTTAACTGAGACTTGTGTCCAATTTTGGGGGTTCACAACAGGAAGATTAGAAAATGCTTCAGACTTTATAGAGACTGGTTAAATGGTTGTGATCAAAATGCTGATGGTGTTAGGAACAATGAAGCATAGGCTGTCAACATCTCAGACGGAAAGTGAGTAACTTATTGGGAACTGGGGCAAGTATCTCCCATGTTATGCCTTAGGAAAGAGTTTGGCTGAATTCTATTCATGTTCTAGGAATCTGTGGAAGTTGGAACTTCAGAACAATCATTTAGAGTATCTGGCAGAAGAAATTTCTAGGCAGAAAGAGTTCAAGAGGTGGCCTGGCTGTGTCTACAGCCTATACTCAGATGTGAGATCAAAGAAATGACTTTAATTTGGAATTTATATTTAAAAGGAAAGCAGAGCATAGAAGATTGAAAAATTTTCAGCTTGACTATGTGGCAGAAAATAACATCCCCTCTTCCTGAAAAGAATCCAAGTGGGCTGCGAAACAATCACTTGCTAGAGGTATTTGCGTAACTAAAGAGGAGCCAAGTGTTGATAGCCAAGACAATGGGAAAAAGACCTCAAAGGCATTTCAGATATCTCTGAGGCAGCCTCTCACATTACAGGTCCTGAGGCCTAGGTGAACTGAATGGCTTGCTGGGTCTGGCCTAGGGCCCCACAGTCCTGTGCAACCTCATGGCTGATTCAGCTCCAGCCTTGGCTCAAGAGGCTCCAGATAATGCTATGCCACAGTTTTGGGGAGCAAAAGCCATGTTAAGCCTTGGAAGCTTCCATGTGGTGTTAAACCTGCAGGAGTACAGAATGCAAGAGTGCTGGAGCCTCAACAACCTCCACCTAGATTTCAGAGGATGTATGGAAAAGCCTGGGTGCTAAGGCAGAAGCCTGTTGTGGGGGCAGAACCCTCCCACAGAACCTCTACTAGGTCAGTGTGGAGGGGAAATGTGGGGTTGGAGGCCCCAGACCGAGTCCCCACTGGGGCACTGCCTAGTGGAGGTGTGGGAAGGAGGTCACTGTCCTCTGTATTCCAGAATGGTAGATCTACTGGCAGATTGTATCCTACACCTGGAAAAGCTGCAGGCACTTAACAGCCTATGAGAGTAGCCACAGGGGCCGAACCCTGCGTAGCCAAATGGGTAGAACTGCCCTCAGCCTTGGTAGCTTGCCCTTTACATCAGTGTGCCCTGGATGTGGGAGACGGAGTCAAAAAAAGATTATTTTGGAGCTTTAACATTTAATGAATGCCCTGCGGGGTTTCAAACTTCCATGACATCTGTAGCCCTTTTTTTATGGCAGTTTTTTCTCTCTTGGAATGGGAATATTTACCCAATGTCTGTACTACCAGTGTATTTTGGAAGTAAATAACTTGTTTTTTATTTTACTGGCCTATAGGTGAAAGGGACTTGCCTTAACTCAAATGAGACTCTGAACTGTGGACTTCGACTGAGTTGATGCTGGAATGAGTTAAGAGTTTTGGGGATTGTTAGGAAGACATTATTGTATTTTGCCATGTGAGAAGAACATGAGACTTTAGAGACCAGGGGAATAATGGTATAGTTTGGATGCTAAACTAAATCTCATGTTGAAATGTAATTCACAAGGTTGGAAGTGGGACCTTGTGGGAGGTACTTGGGTCATGAGAGAGTATCCTTCTTGGGTTGGTTTTCACCTTATGATAGTGAGTTTTCATGGGATTTGGTTGTTCAAATTTGTGACACCTTTCCTACCCACTCTCTATCCTGCTCCTGTTCTGCCATGTGAGATGCCTGCTCCTACTTCATCTTCTGCCGTGAGTAAAAACTCCTTGAGGCATCCCAGAAAAGGAGCAGATGCCAGCACCAAGCTTCCTGTACAGCCCACAGAACTGTGAGTCAATTCAACATTTCTTTGTAAATTTCTTTGTAAATCATCCAGTCTCAGAGATTTCTTTATAGTAATTCAAGAATGGCCTTACACACCTCCCCATGGTGCAGAGACCTGAGAGCCCAGCTGTCTTGTTTGCCAGGCATTGTCTTGGTTCACACATAGAGGATCTGACTTCTAGACACATTGATGATATTATGGTGTGTAGATTATGGTGGAATTTCTCACTGCTAGATGGAGTGCAGATCTAGGTGAGGTGCTTACATGCATGGTAATAATGACTTAGGGGGTTAGCATCCCCAGAGAAGATGTTGCAAACATCACATTTCTTCACTGATATATGATTTAGAATATACACACAGTGTTAGTGTCTCATCTCTTTTGTTCTAAGCAATACACTCCAACTACTCCATACTGAAGCAGAGCACAGGTGCCCTGGAGTCTCCACCCCACCCAGGGATCCTCCAGCAGAAGTGCGTGTGCCCCTGCATACCTGCAAGTCCCATATCCAGACCTAGTGTTCAGGGCCGTGGGATAACAGCCAAAAATAGGAAATCATTTTACTCATCAATGGAAAAATGGTGACACAGTCATATAATGGAACTCAACAATGACGATAAATCAATGTCTGCCATAGACAAGAACATGGATGTGTTCTGTAATACTGAACCAAAGAAGCCAGGCTAAACAGAATGTGCTGTATTTTATAGAAGTCAAAACCAGGCAGAACAAATCTACATCAGGAACTGGGAAAGTAGCTATTCTGTGGGTTGGGGCAGCAGTGCCTGGGAGAGGCCACAGGGCGAGGCTACTGCTTGGTCCAGGGCGTGGCAGCCTGGTGTGCTACAGTTCATCTAGATGCACACTTATGATTCGGGCACTCTTCTGTGTGGACATTAACATTTCAATAAAAAGCTTATTAAAACATTAAAACTTTCAGAAAAATCCACATTGCTTCAGTAGAAATTAGCACATTAACGTTTAAAAAATACATGTATACGGTGGGGGAAAAAATAGTTCAAAAGAGTACCCAGTGAAAAGTTTAAGAGGGAGTGATGCCAGCAAGGGGCTGATCAATAGCCCCTTGCACTCATCCCCTGACAAAGACAGCCAAAGCAGCAAACATCTATATTTTGATGAAAGTCACTAAAAGAGAGCCCCAGAGTGCATCAAGGAGTAGCAGAAATCCAGCAGAGCACAGAAAACCAGGACGGTCACATAAAGGAGGGAAGGAAACATCTGGCCCCCACCACCCATTCCCCCAGAGGGATCAGCCTGAAGCAGAGGGGATGTCTCCCTGCAGGGATAAGGAAGCAAGAGGGGCCCAGTAGCCCCAGCACTCCCCTCAGAGAAGGAACTGACATTGTGCCCCACCCCCATGGACCAGCTGCTGCTGCAACGTGCCCTCCTGGACCTGGACCACTTCGGGAGCATGTCCCACCCAGGGTGAGCTGCCACCGCACCCTTCTTCCATCCTCAGGCTTTGTTGCTCTATATCACACCCACCTAGTGGCCCACCACCCCCGAGCCGCTGTTACACTGTCTTAGGCCATTTAGTGTGGCTGTAACAGAATACTTGAGACTCGGGGTAACTTATTTTATAAAAAAGGTTTATTTGGCTCACCCTGCTTGTGTCTGAAAAGTCCGAGATTGGGCAGCACAACTGGCGAGGGTCTTGTGCTGCTTCATCTCATAGGGAAAGTGGAAGGGGAAACAGGTGTATGCAAGGGGCTCACATGGCAAGAGAGGAAACACGAGAGTCTAGGAAGCTGAACTCACTCTGATAACAATCCACTCCTGGTAACTAATCCAGTCCCATGAAAAGGCATTAATCTATTCATAAAGGATCTGCCCTGTGACCCAAATACCTCCCACTAGGCCCCACCTCCCACACCACCACATTTGGAATCAAATTTCAAATGGATGAAATTTCAAATGGCTGGTGGGAACAAATGATGTCCACATCACAGCATACACCCCACCTGCAGGGCCACGCTGCTGTGCCCCTCCCCTCCCAGCTGCCATTGCGCCCTGCCCCTTGGAGCCTGAGCTGACTTGGTGCCCTGCTTTCCAGGGAATCAGTGCCTTAGCCAGTCTGAGCAGTCACACCCCCCACTGCATGAGAGCTGAAGCGCTGCCCTGCTTCACAGGGAATCAGTGTCTTGGCTGAGCTGAGCAGCCACACCTGCCAGGGATGAGCCAACATGGCACCCCCATATCCCAGGAAAACGGCATTGGCTGAACTGGGGTACCTTGCCCTTCAGGACAAACAACTGTAGAACCCTGCTTCCTTGGAACTGGACTAGCTCTGGAGAATCTGAGTTGCCCAGGCACCTGCCTCCCCAGGGAGAGAAGTAGTTGCTGCACTGGTCCCTGCCCCCGAGGGCCCAAGCCACAGTAGTGCTCCACCATTCTGGGGTCCTTGCTGATGCTGCGCCTGGCCTCACAGAGACAGAGATGCTGCTGTGTCCCACCACTGCAGGGTCCAGAGTCACTATCATGTCACTCCCATGTCCAGAGTCACTCCCATCCCCTGGGAGTTTACTTCTTAAACTCTTCGAAAAAACAGAGCGAGAGGAAATAATTCCAAACACATTTTACCAGGCCAGTATCACCTTAATACCTAAGCCAAACCAAAACACACACACACACACACACACACACACACACACACACACACACACCAAACAAACAAAAACTACAGGTCAACTTCTCCAATAAATTAAACACTGATGCAAACATCCTAAAAAAATTTTAGCAAATAGAATTCAACAACATATCAAAAACATTATACATCGTGTTTAAGTGGGATTTATCCCTGGCATGCAAGGCTGATTTAAAATATGTAAATCAATCAATGGGATATATCACATTAACAAAATGAAAGATAAAACGATATGGTCACCTCAATTGATGCAGTAAAAGCATTTAACAAAGTTCAGCAACGTTTCTTGATAAAACTCTTAATAGTTTATGTATAGAAGGAAAGTTCCTCAACACAATAAAGACCATTTATGAAAAACCCACAGTCTAATCATAGTTAGTGGGGAACAACTAAAGCTTTTCCACTAAGATTGAGTACAAGATAGGGATGGCCAGCCTCATCACTTTTATTCAATAGAATACTTGCAAGAGCAATCAGATGAGGAAAAAAAGGCAACTAAATTAAATAAGTAAAATTATCTCTATTTGCAGATGACAAGATCCTTTACGTAAAAAAACTCCAAAGATTCCACAAAAAACTGTGAGAACTACTAAATCAATTCAGTTAAGCTGCAAGGTATAAACTCAACATATAAAAATCAGTTGCATTTCTATATACAAATAACGTAGCTGACGAAGCAATCAAGAAAATAATCTCATTTACGATAGCATCAAAGAAAAACAAAAACTTAGGAATAAATTTAACCAAGAAGGTGAGAGATGTGTACACTTGAAAACCATAAAACATTGATGAAAGAAATTTAGACATGAACGAATGAAAAGACATCCCGTGTTTATGGATCAGGAGAATTAATATTGTTAAAATGTTCACGCTACCCAAAGCAAATATACAGATTTAACACAATCCTCATCAAAGTTCTGATGGCATTCTTCACAGAACCGAATAAAACAATCCTGGCCAGGCACAGTGGCTCACGCCTGTAATTCCAGCACTTTGGGAGACCGCAGCGGGCGGATCACGAGGTCAGGAGTTGGAGACCAGCCCGGCCAACAGAGTGAAACCCTGTCTCTACTAAAACTACAAAAATTGGCCGGGCATAGTGGCATGTGCCTGTAGTCCCAGCTACCTGGGAGGCTGAGGCAGAAGAATTGCTTGAATCCAGGAGGCAGAGGTTTCCGTGAGCCGAGATTATGCCACTGCACTCCAGCTTGGGCGACAGAGTGAGACTTCGCCTCAAAAAAAAAAAAAAGAAAAGAAAAAACAATCCTGAAACTCTTATGGAACCACAAAAAATCCCAAACAGCCAACGGATTACTGTGAAAGAAAAAGTTGGAGGCATCACACCTCTTGATTTAAAATTGTATTACAAAGCTATAGTAATCAAAACAGTATGGTGCTGGCATAAAAACAAAAAAATAGACCAATGGAACAGAACAGAGACCTTTGAAATAAATCCAAACATATACTGTCAACTAATTTTTGACAAGGGCAAACAAGACAACACAATGGTAAAAAAGATAGTCTCTTCAATAATAGGATTTTCACATGCAAAAGAATAAAATTGGACCCTGATCATACACCATACACAAAAATCAACTCAAAACAGATACAAGACCAAAGACCCAAATAAGACCTGAAACCATAAAACTCCTAGAAGAAAACATAGGGGGAAAGCCTCTTGACATTGGCCTTAGCAATAATTTTTTGGATATCGCACCACAAGCCAGGCTACAAATGTAAACATAAACAAGGAGGACTGCATCAAACTAAAAAGCCTCTGCACAGCAAAGGAACAACCAACAAAATGAAAGGGGAACCAACAGACTGGAAGAAATATTTGCAAACCACATATGTGATAAAGTGTTAATATCCAAAAATCAGTAAAGAACTCTTACAACTTAATAGCAGAAAAACAACCCAGTTGAAAAATGGGCCAAATAGGAAATGACCAATAGGAAATGGGGAGATGTACATTAAAATAATACAAAGTAGCAGACATGTAGGATGAACAAGTTAGAGATCTAGTGTACATCATGAGGGCTATAGTTAATAAAAATATATTGTCTTTGGGATTTTTGTTAAATAAGTAGATTTTAGCTGTTCCTGTCACACAAACAAAAATCTAACTATGTGAGATGGTAGCTATGTTAATCTGCTTCACTATAGTAACCAGTTTACTATCTATATGTATCCTTTAAGATCATGTTGTCAACCTCAAATATATAAAATAAAATTTATTTTAAAAAAGAAAAGTTTGTCTTCAATCCAGAAAGAACCACTATTACCATTTTTTGGTGTTCCACTCCAAAATATCCCACAAACATACAATTGTTCAATCAAATTTAATGTTAGACTTTATACTTGAACATTCAAAGTACGTAAGAAATTATAGAAAAGTGTCTGTGTGACTCCCTGTCTGTAGAGCACAGGCTTCATCTCCACTAACACACACACGACCAGTACCTTATACAGAGAGTCCTTGTTTGCCTTTAGTCTGACACCATGGGCAAGCCTGAGTTGGCCCGTGGTCCGCGTTCCTGACCAGGTGTCTTTCTCACCCACTGGTTTCAACAAAGATGTTACTGGGTTATAGAAGGCTGGGATGGAAACAGGATACCAAGTTTGCATGAAGACAATATCTGAAAAGAGGTAATTTACTTTAACATTTTCAAAAGAAGATTCATATCCATATTGCGAAGAAACAAAGAACAAAACCTTCACTCCAAACTTCTCTACCTGGCTGCAAAGTATTTGAAGGGAAAGGTCGCTAAGGGAACTATTCTCATAGATCACAGAACTGTTACTGGGTGTGGCCAGGGGGCTGCAGACACAAGGCGAATGGGCATACCGCATAAGACTGGGAGATCTAAGGCTGGAGCTGCTCAACTCTCCGGAGACCTGACTCCAGCCTCTCGTCACACTGGCTAGAAGTCAAGCATGAATGGTAACACCCTGCCCTGAACACTACTTAAGACACTCACCGCTCATCAGCAGCTTATCCTCAAAGCTGGCCCGGAAAGCTCCTTCTGGAGCTCAGAGTGCTTTCTTGATCTGCCCCCTTATCCCACTGACAGTTCGAATCACAGCACCTTCAAATTTGGCCACTTCCAAGGCTGAATTAAACATTCCCTACAGGTACAGCAAGATAAAAACACACACACACACACAAAATCATATACTTTATGCTTTACTTCTTACTTCAAACATACATCCTTGATTAAAGAACAAAAACAACTCACTGAAGGGTGATAAAATAATCAAAATGTATTTGCCCCTGAAAGTGGAATTACTACCTCAAAAAGAATACAACTCTTTCATTTTCCCCAAAATAATCATGTGAGTTCATGGGCATGCTCATCACTGCTGTCTGTGTGGAAGAGAAGATCGAAGAGGGATTTACTGGACTGAACTGGCCTAGGAAGCCTTTGCTGGCATCTCTCAGACTGGACTGCAGCCCAGATCCTTTTACTCAGATGCATGCACTTAGAACATGAAAACAGTAAGATAAACGCTGGTGGTATTATTACCTTATATTGCAGGAACATTTTATGACTTCCTAACTCTGTTTTCAATAGAAACATCCCCACTAATGAAATTGTCAATAAATGCTGCTCAAACCACCCTCCCCAAATACTGAAAAACAGTACATCCGTTTCTCTGTACCCTTGCCAAGTTGTCTGCAAATGCTTTGTCGATTTTTCTACTGAGTTAGACAAACTTGTGATTTTTTTCCCTTTCTTAACACAAATTTAAAAAGTAGGAAACAAAACCTAGTGGATAAAATGACATATTTTCAATATGAGTTCTGTGGCAGTCTCACATGGAAGTCAGGAGTAACAGCCTCAATTCCTAAATAGCTGTTTACCACTGCTTTTCTGAGCATATTTAAGTAATACAGAATATAAAGGAGCAAACAAAATATGAAGTTTATAAAAGATTTCAAACACTTTTCTAAAAATATGAGGCCCATATTTTAGAGGTATTTCATTCCTTTTCTCAAACAATATGGAGATTTATAAATATGAGAATATATAGATATACAGACCTTAATAAATGAAGTGTTCTTAAAAATTTTATATGGAAAACCAGTTAGCTTTAATTTCTTCACAATTTTTATGGATTTATCCAGATCAAGGACAACTCCTGTGGCAGCTATCCGAAAATCAGGCTAACAGGAACCCCAAAATTTGAAAATAGGAATAATATTAGCAAGAGAAAAACTTCAATTCTATGTGACACAATAAATTACCAAAGTGAATTTTACTTACAATTAGCTAAGAAAAACAAGAAAGACCATCTGAACTTGCAACCCAGTGGCTTGACAAAAGCAATCCAAAACTTTAAAGTTGGTAAGCCAAACTAACAAGGGTGACTTGAGGCTGGGCACAGTGGCTCATACCTGTAATCCCAGCACTTTGGGAGGCCAAGGCAGGTAGATCACCTGAGGTCAGAAGTTTGAAACCAGTCTGGCCAACATGGGGAAATCCTGTCTCTACTAAAAATACAAAAATTGGCTCGGCATGATGGTGCACACCTGTAATCCCAGCTACTCGGGAGGCTGAGGCAGGAGAACCGCTTAAACCCAGGAGGCAGAGGTTGCAGCGAGCCAAGATTGTGCCACTGCACTCCAGCCTGGACGACAGAGTGCAACTCTGTCTCAAAAAAAAAAAAAAAAAAGAAAGAAAAAAAAAAGGCTACTTGAGTACTTTCCTGAGAGTGATTTCAGAGGAATGTAATTTTACTATAATGATTTATTTGGAACGAAATGGAAAAGAAAAATACAGTTGCAATGTTTAGGAAATTAAAATTTGGACCTCCAGGGAAGATTCCATCTGCTCATTATTCTGCTTTCTTCTCTGTTAAATGGGACCAGTAAACCCTGCCCTGCCTGACTGGTCAAATGAAAATGGAGTGAACAGACTGCTACCCCAGCACAGCTGCAGGGAGTCTTGTGTCTGGGTGGTCTCTGATGGCTCCTCACAACCTCATACAGTGCTTAGCACATGGTGAGCACTGCTTAAGTACTTGCTTAGATAAATAAATGCAAAAGATGCACAAAAATAGGAAATGTACCATTATAATTCTTCCACCTCCCCTCCTCTAATCCCACACCCTACTGAAAAGGATGTACGAAGATTAAAAGCAAAGGGAAATTTACTTTATATTAATAAAAATGAGTAATTTTCAACTTAAAGTCTCATGTACATAGTAATCCACATTCAGGATATATTTCTCAAAACCAATCTGTAAAAGAAATCATCCAAGATAGTTACCATTATGCCACTGACAGACTGTATTGCCAAGAAACCAGTTCCCTGTGGAGTGATAGGGTCTTAAAGGAAAAGGAAAAAAAGAAATATAGCAAACCACAAATTTTAGATTCTAGTTTAACATACTGGATATGGACATTTAGATTTGGATATAGATTTACGTATATACTCCAAACCACCTCCCTGCTCCCAGAAAAGAGAAAAATCTTAGGAGTGGAATTTTATGAAAGGAAAAGCACAAAGCTAAAATAACGCAGCCTGTAAGGTTTAATCTCAGCAATAGGCAAGTTATTGTAATCATATTTTATCCCAAAAGGCTGCTCCGCGATGCACATGCTGTGGGGTATACTTTAGAAGCCTTTGTCTTCCATTGTGGTCTTCGATATAACAGAGCGGGATGGTCTGAAACCTCCTCCACCCTACAGAAAATATGATTGGATCTCGGGACTTGAGGATTTTCTTATACCAGCGATGTTTCTTCAGACGCATCTGAGGGGGATGAGAGGGTAAGATGATTGATGGAGGGGAAATCCACAGAGCCTCAGGCACCAAATATGCAGCAAAGGGACCCACCTGCACGTATCCAACATTTCCCTCGCTGTTGCCCAAGCCACCCAGGATAATGGGGTAACGGGGGTCAAAGTTCTACACAAATTCACAGGGAACATTTTCAATCTCAACGCAGACGTACATCCCAGGTCGAAAACCCTCATACTGAACTCTGGCTTCATCATCTTGATCTTCAAATTCTGCATGATTCAGCTGTACATGACGGGGTCGGGGGGGGAAACCTGTATGCTGTTATCTGTAATAAACATAGCATTAACATGAACAAATGAGCAATTTCTAAGTAAAGGAACTGTGGACAGAATTATGTAGGCTTTATCCTATTAAAAATACTACATATTTGGCCAGGTACAGTGGCTCATGCCTGTAATCCCAGCACTTTGGGAGGCCAAGGCGGGCAGATCACATGAGGTCAGGAGTTTGAAACCAGCCTCGCCAACATGGTGAAACCCTGGCTCTACTAAAAATACCAAAATCAGCTGGGTGTGGTGGTGCGTGCCTGTAGTCCCAACTACTCAGGAGGCAGAGGTGAGAGAATCGCTTGAACCTGGGAGATGGAGGTTGCAGTGAGTCAAGATCGTGCCACTGCACTCCAGCCTGGGCAATAGAGCGAGATTCCATCTCAAAAAACAAAAAAAAACTACGTATTTTACCTCTACAGTCTGCTCAGAATATGTCCCAACCGTTTTCTTCTCTCCTGCTCCAAGGGACAGCAAATGTAGATAACTGTGGAGCCCTGCGTGCTCGAACATTGGAAACATCCCCAGTCCACATCTTCTTTCCTTCCTCTCCAAACAATTCTTTCACACTTTTCCCTTGTCTTCAAACACCCACCACCACCCTCACCTTCACTCAGCTGATGGCTGTTTCCTGATTCACTCCAAAACCAAAAGAACCTCTACAGTCAACCCTCTACCAGGGTTTCCTCCCATATCCAGCCTTATCAGAGCTCTGACCTGGCCTATAGAGGAGCTACGTGTGGCTATTTAAATTAAAATTAATTACAATTACATAATATTTAAAATGCAGTTCCTCAATCACACTAGTCACACTGGAAGTGGTCCATATCAACCTGCGGCCAATGTTACAATATTGGGAAGCACAGACGTGCATCTCCATGATCACAGAAAGTTCTAAGGGCAGCTCAGGCACAGATGATTTGTACGTGCCTCTACTCAGGGCCACACATCACTTGCTCACTAGACACCATCCACTCTTCCTGGACTTTATTCCAACAGCTCTTCCCTCTGTTCTCTATCTCAAAACCTTTTGATTCCATTTCTTCCACCAACAACTGCTTCATTTCTCTGCTTCTCTCTGCAGCAAAACCCCACAAAAGTTTTCCGCAGTTGCAGCCTCCAGTTCCTCTGCTCCCATTCTCCTACATCCACGAAAATTGGTGCTTGCCAAGATCGCTGAAGGCCTCCACGCTGAAGGACTCCTCCAGTGGTCAACTCTGCCTTTACCGTAGTTAACACTGCAGCGGGATCTGAACAGTGCTTCGCCTCCGTGTACAACTGGACTCCTGCGTGCCTGCATGCTCACACTGCTTCTCCCTCTCCCTCCTAGGCACTGCTCAGGCCTCACGGCCGCAATCGCCCCATCTCGCCCATGCCAGTCTTGCTCCTCCCAGTCACTCTGCACTCACTCCCCGGCCACCTCACAGAGTTAAGTGGCATCTACATGCTGAGGGCTGTACATCTAAGTCCCTGGCCAGACCTGTCTCTCCAGACTTGACACTCCGCTTGTCTGCATGATACCCAGCCGAACCAAACATCATCTTCCCAAAACTGCATCTGCAGACGGTTTCCTATCTAACCTGCAACAACCCACCCTTCCAGGAACTTCCAGTCGCCACCCTCATTTCCTCTTACACACCCCACATTCAGTCCACCAGGAAATCCTACTGACCCAGCTTCCAAATAAACTCAATCCGGGTTTGACTCTGTCTCATCTCCACTGCCAGCCCTCTGGTTTGTGCCACTGGACTGATCTCTTGGCAGAGTGATCTGATTACCTGAATGTCTCTTCTCTGGTCAAAACCCTCCAAGGACTCCCATTTCAGAGTGAAACATTCAGTCTTTTCCAATGGCCCACAAGGCTCTAGGTAATTTTAAATTGTAAATGGTGTGAAGCAACAACTTCAGAGTTAGCCTAGTCATGCCTTTCAAAGGTCAACACAGACTAGCAACCACTAAGCTAATGCCTAATCAGGAAACAGTCCTTTGACTAGATGAAGACGTAGGATGAAACTCCGTTTCACAAATCATATACCTAATCTGTTCCAGCTTACACAGGCACTCCTGGCCTCACTAACAAGACGCAACTCAGATGCTCACCATCAACTGTACATACGTTTCTGTGTCTGTCTCCTTCAGAGTGAGATCACCGCCTCCAGCAACCTGCTCAGCACCCCTGGGCAGGAGGGCCACACCATCTCCCTTATCTCCGCATCTGACCTTATACTCCACATGTCCTTCTGAACTCTGACCAGGATGTTTTCAGAGCACTTCCCCTGGGAGCTCTGGTGTGTCCATAAGCCACACGGGCCACTGATCACCTGCCATTCAAATCAGGGAGCAGCGATCGGAATAGGCAGCATTGGCTTGCACTGAAATGAACACACTATCTCAGATCGCTACATTGTAAAAGTCTCAAAAGTAGAGACCATGTCTCAGTCATTTCGGTTTCCTAATTCTTGTTACAAAATAGGTATGGATCTTTTTCTGGTGACCTTCTGACTGTAGAAACAATGAGCTCACTGCATGAATAAACACACTCACATGCATCTACCCAGGAGTCCAAGTGAAAGGCACAGAAGCAGGATAGGAAGCAGGGACCCAAAGAAAGTCAGGGATTCCTACACTATGTGATAGTCTTGACAAGGGGCTGAGAGGAACTGAGGTTTCTCACCTGTGCTTGTTTCTGCATTTCTCCTTTAAGATCATCAAAATATGTGCTTTCTCCTTCATCATATTCCACATCAAACATCTCCTTCAATTTTCTCTTCTTATCCAAATGCTTTTTCTTGGCACTTTCTTCTTCGTCAGGGTCAATTTCTTCCTTGTTTCTCTACATCTTCATTCTTAAATTTCCAGAAGAAAAAATTTTGTGTATGTTTATGAAGGTCTTTTCTTTAAACATTAGATTTTTTAAAGTTCTATTTAAACAAAAATCTTAGCAAAAATCTGTTATCATTATCAATAAAACAAAACAAAACACAACATAACCTTTGTCTCTGAATAACATGGTACTGCTACAGGAAATTGTTACATCTGCATTACAACTAGCTGCTATTCCTTAAGCTGGCTGGGAACACAAACTAGAATAAAAATAACAGACATGTCCCTCACCCAGATGCTCCCAGACCCTGTTCTAAAGAAATATTAGGGAGAACAGGGATTTCATTCTTTTAAATGACACTTAAATTTAAAAAGAGGAGAATGATGGCAATGGTTGAATGTAAGTCTGAGAAGCTAAGACTTCTGTGAGTGAAAAATCACAGTGGACTTGGCAAATGACTATGGCAAGAAACGGTAGTAACTGTAGTCCAAAACTTAACAAGTAAATAAGAAAGCTTCTCTTTGGTCCCCACATCCCCACACTTTAGGAAGGAATCTATCCATCCAGTCTGCAATCTTCACACATCACAAGTAAGATTTGCATTTCTCAATGCGGGCCTCTCTCAGAACACAATGACCAAGAACAGCCAGCTACGACAAAGTCATACCTGAGTATCGGGGCCCGATTTTCCCTTGTGCACGTCCCCTGTTTCCAAGTCTTCAAAGTCACCGTAGAGCTCCTCTGGGAAAAGAACACCCAAAGGCTGCTCTGTCAGCCCGGCATGCATGTGCTGCTGGCCCCACCCACGACAGGCCCACAATGCGCTCCGTGTTCCAAGTCTGATTCTCACTGTTCCCATCACTAGAAACACAGGCAAAACTTTGCACTAGGGAATGCTTCGTAAAACAGTTAGTATTTCATCATCTGTTTAGGTAAACTAAATGGACCCAATCCACATTTCCGCACTTCATGTCAAAATCCCAATCTCAATTTTTCTAGTATAGATAATGGACACTCTTTTGTTTTTGTTTTTTTTTTTTTTGGAGACGGAGTCTCACTCTGTCACTCAAGCTGGAGTGCAGTGGCACGATCTCAGCTCACTGCAACCTCTGCCTCCCAGGTTCAAGCAATTCTACTGCCTCAGTCTCCCGAGCAGCTGGGATTATAGGCACCCGCCACCAGGCCTGGCTAATTTTTGTATTTTTAGTAGAGATGGGATTTCACCATATTGGCCAGGCTGGTCTCGAACTCCTGACCTCGTGATCTGCCCTCCTCAGCCTCCCAAAGTGCTGGGATTACAGGCATGAGACACTGCAACCGGCCAATGGACACTCTTTATGAAAGACACAGAGGTCTATCTGTGTCCCCCAAACGAATAATTCAAAGAGTGAATGGAAAAGTCCCACGCTGATAACCAGCACATGTGAAAAGGAGTCTCAATGTAAGTTCAACACAACACAATCGTGTAACACACCTAGGGGAAATTTTAGATTATATAAAACATAGCATTTAGATTAAGAGTAGAGTCCCAAACCACACCAAACCCATGGGAAGAGCTTATTCACTCATTCATTTCTTCATTTGTTTTTGGAGCTCTGGGCTCAATTATAGTTCCCACTCTTAAAAGAAACAGACAAGTAAGGCTGGGTGCAGTGGCCCACACCTGTAAACCCAGCACTTTGGGGGCCCAGGAGGCAGAGGTTGCAGTGAGCCATAATTGCGTCACTGAACTCCAGCCTGGGTGACAGAGTGAGACCCTGTCTCAAAAAAAGGAAAACAAAAGAAAGAGGCAAATTAAAACTCATTTGAGAGAACAATGTTTAGAAGGCTATTAAAACATTTTCACGTAAGGGCCAAAGAACCAGGTAGACGTTATAAAAGATAGGAAGCTCCTATTTGCAATAAAAGCAAAAAAGGATAAAATAGGAATAAACCTAACAAGAAGTGCACCGGAACTTTATTTTTTTAAAAAAGAAGAAAAGCTTTAATAGGCTACCAAAGGACAAAAGGAATAGCATCACTACCAACACTCGTAAGTGCTCTCCACACCAGGCACTGTGTTAAGTACTTTCCTTGCCTTAACCACATTCTTCAACCCAAGGAAGTAGGTGTTGTAAATATTATATACTGAATAATGATATGTCCTCATTTGAAAAGAAAGACCCGACATCACAAATACGCCAATTCTCCCTTTAGCACAGTTACAACCCGAAACCACCACTAAGGATTTCTGGTCTAGAGAAGATAACACATTATACCCTCCTAAGAAATGTAACCCAAACTCTAGAAATAATAGACAGGAGAGGATCAATGGAGAATTCCAAAAGGTGGACAGAAAAAGGCTGCTGAGGGACTCTAGGACTAGGGAATGCATAGTGGCCAGGTGTCTCCCTGGACCTCATCCAATAGGAAGGTGACCCAGGCCCAGAGTTTCCCAACTCCCAACGTAGCAATAGAAGGCAACCCAGGCAGACTCAGTCCCCGCAGATCAAAGGAGATCTTCCCCACAACAAGAAAACCAGCTCCACACACCAAGACAACCACCATTCCCCACCCACCTAGCTGCAGCAGGTGGCCCAGCCTAGGGCGGCTCCCCTGTTCCCTCAGGTGGGCAACAACAGGGACTGGTGGGAGAATCCCAGTGATACATATAAGCCAAAGAGACCAAAATAACACCATGAAGGCTCTGAAATTAAATTGCCATTGGAATCACAGCCCACAAAGTAGACCAAGACCTACAGACTAAACCTAAACAGGAGGACTGCCTGCAAAAATAAAAAAATTACATAGGCAGATGTTGGAACCATCTGACTCATCACTTATAACAGTCAGTATAAAAATGCTTCAACAAGCAACTACAAATCCTATGGCAACAATCAAAGAACTGAAAACATCAGCAAAGAAACTGAAGAATCAAATGGAAATTACAGAAATATAAAATCCAGTAACAGAAATTTTAAAAAAACTAACTGGATGGGCCCTATTGAGTAAAAGTGGAGACGACAGAGGAGAGAATCAGAGAAGCTGAAACCTGATCAACAGAATTCACCCAGTCTAAACAAGAGAGAGAAAATAACCTGAAAACAAATGAACAGAGCTGCACGGACCTGTGGGACGATAACCCCGCATTTATGTTATCTGAGTCCCATAGGAGACCAGAGCTGTGAAAGCATGCAAATAACTAATTCCTGAGGCTTCCCACATTTGGTGAAAGATATAAACTTACAGATTCAAGAAGCTGAGCAAACCTCAAAGTATACCAAAAGAAAGCAACACCAATTAAACTTTCAAAACTAAAAACAAAGACCAAAAATGGCAGAATGCCTGTAGGGACACGCCAACTCAAATGCCATGGAGGCCAGAAGGAAGTGGCACAACATTTTCAAGTGTTTAAAAAAAAAACAACCAAACAAAAAAACCAACCAAACAAAAAAACTGTTCGCTGCAAATTCTATATCCCATGAAACTACCCTTCAGAAATGAAGAGAGAAATAAAGACATTCTCAGAGGAAGAGAATATAGGAATTTGTCACTGGTCAATTTAGAAATGCTAAAAAGTGGCTACAGAAATATGTTCTGTCATTTCCACAATACAAAAAATTAAAACAAAAAAATCAAAACAAAAAAATGGCTACAGAAAGTTCTTATGCAGAAGGGATGAATATGGGACTATAGGAGGAGGGACAAAGGAAAGACCAGAAATGTGGATACATACGCGAGACAATCCACAGTTCTTAAAATCACATTTGACGACTGAAACAAAAACTATACCACCACCTAATACTCAAGCCAGTGATTTATACAAGTGGAAAAGGTAAAGAGACATAAATGCAAGGCAGGTTTCCACACTTTGAAGTGGTAAATACTGGTACCAGTAGACTACTGTATTACAATACACATATTGTAACATCCAGAGCAAACACTTTAAGACTATACAAAGAGATACGAGCAACAACATTATACAGAAATAGATCAAGATGGAGGGAAAGAAAAAGGAAACGAAAAAGCAAATAATAAAAACATCAGACATAAGCAATTATGTAACTATAAGCACCTTAAATGTAAATGGTCTAAATAAACCAAAAGACAGATTGATGGAGAGCCTATAATAAACACATGGCCCAACTAAATACTGTTCATAAGAAACTTCAAACTCACTTAAGGACCTAAGTAGGTTGAAAGTAAAAGAATGGAGAAAGATATCCTGTGAAATCATTAATTTTTTAAGGAAGCAGGAGTGAATATATTAATATCTCATGAAGTAGACTTCAAGCAAAATAATTTACCAGAGCTGGAGAGGGTCTTCGCTGAATTTTAAGATCTAAAATTTCCTATGCTGCCTTGACATCTTTGAGCCTCACAGGGCCCCAAAGGCCTAGCCGTGGGTTTTCCTGTTTCTACCAGACACCCCCTACCCTGCCACCCAACAGGAAAGGCTCCCCACCTGGCTAGTTCTTTTATCAGCCAAACAGTTGCACCTCAGCCTAAGAAGCTTCACTTCACCTGTCTGCCAGCCCATGAATTTATTCAAACAAGCCAACTGCATTCCCCCTCGGGAACCATTGGTCATTGTGTGCTCTTGTTACTATCAAGCCTGCCTGCTTCCTCAGCCCACAGCCCTCACTCCGCTACAGAGTGCGGTGCCCATCTGACCCTGTGTGGCATGCAGTGTCCTCCTCTGAGCTGTGGGTATATGTGACTAAAACACTGCTGTCAATCTCATCCATCCACGCCAGGTGTCGTGTTCAGCCATCTCCTACACTTTAGGGCAGGGACCCCTCCTTCACCAATGGGGTGAAAAGGAAGTGACCATAACAACTGCTTAATGACAAAAGGATTAACCCACCAAGAAGACATCTACTTCAACATCCTCCTCTTAGCAACTGTTAAAACTAGGCAGAGGCCGGGCACAGTGGCTCATGCCTGTAATCCCAGAACTCTGGGAGGCAAAGACAAAGGATAGCTCGAGGCCAGGAGTTCGAGCCTGGGCAACATAGCAAGGCCTCATCTCTCCAAAAAATTTTAAATTTAGCCAGGTGTGGCGGCACACACCTATAGTACCAGCTACTCAGGAGGTTAAGCCAGGGGAAGTACTTGACCCTAGGAAGTCAAGGCTGCAGTGAGTCATGTTCGTGCCACCGCACTCTAATGTAAGTGACAGAGTGAAACTAGGCAGAAAAGGAGCAAGGATTTACAAAAGATCTGAACAGTCAACCAGCAAAATCTGACATCCGTATAACACCCCACTCCCCAACAGCAAAACACACACATTTTTAAAGCCAATAGAAATCTACCAAGATGAAGTACATTTGGGGCAATAAAAGAAATCACAGCCGTGCCCCTCTCTGCGCTTTCTTTTCTCACCATGGGGAGGCGTTTGGGGGCCTCTTGAGGGACCCCCTAGATGCTTCTACTCAGAGCCCCCAAAGCCGGGGAGCCTCCACTCCTCTGTATGCAGCCTCCCCTGTCGGTTCTCGCTACCCAGGGTTCAGTGGCCTGGGGGCTGACGGAGGGGGTCGCCTCTGCCAAGGCCCCTCCCGGCGCCTCCCTAGCTCATCCAGCCCACCTTCCTCCCACGCTGGCTCACGCAAAGTGCTCTGGTTACCAGGAGCCCTTCCTGACCAGCCCCGGCCCCTTCTTGGCCTTCGCCCACCTGGCCTCCCCTGGAGCCCTGACCTGGGTGCCGGGCCTGCTGGGTCCAGAGCCCACCCCGCCCTGAACAACCCCGAGTCTCAGCCACCCTCAGTTCTTACCCTTTCACAGCTGGGGAGTGGAGTCTGGGCCGGCGCCTCGCTGTGCCGCGCTGTGCGCCTCTCCGCGCCTGCGCCGCCGCTGTGCCCCTCTCCGCGCCTGCGCCGCCGCTGTGCGCCTCTCCGCGCCTGCGCCGCCGCTGTGCGCCTCTCCGCCGCTGTCCGCCTCTCCGCCGCGCCGCCGCTGTCCGCCTCTCCGCCGCTGTCCGCCTCTCCGCCGCTGTCCGCCTCTCCGCCACGCCGGCGCTGTGTGCCTTTGCGAGGGCGGAGCTGAGTTCTCCTTTGCACAGACTTCGGAGATACAGCGAAGGCAGAGCAATGTTCTCCTCAGCACAGACCCGGGCGGGCGGGCCGGTGGCACCGCGAGGGCGGAGCTGCGTTCTGCTCTGCACAGACCTTGGGGGCACTGCCTCGCTTTGGGACACCTCGGGGCCGCATCGACGGTGAATAAAATCCTTCCTGTTTGCAGCCCTGTTTGTGGTTGGTGGCAGCGATGGACACTGCAGCCAGCCAGAGCGTAGAAAGGCGTTGGGGTAAGCGCGCTATCCAGGCTGCACTGCGGGTGGCCTGGGACCGGTTGGGAGCCCTATCTCAGGCGTCACTGCCCGTCTTGGGTGGCTGGTTGGGTGTGCTATCTGGGGCTGTGCTGCCTGCACGGGGGGATGGTTTGGGAGCCCAAACCGGGGCTGCACTGCCTTTGGCGGGGAGCCGGTTGGGGGCACTATCCCAGACTGTATTGCTGGCAACAGTGAGGTGGGCTAAGTGTGCTATCCGGGGCTGCACTGTGCGGCTGTGGGCGGTGGGGGGGTGGGTGGCGGTTTCGGGTTGAGGGCGCTATGGGGTGCTGTAATGCCCATGGTGCGGGGAGGCGGGGCGGCTTGGGTATGTTGGGTGTGCTGTTGCGGGGGGGCGACACTGCTGGTGGTAGGGGGCAGGGTGGGTTGGGGGCCATATCAGGGGCTGTACTGATTGCTTTAGCTAGGATTTCTGGTACTATGTTAAACAACAGTGGTGACAGGGGGCATCCTTATCATGTTCCAGATCTTAGAGGAAAAGCTTTCCGTTTTTCCCCATTCCATATGATTCTAGCTGTGGGTGTCTTTCCTGTAGTTTTTATTATGTTGCGGTATGTTTCTTCTGTGCCCGTTTCTTTGAGGATTTATAGCATGAAGGGATGTTGAATTTCATCAAATGCTTTTTCGGTTTCAGTTGACGTGATCATACTGTTTTTGTCGTTTATTTGGTTGATATGATGTATCACATTGTATGTTGAGTGACCCTTGCATCCCAGGGATACATCCCACTTGATCATGATGAATTATCTCTTTAATGTATTACTGAATTTGATTCACTGGTATTTTGTTGAGGATTTTTGCATCAATATTAGAGATCCTGGCCTGTAGTTTCCTTCTTTGATGCTTTTGTCTGATTTTGTTATCACAGTAATAATGGTCTCATAGAATAAGTTTGGAAGTATTCCCTCCTGTTTTTCAAAATAGTTTGAGCAGGATTCGTACTAGGTCTTTAAATTGTTTGGTGTGAAGCCATCAGCAGTGAAGACATCAGTTCCTGGGCTTTTCTTTACTGGGAGACTTTTTCTGATGGCTTCAATCTCATTACTTGTTACCAATCTGTTCTGGTCTTGGATGTTTTCATTGTTTAACCTAAGTAGGTTGTATGCATCTAGGAATTTGCCAATTTCTACTAGGCTTTCCAATTTATTGGCATATAATAGCCAGTTATGATCCTTTGAATTTCTGAAGTATTAGTTGTAATGTCTCCTTTTTTTAATCTGTTGATTTTATTTATTTGAATCTTGTCTCTTTTCTTAGCCTGGTTAAAAGTTTGTCAATTTTGTTTAGCTTTCCAGAAAACCAACTTTTCGTTTAATCTTGTGTGTTTTTTATTTCAATTTTGTTTCTGCTACGATCTTATTTATTTTCTTATTTTCGGTTTAGTTTGTTCTTTACTAGTTCTTTAAGATGTATTGTTTATTTGAAGTTTTTCTTTTGTTTGGATGGTAGGCACTTGTAGCTGTAAATCTCTGCCTTTGTATGGCTTTCTGCGTAACAAGTTTTGGTATACTGTGTTTTCATTACCCTTTGTTTCATGAAATTTTTGAATTTCTGTCTTAGTATCTTCATTGACCTGCTAGTCATTTATTCAGGAGGGTAGTGTTTAACTTCCATGTGATTGTATTGTTTCCAAAATTACTTTTCTTATTGATACCTAGTTTTATTCCTTTGTAGTGAAAGAAGATGGCCATGGAGACAGACAGCAGCATGGTCAGAGTGGTAGGAGCCGGCCATCAGCGAGAGCTGCTCCATGCCTGGCTGCTGGATGCTAGAGCCTGCGGCCCACTGGCTTGCCTCACTGTGGTTGCTGGTGGTGGTGACAGAGACTGCAGCATGAACAGAGTGGTAGGACAGGGGCTATCCAGGGCTGCACCTTTCGCAGTGTGGGGTGGGTTGGGGGCGCTATCCAGGGTGTCATTGCCTGCATTAGGGGTACTGGTTGGTAGCACTGTACAGGGCTGCACTGCCCACAGCAGGGAGGGTGGGTTATGGGCGCTTTCTGGGGCTTCAGTGCCCATGGAGGAGGACAGGTTAGGGCATTATCGGGTATACGCTACTGGCGGCATTGGGGGACGGAGGTGGGGGGCGCTATTGAGGGCAGGACTAGCCGTGGAGCGGGGGCGAGTTCGGTGCTATCAGGGGCTGCACTGCTGGCGGCGGTCAACAGAGTTGGCATCCAAGGAAGGAGTGGTTCTCCTCTCCCTGACTCCACACTCCAGAGGGCGACCCACTCTTGGTCATACTGGAATGCGGCAGGGCACACAGCGTTTGCGTGGGAATCCTGAGCATGGCAGAGCCCCCACACCCACCGTGGTTCCTGGGCCTGTGCACTCTGGGTCTGTGCCTCAGAGGCTGCCAGGCACCCCTGGGGACACCATGGGGGACAGGGCCCTGTGCGTGGAGGCGTCCGGAACAGGAATTGGCACCTGGGTGCGGAGGGCTGGCTGGGTCTGAATTTTTCTGCTTCTCCTGCTCCCCGAGGAGTGCAGCCCCGGTGGGCCCAATGGTTCCTGTGGAGTGGGGAGCTGGGTGCTGTGATATCTCCAGCACCCACCCCAGACCCCAGTTCCCGGCCAGCTTGGGCCAAAAGGAGAGGCTGGACTTTGGAGGGTGGGTGTGAGTGCCTTTGCTGAAACTGGCCCCTGCCACCCAGTGGCTGGCATGACAAGTTGAGGCTCTAACCCTTCCACCCCTCACATCTTCCTCTAGGCTTTTCTGGCTTTGCCTGCCCAGCTGCTCCGTGCCAGGAGGAGGAGGAGACACCTTGAGCCTGCGACACCACGGCTTGCCTCGCTGCGGGTGGGTGGCAGTGACGGAGATTGCAGTGCGCCAGAGCGGTAGGAGAGCGGCCGCACTAGGAGGGCAGGTGGCTGCAGCCAGGGTTGGGGTTCAGGCTTACAGCGATGGACGGGCTGCAGCAGTGGCCAGGTGGTAGGAGCCTTGTAGGGAGGGCTGGTGCATTGGCAATGGGCCTGGCTTTGCCCTGCGCCTGCCATGGATCTGGCCCTGTACTGCCCTGCCTTGCCCTATACCTGCTCTACTGTTACCTGGACTCTCGGCCCTGTCCTGCTCTGCTCCCATCCTGACCCTGTCTTGGCCCTGTGCTACCCTGTCCCTGCCCTGGTCTTGCCCTGGCACTGGCCCTGCCCTGAACCTGCACTGGCCTGACCTTGGCTCTGGCCCTGGCTCTGGCCCTGCCCCTTGTCCTGACCCTGGTCCTGTCATGGCACTGGCCCTGCCAATGGTCATGGTCCTGCTCCTGTTCTGGCCCTGACCTGGCCTTGGACATGTCCTGGCCCTGCTTTGGCCCATCCCTGCCCTGGCCCCACCATGGGCCTGCCTGTTCTGCCCTCTCCTGGTGCTGACCTTGCCCTGTCATGGCCCAGTGGTGCCATTGTCCTGCCTTACCCTGCGCTGGTTGTGCCTTGGCCCCGCTTGGTGCTGGCCGCTCCCTGGACCTGCCCTGGACCTGCCCTGACCCTGCCTTGGCTTTTGCCCTGCCCTCACTATGGCCTGGCCCTGGCCCTAGCCCTGGTCCTGCCATATCCCTGGCCCTGCCCTTATCCAGGCCCTGCCCCTGCTGCTGCCCTAGCCCTGGCCTGGAACCTGGTCCTGTCAAGGACCTGCCCTGACTCTGCCATGGCCCTGGCCCTGCTCTGCCTTGTTCAGACCCAGACCCTTTCCTGGCTCTGCACTGGCCTTTCCTTGGCCCTGAGCTGGCAGTGGTCTGCCCCTGGTCTTGCCATCACCCTGCCCTGTTGTGCTCTGGATGTGTCATCACCCTGACCTGGCCCTACTCTGCCTTTGACCCTGCCCTGGCCTTACCTTGGCCCTCACCCTAGTCTTCGCTAGACCCTCATCTGGAGCTGGCCCTAGCACAGACCTGGCCCTGATCCTGGCCCTGGTCTTTGTCCTGCCATAGCCCTGGGCCTGAAGTGGACTTGGAGGTGTCCTGGCCCCGGCATGACATGGCTCTGCATTGGCCTGTCCCTGCCCTGCCGCTACCATCGCCTTGCCCTGCTCTGCCCTGTCCCAGTACTGACCCAGCCATGCTATTTCCCTGCCCTACCCTGTCTTGGCTGTGCCCTGGCTCGGTTCTGTCCCTGGCCCCGGCCCTGCCCTGGACATGCTCTGACACTGCCTCAGCCTCGGCACTAGCCTGGCTCTTTCTTGGCATCAGCCCTGCTCTCTCTCTGGACTGGCTCTTGTCCTGTCCTGCACTGGCCATACCATGCCCTGCCTTGCCCTGCCCTGACTCAGCCCTGGCTCAGCCCTGGCCCAGCCTTGGCCTTGGCATTGCCCCTGGTCCTGCCATATTTCTTGCCCTGTCCCTACCCTGGCCTTGGCCCTGACCCTTACCTTGCTCTGGCCCTGCCCTTGCCCTAACGCAGCCCCTGGCCGTGTCATGGCCCTGCCCTGGACCTGTCCTGGCCCTGGCCCTTCCCTGCTTCAGACCTTGCCCTGGTTCTCCCCTGGCCCTGACCCTGAAATGCCTGGCCCTACCCTGGCCTTGCACTGCTCTGGCCCTTGCCCTGACTCTGGTCCTGTCACTGGCCTAGCCCCAGCCCTGTTGCTGGTCTTATCAAGGCCCAGACCCTGCCTTGGCCCTGCCCTGACACTGTCCTGGACCCTGGCTGTGCCAAGAACCTGCACTGTCCTTACCCTTGTTTTGCTCCTGCCCCGAACCTGGTCCTGCCTAGGCTGTGGCCGTGGCCCTGCCCCTGGCCCTGCCCCTGGCCCTGCCCAGGTCTTGGTACTGGCCTGGCCCTGCCCTGCCTTGGCCCTATGCTTTCCTGGCCCTGCCTTGCCAGCCCTGGCCCTGCCTTGGCCCTAGCCTGGCTTTGACCCTGCCCTGGCCCTACCTTGGCCTTCTACCTAGCCTTACCTGGGCACTGTGTTGGACCTGGCTATAGCACAGACCTGGTTGTGGCCCTGGCCCTGCCGTGGCCCTGGCCCAGACCCTAGCCCTGCCAGGTACCTGTCCTGGCCCATCTCTGGGCCTGGCTTTGTCCCTGGTTCTTAGATGAACCTGGCCCTGCCCCTGCCCTTGCCCTTGCCCTGGCACTGGCCTTGGACATGTCCGTGGTCCTAACCCTGGCCCTGCCCTGGAGCTGCCACTGTCTTGGCCCTGCCCTGGCTCTGGCCCTGCCCTGGCCCTGGCCCTGCCCCGGCCCCAGCCATAGACCTGCCCTGGTTGGTCGTGCCCTACCTTAACCCTGTGCTACCCTGGGCCTGCATCACCCTGCCCTGGCCCTGCCCTCCCTTTGGCCCTGCCCTGACCCCGCCTTGGCCCTCACACTGGCCCTAGCACAGACCTGGTCCTATGTGTGGCCTTGGCCTGGCATTGACCCCTGCTCCTGACCCTGGTCCTGCCATGGCCCTGGCCCTGCCAATGACCCTGGCAGCCCTGACCCTGGCCCTGCCAATGACCCTGGGAGCCCTAACCCTGGCCCTGTCTTGGCCCTGGCCCTGGCCCTGAACTGGCCCTGCCCTGACCCTGGCCCTGAAGTGGATTTGCAGGTGTCTTGTCCCTGATTTAATCTGGTCTTACCATGGCCCTGTCCCTCCCCTGGCTCTGTCCTGGTCTTGTGCTGACCCTGACCCAGACCTTGGCCCTGCCCCAGCCTTGTCCTAGACCTGGCCATGGCCCTGCGTCTGCCCTGGACCGGCGCTGGCACTGGCATGGACCCTGGCCCTGGCCCTTCGCTACTTAAGGCCATACCCTGGCCCAGCCCTGGTCCTGACCCTGTCCTGGCCCCAGCCCCGTTGCTGGTCCTGCCATGGCCCTTGTCCTGACATTGCCCTTTCCTGGTTCTGGCCCTGGCCCTGTCCCAGCCCTGCTCTGGCCCTGGTCTGAACCCTGGCCCTGCAACAGACCTGCCTTGGTCCTGCCCAGACCCTGGCTCTGGCCCTACCTCTGCCCTGGCCATACCCTTGCCCTGGCCTGGACCCCGGTCCTGGTCCTTGTCCTGCCCCAGCTGTGGCCCTGGCCCTGCCCTGCCTGTGCCCTCTTCTATCCTGGGCTGGCCCTGCCATGGCCTGGTCTTGCCATTGCCCTGCCCTAGCCTGCTCTGCTTGTGCCCTAGATCTGCCCCGGCCTTTGCCCCTGTCTTGGTTCTAGCCTTGACTCAGCCCTGGACCTTCCCTGACCTTGCCTCAGCCCTGGCACTACCCTGGCCTTGCCTTGGCATTTGCCCTACTCTCTCTATGGCCTGGCTCTGGTCCTGCCCTGCTCTGCTCTTGTTCTGTCCTGGCACAGCCCTGGCCCTGGCCCTGGCCCTGCCGTATCACTGGCTCTGGTCCTGCCCTTATGCAGCCCTGACCCTGCCACTGCCTTGGCTTTGGCCTGGACCTTGGCCATACAGTGACCCTGCCATGACCCTTTCCTGGCCCTGGCCTGGAACCTGGCCCTGCCAAGGACTTGCCCTGGCTCTGTCATAGCCCTGGCCCTTTCCTGGATTTGGATGTGTCCTGTCACTTATTTGCCCTGGCCCTTCCCTGGCTCTGCCATACCCCTTCTGTGGGGTAGGGCCAGGGTCAGGACCAGACCAGGGCAGGGTCAGGACCAGGGTAGGGCCGTGGTAAGGCCTGAAGATGGGAAGGGCCAGGGCAGCGGCTGGACCAGGGAAGGGTCAGGGCCAGGGATGTAGTAGGACTAGGGGCAGAGCCAGCACTAGGGCTGAGCCAGGGCAGAGCAGGAGAGATTACATTAGGCTATTATGTAAAATTTTTATTTTAGATTTTTAAGATAACTATAGTAGTAGTAATGTCTATACTATGTTGTTTGTAATAGTAATAATATTTGCAGTAATCACTAAATTTTAACTAATACTGTCTTTGTTTCCAGTAGTGTTCTATGAGTATAATTTTATCAATATGTAAATATGTGAGGCATTGATTCTCACAATAATTCTATGTGCTAGGTACTTAAAGCATCCCCATTTTCCAAATGTAGGAAACAGGCATAAAGAAGTTAAATACTTGGCCAGATTACTCCTGTAATCCCAGCACTTTGGGAGGCCAAGGCAGGCAGATGGCTTGAGCTCAGGAGTTTGGAACCAGCCTGGTCAACATTGTGAAACCCCATCTCTACTAAAAATGCACAAAAAGAACTAATTTAAGTTTCTTGTAGGATTCTGGTTATAAAACAGTGGTCAAACACACAGGGCATGGATAGGGCAGGGCCAGGGACAAGGTCAGGCCAGGAAGGGTCCAGGGCCAAGGCAGGGCCAGAGCTGGACTTGGAGGTGTCCTGGTCTGATTTGTCCTGCCCCAACATTGGCCCAGCCCTGCTCTGGCACGTCCTGTCATGCCCTGTCCCTGGCCTGAGCATTGGCCCTGGCCCTGTCCTGCTTCTGGCCCTGCCCCGGAGTTGACCAGGCACTGCCATGGCCCAGTCCTGCATTGCCCTGCCCTCCTCTGCCCTGGTGCTACCATGGCCCTGCTTGGGCCCTAGCTCTGCCTCGACTCTGGACCTGCCCTGACTCTGCTCAGCCCTGGATCTACCCTGACTCTGCCTTGGTGTTGCCCTCCCATCTCTATGGCCTGGCTCTGGCCGTGCCTTGCACAGGCCATGCTCTGCCCTGCGTGTCCCAGCCTGGGCCCAGCCCTCGTCCTACCATATTCCTGACCCCAGCCATACCCTTGTTCTGGCCGTGACCCTGCCGTGGCCCTCTCCTGGCCCTTCCCCTTGGTCCTGCCCTGCCCTTCCATGCCCTGGCCTTGCCCTCACCCTGCGTTGGCCCTGCACTGGTCCTGCCCTGCCCTGGCACTGCCTTGGCCCCGGCCTTGCCTTCTCCCTGGCCTTGCCTTTGCCCTGCCCTGGCCTGACCCCAGGCCTACCGAGTCCATGAAATGGCCCTGGACCTGCCTTGCCATCCTCTGTCCTGGCCCTGTATTGTCCCCACCATGCTGTGGTCCAGCGCTTGCCCTGGCCCTGTTGCTAGTCCTGCCACTGCTATGGCCCTGCCCTGTTTTTGGCCATGCCCTGTGCTACCCTAGCCCTGCCCTGCCTTGGCCTTGGCCCTATCATGGCCTTCTCCTACCCTGGCCTGGCCCTACCCTGGCCTTGCCCTGCCCTGGTCTTGCCCTGCCCTGGTCTTGCCCTGCCCTGGCCTTGGCTTTGCCTTATCCTGGTCCTGGTTCTTCCCTGACCCTGGCCTTGCTCTGGATCCTCTCTGGTTCTGCTTTCTCCCTGGCCCTGCCCTTGCTCTGGCCCTGTCCCTGGCCCAGCCTTGACCCTGACCCTGGCCCTGACAATCCCCAGGTCTGACACTGGCCATGCTTGGCCCTGGCCCCTCCTTTTGGCCCTGCCCTGGCCCTGCCTTGGCCCTGTGCTATCTTAGTCCTGCCCTGGCCCTGAACTCGCCCTGGCCCTACCCTCACCCTACCCTGGCCCCACCCTACCCTGGCCTTGCCCTGCCCTGGCCCTGCCTTTGGCCTGCCCTGGCTCTGGTTCTGCCCTGGCCTTGCCCTTGCCCTGGACCCTCCCTGGCCATGTTTTTTCCATGGTCCTTCTCTGGCCTTGCCCTTGCCCTGTCCCCTTTCTGGTCCTGCCATGTTTCTGGCCCTGCCCTGTCCATGTCCTGGACCTGACTCTGGCCCTGGACCTCCCTGTCCCTGCCCTGCCATACCCTGGCCCGTTCCTTGCTCTACACTGACCCTGCCCTGCCTTGGCCCTGTGCTACCCTAGCCCTGCCCTGGCCTTCTGCTGACCCTGATCCTGCCATGGCCCTGGCCCTGCCATGTCCCTGCCCTGGCCCTGGTTCTGCCCTGCTTCTGGCCCTGGCCTTGGTCCTCTCATGTCCCTGGCTGTGACCCTGCCCCTGGTTTTTCTCTGGCCATGACCCTGCCCCGGTTCTGTCCTATCCCTGGCCCTGTCTCAGTTCTGTCCTAGCCCTGGCCTTTCACAGTACTTTATGCTTAGTAAGGGCTCCATGGTGTCTGTGAGTTGAATGTTGTATTCATAGTATCTGCCAAAACAGAAAGAAAAAAAACAAAATATTTTGATAAGAAGTTAAAGCTTTGTATATAATATGCCTTGAATTGTAAGTGCCTGTTATTAGTTGTATTACATATAGGTCATGGTTTTGTACACATAACTCCAAACCATTGATACTGTTAAAAGAATATATGAATATATGAAAGAATGTATAAACGTAAGAATGTGTCAGTATCTAATGACCTTTCCAAATTAATTTTTATTTTTAGCTCTGTTAGATTTTTCTCAGTGTAACAAATGTTTATTCCTATGTAATTAAGGGCGTATTTCCTGTACAGAATATTCATATTACCTAATTGAAAATTATATGATACAAAAATATAATACTATTTTTAGCCAGGCATGGTGGCTCATACCTGTAATCCCAACATTTTGAGAGGCCACGTTTGGAGAATCATTTGAGTCCAGGAGTTGACCAGCCTGGGCAACATAGTGAGACCTTGTCCTTATTAAATAAATAAATAAATAAATAGGTTGGGCACTGTGGCTCATATCTGTCATCCCAGCATTTTGGGTTGCCAATGCAGGAGGATTGCTTGAGCCCAGGAGTTTGAGACCAGCCTGGGCAGAATAGCAAGACTCCATCTCTACAAATAATAAAATATTAACCAGGTGTGGTGGTGTGCACCTGGGGTCCCAGCCACCTGGGAGGCTAAGGTGGGAGGTTTGCTCGAGGCTGCAGTGAACTGTGAATGCACCACTGCATTCCAGCCTAGGCCACAGAACAGGACCTTGTCTATAAATAAAGAAATAAGTAAAAATATAAATAAAAATAAGTAAAAAGAAATATAAGTAAATATAAATATAAATACATATAAATATAAAAATGCATACATGAAAAGAAACAATTTTTAAATTTAACATCACTGAGGGCATCCTATCCATTTCATTTCATGATTCCATTACATCATTTCACTTAGATGAAATGATAAGATGACTTGAGATGAGATGAAATGACGAAATGATGAGATGAGATGAGATGATGAGATGAAATTTTGAGATGAAATGGTGAGTAGAAACGATGAGATGAAATGATGAGACGAAATGACAAAATTGAAAAGAAATTGAAAGGAGATGAGATGAGATGAAATGAGATGAAATGATGAGATGATGGATGAAATGATGAGATGAAACGAGATGAAATGATGAGATGAAATGAAATAATGAAATGATATGAAATAATGAAATTGAAATGAGATGAGATGAGATGAAATAATGAGATAAAATGATGAGATGAAATGAGATGAATGATGAGATGAAATGATGAGATGAAATGAGATGAAAAATGAGATGAAATGAAATAATGAAATGAGATGAAATGAAATGAAATAATGAAAGGAAATTATGAAATGTAATGATGAAATTGAAATGAAATTGAAATGAGTTGAAATGATGAGATGTAATGATGAAATGAAATGATGAGATGAGATGAAATGAGATGCAATAATGAGATGAAATGCGATAACGAGATGAGATGAGATGAAATCATGAGATGAAATGATGAAATGAAATGATGGATGAAATGATGAGATGAAATGTAATGAGATGAAATGACAAATGAAATAATGAAATGAGATGAAATGAAATAATGAAATGATGAGATGAGAAGAAATGATGAGATGAAATGATGAAATGATGAGATGAGATAAAATGAGATGAAATGATGAGATGAAATGATGAGATGAAATGAAATGATGAGATGAGATGAAATATGAGATGAAATGACATAATGAAATGAAATGATGAAATGGAATAATGAAATGGAAATGATGAGATGAGATGCAATGAGTTGAAATGAGATGAAATGATGAAATGATGAGATGAAACGATGAGATGTGATGAAATGATGACATGAAATGATGACATAAAATGAGATGAAATGAGATGTAATGATGAAATGAGATGAGATGAAATGAGATGAAATGATGAGATGAGATAAAATGATGATATGAAATGAGATGAGTGATGAGATGAAATGATGAGATGAGATGATGAGATGAAATGATGAGATGAACTGATGAGATGAAATGAAATGAAATAATGAAATTGAAATAAAATTGAAATGAGATGAAATGATAAGATGAGATGATGAAATAAAATGATGAAATGATGAGATGAAATGATGAGATGAGATGACATGAAATAATGAAATGAAATAATGACATGAAATTGAAATGAGATGAGAAGATATGAGATGAGATGAAATGATGAAATGATAAGATGAAAAGAGTTGATGAGATGATGAGATAAAATGATGAGATGAAAGATGAGATGAAATGATGAGATGAAAGATGAGATGAAATGATGAGATGAAATGGGATGAAATGAAATTAGACGAAATGTAATGAGATGAAATGAAATGACATAAATGAAAAAATGAAATGAAATAATGAAATGAGGTGAAATTAAATGAGATGATGAAATTAAATGATGAAATGAAATGATGAAATGGAAATGATGAGATGAAATGCCGAGATGAATGATGGATTTGAAATGATGAGATGCAATGATGAGATGAAATCATGAAATCATGAGATGAGATGAGATGTAATGATGAGAGGAAATGATGAGATGTAATGAAATCCCCCGCACTGCATCCGATGAAATGAAATAATGCAAGGAAATTGAATTGACCCTATCACCCGGAATGAGCTAAAATGAGATGAAATAAGAAATGATGTTTTGTTTTGTTGACATGCTGAGGTGAGATGAGATGAGATGAGACGAAAGATGAGATGAGATGAGACGAAACGATGAGATGAAATGAAAGGAAGAGATGAAAGGCCGAGATGAAATGATGAGATGAGGTGAGATGAAATGAGATGAAACAAGATGAAATGATGAAATGATGAGATGAGAAGAAATGAGATGAAATGAGATGAGATAAAATGATGAGATGAAATGAAGTGAAATGAAATGAAATAATGAAATGAAATTGAAATGAGATGAGATGAAATGAGATAAAATGATGAGATGAAATGATGAGAAGAAATGAGATGAAATGATGAAATGATGAGATGAGATGATGAGATGAAAAATGATGAGATGAAATGGTGAGATGAAATGAAATGAAATAATGAAATGAGATGAAATGAAAAGAAATGATGATATTGAAATGAAATTGAAAGATGAGATGAAATGAAATGTTGAAATGAAATGATGAAATGAGATGTGACATGAAATGATGAGCTGAAATGATGAGATGAAATGAAGTGAAATGAGATTAGATGATGAGATGAAAAATGATGAGATGAAAAATGAGATGAAATGATGAATTGAGATGAGATGAGATGAAATAATGAAATTAGGTGAAATAATGAAATGAGATGAAATAATGAAATGAAATTGAAATGAGATGAGAAGAAATGAGATGAAATGTTGAAAGGAGGAAATGATGAGATGAGGAGATGAAATGATGAGATGAAATGAATTGAGATGAAATGATGAGATGAAAAATGATATGAAAAATGATATAAAAAATATGAGATGAAATGAAATGAGATGATATGAAATGACATAATGAAATAAATGAAATTAGATGAAATGAAATGAAATAGTGAAATGAAATGATGAAATGAAATAATGAAAATGAAATGGAAATGAGATGAGATGAGATTTGATGAAATGAGATGATATGAAATGATGGGATGAGATGAGATGAGATGAAATGATGAGATAAAATGATGAGATGAAATGATGAGATAAAATGATGAGATGAAATGATGAGGTGAAGTGATGCACTGTCACGTGTGTGTCTATTCTTTTTCCCAACCAACAAAAATTATAAATCATTAATTTTTTATTATTTAAGAATATTCTTAAGAGTTGAAGGAAAAATAATATCTGTACATTATGGGTTACAATGTAAGTATAAATAATACATAAATATATTAAAACTTACAAAGAATATGTTTTGGAATCGAATATACCATGCTTCTGTGATGACAGTTATTTCATGCTGGTTGTCACAATTTTACATGAAAAACTAATGAAAAAATGTTTTTAACTGTTTCTAAAAATAACAGTTTCCAAAACAGTTTTACATTCGAAATATGAAAAAGATGTCTTTGTGTTCCTTAATCTGATGAGATTTTCACACTCTGCACATGATAATTGTTAGATTTTTATTGTGTTGATAAATTGTATATCAAAAAATGTTATTACCTCTTAAATTAGGATTTTTAGGTGATATAGGCAGAAAGGAAGGCAAGTTTTTATAACTTTGTCTAAATGAACTTTGTAAATGCCTGAGTATTAAAAGATAGCATGTCTATAAATCACAATGTATATATTACTGTATGACCTAGGACCAATCAAAACCATTACCTCTGATAACATTATATTGTGCCCAGTATAAAATAGATATAATAATACCTCAAACTTAAATCCAGGCATTGTCATTGAATATCTTAAGAATATGCAGCAAAGGTGCTTTTAAAAATACAAGCTAGTGATTGTACTAAATTTGTAAATCACATAGGATAGTGGGTCATTTTAAGAATATTATTTCAATCTATAAACGTGGATGTCTTTCCTTTTTTGTGTTTTCTTTAATTTCTTTCATTAGTATTTGTCATTTTTGTTGTCGAAATCTTTTACTTCCTTGGTTAAATTTATTTCTAAGTACATTTTTGTAGCTATTGTAAAAGGAATTGCTTTCTTAATTTCTTGTTTCAGCTAGTTTACTATCAATATATAGAAATGCTACTGATTTTTGTATGTTGATTTATATCCTGCAACTTTATTAATTTCATGTATCACCCTAAGAAGCTTTTGGTAGAGTCTTATTTTTTTCCGTGTATAAGATCACATTGTCTTTAAACAGGGACAGTTTGACTGTCTCCTTTCCAATTCAGATGTCCTTTATTTCTTTCTCTCACCTAATTGTCCTGGCTAAGACTTTCACTATGTGAAATATGATTGGTGAGAATAGGCATCCTTTTCCTGTTCCAGTAAAATCTTTTTCTTGTTCACAGTAAAATCTTTCACGTTTTCCACACTCAGTATGATCTTAGCTGTAGATTTGTCCTTTATGTCCTTCTGTGTTAAGGCATATATTTTCTATACTAAATTGTTGAGAGGTTTTTTGTCATGTAAGAATATTTAATTTTGCCAAACGCTTTTATTGTGTTTATTAATTTAATCATATGGTTTTCAGTATATATCCAAAGGAAAGAAAATCAGTATATCAAAGAGTTACCTGCACCCCCATGTTTATTACAGTACTATTCACAATAGCCAAGATATGGAATCAACAAAAGTGTCCATCAACAGATGAATGGATAAAGAAATGTGACATACATATATAATGGAATATTATTTAGTCATAATAAAGAACAAAATCCTGTTATTTGTGGCAACAAGAATGCAAGTGGAGGGCATTATGTTAGGTGAAATAAGCCTGGCATAGAAACATAAACACCACATAACTACGTGTTCTCACTTATGTATGGAAGCTAAAATTTTTAATCCCGTAGAAGTAGATAGTAGAGTTTTGGTTACCATATCCTGGAAAGAGTAGGAGAAAGAAGAGTATAAGAAAAATGTGGTTAATACATACAAAATTACAGCTGGAGAGAAGGAAGAAGTTCTAGTTCTCTACAGCACTGTTGGGTGACTGTAGTTAATGGGAATTTATTGTGTGTTTTCAAATAACTAAAATAAAAGATTTTGAATATTCTCACTGCAAAGAAATAATACATGATTTAGGTAATGGATATGATAATGACTCTGACTTGATCTTTACACATCGTATAAATATATCAAAATATCACTCTGTACCCCATAACATGTACATTTATTATATGTCAATTAAAGTAAATTTAAGGGGGAGGAGCCAAGATGGCCAAATAGGAACAGCTCCAGTCTACAGCTCCCAGCGTGAGCGACACAGAAGACGGTGATTTCTGCATTTCCATCTGAGGTACCGGGTTCATCTCACTAGGGAGTGCCAGACAGTGGGCACAGGTCAGTGGGTGCGCGCACCGTGCGCGAGCCAAAGCAGGGCGAGGAATTGCCTCACTTGGGAAGCGCAAGGGGTCAGGGAGTTCCCTTTCCGAGTCAAAGAAAGGGGTGATGGACGGCACCTGGAAAATCGGGTAACTCCCACCCGAATACTGCGCTTTTCCGATGGACTTAAAAAACGGCGCACCACGAGATTATATCCTGCACCTGGCTCGGAGGGTCCTACGCCCACGGAGTCTCGCTGATTGCTAGCACAGCAGTCTGAGATCAAACTGCAAGGCGGCAGCGAGGCTGGGGGAGGGGCGCCCACCATTGCCCAGGCTTGCTTAGGTAAACAAAGCAGCCGGGAAGCTCGAACTGGGTGGAGCCCACCACAGCTCAAGGAGGCCTGCCTGCCTCTGTAGGCTCCACCTCTGGGGGCAGGGCACAGACAAAAAGACAGCAGTAATCTCTGCAGACTTAAATGTCCCTGTCTGACAGCTTTGAAGAGAGCAGTTGTTCTCCCAGCACGCAGCTGGAGATCTGAGAACGGGCAGACTGCCTCCTCAAGTGGGTCCCTGACCCCTGACCCCAGAGCAGCCTAACTGGGAGGCACCCCCCAGCAGGGGCACACTGATACCTCACACGGCAGGGTATTCCAACAGACCTGCAGCTGAGGGTCCTGTCTGTTAGAAGGAAAACTAACAAACAGAAAGGACATCCACACCAAAAACCCATCTGTACATCACCATCATCAAAGACCAAAAGTAGATAAAACCACAAACATGGGGAAAAAACAGAACAGAAAAACTGGAAACTCTAAAAAGCAGAGCGCTCTCCTCCTCCAAAGGAACGCAGTTCCTTACCAGCAACAGAACAAAGCTGGATGGAGAATGACTTTGATGAGCTGAGAGAAGAAGGCTTCAGACGATCAAATTACTCTGAGCTACGGGAGGACATTCAAACCAAAGGCAAAGAAGTTGAAAACTTTGAAAAAAATTTAGAAGAATGTATAACTAGAATAATCAATACAGAGAAGTGCTTAAAGGAGCTGATGGAGCTGAAAACCAAGTCTCCAGAACTACGTGAAGAATGCAAAGCCTCAGGAGCTAATGTGATCAACTGGAAGAAAGAGTATCAGCGATGGAAGATGAAACGAATGAAATGAAGCAAGAAGGGAAGTTTAGAGAAAACAGAATTAAAAGGAATGAGCAAAGCCTCCAAGAAATATGGGACTATCTGAAAAGACCAAATCTATGTCTGATTGGTGTACCTGAAAGTGATGGGGAGAATGGAACCAAGTTGGAAAACACTCTGCAGGATATTATCCAGGAGAACTTCCCCAATCTAGCAAGGCAGGCCAACGTTCATATTCAGGAAATACAGAGAACGCCACAAAGATACTCCTCAAGAAGAGCAACTCCAAGACACATAATTGTCAGATTCACCAAAGTTGAAATGAAGGAAAAAATGTTAAGGGCAGCCAGAGAGAAAGGTCGGGTTACCCTCAAAGGGAAGCCCATCAGACTAACAGCGGATCTCTTGGCAGAAACCCTACAAGCCAGAAGAGAGTGGGGGCCAATATTCAACATTCTTAAAGAAAAGAATTTTCAACCCAGAATTTCATATCCAGCCAAACTAAGCTTCATAAGCGAAGGAGAAATAAAATACTTTACAGACAAGCAAATGCTGAGAGATTTTGTCACCACCAGGCCTGCCCTAAAAGAGCTCCTGAAGGAAGCGCTAAACATGGAAAGGAACAACCAGTACCAGCCACTGCAAAATCATGCCAAAATGTAAAGACCATCAAGACTAGGAAGAAACTGCATCAACTAACAAGCAAAATAACCAGCTAACATCATAATGACAGGATCAAATTCACACATAACAATATTAACTTTAAATGTAAATGGACTAAATGCTCCAATTAAAAGACACAGACTGGAAAATTGGATAAAGAGTCAAGACCCATCAGTGTGCTATATTCAGGAAACCCATCTCACATGCAGAGACACACATAGGCTCAAAATAAAAGGATGGAGGAACATCTACCAAGCAAATGGAAAACAAAAAAAGGTAGGGGTTGCAATCCTAGTCTATGATAAAACAGACTTTAAACCAACAAAGATCAAAAGAGACAAAGAAGGCCATTACATAATGGTAAAGGGATCAATTCAACAAGAAGAGCTAACTATCCTAAATATATATGCACCCACTACAGGAGCACCAAGATTCATAAAGCAAGTCCTGAGTGACCTACAAAGAGACTTTAGACTCCCACACATTAATAATGGCAGACTTTAACACCCCACTGTCAACATTAGGCAGATCAACGAGACAGAAAGTCAACAAGGATACCCAGGAATTGAACTCAGCTCTGCACCAAGCGGACCTAGTAGACATCTACAGAACTCTCCACCCCAAATCAACAGAATATACATTTTTTTCAGCACCACACCACACCTATTCCAAAATTGACCACATACTTGGAAGTAAAGCTCTCCTCAGCAAATGTAAAAGAACAGAAATTATAACAAACTATCTCTCAGACCACAGTGCAATCAAACTAGAACTCAGGATTAAGAATCTCACTCAAAACCGTTCAACTACATGGAAACTGAACAACCTACTCCTGAATGACTACTGGGTACATAATGAAATGAAGGCAGAAATAAAGATGTTCTTTGAAACCAACGAGAACAAAGACACAACATACCAGAATCTCTGGGACGCATTCAAAGCAGTGTGTAGAGGGAAATTTATAGCACTAAATGCCCACAAGAGAAAGCAGGAAAGATCCAAAATTGACACCCTAACCTCACAATTAAAAGAACTAGAAAAGCAAGAGCAAACACATTCAAAAGCTAGCAGAAGGCAAGAAATAATTAAAATCAGAGCAGAACTGAAGGAAATAGAGACACAAAAAAACCATTCAAAAAATTAGTGAATCCAGGAGCTGGTTTTTTGAAAGGATCAACAAAATTGATAGACCGCTAGCAAGACTAATAAAGAAAAAAGAGAAGAATCAAATAGACGCAATAAAAAATGATAAAGGATATCACCACCGATCCCACAGAAATACAAACTACCATCAGAGAATACTACAAACACCTCTACGCAAATAAACTAGAAAATCTAGAAGAAATGGATAAATTCCTCGACACATACACTCTCCCAAGACTAAACCAGGAAGAAGTTGAATCTCTGAATAGACCAATAACAGGATCTGAAATTGTGGCAATAATCAATAGCTTACCAACCAAAAAGAGTCCAGGACCAGATGGATTCACAGCCGAATTCTACCAGAGGTAGAAGGAGGAGCTGGTACCATTCCTTCTGAAACTATTCCAATCAATAGAAAAAGAGGGAATCCTCCCTAACTCTTTTTATGAGGCCAGCATCATTCTGATACCAAAGCCAGGCAGAGACACAACAAAAAAAGAGAATTTTAGACCAATATCCTTGATGAACATTGATGCAAAAATCCTCAATAAAATACTGGCAAAATGAATCCAGCAGCACATCAAAAAGCTTATCCACCATGATCAAGTGGGCTTCATCCCTGGGATGCAAGGCTGGTTCAATATGCGCAAATCAATAAATGTAATCCAGCATATAAACAGAGCCAAAGACAAAAACCACATGATTATCTCAATAGATGCAGAAAAAGCCTTTGACAAAATTCAACAACCCTTCATGCTAAAAACTCTCAATAAATTAGGTATTGATGGGACGTATTTCAAAATAATAAGAGCTATCTATGACAAACCCACAGCCAATATCATACTGAATGGGCAAAAACTGGAAGCATTCCCTTTGAAAACTGGCACAAGACAGGGATGCCCTCTCTCACCACTCCTATTCAACATAGTGTTGGAAGTTCTGGCCAGGGCAGTTAGGCAGGAGAAGGAAATAAAGGGTATTCAATTAGGAAAAGAGGAAGTCAAATTGTCCCTCTTTGCAGATGACATGATTGTATATCTAGAAAACCCCATCGTCTCAGCCCAAAATCTCCTTAAGCTGATAAGCAACTTCAGCAAAGTCTCAGGATACAAAATCAATGTACGAAAATCACAAGCATTCTTATACACCAACAACAGACAAACAGAGAGCCAAATCATGAGTGAACTCCCATTCACAATTGCTTCAAAGAGAATAAAATACCTAGGAATCCAACTTACAAGGGATGTGAAGGACCTCTTCAAGGAGAACTACAAACCACTGCTCAACAAAATAAAAGAGGATACAAACAAATGGAAGAACATTCCATGCTCATGGGTAGGAAGAATCAATATCGTGAAAATGGCCATACTCCCCAAGGTAATTTACAGATTCAATGCCATCCCCCTCAAGCTACCAATGCCTTTCTTCACAGAATTGGAAAAAACTACTTTAAAGTTCATATGGAACCAAAAAATAGCCCACATCGCCAAGTCAATCCTAAGCCAAAAGAACAAAGCTGGAGGTATCACACTACCTGACTTCAAACTATACTACAAGGCTACAGTAACCAAAACAGTATGGTACTGGTACCAAAACAGAGATATAGATCAATGGAACAGAACAGAGCCCTCAGAAATAACGCCACATATCTACAACTATCTGATCTTTGACAAACCTGAGAAAAACAAGCAATGGGGAAAAGATTCCCTATTTAATAAATGGTGCTGGGAAAACTGGCTAGCCATATGTAGAAAGCTGAAACTGGATCCCTTCCTTACACCTTACACAAAAATCAATTCAAGATGGATTAAAGACTTAAACGTTAGACCTAAAACCATAAAAACCCTAGAAGAAAACCTAGGCATTACCATTCAGGACATAGGCATGGGCAAGGACTTCATGTCTAAAACACCAAAAGCAATGGCAACAAAAGACAAAATTGACAAATGGGATCTAATTAAAGAGCTTCTGCACAGCAAAAGAAACTGCCATCAGAGTGAACAGGCAACCTACAAAATGGGAGAAAATGTTCGCAACCTACTCATCTGACAAAGGGCTAATATCCAGAATCTACAATGAACTCCAACAAAGTTACAAGAAAAAAACAACCCCATCAAAAAGTGGGCGAAGGACATGAACAGACACTTCTCAAAAGAAGACATTTATGCAGCCAAAAAACACACGAAAAAATGCTCACCATCACTGGCCATCAGAGAAATGCAAATCAAAACCACAATGAGATACCATCTCACACCAGTTAGAATGGCAATCATTAAAAAGTCAGGAAACAACAGGTGCTAGAGAGGATGTGGAGAAATCGGAACACTTTTACACTGTTGGTGGGACTGTAAACTAGTTCAACCATTGTGGAAGTCAGTGTGGCGATTCCTCAGGGATCTAGAACTGGAAATACCATTTGACCCAGCCATCCCATTACTGGGTATATACCCAAAGGACTATAAATCATGCTGCTATAAAGACACATGCACACGTATGTTTATTGCGGCATTATTCACAATAGCAAAGACTTGGAACCAACCCAAATGTCCAACAATGATAGACTGGATTAAGAAAATGTGGCACATATACAACATGGAATACTATGCAGCCATAAAAAATGATGAGTTCATGTCCTTTGTAGGGATGTGGATGAAATTGGAAATCATCATACTCAGTAAACTATCGCAAGAACAAAAAACCAAACACTGCATATTCTCACTCATAGGTGGGAATTGAACAATGAGATCACATGGACACAGGAAGGGGAATATCACACTCTGGGGACTGTTGTGGGGTGGGGGGAGGTGGGAGGGATAGCATTGGGAGATATACCTAATGCTAGATGACGAGTTAGTGGGTGCAGCGCACCAGCATGGCACATGTATACATATGTAACTAACCTGCACAATGTGCACATGTACCCTAAAACTTAAAGTATAATAATAATAAAAATAATAATCATAGAAAAATAAAATAAAATTACAAAAAAAATAAAAAATATAGTAAATTTAAAAGAGAAAAAGATGAGGTAAAGGTAAATGTACAGAATTTACTTTTTCTTCTATAAAACCCGAGTCAGTACCAAGAAGAGTCAATTTATTAGTTTTCTAAAATAAAAAAAAATCAAAATCACCAAAAAAGAGCAATATCCAAGAAAACATTGAAAATGAAACACAACATTTAGTAAGAATAGAAAACTTGGGCACTGTATCACCCTGTTCCTAGATACCGATTTACTGGTGGCCATTTAAATAGAATTTTTTTCTATCTAATTCATTTATACTTCCAGAGTTCGAAATTACATTTCACCTGCAATAAATGAGATAACACTTGTAAATTATATGGCACTCTGCCTAACACACGTTAATAACTCAATACATGTTAGCAATAAACTTTTAGTATAGTAGTCAAAGTATTAATTTCTCACATTGCAATTTCCTTCAAAGACATGAATACAACCTTTCTAATGACTCCTTGTTCATCAAGATACCTCTTCAAATTATTCTATTTGTTTCATTCAGTATATTATCTGTGTATACCGATATTACACTCTTTTCTTTTTTTGAGATGGAATCTCATTCTGTTACTGATGCTGGAGTGAGGTGGCATGATCTCGGTTCACTGCAACCTCCACCTCCCAGGTTCAAGCGATTCTCCTGTCTCAGCCCCACAAGTAGCTAGGACTACAGGTGCACACCACCATGCCTGGCTAATTTTTGTGTTTTTAGTACAGCCAGAGTCCATGCCTGGCTGGACTCGAACTCCTGACCTCAGGTGATCCACCCACCATGGCCTCCCAAAGTGCTGGGATTACAGGCATAAGCCACCGCACCCAGCCTGATATTGCACTCTTGGATTTTGAACACTGAATATCTTTTTGAAAGATTACACCTCTTTACCTCTTTGTGCTTCAGAAATTATTTTCCTTCAAGTGTTCTAAGAGTCTAATGAAGAATGAAGTCATGTTTTATCACTTTTGTCCTTAAAGATTTCAGACATGCTGAAACTGATTGAAGTATCATTTGCTACCAGATAGATTAATTATCTCTAGTTGTAGGAGTGGATACATCTTTAATGGTATATTTTGGGTTATTGTCTTATTTTTGATGCAGTATTCTATAAATAATTTATTAAACCTGGCATCCTTGGGTGAGCATAGATTTTTCAACTTTGGTGTTATATTGTGTTTGCTTTTAAAAACTGCTTTTGAGGCCAGGTATGGTGGCTCTTGCCCATACCCAGCACTTTGGGAGGCCAAGGTGGGCGGATTACCTCAGGTCAGGAGTTCAAGACCAGCCTGGTCAACATGGCAAAACCATGTCTCTACTAAAAACACAAAATTAGCCAGGCATGGTGGTGCATGCTTGTAGTTCTAACCACTCGAGAGGCTGAGGCAAGAGAATCACCTGAGCCTAGGAGGCAAAGGTTGCTAGGTTGCTGTGAGCCAAATTCGCACCATTGCACTCCAGCCTGGGTGAAAAGAGCAAAACTCATCTCAAAAAAAAAAAAAAAACCCACCAAAAACTGCTTTTGAATGGAGTTGTACATACAATTTTTATGAAAAAAATTATCAAGTGCATAAGTTCATAATGGAAAAACCAATAATACTCCAGGCACAAGTTAGTACTAAAAAAATTATGTTGAATATTCTCTAATACAACATGCTTTTTCCCTTCATGAACAATTTGTGTTTTACTGAGAAGAGTCATTGTTTATGGTAGACATTAGACTACAGATGAATATGTACTTTAAACACTCTTAGTTGCTTTCTTAATTTTATATCTGCTGCTTTATGCTTCTGTTTATTTTCATTCTTTCCAATGTCCACATTCTAGTAAATTTGAATATTTTAATCCGTTTATATACTATTTAATATTGCTTGTATAGTTTAGTATTGTTAAGACTCAAAAAGGTTTACAGAAAGAAGAAAAAGATCAACATGTTATTAATCATTTAAAGATCATTTTAAAATCTTTGACCTTTATATTTTAATGAATAAAATGTTAGTAGTTATTAGTATAAAATAATTTATGTCTTTTGGACTTAGCATCCAGTATTTTTTAATAAAGAAAATAATTATTCTCTTGCAATATACTATGTTTATCTGGGTTTTGAAAAGTGATGTTTCCTAATATGAGAAAGCCATTTACATTTTTAAATCTACAAAGGCAAATGGAATGGTACTAAATTATTTACATAATAATGTTTAGATGGTGGCCCTTATAACATTCTTTCTATACTTCCTACAGAGTTGGGGATATGCAATCCTAGAATATTTCTGGGAGCTAATCCTTTAGCTTGATGAATGAAACAAGACTTTTAAATAAAATTAAACTTTCAAATTATCCAGGTAATGGGCCTGTCTTTTAATTCAATGGATATGGAGCATAATGAATTATCCCCTGTTCTTTGGGTAATAAGTTCTCATTCTTAACTTATAATACTCAAAATGTCCTTTAATTTTTAATTTTTGATAGTCATATCATTATCCCTAGGTATTTTAGCTTCTATCTTAATTCTAAAATAATTTTGAAATAGGAGAAAGTATTCTTTATTACTATATGTATTAAACATCATGGTTTTCAAATTTAACTGCAAATGTATCTTTTCATTGCTTCTTGATGACGCCCTTCACCCTATCCATATTGTCACTACCAAGTGGCGATTACTTTTCAGGTTCACATACTTATTCTTCAGAAAAATCTTCTCTGTGCCTTATAAAGAATATGATTGTTGGCATTCAAAAGCCAGCGAAGTATACATTATTAGCCTGTTGCCTAACTCATTTCTTTAAGAAACTACACTAATTACCCACATACTTATGTTTTTATTTCCTCATTATTTCTGGAGAAAACAAATACTGCTAACATGATATTTGTAAGAGAGAAAAAAGTCTTTTCTTGAAAAGTGCTGTCTTTGTAGTACTAACTTATAGTATCAACTTCTTTATAAACTCCTTATACACTTTTTATTCTGAGAGAAATAAAAAAGCTAAAAGTGAAATGACTTTTTTTACTCTCCATATTATAAGCACCCATCTTGGTAATTTAGGGTCTTTATAGTTAGGGTAAGTTGTATCATACCGAGGTTACAAAATAAAAAGTATTTTGTCTCTTTGGGCCTTTCCTTATTCAGTAATACTGTCAGTTTGGCTTTTTTTGTAGGTCAACTTATTGAACTCAGTATTCTGAAATAATATGTTTACTATCTTTTGATAAGCATTTAAAATATTAGATTTATTGTTACTCTTCTGCCTTTATTGGGCTGGAAGAATAATTGTTTCACTCCACAAAAGCCAAGTTGCAGAGAAAAACACATAGACATTAAACTGCAAAGCAGAGAAACTTGACTATTTTCTGCAATTTTAAAGTGTATATTGAATAAAACCATCTTTTTATTTTCTTTTTTGCTCACTGGCAAATATTAACAACATCAAGTGTATTATTATAATGTTATCTAGTTTAAAATCTCAAAGTTTTCATAATTACCATTTTAAAATATGTAAATAGGTGACCTAATGTTAATTTTTATTGTCTGAGACCATGTCTGTTATTTCACTCTTTAAATTCAATTAGTAATGCAGAACCTAGCACTTAGTAGATACTCAAAAATTATTTGCTGAATAAAAAAAGGTTAAACATGTAATATATACAAAATGTACTGGAAAAAATGCACCAAACAATTTTGTTATACCAGTTTAATGTAAATATTGCTTTTAAAAGATAATATAGTTTTCAGGTGTCTACAGTGATTTTGTAATATTTGTGCACATATAATAATTCCAAAAATGTAATCCAGTGGGGAAATATACTCTCTAAATTCTAGATTTATAATTTAGGGTTTAAATTATAAAATCATTAAATAAGACACAAGTGAAATATAGTCAAATATCCCCTTGGAAAAAAAATTAAGTGGTCTCTAAAGTGAGGTATTCATATATGTAATTTTACAATCCTCTAGTGATAGAATTAATTAAATACGCCACCAAATTGATTAATTCCTACAGTATTAAAAGAGAAGCACTAACAATGCCAGTGACCATGTAACATGGATTTAAGCTATAAGTCATAGAAATGTGATGAGAAACCTCAGCGCTGTAAAACAGAGGGTGGAGGAAAGCTTTTCCTCTCTCAAATGAGCTTTGCGAGGTATACTTCTTGAAGGATAGGAAGTTGAAGTGTTAGGACTTTTATGTCTATTCTACTTTGGCTTAGTTTACATGATTCTTAGTTTATTAGCCTATAAATGGCCAAGAAAACTTAAGGTTCAATAATTAGTTATAAATATGAAATATCCCCAATTTTTAAGATAAAAACAACTTATAAATGTATTTGTCTGTAAAAATTGTGTATATTTTTACAGAACATCTATTTATTTTTTTATTTTTTTATTTTTTTTATTATACTTTAAATTCTAGGGTACACATGCACAATGTGCAGGTTTGTTGCATATGTATACATGTGCCATGTTGGTGTGCTGCACCCATTAACTCATCATTTATATTAGGCATATCTCCTAATGCTATCCCTCCCCCCTCCCCCCACCCCACAACAGGCCCTGGTGTGTGATTTTCCCTTTCCTGTGTCCAAGTGTTCTCATTGTTCAATTCCCACCTATGAGTGAGAACATGCGGTGTTTGTTTTTTTGTCCTTGCCATAGTTTGCTGAGAATGATGGTTTCCAACTTCATCCGTGTCCCTACAAAGGACATGAACTCATCATTTTTTATGGATGCATAGTATTCTATGGTGTATATGTGCCACATTTTCTTCATCCAGTCTATCATTGTTGGACATTTGGGTTGGTTCCAAGTCTTTGCTATTGTGAATAGTGCCGCAATAAACATACGTGTGCATGTGTCTTTATAGCAGCACGATTTATAATCCTTTGGGTATATACCCAGTAGTGGGATGGCTGGGTCAAATGGTATTTCTAGTTCTAGATCCCTGAGGAATGGCCACACTGTCTTCCACAATGGTTGAACTAGTTTACAGTCCCACCAACAGTGTAAAAGTGTTCCTATTTCTCCACATCCTCTCTAGCACCTGTTGTTTCCTGACTTTTTAATGATCACCATTCTAACTGGTGTGAGATGGTATCTCATTGTGGTTTTGATTTGCATTTCTCTGATGGGTCTATTTCTTTAAAACAAAGTGAGGGGAGTCTCTCATTTACATTAGTTTTTTTCATAGCCTTTTGAACTTTGCAATTTCTATGTTTCAGAACCTATTTCTTACAGTTCTTCTATGCTAAACTCTGTCCTAGTCAGTTCTAGAGTGTATGAAGAACCAAATGATGTAATTGTATGCGACCTGGCTGTAGTGGAACAAATTTGACTCTAAAGTATGCAGGCTCTAATTTTCCTGTCTGGTTTTGGTAAGTATTCCTTACATAGGTTTTTTCTTTGAAAATCTGGGATTGAGAGGTTGATGAATGAAAATTAATCCTTTCACTTTTTTGTATATAGGTTTGCAATAATCAGGTCAGAGTGGAGTTTTAAGGTCATGGAGGGGTCTGATGACTTACAAATAATGGGCTCTGATTGGGCAACTACTCATCTGAGTTCCTTCCATTTGACCTAATTAAGCTTGTGAAATTTACACTAAGCCATGAGCTCATCTTTAAAAAGTTTTATTAAAAGATTTTCAGCTGTTCCAAATGGGACTTGTTAGTGGAATGTGTTTTAAAGGATCATATCAGATGAATGAAAGGTATTTGGTCCTTCGTTTCCTTAATAATAAAATGATGGTTTGGAAAAATAGGCTACAGTCTAACCACAGTGCTATTATTAGGCTTTCTTGTTAAACACAGGTCTAAGCCTAAGTATGTCAATACAACAAATACTTACTGTTTCATTTCTAGTAATGAAAAAAAAAACAAGTCTTTCTGGCATAAGGATGATTTTCATCTGGTTATTTTGAAACATTTTTGTAAAATAAATTTACATCTATAAAGAACATTTTTATTTGTAAGGAGGGGTATGTCTCTGTGCACTGGAAGAGAGGGAGGACTAAATCACTGGGAAGTCTTATGATAAAGAAGCCATTGGCTTAAATCAGCAAAGCAAGCCATCCCTTGGTTTAAGGTGTTTTTCCTGGCCATCCTGTCTTGACTAGAACTTTACCTACACCTTCCTTTTTGGTTTAGGCAAATTATAGTATCTAAAACTGAAGTCTCAGCTCTGTGTCTTTGAGATATAAATGTTCTACCATGTCTTCTCTGGAACCTGATAACTATCTATCTCTTTAAAATGAAAGTCTAGGAAGATGACTCATCAGAAAAAGAAGAAAAAAGAGGTATTTGGAAATTGTGCAAATTAAAGCAGCCCCTGATGCCAAAGTCTACACATTCCTGAGTGAGTCAGTTCTGGCCAGTTCTAGCTGGATCAAGAGAGCTCTGCTGGGCAGGCCTGAAGAGCACCTGGATGGCAGACACCTGAGGAGCCAGGTGCCTGAAACTTCCTCCACCTGCTTGAGGAGCGCCAAAGCCCAGGTGCTGGCTGGACAACCCCTTCTGGCTGCCTAAGCAGGTGGCAGAAGAAGGAAACAAGGTCAGAGGCAGAGTGTTGAACCCTGCCTCCCAGGTGGGTGGAAGATGCCTGTCGCCAAACTAGGTCCCAGCTTGCCGGGTGAGATGGGTGAACTGGTGATCCCCCGAGAGAGTGGACGTCAGAACTACATGTTTCCGGACTTCACCTTGGCCAGCGAAGGAGAGAGAGGGTTAATGTTAACTGCACGAGGCCCACTCTAGCCTTAAATTCTGTAATTCAAACCCTTCCCTTGGAGACAAAACAAACATGACAAGGAATTCTGAGGTCAGGGGACAAGAATCACAAGTTCCCTAGTGGGAGACTGAGGAGGCAGTGTCCTTCCTGCCCTTGGTCTACTGGCTAAGAACCTTCCTCAGCCTGACCTTTCCACATTGCACTTTCAGCTCTGTTTGCAATTGTCCTCCTTTAGTGCTGAGGGAATCCCAGTGTTCGATCCTGAAATCTATAGGTTCCTAATGGGTGGTTAAAAAAAACCTCAGCGAGAGAAGCAGAAAATGTTTCCTTTTCCTGAAAAACTGTAGAAAGGCAGGCACCATTCTGGGTGAGGACATGGTCCTTGCAAATGTCTTTGTGTTTTGTGTTTTTTTTTTTTTTTTTTTTTTTTGAGATGAAGTTTTGCTCTTGTTGCCCAGACTGGAGTGCAGTGGTGTGATCTCTGCTCATTGCAACCTCCACCTCCTGGGTTCAAGCAGTTCTCCTACCTCAGCCTCCTGAGTAGCTGGAATTACAGGCACCTGCCACCACACCTGGCTAATTTTTTGTATTTTTAGTAGAGATGGGGTTTTGCCATGTTGGTCTCGAACTCCTGACCTCAAGTGAGCCACCCGCTTCTGCCTCCCAAAGTGCTGGGATTACAGGAGTGAGCCACCGCGTCCAGCCTGCAAACATCTTTAAAGACAGCGTGTTTCAGAGGCTGTGACGGTGCCTTGTGAACATGCCAATTCTCGCAGTCCCGGGAGCTCTGAGGAGCAGGCCCAGCTCCTTGCCAGGCTGATGGTACTGAAACTCTGCTCTCCAAGACATAACCTGATGGCCGTGCAAGATTTCTTAATCGACTGTGGACCGTGAGAGTCTGCATCTCATTTTAATTAAGATGGGAAAAGAAAGAACAAAAGAGCAACTCCCAGGTTATAGAGAAACTGGATTTTAGTGTAATATTGAAGTGTAGCATTGCTAATAATAACAAACCTTTCCCCTGCCAAACGGTAAACACTTGCACTGCCTATTATACAAAAATTCAACCACCCTCTCTGTTCCCCCGATATCTCCTCCCCAGTGACCCCCCTCTCATGCGGCCTCATGAGCCTGGCCAGTGGTGAATGGCACTTTCATGGGCATGAGACTCCACGTGAGTGGGACTCAGCTGGGACCCCTCTCCCCGTGGGAGCTGGAGAAGCCACCCTAGTGCCAGCTCAAAGTGTCTGTGATGTCCCTGCTGCTGAGGTAGGGGCCGCCTCTGAGCTGGTCTTGGGGTGTGAGCTGCTGCTGGTAGTGGGCTCTGCCCTGAGGGCCTGGTGGCTGGTCAGAACGGCAGGCACACATGGGTGACTCCCTAGGAACTCAGCCCACCTCCCCACCACAGCCCTGCACTGTGTGCTCCAGGCATGTGCTGAGTGCCTGGTCAATCACCAGTACCCTATTGATCCCCGTCTCCAGAGAGATCATTTAGTGTCACTCCACAGAGGGGGAAACTGAGGCCCAGAGAAGTAAGGTGACTCTCCCCAGTCACAGGGCTGCTCAGCAGTAGGATGGGAGGCTAGTCCCTTGCTGTCTGACTCCCTGAGCCCACCCATATCCCAAGGCAGCCAACCTCTGCCCGCCCTGGTTCAGGCCCTGACTGGCCCCTGTGGTGGGTGATGTCTATCTTCCTGGACTTTATGCTCCCAGCCAACTGGGATGGAGCCTCCAGCTGGCATGACAGGTTGTAGCTATGGACAGAAGAGTGGCTGTGAGGCTGCCAGGAATCTCACCAGGGCCCCCTCCCAGGGCCTGTCCAGAGTGAGGTCTGGGTACCCCAGGCATTGCCAGACCACAGGATCTGATGTTGGCCAAGAGGCCATGGCCACAGGCTTTCTGAGGCTGGCCCCCAGGGAGAGTTCAATCCTACTATCCCAATTCCTGCCCTGGCCTTACCTCTCAGTCTCACCGAGCCGCTTCATGGTCCCAAACCAGGACCCAAAGTGCTGCTTGGGCTCAAGGTTGTAATTATTTGCAGCCAACTGGAGCAGCGGACCTCCTTGCTTACTTTGAATTCCTGGGTCCAGAGGGAAAAACTGGGTGGTGACAGGGACTGGACAGGGATGCCACAGGGGCCCTGTGGGGGTGTTAGATGGGGTGGTGGCCAGTCTTTGCTCATAGGGCACAACCTCCTCCTCTCCAGTCCTGTCTCCACCTGTTCTCAGAGCTGGCTCAAACGGCAGCTCCTCCAGGAAGGTGTCCTTGGTTTCAACCTGGTACTCCCACCTGCAGGTCTTCCTGGAGTGTCTCCTCTTTGTCTCTGTCTCCCCATAAATCTAAGATGAGGGGGATGGATTTGCCCACCGCTACTCACCATATGACTCTTGTGAGGTTGATCAGTCTCCCCTGGAAGGCCAACAGCTGAAGTCCATCAGAAAGGGTCCTCTGGCCCAGAGCCAGCCCCTGCCCACCCCTGTCATGCTGCACCCAGGGTGCAAGACCCAGATCAGGTCTGGGTGACAGGAGGGCTATAGAGGGGCTGAGACTCAGGGGCCTTCTAGCCTAACTTGTCTGGAGACATTTGGGGAAACTGAGACCCCAAGCAGGGAGGTATGGCTCCGAGAGATTATTCTCATTAATCTGGAACATTTTTGCAAGCTGTTAGGTATAGGAAGTCTGTCACAGGTAAGAGAAATGCTTTTTGAGAGCATGAGAGACAGCAGGGTTGTGACAATATTGAAACACCACCATGCAGATTCACCAATTGCCACCACCGGGAGCCCCCTGAGAGCCATTGCAGATGCACAGCCCTCCCCTGCAACCCCTGGACCTCCCCATGGTCTGGCACCTAAAGGGTTATGCCTTATGGCAGGAATCAGGGCCCTCAGGATGCCCTGCCCACTCCAAGGTCTGCCTCTGCTCTGATTGGTCACTGACATTCAGATAGTCACCCAAATATAAGGACGTTAGCAGAAAGACTCATTCAATACAAGTGGACTCAGACATAGATAGGAATTGGGTTGCAAAAAGCCCCTTTTGTTTCTTTTATTTTATTTTGGAAAAAACTTTTATTGTGAAAATTCACATGTATGTATAGAAAAAAATTCAATTAATGCAAAAGGATAGACAATGAACAAATGAATTCCCCTTCCACTCCAGATCCCCAACTCAGATCCAGACCTCCTGAGCCCACTTCCCCCATCTCATCACAGATCCAGACCTCCTGAGCCCACTTTCCCCATCTCATCACAGATCCAGACCTCCTGAGCCCACTTCCCCATCTCATCACCAGTGATTTCTTGGGCTCTGCATTAGTTTTCTATTGCTGCTGCAACAAACAGCTACAGACTCAGTGGCTTCCATTTCTGTCTTATAGTTCTGGTTGCCAAAAGTCCTAAGAGGATCTCACTGGGCTAAAGTCAAGGTGCTGGCAGGGCTATGTCCCTTCTGGAGGCTCAAGGGATGAATCGGGTCCCTGCCTTTTCTAGCTTCTAGGGGCTCCAGCTTCTAGGTTTGTGGCCTCCTTCCTCCATCCTCAAAGCCAGCAACAGCAGGTGAAGTCCTCGCCCATCGTGCATCACTCTCCCTTCTGCCTCCTTCAACATTTTTTTTTTATATTTAGGGGGAACGAGTACAGGATTCTTACATAGTCAAAAAGCTCCTTATAGAGAAGCTCGGAACTTTCAATACAGCTTTGCCTTTTTTGCCATTTTAATTTTCCATTTAATTTAAATGTATTCTCTCATTTGATCTTCATACTCTGTGGAGAAATATTTCTATTTCAGCTTGTATTGACAAGCTGTTTTCACACAGCCCCCGCATCACCCAACCAACCAGCCGAGATCCTCATTCCCATGAAACAGATAAAGAAACTGAGGCCCAGGGAGGCTAAGAGTCCTACCAGGATCATTCACCTTCCAAGGTAAGGAGCCCGTTCCAGACCTGGGTTTGTGCAGCTCCAAGCTCCCCCGTCTTTCTACAATGCTAGATTTAGACTATAGCAATCTAGCAAGTGTGGCCACACAATGGTCAAGTTGGATTTAGATGATGTTCTCTATAAATCCATTCTCCTCTCCCGTGTAAGCAAGGCAAAGTACTCCAGGCCATGGGGAGTCCCTGAAGACTCGATGAACTGCAGTGGCCACATCAGGAGGTTGCAGGTTAACCAGAACTCACCGACACAGCAGGAGAGCAGCTTGGAACCTGCAACCTAGCCAAAACCTAGTGCCTTGGATTGGGGGAGAAAACATGCAGCCATTCCTCTCTCTCTGCTGGCTAGAGGGGATTCTGGCTTTTCCTCCCAGAGCCACCCCTTTCCCTCCTCCTAAAGTTGATGGTGGTTCTTTAAGGAAAGGGAGAAGTGCACAGTGTGATAGGGCAGGAAGAGAAGGAAACGGAGGAGAGGAGGGGACTTTCCCATAAGCAGGCAGAAGAAAAGGCAGCTGTGTTGTGATGGACATGGATGCAGTGGTGTCCGATGTGGGGTCAGCCCTAGAGGAGAGACAGAGAGAGAGACAGAAAAGTGAGAGAGTCCTGACCCTTACGATTAACATGGGATCTGCCTGCAAATGCTGTTTAGGGCCATTGCCTCTTCCTGTACTGCTATTTTTGAGAGTGATGCTCCTGAGCCCCATGACCCAGTCAAATTTGATGTCCCCTCGAGCCAGATTCAGTGCTGGGAGTCCAGTGTGATCTGCCTGGATCTTGCTGCATTGAGAACAGGCCAGATCTTGACCCCAATACAGGGGCTGGATATGAACAGGCAATAGCTGGGTTTCTGAGTCAGAAAGACTTGGTTGATTGCTAATTGCTTAGGCGAGTAATTTAATTTTGTTGAGTCAGATTCCTCAGCTACAAAATGCAGATGACAGTACTTACTCCTCCAGGTTGTGGGGAAAATGGAGATTCTGAGCACGATGTCCATTTCACAGAAAGGTACCAATTTGGTGGCTTATTTTCCTTTCTACCTTCAGAAGTGGCTATCCCTGCCACCCAAACAGACCCTTGACTCTCAAGTGTACGGGGTCCCATTTACACAGGGGGAGAGCTTACAGCCTACGTTGAGTCTATACTTACCACTTAGTGAGCATGGTATCCGCTCAGGGGCCTCTGTGGGCATCCATCTCCTCTGCAGCATCTTTCCTCCCCACCGCTGGGCCTGCACATGACCCCCTCCTTGGGTTAGACCTCTGATCAGTGATGACCTTGGTATGCTGGTGATGGTCAGTCTTGGCACCAAATGAGACAGTTTATGTCATCAGCTATTCAATAAAACACTAATCTAGTTGTCACCGTGAAAGTATTTTGTGACATTGTTATGTACGTGTTGTTACAAATGTGCATGATGCATTTACTACAGCATAGAATTTTGCCTGGGTGCCAGCCTGAAGTCTGTCCGACAGATCATAGCCATGTTAGTCCCACAGTCACAGAGGCCAATGGATTAAATTATTTTATCTCCCTTGAGAACAAAAAATAAAATCCTAAGCCCCCCACCCGACTTAACAGACCCCCTGTTGGCCAACGGAACCTCAAATAAATCTTAAAATTCAGTTCTCGGCCATGACAGGACAGGAGGTCAGACATACCTCCCTGTACCTCCCTCCCTCTTATGGTTTAGACCCAACAACTGAGCAGCATTAATGTTAAAATAGAGATCATGAGACTGACAGAACAGACTCTTTGTGGCAATAAGACCTCAAATTATAAACAGGGCCTAGGGCCATGCCAGGCGAGGGTTAAGTCTTGTACCCTACTCTTAAAGAATTAACTAGATTCTAACTACCACATGGGTTTTATTTTTCTCTAGCAGCCAAGCAAGCACTGGCTGTGAGAGAAGCAAGATTAAAACAATTACAACTCACCCAGTTCACAGACGCTGAGTAACTGATCTCCTGCCCCACTAACCTTAACGACAGCTTTCTCTGGACAAGGGACTGATTTCAGTAACTTTCTCCTGATAAGAGACCATCCTCCATGGACTGGTTCTGGCCAGTTTTAGAGGCTGTGCCTTTACAGAGGCTGAGCCTTTACAGAGGCTGAGTACCTTTATGTCCCTGCTTCACTTTTTGATGTGTAGGGCCTAATTATAATACATTTAAATGTCAAGTCTCCACCCCAGAATGAACATGCATGTTTATTGAATATGCATGCGTTAGGACCTCTTTTATGAGTATTCTCATAAAATGATGTAGCTCCTCTGATATCCTATTGAGTATGTATATGTAGCCAACTCATTTGGCTCAAATTCCTGTCCTCTCCTTCCCTCCCTGGAAATGCCTGCCTCTGGCCTTGGCTGTAGGCCACACTTCCCAGCCTGTCATAATGGCCACCTTGCGGACTGCAAACCTTTATAAGAAATAAAGCTCTCTTTTCTAAATTTATAAAATTTTGTGATTTTTCAGTTGATGCTCTCTTTCTACACACATACACCCGCACACACACACACGCAATTTATACAGAAGGAAATCTGGAGAATATACGTGGGAATGGATATTAAGTGAGTGGCACCATGGTGGAAGTAACATAAAGTTGGATTCGGCTACATTTATTAATGTTGGCCCACTAAACAGAGATTCTGGACTCAGGGTTGTAAGTCAAAGCTTTAGAAAGGGCTCCAAGGGTTGGTTTGATCGGTTACTTGGTTGGTTGGTTGCTTGCTTGCTTGGTGCTTGCTTCCTTGCTTGGTTGTTTGGTTGGTTTGTTGCTTGCTTGTTGGTTGATTGGTTGGCTGTTTGCTTATTTGTTTGGTGACTTGGTTGGTTGGCTGAAACAGAATCAGAGTTTACCTAAGGTACATAAAGTTGAGATGCCACAACTTCCTTGGTTTATGTGTACAGAAAGGTATGCAAAAACTCACGGAGACTGGATTTATTATGTCAGACCTGCTCACTCACACTGGAGGGTCTACAGAACATACTCCTCACGACGATCATGAGAAAGAATATTGTGAGAGGAGCCCAGTATCCTGGAAGAGCTTTGAGCTTGTGCTCTCAGTAGGCAAAATGTTACAGCAGGAACTGCAGCCACTGGACTGGGATCTTTAAGTAAAATGAGGATAATTGAATCCTAGGGTGGCAGGGAACATGGGCTGTCCTTAATCACCGAAGATAAGGTGGGTGTGGTCACCACAGTGGAAAGCAGTGTCAAAGCAGCAGTCAGAATGGTTTGACTCACAGACACCCACGGCATTGTGTAATCCATGGTATCCACAGGGAGAGCTAATGGGCTGTACCAAAGTCTTAGTTGTTCTTTAAAAAATGAAGAATTCTAGGTCAACTGAATAAAAGACTAACTCAAATTAATGAAACACAGATCTAAAACCCTCAATCAATTCCCAGACTTGAGCCAGTTCACAGGCCCACAACCCCTTAAGTGAAGGGGAGGCTGGGTGATCTTGGGGAAGTACGCTGCTACATTGCCAAAAATTTACATTGTTTATCTTTTTCCCAGTCTTCCCCAAAGGGACCTACAGCCTTCTGCCAGGATGACTATGACTTAAAGAAAAGAAAATTCTCAGATATTTGGGGAATTACCAGACACTGGCTCTGATTTGACACTATTATCACTATGTTGCCTAGGATGGATTCATGCTCCTGGGTTCAAGCAGTCCTCCTACCTCAGCCTCCCAAAGTGCTGGGATTACAGACATGAGCCACTGTGGCCAGCAGAGCTTTGAAACTAGAACATGGAGGTCCAGTGGTAAATATTTGACAAGAGATTGGGCCAAGGCAATGTTGATGATTCTTTTTTTTTTTTTTTTTTTTTTTTTTTTGCAACAGAGTCTTGCTCTGTTGTCTAGGCTGGAGTGCAATGGCGCGATCTCGGCTCACTGCAACCTCTGCCTCCGGGGTCCAAGCAATTCTCCTGCCTCAGCCTCCTGAGTAGCTGGGATTACAGGTGCCGACCACCACACCAGGCTAATTTTTTATTTTTTTATTTTTTTTGAGACAGAGTCTCACTCTATATCACCCAGGCTGGAGTGCAGTGGTGCAATCTGGGCTCACTGCAAACCCTGCCTCTCAGGTTCACGCCATTCTCCTGCCTCAGCCTCACGAGTAGCTGGGACTGCAGGTGCCTGCCACCGTGCCTGGCTAATTTTTTGTATTTTTAGTAGAGACGGGGTTTCACCGTGTTAGCCAGGATGGTGTTGATCTCCTGACCTCATGATCCGCCCGCCTCGGCCTCCCAAAGTGCTGGGATTACAGGGATGAGCCACCATGCCCAGCCACACCAAGCTAATTTTTGTATTTTTTTTTTAGTTGAGACAGGGTTTCACCATGTTGGCCAGGCTGGTCCCTGACCTTGTGATCCGCCCGCCTCAGCTTCCCAAAGTGCTGAGATGACAGGCGTGAGCCACCGCGCCTGGCCAATGTTGATGATTCTAAACAGCAGCCGCTAATGTGAAAACCATCCAATTGGAAGCCCTGGCCTTGCCCAGAGGACACAGTCTGGGTGGTGGACAGAGACTTCGGCTGCCTTCCAAGGCAAGTAGCTCCTTGCTGCCCGCTTGCTGGGGATTTTACTTACAGGGCAGAAGCTGGCGGGTGATTTGGGGGCAGGAATTGCTTCCTGGATGGTATAGGATGAACCACACTCCCCAGGAAGGTACTCATCCTGGTGGCCTAACAGAAGCAGCCCTCACCCCAAAAGGCAATGCTGCTCCACTAGTTTTATGGGGTGACTCCTTCCTGTAGGTTCCTTCCAGCTTTACCAGAAACACAGAACATCTTTCCTGACAGGGCATTGGTTTTGTTTTTGAACAGGGAGATCCTTCTTTTAAAAAGTTAGTTTTTTCTTTTTTCTTTTTTCTTTTTTTGTAATGGAATCAACCTAGGTCCTAAGCCTAGCAGGTTATTATTATTATTTTTATGATTATTTTTTGAGATGGAGTCCCACTCTGTGGCCCAGGCTGGAGGGCAGTGGCATGATCTCGGCTCACTGCAATGTCCGCCTCTTGGGTTCAAGAGATTTTCCTGCCTCAACCTACAGAGGAGCCAGGATTACAGGCGTGCACCACCGTGCCTGTCTAATTTTTGTACTTTTAGTAGAGATAGAGTTTTGCCATGTTGGCCAGGCTGATCTCAAACTCCTGACCTCAGGTGATCCACCCACCTCAGCCTCCCAAAGTGCTGAGAATACAGGTGTGAGCTGCCACACCCAGCCACAGGTTGTTTTTGCTGATCTTCTCCCTCCTCCCACCCTCCACCCTCGAGAAAATGCCGTACATCTACACCATGGAATACTACACAACCCTGAAAAGGAACAAAATCATGTTTTTGGTGTTTTTTTTTTTTCAGCAACACGGATGTAGCTGGAGGCCATTATCTTTTTAAATTATTTTTATTATTTTTTATTTTTTCTATTCTACTTTAAGTTCTGGGGTATATGTGCAGAACATGCAGGGTTGTTACATAGATATACATGTGCCATAGCGGTTTGCTGCACCTATCAACCCATCATCTACATTAGATATTTCTCATAATGCTGTCCCTCCTCCAGTCCCCCCCTCCTGCAACAGGCCCCAGTGTGTGATGTTCCCCTCTCTGGGTCGATGTGTTCTCATTGTTCACTTCCCACTTATGAGTGAGAACATGCAGTGTTTGGTTTTCTGTTCCTGTGTCACTTTGCTGAACATGAGGGTTTCCAGCTTCATCCATGTCCCTGCAAAGGACATGAACTCATCCTTTTTCATGGCTGCATAGTATTCCACAGTGTCTATGTGCTACATTTTCTTTATCCAATCTATCACTGATGAGCATTTGGGTTGGTTCCACATCTTTGCTATTGTGAACAGTGTGGAGGCCATTATCTTAAGTAAATTAACAGAATGCTGCGTGTTCTCACTTATAAGTGGGAGCTAAATGTTGTGTATACGTAGACACAGAGAAGGGAAGAGATACTGGGGTCTAGTTAGGGGGAGAGAGGAAGGTAGAAGGACAAGAGTTGAAAAAACCAACTGTGGGGTATTATGCTCACTACTTGGGTGATGGGATCACTCATACCCCAGACCTCAGCATCACACATCGTACCCATGTAAGAAACCTGTACATGTACCTCCTGAATCTAAACTGCTCCACCATTTGCGCCAGCAATTCCAAGACTGGGCATCTACCCAAAGGAAAAGAAGTCATTCTACCAAAAAGATACATGCATGGTAAACTTCCTTTTTTTTTTTTTTTTTGTTTGTTTTTGTTTTTTGAGACGGAGTCTCGCTCTATTGCCCATGCTGGAGTGCAGTCGCAATCTCGGCTCACTGCAACCTCCGCCTCCTGGTTCAAGTGATTCTCCTGCCTCAGCCTCCTGAGCAGCTGGGATTACAGGCATGCGCCACCATGCCTGGCTAATTTTTGTATTTTTAGTAGAGATGGGGTTTCACCATGTTGACCAGGCTGGTCTCGAACTCCTGACCTCAGGTGATCTGCCCACCTCGGCCCTCCAGAGTGCTGGGATTACAGTGCCCAGCCCTGTAAGGTTCATCACAGCACGACTTACAATAGGAAAGTCATGGAATCAACCTAGTTGCCCATCAGTGGGGTACCGGATAAAGCAAAAGTGGTTCTTCTACAGCATCGAATACTACACAGCCATGAAAAAGAATAAAATCATGTCCTTTGCAGCCACATGGATGTAGCTGGAGGGCATTATGCTTAATGAATTAACACAAGAACAGAAAATCAAATACCACATGTTCTTGACTGGATAAAGCAATTGTGGCCCTTCTATGCCATGGAATACTGCACAGCCATGAAAAAGAATAAAATCACATCTTTGCAGCCACATGGACACAGCTGAAGGGAATTATGCTTAGTGAATTAACGCCAGGAAAAGAAAATCGAATACCACATGTTCTCCACTAGATAAAGCAAATGTGGTCTTTCTGCATCATGGAATACTACACAGCCATGAAAAAGAATAATATCATGTCCTTTGCAGCCACATGGATGCAGCTGAAGGACATTATGCGTAGTGAATTAATGCCAGGAACAGAAAATGAAATACTACATGTTCTCAACTGGATAAAGCAAATGTGGCCCTCCTACACCACGGAATACTACACAGTGATGAAAAAAATAAAATCATGTCTTTGCAGCCACATGGATGCAGCCAGAGGGCATTATGCTTAGTGAATCAATACAAGGAACAGAAAATCAAATACTGCATGTTCTCCACTAGATAAAGCAAATGTGGTCCTTCCACATCATGGAATACTACACAGCCATGAACAAGAATAAAATCACGCCCTTTGCATCAACATGGATGAAGCCGAAGGGCATTATGTTTAGAGAATTAATGCCAGAAACAGAAAATCAAATACCACATGTTCTCAATTAGATAAAGCAAATGTGGTCCTTCCGCATCATGGAATACTACAGAGCCATGAACAAGAATAAAATCATGCCCTTTGCATCAACATGGATGAAGCCAAAGGGCACTATGCTTAGTGAATTAATGCCAGGAACAGAAAATCAAATACCACATGTTCTCGCTTATAGGTGGGAGCTAAACATTGCCTGCACCTGGACACAATGAAGGGGCACCACAGACCCTCAGGACTAATAGAGCAGGAAGCAGGGGCGGGGGTACAAGGGTTGAAAAACTACCCTGAGGTTCTTTGAATTTCCGGCAGAAGGCAGCAACTGGAGAGAGCTTTGGGTCACGGATTTTTCTGTTGCATTTTCTTGCTTGTTTGTTTTCTCTCTCGCTCTCTTTTTTTTTTTTTTTTTTTTTTTTTTTTTTTTTTTGAGATGGAGTCTCGCTCTGTGACCCAGGCTGGAGTGCGGTGGTGCAGTCTCGGCTCCCTGCAACTTCTGCCTCCTGGATTCAAGCAATTCTTCTACCTCAGCCTCCCAAGTAGCTGGGACTACAGGCACTTGCCACCACGCCTGGCTAATTTTTGTATTTTTAGCAGAGACGGGGTTTCACCATGTTGGCCAGGCTGGTCTCGAACTCCTGACCTCAGGTGATCTGTCTGCCTCGGCCTCCCAAAGTGTTAGGATTACAGGCATGAGCCACTGCGCCTGGCCCTCTTCTTATATATTTCTAGAACTCCTCTAGAATTTGGGGTTTGTTTTTCTTAATTACGAGGAATCAAGTTGAATCATTAGTGCATATATAAATATACATTTTATTTTTAGTACACATTATATACCTCAGGAATGTACAATGCTCAGTGCCTGGGTGACGGGATGATTCATACCCCAAACCTCAGCATCATACAATATCCCCAGGTCACAAAGCTGCCCGTGGATCCCCTGAATCTATAATAATAATAATAAATAAAAAGTGACTTTGTCATTCGCAGGGAAATGCAAATGACATTCACTCTGCCTCTCAGGCCCTTGGATTCCCAAAGTTTATTTTCATCGCGCCCAGGGGACACTCAGAATCTCGTTTTCAGAACACGGGTTGTTTTTCTTAGAAGCGCTTTGCAAAACAAAATAGGAAGCAAAATCTTTCTCACTCCTTCCACTCCGTAATAGACAAAATAAAATGAGGGGGCAGGAATCCAGAGACTTTGACCGCAGTTGGCAGATTTATTGTGGTACAGACATGAAGGCAAGCAGTGTTCTCTCTGATTCTACGAACCGTACAGCCCGGGCCGGCTGCCTTCTGCTTTCTGGATGGTGCAGGCGTGAGCTCCAAGCCCAAATTTCACCGGAGCTCCAGGAATCGAGCCTGGCCCAGGCACTAACTGCACGGGGGCCAAGCGTGAAACCAGTGATCGCTCCAGCAAGGTAACGGGACAGCTTGGTGATCCTTCTTGCCGGCTACAAAAGGTTATAGCCAGAATTCCACCGAATGTGGTCTTTCTGTGTCTCTCCCCAGACAGCGAAGCTGGACAAACCTGGGGGTGGGGGGTGGGGGGTGCTGACCTCAGTGGGGTGTCCTAGAGAGGGAGGAACCAGGGTTTACAGGGTGCAGATCCTACTGAAGCAAATGGACGTGGCATCCGCGGGCAGAGCTGGCTGTGGCGTCCCCCCTCTGCCTGCGGTGTCACCAAATGTACCCAGAGACCGCTTGTAAACCTGGAGGGTGTGTTAACGTCAGTGGGGTGTCCTGGAGAGGCAGGAACCTGGGTTTCCAAGGTGCAGATCCTACTGAAGCAAATGGACGTGACATCCGTGGGCAGAGCTGGCTGTGGCGTCCCCCCTTCTGCCTGGGGTGTCACCACATTTCACCGAGAGACCCCTTCTAAACCTGGGGAGTGTGCTTACCTTAATGGGGTGTCCTGGAGAGGCAGGAACCAGGGTTTACAGGATGCAGATCCTACTGAAGCAACTGGACGTGGCATCCATGGGCAGAGCTGGCTGTGGCTGGCCTTCCAGCCTGGATGTCCCCCCCACTGCCTGGGGTGTCACCAAATGCACCCAGAGACCCCTTCTAAACCTTGGGGGATGTGCTGACCTCAGTGGGGTTTCCTGGAGAGGCAGGAACCTGGGTTTCCAGGGTGCATATCCTACTGAAGCAAATGGACGTGGCATCCTTGGGCAGAGCTGGCTGTGGCTGGCCTTCCAGCCTGGACGTCTCCCCCACTGCCTGGGGTGTCACCAAATGCACCCAGAGACCTCTCATCCGAAAGCCCATTCATGGGAAGCCTCCAGGTCTCCTCGGCAGGCAGCATCACGTCTGATCTAACTGCGTTATCAGGTAATGCAGGCCTGTTCTACCTATGTGCGTGAGCGCGTGGGTGCCGTGTGGGAGTGTGTGTGTTGATGTGGGTGTGGGTGTGTGCTTGTGTGGCTGTGTGTGTGTGTGCCTGTTTATGTGATGATGAGTGTGTCTGTGAATCTGTAAGATAACGTGTGTTTCCATGCGTGTTTCTGTGTGAGCGTGCATTCCTGTGTTTTATGGAAGTGTGTTTTTGTGATGGTGTTTGTGTGTGCCCCTGCGTTTATCGTATTTGTGTGTTTGTGAATATGAGTGTATGTCTGTGAATCTGTATGGCAATGTATAAATTCTTTTTTTTTTTGTTTTTTTGAGATGGAGTCTCGCTCTGTCACCCATACTGGAGTGCAAAGGCACAATCTCAGCTCAAAGCAACCTCCGCCTCCCAGGTTCAAAAGATTCTTCTGCCTCAGCCTCCTGAGTAACTGGGATTACAGGCACCCACCACCACATCTGGCTAATTTTTCTTTTTTGATACGGAGTCTCGCTCTGTCGCCCAGGCTGGAGTGCAGTGGCGTGATCTTGGCTCACTGCAACCTCTGCCTCCCGGGTTCAAATGATTCTCCTGCCTCAGCCTCCTGAGTAGCTGGGATTACAGGTATACGCCACCACATCTGGCTAATTTTTGTATTTTTGAGTAGAGACGGGGTTTCACCATGTTGGCCAGGCTGGTCTGGAACTCCCGACCTCAAGTTATCTGCCCGCCTCGGCCTCCCAAAGTTCTGGGAGTACAGGCGTGAGCCACCTTGCCCGGCCCCAGTGTGTGAATTTTTATGTTTGTGTGTCCACATGATTATGTGAGTCTTTTTGTGACTGTGTTTGCATGAGTGTGTGACTGTATTTGTGTGTTTGTGTGTGCTTGTGTGATTCTGAGTGTGTGTATGAGTGCGTGTGACATATGTGAGTGTCTATGTGGGTGAGTAGCCATCCATGTGTTTATATGAGAGTGTTTTCATGATTCTGTTTATGAGTGTCTTTGTATGTATACGTGTTTGTGTGCTTTGTGAGCATGTCAATGTGCATGTGCACCCACGTGTGCAAAAAAACCCACACATTTTTGTAATTGTGTTTGTGTGTGTGTCCCTGCGTTTGTGTGAGTGTGCATGTCTTTGTGTGTCCATGTGTTTCTATGAGTTTGTTTTGTGCTTCTGTCTGTCTTGGTGTTGATGTGTGTTTGTGTAAGTGTGTGGTTGCATTTGTGTCAGTGATTCTGGAGCAGGTGAGCTGATCACAAGCCTGAGCCGAGAATCCACGGAGCTCATTTACAACAGAAGCCGGGACCCTGTGCAAATCCTTCTAAAATATCCCCGGTTTACAGAGCTCCTAGGGGTGGGGAAGAAAAATTCCCTGACATTTCGGCCTCAGAGAAAGAGAGAGACACCCCACTGGCCTCTGCTGTTTCTCAGAAAACAGGTGGGGCATCACTCTTTCCCAAGTGACGGTGATTTTGAGAACGGTTCACCTTTTGAAGAGACGTTTCTGCCCTGGCGATCCATACATATTGAACCCAAATGAATATTTTTTAATTAAAAATTTTTGTATAAATATACATTGTGTATACTTTATATTAATATATTGATATAAATAAATATATTTTATTATAAACATATGATTTTTATAGTTCATATAAATAAAGTTATATATAGTTTATATGTAAAATATACTTTTATTTGTAATACATAATTTTATAGATTAAATTTTATATACTAAGCAAAGTTATATGTGATATATACATGCCATATAACATCATTTATATAATATATAACTTTATGTAAATAAGTATATAATAAAATTGATCTTATTATATTTGTTAATACATAATGATGTGTATATACTATGTAAAAATAAAATTATATATTGTATGTGTGTAATTATATTTCTATAAATACACGCTTATGTGTGTATTTATACATGAATGCCTGTGTTTGTGTGAGTACATCAGTGAGTGCGTGAATGTGTGTGTGTGCCTGTGTTTGTGTGAGTGTAAGAGTGTTGTACATTTATACACACACATTTTGTTTCCTGGTTAATAACAAGATCTGTCTTTGATTTAGGATATGAAGAATTCTTATAAGCAACCCTCCCACACAAAATTTGTATTTATTTTAAAATATTCTTAAAATATGGGTTCTTTTATTTTTGCACAAACAGACAAGAGTGTTTTTTCTTTCCAAAACTTTTATTTCAAATTCTGACCCTGAGGAGCAGAAAAAAACATTGTGTAACCTTATATACATTAGACACATAAGTAGTTACTAAATGCAATACAGATTTTGACAACATGCATCTAGGAAAAATGAGGAATTCAAACTCGTAGCTGCCTCAATATTGAACTTTCTAATGTTTAATTTTTTTTAATTAAAAAATATTCGTTTGGGTTCAATATGTATGGATCTCCAGGGCAGAAATGTCTCTCCAAAAAGTGAACCACTCTGAAAATCACCGTCATTTGGGAAAGAGTGATGCCCCAGCTGTCTTCTGAAAAATAGCAGAGGCTTCCGGCCAGTGGGGTCTCTCTCTCTTTCCCTGAGGCCGAAATGTCAGGGAATTTTTCTTCCCCACCCCTAAGAGCCCAGTAAACGGGGGATATTTCAGAAGGATTTGCACAGGGTCCCGGCTTCTGCTATTTATGAGCTCCATGGATTCTTGGCTCAGGCTTGTGATCAGCTCACCTGCTCCAGAATCACTTCCCGTCTTAGCTTCTGGGCTAAGACACCTCAAAACCAGCAAAGGAAAGTCCTCACTGGTCAACGCGTCCATCCCAACTCCCCCATCTCCCCTTAGGGTGGGTTTGGGGTTCGGGACTGCTTTACTGTTCCTTTCAAAGCAGACTGGGAGGTAAGATTTTATTCTGCTTCCAGAGGTTCAGGATTTCTGCAGACGGTCAGCAACTCTTTGCATCCTACTGGTAAAAGTTTTATATACTTTGTATTTATATAAATATGCATTGTGTATATTTTATATGAATAGATTGATATAAATATATTTTATTAACTTAACCATATGACTTTTATATTTTTATATAAAGTTATATGTAGTGTATATGTAAAATACACTTTTATTTGTAATACATAATTTTATAGATTAAATTTAATATATTAAGCAAAAATATATGTAACATATAACATATAACATCATTTATATAATATATAACTTAATGTAAATAAGTATATAAAATTGATATTATATTTGTTAATACATAATTATGTATATATACTATGTAAAAATAAAATTACATATTGTATATGCATAATTATATTTCTATCAATACAATTATATACTATATATAATTATGTATAAAATAATTGTATAATAAAATTATATAATAAATTTTGAAATGTTATAAATTATTATACATAGTATTTTATTGTATTAAATTTAGAAATGTGTTATATGTAATAAAATTTTATTATAATAAACGTAGATTATATAAAATTTTATTTACAATAAATTACCTTATGTATAATTATAATATGAGAAAATAATTATATATCATTGTATTATAATAAGTTTAGAAATGTTATACACTATTATATATAAAATTTCATTATATTAAATTTAGAAATATATGTAGTAAAATGGTATTATATTAAAATTTTTATGTAACATTTTATTATACATGTATAATTTTATATAATGTTTTATAATATATAGAATATAAGTACACAGAATGTAAGTACAAAAATATTTATATACAGCTACACGTAATGTAAATACATCAGTGTAAGATGTTTTGTGTGTGTGAGATGGAGTCTCACTCTGTTGCCCAGGCTGGAGTGCAGCGACACGATCTTGGCTCACTGCAACGTCTGCCTCCTGGGTTCAAGCGATTCTCCTGCCTCAGCCTCCCGAGTAGCTGGGATTACAGGCATGCACCACCACACCCAATCAATTTTTGTATTTTTAGTAGAGATGCAGTTTCACTGTGTTAGCCAGGATGGTCTCAAACTCCTGACCTCAGGTGATCCACCTGCCTTGGCCTCCCAAAGTGCTGGGATTACAGGCATGAGCCACAGTGTAAGATACTAGCTATTAAAAAATAAATATATATATATATATTGCAACAGCTGATTTGTCTGGAAGAGTTTGGTCAGAAGACAGTGTATTAAGAAGACTGTGAGTCCCCAGAGGAATATAAGAATATACATCATGTTGATATATTATATATAACATAAATAGCTAACTACATCTGTATATATAGTATAAACAAAAGTACAAAAATATTTGTATATAACTATATGTAATATAAATACATCAGTGTAAGATATTAGCTATTAAAAATATATATATAGCAACCAGTGATTTGTCTGGAATATTCTGGTCAGAAGACAGTGTATTAAGAAGACAGTGAGTCCCCAGAAGAATATAAGAATATACATCATGTTAATATATTATATATAACATAAATACCTAACGACATCTGTATATATAGTATAAACATAAAGTACAAAAATATTAGTATATAACTATATGTAATATAAATATATCAGTGTAAGATATTAGCTATTAAAATATACATATGTGTGTATGTATGTGTATATGTGTATATAAATATTATATATATATATAGTAACAGCTGATTTGTGTGGAAGACATTGGTCAGAAGACAGTGTATTAAGAAGACAGTGGGTCCTCACAGGAAAATAAGAATATACATCATGTTTATATTACATATAACATAAACAACTAATTACATCTGTATATATAGCATAAACATAAAGTACAAAAATATTTGTATATAATCATATGTAATATAAATATACCAGTGTAAGATATTAGCTATTAAAATATACATGAGTGTATGTATGTGTATATATAATATATATACATATATAACATATATAATATATAAGATATAGCATAATAATATAATATATTATATATAATATGTAATATATAATGTATATTATATATAATATGTAATATATAATGTATATTATATAATTAATATATAATATATTCTATGCAATAAAATATATAGCACATATATATATAGCACATATATATATATATATATATATATATAGCAACAGCTGATTTGTCTGGAAGAATTTGGTCAGAAGACAGTGTATTAAGAAGACAGTGAGTCCCCAGAGAAATATAAGAATCTACATCATGTTTATATTATATATAACATAAATAGCTAACTAACTACATCTGTAATATAGCCTAAACATAAAGTACAAAAATATTTATATATAATATAAATATATCAGTGTAAGATATTAGCTATTAAAAAAATATACATATATATAGCAACCAGTGATTTGTCTGGAAGACTCTGGTCAGAAGACAGTGTATTAGGAAGACAGGCAGTCCCTGCAGGAAGCATGGTGCAGGTGGGATCTGGAGGTGACTCTGGGCTGCCAGAAGACGCCCCACTGCTTTGCGGCAGACACAGGTGGAGAGGCCCTCTCTGTAGCTTCAGCGTAGACACTGTGTGTGTCTTGTTGTGGGGACACTTCTTTCTGCTTCCCTCTCCACTGTGACCCCGTCACACTCACTGACCTGCCCTCCTCCTTCCTCTCGCTCTCCGGGGCCCCTGTGGAAAGAGGGTCTTCCCTCCATGCAGCAGGAACCCCCTGGACCCTCCCCATGCTCCTGGGTTCTGAACCTCAGGGACATGCGATCCTACCTGACCGGGCACAGGCTCTGTTCACCCTCAGGAACCCCTGTCCTCCCAGGCCACTGTGGACTGGAGAACTGGCCTCCTGAAAATCCAGAGAGAACTTAGCACTCACAACTTCTTTTTCTTTTTTCTTTGAGATGGGATCTTGCTCTGTCCCCCAGGCTGGAGTACAATGGCGTGATCTCAGCTCACTGCAACCTCCTCCTCCCAGGTTCAAGCAGTTCGTCCTGCCTCTGCCTCCCGAGTATCTGGGATCACAGGCATCGACCCCCACAGCCAACTAATTTCTGTATTTTTAGTAGAGACGGGGATTCACCATGTTGGCCAGGCTGGTCTCGAACTCTTGACCTCAAGTGATCCACCCGCCTCGGCCTCCCAAAGTACTGGGATGACATATATTAGCATGATGTATATTCTTCTATCCCTCCAGGGACTCACTGTCTTCTTGGGCAGTGAACCACCGTGCCAGGACTTCTCTGTCCACATCTACACACATCTAAACCTCTGTAGATTCTGAATTGTTTTTCCTTTTGCACAGAATGAGAGGAACTAAAGTCGAGAGGCCCAGCCCCAACACGGTCCCTGTGGCTCTGTGCTCAGGCGGTTTATGGCTGAGAAGGACTTGGGGGGTTGAGGGCTTCCTATCAGCCCAGGAGACATTATCCGGGTCTGGGAAGCCTGCTCTGCACTTGTGGGTCTCGAATTGTCTGTTGCATTTACCTGCCTCATTATTTTTTCTTCCTGTCTCTCTTCTTACATATTTCTCTCGAATTTGGAGCTTGTTTTTCTTAACTACAATCAACCTGAATCATTACTGCATATATAAATATAAATTTTATATTGAATAGACATTATATACTCAATCTATTACACATTCCAACACAGGCCATATCTAAGATGTATATTTATATTTAATGTTTAAAATATGTTTACATTTCATATGGAAAAATATATTTATATTTAACATATATAAACCCTGGTCTTGGGTTCAACAAAGAGCCAGAAGGCAGCAGAGCAGGCCAGCAGGGCTGGAGGCTGGTCTCAGAGATATGGAGGAGGAAGGGAGTGAGAGACACTCAAAAGGAAGAACCCACAGGGTGACTGTGGCCCTGGTCAGAAGGCAAGGGAGGGATAGGGATGAGGCCGAAAGTTGTAGTTTGGTTGATCAAGTGGATTTTCTCATCACTGTCATGCAGTAAGGGTGTGGGGGAGAGAGAGAATCGGAAAGGAGAGGAAATGTGGCCAGTCACTAATATGATCGAGAAGGTCTGGGCTGGTTCTCCCTTCTTAGGGAATCACAATTCTCTAAGGTGGTGACCCCAGCCACCTAATGGGATCCCAGAATGTCAGGGTCCTTGGAACCCGAAAATTCATTCAGTTACACATTCATTCATTTGTTCATTCAACTGTCTAATTGCCAAGTGTTTATCAGGCACATCAATGGGTTGAGTAGATCCTGCCCACTGAGAATCTGCAGATTAGTAGGGGAGGGAGCTTTGCTAAATAAATTTATAACTGTGCAGTAGAAGCTAAATATAGTTAGGAAAACATGCTGTTTGCACAGTGGAGGAAGTTAATAACTGCATGAAGAGCTCGGGGAAGTCTTGCCCAAGGAGTGAGATTTGAGACAGTTGTGGAGCCCCGAGTCAGTGCAGCCAGATGGAGGCCACAACAAAGGGACAGGAAGTCCTGGCAGTAAACAGCTTGGGCAAAGGTTTAGAAGCAACCAAGAGACTCGGGTGTTTGATCAGTTGCAGTTGGCTTAACATGGCAGAAACAGGGAGAGAGGGTGCACAAGAAATGGGACTTGGGACCAAGCCTGAGCCAGCCTTCAAAGGCTGTGTCATGGGAAGGAGGCTGAATTGCATCCCCTCAACCAAAGTGGTCTCTTCACAAGGCATATGTAGCTCTTGACCACTTGGCTGACCAGATTATCCACTTGAGCAAATTATCCAAGACATGAATATAAAATACATACCAGATTTTGAAGTGTGAATACAAAAGAAAAACAAGTTTAAACTATCTAGTAACTAATTTTTATATTGATTATAGGTTGAATTGGTAATATTGGGGATTTATTATGTTAAATAGAATATATCATTAAAAAATCATTTCACCTATTTGTTTTTACTGTTTAAAAATAATGTAGCCACTAGAAAATTGGAAATTACAGATGTGGCTTGCATATGTTCTTTAGAGTGTGGGAGACAATAAAGGGTTAGAGAGGAGGAATGCATGCAAGGCTGGATCTAGGAGCAACAAAGATGAGGAGTGGTGGGTATAGACTGCATGCAGCAGGAGGATGGATGGGAAGGAGACCAGATAATGGTCAAGGTGAGAAATGACTCAGACTAAAGGAAAGGATTTGACAAGAGGGAAGGCCAGGCAGGTGACTGATGGGGAAATCATGATACTATTATTTTGTTGAGCACTCATGATGGATAAAACCTTTTTGTTTGTTTGTTTGTTTGTTTTTGAGAGACAGTCTTGCTCTGTCACCCAGGCTGGAGTGATGTGGTGCGATTTCGGTTCACTACAACCTCCGCCTCCCAGGTTCAAGCAATTCTTCTGCCTTAGCCTCCCAAGTAGCTGGGATCAGAGGCACCCGCCACCATGCCCAGCTAATTTTTGTATTTTTGGTAGAGACGGGGTTTCACCATGTTGCCCAGGATGGCCTCAAACTCCTGACCTTAGGTGATCTGCCCGCCTCGGCCTCCCAAAGTGCTGGGATTACAGGCATGAGCCACCACGCCTGGCCAGATAAAAACTTTTTATATAAGTTAATCAGTTCTATGATTATCCCCTTTACATGCAACATTGGAAATGTTGGCTTAGATTTTAAGTGACTCCTCCAGAGCTAAGACTCACACTCAGTCTGGCCTCAAGCCTGAGTTCCAGGTCTCATTTTCCATTGAGCTGGTGGGGTGGGGGCATGAGGATGATACAGGAGTCCAACTCAGCTCCCGGCTTTCTAGATCTCTTCTCATAGCATGGAATCCCAGAATCATGAAGGATGGAGGCAAGAGAGGGACGGGTTACAAGCAGAAGACAGAGTTCCTCTGGAACCATCTAGCTGGTCTTTAAAACTGTGGGCCATGGCCAGGTGCAGTGACTCACACGTGTAGTTCAGCCACTCAGCAGGCTGAGACAGGAGGATCGCTGGAGCCCAGGAGTTCAAGGCTGTAGAGCATCATGAATTGAACCTGTGAATAGCCACAGCAGTCCAGCCTGGGCAGCATAGCAAGATCCTATCTCTAAAATAAAATAATAAACAAGTAAATAATAATGTTTTAAAATGTGGGCCTGGCCCAGGGGTAAAAGCCTGATGCAGGAAGAACCCAGTGCATAGAGTATGGCATAAGCTGAGATCACTGTCTCTTTTTTTTTTTTTTTTTTTTTTTGTGAGATGGAGTCTCGCTCTGTCACCCAGGCTGGAGTGCAGTGGCATGATCTCGGCTCACTGCAACCTCTGCCTCCTGGGTTCAAGCAATTCTCCTGCCTCAGCCTCCCAAGTAGCTGGGATTACGGGCATGTGCCAACACACCCAGCTAATTTTTGTATTTTTAGTAGAGATGAGATTTCACCATGTTGGGTAGGCTGGTCTCTAACTCCTGACCTCAGGTGATCCACCCGCCTCGGCCTCCCAAAGTGCTGGAGACCACTGTTTAACAAGAGAGGGACTCATGACCACACATGGAACGCTGATACTGACATGTGTCCACCTCTCTGGGGAGATGCCTCAGGATCTTTTTAGCTGGGGTGAATGCACGTTCCCAGGCAAGTTGGGGTTACAAGGGAGATGGTTTGCCCGGCACCTCTCTGAGTGAGGCATGTCTACAGGTTGTGTGAACACCCAATGTAGAGAGTCCCTCTCCGCAAGGCACACTCAGACCCACCACCCACGGGCTCAGGGGGCCTTGCTGTGGGCCGGGGCTGCAGGGAGCTCCCCATTGCTACTTCACCCAGACAGTCCAACACAGTCTCAGTGAGACCACGTCCTTCATGCCTCTAGGTATCTCCATGGGTCCAGAGGCTTCTGCCTGGGGTCACAGGCAAGATAAGTTGAGGGGGGACTCTGATTATCCCACCAAGCATGGCTTGCTTAAAACCTGGAGACAGGAGCTGGAGTGCTCCCGAGCAGGGCTCAGCAAACTACAGCCTGGGCGCCATACCCAGCCCAGTGTAGCCCCATCTGTTTCTGTAAATACAGCTTTATAAGAACACAGCCATGCCTCTTTGTTGACATGTTTGTCTGTGGCTGCTTTCTTGCTACTAGGACAGAATTGAACAGTTGTGACAGAGATCGCATAGCCCACAAAGCCAAAAATATTTACCACCTGGCTCTTTATAGAAAATGGGCTGGGTGCAGTGGCTCACGCCTCTAATCCCAGCACTTTAGGAGGCCCAAGCAGGGGGATCACTCGAGCTCAGGAGTTTGAGATCAGCTTGAGCAACATAGTGAGACATTCATCTCTCCAAAAATAAAACTAAATAAATAGCCAAGCATGGTGATGCACGCCTGTAGTCTCAGCTGCTCAGGAGGCTGAGACAGGACAATCACTTGAGCCTGGGAGTTTGAAGCTGCGGTGAGCTATGATTGCACCACTGCACTCCAGCCTGGACCACAGAGCAAGACTTTATCCCTAAAAAAAGGAAAAAAAGAACATGTTTGCCGACACCTGCCACTCTCTTGTACAAATAAGTAAATGCATTTACTTGCTCATCTAGACCAGTGGTTCACAATCAGTGTGAGTTTACCACCTGGGGACATTTGGCAATGTCTGGAGACATTTTTGTTTGTCACAACTGGGAAGGGGCATCTGGTGGGTAGAGGCCACAGATAACCACTCACCATTCAACAATCCGCAGGACAGCCCCACAACCAAGAACTGTCCAGCCCAAAACGTCGATAGGACCAAGGTGGAGAACCCACTCTAGGCCTATTACCTGGCTCCTGTTCTCCCTGGAGGCCCAGACCAGGTGCTTTCTAAGCTTGTTTGCCCTGTAACCGCTGGGCAGAATCAGATGACACCAGAGGGTCCTGTCCTGGGCATGGATGCCCCTCCAGGGTGCTTCGGTCAACCCCTTGCCTCCCATGGCCCACAAAAGTAAGGACTCAGGTGAGTGCTCACCACAGTGATCTGCCAGTCTCCCGGGGCCCCGGGCCTTTGCCCAAGGCTGGTACTACGAAGTCGCACAACAGTCAGACCAAACTCAGCAAAAAGTGACAAGCAGCTTTAATTCCCTAATGCAGTCTCCAATGGGGATTTACAGCAACACTGCAGGACCAGGAGATGCTGAGTGGCTCAGCCTCCTCGGCGCTTCGGGCGGCGACTCCACCCTCTTCCATGACAGTCTCTCCAAGGGGATGCGTGCCTCTGCTGTCTTCAGTTCAAGGGACACGTGTCCTGGCTGCAGTGGGTTCCATTTCTTCCTCCCACTCCCTCTCCCTCTCCTCCTTCTCCGAGCTGCGGGCCCCCATAGCACAGTAATACATAGCCTCGTCCTCAGGCTGCAGCTCAGAGATGCTCAAATACCCCCTGTTCCTGGCCACATCTTTGGATCCAGAGAAGCGAGGGGGGACCTGGGGGCCCTGGCTCTTGTCTGATTGTGAGAAATATCTCAGCAGGAACCTGGGAGGGTGGCCCGGCCTCTGCTGGTACCAGTAGACGCTGTACACACCGATGTCATGGTCGTTCCTCAGGGTGCAGGTGAGGCGGATTGTGGTTCCAAGGGCCGAGGACATGGCCGGCGGCTGATGCAGCACCGGCTGAGGACCACAACCTGGTGACACAGATGCATGTGGGCCGTGGGGGCAGGGCAGGATGAAGGAAGGGGCAGGAGTCTTTGGGATCTGGGGGTTCCCTCACCTGTGCAGTAGACAAACAGCATGAGCAGGACAGGAGCCCAGGACATGGTGCAGACATGCAGAGCTCTGACTCCTGTGGCCACGGTGCCTGGGGTCCCCAAGGGCTGGCCCAGCATCCTCCTCCCTGCTCTGAGAGGTGGGGCCGTGGCACACCCCGTTCCTGGCCACTACCATCCCAGACTTTCTTGGGTCTGCAACGTCGGTTACCGGAACAGCGTCGGGGCAGCATTTGTGGCTCTGATCTTGCCATATGGAAGCATTCAGGGAGGAAGCACCTGCTGGAGACTCTGGGGCCAGTGCCCTGGAGGCCTTTGGGTTAAGGTACCTCAGGGGTCGTGACCTCAACTTCCCCCTGAGGAAACCGCACCCCAGATAAATAAATTTTCTGTCTACATTTAAATGCTTGGTGAGCCAGGAAGGGAGGACACATCCTCGGGGGGTGAAAACACCTGCTTTGTACAGCAGAAGACACTGGGGGCCCAGAGCGGGTTGGGATGTTCTGCCCCTTCCATGTTGCAGCACTGCCTTCGGCCCATGCTCCTCTCCCTACTAGAACCAAGTAGAGTGACTCAGGCATGGGAAAGAAGCACCAGGGCCTGGTGCCTTCCCCACCCCTGTTCTGGCTCACCGAGCAGGTGCAGCTTGGCACTGTGATAGACTGAATTGCATCCCCCAAATCCATAGGTTGAAGCCCTAACCCCCAGTGTGCCTGTATTTGGAGATAGGGCCTTTAAGGAGTTAATGAAGGTTAGATGAGGTCATAGAGGTGGGGCCCCGGTCAGTACAACTGGTGTCCTTATAAAAAGGGGAAATTTGGGAGCCGGATGCAGTGTCTCACACCTATAATCCCAGCACTTTGGGAGGCCAAGGTGGGAGGATCACTTGAGCTCAGGAGTTCGAGTCTAGCCTGAGCAACATGGCAAAACCCCATCTCTACAAAAAAAATTTAAAAATTAGCTGGTCATGGCGGACAGGCACCTGCAGTCCCAACTACTTGGGAGGCTGAGGTGGGAAAATCACTTGAGCTTGGGAGGTTGAGTTGAGGCTGCAGCAAGCCAAGATCTCACCACTGCCCTCCAGCCTGGCCAACAGAGGGAGACCCTGCCTCAAAAAAAAAATGAGAATAAAAATAATACATTAAATGTATGTTTGCATACTACCTGCAAGATTTAAAAAAAAATTAAGGGGAAATTTGGACTTAAAGTCTCTGATCCCACATGCTCACCCTCCCTCAAAAAGCTGGAGTGTCTCCTCCCCTGGAACCTGTGCAGGCCTGTGATCAAGGCTGAAGTGTCCCTGGGTGCACGAGGTGGCACTGAGCAGCTGGGTGTGCACTGGGACTGTTTACTTGCAAACACTTTGATAGAGCAACCACCCCTGAGGCTCAGATGAGCCCCTGCTCGGTGTCAAGCTGCCCCACATCCATTCTCTGCCTGGTGAGGTGCAGGCTGCACCAGTTTCAGCCCGCAGGGTCGACTCTGGGAGCCCCACCCTTCTTCCCACTGCCTCTCTGGCCAACAGCTCCACTGCCCAGGTGAGGGCTGGGGAGGGCCTCTGCAGACACAGGATGTCTTGACCACTCTGTCCAGTAACAGCTGCAACCACATCTATGACCTGTTGCTCCTCCCTCCTCTGCACAGGCTGGTGGGCAGTGGGGAACTAACCAGTGACTGCTGACTCCTGGAGAGGAGAAAGGAAGCTTTTTTCACTCATTCATTCATTTATTCCCTCATCCAGTAGCTCATTCATGTGTTGTGCACGTATTTGTGAAAGAGAAATATACCTCCCAGACCCCTCCGAGAGCACCAGTCCTTGGGAATCAGGGCAGGAGAAGGTTCCACCTGTGGGCACCAGCACTACTGCAGTCCCTGAACTAGCCCTACCACTGACACTGTCAGAGCTTTTTGATCCTTTTAAGCTCAGAGAGGATAGGTGTTTCTACTTGCTCTTACAATTATACTTAGAGAGCAAATAAGCCCAGCCCTCAACCGTAGAGACACTCTGGTCCCAACTTTCTTTCACAGGCTTCACTGACCCAGGACCTTTGCATCACTCACAGAGCAAGATAGTATCCAGTGGTGACTGTGCGTGCTGGGGAATGACTGGGCCTTCCAGACCCTGCTGGAGATGGTCTCAGACCCCTGGAGCATCTAGAGTTAGATGCAGGTCATGCACTCTGAACTCTGCATTCTCCTGGCCCTGGGCCACTCTTCCCACCTCTGTTCCCTCAGCCTTGTCCTCAACCCACCAACACCTGGACTCAGGGATCATCTGCAGGGCACAGCAGTTTGATGGGATTGAAGAACACCATGTATTCAGTCCTTTCTGGCTGCACTCAACTCTTTTTAGATAATTCTAGACCAAGAGAAGGTTGGTGAGCTCTGTAACAGACCTCAAGGTCTACAAGGGTCTCAGGGGAGACAGGAGCTATTCAGTGCTCCTGCCTGGTTTGTAGATTTTTTTTTTTTTTTAGAGACAAGGTTTCACTCTGTTGTCCAGGCTGGAGTGTAGCGGTGCAGTCACAGCTCACTGCAGCCTCGAACTCCTGGGCTCAAACAATTCTCCTGTCCCAGCCTCCCAAGTAGCTGGGACTACAAGCACATGCTACCACACCCAGCTAATTTTTTTTACTTTTTGTGGAGACAGGGTCTTGCCATTTTGCTCAAGGCTGGTCTCAAATTCCTGCGTTCGAGAGATCCTCCTGCCTCAGCTTCCTAAAATGCTGGGATTACAGGTGTGAGCTACCCACCGCACGCCCGGCTGAATAGATATTTTAAACTGTTTCAGCGATCCACTGCTACGTGGCAAACCACCCGTAATGTAGTCATTTAAAACAAGACTTGATTAGTTCCCCAGTTCTGTGAGTTGCCTGGGTGGTTCTTCTGGTTCCACCTACAATCATGCATGTGGTTATGGTCATTGATGGCTGGACCACCTGCACTGGAGGTCTATCCAAGATTGCACTTCATTCTCCTACACATGGCTCTGATATTAGCAAGCTCTCACCCTCGGTGGTCTAGTGGTCCCTCTGGTCACCCATTCGTCCCATCTCCTTTCCTCCTCCCTCATGTCAGGGTCCCCCAGTCCCCGTCTCCCTCATTTCACATCCGAAGGCATGCTTACCTAGTGCCTTTCCACCCCTCTGCTCTCACATGGTGCTAAGCCAGGCTCGCACCAGTCTCCTTGTCACCACAGGACCTTTGCCCGTGATCCCAATGCCAGGATGAATTCCAGTCCCTCAGAACTAACCTCCTTCCTCCAGGTGCTCACTTCAGAGTCCCTTCCTGGGCAGCCTCCCCGACAGCCCCAGGTGAGTAGGCCTGCCCTGCTCTTCCTCTCTCATGGACTATGCTGCGTTTTGGTTTTGGTTTAGGTTTTTGTTTTGTTTTGTTTTGTTTTTTTGTTTGTTCGTTTTTTGAGACAGAGTCTTGCTCTGTCACCGAGGCTGGAGTGCAGTGGCGCAATCTCAGCTCACTGCAAGCTCCACCTCCCAAGTTCACGCCATTCTCCTGCTTCAGCCTCCCGAGTAGCTGGGACTACAGGCGCCCGCCACCACACCCTGCTAATTTTTTTTTGTATTTTTAGTAGAGACGGGGTTTCACTGTGTTAGCCAGGATCGTCTCGATCTCCTGACCTCGTAGTCAGCCCACCTCGGCCTCCCAAAGTGCTGGGATTACAGACGTGAGCCACCGCGCCCAGCCTTTCTTTTTTTTTTCTTAAGCAGGGTCTCTACCGCCCAGGCAGGAGAGCAGTGGTGTAATCTTAGCTCACTGCAGGCTTGAAACCCCCGGCCTCAAGCAGTCCTCCTGTCTTGGCCTCCCACAGTGTTGGGATTACAGACATGAGCCATCACGCCTGGCCTAACACTTGTTTCTGCCGGGGCATTTATCACAGGTTTTAACTGCACCTGTGCTTGTTTCTTCTCCTGTCCACAATCTCTATGAGATTGTTTCTGTTTAGTTCATCACTGAAAGTTCAACCTTTAGCTAATCTTTTTGGTTTGTTTGTTTTTTTTTGAGACAGTCTCACTCTGTCACCCAGGCTGGAGTGAAGTGGCACTATTTTGGCTCACTGCAACCTCTGCCTTCCAGGTTCAAGTGATTCTTGTGCCTCAGCCTCCCAAGTAGCTGGGATTACAGGCACATGCCACAATGCCCAGCTACTTTTTGTATTTTAGTAGAGACAGCATTTCACAATGTTGGCCAGGCTGGTCTCAAACTCCTGGCCTCAAGCGATCCTCCCGCCTTGACCTCCCACAGTGCTGAGATTACAGGTGTGAGCCACCATGCCCAGCCCAACCTTTAGCTTACCTAGTGTCTCCTGTGTACCACTAACTGTGAACAACAGGAATTTGAACTTCGTGTGTCCACTTATTTGCAGATTTTCTTATGCCTCTTTCGCCCCTGAGACTGTAAAACCAACCCCCTCCTCTTCCTCCTCCTCCTGTAGGATAATCCATCTGTTTCTACCTAATGAATAGTAAATAGATTTTATCTTCCTTAAGATTATCTTAATAACGTTTTCTTTTCTCTAGCTTACTTTATTATACGAATACAGTACAGGAAGGGTGCAGTGGCTCACGCCTGTAATCCCAGCACTTTGGGAGGCCGAAGCAGGTGGATCACTTGAGGTCAGGAGTTTGAGACTAGCCTGGCCAACATGGTGAAACCCCATCTCTACTAAAAATACAAAAATTAACCAGGCTTGGTGGCACATGCCTGTAATCCCAGCTACTTGGGAGGCTGAGGCAGGAGAATCACTTAAACCTGGGAGGTTGCAGTGAGCAGAGATGGTGCCACTTCACTCCAGCCTGGGCCACATAGTGAGACTCCATCTCAAAGAAAAAAAAATGCATACAGTACATAATACGTATAAAATTCAAAGTATGTGTTAATTGACTGTTGATATCATCAGTAAGGCTTCGAGTCAACAGCAGGCTATTAGTAGTTAAGAGTTTTGGGGGAGTCAAAATATATACATAGCCAGGCAGATTTTCAACTGAACAGGGGACTGGCTCCCCTAAACCCGACATTCCTCAAGAGTTTATTGTTCACTGTAGTATAACGGCATGAACGAACGAATGAAGGAATGCATGATGCCTCTCGTGTGGAGTGAAATGCTCACCCAGCACCTGGGCACACATACAGGGTGAGGGTAGTGAATACTGCCCGAGAGCTGTAGCAGTGGCAACACTAGCACTGCTCCCCACTCTTTAGCCTCTTGTTCTGCGGGGCCAGCTGGAAATTCTTACACAAGTCAGTTGGGTTCCTGAACCTCAGCTAATATGCGTATTACCCATGTCGAGGCCCTAGCCCACTGACAGGGGACCAGGCTCATGAGGCCATGGTGGAGATTAAGAATATGGATGTGGCTGGCCTTGGCAGTGCGTGCCTGTAATCCCAAAGCTTTGGGAGGCTGACGCAGCAGGATCACTTGAGACCAGAATTCGACACACTGTTCCTACCAAAAAAAAAAAAGTGGGTGACAACACAATGCTGTTATGAACTGAATGTTTGTGTCCTCCCAAAATTCATAAGCTGAAATCCTAAATGCCAGTGTGATGGTGCTCAGACATGGGACCTGTAGGAGGTAATTAGGTCATGAGGGCAGAACCTCACGAATGGGATGAGTGCCTTTACAAAAGAGGCCCTGCTGGGCACGGTGGCTCGTGCCTGCAACCCCAGCACTTTGGGAGGCCAAGGCAGACACATGACTTCAGGCCAAGAGTTCAAGACCAGCCTGGCAAACATGGTGAAACCCGGTCTCTACTAAAAATACCAAAATTAGTCGGGCATGGTCACACACGCCTATAGTCCCAGCTACTCGGGAGGCTGAGACACGAAAATTGCCTGAACCCGGGAGGCGGAGACTGCAGTATACCAAGATCATGCCACTCACACCACTACACTCCAGCCTGGGCAACAGAGTGAGACTCTGTCTCAAAAAAAAAAAAAAAAAATCCCAGAGATCTTTTTAGCCCTTTTTCTGCCACACGAAGACACGAGAAGTTGGCAGTCTGTAGCCTGGAAGAGGATTCCTACCAGAACTGAAGCATGCTGGCACCCTGATCTCAGACCTGTCCTATCTTGGACATCCAGCCTCCACAACTCTGAGGAATGCATTTCTGGTGTTTTCAAGCCACCCAGTCTACAGTATCGGTATTTACAATAGCAGCTCAAGCTGAGACAATCTCCTACATGACCTCTAACAAGAGCTACTAAAAATCTACCTTCTGTCCACACGAAAATTATCTGGGTCCATTCTAGCAAGCATCATCAAAAACCTTCATACGGGGCCGGGCGCGATGGCTCACGCCTATAATCCCAGCACTTTGGGAGGCCAAGGCAGGCGGATCACGAGGTCAGGAGATCGAGACCATCCTGGCTAACACGGTGAAACCCCATCTCTACTAAAAATACAAAAAAATTAGCCAGGCGTGGTGGCAGGTGCCTGTAGTCCTAGCTACTCGGGAGGCTGAGGCAGGAGAATGGCATGAACCCAGGAGGCGGAGCTTGCAGTGAGCCGAGATCGCACCACTGCACTCCAGCCTAGGCGACAGAGCGAGACTCCAACTCAAAAAAAAAAAAAAAAAAAAAACCTTCACATGGGTGGGAGTGACCGAGAACTGATTGCCTAGAGCCTCAGAGTGGAAGAAGTGTGATAAAAAGGGAGGAGTTGCCCCATCTCTGAGGTGGGGACTGGGAAGGGAAGGGAGGAATGTTCTCTAAGGGAAACATCACGGGGGAGAGAATGAAGGGAGGGGCATGATTTGTTTTTCACTTAAAAAAAAAAAAGTCCACTGCTGCACATAGATCACATAGAAGCAACACAAGGGGAAGCATTTCACAATAAATTCATCAACATTCGGATAGATCTACACTTTTAAACAGTATTCTGTCATAAGACTATGGACAAGATGGTCCCAGACTTACAATGATTGGACTTACAGTTTTTCTACTTGATTACAGTGCAAAATTGAGATGCATTCAGTGGGAACTGTTCTTCAAACACTGGCAGTGGCAGTGAGCCGCAGCCCTACTCAGCTACACATTGTGTGTTCTTTTAAAAATAAGGTCTCATTATGTTACCCAGACTGGAGCATAGTGACACCGTCATAGCTCACTTCAGCCTCGACATCCTGGGTTCAAATGATCCTCCTGCCTCAGCCTCCCAAGTAGCTGGGACCCCAGGCATGCAGCACCACAACTGGCTAATTTTTTAATTTTTTGTGGAGATGGGGGTCTTGCTTTGTCGCCCAGGCTGGTCTTGAACTCTTGAGCTCAAGTGATCCTCCTGCCTCAGCATCCCAAAGTGTTGGGATTATAGGCATGAGCCATAGCTCCTGGCCCAGCTACACATTTTTTATTTATGATGTTTTCAACTTAACAATGTGCTTATTGGTACATAACACAAGAAGTCAAGGAATATCTATAAATACAATGATATCAAATCTCATTTCAAACCCAAAGAGTCATAAATTAACAACGTAAAAGTAGGTAAACTTTTTAAATTTTGTATTTTAACTTGAATTTTAAACAATTGTCATCATAGATATTTGTGGATGTTGTGCAATAACACTATAGATCAATAAAATACATTTTAGGAAATTCTGGTGGTTATAATTTTTTTTCACATCAGGCCATATTTACTCTTTTTTTTTTTTTTTTGAGACAGTCTCACCCTGTCGCCCAGGCTAGAGTGCAGTGGCGTTATCTCTGCTCACTGCAAGCTCCGCCTCCCCGGTTCACACCATTCTCCTGCCTCAGCTTCCCAAGTAGCTGGGACTACAGGTGCCCGCCACCATGCCTGGCTAATTTTTTTGTATTTTTTAGTAGAGACAGGGTTTCACCGTGTTAGCCAGGATGGTCTCGATCTCCTGACCTCGTGATCCACCCGCCTCAGCCGCCAAAGTGCTGGGATTACAGGCGTGAGCCACCGCGCCTGGTGGCCATATTTACTCTTTACTTCCCCTGGACCTGTGTAAATATTTGAGTATGTGGCTCATGGCACAGGACAACGTTATTTGCTGTTTTTTTTTTTTTTAGACAGAGTCTTGCTCTTATCACCCAGGCTGGAGTGCAGTGGCATGATCTTGGCTCACTGCAACCTCCGCCCCCAGGGTTCAAGAGATTCTTCTGCCTCAGCTTCCCAAGTAGCTGGGACTACAGGCGCGCGCCACCACGCCCAGCTAATTTTTTTTGTATTTTTAGTAGAGACGGGGTTTCATCACGTTGGCGAGGCTGGTCTCGAACTCCTGAGCTCAGGGGATCCACCTGCCTCGGCCTCCCAAAGTACTGGGATTACAGGCTTGAGCCACCATGCCCTGCCCATTATTTGCCTTTTAACACAACCATTCTGATAGACGTTTTGATTGGTCTCTGAACCCTGAAAGAGCCGATTCCTCAAGATGAATCCTGGGCCTGAATTTAAATTTGAGACAAGTGGTTATTTGCTGACCAGAGGTCACACACATACTTTGAGTTTCTGGAGAAACTTTGGGACTTACATAGCTGCCTGTTCCTGTTTACGCCACCAGTAGACTGTGACCTGCTTTGACTAATCAGAACCCAGCTAGAGCCAAGTAATCAGAACTAAAAAGTTTGAATCTTTCATTTGCATAAGCAGACCTGAGTGGGATTCTGAGCGGGAATTTTCTCTAGAAAAGACAAAGCCTCCCCTTGTTCTCTGGAATGTAACTTCCTTTTGTACCAAAAGTTGTGTCTCTTGGGTTTGCAAACTGTAACTGTTCACTGGAATAAGTCTCTTTCCTCTAAATTCCTTTTCAGAGAACTTTTTTTCAAAAGTCCAACAGAAGAAGTGAAAAAAATCAATCGGTCATACATTTGAACCATAGCCCCAAATCCAATCAGGGTTAGTCGTGGGCAAAGAATGTGGAAGTGATTAAACTTCCTCCTCTTTTTATCAAACAATGGACCTAATCAGGTTAATCTCATCAGGGTGTATTAGAGGAGCTTCCAAGGGGGTGATTCCTTGGAAATCAGACCCTCCAGAACTCCAGCTTATCATTCTCTGCTGATGGGCCAGGCTTCCATGACATCCAGCCAGCAGGAGGCAGTATTCCCCAAGTTCACTTAACCTTCAGCTTTTCATAATGTGAGAAACAGTCTCGCCCATCCCAACCCAAAGAATGGACTCAGAGACCCGGAGAACAGTGAAAGTGAGACTTTTAATGACAGTCTTGCAAGATCAGGTGTCTGACAGGCACACCCAGCACACTTTCAACAAGCAGTTTATCCCCTAGTGCACAGGTCCCTCCCCCAGTTCCTCATAGGCTGAGTACTACGGGGTCATAATCTTCTCGCCTGTTGATTGTTGGGTGGGAGCGCCAGGAGTTTTTTGTTTTTTGTTTATTTTAGGGTCGTTTTGCTGCATTTTGTTGCAGCCCACAATGCATTGTAATCTTAGTTAGCTTAGGGGCTCTTCAAGTGTTAGACTTATGACCTAAGTAGCTGGGCAGGCTAAGAACAGACAAAACAAGCTACTTTGCAGGCTAGTAAACTTTCATCTTAGACTAAACTACTTTGGTTCAGGTGAAGGCAACTAAGGGGCGAAGGTGGGGAAGGGGGAGGCTGACAAGCAGGCATTGGCTGGCTATCCAAGCAGGGACCTAGTGTATCATGTTTCTTCTGTAGGTTGCTGACCTAAGCCAATTCAAAGCATTTTGTCTTAGAAACGGACCACTGTAGGCTGGGTGCAGTGGCTCACACCTGTAATCCCAGCACGCACTTTGGGAGGTCGAGGCAGGTGAATCACGAGGTCAGGAGTTTGAGACCATCCTGGCCAGCATTGTGAAACCCCATCTCTACTAAAAATACAAAAATGACCTGGGCATGGTGGTGCGTGCCTGTAATCCCAGCTACTTGGGAGGCTGAGGCAGGAGAATCGCTTGAACCAGGGAGTCGGAGGTTGCAGTGAGCCGAGATCACGCCACAGCACTCAAGCCTGGCGACAGAGAAAGACTCCGTCTCAAAAAAAAAAAAAAAAAAAAAAAGAAATTGACCACTGTATACGTTATTTCCTTCAATAAGGAATTGGGTTGACCAAGGTCCTTGTTCCCAAAGTACCATTTTCCCGGGTTGTTTGTTTTTCTGTTTGTTTGTTTGTTTGTTTGTTTTGATACAGTCTTGCTCTGTCGCCCAGGCTGGAGTGCAGTGGTACAATCACAGTTAACTGCAGCCTTGACCTCCTAGGCTAAAACAATCCTCCCATGTCAGCATCCCAAATAGCTGGGACTACAGCTACATGCCACCATGTCCAACTAATTTTTGTATTTTTTGTAGAGATAGGGTCATGCCACGTTGCCCAAGCTATTCTCAAACTCCTGGGCTCAAGAGATTCTCCCGTCTTGGCCTCCCAAAGTGTCGGGATTACAGGTGTAAGCTCCCACTCCCTACCTTTTCTGGTATTTAGATACAAATAGGATATAAAAATACCTCCCTCCTCCTCTCTTTCTCTCATTTAAATTACTACTAAGAGTCAGATCTCAACACTTCCTGTCTGCAGAGAATTGAGGAAACATAATTCCAATCTGAGGACCAAACCTTAGAGGGTGGAAATTGAAGAAGTCTGTGGCTACCCTGAGGTCCTGGCTGGACTCCCCCCATCCAACTCATTGCAACGTGTGCCAACCATAAGGACCTAGAATCTGAGAAATGGGTGAATGAGATCATTTGATGTGGGCATTTCTCTAATCCCCTTTTGTAAACTCGGGTTTACAAACTCAGATGCCTGCAATGATCACCTAGGGAAGCAAGTAGAAGAGAGGACTAGAAGGGATTGTGGTAATGGGGAGACCCTGTCTGAATGGGGAGGCAGCTTCCCAGTAGAGGCCTAGAGTTCTTAACTTGGTTTTTAGGAGAAAAACATCTCAGGAGAAATTGGAACTTGGGTTTTTATATGACCTGTTCTTTGGTCTAACCTGTTAGGGCTGCTCTGTGAGACTCTCTGGTAAGAGCAGACACTGTGAATGTGCATAGCCCCTCCTCCCATGAAGCTTAGAGTCTAGTGGGGAATCTTGTGGGAGTCTAGCGGGAAAATAATGACAACAACATTTTTTTTATTGTTTTGTTTTGGTTTTGTTTGGTTTTGTTGTTGTTTTTTTTGGAGACAGAGTCTCCCAGGCTTCAGTGCAGTGGTGCAATCTCAGCTCACTGCAACCTCCGCCTCCCAGGTTCAAGCAATTCTCCTGCCTCAGCCTCCCGAGTAGCTGGGACTACAGGCACACACTGCCATGCCCGGCTGATTTTTTATATTTTAATAGAGACGGGGTTTCACCATGTTGCCCAGCTGGTCTCAAACTCCTGAGCTCAGGCAATCCACCTGCCTCGGCCTCCCAAAGTGCTGGGATTACAGGCGTGAGCCACCGCACCCAGCCAACAACATGTTTTAATAAGTGTCATAAGAGAGAATGTCCAGGCACCTGGTCTGGAATACGTAGTTTTCAAAGGACCCCTGACAAAGGAAAAAAATAGGATGACAGCTGAACAGTGGGAAGGGCCCAGCCCCAATACACAATTTGCCGGCAGTGTATGAACTAGGCAGAGATGCGGTGTGTGGGAAGGCTGTGTTTCAGGAGAGAGCTTGGTGTGTGTTTGGAAATAGAAGAAGGCCAGTGTGGCTGAGGCCTAGAGAAACAAGGAGGAGAATGTCTCAATTTAGGCTAGAGAAAGAGGCCGTTACTAAGGGGGATGCCCCCTGTAGGATCATGGTGATGGGGGACCTGCTTTAATTTGGTGGACAGAGGTCTAGGAATACTACACATTCAGGAATTCTCAACACTGTTCCACCAGCCTAGAACCATCTTCCATCTGAATCAGTTCTCAAGTGCCCCACCCAAAGTTCTTATGTTAGAAAACCTATTGACAACTATATGAGTCTACAACTTATTTCCACTTTACATATAATCTTAAAACAATTGCTTGTGATGTTTCTATATACACTGAATTTTCTTTTACTGCAACAACCATGTAAAAAGAGAGACACTGTAGTGTAGTAAAATGGAGCCAGGCAAAGCTGTGCACACCTGTGGTCTCAGCTACTCGGGAGGCTGAGGCAGAATCACCTCAACTCCAGCTGAGGAGTTGGAAGCTGTAGTACACTCTGATCACACATGTGAATAGCCATTGCACTCTAGCCTGGGCAACATAGCAAGACCCTGTTTCTTTAAAAAATAAAAAAAACATAAAATACACATAACATAAAACTTACCACCTTATCCATTTTTTTTTTTTTTTTTTTGAGACAAGGTCTCACTCTGCCACCTAGGCTGGAGTATAGTGGCATAATCACAGCTCACTGCAGCCTCAATCTTTTAGGCTCAAGTAATCCTTTCACCTCAGCCTCCCAAGTAGCTGGGACCACAGACATGCACCATCATGCCCAGCTAACTTTTTGTGGAGACAGGGTCTTGCTACATTGCCCAGGCTGGTCTCAAACTCCTGGGCTCAAACAATCCACCCACCTCAGCCTCCCATGGTGCTGGGATTATAGGTGTGAGCCAACGCACCCAGTCTCACCATTGTTTTTTTTAAAGATACGGCTTCACTATGTGTTGCCCAGGCTGGAGTGCAGTGGTGTGATCACAGCTCACTGCAGCCTCGAACATCCAGACTCAAGCAGTCCTCCCACCTGAGACTCCCAAGTAGCTGGGACTACAGGTGTGCACCACCACACCTGGTGAATTTTTTTAAAAATGTTTTGTAGAGACAGAGTCTTGCTATGTTGCCCAGGCTGGTCTTGAACTCCTCGGCTCAAGCAGTCCTCTGCCCTGGCCTCCCAATGTGCTAGGATTACAGGCATGAGCCACCATGCCCAGGCAACCGTTTTTAAGTGTACAGCTCAGAAGCATGAAGTACATTCACATCGTTGTCCAACTAATCCAGAACTTTTTTATTTGGCAAAACTAAAACTCCATGCCATTAAACAACTCTCCATTTCCCTCTCCCCTCAGCCCCTGGAAACCACCATTCTACTCTGTCTGTAGGAATTTGACTACTCTAGGTACCTCATGTAAGTGGAATCATACAGTGTTTGTCCTTTTGTGGACCGGTTTGTTTTGATTAGTGTCTTAGTGAGGTCGGGCTGCCATAACAAAGTACCATGGTCTGGGTGGTTTATAAACAACAGACATTGATACCTCATGGCTCTGGAGGCTGGAAGTCCAAGATGAAGGGCCAGCATGGTTGGGTTCTGGTGAGGGCCCTCTTTCATTCACAGACTTCTGACTTCCTGTTGTATTGTTACATGGCAGAAGGGGTAAGAGGGGCCTCTGGAATCCCTTTTATAAGGTCACAACTCCCATCATGGGAGCTCCACCCTCATGACCTAATTATGTCCCAAACTTTGAATCTAATAATCCCATACCCTAATACCATCAGCTTGGGGGTTGGGATTTCAACATATGAATACAGTGAGGTAGGGGGTGGGTACCCTTAGTATATATAAAGTCTTCAAAGTTCCTGCATGTAGCATGTGTTGGAATTTCCTTCCTTTTTAAGGCTGAATTGTGTGGAGAGACCACATCTTGTTGATCCATTCATCTGTCGATGGACATTTGGGTTGCTTCTACCTTGTGGTTTTTGTGAATAAGGCTGCTGTGAGCATGGGCGTTCAAATCAATGTTGTATTTGATTTGGTTTAGTTAGAACCATGAGAATTTGTTCCAAAAAATCACAACCATGACAGCAAAGTTCTTGTGATAATTATCCCAAGTGGATATTTTTATTTATTATCACTTATTTATTTATTATTATTACTATTATTTATTACTATTATTATTTTGGAGACTGGATCTCGCTCTGCCACCCAGGCTGGAGTGCAGTGGTGTGATTACAGTACACTGAGGCCTTGAACTCCTGGGCTCAAGCAATCCCCCGACCTCCACCTCCAGAGATGCTGAGATTACAGGCACACAATCAACTTGGCCAGCTAATTTTGTGAGTTTTTTTGTAGAGATGGGGGTTTCACTGTGTTGCCCAGGCTGATCTCAAATGCCTGGACTAAAAGCAATCCTCCTGCCTCAGCCTCCCAAAGTGCTGGGACTACAAGTGTGAGCCACTGTACCCAGCTAATATTTTTTTAATGTGGTAAAATATACATAACATAAAATTCAGCATTTTAACCATTTTTTGGTATGCAGTTCGGTAGCATTGAAAGTAGCCACATTGTCATGCTACATCACCACCACCCATCTCCGGAATGATTTATCTTTTGAAGGGACTGAGGAGCTGGGAGCACTGATTGCAGGAAGGATCTCATGAGGACTCAGCTGGAGGAAGTTGGGCACTGCAGTCGCCATGACTGGGGGCAGCAGCCTGAGCAGTGCCGACCACAGCGCACACGCAGAACCAGGAGCCATGGAGCCCCACCGTGTGCCCCACCGTGCAGCCTCCTCGGCCACCTTCAAACAGCTGCATCCTCAACAGGTTATGAGGCCCCAAGGAGAACAGGAAAAGATGATCTCTAGGTGCCAAGATGAAATTGCACACTGGCAAAAGGTAAAGGGGGACTGTAATACCCTCCAAGAGCGACTCCAAACCTTGCCCAATAGGCTGTCTTACGAGCTCATGGTGCCAACTGGGCCTCTTGCCTTCTATACCAGGAAGGCTTGTGGATACCAGCAAAATCACTCTTCTCCTCGGGGACAACTGGTTTTGCCAGTGCTCTGCAAAGCAAGCAGTGGGGTTAGTGGAGCATAGGAAGGAGTGTGTGAGGAAAGCACTACATGACTTTACAAAAGCCAGGAGAAACTTTGAATCTAAAGTTGCATTCACAGCAGATCTGCAGGGATGGGGTGATGGGGATGGAGATCTTGTTGACCTAAGAAAACATGTTCAAAACAAGTCTGAATTAAAGAGAAAACCCTGGATTGCACATAAACCTGATTCAAAATCCAAAACCTCAGGTTTTGAAAATGATCTCAAGTCCAAGGATGCTTACTTACAAATGAGGAACTGTGGGCTCGACTGGAAGAACTGGAGAGGCAAGAAAACCTGCTGGGTGAACTCAACCATGATCCTGGGATGGAGTTCACAAACAGAGGGGAAGGGGCTGGGTGCAGTGCCTCATGCCTGTAATCCCAACACTTTGGGAGGCCAAGGCAGACAGATCACAACATCAGAATTTCGAGACCAGCCTGGCCAATATGGTGAAACCCCGTCTCTACTAAAAATAAAAAAAATTGGCCGGGCATGGTGGCGGGCACCTGTAGTCCCAGCTACTCGGGAGGCTGAGGCAGGAGAATCGCTTGAACCTGGGAGGTGGAGGTTGCAGTGAGCCGAGATCACGCCACTGCACTCCAGCCTGGGCAACAGAGTGAGACTCCATTTCAAAAAAGAAAAAAAAATGGAGGGGAACAGGGAAAAGGTGGGATCTCTGATGAGACTATGGGCTTCCGTACTTGGGGGAATTTTCATAAGGACATTTTAAAGTCAAAACTAATGCAAGGTCGAAGGCAAGGTCAAGGGAATGATTCCAAGCACCATCCCCACTCTGAACACTGCAATGATGGCAGTTCAGGAGATGAAGATGAGTCTTCACCAACAATCTATTTTTCCCACACCACTGAACCCAGAAAGGTCCATATAGATACGGAAAAAAACAGGACATTAGTTTTCAGTGAAAGGAAAGAGGGAGCTAGACATGCCTGGGACCTGAACCCTGGAGACGGTCAGTTTGTCCTGGGTCACCCCGTTATCAGAACACTGGTGGATATTTACAGAATATTTGTGAGCCCTGCAAATGAGGAGCATGGCCCTCAGAAGTCCACCATGAGAGCAGGATGCAGAAAGACCCTCGTATGGAGTGGCGCTGGAGAGACGCAAACCACTGGCCATGACGATCCAGGGGTTTCGATGAACCCTGGCTGTGAAGCAGCCATTTGCAGAGAGACTGAAAAATCCTCTGGAGAAGAAAGAAGAAAGAGGACATCCTCAGCCAGAGCTCTCACCCTCACCAGGAACAGGAGAGTCTTTTCCTGGGATTGTGGTAGAAAAATAATTCTTACCTCCATCTCTGATGCCACACCATGCCTCTGTTCTCAGGTGTCACCTACCTTCCCAGAGAGAAAAGATGCTGTGTCAGAAGAAGCTCCAAAGAGGATTTCCAAATTCAAAGCTGCCGGACTAAATCTGAGACACTAGGTCCTGTCGTGATATGCAGGTGCATTCCTCCAGGCCAAGGGTGTTTGTTTAGAACATGAAATTCAAGATGACTCCATAGTGCCTGGGACAACACATCGTGGGTTAACTCATCTGTGCTATGAAAAGAATTAAATACATTTCGCACACTTTAGTATTCAGAATTTGTTGTTGGTTGTCTTTCATAAGATTAGCATCACTGGGCGCGGTGGCTCATGCCTGTAATACCAGCACTTTGGGAGCCTGAGGCAGGTGGATCACCTGAGGTCAGGAGTTCAAGACCAACCTGGGCAACATGGAGAAACCCCTCTCTACTAAATACACAAAAAGTAGCCGGGCGTGGTGGCGCATGCCTGTAATCCCAGCTACTTAGGAGGCTGAGGCAGGAGAATTGCTTGAATCTGGGAGGCGGAGGTTGTGGTGAGCTGAGATCAGGCCACTGCACTCCAGCCTAGGCAACAACAACAACAACAAAAAGATCAGCATCTTGGCCAGCAGTGGTGACTCAATGCCTGTAATCCTAGCACTTGGGGAGGCCAAGACAGGAGGATTGCTTTAGCTCAGGAGTTTGAAACCAGCCTGAGCAACATAGTGAGACCGCATCTCTAAAAAAAAAAAAAAAAAAAAAAAAAAAAAAACAAACAAACAAAAAAAAACTATTTGTATTTGCTAATCCTCTCTGTATCATTCCAAGCAAGCACTTTGAAGAATTTTGATCATGTTCATGATTCTTGTGTTTTAACCCAAATGAAGCCCCATTTTTTAAGCAATAGTTACTTTGATACTCTTCATTCAATATGGGTATTTTAAAGAAAATCTTAAAGTTAAAATTTCAAATACATTTCACAATTCTCTTTCATTTACAAATATATTGTTGTAATTTTTGCCACTTAAAAATTCCAAATAATCACTCAAACTGTGGTGAACTCTAAAAAGAAAGCTGTGACTGGGTGTGGTGGCTCACCCCTGTAATCCCAGTACTTTGGGATGCCGAGGTGGGGGTATCACTGGAGCCTAGGAGCCTGACACCAGCCTGGGCAACATAGTGAAACCCTGTATCTACAAAAAAAATACACAAATTAGCTGGGCATGGTGGAGCATGCCTGTGGTCCCAGCTAGTCAGGAGGCTGAGGTGGGATGGCCTGAGCCTGGGAGATCATGGCTGCAGTAAGCCAAGATCATACCACTGCACTCTAGCCTGGGCGACAGAGTAAGACCCTGTCTCAAAAAAAAAAAAAAAAAAAAAAGAGAGAGAGGCTGGGGACAGTGGCTCATCGTGTAATACTAGCACTTTGGAGGCCAAGGTGGGCAGATTATCTGAGGTCAGGAGTTTGAGACCAGCCAGGCCAACATAGTGAAATCCTGTCTTTACTAAAAATACAAAAAAATTAGCTGGGCGTGGTGATGCATGCCTGTAGTCCCAGCTCCTCAGGAGGCTGAGGCATGAGAATCACTTGAAACCAGGAGGCAGAGATTGCAGTGAGCCAAGATCGTGTCACTGCATTCCAGCCTGGGTGACAAAGCGAGACTCAGTCTCAAAAAAATAAAAGAAGAAGAAAGCTGGAACCTCAGAAGAGAGATTTTTTAAAATAATTGTTTACAAATAAGTTTGTATATGTGTGTGTGTAGAGAGAGAGAAGAATTGGTGAGACTTGGCATAGGATGGGCTGTTGAGTAAGAGAGAGGACCCAAGGGTAATCCAAGGTCCTTGAATGGGAGCTGAAGTACTTGTGGAGTCATTTACTAAGATGGGAATGTCGGGGAGAGGATAGAAGTAGAAAGGCCAATAGCCTGGCAGTAGGAGTTATAAAAGGAGATAAAAAATAGAGCAATGAATATTTGAGGAATTAATAGAGCTCTTCACAGCCATTTTAAGTCTTTTGTCATCAGAGATGGTTGTTTTACTCCGACGCTTTTCTGAAAGCTCTGGCAACCAGCTACGGGCCAAAGTGCTTCATCTTCAATAAGAAGGGACTGTCTCAGGGATAGACAGGATGGCCTATGGCAGGTATTCTGGGGTACAGGCTTTTGGTGGCATTGCTTGAATAACTTTGAAACCACAGCCCTGCACTGAGCCAGATCTCCAGAACACTGGTTGAGAAACACGTGAGTTCATGTAACTGCTGACCCAAAATCAAGCAGAACAAGAATTAAGTGCATGGAACTTAATAAACTGGAAGCTGGGTCTCCCCTAGAAATTTGGGGTTCTAGTGCTGCTGCTCAACCATCAGGGGTCACTGGACTGTTTGGGGTGATTGATCCAGACTGCTGGAGAAAAGTCAGGGTTTTTTCTTTTCTTTTTTTTTTTTTTTTTTTGGTGTTTTTGAGACAGAGTCTTGCTCTGTTGCCCAGGCTGGAGCACAGTGGCACGATCTCGGCTCACTGCAGCCTCTGCCTCCTCCCAGGTTCAAGAGATTCTTGAGTCTCAGCCTCCCAAGTAGCTGGGACTACAGGTGTGTGCCACCATGCCCCGCCAGGGTTGTTTTTTTTTGTTTTTTTTTTTTTCTTTTTTTGTATTTTTAGTAGAGACGGGGTTTCTTTATGTTGACCAGGCTGGTCTCAAACTCCTGACCTCAAGTGATTTACCCACCTCGGCCTCCCAAAGTGCTGAGATTACAGGCGTGAGCCACCGTGCCCGGCCAACACCCTCATATATATTGATAGAGTTATTTGGATTGAGGCCTCTAAAATCTTAAGTCACTGATTTTCCTTAATCCCCTGAGCCTGCAGAAGTGGACTAAACTCAGCCTATTCAGAGCTAAACTCCTTTGTTTGCAGAGGCCTCTCTCACTAGGACAAAATATGCCTTCTTCACCATCTTGCCCAATTTCCCTCTTGGCCTAGAACTAGGGTTAAGTCCCAGCACAACACAGCAGGAGATGTGCTCATTTTGAGAAGAGAGAAAAGGCTGGGTGAGGTGCCTCACATCTGTAACCCCAGCACTTCAGGAGGCTCACGGGGATAAGGAAAATCAGGAGGATCACTTGAGCCTAAGAGTTTGGGGCAGGAAGATCACTTGAGCCTAGCAGTTTGAGACCAACCTGGGCAACATAGCGGAACATTCACTTCTACAAAAAAAAAAAAAAAATTTTTTTTAATTAGCCAGGCTTGGCGGCTCACACATGTAGTCCCAGCTACTCAGGAGACTGAGACATGAGGATCACTTGACCCCAGGAGGTCAAAGCTGCAGTGAGCCATGATCATGACACTGCACTCCAGTCTAGGGGACAGAAAAGACCCTGTCTCAAAACATTTTTTAAAAGGGGAAGAAAAGGGACTACACACCAGAGGAGCCATAAGACCTAACCAGCAGGTACCAGCAGGAGTCAAGGGACTAGGCATGGGACTGGATCATGAGGGTGGGTGATAGAGGGGGACCAGAACATGAAGATTAGATAAGGGTGAGTTTTATTGATGTGGGAGCATTCTGCCATCTGAGCACCCCACAAAATATCCCATTGATTGACTGTGTTGTTGACATCATGCTAGTTGAGTTAGTTTAGTAGGAAATGGCTAGCATGTTGGAGGCCTTCATAAGAAACATGCACTATAAAGGGTAGGAGATAATCTGTATGAAGATTCAGGGAACTGTCACGTGAGTACAGTTTTGAGTGCCTAAGTGGTCAAGGCAGGATGGGTCAGATCGTCCAAACATAATGCCTGGCAGAACTCTTCAGGTTTTGGGAACAGCATGTTCCACTTCTGGCCTATGTCGTTGGTCTACAGAAGGCTGCCACCTTTGAATGCAGCCTGGCGTAGAAAAGTCATCTGCTGCCTGACAAGGCTGCAGTGAAAACAGCCCTGCTGCTTGGGCCATAAGACTCGGCAGAATTTAGGGGACTGGAGGGGTCGGTGGTAAGAAAAGATGCCATGTGGAATTTGCAGTGAGCTCCAGTGGGAGAATCACAGCACAGGCCCTCCAGCCCTGCACTTAGCAGGGCTAAGTGCAGTCTGCAGTAATGAATTACATGTGTTTTGTAAAACAACTTCTGCAGTGCTGTTGGCCCTAGCGGAGGACCATAAGATACCTGTTGACCACACATTCACATCTGCCTATCACAAGGTAAGTTGTGTCAAGCCCACCAAGTCTTAAAGTTGGTTAGGCGCAACAGCAATCCATTGTTGAACAGCAGCATCAAGGTGAGTGCAGCCGCTCCCTCCTGTCCACAGGTAGCTGCAGTCTCTGTTCAGTGCCAACCCCTGCCTTGCACCAGGCTGGACTCTGAGGGGACCCCTCACCCTGGCCTTTCCTGCACTCATTGGCACTGAGACGAGAGACCCTGGATGTAGCTGGGGCACTGCTTAGGCCTCAGCCAGTGGTGCCACCCTCTCTCTGTGTCAGAATCGAGCAGGCAACCCTAGTCCACCCTCAGGACCTGGGCGCAGGTGTGCAGTGCTCCCTCTGGAGCTGAGTCAGCAAGAGGATGCAGCAGTCGGGGGACCCACCCGGTGAGCGGGCACCCCCAGTCAGCGTCCACCACTGTCCTCCATCCTCATCCTCGTCCTCATTACTGGAGGAGGGAGCGCATGTCCAGGCAGGCAGGACAGAGCACCGAGCCAGACCAGGAATCAGCGGGAGTGAGGCATCTGCCCACATTCACCGTGTGCTCTGCAGAAAGCCCCCTCAGGCCTCAGTCTGCACCCAGGCTGCCCCGGGAGTGAGACCCCATCCCTGCCCTCCTGCTGCCGCCAGAGTAGCTGACAGGGTGGTCCCATGTGGCCCAGTGACATGAGGGTCATGTGGCATTACCAGTAACAAGCTGGCAGCAAAGCAAAGGGGGGATGGAGTCAGCTGAAACCCACTGGGATGGCGCCAGCGAGGGGCCTTGAAAGTTGAGGAGGTTTCAGGTAAGCAGAAAACAGGGGTAATGGCAGCCAGGAGCCGAAACATGAGCAAGGCTGTCCCCAAGAGCAAGGCCAAGAAGAGTTCCTTCTGCTGGGACGAGGGATCCAGGAGCTTGAGGCATTGGGAGCAGGCAGCAGAGGGCAGGTGGGCACAGTGGGCGTGCCTTTACAGGGCTCCCTTCTCCCGCCAGGCATGGGCTGCAACGAGTGTACGCACCCCTCCTGCCAGCACTCGCTGAGCATGCTGGGCATCGGCCAGTGCGTGGAATGTGAGAGCGGGGTGCTGGTGCTGGACCCCACCTCGGGCCCCAAGTGGAAGGTGGCCTGCAACAAGTGCAACGTGGTAGCGCACTGCTTCGAGAACGCCCACCGCGTGCGGGTGTCCGCCGACACCTGCAGTGTCTGTGAGGCCGCCTTGCTTGATGTGGACTTCAACAAGGCCAAGTCCCCACTCCCGGGCGATGAGGCGCAGCACATGGGCTGCGTCTTTTGTGACCCCGTCTTCCAGGAGCTGGTGGAGCTGAAGCATGCGGCCTCCTGCCACCCCATGCACCGCGGTGGACCAGGGAGAAGGCAGGGTCGAGGGCGGGGCCGGGCCAGGAGGCCCCCTGGGAAGCCCAACCCCAGACGGCCCAAGGACAAGATGTCAGCCCTGGCCGCCTACTTTGTATGATGACCCTGTCCTCCCTCACCCAGGCTGCAGTGCCATGCAGACACCTCATGGCACTTCAAACTATTAAAATGCATTTTATCTTATCCAGAGCTGGGGCCCCTTTGCTGGTGCAGCGATGTCAGAGCGTTACCGTGTCCCTGGGCACCTGTGGGGCCCTCTTTCCCTCTCCGAAACCCAATACGTCTCCCTTCAGCCTGCATACACGTGCCCAGAGTGCTCCCTGCTATCCCTACACCCTGGCAGTACGGGCAGGGATGCCCCAACCCTGAAGCCCTGGGGAATAGACCCAGTTTGCACTCACACCCCATCTCAATCCGTGCTGCTGATGGTAGCTGTGTGCACAAGCAGTGGCCCTGATGCCTTAAGGAAGGCGGCCTTGACAGCTGTGGCTCCGGCAGGAGAGGAGTTTAGTGGAGCAGGTGGGGCTGGGAGACCCCCTCCCTGGATCTGGCTTATGAATCCCCTTGGTCTTCGCTGCAGCCCCCTGCTCAGGGCCACGCTCTTGACCCCACGCTTCTCCGTCCCCTGCTCCCTGCTCCCATCTCTGAGAAGCCCTGTACATGGTGCCCGTGTGCGTCTGGCAGCTTCCCAGGACCTGCTGCAATTCCCATTCTCACAACAAGGCCTTATGGTCTTAGAGGCAGCTGGGTGCCCCATGGAACCCATTCACATGCCAGGTTTAGAAAATACCCTGTAGGCCAGACTGCCCTGTGGTGCCAGGTGCTGGTGGCAGCTGCCCTCTGACCTCAGTGCCTTCTTGTGCTCCCCTCCCCAGCCACCCGAGGAGAGACACCTGTGCGGGATCCACTGTGTGTTGGAAACTCCCTCCACACTCCGCCCGTGCCTCATTGAGTGATGACGGGAGCTCAGCAAAACAGCTTTCCAGACTGTTCAGTGGGACCTTTCTTTGAGGGGCAGGTCAGGAATGTTTCGGACTCAGACCCGCCCCCGCCCCAACTCAGTAGTAGATTCCCAGGCTGCACCAGGACTTATATGAGAGCTCCTGTAAGGAAACCCAGAGCCCACCAAGCATACCCCACCTGGACCCCCTTCCTGGAGGCCCTCACAGGTTAACACGGGGGTTCCCTGGAACACAGTTTGGAGAGCTACTCGAAGCTGAATGAAAATACAGAGACATGGGGAACCACATAGAGGGTCCTGGGATGTGTCTCAGAAGCACAGGCTTCAGGAAGGAGGGGGTGCTCTCAGAGCTTCTGCCCCCTCCCACCCACTCTGGTCCCATTCTGGGGCCCTAGCAAGGCCACACCTGTTAGGTCCCCAGTGCGGGGCTGTGACTCTGCTCTTCCACCCACAGGGCCCAGTGGACCTGGAGCCTTCTCCGCAGAAGGTTTCAAGACCTCCAGGACCCTTAGGTTATAGGGCTCATTCAGGCTTGGAGGAGCAGAGACGGTTCCTAGGTCTTAAACCCAGACCACCCAGTCCTTCCTTACTATGCTTCTGCACTGCGCTTTCAGCCACAGGCAGGGCTAATCACAAAGTGTTCCTTTATTTTCCTCTGCAGTTGTCCCTTGTGTGTGACCCTCCTTCAAGGCCCTTGGCTTCCGCAGCTTGATTCTGCACTCCGAGTCCATTCACCTTCTCCCATCCAATAGCATCCAACCCCGCTGCTACTGCTGCCAACCTGGCCTTGGGAGCAATGAGGACGAGGAAGGGACAAGACCCCTTTTAGGCCAGAACTGCCTTCAGATCAGCCACGCTCCATGGGACTGTACCTCTGCCCTGGAGGCTGGAGAGCTCAGTGGCTGCAGACTGTCTCAAGGAGCCCCTGGCCCTGCCCACCTAGCCAGGGGTGCAGCCTTGCCAGAGAAGCAGAGAAGCGTCTGTGGCTGGGTGGGTGATATTGAAAGATTCCTTTCACCAGGGTGGAAGCCAGGATCTGAGGCGTGATGGAATGTGGACAGTGAGGCAGTGACAGCGCCACAAGGCAGGAGTCATCTCCAGGCACGTCCTTGGCCTGGAGCCCATAGGGACAAGCTCCTGGTGGTGCCTCACTTTGCCATCCTCTCTAAGCCGCAGACCTTGAATGGAATCAGTGCTCAAGAGTCTAATTGGGCCCACTCTGAGGATGCCTGCGGGAATATCAGCTTTTACCGCACCACACTGCACTTTACAGTGTGGGAGGGCCTGCCCCACGCACCACCTCACCTATACTGCGGTTCTCAAACTTCACCCTACAGCCATTCTGTTGTAGGTGATCTCAGGGGCAGTTTGAGAAACAGTGGCTCAGGGTCTCACAGCAGCCCTCTGAGATAGGTTGGTTGCTATTGTCCCGATTTTTTCTCATCAAGAAACTGAGGCTCAGGTGAGCTAAGGAATGTGCCCAGGGCCACAGTTTATAAGAAGTAGCCTCAAGCCTTGCTCATGGTTACTGCCCTGACAGGGATCTAGGAAGGAGTGAGCAGGAGAATGGGATGAGGCAGGACCCTCCGCCCCAGCCCTGCTTTCTCTGCCCAGACACCTCCTGCCTTGCAGACCCAACCCCACCCCAGATGGTTTCCTTTCCAGTCACCCAGCTGCTAGTTCTCCAGGTTCCTGGTCTCACTCCAGGTTCCTCCTGTTAGAGAAGCATCCCAGAGACATTCATTCCTGGCAAGGATGAATGGTTTTCCATCTCCCTTAGGGTGTCCAGACTCTCTGCCCACACCTTCATAATTTAGTTCTTTATTTATATTTTCATCAAATTCTATTTTAATTATACCAGGTATTTCCCCCGATCACTGATGAATATCTTCTAATTATAATTGGATTCCTAATAAACTTATTTGGTAAATAAATCTCCTGTATCATGTGCACGTCTTGGGAAGGAAATTGTTGCCCACAGAAACGTGAGGAGGCTCAGAATGTGCTATTAGCAATGATGCAGACATTCTGCAAGTGATAGTTGCGTGGAAGGGCTGCAGACTCTCACCGTAGGGCATACATGGCTGAAGCGTCACCACCAGTGCTGGCTGTTGTCACAAACAGCAGGGGCCTAGTGGGAGCCCAGGCAGCACAAGCAGAGGGGATTTTCCCATTGGCCTAGAGCACAGTGTAAGCCATGCCCTGTCAGCCCATCTGAGAGAGATGATCTGCTCCATCCTCAAGGTGAAGGCCAGAGACGACCAAATAACTTGAGACTCTGGAGGAGCCTCTCAACCCAGAGAATTGTCTGGGGACCCCAGAGGCCTGGTACTCATTTTAGCCTGAGCATAATCTCAGAACATAGTTGGAGGGCTCCCTGGATTCTGTAGGGAAAAGAAGGTATTTTTGCCACCGATATGAAAGCCGATATGCTCTGAGTGCAGGTGAGTGTTTGATCTGCATGAAGATGCTGGGAGTGAGGACACCTGGGTCAGCCCAGCCTGGAAGAGGGAACCTGGAAATGCAAACATTTACATTGTTGGAGCAGGTGTCAGGGTTAAGCTGTTGGCAAGTCTGAGCCAGAGGGGCTGACACAAGCTGGGAACTGCCCCAGGTCTCTAGGCCTTTTCCCTACATGTGCAGGGAGTGAGGACAAGCACGAGAGGGGTCCAGGCCATGGTAGACACAGCTCCCTTTGGTCCAGTGGGATGGATTGAGTTTATTACCTGCTGTAGGCCTCAGCGAGGAGGAGCTGGTCATGCAGGTGTGGCCCCAGCTGCTATCTGCCCCACCTCTCCCTGAGCACTGAATAAGGATCTTTTGCTGAGGGTCTTGTGGGTAGGAAGGGCTAACAGGCAGTGAGACTCTGTCTGCCCCACGGAAGGACCTGGGAGGGAAAGCTGCTGGGACAGCTGGTAGGCCTGTGAGCAGGGGCTCTGCTAGGCTAGAGAGGACCCTTCTCTGAGTGCCCATCACAGTCCAGGCTCACTGGAACTAGAGGACACCCCTACTGAGCCCTCCATGAGAGCACCCAGTGCAGTCCTCGGTGACCCTGACATCCTCAGTCCATCTTCTGTGTTCTCAGGGGGTCTAAGACTTCCTGTCATCTGACTGGTCACTGTCATTCAACAAACAGTAATTGAAAAACCTGAATGGCCAGTGATGTGATCAGCTCCAAAGTACTTTATATTAATATATTCTACATGTTTATGGACAACACACTATCAAACCACGAAAAGACATGGAAGAAACTTAAATGCTTATTAGTAAGTAAAAGGAGCTGACCTGCAAATGACATGATACGTGATTCCAAGTATATTACAGTCCAAAAAGGGGGAAATAATTTCAAGTGTATTACAGTCAAACAAAGGAAAAAAGTAGAAAAGTCATCGACTTCCAAAGGTTAGGGGAGAGAGAGAGATGAATCAGTAAAGCCAGAAGATTTGTAGGGAAGGGAAATACACTGCATGATACTGTAATGGTGGATATATGTCATTATATATTTGCACAAACCCATAGCCATAGGATGTGCATCAGCGAGAAAAATTCCTTAAGGAAAATACTGACTTGTAGTGATAATGACCTGTCAATGTGGTTCATCAATTACAGGACATGTACATTTCTGATGGGACCCGTTGATAAGGGGGAAGGCTGGACATGTGTGGAGCCAGGGAGGATAGGGAATATCTTTCTACCTTCTTCTGTATTTTGCTATGAACTTAAAACTGCACTAAATTAGTGGCCAACAAAACTGTGGAGAAATGCTCATCATCACTAATCATCAAGATATGCAAATCAAAACCACAATGAGACGCCATGTCACACCAGTCAGAATGGCTATAATTAGAGTAAAAAAACAACAGCTGATGGTGAGGCTGTAGAGTAAAGAAAACACGTATACACCGTATTTCAGGCATTGTGGAAAGCAGTTTGAAGACTTCTCAAAGAACTTAAAACAGAGCTACCATTTGACCCAGCAATCCCATTACAGGGTATCTATCCAAAGACAAATAGATCATTATACCCAAAGGCCACATGCACTTGTATATTCACCACCACACTATTCACAATACCAAAGACATGGGATCAACCTAGGTGCCCGTCAGTGGTGGGTTGGATAAAGAAAATATAGTTTATATACCCCATGGAATACTATGCATCCATAAAAAGGAATAAAATAATGTCCTTTGAAGCAACATGGATGCAGCAGGGGGACATAATCCTAGGCAACTAACACAGGGACAGAAAGCCAAATACCACGTGTTCTCATTTTTAAGTGGGAGATAAACATTGAGCACGCATGGCATAAACATGAGAACAATAGACACTGGGCACTGCTAGGAGGGGGAGGGAGAGGAGGGAATGGTGTAAAAAACTACCTGTTGGGTACAATGCTCACAACCCGGGTGCAATACACCCATGTAACAAACCTGCGCGTGTACCTGCTATATTTAAAATAAAAGTTGAAATTTAAATTAAAAATATGTATTAAGAGCAATTTAAAAAGATAAAATTGTATACTTCAACATCACACAATATACCCTTGTAACAAACCTGCACATGTACCACCTGAATTTAAAATAAAAGTTAAAAATTTTAAAAATAAAAAATAAAATAAACATATTAATGCAAAATTTTAAAATAAAATGTTAACTCATTCTGGGAGGCTGAGGCAGGAGGATCGCTTGTGCCCAGGAGTTCGAGACCAGACTGGGCAATATGTTGAGACAAATAAGATTTGTTTTTAATTAGCCAGGCATGGTGACACCCACTTGGAATCCCGGCTACTCAAGGAGCTGAGGTGGGAGGATCACTTGAACCAGGAAATTTGAGGAACGAACTGATTTCAACACCAGATTTACGCATTTATACACCATTGTCAAGTGGGATTTATACTTAAAATAATGGTTGGGTTCAACATTAATAAAAGTTTTGGTATAATACCATATTATTACATCACAACCAAAGATCATATTGTATCAATAGATTTTTAATGTGTTTGGCAAATTTTAATATCTATCCCTAATAAAAATCACGTAAGAATACAGAAACAGATAAATTTGTTTATGATATGGTAACACACATGCGTGTGCACGTGTGCACGCGCACGCGCGCGCGCGCGCACACACACACACACACACACACCTGTCTTGGTCCGGAGTCATCATCTTACTGCATGGAGGACATTTTCCCTGAGATCAAAAAAATGCAAAGGTACCCCTTACCTCACTCATTACTCATCATTGCTCTGAAAATATAAGACAAGAAAATTAAATAAAATGTATTAATGGATAGATGTCTGCCCTGATGGGAATAGACAGTATGAAAGACCAAATGCATTTTATGGTCTTAGATCTTTGGGTTCTTGTGCCAGAAATGACAGCACAAATATCCCCAATGAGCCCATGTTGGTCACAGGTGATGAAAGGGGGGCAAACCACTGGGTAACACACGCAGAAGGGAGAACTTTAGCCCACTTTTCTCAGGGCCAGGAGGAATATTTCAGCTCTGAGGCTGTCACCCTAGGTCTGCGATGATGATCATCCTCCTGCTCAGGGTGCAGCACAGTGAACAGCCATCAGCACCTTCAGAGTGCTTCAGGATGGAGCTTCTGGTGCCAGACTGCATCAAAGCTACCCACATTTCTCCAGCTTCCCTTAGTTCTGACCAAGTGACCACAGCACTGACACAGAGTCCAGGGTCACAGCTCACTTGTGCCTTGTGAGCCAGAGCAAGAAGGCAGGTCTTGTGTGACCTCAGCGGCCTCTTCCCCTAAGCCCATGACAAATATCCCTTTTATAAAGAACTGAGGGAGAAAGGCCCCAGGGTGTGGTGGGGACACCTCAGAGCTCTGTCTCCAGAAGCTCCACTGCGGGGAGGATGGCCACAAGCTGTGTTGGATCCCCTGGCCAGGCTCTCCTAGGCACAGAATCACTCCATCCATATGCACCCTGGGTTCTCACCGTGTATCAGCACTTCCTGAACCAGACTTGGGTAAAGACTTTAAAGAGGTAAGAGAGAGATGCCTCAAATCTAAAGCAACGCAATGGGAAAGGTGGACTCAGGAGGTGACAGGGTAGTGGGGCCTCATGGGTGGAGAAAAGTCACACATCAGTGGGGACACTGTTTGGTCAACTTCCCTAGAGTCAGCTGAGTGGTTTACCAGCTGTCTGCACACTAAATAACACAGTAAGTTTCCCAGGTGTCACTACCCAACAATAGAGTGAGAAGGATCCTCCATGCATTCATCACTGGAAGAGTGATGCTCTCATGCGTGGATTTTTATCTTGATGGAAAATTATCCTGAAAACAGCTATATAGGTGTTTTCTTTTTCTCAAAATGTCAACATCTCTGTCAACTGTACCCCAAAGCTCCAACTTCACCTGCTCTCTCCACACACTGCCCATGGCTGTTAGAGGACAGTGATGAGTCGAAAGAAGAATACGCATGGGAACACTGTTTTGAGTGTGTGGGTGTTGAGATTACACAGTAATGTGGGGCCCAGGAGGCCTCAACCAAATGTATTGGACATATTTGGATCTGGAGGAGTCCAGGGATCCCTGTGACAGCAGGGAAGGGGATTCTAATGAGAAGACAGGGCATGAGCAGGCCACAGAAGGGAGGGGCTGCTGGTGGCCCTGCTGAGTGGATTCTCAAGGCCAGAGAGCAGCACCCTCGGTGACTTGATCCCAGCATCTTCAAATGGAATGGATAAGAAAACTCTGGAATAATAAATATTTCCTTAGTTAAACCTAGTGTTTCTTTTTTACTAATTGCTAGTGCATATGTATGTTCATGCACTAGTATTATATATATGTAACTACTAATATATAAACAATGATGTTCCCTACACACATTTGTTAATAAGGCAGGCTTGCTAATTTCACTTCATGTTCCTATTTTTAACAGTCCTAAATAGTGTACACTATTGTGAATGCATCCCTTGTCTTTTGGGTGGTCCAGTTTAAACAGTGCTCTGTGAGGCCTGTTCAGTGAGGCCGAGGGAGCTCTTGAGTTTTTATCTCACTTCCCCACTGGCCTGAGGCACTGTGTGAGCACTGAGGCTGCTGTCCAATGCTGAGCAGTAATAGTCAGCCTCGTCCTCAGGCTGGAGTCCAGTAATGGTCAGGGAGGCTGTGTTTCCTGACCTGGATGCAGAGAATCTCTCTGAGATCCCTGAGGGCCGGTTGTTATTCCTGTAGGATAGGAGTTTGGGAGGGTGGCCCTGGTGCTGCTGCAGCCAAGCTGCTCCTTGGTTGCCAACAATGTTGCTGTTCCCAGTGCAGGTGAGTGTGGCGGTCTGTCTCAAGCCCTTGGACACCGAGGGTGGCTGAGTCAGCCCTGCCTGGACCACTGACACTGTAGAGGGGACAGAAAGGAATGTGAGAGCAGGATCAGAGTCCACTGAGCCAGGGAGTGGAGAAGCTGGAGCAGAGGTGGGTGCAGATCCCTGGGTAAGGTCCACTCTCACCTGCAGAGTGAGTGAGGAGGGTCAGGAGGAGCAGAGCCCAGGGCATGGTGCAGATTCCCACTATGCTTGCTGAAGCTCTGTTTGGAGACTGGGCTCCCCTAAGTCTCTTTTTTATAGCTCCCAAAGCCTTCATGGGGGTGGAGTCACAGCATTTAAATAAGATCTTGCTCTCTGACTTTTCCCGGGCCTCCATGTGCTGGTTACTCAAAGATCTGAAGCAGAGAGGGAGGAGATGAGCTGACCCAGGGGTGGAGGTGGCCTGGCTTATGGTGACCCCTGTCCCCACAGGTCTGTGTTGCAGCCCAAACCGAGTCTCAAGAGCACCCTGATGGCTAAACTTCAATGCAGGTTCTGAGTGGTTTCCAGGCTGGTTGGGGCCATCTCAGGAATTTCTCCCACTGTCCCACTCTGTCCAAGATCCCAAACCTTTCTTACCTCTCGGACACAACTGGGCCATGGTAGCCAGAGAGTCACTGGTTATCCTGATCCTCTTCTGAAGCTGCTCATGGTGTTGGAGAGGGACCCAGGGACCATGAGAAATCTAAATAAAAGGGGTTTCTGGCAAAGCAGTGCCCTTCTCACTAACAATGAGCTGCAGAGAGCTTGTCATCCACTGCATCAGCAGCTCATGTAGACTCGCTTTACTTAATCATCTGTTACCACCCCCAAATCAAGAATATTTTTCTGTATTAATTTTTTGGAATTTAATTACGTAATATTATTAGTACTTTTATCACTAGACACTAAAAACCTCTCTATGGATTTATTTCATTTTTTAGCCATTATACGTGTCTCCATCTCTTCCTAAGACACCCATTTATGTGAAATAATGTGCCTCCAGTCTACTTTCCAAAAAGCCCGTTATATAAGCTTGAAGAATTCGTTATGCATGTTTCTGCTTTAAAATAAGTGGCACATTGTTTTTTTCTTGAGAGCTTTTGATTTTGTTTAATTTGGTGGGAGTTTGTTGTTATTGTTTTTCAACTGATAATTATATTTTTATTCGTGTCGCATAAGAAGTTGTATTACTTCCAACTGGCTAGCATTTTATCTTCTCCTTGTGTTATAAATTCCACTTGTGTTGAACACCTATGTTGCTTCCAATACTTTGCTCCGAATAAGGATCTCTTTATAAACATTTCCTTGTGTCTCTGTATAGGTGGACTTCTGCTTGACAGAGGCAAACACACTTCTCCTTGTGTGCTGAGGAACTTTTCTCCAGATGGCAGCACTTGTTTATTCACCCAGCTGTGAGTGTTTGTGATTCCCAACATGCTCACTGGAATCTTAGTTTATTTTATTTTGCAATATCATTTTACTGTTCCACACTCTCAATGACTTCATGCTTCATTCAGAAGTAAATCCACAGTTGTCAAAGCACCACGTGAACCCACAGTATCTGCCTCCCTCCCTCCCTCTGCCAACTCTCTGACCACGTCTCCTATGCTCTGAACTAACTCCTTTCCTCCCTCTCTACCCACCGTCTCTCTCCCCGCTCAAGTCAGAAGATGATGATGGGCCATGTGTGAGATTGGATGGGACTAGGGTAATGGGCTGTATCAAGGGGGCAGGCTAGAATCTTGGATCCGCACAGCCACCTCTGCTTATACCTACCTACACTCCTTCTCAAGGACAATATTTTAAACATAAATATAAACATAAGAGAATGGATACAACCTCACTAGTCACTGCTAAAATGTTTTGAGCGTCTTCATGTAAGAGAAAATTTCAATATTGATCATTGTCTCTTATAGTAGTGAGCTTTGACACTATTTTCTTATGTGTACTGTGTATTTCATTGTTTTTTAAACCCAGAGTTTATAGATTTTGATATTTTGTCAACATTATGAACTGCTACATTTTAAAGTGATTTCTGAAAATATATGAGAGAAAAAGAAATGTTGATATGCTATTTGCACATATGATAACATTTGTATTTAACAAGCTTTAATTCAACAATGTGTAAGAACATCAGAATAATATAATGCCTTCTTGGTAGATAAACATAGCAACTAAAAAATACAAATTATTTCATATTTTTGAATTAAATTATTGTATTTAAATGTTTTACACTTTTGCTTATTTCTCATATTGCTAGAAAAATATGTTATCCAATATCTTTATGGGCCATAAGCTTTCTATTGTTCCACATTAAAAATAAAATGATTCTAGTGGTTCAACCTTAGGGGTATCTTTTTTTTAGATATAAATGGACATTATTAAGAAATTAAAGAAGTATACTATATTCCCATATTTCTTAATTTGTCTTTGTGTGTGTATATACACATGCATGTATATATATATAAATATATACACACATGCATACACACAAATATATATAATATAATATATGTCTATATATGCACATGTATATGCATATGTGTAGATGTACATATCTAGATATTTAATAAAGGAATGATGGTTAGAATTTCCTGAAAATTCATAGAAAAGGCAATTTTTGTTGTTAAATTATTTAATAATGGGAACGAGAGACACTAAATAAATAGCCCTTGACACAAAGCCGTCTTTTTTTTTTTATTTTACTTTAAGTTTTAGGGTACACGTGCACAACGTGCAGGTTTGTTACATATGTATACATGTGCCATGTTGGTGTGCTGCACCCATTAACTCATCATTTACATTAGGTGTATTTCCTAATGCTATCCCTCCCCACTCCCCCAACCCCACAACAGGCCCCGGTGTGTGATGTTCTCCTTCCTGTGTCCATGTGTTCTCATTGTTCGATTCCCACCTATGAGTGAGAACATGCGGTGTTTGGTTGTTTGTCCTTGCCCATAAAAAATTATGAGTTCATGTCCTTTGTAGGGACATGGATGAAGCTGAAAACCATCATTCTCAGCAAACTATCACAAGGACAAAAAGCCATCGTTCTCACCCTGAGCATGTTGCCCAATTTTTATCTCCCTCTTCCTTTGTGAATTTTTCCATCAGAGATTCTCCTCTTTGATTCCTGTCCCCTGATAGGGCGTGTCACCTCGAGCCACAGATCTTTCAGGAAACACAGGACTCAGGCCGCTGAAACAACGAGGAAAACAAGGTGACACCATGCATAGTGTCCTTCTCTCACCTTCACCTTTTATGGATTATTCCCGGCTAGGACTACAACTCACACATTTCCCCCACTCCTGTGGCTGGGATAGCAGGAGACACAAAGCACCAAGGGTGTGCGCCCACCGGAGTCAGAATCGGATCACTTCCTTCCCATGATGCTCAGGTAGACCTTACTGCCTGGTTCTCCTTCTTCTCCAGGAAGAGCAGCCCTTGGGAGGACTCCGGCATCCTATGAGCAGGGAGCTTGTGGCAAGCAGCTTTGCCTGCAGCTGAGGCAGGGATAGAACAGGCTGCACGGGTCCTGAGGAGGGCAGCGAAGCCCACAGCCTGGGTATGGGAGGAGTCCTCAAAGGAATCACAGTCATGTTTTGAGCCTCCAGACAGACAAGGACTTCTGGATGGCAGGAACCCAGCTGATCAGTCTGGAATGCTCTTTTCTCCTGCTGGGCAGGGCTGAAGACAGTTTCTCTCTGACCAGCTACTGTGGACCCAGAGTGATGACCAGCCTGAGCCATAGAGTTTGTGCCTGTGTAGGGATGCTCAGGCTGAGAATGAGGCAGCAGCAGTATGACCACAGTGCAGGAAGCTGGAGGGGCATGCAAGCCACGTGCTCACACCTGGAGTGGAGGGACATGCAAGCCACGTGCTCACACCTGGAGTGGAGGGACATGCAAGCCACGTGCTCACACCTGGAGTGGAGGGAAAGCCTCCTTGATAGAGCAATATTGAAGGCACGCACTGCATTTATTGTCACATGATTGTGCTGTGAGACACCTTACATATTTATATTTAGTTGTCAGAAAAACCTCATGGTGACTGAGACAGATGTCAAACTCACCTTTACCCTCCCTTGGCCCATGCCATAGGAGACACATCCTGTACCACAGCTTCTGGAGTGGGAACCCTGCTACAGAATATGCTTTAAAGTGGTATCTGCCCATGTTGATGTGAAGACAGCTTTTCCTTTGTTTTCCCGTCACCTTCCGTTGAGGGGTGAGATCAGGCCCCTCCCTGTTAACCAGATCTGGCACTAGTGATCTCTCGGCACTGACAGTTTCTGTGGAAGTGACACTTTATAAACCAAGTCAGAGCTCTGAATTCTCTGGGACTGCCCAGCTTCCTGGAAACCCAGGCCACATGGGAGGCCTCAGGTAGGTCATTCAGCCAAGGCCGGCTTCACTGCAGACTCTCAATGAGGTCACCTTCAGTCGATTCCAACCCCTTCATACCAAATCAGCCCCAATCTGTGAAGCTTTTTTGCTGAGGCTCCATCATAAGGGGAAATGAGTCACCCACAGCAGCCGTGTCTGAATTACTCACCTATGCCTACAAGCAAAAAAAGTGCATGTTTTATTCCACTCTTGAGGCTGGATAATTCTTGTTTCCTTATCTGTTTGTTTTTGCATAATAACAGATGTAGCTCTTGCAGGAAACTCATAATATAAAAGAGAATGAACACTGCAATCTGAGTTTTCTTCCTTTCATGTTCTGCAGCCTTTCAGGTTGTGATTCCAAATATAAAAGCCAGTAAGTTGGCCTGAACCCTGGAGGCGGAACTTGCAGTGAGCCGAGATCGCGCCACTGCACTCCAACCTGGGCGACAGGGCGAGACTCCGTCTCAAAAGAAATAAATAAATAAAAATTTTTAAAAAGCCAGTAAGTTTTTGCATATTCTTACAGAATTATTAACTGAACTATTAATAGCACTGACATCATGACAATCTTTTTCCTAAGGGCTTTTTATGTTTAGTTATTTATTCTTCATCTACTCTAGAGAGTCAGGTGGCAGCAGGAAGGAGGTTTCTCTGCTCCACTAAGACTGTCCCCAAGCTGGGAAGGCTGAACTGCTCCTCATCACCTTCCTAACACTCCTCCTCCCATTATCATGTGATATTCTTACTCTTTGTTCATTTTCTCCTCCAGTTGGAAACTCAAAAAGGTAAATCTGTTTTCTAGTTTTGCTGTTTCTCTTTTTGTGTGTGCTCATGTTTAAGATCCAAACATACACAAGAAATTTGAAGGGAATCGGCAATGATAGGCACTTGTACCAACAGCTTTAAATACCACGAATGGTAGTGACTTTGTCTTGAACATGACAACCCTCTTATCTTTGAACCAAAACCTTCACTTTTTAGATGAATTTTGGGGTCGTCACTTCCTTTCCTATACCTGGTTTTCATGAGATCATAAGAATGTGTGTGATTGTTTCTTGATTTCTTATCCAAAACAAAAATTTAATTCTACAATTTTGTGAGATAAAAATTTCATTTAGAAAAGTATATATTATATATTTCTTCACCCAACATATTCGCTCAAACAGAAATGCACTGGTGAAAATACTGTGATTTTTTTTTTTTTTTTTTTTTTTTTGAGACAGTCTCGCTCTTTCGCCCAGGCCGGACTGCAATGGTGCTATCTAGGCTCACTGCAAGCTCCGCCTCCTGGGTTCACACCATTCTCCTGCCTCAGCCTCCTGAGTAGCTGGGATTGCAGGCGCCTGCCACCGCACCCAGCTAATTTTTTGTATTTTTAGTAGAGATGGGATTTCACTGTGTTAGCCAAGATGGTCTCGATCTCCTGACCTCCTGATCCGCCCACCTCCCAAAGTGCTGGTATTACAGGCGTGAGCCACCACGCCCGGCCATGATATTTCTTTATTAATTTCTGGGGAAATGGTCGGTCTTTTTTGAGGGATGCCCTTTTTCATCCTTGTAAGACCATGCTGATGCATGCTGCCCATGGGAAGCCAAAGGGTCAATGAATCCCCTGGCATTGTGTCCAGTCACTCCATTTCCTTCTCCCGTAGCTTTTCAGGGAAGCAGCCCTGAGAACTCAGAGGATCTTTCTCTGATTGAAGCATCTGACCTCTGGTTGATATCTCTAAACATGCTGTTTTTTCAAAAATCATGTTCACTGTCTTCCAATGACTGTGCAAATGTCTCAACCCACATCCTCCCAGATGCTCAAGATAATCCTTCATTGATATAAAATGGACTCTAATTGCTAATATTCTGAGAAAGTTTTGCTTCTATGTTCATTAATGAGATTGTCTTGTATTATTCAAATCTGTTTCTGTTTCTGTTGAGTTTAGTTTTACTCTTTCGCTGGAACATCAAAATAAGTATGTGTGTTTGTGTGTGTGTGTGTGTGTGTGTGTGTGTGTTTATAATTTTATACAAAGGTCCAGACTGTATAAATGGCAGTTAGCACTCTCTAACCCAGCCCTCTACAAGGAGGTTTAGAAATAATGGATAGAACGAGATAACAAGCTCCTCATGCCCAGACGATAGGACTGAAAGGCAGTGGTAATGTGCACCCAGAAACCTTGACCTCATCCCTAAAAGAACTCCTGATCTAAAGACTGAGGATTTTGAAGTGGACTGAGATTCTGGCCATGCTGGAGAAGCTCCAGGGTTCTTCTTGCTGAGTCTAAGTTGTTAGGATGGGAACTTCCCCAATTCCAAGTGTTTCTCATTCTGTGCCCAGGAAACATTGTAGTTCAAGTTCCTTTGAGCAAATTTGTTCCTGCTGTGTGATTTGTCTCTGCTTGAAGGGCAGGCTTGGACAAGGACTCCATGAGGGCGGAGGATAAAATAGGAAGCATTGGAGTGTGAGTCTAGTGCTCAGTGGCTCCTGAGGTGCAGGAAGTGGCTCCTGCTCGGTGGTGCAGGTGCAGGAAGTCATACTTCAGTGAGGACACTGCTTGCTCAAGTGTATGAGAACCAGTATTTTCCTATGTGGCCTGGCCCAGAGCCCTTCCCTCTCAGGAACAGTCCAACAGCACCCCCTGCTGGCTCCGATCCCAAGTCGGGTGGCCCCTCAGACACAGACCCAGCTCTTCTGGAAGGACATCCTGACCATTGCAAATGGATCTTTCAACTCATGACCTAAGGGAGTAGAATGAGTGGGTCCTCTCTGCAGTGTTTACAGCTGAGACATTATTTCTTTCACGTTAGTTATGGTCTGCAAAGAGCTAATCACAGAATGTGTTTCAGGATGCACAGTGATGATTTACCAGATATCAGCATCACCAGGCGTGTGAGTGTGTTTCTCCCAGGGGCCTGTGGTCATCACCAGTCTGTGGTCATCTTGAACCCAATCTAAGGCTTAATGTTCTGCTGAGCCTCCAGGTGGTTCATACCTGGGGATAATTCTACATGGGCTTCTTTTAGAGGTTGACTTATTTTGTTATTGTCGTTATTGTCGTGAGGGTCGCCTGTGAGATTCCTTCAGCTCCTACTGCACAAGCCTTGGCATTATAGCCCATAAGAATGATGCTGTCAGAAAAAAAGTGTCTCTTGCTCTGTTTCGCCTCTGACTTCTTTTGCTATTTAATATTATCCTGGTAATACCTCTTTTCTTTTGACCATGTTATATATTTAAGGTATTTTAGTCTAATTTTATAATTTTCGTCAATATGTGGATGGATATAAAAAGACAATTCTCAAAAGTGGAACCCCTCCTTTCTTTTTGGATGTTCTCCCCATACTACTGGCCTGAGGAACCCTCACGTCCCATTTCCCCACCATCACTGGGCCCTGATTCATTTTATTCGTTAAGAAGATCCCTGGATTTAATGGGGATTGGATTCACAAAGCCTAGGTCTCAGAGAACTTCTATTCATCCAACATCTTTCCAACCAAAGAACCAGAGACAAGCACTAGAAATGTGGAGTCAACCTGGAGGCTTGAGGCCTTCATGGCTCTGAGAGCTGGGTCCTTACTGCGGAGGGGCTGCCCTGCACCTGGGAACAGAGCAGCTCTTCCAGAGGCAATCTCAAAAGAAAGAGAAACCTAACTTCTCTGTGGGTTCAGAGCCCAAAGGGTGATCAGCAAAGCCAGGGCCAGATGTAGGGACATGTGAAGCCCATGAGGGCCATACCTGCCAAACTTCTGCTGCTCTTCTCATCCCAGCAGACAACAACGAGGGCTATCTTTGTTACTGTGGACATAGTGATTATGTTTTCATTGGGAGACCAGTAAGAAAAGGTGTCTTTTCATTGAATCCGTAAAGATAAACAGAAAATACCATTAAGCCCTCTGGTTTTAGGAGCACGTGTGATAGCATCAGCAAAAACCTGAGCTGGTCTTGGTAGTATTCACTCAAGCAGGCAGAAAAAGGGCAAAGATGGATCTGACAGAAGAGTTGGAAGGCCAATTTCTATCTAATTTTCTCATATGACAGTGACTGTTGGTGGTGACTGAGGCTGCTGTGCTGCCCCTGAATAAATGTCACCATCATCCTCATGCACTGACTGGAACCCAGAGAAAGTCAGGGAGGCTGAACTGCCGACTGGAAGAAGGGACCTGACCTGTGATTGCCCAGCATTAAACTTTTCCACCAGCAGGTGTCCAGAGCATTTCCTGGCTGAACCTGATAGCAGGATCCCTTACCCTCCATGCCACTGGTGGTTCCTGTGACTTCATCGAGATTCAACCTGAGGGTGGCTGGATCACCACAGGCTAAGCCCTGACTTCTAGCTGGAGACATAGAGAATCCTGGAAACTGAAGATGTCCAGAATAATGTGTACCCAGAGAGAAGAGAGGGGTGTGTGTGTGCGTGTGTGTGTGTGTGTGTGTGTGTGTGTGTGTGTGAAAGAGAGAGAGAGAGAGAGAGAACATGTGTCTTCCAGGACCCATTCCTGCCTAGGCAGAGCCTAAAGTGAGTGGCAGCCTGCCTCACGGCCAAAATGTGATCTTGAAATAGCAATTATTAAAAATGCTCAGGCAGCATCCTTTCAATAAGTACCTAAGCCTAAACTGGGGAGTACTGCATTGACACATTCATAGGCTGATCAGTGAAGGGAGAAACCACCTAAATGAGGATATTAACGTGGCATTTCTATGTCTTTCCTCATTGAATTAAACGCAAGTACAGGTTCTATGATCACTGAGCTGAGAATCTTTTCAAAGGAGAATATTCTTTCCAGTAGATTTAATATTATCACAAAATTAAAACAAACCAATTTCATTATTCTCACATTCTAAGACTCTGGTATATTTAAACGTTAAATTAAGAGCATGTTTTGAAAACCTCTCAATAGGGGCAGGAACACCTATATTTAAGACTCCTCTACCTTTACTTTAAAGAAACACATCACTTTCCATTTGGAGGGGAATGTCAGAATTCTATCAGCCACATAGATCTTTTTATAAAGTATGATTTTACATTTTATTTATTCATTCAATCAACTGGGAATTGCTGTATTGTACAAATACAATGTTGTACAAAAATCACAGAATGTTACAAAATAAAAAGTACAAACTGCATTACTTAATAAATGTGACTACAATTAGGCAAAGTGGCAATATGATAGATTTTAGGTGGGAAACATTAACACAACAAACCATACAATCTCTGCAGACATTTGTACATTATAAAATAGGATGATCCTATTTTGCCTTTTAAAAGAATTTAAAAGGAGTATTAAGACGGTATCTTCTGCTATGAAATAACTGCCGAGGTTGGCTCCAGGCATTTATGCCATTAGCTTTTAAAACTCTTAGGGGACTCCAACATGCTATATTGCAGTAGGTTTAGCTTGTCACAGAGTCTTATACCATGTTAAGATTACCTTAAAACAAAATCACAAACATAAATAAAAACAATTGAGATCACCCAACATTCTGCTCTAACATCAATCTAGTGCAGATTAGTCACTCTGCCATCAGCAAGCATCAGACTTTCATTCAAGTAAGACCTGGTACAATCCGTTAAAGAAGAAGAAAAAAAAAAACTTCCCACAATCCTTTGTTAAGTATTTCTCTCTAAAAGATTGACCATTTCTAAACAAATAATGGTTCCAAAACAACAAATCTATTTGTATCAAAATGTAATGGGCCAATCATTTGGTAACAAGAATGCATCAATATAAGTTTCTAAGAATTGTAAAATTCAAATTTCAACAGCGTAACTACCAAATCACAAACTCTGTTCAAAATAATAAATTTTATATAAAACACTTCTCTTAATTTCTGCCTGAAAGCTGCTTGTCAAAAGTAATGTACTGTCATAGATGAAGGTACACCATTTTTTAATGTTGTGTAAAAATACACTTTTGTAGAAAATAGACTACCAGGAATGAACAGATTTACACTGTGAGAAATTAGCTTTCAAATTAAGCAGTGCTCACTTAAACAGAAAATTACAGATGCAGTAAAATCACCCAAAACTATCATGCAACATCATTTAGGCGCCCAGCAACTTTTAGTTCCGAGAAAACATTTTAAAAGATGATTATGGCGTTACACTCACAGAAAAGCTATTAGGAAGTGCCAGCTGCGGTGGCTCACGCCTGTAATCCCAGCGCTGTAGGAGGCCGAGGCGGGTGGATCACGAGGTCAGGAGATTGAGACCATCCTGGCTAACACCGTGAAACCCCGTCTCTACTAAAAATACAAAAAATTAGCCGGGCGTGGTGGTGGGCACCCGTGGTCCCAGCTACTCGGGAGGCTGAGGCAGGGGAATGGCGTGAACCCAGGAGGCGGAGCTTGCAGTGAGCCGAGGTCGCGCCACTGCACTCCAGCCTGGGCAACACTGCGAAACTCCATCTCAAAAAAAAAAAAAAAAAAAAAAAGGAAAGAAAAGCTGTTAGGAACTTTACAAGTGTTATTACCCTGATTAGAGTTCATGTCATTCTCCAAGCACAAGTTCTGTATGCAATTTTCCCAGGGTGTAAGGTTTTCAGACATTTCAAGGGTAGGCATTTTATTCAGAATATGTGGCCCCAGAGTGAGCAAGTTATTCATTGCGTTGCCTTTTGCTTTTGAGTCTGTTTGCACCAGTTGTCGTACTTGGTTAGGATAGGAGTGATCAAATACTGCATCCTAGTGCCCGTTACTGAGCCAACTGAGCCAAATACTAGGCTTTAGGCAATCCTCTGGGCCCAAATAATGAATCATGGTAGATAGACACTGTGGGCCTCTCCAGCCTCCCTCTAGTAGTTCAGTGCTATTCACATTCAGCATCTACCCTATGTACACAGGGTACCCAGCCACGCCCCGTTTTGGGCAGCCGCGATAATAAGCTTCCCCGTGTCACCCTCACCCAGGGAGCTAAAGTGGTGGAGACGATCGGGATGGGGCGCACCCTCCGCTCCGCAGCTCCTGGTGCAGGCTCGGGTCTAGCACTGGGTCTTGCTGACAGCACCGTAGAGGCCGTTGCCATGGGGAATGATGTGGAATCGGTGCTGATTCTTCTGCGTAAGCCCATGTCCTGCTTCTCGCCTGGGCCAGGTGCAAGGCTAGCTTCTCCTGTGATCCGACCTGGAGAGAACCACCTTGCTGGCGCCGCTCTGGGCAGCCTCGCTGCTGCTGGTCTGGTCGGGGAACCTCAGCCTCTGGGTGGGGCCTTAGTGCAGCGTCTTCACCTGCATCTTCGCCGTGTCTTCTCTCTCTCCCAGCCCCGCAGGCTCATCTCCGCCATGTGCTCTTCTCCTGGTGGACCCTGGCGAGGATCCGGGCTCCCCGGGGGTGATGCAGCCTCCATCCTGGGTGGCGGCCTGGGTTTGGCGCTGCTTGCTCAGGGGGAAGTTTCTATCAGGCCCCTCCCGAGCTGCCGCTAAGCCGCGGGCTCCATGCAGGGTAGTCGGGCGCAGCAGCTCCTCCAGGAGCCAGGTGGAGGAGCCCTGCCAAGGCAGGCGGGACTGGGCCATGCACCAGGAGCCTTGCAGCTCCCAGACCCATGCAGAGATCCACATGGATCATCTCTGTCAAGTTAAAGAGATAAAACAAAACTAAACTAACAAAACCAAAAAAAAAAAAAAAAAAAAAAGAGGTCGGGCACGGTGGTTCACGCCTGTAATCCCAGCACTTTGGGAGGCCGAGGACGGCGGATCCCGAAGTCAGGAGTTCCAGACCAGCCTGACCAACATGGTGAAACCCCGTCTCTACTAAAAAATACAAAAAATTTAGCCAGGCATGGTGGCGCACGCCTGTATCCCAGCTACTCAGGAGGCTGAGGCAGGAGAATCGTTTGAACCAGGGAGGCTTAGGTTGCAGTGAGCCCAGCTCACTGCACTGCACTCCAGCCTCGCTGACAGCAAGACTCTGCCTCAAAAAAAAAAAGGAAAGAAAAGCAATCTTAAAAATAAAACAATAACAAACAGTGAGAGTCATCCTGCAGAGCTGCCAGGGCTGTTCACCTATTCAACCCATGGTAACCATTTATTCTAGAGGCAGGGCAGAATTGCTGGCTACTGGTGGGAAGACGGTAATGTCTGCTGACATTTTATTTCATATATTATACATATACATGATACATAATTTTATATATACATGATACATAATTTTATACAACTCTTGTATATAGTGGTATTATGTATTATGCCATCTGGATGTATTTCAGCTGTTTCACAACTCTTTTACTAGTGGAAATTGGTTAGTAATGTTAGTATTTCTTAGTATTGGTATAAGTTTTTGTGTTTTGATTTTAGCTGCTTAGAGTCACTATGGGCATTATGTGAAAAAAATGGGAGAGAGTTATAATGTGCCACCATTTTTAACAACAATCCAGTATTTAATGTGATTTTATTAACCACTGAAGTTCTTAACCAGTTCAGTAAAAATGACAAGCTTAAAACCTTGGTTTTTGTCCGACTTCCTCATCTGTCTCACTGTGATTAGCACTACTTTCGTACACCTGGCAGTAATAATCGGCCTCGTCCTCAGGCTGGAGCCCAGAGATGAGCAAAAACGCTGTGTTACTTGAGGTCTCCTTGGAGCCAGAGACTCGACTGGGGACCCCAGGTCCCAGCTGCTTGTCTGAGTCTGAGTAGTGATACAGGAATAACCTGGGAGAGCTCCCTAGCTTCTGCTGGTACCAGAACATGTTTTTACCACCAACACTGAGGTCACTGCTCAGGGTGCAGGGGAGTCTGGCTGTTGCTCCCGGGGATGCAGACAGGGAGGGCGGCTGAGTCAGCACGGGCCGGGAGAGGGAACCTGCAGACACAGACACAGCACAGTGAGGAGCAGGGTCAGGGCGCAGCTGCTGAGGGATCTGAGCCATGAGGGACAGATCAGGCTGGGGACCACCCTGGGCTCTGAGCCCTGTCCCTACCTGTGCAGTGAGAGAGGAGCAGGAGGAGGAGAGGAGTCAGGGCCATAGTGGACACAGCTGCCTCTGAGGCCACAGACCTAGGGGTGGGCTGCCCCAGGCCTCTCTTATCCCAGCGTCACTGGGCTCACAGAGGAGGGGCTGACCATGCAAATGTGTTTCCCCATTGCCTCTCCCGCAGGTGCACTCGCAGGGACCAGACCCTTGGACAGGGAGGCTGGCATGAAGCAAGAGTTTGCCCCACGGGTGGGACCAGAGAAAGCAGCAGCTGCTGGGACCACACACAGGGTCATGTGTAGAGGACTCTGCCAGGCACAGATGAGACAAGGCTGCAGAGTCCCAGGAGGAAGTGAAGGAGCAGCCCTGGGCCTCTGTCAGTTGAGGGCTCCCCAGCTGTGAGCACCTGTCCTGCAGAAATACACAGAGAAGTTCTCACCGCGCCCCCTGCTGGTCTGCAGGCAAATTTCTCCTTTTGCAATGATCCAGAATCTTCCCTCTGCTTTGTTTCTGTAACTCTTGTCTTTCAAACATGCAGGAAGAATTCCTACAGGGATCAGTGGAGCTGTGGTCTTGGTGCCACCCCTGACCCCGGGCCTCCCTCTGTGGGGCAGGGGCCAGCAGGGGTGGACTGCATGTAATCTTGGTCCAGGAAAGCATGTGACCTGCCCTGGAGCTGAGGACACAATGCCAGGGTGGAGCACCAAGACGATCTCTTCACCAGGAGGCTCTTACTCAGGATGCTGCTGTGACTAGGAGTTCACCAAGGGGAAACACACCATGCAAGATCTCAGGCCCTTCCTGAGGAAGGTGCTGGGAGGAGACACTGAGGCAGACACTGAGGTGGGGGCTGCAGGAGCATATGGAGGGTGGAGGGGGCTATGGGCCCAGGTGTGCAGCAGGGAGGATGCACAGGGCCCTCAGGCTGATTCTCCTCCATCTGCTGGCTAGAGGGCTTGACCGCGGCTGTGCCTGTCATCAGCTCTCCTATTAGAGACTCAGCTCTGGGGAAGTTCCAGGACAAGTTCTAGAACCTGAGACAGGAGATTGGGCAGGGGACATTCCTGGGAGGCTGGAGAAACAGGATGGCAGAGAAATTAGGGAAGGGGAGGAGTGGCAGGTGTCTCTGAGGTAGGACACATGGACAGGGATCACTGAACCCCAGGCTGTCAGAGAGCAGGAGATGGCCCAGAGTGTGTGGTGGGTAGAGGCCGACTCTGAGGGAAGCCTTGATGCCATCACTGCCACAGGCGGGGCGGGTGGAAGGGCAGGGCTGAAAGCTATGGTAGGCTTGGTGTACATCTGTCCCACTGTGACCATGGCATGACAGTGTAGAAACAAGTTAGCTCAATTCAGAGGCAATAACAGCTGCAGGGACTCATTTTCCTCCTGGGTAAAGAAAAATGCAGGTCTTAAAATAACCATGTGACAGGAGACTCAGGTTGCGTTGTTATTCATTCATTCATTCATTCATTCATTTATTGACCCATTTCCCATTTAGAAAAAAAAAAGTGCAGCTCGTTGCCAGCACTCATTTCTTGGGCAAATGGGAAATGGGTTCAACACATATTTAAGGAAGGGCTGGCATGGATCAGACACTGGAGATGCAACAGGGCCAGGGACAGGACCCAGATCATGGAGCAGGAGATACTGGGAAGAAGAAGAGGATAAAGATGGCTCCAGAGGACATCCCCAGTCTGAGGATTTCATGGTGTTCCCCAGAGGAGTCGATGGCTAAGAGCCAAGGTCTTCCACAGACCCTCTCTCCACAGCATGCAGCTCAGGGTATATAAGGGTCTCAGTGGCTGCAGGGCCTGTTGGGGGAAAGCCCTGAGACACCTAAGCTTTGACTTCACATGGGGCTCAGGTAGATGAGCCAGGGAAGGAAGGCACTACCCCTGTCCTGAGGGGGAATGCAGCAGCAGTGCTGGTGGCGGCTATGGAAGTGTCCCACTCAGATGCCTCTTTGGGAGAACCTGCAGGAGGACCACAAGTGACTAACATGTCCCCTGCCCCTGGGCTGGCTCCAGGCAATGAGGACCCCAGGGTCCCTCCAGCCAGGTCTTCCTGCAGGAAGCAGGGCACTTCTAATGGGCACCCCTGGGAAAGAACCCACTCAGTCGGCTGAGGCTTTGTCTGACGTCTGACCTGCCTGTGGGCTGGGGCAGTTCCTACTAATCCCCCTTCCTTCTCTCCTTTCGTGGGGGTCAGAGCCGTGGCCTGAAGCCCACCCACCCCCCATGCCAAGTCCTTCCCGGTTTCTCTTTCACCAGTGTTTCTACCCTCCAAAAAAGACATTACTTTTTTTCTTTAATTATTATAGAATCTACTTATCAAAGGGGCCAAACTAAAAAAAAAAAAGACTTCTATTTTAGAGAGAACATCCCATCCATGGCACTGTGAGAGGCACTACTGTGCCATGAGTAGCCTCATCCTCAAGCTTGAGACCAAAGATATGGAAAACCTCAGCACTGGCGACGGCACCCACTCACACGGAGAAGAGGCTGGGGACCCTGAGCCCTGGTTCTGCTTGAATCTCAGTAGAATCTCAGTAGATACCAGGGAGGGAAGGCTCCCTGCCCTGTCATGTTTCCAGTAAATGTCATAGCAAACAACATTGATGTTACTGCTCAGGGTGCAGGTGAGTCTGAATGATGATCCCAGAGATGCACAGAAGGAGTCACAGAGCATCCAGATAATCAGAGAATAATCAGCGAGGCTGCCATTCTGTGCTAAATAGTGAAAATCAGCACCGTCGCCAGCCTGGAGCCCAGAGATGGCCAGGGAGGCCAAACTGCCTAACATGGGGCTGGGAAATTCCCTGAGGTCCCTGAGGGATGGTTGTTACCCCCTCTGGGTCTGAGGTTTGGGGACATGTCCCAGGTGCTCCTGAATCCAAGCTGTGCCTTGATTGACAGTATTATGGCTGTTTCCAGGGTGGGTGATTGTAATTGTCAGTCCCGGAGGCTTGGTCAGTGAAAGAGGCTGTCAGTGCCATGTGGACCACAGACCCAGGAGGGTGGAGAGAAAGAGAAAACAATGAGCCCTGTGAGAAAGGGAGTGGAGCAGAGGTGGGCTGAGGACCGCATAGACCCTTCTCCCCAGAGCAGGATGTGCCTCAGCTGGGCAGGGAGGGAAGAGGTCAAAAAGCAGAGGGGCCAAGCCATGGTGCAGGTGCTCAAGAGATCTGCACCCTAAGACTCCAGCAGTAACAGTGAATGTTCCTAACGCTCTTTTAGTCTCTACAGGTCTCACTGGGAGAGAATTTCCTACATTCAAATATGTCCCTGCACCCGGATCACCTCCAGGACCCCTCAGCCATAGGCAATGTCTCTCTTGTCTGGAGGAAGAAGAGGAGGATGAGGAGTTGACCTGAACCAGGCCCCACAGGGTGAGAGAGCCTGATCCTAGACTGAGTGTCCCTGAAGGTCCTGACAGCTGCAGTCACTTCCCATCTCAGCTCAGTGAGCTCACTGTGTGCTCAGCTCCCCTCAACCTCCTGAGGGCCTTCCCAGCTGGCAGGGCCAGACATGCTCACCCCCTGAGACAGCCTCACAGGTCCCCTGCTGACCCCGTGTCCCTTGACATCACCAGGACACAGCCCTGCTGACTCACTGAGGGTCTCACAGGTGTGGCCTTGATTGTGCTGTTCACGCCCCAGATGCTGGCGCTCAGGGAGGAGATGGGGAAGCCAGGCGGACTGTTCTTAGAGACTGCAGGAAATGACCTGAGGAGGAGGTAAGCGAGCAAGCACAGTGTTTTTTTGTTTTGTTTTGTTTTTTGAGATGGAGTCTCGCTCTGTCAGCCAGGCTCTGGAGTGCAGTGGCGCAAACTCAGCTCACTGCAAGCTCCGCCTCCCTGGTTCACGCCATTCTCCTGCCTCAGCCTCCCGAGTAGCTGGGACTACAGGTGCCTGCCACCACGCCTGGATAATTTTTTTGTATTTTTAGTAGAGACAGGGTTTCACTGTGTTAGCCAGGATGGTCTCGATCTCCTGATCTCGTGATCCACCAGCCTCAGCCTCCCAAAGTGCTGGGATTACAGGCGTGAGCCACCGCGCCTGGCCCACAGTGTTCTTATTCATATTTAATTTTACAAAACAAAACAAGAAGTATTCTTAAAGACCTCATCTGCACCTGATACACTTCTCCACCTAGGATTCCGCAAAGCATCGCCTCTGTTCGTGGAGGCATTTCCAGCTTATTTTTGAAGTAGATCACTTTCTATCCAATTCTGAAATCATCCTTTTCACCTAAATTATCACAAGGTTTGAGGATAATCTCGATCTTCTCAGCCTCCATGAATTTACGTATCATGGACATTTGTTATAAATACAGTCATTTCTAGACATTTCATTTCTAGATATTTGCATTTGTTCCTTTCACTGAGCATAATTTTTCAAGGTCCGTTCATATGGAGCTCATTTCAGCACTTCCACCTTTCAATGGCTGAGTCACATGACCTTAGAAGGAAGAAGGCTCTATTATATTTCCATGTGCATTGTACAAAAGTGCAAAGCAGGGGTGTCCCATCTTTTGATTTCCCTGGGCCACAATGGAAGAAGAATTGTCTCGGAACACACATAAAACTGATACTAACTGTTAGTATCAATAGCTGGTGAGCTATAGAAAATTGCAGAAAAATCATAATGTTTTATGAAAGTTTACAAATTTGTGTTGGGCCACATTCAAAGCCTTTCTGGGCTGCATGCAGCCTGCGGGCTGTGGGTTGGAGATTGATGGAAGGCATTGTGTGCTGTCCTAGTCAGAGCTAAACTCTGTGTTACAGGATCTGGTTAGGGCTTCTACACCTCTAAGTAGCACAATCTCTGACTTCTTGTTGCTTGGAAAAACCATTCAACCATCAAAACATTGAAGTTTGGTGTTATTGTTTTGTCTCATAGATGGGAACCAGAAACAAAAATTAGAAAACCAGCCTCATGCTCAGCAGAATGGCATAAACACATTTCAAAGCCAAGCTTCTTAGTAGCTGAAGACATGCTCTTTAACTGAGTATCTCAACCTGGGCTGATTTTGTCCCCAAGCATGGGACATGTGGCAGTGTCTCAAGACAGTCTTGTTGTCACAAATGAGGGGAGGGTGTTAATAGTATCTAAGGGTAGAGGCCAGAGATGCAAGTCAATAACTTATACTGTGCAAGGCAGCCCCAACCAGAACATCAATCATGGTGTGGCTCAGAGACCCGATTATAAACTACATTTATCCCACAATTGATCGTGCACATATCAGAAAATCAGCCATCAAGGTGTGGAAAAACAGATTGGTATTTTGAAAAGGAAAAGAGGAAGTCATAAGCAAAGTTCACCTCAAGCACTTAGACAGGAGAGATGGGAGAGCTACCCTCTCCGGTGGAGACAGGCTGAGACTGGCCCAGGTAGAGATGCTCTGGGGAGTTTCTGTCTCACTTCCCCATGGGTCTGGAGCACTGTGTGATTGCTGCTATCATAAGACTGACAGTAGTAGTCAGCCTCGTCCTCAGTCTTCAGTCCAGAGATGGTGAGGGAGGCAGAGTTGGAGGAGCTGTCGATGGAGCCAGAGAACCGATCAGGGACCCCAGAGGGTCTTTGGTTATCCTCATAGATCACAGTGGTGGGGGCACTGCCCGGGCGCTGCTGGTACCACTGCACATAGTTGCTGGCAATGCTGCCACTGCTGCCGGTGCAGGAGATGGTTACCGTCTTCCCCGGAGACTCCGACACAGAGTGGGGCTGAGTCAGCATAAAATTGGCCCAAGAACCTGCAAGAAGAGAGCAACACAGAGATCAGTGGGGAGAGATGAAGACTGGTTCCCAGGCAGGAGGAACAGATCATCAGCCCAGGTGACATCCAGGAACGCTCCCTGAATTCCTTGCAGGCAGCCACCTGTGCAGTGAGCGAGGAGGGTGAGAAGTAGTGGAGCCCAGGCCATAGTGGAGATGCTCCAGGCTCTGCTTCCTGAGCTACCACCAGGACTGATCCCACCAGCCCTTCTTATCTGTCACGCGTATCCTCAGAGTGGTAGGGCTCCATGCAAATTTCTCCCTTTCTGGAGGTTGCACAACCCCCTCCTTTGACCTCAGACAAGGTTATGGCTGAAAAGTGGTCATAGAAGGGGGAGGAGCAACACCATCTGGAGGGCACAGAAACACCAGCAGGTGGAGGGAAAACAGCAGAGGATCTGGGGAGCTCTGATTAGTTGCTTAGACCACAGCGCCCTCTGGTGGATGTGGGAGTCATGTCCACCCTGGGCAGGTGCAGGTGCAGGTACAGGTGCTCAGGGCCCCTGACCTGTCCTTCCATCCTGCACTGCTCCCAACTCCAGCCACTGTCCAGGGGGCCTCTGCTCAGCATCCTATGCTCACTGTACATTTAAACTTTGAAATATGTTCAGATAGGCCAAGACTCAGTACTCTGGTTAAGACATTCTCTTTGACTTTGTGTTATTGGAGATCGGGAATATCAGCAAGAATGGGCTCTGCCTTCTGGAGGGGCCACATAGGGTGAGGTTGGGAACCCTTCACTGCTAGGTCTAGCCCTCTGAGCACGAAGAGGGAGGAACCCTGGGATCAGGGGCCAGATTTCACCATCAGGGACACCAGGAGTTTTTTTTCAGGCCTCTCACTTCTGAGCAGACTGATTGCTCGCCCTGCTGGGCTGTGATAACTATGGTTTGTGCTTCTCTAGTTAACAGTGTTAAGTGTCTTCTCTAATGCGTGGATTTTAGTTTCATAGTTACTTGTTCTTGAGTCTCTCCAGAGAGGTATTTTTAAATTTTTCATTTATTTTATTTGTATTTATATTTAGTTTGATTTTATGACTTCTATTTTTTCTGAGAATTTATCCTTTTTCATTTGTTTCAAGAATGCCTGAAATTGCTCATCAACAGGATTTTATGGTGGCTGATTTCAATATATCTGTCAGGTAATTTCAGCCCTAAATCATCTCAGCGTTGATGTCTGGATTGCCTTTTCTCATTCAAATGGTGAATTTTTCTACTTCTTGATATAACAAGTGTTTCTTTGAATTGTATCCTAGATATTTTGAATATTATATTATGAGACTATCTTGAGGATTTTCAATAGATCTGAAACAGTGTCTGCTTTTGGTTTGTTGGTTTCCTCTACTATTTTTTGTGTTGTCATTCTCAGGAGAAATGGGTCCCAGTCTCCTTTGGAAGTGTTTAGTTTCAAGGTTTTCAATCAGTCTAATCATATTGGAAATGCATCTTCCAGCAGGCTTTCTATTGGCTAAGATATTCCTGAGGCCTTATGTCTCTCTCATCCTCTATCTTAATCTTCCTCTATAAAGTTAGTCAAATATGTTTCAGTGTTGCTGACACCTTGGGGAAGGGGAAATGCACTTTTGATCTGAAGTGGCATCTTTCACCAAATCAGTTACTCACATGCCTAGTGACCCCCATTATACACTTCTCTGGAAAGCTATAGGGCTGAAGGATGAGCTGCATGAATTCTCAACATCCTCACAAACCTCATCTTCCCCAAGCCTGCCCCCAGTGCTGCGAACAGTTTCTTGCCTTTACAGGTGAAATAACTTCATGTCTTCTTTGAGGGTGACTGATGCAGGCTCCTCCCTCCAGCAGTGAGACAAGTGCAGAATCTGAGCCCATGACTGGGAATGTAAAGGAACAGGGTGTCCCACTGACTCAGTCCTGTAAACTGTGTCCCCTAGGTGCAGTGAAGGGATCAGGGCTGAGGGTGCCTGTAGAGCAGCACTGCCAGGCTAGGGGGCTGACTCTTTTTATTATTATTATTATACTTTAAGTTCCGGGGTACATGTGCACAATGTGCAGGTTTGTTACATACGTATACATGTGCCATGTTGGTGTGCTGCACCCATTAACTCGTCATTTACATTAATCTCCTAATGCTATCCCTCCCCCCTACCCCCACCCCACGACAGGCCCTAGTGTGTGATGTTCCCCACCCTGTGTCCAAGTGTTCTCATTGTTCAATTCCCACCTATGAGTGATAACATGTGGTGTTTGGTTTTCTGTCCTTGCGATAGTTTGCTCAGAATGATGGTTTCCAGCTTCATCCATGTCCCTGCAAAGGACATGAACTCATCCTTTTTTATGGCTGCATAGTATTCCGTGGTATATATGTGCCACATTTTCTTAATCCAGTCTATCATTGATGGACATTTGGGTTGGTTCCAAGTCTTTGCTATTGTGAATAGTGCCGCAATAAACATAAGTGTGCATGTGTCTTTATAGAAGCATGATTTATAATCCTTTGGGTGTATACCCAGTAATGGGATGGCTGGGTCAAATGGTATTTCTAGTTCTAGATCGCTGAGGAATTGCCACACTGTCTTCCACAATGCTTGAACTAGTTTACAGTCCCACCAACAGTGTAACAGTGTTCCTATTTCTCCACATCCTCTCCAGCACCTGTTGTTTCCTGACTTTTTAATGATCGCCATTCTAACTGGTGTGGGATGGTATCTCATTGTGGTTTTGATTTGCATTTCTCTGACGGCCAGTGATGATGAGCATTTTTTCACGTGTCTGTTGGCTGCACAAATGTCTTCTTTTGAGAAGTGTCTGTTCATATCCTTCGCCCACTTGTTGATGGGGTTGTTTTTTTCTTGTAAATTTGTTTGAGTTCTTTGTAGATTCTGGATATTAGCCCTTTGTCAGATGAGTAGATTGCAAACATTTTCTCCCATTCTGTAGGTTGCCTGTTCTCTCTGATGGTAGTTTCTTTTGCTGTGCAGAAGCTCTTTAGTTTAATTAGATCCCATTTGTCAATTTTGGCTTTGGTTGCCATTGCTTTTGGTGTTTTAGACATGAAGTCCTTGCCCATGCCTATGTCCTGAACGGTATTGCCTAGGTTTTCTTCTAGAGTTTTTATGGTTTTAGGTCTAACGTTTAAGTCTTTAACCCATCTTGAATTAATTTTTGTATAAGGTGTAAAGAAGGGATCCAGTTTCAGCTTTCTACATGTGGCTAGCCAGTTTTCCCAGCACCATTTGTTAAATATGGAATCCTTTCCCCATTTCTTGTTTTTGTCAGGTTTGTCAAAGATCAGATAGTTGTAGATGCATGGTATTATTTCTGAGGGCTCTGTTCTGTTCCACTGGTTTATATCTCTGTTTTGGTACCAGTACCATGCTGTTTTGGTTACTATAGCCTTGTAGTATAATTTGAAGTCAGGTAGCATGATGCCTCTAGCTTTGTTCTTTTGGCTTAGGATTGACTTGGCAATGCAGGCTCTTTTTTGGTTCCATATGAACTTTAAAGCAGTTTTTTCCAATTCTGTGAAGAAAGTCATTGGTAGCTTGATTGGGATGGCATTGAATCTATAAATTGCCTTGGGGAGTATGGCCATTTTCACGGTATTGATTCTTCCTATCCATGAGCATGGAATGTTCTCCCATTTGTTTGTATCCTCTTTTATTTTGTTGAGCAGTGGTTTGTAGTTCTCCTTGAAGAGGTCCTTCACATCCCTTGTAAGTTGGATTCCTAGGTATTTTATTCTCTTTGAAGCAATTGTGAATGGGAGTTCACTCATGATTTGGCTCTCTGTTTGTCTGTTATTGGTGTATAGGAATGCTTGTGATTTTTGCACGTTGATTTTGTATCCTGAGACTTTGCTGAAGTTGTTTATCACCTTAAGGAGATTTTGGGCTGAGATAATGGGGTTTTCTAAATATACAATCATGTCATCTGCAAACAGGGACAATTTGACTTCTTCTTTTCCTAATTGAATACTCTTTATTTCTTTCTCCTGCCTGATTGCCCTGGCCAGAACTTCCAACACTATGTTGAACAGGAGTGGTGAGAGAGGGCATCCCTGTCTTGTGCCAGTTTTCAAAGGGAATGCTTCCAGTTTTTGCCTATTCAGTATGATACTTTGGCTGTGGGTTTGTCATAAATAGCTCTTATTATTTTGAGATACGTCTCATCAATACCTAATTTATTGAGAGTTTTTAGCATGAAGGACTGTTGAATTTTGTCAAAGGCCTTTTCTGTATCTATTGAGATAATCATGTGGTTTTTGTCTTTGGTTCTGTTTATATGCTGGATTACGTTTATTGATTTGCATATGTTGAACCAGCCTTGCATCCCAGGGATGAAGCCCACTTGATCATGGTGGATAAGCTTTTTGATGTGCTGCTGGATTCAGTTTGCTAGTATTTTATTGAGGATTTTTGCATAGATGTTCATCAGGGATATTGGTCTAAAATTCTCTTTTTATGTTGTGTCTCTGCCAGGCTTTGGTATAAGGATGATGCTGGCCTCATAAAATGAGTTAGAGAGGATTCCCTCTTTTTCTATTGATTGGAATAGTTTCAGAAGGAATGGTACCAGCTCCTCCTTCTACCTCTGGTAGAATTCGGCTGTGAATCCATCTGGTCCTGGACTTTTGGTTGGTAAGCTATTAATTGTTGTCTCAATTTCAGATCCTGTTATTGGTCTATTCAGAGATTCAACTTCTTCCTGGTTTAGTCTTGGGAGGGTGTATGTGTCGAGGAATTTATCCATTTCTTCCAGATTTTCTAGTTTATTTGCATAGAGGTGTTTATAGTATTCTCTGACGGTAGTCTGTATTTCTGTGGGATCAGTGGTGATCTCCCCTTTATCATTTTTTATTGTGTCTATTTGATTCTTCTCTCTTGTCTTCTTTATTAGTCTTGCTAGCAGTCTATCAATTTTGTTGATCATTTCAAAAAACTGGCTCCTGGATTCATTGATTTTTCGAAGGGTTTTTTATGTCTCTATCTCCTTCAGTTCTGCTCTGATCTTAGTCATTTCTTGCCTTCTGCTAGCTTTTGAATGTGTTTGCTCTTGCTTCTCTAGTTCTTTTAATTGTGATGTAAGGGTATTAATTTTAGATCTTTCCTGCTTTCTCTTGTGGGCATTTAGCGCTATAAATTTCCCTCTACACACTGCTTTAAATGTGTCCCAGAGATTTTGGTATGTTGTGTCTTTGTTCTCATTGGTTTCAAAGAACATCTTTATTTCTACCTTCATTTCTTTATGTACCCAGTAGTCATTCAGGAGCAGGTTGTTCAGTTTCCATGTAGTTGAGCAGTTTTGAGTGAGTTTCTTAATCCTGAGTTCTAGTTTGATTGCACTGTGGTCTGAGAGATAGTTTGTTATAATTTCTGTTCTTTTACATTTGCTGAGGAGTGCTCTACTTCCAACTATGTGGTCAATTTGAGAATAAGTGTGATGTGGTGCTGATAATGTATATTCTGTTGATTTAGGTTGGAGAGTTCTGTAGATGTCTATTAGGTCTGCTTGGTGCAGAGCTGAGTTCAATTCCTGGATATCCTTAACTTTCTGTCTTGTTGATCTGTCTAATGTCGACAGTGGGGTGTTAAAGCCTTCCATTATTATTGTGTGGGAGTCTAAGTCTCTTTGTAGGTCACTCATGACTTGCTTTATGAATCTGGGTGCTTCTGTATTGGGTGCATATATATTTAGGATAGTTAGCTCTTCTTGTTGAATTGCTCCCTTTACCATTATGTAACAGCCTTGTCTCTTTTGATCTTTGTTGGTTTAAAGACTGTTTTATCAAAGACTAGGATTGCAACCCCTGCCTTTTTTTGCTTTCCATTTGCTTGGTAGATCTTCCTCCATCCCTTTATTTTGAGCCTATGTATGTCTCTGCACGTGAGATGGGTTTCCTGAATATAGCACACTGATGGGTCTTGACTCTTTATCCAATTTGCCAGTCTGTGTCTTTTAATTGGAGAATTTAGCCCATTTACATTTAAGGTTAATATTCTTATGTGTGAATTTGATCCTGTCATGATGTTAGCTTGTTATTTTGCTCGTTAGTTGATGTAGTTTCTTCCTAGCCTCGATGGTCTTTACAATTTGGCATGTTTTTGCAGTGGCTGGTACCGGTTGTTCCTTTCCATGTTTAGTGCTTCCTTCAGGAGCTCTTCTAGGGCAGGCCTGGTGGTTACAAAATCTCTCAGCATTTGTTTGTCTGTAAAGGATTTTATTTCTCCTTCACTTATGAAGCTTAGTTTGGCTGGATATGAAATTCTGGGTTGAAAATTCTTTTCTTTAAGAATATTGAATTTTGGCCCCCACTCTCTTCTGGCTTGCAGAGTTTCTGCCGAGAGATCAGCTGTTAGTCTGATGGGCTCCCCTTTGTGGGTAACCTGACCTTGCTCTCTGGCTGCCCTTAACATTTTTTCCTTCATTTCAACTCTGGTGAATTTGAAAATTATGTGTCTTGGAGTTGCTCTTCTCGAGGAGTATCTTTGTGGCATTCTCTGTATTTCCTGAATTTGAATGTTGGCCTGCCTTGCTAGGTTGGGGAAGTTCTCCTGGATAATATCATGCAGAGTGTTTTCCAACTTGGTTCCATTCTCCCCATCACTTTCAGGTACACCAATCAGATGTAGATTTGCTCTTTTCACATAGTCCCATACTTCTTGGAGGCTTTGTTCATTTCTTTTTATTCTTTTTTCTCTAAACTTCTCTTCTCTCTTCATTTCATTCATTTGATCTTCAATCACTGATACCCTTTCTCCAGCTGATCAAATCGGCTACAGAAGCTTGTGCATTCGTCACGTAGTTCTCGTGCCATGGTTTTCAGCTCCTTCAGATCCTTTAAGGACTTCTCTACATTGGTTATTCTAGTTAGCCATTTGTCTAATATTTTTTCAAGATTTTTTAACTTCTTTGTGATGGGTTCAAACTTCCTCCTTTAGCTCGGAGAAGTTTGATTGTCTGAAGCCTTCTTCTCTCAACTCCTCAAAGTCATCCTCTGTCCAGCTTAGTTCCATTGCTGGTGAGGAGCTGCATTCCTTTGGAGGAGGAGAGGCACTCTGATTTTTAGAATTTTCAGTTTTTCTGCTCTGTTTTTTCCCCATCTTTGTGGTTTTATCTACCTTTGGTCTTTGATGATGGTGACATACAGATGGGTTTTTGGTGTGGATGTCCTTTCTGTTTGTTAGTTTTCCTTCTAACAGTCAGGACCTTCAGCTGCAGGTCTGTTGGAGTTTGCCAGAGGTCCACTCCAGACCCTGTTTGCCTGGGCATCAGCAGCGGAGGCTGCAGAACAGCGAATATTGCTGAACAGCAAATGTTGCTGTCTGATCATTCCTCTGGAAGTTTCATCTCAGAGGGGTATCTGGCCATGTGAGGTGTCAGTCTGCCCCTACTGGGGGGTGCCTCCCAGTTAGGCTACTCATGGGTCAGGGACCCACTTGAGGCAGTCTGTCCATTCTCAGATCTCAAGCTACATGCTGGGAGAATCACTACTCTCCTCAAAGCTGTCAGACAGGGACATTTAAGTCTGCAGAGGTTTCTGCTGCCTTTTGTTTGGCTATGCCCTGCCCCCAGAGGTGGAGTCTACAGAGGCAGGCAGGCCTTCTCGAGCTGTGGTGGGCTCCACCCAGTTCGAGCTTCCTGGCCACTCTGTTTACCTACTCAAGCCTCAGCAATGGTGGGCGCCCCTCCCCCAGCCTCACTGCCACCTTGTAGTTTGATCTCAGACTGCTGTGCTAGCAATGAGTGAGGCTCCGTAGGCGTGGGACCCTCTGAGCCAGGTGCGGGATATAAACTCCTGGTGTGCCGTTTGCTAAGACCATTGGAAAAGCGCAGTATTAGGGTGAGAGTGACCCGATTTTCCAGGTGCCATCTGTCACCACTTCCCTTGGCTAGGAAAGGGAATTCCCTGACCCCTTGCACTTCCCAGGTGAGGCGATGCCTCATCCTGCTTCGGCTCACACTCAGTGCACTGCACCCACTGTCCTGCACCCACTGTCCAACAAGCCCCAGTGAGATGAACCCGGTACCTCAGTTGGAAATGCAGAAATCACCCATCTTCTGCGTCACTCACGCTGGGAGCTGTAGACTGGAGCTGTTCCTATTTGGCCATCTTGGAACCATCTCCTGGTACTTTCTAAATAAACACTTAAAGAAAATGTCTGGTATTTCCTTCAATGTTACAGCAAAACAGATATAAAATAAATTATACTTCATATTTACAAAAAAACCATTACTGCAGTTATAGATTATAAAACTATCATTTAATCAGTTTAGTATGAAATTGCTTTCCCAGTACATGTTGGTGAAAAAGATATTTTAAAAATATTCTAAAATTTAATCTGAGCCTTCCTTTCTACAAGAGAAAATCATAATTTCCATTCATAAATGGCACACTCATCCCCCTAAAGCCATTCTTAAAGGTGGGGCACCCTTTCCCATTTTATTTCCTTTGTTGGTTCTAACCCAATCACGTGGTATGCTCTGTAGTAAAAAGACAAAGCACCGCTTTCCTGAAATAGATATTAGAGTCGGCAGTCCTCAAGTTAATGTGCTGGTCAAAAAGTCATTCCAATAAAGAAGAGGTGCAGCATTGCTTTCACATGTTACACAGTTACCATGGAGCCTGTCACAAATGCTTTCCACTCCTCTAAGCCTCACTTCAAAGTTTAATCAGTCTACTTTGGGTACTAGCAAAGAATACAGCAAATGGAGGACTGAGATGTGAAAATGATATGGTTTGTTTTGACTGAAATAAGTATATTTTCACACCAACAGAACTCCAGCACAAACTCATAACAGCAAAGACTGAGACAGAGGCATCCCCAAGGAGCCCGGGCTATGGCCTGGACTGTGGATCCAGTATAAAATTTGCCTTCCTGGGAATGAAATCTGTGAATAGAGGAGTTATTCCTACTTCCCCAACTTTCACTATCTGTAAAATGTACCTTTGATAGACACTAATAAACCAGCTGATACTTTACCCAAGAATACATTTAACTCCATTGAGATTATTTTCCCTATTTACTCACTAATAACCCAAATAGCTTGAACTATAGCTAAAATTAAATTTGGTGGGCTTGGGGGGTACCTTTTAAGTTTAAGTTTCTGTAGTTACCAGACAACCAAACTCAGCTTAGTACAGACCAACAACTACTCATGTTACTTACCAAGTGAGCAAATTATTAGCAAGGTCCGTTAAAATTTTTCTCGGGCAGTAAGGCATCAGCATGAGATGGTTTCAAAGTCTTATCCCTCCACCTCCACTGTGCTTCTGTATGTTTTTTAAGGCAGCTATGACCAAGGAATCCAAGGCAGAATGTGTGTCCCCAGCATCTGGTTTCAAGTTAGCAATATCCACAAGCTCTTACAACCATATTTCTGTATTTTTTTCAAGGTGATTTTGGAATTGTCATTGAAGTAAAGAACCAAAATGGCATTGAGTTTAGTTGGCACACAGCACAGCTTTGGGACATATTCAGGATCTATAAGGTGAACCAAGGTCTGAATGATCACATGGTTGATTGCATTCACATGTCCATTGATTGGGAAGGAGCATTCTACATCACAGTAATTAGCAGCATAGCCCTTGGGTGCGATGAACCAGTCCTGCCATCCAGGTCTTGGAAGCTCACATATAGCTCATGCTTCCTGCAGGCTGTTTTTAATTTGCTGCTGATGTAATCTGAAGTACTGGAGACTTGAGCCACGTAGTGGGACTGGGTAAAGTGAGTACAACTCTGCTGTCAACGCCAGCCAGAGGCTGACCTGGTGATGCACACATGGACCACAATGACTTTGAAGAAAGCCACCATGAAGGGCTGCATAGCCTAAGTGCTGTCTCTGCCCACCAGGTCTGCAGCTAGAGGGTGGATGTGGACTCCATCCTCTGTCACTACGCTCAGCTGAAGCCCCATGTTATGCTGTGGGGTTACAACCCACAGACTACTAGTGGCTGTGATGTCAAATTCCAGCCAGCTTCCTTCTGAGGCCCACACTATGCAAATGTCCAAAAAAAATAGGTCAGAGTTTAGTTCTGGAAGCTGGAAGGTCCAAAATCAAAGTACAAGCAGATACTTCGGTGTTTGGTAAGGATGTGCTTACTGGTTCATAGACTGCCATCTTCTCACTGCGAGCTCACATGGTGGAAGGACTGAAACTTACTATGTGTGTATTGGAACATTTGATTGGTGTCACATCGTCTCTCAGGTTGTGCAGACTGTTTGTCATTTTTTTCTATTCTTGGAACAGAATAATTATCAATTTATCTGTCTTTAATTCAATGATCCTTTCTTCTATACCTCTTTATTAGTATTCTCTATTGTTATTATTATTATATTATTATTAGAGACAGACTCTTGCTCTGTCCCCCAGGATGGAGTGCATTGACATGATCTTTGCTCTTGCAACTTCTGCCTCCCAAGCTCCAGAAATCCTCCCACCTCAGCCTCCTGAGTAGCTGGTACTACTGGCATGCACCACCATGCCCAGCTAGCTTTTTTGTATTTCCTGTAGAGACATGGTTTGGCCATGTTACCCAGGCTAGCCTCAAACTCCTGGGCTCAAGAGATCTGTCTGCCTTGGCCTCACAAAGTTCTGTGATTGCAGGTGTGAGGCACTGCACCCCGCCAATGTTCTCTCTGTAATGAGGCATTCTTTCCGTACTTTCCTTAACAATTGTTAACGTTGTTTTATTTATTTATTTGACCACATTTACAAAAGCTAATTTGAAGTTTTTATGTAGTAACCACCAAATGCATCTCTGGACATCATTTTGTCAACTTATTTTTAATGTTGTTTGTTTGTTTTTATGTTTTGCTTTGCTTTCCTTTTTAACCCTGTGTATGGACAGTACTTTGCTGTGTCCCTGCCTCAAAATTTCACTTTGCCAAATGGAGCTTCTCAGTCACACAATGTGACGATTCTGGAAATCAGATTCTTTCCTTAAAATATTTGTCATAATTGCTTCTGGTTTTGTTGTAGTTGTTATTGTTGATGATGATTTATTGTTTCACGGTACTGGAATAATTCTCTAAGTCTGTTTTCTTTGCTTGTGCAGCCACTGCAGTCTCTGCTCAATTATATCAGTCATTAGCTTATTATTGGACAGACATGTTCTTAAACGCCTCGAACAACACATTCCTCAGCATTTGCCGAATGCTCTGTGCAGGGGTTGGGTCATGACTGCAAAACCCCGCCACTTTACAACTCTATTTTAGCCTTCCTTGTTGATTTCAGCCAGTGTCGAAAATTAAGGACTTTCCTAATTTTTACCTGGCCATGCACATAACTCTGAGCATGAGAGTGATCTTCTGTCTTTCCAGGAATATGGCAGAGCTCATCAAAATCTTCTACAGATTCTGACACCCAGTTTTTTTCTCTCAAGGTTTTTGGTCAGCCTTTTATTGACCCCATCTTGTATCACTGACTCAGGACCTTAACAGATCTCACTGATTGTTTTGATAAATGTATTGAGGATGAAGCTGTTTAAACCAAGCGAGCTCTGAGACAATTCACATTTAGAAAAGTACAGAGCGTGAAGCTTTTCTGAGCTTTGGAAAGCTCAAATAATGACAGTCGCACGGGAATGGGGCTTTTGAGAAAATTCCAGATCTGGTATTTGGTTGCTTCAGTGAATGCTATTTTTCTAGTTTCCCTAGATCCAGGAGATTTGAGGCTGTTGGTTTTTAAGGCTACTGTGGAACTTGGGAGAGAGCAAAAGAAATAAAATCACCACAAAGCTTCAGATTCTTACAGAGATTCCACATTATTTTAATTGATTGATTGATTGATTCAGACAGGGTATTGCTTTATGACTCAGGCTGAAGTAGAGTGGCACAATCACAGCCCACTGCAGCCTCCACCTCCCAGACTCAAGTGATCCTCCACCTTCAGCCTCCCCAGTAGCTGCAACTACACCCACACACCACCACATATAGCTACTTTTTTAAAATGTTTTTTAGAGAAGAGGCCTCACTCTGTTGCCCAGTCTGATCACAAAATCCCAGGAGTGATAAAGCAATCGCTCTGCTTCAGCTCCCAATGTGTTGGGATTATAGGCATGAGCCACCATGTCTGGCTGTTATTACTATTTTTTATGATTCCCAGAATTTTGTAAGCTTTTGGTAATGTACAGAGTTCTGAAAAGTAGATTTATATCATTTTTACTGCTGTTCTCATTGCTTGTATGGTGAATCAGGTTTTCTGATGGCCTCATACCACCATTCCAGAAGTTTTTCTGAAGCTACATTTTTTTTTTGGAGAAAAAAGTTAAGAAATAAAATTCTGACATTTAGGATCAGGGCTGTCAGGATGACATTAATGATTATTTATATCCTTCTTCTTTGTTAGATTATTGCAAATCAGTTGTCATGTTCAATGTGGTGGAGGCAGTTTCTCCTCATTTTCTCCTAATCCCAAAACCCACGCACTGAACAACTGAGAAAACCTTTATAAACCACCAAAAATTTTAAATCTTTTTATTTCACTGTCTATAAATTTTCATTATTTCCATCGCTGTGTATCAACAGTGTGATTTCTAGCATTTTGTTAGAATTCAAAATTTTCTTAAGAAGTTATATCTTATGGGTGATTGTTAAAATGAAACTTGATGTGGCAGGGGTGTGCCATGCAGCAGAGTTCCAGTGTTTAAATCCACAGGGAAAAATGTCCTTGCAGTTCCCATGTGGTGACAATGTATCGACATGCAGGGGGTGACAGGATCTGCCTTAATATTGGCCACATTAATACAGACTTGTGTACTCCTTAGGAGCTTGGCCTAGCAAACTTGTTCCTAAGGAACCCAAAGCAAAAAATCTATCTAGCTATCTAGGTATCTGTCTATCTAGCATCTAGCTAGCTATCTGCCTATCTATCTGTCTAGCTAGCTAGCTAGCTAGCTATCTGCCTATCTGTCTAGCTAGCTATCTATCTAGCTAGCTATCTGCCTATCTATCTATCTATCTTTCTTGAGTAGTAAGGAAAACAGGCACTGTTTCTCAGGGCCACGTGGCAGCCTTCATAGTGGAGCAGAGAAAACAGTTTTTGTCCTGCTTCCTCATTCACTGGGGTCACTTTGCCTTACCCATATGTCACACCAATGCTATGATCTGCACCACAGATACAATCAGCTTCATCCTCAAACTGGATGTTGGAGATGGTGACCTACCGATCAGCCCCATAGCTGGATCCTGAGAACTGTAACTGGGGATCCCATTTTTGTGGCTTCCATCACTGGTAACATACATCAAGTACCAAGGGACCTTCCCTGGCTACTGCTGATGCCACTCAATAATGTAGGTGCTGTATTTGCTGCTCAGAGTGGAGGTAAGCTTGACCGAGGCTCCCACAGGGAGGCAGATGCAGTGGGTGACTGAGTCAGCACAGGCTGGGAGAGGGACCCTGAAGACATAGACGCCCATTATGGCCTGAAGTAAGGATAAGAGGGAAGGACATTCCTGGTATGAGTTTGTGAGGCAGTGTGAGTGAGCTGCAGGATCAGGGTGCTAAGGGCCATCCTGACCTCTGCAGTGGTGGAGGAGGAGGGTGAGGAGGAGGAAGAGTGGGGTCCAGGCCATGGTGCAAACACCCCAGAGCTCTGCTGAGGCTGACATGATGCAGGTCCCTCTTATCCATCCGGTAGTCCCAGAAGAGAGAGAGGGGCCCTTCATGCAAACTTGTCTCTCTTCTGCCCAACCGTACCCCTCCCTGGGGCTGTATGCAGCGGCAATGGCTGTGTCATTTCTGGGAGGGGTGGGCCTAACTTGGGCCTGGCCTGAGGCTCCCCAGGAGCCCACAGAGGATCCAGCCTGGCCTGAGGCTCCCCAGGAGCCCACAGAGGATCCAGCTACTTGGCCCAGTGATCTCTGAGCACAGACCACACAGGGTTCTGGTTTCCCAGCTGACAGCCCCACAGAGGGCTCAGCAGCAGGGCCACAGCATCCCCTGCTGCTCAAGTCCAGGTCCACCGTGTCTCTGACCAGATGCCGGGGTCCTGACAGAGCCTCCTGTCCCCACCAGGGTCTTGAACACTGCTCACTCCCTGACCAAGGGCAGGGCAAGGCCCGTCCTCAGGGCAGCCTCCTACCTCACCTCAGCCTTTAGTTTTCTGTGTGTGTCTCCTCAATGGGAACTGGACACACAATTCTCCCCATCTTTTATGGAGTCCTCAGGGGAAGATTGTCTCTGTATACACCCTGTGCATGAAATAAAACATGTTAGCTGAGAAAAGGGACACTTCAGCCATGAACTCATTTCTCAGGCAGCTCACAAAGTCAGGTTCTTTCTCCCTGCTTGATTCCTCAGATCCGCACAAAGGAGACCTACTGGTCAATGTTTAACAGGATAATTTATTTGGATTGGATGGTTCACTGCATTCTCTGGTAGCTGAGGAGAAACCCAGGAAGTAGCGGAAGGTGCTAGTGGGGTTGGGAAAGAGAAGCAGTGGACTCAGGGCATCTCCTGAAGGGAAGGTGAGGAGGGTCCACAATTTAGAAGAGGCTGAAGGAGAAGCTGGTGGGGAGATTGGACAGGAGCCAGAGGGCAGGGCAGGTAAGGGGGAGGCTTGGTGTCTTTTTGCTTTCATTTGTTTGTTTTGTGAAGAAAGAGGAGCCTCCTCAGTCTTCTCGGCTGTCCTCTCTGGTTGTCTGCCTGCCTCAACTGGAAGTCTTTCTTCATGAAAATTCTGTAGTTCTCTCCGCGAAAGATGTTTCTTTGCTTCCTGTCTACAAATGGCTTTCCTTCTTATTTTCCCCCATTCTTACTAATTTTGTGATACAGAAACACATATGTGGATTTGTAGGAGAAGGGATCTTTAGAAGTGTAGAATCTCAGTCCTCATCCTAGACCCCTGAGTCCACATTTTCCAGGAGCCCAGATGATCTGTGTGCACGTTATGTTTGAGCAGCTCTGGTCTGACCCATGCAGGAAGGCAGTGGAGAGTTTGGCAATGGGTTGTTTCTGATGCCTCAGTCTATTCTGCTTTCTGCTGACATGGCTCACTCCCTGTGTCCCATGTTGTGCCTGATGTGCCAGGTCTGCTGTTCTTGAGGCTTCCCATGGACCATGGCAGCATCCCCCCTGAGCTTACTCATCCGCACACATGACCAGGAGTGCGTGATTAATAAAGTGATCTTCTCACTTCACATATTAATGTTAGTGAACAAGTGAAATGATATAATAGCTACAATTTTGCATTACTACTTATAACTTTAATAATATTGACCATTGATGACATATTTATATATCTTTAATATAGATGCATATCTCATATTAAGCTTAAATGATAATCAGTCATAAAGGTTAGAAAAATAAGCACAAATATAATGGAGATAGGTCCATAGGCTGTAGACCTAACAGAAATGAGAGGTATTCAGTGATATCTTCAACAAAGGCTCATGGAAGCAAAAATAAGTCAGATGTGTGGAATTAAACAGAGAAAAGTGAGCATGTGCTGGTTCTGGGAACCATCTCCTTCTTGGGGAGGGTTTTCTTCTGCAACTATGAAGACAGAACCCATGTAGTTCAAGGTTCCAGAGCTTAAGGAATGACAAGCAAACCTGGGCCAGGAGGAGGGGACATCTATGAGGCCAATCAGAGGGCACCTGGGTCTCTGGGCCACATAGCCTGGATTTTTTCTTTTTGTCATCCTTACTTTACACTCATGTGTGTGAGCAGCGTTTTCTATTTCTGGAAACAAACTGATTCTGTCTGAACTAGGAGACCAGTAAGAGAAGGAGTTATTTTCTTTAATAGCACAAGTGACAAAACAAAATTCAACCTGAGCTGGTGTTGGTCACCGGCAGGGGCAGGACAGGGATATGTAAGAAGAGAGGGATGGGGATAGATTTTCATTTCGCTTCCCCATGGGCAGGAGCTGTTGATGACAAGGAGGTTGTAGTCACCTGTGTGATGGGATCATCAGCCTCTATCTTGCACTGGAGTCCAAAGGTGGTTAATGAAATGTAGTGGCCTTGCCCCTTTCCTGATCCTCACCTACCCCCTATGCTTACTCTCCCCTCCCTGATTTCACAATTGAAGTGGCAGGTACCCACAAGTGAAGCAGGCCAGCTCTGTACCTGGGATTCCTCCCAGGATCGTGTCTTCTGTAGGGGACTGTCCACCTGCTGGGATGGTCTAGGAAATTTTGACCAAGAAAAAGACTCCAAAAGACTGTCATCTTTTCTTTTAAAAGAAAAGTCAGCTCCTCAGGTTTTATTAAACCAGCTCCTCTGGTTTTATTACATGTGGTTCAGCAGGGAAAGAGTCAGTGTTATCATATGTTTTGTCATATGTTTTATCATTGTTTTGTTGTTAGTTTGCCTGAGGACTCAGAAACATTGAATGGGACATTGAGAGAACCATTGTGAATCAGTAGCTACTTCCAAAATAGTTTGTGTATGTGAAAATTATTTGACAATTGGAAAAAGAGCCATAGTTCCATTCTTAGTAGGCTGAGTTTCGTCTCACTTTCTCATCTGCCTGTGTAACTGAAGTATCAATATCCCAGGTCTGACAGTAATAGATAGAACAGATAGTCTTGTCCTCTGGCTGGACCCCAGAGATGAGCAAATTGCCTGCACTGGCCAAGGCATCTTTGGATTTAGAGAAGCAGCTGGAGACTCCAGAGCCCTAGTTTTACTTGACTTTTGAGAGGTAGATCAGGAGATACTGGGAAGGGCTCACTGGCTTTTGCTGACAGCGGGATATGAGATAAATGTCAACACTGCAGCCACTGCTCAGGGTGCAGGTGAGTCTGGAAGATGCTCCCAGAGATACAGGAAGTGGGGGGGAGGACACAGCTGAGTCAGCACAAGCTGGGAGAGGGAATTTGTAAACACAGACACAAATAAGAGACAGGGTTAAGATGAGGATGAAATTTGTCATGGGTTCCTGAGCCTGAGGGACTGATGCAGGCTGAAAACTGAGTCCTGATCTCCGAGGCCTGTCCTTACCTGTGCAGTGAGAGAGGAGCATAAGGAGAAGAGAAGTTCAGGCCAGCAGTGAAAGAGGATCAGGAGGAGGAGAGAAGTTCTGGCCATGGTGGACACAGCCCCTGACCACCACAGTGAGCCTGAGCTGCCCCAGGCCTCCTTTTCTTCCCAACCCCCAGCAGAGGAGGGGCTGCTCATGCAAATGTGTTTCTATGCAGGGACTGCCCAGTCCCTTCCTGAGCCCTGGGGCTGGAGCCCAGCTCACACTGCAGACTGAGGAAGATGATTTGCTTTCCCTCCTTGGAAGGGCCCTAGGAGATATCACCTGCTGAGACCATACACAGGTCCCTGTTCAGCAGACTCTGCCAGACCAGAGAAGACAGCTGCCGAGTCCCCATCAATGAGCACAAGGCCCAGCCCCTAGACCTAGGCTCCTTGGAATGAATGGTTCTTAAAGAGCAGCTGTGCAGACACCACAGGCAAGTCCCACAGTGCAGCCTGCTGATAGCAGGACACTCACCTCCCCATGGCTCAGAGACCAGAGAGCCCAGCTGATCTCTGCAGCTCACCAGGACACTATTCCTCTGTATACACATCTGTGTCCTGAATCCTATATCCTGTGATGATGACGTGGTCTACTAGATGCCTAGCCAGTATCTCACTCCTGTAAGTAGTCTTGATCTATGAGAGGAGCAAATATGTTCGTTTATAACTGTTTAAAAATTTTATAACCTTTTAAGGTGCCAGTGCCCCAAGAGTACATTCTAGAAAAAGCTAAATGACCTGCATACGTCACTATGGCACCACCACAGATGCTGAAACAGTTGTGCTGACTTGAGTGGCATGAAGGGGTTGTTCAAGGCAATGACATAGAAGGGGACTGTTTCAGGAATCACCTCAGTGATAGATTTAACATCCAGCAATTCAGAAAACATTTCCTTTTTTTTTTTTTTTGAGACGGAGTCTCACTCAGTCGCCCAAGCTAGAGTGCAATGGTGCGATCTCAGCTCACTGCAAGCTCCGCCTCCCAGGTTCATGCCATTCTCCTGCCTCAGCCTCCTGAGTAGCTGGGACTACAGGCACCTGCCACCACGCCTGGCTAATTTTTTTTTTTTTTTTGTATTTTTAGTAGAGACGGGGTTTCATCATGTTAGCCAGGATGGTCTCGATCTCCTGACCTCGTGATCCGCGCAATCTCAGCCTCCCAAAGTGCTGGGATTACAGGCGTGAGCCACCGCACCTGGCCCAGAAAACATTTCCTAAGTCACACCATGATTTTAGCATGTTGATACTCACTAGATTTTATTTGTGAAAAAATAATTTGGGTAGGCATAACATTTACCAGTTCATGGTGTAACACATTTCTTATTTTATGAAGTGAGTTTTGTCTTCCTACCTTTTTATTTTTCTGCTTATCTGTTTCATCTACTTCTCAATAGAATTTTGTTTTAGATAGAATACAATTTGTTTATATTCTAAACCTAATTTTCCCTACTTACATTTTTTTCATGGCTTACTAAGAAAGATAAGTGTGACCTTTTAATGTTTCTGCAGAAACGTTGAATGACTGGACAGATTAATGCAGAAATTATCACTTCTTCACTGTATCCCAGATGCAAATCTGCTTTAACTGTGCAAATAGTCTTCAAACTTCTAGACTCACAGGTTCTCTTAGTGAATAATCTATGACCAGGATCCCCTGGTGCCCTCAGGCCTTTCTCCTCGAGGCAGCTGGAGACATCCTTCTCATTCAGCCTGTTCATCTTACTCCTGGGCTTAAACTCCTTTTGTGGTTCTTCATTGCTGTTTACATAAACCCTGGACCTTGCAGCCCCACCAGCATGCCCTTCACTTTATGGCCCCTGCCTACCTCACAGCCCTTCCTCTTGCTCTGGGGCCTCCGGTATCACTCACTTCTCTTTCCTGGGAAACCCTGAGCTCCTTTCCATTCTGTGGCCTTCTCACCAAGTCCTCCTCTGTGTGCGGGGAGGAGATGAGCTTCAACTGGAGGTCAGGGTGGAGGCACACCATCTGGCAACTCTGAGTGTCTGTTAAAAGCAAGACACACTATTAATGGACCAAACTTGAATCCATTGACCAGGTATACAAATCTAAGCACTGACATCAGGATTGCAGCAAGAGAATGAGACATTTATCACAGGCATCAAGCAAGGAGAATCGGGCAGCTCATGCTTAAGACCCAAACTCCCTGATGGCCTGAAAGCAAAGGTGTTTAAAAGCAGGGGAAATCTTCAGAAAACAGAAGTCATAGTCAAAACTGTAAATCAATATATAGAGGTTATACACTGATTTGGCCTAAAACAGTAGAGTATTTTGAAGCAGGGGCTTTCAGGTCAAAGGTAAGTAGATTTAGAAATTTCCTGATTTGCAACTGGTTAAGGTCGTAAAGCTTTGTCCAAAAAATTGGGGTCAACAGAAAGAAATGTTAGCTCTGGCTCATGGGCGTGATTTCCTCAGGGCCCCTCAGTAAGAGACTTAGAACAAAGAAGGGCAGTCAGACCTCAGTCCTCAGTTTCCCATTATCTGAGGCCTACTGACAGCCGAGACTTTTGGAGGTGGTCTGAGTGTTTGAAAAACAACTCAGGGGCATATGTTAAGTTGTTGTTTTTAGTTTCTATAGGGACCCAGACATCCCATGCCTCTAACTTCCTTGGTTGTTTTAAGCTCCTTTAACCTTTTTGCTAGTCAGGTTTTCTTCTCAGGGACAGTGAGGTACCTGAAATTTCCCTTGAAGAAACTCAAGATTCTCCTTTATTTCCGTGCTTCAGGGGGAGAAGTCAGGCCCTTAATAGGGGGTCCCTTATCCACCTCAATACACACACCACCACAGAAGAGTTCACAGAATTTTTTTTACACATTTGTCACTGTGGATGTTTTTGAAGTTGCAGACATCTATGGAGAAAAGCCCATTGCATGTCCTGGACCCAGCATCCCAACTAAATCATCATCAACATAAAATTGTCTTATTCATCTTACATCCCTCTTTACCCCTCACTCCACACACTCAACTAATTTTAAAACATATTCCAAACATCGTATCATTTCATTTACATATAATTTAGCATATGTACAAATTCCTAATGTTCCCAAACTCTTGTGCATTAAAGATAAAAATTTTAACTAATCTCATATAAAAGATCTGTGCTTTAATATCTCCAATGGTTAGGAAATGTTAACTGTTGTACTGTTTGAAAGTGAGGAGGGCATCAAAAACTTATCCACCATGATCAAGTGGGCTTCATCTCTGGGATGCAAGACTGGTTCAACATACGCAAATCAATAAACATAATCCAGCATATAAACAGAACTAAAAACAAAAACCACATGGTTATCTCAATAGACGCAGAAAAGGCCTTTGACAAAATTCAACAGCCCTTCATGCTAAAAACTCTCAATAAATTAGGTACTGATGGGATGTATCTCAAAATAATAAGAGCTATTTATGACAAACCCACAGCCAATATCATACTGAATGGGCAAAAACTGGAAGCATTCCCTTTCAAAACTGGCACAAGACAGGGATGCCCTCTCTCACCACTCCTACTCAACAAAGTGTTCGAAGTTCTGGCCAGGGCAATCAGGCAGGAGAAAGAAATAAAGGGTATTCAATTAGGAAAAGAGGAAGTCAAATTGTCCCTCTTTGCAGATGACATGATTGTATATCTAGAAAACCCCATCGTCTCAACTGTAAACTAGTTCAACCATTGTGGAAGTCAGTGTGGTGATTCCTCAGGGATCTAGAACTAGAAATACCATTTGACCCAGCCATCCCATTACTGGGTATATACCCAAAGGACTATAAATCATGCTTCTATAAAGACACATGCACACCTATGTTTATTGTGGCACTATTCACAATATCAAAGACTTGAAACCAACCCAAATGTCCAACAATGATAGACTGCATTAAGAAAACGTGGCACATATACACCATGGAATACTATGCAGCCATAAAAAATGATGAGTTCACGTCCTTTGTAGGGACACGGATGAAATTGGAAATCATCATTCTCAGTAAAATATCGCAAGGACAAAAAACCAAACACCGCATGTTCTCACTCATAGGTGGGAATTGAACAATGAGAACACATGGACACAGGAAGGGGAACATCACACTCTGGGGACTGTTGTGGGGTGGGGGGAGGGGGGAGGGATAGCATTAGGAGATATACCTAATGCTAAATGACGAGTTAATGGGTGCAGCACACCAGCATGTCACATGTATACATATGTAACTAACCTGCACATTGTGCACATGTACCCTAAAACTTAAAGTATAATAATAATAAAATAAAATAAAATAAAATAAAATAAAAAACCCCATCCTCTCAGCCTAAAATCTCAAGGTGATAAGCAACTTCAGCAAAGTCTCAGGATACAAAATCAATGTGCAAAAATCACAAGCATTCTCATACACCAATAACAGACAAACAGAGAGCCAAATCATGAGTGAACTCCCATTCACAATTGCTTCAAAGAGAATAAAATACCTAGGAATCCAACTTACAAGGGATGTGAAGGACCTCTTCAAGGAGAACTACAAGCCACTGCTCAACAAAATAAAAGAGGACACAAACAAATGGAAGAACATTCCATGCTCATGGATAGGAAGAACCAATATCGTGAAAATGGCCATACTCCCCAAGGTAATTTATAGATTCAATGCCATCCCAATCAAGCTACCAATGGCTTTCTTCACAGAATTGGAAAAAACTACTTTAAAGTTCAGATGGAACCAAAAAAGAGCCCGCATTGCCAAGACAATCCTAAGCCAAAAGAACAAAGCTGGAGGCATCATGCTACCTGACTTCAAACTACACTACAAGGCTACAGTAACCAAAACAGCATAGTACTAATACCAAAACAGAGATATAGACCAATGGAACAGAACAGAGCCCTCAGAAATACCACCGCACATCTACAACCATCTGATCTTTGATAAACCTGACAAAAACAAGAAATGGGGAAAGGATTCCCTATTTAATAAATGGTGCTGGGAAAACTGGCTAGCCATATGTACAAAGCTGAAACTGGATCCCTTCCTTACACCTTATACAAAAATCAATTCAAGATGGATTAAAGACTTAAATGTTAGACCTAAAACCATAAAAACTCTAGAAGAAAACCTAGGCAATACCATTCAGGACATAGGTATGGGCAAGGACTTCATGTCTAAAACACCAAAAGCAATGGCAACAAAAGCCGAAATTGACAACTGGGATCTAATTAAACTAAAGAGCTTCTGCACAGCAAAAGAAACTACGATCAAACCCAGTACAACTAAGTACAACAGTTAACTTACAGAATGGGAGAAAATTTTTGCAATCTACTCATCTGACAAAGGGCTAATATCCAGAAGCTACAAAGAACTCAAACAAATTTACAAGAAAAAAACAACCCCATCAAAAAGTGGGTGAAGGATATGAACAGACACTTCTCAAAAGAAGACATTTGTGCAGCCAACAGACACGTGAAAAAATGCTCACCATCACTGGCTGTCAGAGAAATGCAAATCAAAACCACAATGAGATACCATCTCACACCAGTTAGAATGGCAATCATTAAAAAGTCAGGAAACAACAGGTGCTGGAGAGGATGTGGAGAAACGGGAACAGTTTTACACTGTTGGTGGGACTGTAGACTAGTTCAAGCATTGTGGAAGACAATGTGGCTATTCCTCAGGGATCTAGAACTAGAAATACCATTTGACCCAGCCATCCCATTATTGGATATATACCCAAAGGATTATAAATCATGCTGCTATAAAGACACATGCACACCTGTGTTTATTGCGGCACTATTCACAATAGCAAAGACTTGGAACCAACCCAAATGTCCATCAATGATAGACTGGATTAAGAAAATGTGGCACATATATACCACGGAATACTATGCAGCCATAAAAAAGGATGAGTTCATGTCCTTTGCAGGGACATGGATGAAGCTGGAAACCATCATTCTGAGCAAACTATCGCAAGGACAAAAAACCAAACACCGCATATTCTCACTCATAGGTGGGAATTGAACAATGAGAACACTTGGAAACAGGAAGGGGAACATCACACACTGGGGCCTGTCATGGGATGGGGGTAGGGGGGAGGGATAGCATTAGGAGATACACCTAATATAAATGATGAGTTAATGGGTGCAGCACACCAACATGGCACATGTATACATATGTAACAAACCTGCATGTTGTGCATATGTACCCTAGAACTTAAAGTATAATTAAAAAAAAAAAAAAGAAAGTGAGGAGGGATAAGGCATGCTAGGTTTTACAGCCTTGAGGTGGATGGGATGACACACTTATTTATAAATTATTTATGTATTTATTTATTTATTTATTTATTGAGACAGAGACTTGCCCTGTCACCCAGGCTGAAGTGCAGTGGTGCAATCTTGGCTCACTGCAAGCTCCACCTCCCGGTTCAAGTGAATCTCCCACCCCAGCCTCTCCAGTAGCTGGGACTGCAGAGGTGCCCCCACGCCCGGCTACCTTTTGTATTTTTGGTAGAGACAGGGTTTCATCATGTTGGCCAGGCTGGTTTTGAACTCCTGACCTCAAGTAATCTGCCTGCCTTGGCCTACCAAAGTGCTGGGATTACAGGCATGAGCCACTGTGCCCAGCCCAGACATATTTATTTCTAACCGAAGTACTTACTTGGGGATAACTTTGTTACAGGAACTCTGTTTTTGAGGTAAATAGCATAGACTCAGATGTCAGAGCCCAGCTGGGAATGCTGGGAATGGTATCTCACAAGATGCAAGACATCCAGTTACATTAGAATTAAAGATAAGTAACTTTGCATAGGACATAATTATACTAAAAATAAAAATCTATTAAATGGTTGTTTACATGAATTCAAATTTAACTGATAACCAGTATTTATATTTCCTCAATTGGGGCACCCTATCTCCAGCTCACGGGCACCCCCTGTCCATTCAGGGTGTATTTTTGGTAAATGGTAATAGAGCTGTTGTTTCTCATGCCTCAAGCTATACTGAATCTGTTCAATTTGCACTGCAAGCTAATCTCTTCTTTCACTATTTTGTGCATTAAATATTAAGAATAATATACTTGAGGGACAGATATTTAAGTCATCTCATGTCTTACCGCTGTGGCTCAGGAATCTTTGGCTTCCCCTGCAGCATAAGCCCTCTCACTCGGAGCCACCGGTGCTGCATGGGACATGGCCCATGTGTCCTGTGCCAGGGCACTGACCGCAGCCTCAGGATCCTCCTGCTGGTGATCTGTGGGTGATGCATCTGCAAGGAACTTTGTCATCCCTCAACCTGGACCTGTTGAGAAAAACAGGCAGCTTTTCATTCCTTCCCCATCTTCCACCAGTTCAGAAACCCATAGGGTTGATTGGGGGGGTTCCCACTGACTTCCAGGAAAAATGAAAGCTCCTTTCTCACCCAGTTTGGGTGGCCATCTGTCTTTGCCTCAGTGACCTTACTTCCATGACCCTGTGGTGTCTCCAGCCCTCTGGGAATGGCAGGGAATAGATGCAGAGCCAGTGAGGAGCAGGGTCAGCACAGGAACCTTCCCTGGAGGTGGTGCATCTGGTGAAGTCCCCGTAGGAGCTCAAACAGGATGGCACTGGGGAAGGATGATTGTTAATGAAGCCAAAGAAAAGTTAAAAGAGACACCAGAAGGAAATTTCTTGGTTAGAGATAGTTCACATTCAGATGATCTACTAACAGTATCTGTTAAAATATCAGCTGGACCAACTAATCTGCAAGTTGAATATGAAGATGGGCAATTGGCATGGAACTCTATCATGTATCAAGTCCAAGCTTCAACAGTTTGATGGTGTGGCACATCTGATGACTTTGTTCAGGTGTGCAAGGATAAGCAGATGGACCCCAAAGCCTTTAGATCAACACTGCTCACCTTTATCTGCTCACTGTTCTACTCATCAGCAACACCCCTGCAACACTGTCTAGACTCACCATTGACAAAATGCACTGGTGCCATCTGGGGACTGCCTTTACCAACAGTACTAACAGGTTACGTGGAAGAACAAAAACTCCCAAGTATAAGGGTCCTTCTTTTTCTAAACATGCCTCATGTGGAGTACCTCTGAATGCAGCCATGTAAGGAGAACCAGAACTTCAGTGGCTGCTCTGGATAACTATGCAGAATGCTTTCTAAGAACAGCTGAAGTCAATCTAATTTAAATATATCAAGAGGTAGCCAGGTATTTAAAGTTTCCCCAAATACTTTTATCTGAGTGATGCTTTCTTTCCTAAGGCTGAACAAGACCAGTTGATCCCTTTAAATTAAAAAATAAAAGGTCTCAAGTAAGGGCTGAAGGGGCATTTTATCAGAATGCCTTGCCTTCCTGAGGTTCTTCTCCATTAGGTCAAAAGTCCAGGCTCTTGCAGTAGAGAAAGAGCTCCTCATAGAAGCACCAAAGAAGTGGGAGGAACGAAGCTGACATGGGTTTCACTTCAATTTTATATGCCTGCTCATCAGAGTCTCCTTAGAACATTTTATATTTTGCATCCTGATTCACCGAGGAGTTTTGTTAAACAGATTATGCGTGTGAGAATTTCTCTCTCATTTTATGCAATCAAATCAACTTTAAAAGGTTGACGTTAAAATCCTGGGTTTGCCTTTTCACTATATGTGAGACCCTCTTATGTGTATAAGTAATGTAATAATTCATTTGAAGTAATCCTTATTTCAGAAATATTTCAAACTGGTGCAAATGGAAAATACTTTCACTTTTCCTTTAAGGCTAAAGATAAGAATGCCATGCTGTTTAGGTGCAACTCAATCTTCGTTAATAAAAAACAATGTAGATATAGATATTTTACCCCTTGAAGTAGTTGTGTCCCTGTTGCTGTTGATTTTTAGAAAAATGGCTTTAGAAATTCCAAGTTGTCCTTGACTTGTCTAACCATGGATATCAGCAGTTGTCTTTTTTTTTTTTTTTACCATGGAGACTAGTTTGATGTAATTTTATTCCAGATATAGGCAGGCACCTGTCTGTTTTTCAGTGCATTTAGTTACTGCTGTTACTATTTAATTAGACTGTATTAAATTTTAAAAACCTAGAAAAAATAATAATGTATTTGAAGCTTTCATTGAACATGGTAGCCATCTCATCCTGACACCACAAGATCACAGAAATGGCCAGAAGTGTTTCAGTAACTCAAGAGACCCTTCTAATTTACATGAGAAAAATATTTACAAAAATTTCTTACAAAACAATTGGAATTAGTTTTGCATTTGTACCTACGAACAAAATAAAATTAAGCCTTATTTACATGTTTATATAATTTTTGTGACAGCGAGAATAACTTACGTCAACCTTCAATGCCAGTTATACAAGGAAGAAATACGAAGACAGACATGGTCACATTTGTTGAAAAAACTGAGAAACAAGATGAGAGAATGCATGCAAACTCAGAAATAGTTACAATGACTGTTTGGTGTAATAATTTCCTTGAGCTGCCATAAAAATAACCCTACACATGTGATTTAAAATGAAAGGCATTTATTGTTTCACAGTTCTGGAAGCTAGAAATCCAAATCCATAGGGCGGGGCCATGTTCCCTCTGACACCTGTAGAGAAAACCTTCCTGGGATTCTTCCTGGCAGCTCTTCCTCTTTGCTAGTAATCTTTGGTGTTCCTTGTATTGTAGCTGAGTAACTTCACTCCATGCCTCCATATTAACATGACTTTCTCCCTGTGCCTCTCTGTCTTCTCATGGTTGACTTCCTACAAGGACCCAGGAACACTGATAAAGAGACCTCCCTACTCCAGAATGACCTCATCTTAACTATTATATCTTCAATGATCCGATTTTCAAATGATTTTATGTGCTTGAATACTGGGGTGTAGGGCTTTAACATATATTCTTTAGAGTCCAATACAACACATAACATATAGAAAAAAGAATTTCTTACAAAAAATCATTTTAATATGTTTTAAATTGTGCAATACACCTTAATTACAACCTAATAAAAAATGTTATTAATATACCAAAGAACGTTTCTTCCTTTCGTTCTTAGCTGGCAAAGTACATCGTTGAAGATTATTCCTCCTGCAAAAAAATATATTTAAATTTATTCCTTGGATCTGATGTAGGCAATACTATTCCTTTTGGATTACAAAATATTAGGAATCCGCTTTTCTGGAACAGTTCCTCCTCATTGATGGATTTCCTCAACTTTTGGACACAAACAGGAATAAATATTGATGTAGACCCTTCTGTTTACCTTTTTCTTTAAGGATAGGCAACATTTAGACCGCCTTGAGAGCTCAGGTTTCTGGTCATGTGATCCTGATATCACGTGATCATTTTCTCCCCAGGCTGTCAGAGGCAGGGTTACGTCTTGGCTCCCCATCTGGATCTTTCACTGCAGTAACCCCCACTGTCGTGTAGCTTGAGTAGTACTCAGTCTAGCCTATGGATTGGGTCCCCCAGAGGCTCAGGGCAGCTTTGCTCCCAGGAAGGTCTGAGAATCAGGTGGTCATTCAGGAATGTTTGTTGCTTGCATCATAAATCAATGTCTCAAAAAGTTGGCCAGACTTCTGTTGCATCCAGTGTGGATAGAAATTGTTGGTGACCACTCTGGTGCTGGAGCCACAGGTGAGAGTGACTGTCCCTCCTCAGGAAAGAGTCAGTGAGGGCTCCTCAGTCACCACACCCTAAGAACTGGATACTGAAACCGAAACAGACACGACAGGAATGGGGAAGAACAGAGGGCTCTCTCCATGGGCTGGTCTTTGAAATCTCCATGAACCTGGGCAAAGACTGAACAGGATGGGGAAGTGGAGGAGAAGCATCCAGGGCATGATGTAAACTTTCCAAAAATCTGCAGAGCTCTAAGATGCTGCTGGACCCTGAGATGGTTCTTTTATCTCCTATGCAGCTCCCTAGATGAAGGGCATATATTTGGTTCACACATTAATAAGCACTTTACCAAAACCATCACCAACACCATCTGCTTCTGTTGTTTTCAGCTGAGAGAGCAGCTCTACTGTCAGGGGGGCTGGGCTGCTGTGAGGTCTAATTTCACCACTTGAGAGGAAGCACCTGCTATCACCTCTAACTCAGACCAGTGAGCATGGGCCCCAGGACCCATTAAATGAGATTCGTGGGAGTTTATTTCAGGCTTTTCTCACCTCTGAGAAGACTCACAGTGTCCCCTGGGAACATCTTCAAGAGAGTATTAATGGGGAAACGATAAAAAGCTAAAGGTAGTTCTTTCTTTCAATAAATAAATGCTATTTTATTCTTTATATTTTCCACTTTAATGTTTCCCAAGTCAAACCAGAATCATTGATTTTCATGTGTTTACCTACTTATTTTTACTGTATTTTTATGTCGTGTGGAACACCTCACCCAGTGACTGAATCTCAAATGTAACCAGTTCTTGAGTCCTGCCTTAACTTTCTTTTTAAATGTGCTCTAGTTTATTAGGTTCTTTAATTTCCAGTTGGTTTGATTTTATAACTTCTCTTTTCTGAGATTTTCTTCTTTTCCATTTGTTTCAAGAGTGTTTTTAATTATTCATTGAAGGGATTTTGTGGTTGTTGCTTTAAAAATCCGTCATATGATTTTAGCATCTGAGTTTGCTTCAGTGTCCATGCGTGTCACTGTCTTCTTTCATTTGGGTTCTGAATGTCCTAATTCTTGATGTGACAATGATTTCATGAACTGAATGCTAGACACCTTAAATACTGTATTTTGAGCCTCTAGGCACCACTAATCTCCCTTTTATCAGGTGATCTTCTTGTTGAGTTGTTGAAGGACACAGGTTTGTAGGTTCAGCTTCCCACTGCCAAAGCAAAGGCAGAACGCTGGCTCTCAGTACTCCAGTGCTGCTGACACTTTCATGAGAAAAAGAGGACTCACTGACACCAGGGCAGGGAGGGGGACAGCAGGTGTGCCAACGACACTGACTTCCATCCCCAACCAGTATTCTCATTGCCAGGTGGGAGACAAAGCTCTGGTCCTCCCTGGCCCCCATAACCACCAGAGTCTGGGTTCAGGGAGGGAATACTGAGGGCTGGTGTGCTCTGCCTTGTACCATTTCATTCAACTCATTGCTGGGGATGGGGGCTGAAATTCAGTTCCTGACTGGGCCCTGCCAAAATCAGGCATAGGTGGATGGGAGGATAAACCAGCTCAAACTAGCCCTGCCATGCTCGCCTGGTTGAGGATATTGGGGTGAAAGCTCAGCTGCTCACTGAGCCCCACTGACACTACCCCAGATGGGCAATCAGAGCATGGCCCGCTCCTGCTGGGCAGGGTGTTGTTGACTAGGAGGGTTTCTGAGGCACCACAGCCTGGAGACTGCTGGTACCAAAACACGTGCATACTCCCATCATTGGTGCTGCTCCCAGTGCAGGTGCTGGGGTCATCTGTCCCACAGACCTGGACACTGCAGTTGGCTGAGTCAGCACAGAACAGGCCCAGGACCCTGAATATCATGACAGACAAAGAGTAAGAGACACAGGTTAGTGGACAGGGACACACACAGCAATCCTGGTCCCTTCATCCTCAGCCCTGACGCCTGGCCCCAGCCAGCTGAGCAGTGAAGGAGAAAAGGAAAGAGGCCACGAGCCCAGGCCATGGTGGGGACCCGCCACACAGCTGTGTCCTGAGGACCCTCAGGTGGGCCTGGATTCTTCAAGTCTCTCCTATCCTTCCAGCAGTTCAGGGCGAAGGGGGTTAGGAGGGACTTGCAAACCAGCCTCCTCTCCTGGGCTGTCTAAACCCCACCTTGGGTTCTGACTCTTGACCTCTGCCTGGAAAGCTAACCCCGGGAGAGTGTGGACCTGGGTGTGGCTATTCTGTGGGTACTCAGGGACCTGTGAGGACACAGCTGCTAGTCCCAGTGAGCAGGGGACAGAGGGCTCCAGGCCAGGACCAGGGGGTGGCTCCCAGCTGGGATCCACAGCACAGCCCTCAGGGCTAGGCCACAGCATCCCCTGCTGCCCAAAGCTCAGACACACCCATGTCTCCTGTCTCTTCCTCTGTCCACTTTGTCCTCCCTAAAAGAATGGAGCTGGGCAGTGTCCATGCCAGGCCACACCTGGTCTCAGGTCTCCACACAGCCCCTACCCCTGGACTCACCTGCCCAACTCACTGTATGGTTTACGGGACTCTGCTAAGAGCTCTGCCTCTCTGAAAAGCATTCCCTGGGTACAACGAAGTGGGAGGCCCAGCAGGGACAGGGCATCCCCTCCCTCCAGGGCACCAGGAGCTGCTCCCTCTTCCTTCCCCCTGGCTGATCAGAGCCTGTGCCCAGACTGCCAGGACCTGCCCTTGGGTTCAACCTCTCCCTCTGTGCCCCTCTTCCCTTCTGCCCCTCACTTACACAGATTGCAGAAAGTGAGATTAATGAATGAATACATTAATAAGTAAATAAATATTTCCCAACCCAGGCATAAATTCTATGTCTAGACACAGTGCAATTTTGAAAGTGAGGAAAGAGGGAAGCTCTGGGTAGGCTCCTGATTCCTAATTCTCCCTCCTGTCTTGAGCATTGAGAGACTATTAGCACTTTTAAGGGGTGGGGTCAGCACCCTGTAAGCCTGCCTTGGGCATATGGAAAAAAAATGCTCCTACAGTTTCAGAGAAAGCCCTTACAGAGTTTGGAGACAATGACTTGGATAAAGACCATGGTTGCAGAGCAGGGCCCTTGAAGCAGCCCTGGGTTCTCCCCTGGCCCGAACCCCAGTGAGGAAGGCAATGGGAGGAGGATGAAGGGAGGAGCCCGGGTTGTGGGGAGCCCCTGTGAGCTCTGCTCCCTGTGGTCTCTAGTGGAGCCCAAATGCCTACATCTCCTCAGTTACCACCCACACCCAGGACACAGAGCCAGACTGCAAGGTGGGATCTTCTTGCAAATCTGTTCTCCACTCAGCCATGCAAGCCCCACTCTTGGCACAGAGTATGAACCTGCTCCTGGAGCTGAAAACAGATCACAGGGAAGAGTGGGACGAGGACACCCAGAGGCTCTGGGAGGGACAGCATCTGGGATACCGAGCACTGGACATATAACATGGGACTTGGTTGTCATGTGATCTTCCCTAGGGACCCTCAGAAAAAGACCCAAGACCTGGTTCCCCTGTGGCTTCAGGACCCAGCTCCTGCCTCATTATCACTGCTCTAGCACTGAGCCCTTCTCCTCAGAACAATCACAAAAGACACTTTTCTTCATGTTGCACCATCTGTATCACATCTGGCCCCCCACCTGTCATCTGATTCCCCCACAGACCATCCCCTGCTCACTTCAATTTGCTTTTCTGCATCATCGTCAGGTCTCAGCCTCCCTAGGGATGTCTCTGCAGGAGGCCCACATTGCAGAGAGCTCAGCCCCTTGACAGCTGTGCCTTGGTTGCCCAAAGCTCAGCACCTCTTCCTTCCAGCCCTAGGCCAAGCCAGGGCCAGGCCTTTCAGAAGGGTAAACCTACATTTCTTCAAGTGTCAGACTTCCACTGTCACAATCAGATCCTGGGGAGCAAACATCAAGATGAAGATGTTATCAACAAAGATTATGGGGAGTAGTTTCTGTAATCCCCCCTAAAACTATCTCCCTATTGGACAATTACTATCCTTCCCTCTAGCCAGCCCTAGCAATGAGTGGAGTGTGGAGGGATTGGTAAACTCAATGAGCCAGGAGAGCCCAGGGTCCAGGAACCCATTATGATGCAAGGATGAGCAGTGAGCAGTGAGCAGATGCCCTCGTGGCTCTTAGGAAATGCTACTTAACCAGGTGAAAGCTTTCTATGGGCTGTGCTTTTTATCCCTCTAGTCCCCAAAGAACTGAGATGCATTCCAGCAACGTTCCAGCCAAATAAGCAGAAAGGGGAAATAATGAAGGCTCAAGGTTCTTAGGATTAAAGTAGAACAGATGAACAGTGATGGGGCCCAGAGAGCCTTCCTTACTGGGAGGTTGATCCTGCACCTTGGGATCCGGGAACTCCTTGGGGGCATCTTCTGAGGATTTAGAGGGAGTGGCTTCCCTAATAATGATGCACCAAGTTAAAAGCATCAGACTTGCTGGAATCACAAGTGACAGCAGAATCCACAACCTGAGCAGGTGTCGGTCACAGGCAGGGACAGGGCAGTGACGGATTTGATGGGGGAAATGGAGGACAGATGTTTATGTCACTTCCCCATGGAATGGGAGCTCATGGCAGCATCGGGTTGTATTCAGCTCTGACAGTGATAGTCATCCTGACCCTCGGGCTGCACAGTCAAGGAAAGTCAAGTTGAAAAAGGAGAATCAGGCTGAGATCCCTGAAGGTTGATTACTGCAGTTCTCAGTCACAAATTCAGGATTTCTCTGGAGCCATTGGGCCAGTTTCCATGGTAATATTCAATGTTTCTGCTGACCCCTGTGCAGGAGAAGGTGACCTTGGAATCTGGACACATCAAGAGCTTCACACAAGGAAGTTTCACTTGCACAGGTTGAAGAGTTTCTTCTCCATGATCTCCTGTAGACCCCATCTCACAGAGTAGATTACTGAATATCTCCAATGGGATAAGAAAAAAGAGGACACAAGTCAGTGTTTGTGAGTTCAGAAAAATCCACCCATGGGTGTCCTCATGTTTCTGAGTGGAATGAGCTGAAGGGAAGCCACACTCACAAGACCGATTTCCCCAAACTTCTTAGGAGCTCACTCAACATTCCCCTAGCAATGGTGGAGCCACCATGTCACCCTCTCACAGCCCACAAAGACATCTTCTGGCCTCAGTTTCATGAATAACCCCATACCCAACTTCTTTCTATCCTGACATTTTAACTTAAAATAAAGGAACCTGAAAGTGAATCAGGCCAGCTCTGTGTTTGGAATTACTCCCAGGCCTGTCCTCTGGGGTATTACACACCTGAGTGCCTAGTCCCAGGATGCAGGGAACATCAGGCAGCCCTGACTACAGACACCTGGGGTGGGAAAGGGAGGTCTCCTCATTGACCCCTTGAAGAACAAGAGCCCATGCTGCAGGGGACTGTCCATTTGTGGGCTTGAAGTTTGGGCTCTGAGCAAGATTTGCTCAAGGGAAGGCTCATTCTTTTTTTCTTTCAAGAGAAAAGGTGAGCTTCACAGACTTTGGTATCAGCCCATAAGGATAAGCAGACATCTCAGTGTCATCAGGAGGCTTATGTTCTTGTTTATGTTTTAATTTCTTCTGAGACTTCTGAAACATTAAATGGGAAATTGTGAGTAAAATTGTTCTAAATCAGAGGATGCATCCAGATAGATTTTTTACATACAGAAAATGTTTTAAAATTAAAAATTGTCACTGAACAATAGCCTCAGCAGGTTGAGGATTTTGTCCCACTTCCTCATCTGCCTGTATCACTGTGTGAGTGTTACTGTCCCAGGTCTCACAGTAATAATCAGCCTCATCCTCAAACTGGAGGTTGGAGATGGTGAGGTAGCGGTCAGCCCCAGAGCTGGAGCCTGAGAAGCGATCAGGAACTCCGCTCCCCTTGTTGTAGCTTCCACTACCTTCAAGCTTCATCAAGTACCGAGGGGCCTTCCCTGGCTGCTGCTGATGCCATGCGATGATGTAGCTACTGTGCCCACTGCTCAGAGTGCAGGTGAGCTTGACCGAGGATCCCAGGGAAGCAGAGGCAGAGGATGATTGAGTCAGCACAGGCTGGGAGAGAGACCCTGAAAACAGAGACGCTCATTATGGCCTGAAGGAAGGACAAGAGCAAACAACATTTCTGGTATGAGTTTGGGAGATGGTGTCAGTGAGCTGGGGCATGAGGATGCTGAGGGTCCTCCTGACCTGTGCAGTGGAGGAGGAGAGGGAAGAGGAGGAGGAGTGGGGTCCAGGCCATGGTGCAGACTCCCCAGAGCTCTGCTGAGGCAGCCACGCTGCAGGTCTCTCTTATCCACCCTCTAGCCTCAAAGGAGAGGGAGGGGCCCTTCATGCAAATGTGCTCCTCTTCCCCTGCTTAACCTAACTCTCCCTGGGCCTGTGTACAGCCTCTGTGGCTGGGTGACACTACTAGGAGGAGTCAGCCTGGGCTGAGCTTGGCCTGAAGCTCCCCAAGCACCCAGAGAGGACCCAGCTGCTGGCCCCAGTGAGCCGTGAGGCAAAACAAAGTTCATGGACTTTATTTCCCAGCTGAGAGCCGCACAGAGCCCCCACCAGCAGCCCCATTGTGCTCTCTGCAGCCCAGGCCCAGGCCCATCGTGTCTGTGACCAGATGCCAGAGGATGAGACCCTTCCTCAGGGCAGCCTCCTACCTCATCTCAGCCTTTAACTCTCTTTTTTTTTTTTTAATTATTATTATACTTTAAGTTTTAGGGTACATGTGCACAATGTGCAGGTTAGTTACATATGTATACATGTGCCATGCTAGTGTGCTGCACCCGCTAACTCATCATCTAGCATTAGGTATATCTCCCAATGCTATCCCTCCCCCCTCCCCCCACCACACAACAGTCCCCAGAGTGTGATGTTCCCCTTCCTGTGTCCATGTTTTCTCATTGTTCAATTCCCACCTATGAGTGAGAATATGCGGTGTTTGGTTTTTTGTTCTTGCAATAGTTTACTGAGAATGATAATTTCCAATTTCATCCATGTCCCTACAAAGGACATGAACTCATCCTTTTTTATGGCTGCATAGTATTCCATGGTGTATATGTGCCACGTTTTCTTAATCCAGTCTATCATTGTTGGACATTTGGGTTGGTTCCAAGTCTTTGCTATTGTGAATAGTGCCACAATAAACATACGTGTGCATGTGTCTTTATAGCAGCATGATTTATAGTCCTTTGGGTATATACCCAGTAATGGAATGGCTGGGTCAAATGGTATTTCTAGTTCTAGCTCCCTGAAGAATCGCCACACTGACTTCCACAATGGTTGAACTAGTTTACAGTCCCACCAACAGTGTAAAAGTGTTCCTATTTCTCCACATCCTCTCCAGCACCTGTTGTTTCCTGACTTTTTAGTGATTGCCATTCTAACTGGTGTGAGATGGTATCTCATTGTGGTTTTGATTTGCATTTCTCTGATGGCCAGTGATGGTGAGCATTTTTTCGTATGTTTTTTGGCTGCATAAATGCCTTCTTCTGAGAAGTGTCTGTTCATGTCCTTCGCCCACTTTTTGATGGGGTTTTTTGTTTTTTTCTTGTAAATTTGTTTGAGTTCATTGTAGATTCTGGATATTAGCCCCTTTGTCAGATGAGTAGGTTGTGAAAATTTTCTCCCATTTTGTAGGTTGCCTGTTCACTCTGATGGTAGTTTCTTTTGCTGTGCAGAAGCTCTTTAGTTTAATCAGATCCCATTTGTCAATTTTGGCTTTTGTTGCCATTGCTTTTGGTGTTTTAGACGTGAAGTCCTTGCCCATGCCTATGTCCTGAATGGTAATGCCTAGGTTTTCTTCTTAGGGTTTTTATGGTTTTAGGTCTAACATTTAAGTCTTTAATCCATCTTGAATTGATTTTTGTATAAGGTGTAAGGAAGGGATCCAGTTTCAGCTTTCTACATATGGCTAGCCAGTTTTCCCAGCACCATTTATTAAATAGGGAATCCTTTCCCCATTGCTTGTTTTTCTCAGGTTTGTCAAAGATCAGATAGTTGTAGATATGCGGCGTTATTTCTGAGGGCTCTGTTCTGTTCCATTGATCTATATCTCTGTTTTGGTACCAGTACCATACTGTTTTGGTTACTGTAGCCTTGTAGTATAGTTTGAAGTCAGGTAGTGTGATGCCTCCAGCTTTGTTCTTTTGGCTTAGGATTGACTTGGCGATGCGGGCTCTTTTTTGGTTCCATATGAACTTTAAAATAGTTTTTTCCAATTCTGTGAAGAAAGTCATTGGTAGCTTGATGGGGATGGCATTGAATCTATAAATTACCTTGGGCAGTATGGCCATTTTCATGATATTGATTCTTCCTACCCATGAGCATGGAATATTTGGGCTTCCTCTGTGAAAACACAACACATAATTCTTCCCATTTTATAAGGAGTCCGCAGGAGAAGGTTGTCTCATATACAAACTGTGCATGAAATAAAGTACATTTGCTGAGAACAAGGACAGTTCAGCCATGCACCCACTTCCCCACAAACTCATGAAGCCATGTTTCTCTCCCTACTTGATTCTTCAGGAGATCACACATAGAGAGCAGGGTGAGCATTTGGGAGGATCCTTTAACCTGACTGAGTGCTTCACTGAATGCTCTAGTAACTGAGGAGAGAAACGGGTTGGAAGGAGAAGCTATTTGAGGGGATGGAAAAGAGAAACAGTGGCCTCAGGCATCTTTTGTAGTAAGGGGTAAGAGAGGCTGAAGAACGAAGAGGGAATGTGAGTGACAACTTTCAAGAAAAGATGAAAAATACCCATGGCTTTTCTTCTAGAAATATTTTGGTGATTGTCTAAGGAGGTCACAGAGAAGAAGGAAGTGGAATGAAAGGGAGAGAAACAGGAGAACTGAGAAGGGAAGTTGTGAGTTTGAGATGGGGAAGCAGAGAGGGTGAGGAGGGTCCATGCTTGGGAAAAGACTGGAGAAGAAGCCAGTGCAGAAATTGGGCAGGAGCCAGCAGGGATGTTGGATCAAGAGGAGGTTTGAGTTGTGTTTGCATTCATTTCTATTTCTTAAAAAAAAAAAAATAGAACCTCTCCCAACTTCCCATCTGCCCTCTGTGATCAGCTCCCTGCCTGGAATTGGGGATTTCTCTTTGATCATAATCCTTTAGCTCCCTCTCAGATAAATTTCTATTTGGTTTCTGTCTGAAAGTGGCTTCCCTTATTTCCCACCATTCTTATGAATATGGTAATATTAAAACATGTATGTGGATCTTTGGAAGAAGGGGCCTTCTAGAAACGCAGAATTTCAGTCCACAGTCCAGACCCACTGATCAGAATCCACATTATCCAGGATCCCACATGATCCATGTGCACATTCAAGTCTGAGCAGCTCTGGGCTGATCCAGGGAGGAAGGCGCTGGTGGGTTTGGTGATAGGTGGTTCCTCATGCCCCAGTCTGTTCTGCGTCCTGCCCACATGTCCAGCAAACTCACACTGTTGTACATGATGCTCTGGGCATGCTGCATTTGTGACTTCCCAAACAATATGTAGGTGTCTCCCCCTGCACTCTCAAATCCACAGAGATGACCAGGAGTGTTTTGTTAATAACAAGGTGATCTTCCCACCTTCACATCTTGATACTAGTGAACAAGTGGAATTATGTAAAAGCTACAATTTTCCATTAGATCTCATAATGTTAATATTATTATTCAGTTCTCATATATTTAGGGATTTTTAAGACACAAGGATTTCTTATCTTAACCTTAAATTACAAGCATATTTATAAAGTTAGAAATATGAGCACAGATATAATCATATTCATGGAAAAACTGGTTGCCAAAATGAAAGAAGTACAATCAATTTCAGAAGTATTGTGTAATTTATTGTCTGGTGTATTGGTTTCCTAGAACTGCTGTCAGAATGTATTAAACACAAGTTTGGTTAAGATAACACAAATGTATTGTCTCACAGTTCTGGAGGCTAGCCTCCCAAAATTCATAGAAAGGGCAATGTTTCCATATATACCTGAGGGGAGATCCTTCCTTCCCTCTTTCTGGCTGCTGGTGGTTTGCCAGCAATCTTTAGTGCTCCTTATCTTGCAGCTGTGTAAATTCAATCTCTGCCTTCGTCGTCACACGGCATTCTCTCTGTGTCTTCCAATCTCCTTACTACCATCATCTTATAAGGACACCAGGCACATTGGATCAAGAGGCCACCTCGCTCTAGGATGGCTTCATCCTAAGAATTACATAAGCAATAACACTATTTTAAAAATAAGGTCACATTTAGAAGTACTGGGGGTTAGACCTTCAAAATATTTTCCTAGGTGGATACTTTCTTATATAACATTAGAGAAGAGAATCCCTCTTAACACTTTTATAATTTTTAATGCTTAAAAAGCTATGAAATACACACTATTAACATAGAACATGAAATAAACTTTATTAATATAATTTCCTCTCTTAGCTTTTAATAGGCAAAACAACAACAAAATCTTTTGAGATCCATCTTTCTGGATGAAGTGTGTTTGACCTTAGTCTTTAGAGTTGATCTCACTATTACTGTTCTGTTTGGAATATAAACATAAATTCTTCTTTTTGGGAATCTGCATCTCCCAAATGATTCACAAATATTTTCCACTTTAAAATTCAAACAGATACAGGAATCAATTTACACCCCTCCACCCACCTTTCTCTCTACGGATAGTTAAAATTTAGGTGTCCTTGAGAGCTCAGGTGTCTGGCCACGTGATCCTGATATCCTACGTTCATGTTTGTACCCCGGATCAGCCAAAAGCTCGTTCATGTCCTGCTTCCCCATCTGGGTCTCTCACTGTGCTAAGGACCACTGTGGTGTAGCCCACAGTATACTCAGCCTCATCCTCAGGCTGGGCCCCTTGAGGGGTCAGGGCAGCTTTCCCCCAGGAGGGAGCCAGAGAATCAAGTGGGCATCCAGGGGTGTTTGTTATCTGTGTTACACATCAATGTCCTGAGGACTTGACCAGGCTTCTGCTGAATTCAGTGCTGTGGTGCTGAAGCCACACATGAGAATAAGTCTCTCTCTTTAGGACACAGTCAGTGAGGGCTCCTGAGTCACCACAGCCTGAGAACTGAACCAAGAAACTAAAACAGATACATGTTATGTGTGAGGAATCACAGCAGACAGATCCCTCCAAAGTCCTGTCTTTGAAATCTACATGAACCTGGGCAGTGAGGAGGGAGAGAGGGGAGGATAGACATCCAAGCTATGGTGTGGACTTTCCAAGGATCCCCAGAACCCCCGGCTACTTCTGGACCCTGGGACAGTTCCTCTAACTCCTCGTCACCTCCCCGGGTAGATGTGTGTTTGGTTAGGACATTATGCAAACATGGGGCCTCTACCAAAACCACCGGCTCCCTAAGTTCTGAGTGCTCAGCCAGGCAGCAGCCGCTCTGTCAGGGAGGATGGGCTGCTGGGAACTCTGAGTTTGCCCTTTGGGAGAAAGCACCTGCTCTAAACCCCAATTCGGGCCAGTGAGTATGGACCCAGGAGCCATAAATGAGAGCCCCGGGAGTTCATTTCCGGCCTTGCTCACCTCTGAGAAGATCCACAGCTCCCTCTGCTGGGCTTAGATGGCTATTGTTTGTACTTTCTTCCCTACTTAACGGTAAATAATTCCTCTAATGCCTGAACTTTAATTTCACTGTTACCTGTTCCAGAGTCCCTCCAGACTGTTCTTTTTAATTTATTGCATTTTTCTGTTTTCTAATTTTAATTTGGTTTGTTTCTATGACTTATTTTTCTTTTCGGGATTTGCTTCTTTTCCACTTGTTTCAAGAATGTCCCCTCTGACACAAGTTTACCTACGTAACATACCTGCACATGAACCCCTGAACCTAAAACTTCAAAAAATAATGTCTAAAATTGCTCACTGAAGGAATTGTATAATTACTCCTTAATTAATCTCAGTTACATAACATCAGCACCTAAATTATTTCAGTATTGGTGTCTATCAATTGTCTTTTCTCATTTAAGTTGTGTTCTTCTGGTTCTTCATATGGAAAGTTATTTTACTGTATCCTAGATATTGTGGATATTATAAGACTTTCTACAAGTTTATCAAGACACATGAAATAGTGCTTGTTTTTGTTTTATTGCTTTTTTTTTACTTTGTCATTAAGAGGAAAAATGACACACATTCCCCTTTGTATGCATTTAATTTCACATTTTGCAATCAATCAAATCATATGGGAAATGAGTTACCCTGTAGTCTGCTTTGCATCTGCTGAAATATTCCTGAAGCCTCTTATGTCTCTCATCCTCTATCTTAGCCATTTTCTTTGAAGTTCACCAAATATGCCAAAGTGTTGCTTATAACTTGAGGAAGAAGAAATTCACCTTTGATCTCAAGTGACTGCCATGATTGATAGAAAAAGTGCTTGTGATGATCCCATTGGGGGCCTGAAGAATAAATGATCTGAGTCTACAGTGGTTGAAAACCAGACTCCAAAAACAAGAAATTTGCTTCAGAAGCATAGGACTGAGGCTTGATCCAAGGGTTTGAGTGTAGTTTCCCACTTGTATTTTTGTATTTGTCCCTGTGGTGATATTTCAGATCACCACACCGAGCATGTAACACTGGGCCTCATTCTTGGTCTAGTCCTCATTATAACCAGAGTGGCTTTTTCTTCATGAAGAGAACCAGGGGATTGTGCAGGGGTCCCAGGACCTGACTGCTTGTGCCCACCATTGCCCTGGGGACATTGCCAGATGTTCTGTTGGGCCCAGCTGTCGAGATGCTCTGATGACAGCCCCAATTTTGGAGCCATAGGTGAAGGTGACTGCCCCTCCAGGAGTTGTGGAAAGTGAATGTTCCTGTGTCACCACAACCTGGGAAGTAACTCCTGAACCCAGAGAAAGGAAAGAGATGTCATCAGGACAGGAGAAAAAAATCCCAGAGCATACAGACACCCAGTAGTTTCTAAGTAAATATGTTTATTACTAAAAAAAATCATTGAGCCAACAAAACACATATAAATATCTACCTGCCTCTATTTTGTGAGTTAAAAAAAATAAGATATGATTTCAGTGTTCTTTGTTTCTTTGGACTATAGTTACCATCCAAATTCTCAGCCAGGAACAGCCTAGAAACATCCTAGTTTCTGGGAGTCAGCCTAGAAACATTTGGGAGTCAGCCTAGAAACATCCATATCCTTCATGCACAAAGTCCAAGTCCTCTCCATGCCAAATGTATTTTATGACATAAAGGTATCACGAAGCTGCTTTCTGCTCTTCATTCCAACTCTAACTAACCTAGAGCCACCCACCATCATCTCCCCATGATGGTACCAGCGCCCCCAGCTTGTCTTCCTGTCCCAGATCTTCCCCATTTCATTCTCATTACAGCTGGAGACTCACTGACCAAAGGCCATGTGAGCTTGTCCCTGCCACCTCACAGTCCTTCAGTGACTCTGTGAGCCCTTCTCGGGGGCTCATTCTACTGATCTGCCTCAGCCTGCCTCTCAAGCTCACAGCTTCCCTTCAAGGAGCTCCTCCTGGCCCCTTCCTTGATCCAATGACCTTAGGCTCAGGCTAAAGTCACTTTTCTCACTGACTGTAATGACCAGTGTCTCCTTCTATGGATTCTCACCTCTGATGAGATGTTCCAACACTCCCCCTCCACCTATCTCACTCCTGCTCATTCTGAAAGTCACACATGAGACTCTACTCCTGTGGATTAGGCCTCTTTGGCCAAATCCCCACTCACCCTCACTTCCACACCCACATGGACCATCCCCCTCATGGGTTTTCTGTTCTTTATGTCTTCCCTCTCAGCTCCTGTTCAGTGGCTGATGACAGCATGCAAAGACAGAGCCAAAGAGGCACAGTTGTTACATCTCTGTTTCATGTTTTCAGTTAGGAAAATATAATTCTGTCAGATGAAAATTTACTCATACAACATCTGGGGCCTCTATGTTCTCAGCTTGGACACTCCAAAACCCTCCTTCTCAGAACAGCCCACAGCACCCCCTGCTTGGTCCACAGCCACAATCCCTCCAGGGCCTATGACCCACCTGAGAAACATGGGTAGCAGATTCATGGTTATGCTGAGCACCTTGAACTAACCTGGTTAGGGGCCCTGAAATATCGGGCCACACAGAAATAGAAGACACCCTTTTGTCTTCTCCAGGAGGGACATTATAGGTGCCTTGGGATTACTTGGGTCTGAAGAAGAAGGTTCTTAAAGTGATAGGAAAGATTTCACAATAAAGAGAAGTTACTTAAACACAACAGCTCACTTGACTCATTGGAAAGAGAGTTAAGGCTTGAGGCAAGAGGTACTTACACCTAAATGTGCACCCAAACCACTGGCTCTTTAGAAGTTGATAATAGCCCATGAAATAGACAGAGAAGTCCAAGTGGCAAGAGGACATTCCCCACTAGAGTCTACCTCACCCTTCATCCATAACTTTCTCAAACACCTCAGAATTCCCAATGTGGTGCACTTTTGCGGTCACTTTTCCTGAAGGCTGCCCACCTTACACATGTATCTGGGCCTGAGTGGTGGCCAGTGAGAGGCTATTTTTGAGGGTGAAGCATCGATTTGTGGTCTAGACTTCATGTACTTGCTGCTCTCACCCCTCACAGCCTGCTCCAGCCTCCAGACCTTTGCATCTGCTGTTCCCTCTGCCTGGGATGCCCCCACCCCTCCCACCCCAGCTCGGCTCACTCCACCACTTCTTTACATAGGTTTTATTTCCATTTCTTTGTTTTCAAGTGGAAAGTCACAAAATTTATTACACTTATTATCTATTTATATTTTCCCTGTATAAATGTCTATTTCTTTCATTTGTTTTAGTTTGTTGTGGTGGTGGTTGTTGCCAATTTGCAAATGTTTTCTATGAATCCTAGATGATGCCTTTTCACAGGGTAACTATAACTTCCTGGTCTGTTGCCTCTGATAAATGTTCCACTAAATTTCTTCCTTTAGTGTTTATTAATATTTATTAGTCTAACATTTTTGTGTAATTTTTTTTTGAGAAGGAGTCTCGCTCTGTCACCCAGGCTGGAGTTCAGCGGTGTGATCTTGACTCATTGCAAGCTCCGCCTCCCAGGTTCACGCCATTCTCCTGCCTCGGCCTCCCGAGTAGCTGGGACTACAGGCACCCGCCACCACGCCCGGCTAATTTTTGTATTTTTAGTAGAGACAGGGTTTCTCCAAGTTGGCCAGACTGGTCTCGATCTCCTGACCTCATGATCCGCCCTCCTCAGCATCCCAAAGTGCTGGGATTACAGGCGTGAGCCACCGCGCCTGGCCTCCTTTCCACTTAAAGGTAAGTGGCCTACCCATCAAATCAGCATTACTCAATAGTTTATAATGGGCTCTCTCTGTCCTTTGATGAAAAAGGGAATTCAGCTCTGGACAAAAACCCAAGATAATGAGCTTGGCAACATAAAGCAACTTCCTTTTATGAAATCCACTCACAAAATAAATGTGGTATAAAAATTAAAGACAAAACAGTAAGACAGCATTGATTCATTGATCTCAGAACTAATTCCAACTATATAATATTAACAACACTCATGATCTGAAATTTAAGCTGCAGCTAGCATCATGTAACAACAAGTTATTTAATATCCTCAATTACAGTAATATTGAATTTTAACAATTGAAATTATATTTTCTAGAGCACTACAATGGGAATGTTTTTCAAAGTGTAATATTGGAAATTATCAGAAGGTGAAAATTTGTTCACATGAAGCACTGTTCATTAGTCATTCAAGAATATGTTTACAATAAATCAAAACAAGTCTCATGTTAGTTGCACCCAACTTAGAGTTCCAACCAATATGAAGTAAAATCTGGGTGAATTAGGTTACTATTATCCAAAACTCTCAACTGTGTTTTTTTCCTGTGCCCTTTATTCACGTATCTCAAGAAAATAAAAATAATCTAGGGCTAAAAGAATGAGACTGACTCTCAAAATGATGGCTCGCAATGACTAAAGATACAATAATTCAAAAAATATTAAGCATCTACTATGAACATTGCACTGCACTGGAACAGGAATTAAAAGAAATTAAAGAATGTGTAAGCAGAACCTCAGTTGTATGTAAGAAAATCCAATTCCCCCTGAGAAAGAGAAAGAGCTAGAGTCCTTTAAAAAACTAACGGCCTATTTTTCTGTGGCTAATGAGCTTTCTCTCCCCTCCATTCCCAGGCATTGTGAAGACCCTGATTCCCTAGCTGGGCAGCTGCAAAGTCACTAGACACATAAACAAAAGTCGCAAAACATGTTTTTCCTTGAAAAGTAAGAAATGATGTAACGCATTTCTCAATTAATTGAATAACTGTCTTTGTTTCTCACTTCTCTAACATGCTTCCCCCTGCACAGATCTCCTCCCACCCTACAAAATGCTTAAAAGGTAACTTAACTCTTTGTTCAGGGCTCAGTCCTTTGGATGTTAATCCGACTGGGCTGGTGCACCTAAATAATAAATATCCTCCTGAACCCCATCAGTCTCTCTGATTCCTTAAAAAATATCCTGCAACAGCACTAGACCTGTGAGAAGTAGATATGAATAACATATTTCTGTCTTTAAGTCATCTATCATCCACTGTAGCAGATACTTGATAGATATAGATACTACTAAATAGTATGATGTTATGCACACACACACACACACACACACATTAAATAACTATAATATTATTTTCAGTTGCTAAAGGAAAAGGAGGCATCGGCATCAACTGTTTTCTAGAAGACAGACTACTGGCTTGGGTTAAAGCAACTGAGAAGGCTTTTTGAAGGGAGTTGAATTTGATATAAATTTAAGAGGGCAGATATGTGAGCTGGGAATGGCACTGCAGATGTAGGGAACAGTATGTATACAAATAATAAGTTTTAATGTAGAGAACATATAGAAAAGGACAGATAGCAATGTTTTTTTGTAACAAAGAATAGTAATGAAAGATAATGCTGAAAACAAAGATTTGATTTAGGTGTGTCTTAAGTTTCTGCCCCGTGAGTTCTTTATTTTATGCTTCTCCTCCAGCAATGTGCGTACTTTATATTGTGTTGCACCCCCAATGACATCACAAGTAGAAGTGCTTTTAAATATTTCTTCTACCTTAATATGGAAATACTCCATAGTTTGTACTCATTAAGTATATAGTGGCTATTGCCAAATCTGTGAAGCTTACAGCAGTGCTTAAATATCACAGAATTAATAAGCAAAATTAATCTGTTAAGGCACATAAAATGGAAACTTCAATGAACAACTTTTCCTAAAACACCAATTATATTTAATTTTCCACAACACTATAATAGTCTTAAGTTTACAAATCAATGGTCCTTGAAACTATTAAAACTCATCTTGATATATTACAGGAAACCTTTTCCCATTTGTAATAAACAACATGCAAATTTATGATGACATAATGCTGAAAATGTATAGATTAAAACACAAATTTTATTTGTGACCTTTATCTTTCTAAACAAGAGCTAATGGTTAGTCCCTACCTTTGCTTTCTGAAAGCGCTTGCATCAATAATTCTTTATTAAAGTTTCTCTTGAAATCTTTGCATTAGTCCTAGTTAGAAATTTTGGCTTCAGCTTGCAACTATCATCTTTGTCAAGAATAAGTAATATACAGTTGAAGCTTATAATTTTTATTTCTACCATTTCTCAGTTATTTTAAAGATACAATTATTGTCACATTCATCAATATTTTAAATCATGGAGTTTGTTTTTCCTTCTTCTTTTCTTCTGTTTTTCTCTGTTCTATGCATTCAACATGTATTTACTGCAGTGAAACAATTGTTTCAAGTTCTGAGTCATCTTTCACAACCTCCATATATTTTATATCCTCCTGTTTTCATATTCCAGGCCTTTACCCCCTTTAAAACAATTAATGTGGGCAAATACAACTAAAAAGTTATGATCCCATTTCGGTCTTAATATCCACTATTTCCCCCATCTACTGGATTATACTGCTGCCCCAGTAATTCTTTTGAGGTAATAAGCACTATCATACAATTATCAATCTCAAAAAAGTTAATATTTATTTTGTCCATACTGAGTTTTTAAGGGTTTGACATGGTGGGAAAAAATATTAGATAAGTATGAGAAACAATTTAAAACTACAGCACTGAAACTTAGAAGTTGGCCAGGTGTGGTGGCTCACGCCTGTAATCTTAGCACGTTAGGAGGCTGAGGCAGGAGGATTGCTTGAGGCTGGGAGTTCTAGACCAGCCTGGTCGACAGAGCAAGACCCCATTTCTAAAAACAATGGAATTGCTAGTCATGATGCTGTACACCTGGAGTCCCAGCTAATCAGGAAGCTGAGGTGGGAGGATCCCTTGAGCCCAGGAGTCCAAAGCTGCAATCAGCCATGACCTTCCAGCCTGGGTGATGGAGCCAAACCCTTACTCAAAAAGAGAGGGAGAGGGAGAGAAGTTGGAGCCTGGTATATAGATTTGAAAGTCTCACAAGTAACCATCTATCTAGCACTACAGCAAAACCAAGATAAAAGGAAAAAAGACGCTAGAATAAAAATTTTTTGAGACATGGCCATTAGAAAATAGGTGCATAAGTGAGAGAAGAAATAATCTCAGTTTAGAAAGAAAACCAGGAAGGTGAGAGTTCTTTAAAGTCATCTACTGAATGTTGAAAAAAATGAGAACTGATAAAAGAGCAGTATATTCAATGTTACTGTTTAATAATAAGTGAAAACATGCTTTAAAATTCCTGTGAAGCTAAACAAGTAATTTTTTGGTTGTCCAAAAACATAAATTGCTCTTCTTCAAAGATTATTTATATAATAGATAACCTCCTTTAAAGTTCTATATATTAGGTGTCAAATGCCAAAAATCCAGCAGTTATTCTCCTGTTCCCCATATTCATGGTAGAGATGACAGATTACTTTGAAAACTCAACTGACTGTAGTAGATATTAAATGTACACTTTTTTTCCTGTAGCGGGATAGATGTGAATTTCTGGTTAATAAGTCAATAATTTTACCTTACCCTGTAATGAGAATTGTCTTACATTTTTAGGCAGTACTTCGGCAATTACTGCCTCTCTTTCATAAAATAAGTGATCACTGCCACTAAAATTTGTGATCAAATTGTAGATGTGTAATAGTTTTATTTTTTAGTGTTATGACCTGCTGTAACAAATAATACCATCTGTTATACTAGTCATAATATAAACACTTTAATATAGACCCTTACATACCAGTTGCTGAAGTCAAGATATTGCTACTGGCTATCAACTATTTGGAAATTACAGTAAACATATTTTATCTGTGGAAACTCACAAATTCTATCACTAACACAAGAGGTGATTAGCATTTCATTTACTCTAGGGTAGGAGTTGAAAGCAAGAACAGAAGGTACTGCATTTCAAACATATTTTTAACATCTGCACCATCATATTTAATAAAATGTAGAGATGTATGTTATGCCTATCTTTTGCTGAAACCCACAAAACTTCAGCATTCAAATTTCAAAAAAGAGTAGATCCTAATTTTATAAAAGCAATTGCTTTTAGAGATACAAAGGACGATAACATCTGGGCTCTTTTAAAAACTTTTTGATTGGAGATAGTTTTTCTTCCAAAGCATGCTACATGTAATACAGGACCACGTTTCTTTTAAAAAGTTTCTAGACAAAGAACTCAGACAAGAAAAATGTCTATATAATCATCAGTGTGCTGTATTGTTGAAATGACTTTAGGGATTTTGTAGCAGCATGAATTGTTCTGACTTCGAAAATTTGCTTTTATTTTTATAAATAGGAGCTCATGAGCTAGTAATCAAATAGTATTAAGAGGCTTATAATAAGAGCAAAAGAATAATGGCAGCTTGCTTAACACTTCTCTATGCTGTAGTCCCGTTCAATAGAGAAAGCAATGTTTGGCTCTTTTATCTGGTGCTTTTGGTAATTACCTTGTTTTTAACCTAACATGCTGATATTGTTATCTTGATTTATCAATTTTAAACATTACCTATTAACTTTCTATTATAATACCTACATAGGAATTAGGACAGGTGCACCAATTACAGGACTCTATTCCCACTGTTCTCTCGATGTGTTAAATCAAATTGGTTTTGGTGAAATCAGTATTTCATAATTACATTATGATGACTATGTAAATATTGTTCTTAAGTTTACATTTGTAGCACAGTATCCTCATTTTTCCTGAAGTTTAGAAGATTGTCAGTGATAATTTCAAACTTCAGATATACAAAATAATCAACATATTTGAGTTCTTAATATGTTTAGATGTCACTCCTCCACCCTTCCATCCTTCTGCTCCCATCTCACTGGTTGCTCGCTGACTCCCTATTTTTGCTTTTCTCTGTTGGACTTCTTGTTCTCAGATTGCACGTCATTCTCCTTTATTTAAATACCCCATATTTGTCTAAGTCTTTTGTTAAGTTGTATATATCATGACCCTTTACCTCTAAACACTTCTGTATTTCCTAAAAATAGGAATATTCTCTTACTTAACTATAGTATGGTAGTCAGATTCAGTAAATGTAACATTGATACGATACTTTGATGTAATCTACTGCTAGTATTCTGATTTTATCAATTGAGTCAATTCTTTATAGCATGATTTTCCTCCAGTATTGCATGCAGTCTAGAATCATGTATTGCAATTAGTTGCCATGTCTCCTCAGTCCTCTTCAATATGGAAAGCCTCCTAAACCTTTCTTGCCTTCCATGACAATTACATTTTTAAAAGATACAGTGGCCGGGCACGGTGGCTCACACCCATAATCCCTGCACTTTGGGATCACCCGAGGTCAGGGGTTCAAGACCATCCAGCCTGATCAACATGGTGAAACCCAATCTCTACTAAAAATACAAAAATTAGCCAGGCGTGGTGGCGCATGCCTGTAATCCCAGCTATTTGGGAGGCTGAGGCAGGAGAATAGCTTAAACCCAGAAGGTGGAGGTTGCCCAGTGAGCCGAGATTGCGCCATTGCAACTCCAGCCTGGGCAACAAGAACGAAACTCTGTCTTAAAAAAAAAAAAAAAAAAAAAAAGAATACAGTTCCCCGACCCCCGACCTTTTATTAATAGAATTTTCTCATTTTGTGGTTTGTCTTATGTTCCACTGGTTTTAAAATTGTATTTCTTGTACCTTTCCAATAGCTATTTCTTATCTATTTTTCATATTCTTTTTTATTTTTTCTTGCTCCAATATCGGTTGTATTTTTCCTGTTCTTTGATTCCAAACATTATTTGTTTTATCCCAGTCCATTTTAGTTGTTACTATAGGTCTCAACTACTCATGCTGTCATGCTGAAATTTTGCTCAAATGACTGATGATCTTTTGCCTTCTATTTTAGAAGGGGATTTTAGGATGGGAGCTGGGATAGTATAATTGGCTACTGGTGGTGTAGAAACTAAGGAGGGGAAGAAGGTTACAGGTCCTTTGATTAGGTATGTGAACTTCTGATAATAGCGCTGGTCAAAGTCTAATGTTTACCATGTTTAATTCACAGAATAGTATATTTAAGATTCAAGGGACTCAGGGAAAAGAAAATGATGAATGGAGAGACCATTGCCCACTGTGGGGTAAGAGAGCGCGACCGTTTAGAACTTGATGGATTTTTCTCTTTTCAGAACTGCACTTTATCCCTGCCTTCCAAAACACTCAGTTTTTCCAAGTGGTGAGCTGCTCACAGCTTCACTGGATGATGTTCTGATGTCTTGTAGGGTCTTCACACTGTGGGCACATAGGCAGCACTTTCTCAGTCCTGCTTCATCAATCACTTCTCCATCTGCTTCCCATCCTTCACAATTTATTGAATTATGGCACAGTGATTGAGTGTATGACTTTAAAACAAGACTACTTGGGTTTCAATACTAACTTTGCCACTTACTGAATATGTGACAATCAGCAAATTGCTTAACGATTCCTCTTCTCCATATTCTTATCCAGAAAATGGAGGTAATAATAGGAATGTTATGGATGTCAACTGCTCTCAATTCTATTACTGTCTTTCCTACTCTCTGTACTTCAGGTTTTTTGCCTCTATAAATTGACTTCTTAAAAATTACTTTGCCATCATTTGTCTGAAGTTTGGAGAAGGAAGAGAGATTGATGCGTGTTGTTAACTCATCGGCCTTTAAGAAAAATTAATCCTTTTAATTTTACACTCTTAATTACTTTGTCATTTCTTTTCCTGAGCAATGAACTACTATGTAATTTATAAGTTCCCTTTAACACATTTAATTTTATATTAAGACCAGAAAAAAAAATCAGGATTTTTTATCTTTATAAAAAATACTCATTCTATTTTCTAAGATATTTTACTACAATTAATTATATGTATAAGGGTCATAAACTATTAAATCATTTATTTTTTGAGATACTGCTAGTTGTGTAAGAATTTATGTTAAGCATGAATTAAGGACACATTCTTAATATTATATAAGATTACAAAAGGGATTTTTTTACTGTATTAAACAGGTAAGCAGAACCTCTATAGTCTATGCACATTTTATAAAAATTGAGTTAAATATTTATAAAATGAAAGTTAAAAGCAGCACTTTTGAAAACCAGTTAATAATGAACAGCCATCAAGGGAGCTATCATTATAACAGCAAAATGCTTTGCAACTCCAATAGCGTCAGTGGTGGAGAACCAGGTCAAGCTTAATTAAGAATAGTCAAAGATAAACTGAGAAACTGAACTATAAAAGGCTGTCCTTGGCCAGGTGTGGTGGCTCCTACCTGTAATCCCAGCACTTTGGGCGGGGGATGCTGAGGCAGGCAAATCACCTGGGGTCAGGAGTTCAAGACCAGCCTGACCAACATAGAGAAACCCCATCTCTACTAAAAATACAAAATTAGCCAGGCGTGGTGATGTATGCCTGTAATCCCAGCTTCTTAGGAGGCTGAGGCAGGAGAATCATTTGAACCCAGGAGGCGGATGTTAAGGGCCATTACACTCCAATTTGGGCAACAAGAGCAATACTCCATCTCAAAAAAAAAAAAAAAAAAAAAGGTGTCCTTTGCAAGGAGCTGAAGGCAAAAAGAAAGCAAAGTAGAACCTTGAAATTACCAATGAATTGGTAAGCCTTACTGCCTGGAACTTGTAATTCGCTGTCAGATTTTAGTATCAATTAAAGTAGATTAATAGAGCAATCATTTATTCTCTTATATCCCTCTTCATCATCCCCCTGTATAGGCTCCCATGAAAGCTGGAAGCCAGAGTGGGTCAAAAATTCAATTCATTTCTCTGCTCAATCACTTTTTAATAATGCTGGCATCTACATTTACTGGACACCAGAATTCTGATTTCTTAAAAACAGGAATATATGTAGTTATTGACAGGCTATAGCCCTCATTTCCAAAGAGGCTTAACTCCTTTTTATTCAACTGAGGAAAAAATTCCCTGCAATGTGAGCACTGAGCAATTTACATCTCCTTTTACCACTAGGGGCTACCATGGTGAAGTGAATAATAAAGAGGATATAACAAATTTATTATTACTTTAAATGCTCAGATTAATGTAGATCTGCAGAAACAGTACCACAAGGACAAAAAAAAATTACCCTCGATCATTTTATTTTATAATAATGTTCCTCAATGAAGCTAAAGCCTCCCTGCTGTGACTTTCTTTTTTAAACATCAGTGACAAATAGATTCCTCCAAATTGTAAGACAGCTCATGAAATAGCAGGAATATTTCAGTAAAGGATTAATTACTTTTTAGCAGTAATTTTGAACTTTAAATGACTATAGCACAGCCTATGTAAACAAGAAGACAGATCAGCTTATTAAAAAGCAGTGTGCAGGCCGGGCACGGTGGCTCACACCTGTAATCCCAGCACTTTGGGAGGCCAAGGCAGGGGGATCACAAGGTCAAGAGATCGAGACCATCCGGGCCAACATGGTGAAACCCCATCTCTACTAAAAATACAAAAATTAGCTGGGCGTGGTGGCACATGCCTGTAGTCTCAGCTACTCGGGAGGCCAAGGCAGGAGAATCACTTGAACCCAGGAAGAGGAGGTTGCAGTGAGCCAAGAAAGCAGTGTGCAGGTTATCTAGACCACAAAAAGCTGAGATAAACTGTTCTGTTTTCTTACACTCTTTATGTCTGCACAGTGTCTCATCAAAGAGCAAGTACCCAAGACACTGTTTTAGAAGATGCAAACACCAAAACTGAAAACAGAATTTTGTCACCAACATAAATGTGAAAACTGAAAACATATCTAGGAAATTTGAAAATTGCTTATGGGTTAAATCCTACTCATTGTAACCTGATTACAAAATCTTTGATTATGATAGAAACTGCAAGGTTTAAATGAAGATAGACACAGGAAAAGAGTATAGATGTTATAAATGTAGCATATTATTATTACATTTATGAAATACTCTGATTTGTCAAGTGCTTTTATATCCATATGTTACTCAATCCTGGCCATAATCTTAGTAAGACATGAGTTCAAGCAGGCATTGATATCTTACAAATGCTGCAGTAATGAAGACTGAGGCTCACTCAGGCAGGTTAGATAGTTAGCACCAGGTTATACGAACAGCCGAACCTACCTAATAATGTAGCCAATTGTTCTTTCACTTTAATATTTATGAGAACTTCCAAGTTTTAAAATGCAAATCATTAAGCTGTAATACAATCAGCCTTGACAGAGAATACAATTTTCATTTCCATCTGCTGCATTCAGGCAGGAACATCTTATCTGTGCAAGTACGGGAGTTACATGAATCAATGGGCCTTTAGAAAATGCAAGCACTTAGGTGTGCTTCATTTGAATGACTGTCCACATTGCGCCCCTGTAGGACTCCACAGCGATCTAAAGGATGGATAACGGAGATCACTGTAAGGAAGCTGTCTGGAAAGCTTCTTCAAAAAGGGCGCATGAGTTGAAAGACACATTCCTTTTTGTGTGGGGACTTTCCTTCCTGAAGAGAGACTGAGTTGGGGTGAAGTTTGGGCCAAGTAGTCAATTCAATGGAATTGACTTCAAGAGAGATATAACTGGGGGTCAAGGTGAGGGAGTCGTGAAATGAGTTAGAAAAATGAGAAAGGATCTTTGAAGGCTGGGATTACAAGAAAAGGGAATAAGTAGTACAACTGAGAAGGGTGGATATGTTTTAAAAAGTGCTCAGATATCAGTGTGATGAGTGAAGTAATAATTAGGAGCAAAAAAACTAAAAAAAATGAAGCTTATTTTATATAAATCAAATATTGTCATTGATTTGGATATTTTCACTTTTTAAAGCTATTTTCAGTTATTTAACATTAGCAAATTAAAAGCTGCCAGATATTATTTTACCTCAGCATCAAAATTAGTATCAATTATTATACTGATAATAGCAAAAACAATAATGGCATTCACTGGGTTGTGACTATATATGCCAGACACTTTCCTAATGACCCTATGGTATTAACTATTATTTATAATAAAGTTATTACTTCTATTTTAAATGTCAAGATAATAACATACAGCAACTTTGGGTAACTTGCCCGAGAGAAACTACAAAACTAGGAAATGGCAGACTCAGAAACATTTAGCTCCACAGCATTTACTCTTACCATTTTTTAGGCCATTATCTGTAAATAGTGATCTGCTTGCCCATTTGCATTTTGGTAAACCCAAGAATTTATGTAAATTTTACATCAGAATGATACCGCTTGAATATTCACAAATTACTTTGGGTTGGAACAAAGCCTGTTTTGCTTTCTGAGATAACGGGATGTAAACGAAAAAGTGTCTGAGACAGATCTCTTATCAATTTAGAAGTTTCTTCTTCCAAGGTTAAAGACATGGCTGGGCGACAGAGGTCTGTGCCTTTCTCCAAAAATATTTTAGGGTTTCAGTGTTTAGAAGAGAAAAGCAGGCTGCGGGGAAAAGAGGGAGAGTATGGTCACGTTGCTGAATCCACATGTTGCAAGAGAAAACAAACAGGTAAAGGAATAGTCAGTTATATATTTTTCTCCTGCTCAGTAAATCAGCACTTTAAGTAAGATGAGATGAACATAGAGTAGCTACCTGTGGAGAAATTTAACTATTTATCAGTAGCTGTCTGCTCAGGAAAAAAAAAGAAAGGCAGTTTCTTGCATGACTCAGCTTTCAGCTTAACTTTTCCTTTTGGCATAGTGAATCGGCATTCCAAGTTTTTATTTTCCTTTCTCAGGGAAGAAAACACATTTTGTATTTTTTGTATGGTGATCATTTTGTTATGAAATTCATTAATAACACTAAATGACTATCCATAAGAATCATGATCAATTGCCCCAGTGCCCTCCTCTGTCCTGCTGGTATCTGTTCTTGTGGACTGTGTTATAATCACCATTTTGACCAGTGTGCTTTTGATTTGCATTTCTCTATTAACGAGGTTGAGCATGTTTTCATGTTTACTGGTGGCTGTTACATCTTTTCAGCAGTGTGTATTCATGTCTCTAACCATTAATTGGACTTTTTGATCTGATTTAAGGACTTAAGGTAGATCGTACATATTAGACCTTTGTCAGATGTAGTTTGGGAACATTTGCTTCCATTGTGAAGGCTGTCTGTTTACTCTGTTGGTAATATCTTCTACTGTGCAGCCACTCTTTCATGTATTAGGTCTCACTTGTCAATAATTGTTTTTATTTCTATTGCTTTTAGGGACTTAGACATACACATGCTTTGCCAAAGCCTTTGTCAAGAAGGGTATGGCCTAGGTTATCTTAAAGGATTTTCATAGTTTGCGGTCTTGCATTTAAAACTTTGATTCATCTTGAGTTAATTCCTGTATATGGTGAGATGCAGGGGCCAAGGGAGGGGAGATTCTATTTGCATGGAGGGTGACAGACTTACACCTTTGCTTACATACACAAGAGTTAGAATCCATGCTTGGGTAAGTACTTTGAGATCGTATGAATACAGATATCATGTTAGAGCGGAATAATTATGAAAATGTCTTCTTATGTATAGCACTCTGTGCTTTTTAAATTGCTTTCACTGCTGTCACATCAAACCTCTTCACACTTCTGTAGGATAGATAAGGCGCAATTATTTCTCTGTTATGTAGATGGGGAAACAGAACTAGGCAGGGGTAGTGACCTGCCCAGTCTAACAGTGTTTGAGTGGTAATCAGGACTAAAGTGGAGGAATTTTCATTTGAGAAGTTTAGCAGTGAGAGTCCATCTTAGGTTTTTGGACCAATGGAGAGATCTCTGCTTTTCTGTTGGATACAACTGACAATGCTAGAAGAGATATTCACTGGAGGGAGGCCCCAGGGAGGAAATAAGGAACAAACCTTCTGCCTGTATTAAGCATTTACTGTCACAAGTGTAGTCGTACATGTTCCAAGATCACGGATGGGAAGAAAGAGGAGCTCTTCACCCTCAGCTCCAAGAGAAGTGAGGATGCTTTGGGAACAGACATCATTGTAAAATCACGCAAATCTGAGTGTGCTTAAGGGATTTTATACCAGGTGGTCTTAGGTTCTAGTAAGGTAAGAGGTAAGGTCAGGCATCTACCAAGAGTGCATGAAGGATCGGGAGCTTGGAAAGTGTGAAGAAAGTTTGAGATAGTTGTTGTGTGCTTAAAATTAACTAAAGATGAATCAAAGGACTGACCCCTTTCATTGACAGCAGGGACTTTGTTATCTCCTGTATCCCCAGCACCTAGTATACAAATTGCATGTAGCAGGTGCTTGGTAAATATTTGTGGAATAAGGCAGATCAATAATACCATGAGGCTGACTAATCCTGTGCTATCCCCATAATAGTCTTCAACTTCTCTTCACTTTTCCATTCATTTCCCTATATTATTTGAACACATGAATGAAGAAAGGAGTGAGTTCCTCACTGAACTACAAGTCTTTTTAAGAACAGGAGGTAACATTCCCTGCAGCTCAAGTTTTATGCGTAGAGGTTAAAGGAAGTAGAATAATGTGGAATGGTATCTGCCATTTTTATATCCATTCTTTGAGAACTGAACAGTGACCTTTTTTTAGAGACAAGATATGTCCCATCATTCTAGGCTAATGGTTTGTGGGTCATAGTTCCAATGGCTATTAGAAGGTATGATGTGCCTGCTTGCATTCTAAATCTTTCAGTTTTTATTTCTAACCTGCTGAGTCCATGGTTACAATCACTAAATTAATCACCTGTTTGAAATTTGCTCTCATTTTTATTTATTCATTCATTTATTAATTCATCTACTTACCTGTCAGCATGAGGAGACTCAATAAAATGTGGTAGAGTCATATAAAGGAACGCTATAGAAAATACAAAATGTATGAAACACAGACCAATTGTATCAAAGTGGAGAAAACTGGAAAATGTAAGTCTGAGCACACAAAACAAAGTTGCACACAGTGATGTACACTGTAGAACCAATTATATAAAAGGTTAGGACACAGAAAAAATTCTGCATATTATTTATGGCCATTCACAAGAGTAGTAAAATATTTTTCATGTGACTAGGAATGAGAAGCCACTAATTCTTGGTGTTTCCAGGACCTATGCAATTGTTTTTAAAACAAGCCTAACCCTCAAATCTTTCAGAATCAGTTTTAAAACACTGTGTCTACTAGTCATGAATATACGATTATTTTTTCAGTTTTAATAATCAAAGATCACACACACATACACACATACACACACAGCTGGCTCATCAGAGTATCTAACTGGCTTAAGATTGGTTTGTAAATGTCACATCTCAGATTCTACAAAAAGTGTGTTTCAAATTTGTTAAATCAAAACACAGGTACCATTCTGTGACATAAAAAAAGGATATCACAAAGTGATTTCACAGGTTGTTTGTTTCTTATTTTTATGGTTAAATATTTGCATTTTCTTATAAGGGCTCAATTCATTCTAAAACATCACTACTTATATTCTACAAAAAAAAAGTGTTTCAAACTTGTTTAATCAAAACACAGGCACCATTCTGTCACATGAAACAGCACAACACAAAGCATTTTACCAGATAGCTTTTTTCTGGTTTTTAGGAGTGGATATTCGTTTTTTGTTTGTTTTTTTACTAAGGGCTCAATAGGCTCAGAAATGTCACTTCTTAGATTCTACAGAGTGTTTCAAACTTTTTGAATCAAAACATGGTTATCATTTTGTGACATAAAACAGCACATCACAAATAGTTTTCAAAGATAGCTCCTTTCTAGTTTTTAGAATCTGATATTCATGTGTACCTATAAGGGCTCAAATGCTCAGAAATATAACTTCATAGATTCTGCAATAAGTATGTTTAGAAACTATTTCAACAAAACAAAGGTTCAATTCTGTGATAGAAAACACATCACAAAGGATTTTCACAAAAAGCTTGTTTCTCATTTTTATGGCTAAATATTTGCATTTTCTTATAATGACTCAATAGGTTCAAAACATCACTTGTTAGATTCTACAGAGTGTTTCAAACTTGAATCAAAACACAGATTCCATTCCATGACACAAAGCAGCATATCACAAAGCATTTTCACAGATAGCCTTTGCTTGTTTTTAGGACTGGATATTTGTATGTTTCTATAAGGGCTCAAGTTTGAAAATGTCACTTCTTAGATTCAAGAGTGTTGGAAACTTGTGTGTTGTTCAACTCAAAACACACGTTTCATTCTGTGACATAAAAAAGCACCTCACAAAGTGTTTTTGAGACAGTTTCCAGTTTTAAAACTGGGTATTTGAGTGCTTCTATAAGGGCTCCATAGGCTCATAAGTGTCACTGTTAGATTTTACAAAAAGAGGGTTTGGAAGTTGTTTCATCAAAACACAGGTTTCATTCTGTGACATAAAATGCAAATAACAAAGTATTTTCACAGATTTTTCCTAGTTTTTGTGGCTGGATATTCATATTTTCTTATAAAAGATCAACAGATTTGTAAATGTCACTACGTAGGTTCTAGAAAAAAAAGTGCTTTGAACTTGCCAAATCAAAACACAGGTATTATTCTTTGACATAAAACAGCACACCACAAAGCGTTTTCACAGCTAGCTTGTTTCTAATTTTTATGGCTAATATTTGAATTTTTTATAACGGCTCAATAGGTTCTCAAATGTCACTTTTTAGATTCCATAAAAAGAAAGTTTCAAACTTGCTGAATTGAAACCCCAGTACCATTCTGAGACATAAAACAGCATATCAGAAAGCGTTTTACCAGATAGCTTGTTTGTAGTTTTTAGGATTGGATATTCGTATTTTCCTGTAAGGGTTCAATAGGCTCCAAAATGTCACTTCTTAGATTCTACAAAAAAGTGTTTTGGAAGCTGTTTCATCAAAATGCAGGTTCCATTCCATAACATACAACAGCATACCACAAAGTGTTTTCACAGATTGCTTGCTTCTAGCTTTTAGGGCTGAATATTCGTATTTTTTAATCAAGTCTCAATAGGTTCAAAAACTTCACTTTTTAGATTCTACAGAGTGTCTTGAACTTGTTGAATCAAAACATATGTATTATTCCGTGACAAAAAGCAGCACATCACAAAGCATTTTCACAGATGGCTTGCTTCTAGTTTTTAGAACTGGATATTCATATGTTTCTATAAGGGCTCAATAGGGCCAGAAATGTCAACTATTAGATTCTAAAAAAAAACCTGTTTGGAAGCTGTTTCATCAAAAGGCAGGTTCCATTTTTATGACATAAAACAGCATGTCACAAAGCGTTTTCACCAAGAGCTTGTTTCTAGTTTTTGGAACTGGATATTTGTATGTTCCTATAAAAGCTCAATAGGCTCAGTAATGTCACTTCTTAGATTCTACAGTGTTTGAAAGTTGCTTTGTCAAAACACAGGTTCAATTCTGTGATATGAAACCACATCACAAAGCGTTTTCACAGGTAGGTTTTTTCCTAATATTTAGGACTAAATATTAATATTTTATTATAAGGGCTCAATAAAAATAGAAAATGTCACTTCCTAAGATTCTACAAAAAGAGTGTCTGGAACTTGTTGACTAAAAACACAGGTTCCATTCTGTTACATAAAACAGCATGTCATAAAGCATGTTCTCAGCTAGCTTGTTTCTAGTTCTTAAGACAGGATATCCATATGCTCCAATAAGGGCTCAAGAGGCTAGGAAATGTCACCTTTTAGATTGTATAAAAAAGTGAGTGGAAGCTGTTTCATCAAAATGCAGGTTCAATTCTGTGATATAAAACAGCACATCACAAAGCATTTTCACAGAGAGCTTCTAATATTTATGACTAAATATTTGCATTTTCTTATAAGGGCTCAATAGGTTTGAAAATGTCACTTCTTACATTCTACAAAAAGTTTTGAAAGTGTTGAATAAAAACAAAGATTCCATTTTGTGACATAAAGCAACATGTCACAATGCAATTTCATAGCTTTTTTTCTCATTTTTAGGACTGGATATTCACATCTTCCTATAAGGGCTCAGTAAGATTGGAAATGTCACTTTGTTAGATTCTACAAAAAGAGTGTTTGGAACTTGTCAACTCAAAACACAGGTTCCATTCTGTGACATAAAACAGCACATCACAAAGTGTTTTCACAGATATCTTATTTCTAGTTTTTAGGGCTGGATATTCATATTTTCTTATAGAAGCTCAATAGGTTTGGAAACATCACTTCTTACATTCTACCAAAAGAGTGTTTCAACTTTGGTGAATCAAAACACAGGGACCAGTCTGTGACATAAAACAGCACTTCACAATGCATTTTCACATATAGCTTGTTTCTAGTTTTTAAGACTGAATATCCATATGTTCCTATAAGGGCTTAACAGGTTTGGAAATTTCACTTCTTAGATTCTACAGAAAGAGTGTTTGAAAATTCATTCTGTGATGTAAAATAGCACATAACATTGCATTTTCAGAGATAGGTTTTTCTTCTCATTTTTAGGAGTGGATACTTGTATGTTCGTCTAAGAGCTCAATAAGCTCAGAAATGTCACTTTTTATATTCTAGAAAAAGTGTTTAGAACTTGCTAAATCAAAACGTAGTTTCCATTTTGTGACATAAAACATCACGTCACAAAGCATCTTCAGAGATAACTTGTTTCTAGTTTTTGGGGATGGATATTTTTACTTTTTTAATAAAAGTTCAATAGGTTTGGAAACAGCACTTCTTAGATTCTACATCAAGAGTGTTTTGAACTTGTTGAATCAACACAGGAACCGTTCTGTGACATAAAACTGCATGTCCCAAAGCATTTTTACAGGTAGCTTGTTTCTAGTTTTTTGGGACTGGATTTTGCATTTTTTTTGTAAGAACTCAATTGACTTGGAAATGTCACTTCTTAGATTCTACAGAAAGAGTGTTTGGAAGCTGTTTCATCAAAACTCTGGTTCCATTATTTGATATAAAAAAATACATCACAAAGCATTTTCGACAGATAGCTTGTTTCTCGTTTTTAGGGTTATTCATATTTTTTATAAAACTCAATAGGTTTGGTGACATCACTTCTTAGATTATACAAAAAGAGTGTCTCACAGTTGTTGAATCAAAACACAGGTACCATTCTCTGACATAAAACAGCATATCACAAATGGTTATCACAGATAGCTTGTTTCTAGTTTTTAGGACTGGATTATGTATATGTTCCCATAAGGCCTCACTGCCTTAGAAACATCACTTCTTAAGAGTCTACAAAAAAAGTGTTTGGAAACTGTTTAATCAGTATACAGGTTCAATTTTGTGATATGAAACAGCAAAAAGTGTTTTCGCTGATAGCTTGTTTCTAGTTTTTATAGCTGGATATTTGTATTTTCTTATAAGGGCTCAATAAGGTCAAAAACGTCACTTCTTAGATTCTACAAAGAGTTCAGAACTTGCTGAAACAAAACACAGGTTCCATTCTGTGACATAAAATAGCACATCACAAAGTGTTTTTACAGATAGCTTGTTTCTAGTTTTTATTACAAGATATTCATACGTTACTGTAAATGCTCAATAGATTCGAAATGTCACTTCTTAGATTCTACAAAAAGAGAGTTGGGAACGTGTTTTTATCAAAATGCAGGTTCAATTCTGTGTTATAAAACTGCACGTCAAAAAGTGTTTTCCAAGATAGCTTGTTTGTAGACTTTAGGACTGGATGTTTGTATGTTCCTATAAGGTCACAATAGGCTCAGAAATGTCACTTCTTAAGATTCTACAATAGTGTTTTGAATCTGTTTCATCAAAACATAAGTTCATTTCTGTGATATAAAGCATCACATCACAAAGTGTGTTGACAGATAGCTTGTTTCCAGCAGTTAGGGCTAAATATTCATGTTTTCTTATTATGGCTCAAAAGGTTTGGATACATCACTTTTTTAGATTCTACAAAAAGAGTGTTTGGAACCTGTCTCACAAAAACACAGGTTTAATTCTGTGTTATGAAACAGCATAGCAAAAAGTATTTTCAGTCAGGCATGGTGGCTCACGTCTGTAATCCCAGCACTTTGGGAGGCTGAGGCAGGCGGATCACGAGGTCAACAGATCAAGACCATCCTGGCCAACATGGTGAAACCACATCTCTACTAAAAATACAAAAATTAGCTGGGCGTGGTGGTGCACGCCTGTAGTCCCAGCTGCTAGGGAGGCTAACGTAGGAGACTTGCTTGAACCCAGGAGGCAGAAGTTGCAGTGAGCCGAGATCACACCACTGCACTCCAGCTTGGCAACACAGCAAGACTCTGTGCCAAAAAAAAAAAAAAAAAGCATTTTCACAGATAGCATGTTAGGACTAAATATTCATATTTTCTTATAAGGGCTCAATAGGTTTGGAAATGTCACTACTTAGATCCTACAAAGAGTGCGTTGAACTTGCTCAATCAAAACAAAGTTTCCAATCTGTGACACTAACAGATCAGAAAGCGTTTCCACGCATTGCTTGTTTCTAGTTTTTAGAGGAAAATATTCGTATTTTCTTTTAAAGGCCTCAGAGGTTTGGGAATGTCACTTCTCAGATTCTACCAAAAGAATGTGTTGAACCTATTGAATTAAAACACAGGTTTCATTCCGTGACATAAAATAGCACATCCCAAAGCATTTTGACAGATAGCTTGTTTCTAGCTTTTAAAACTGTATGTTTGTATAAGGGCTCAATAGGCTCAGAAATGCCACTTCATAAATTCTACAAAAAAAAGTGTTCAGAACCTGTTTAATCAACACACAGGTTCAACTTTATGATACAAAACAGAACATCACAATGCATTTGCACGGATGGCTTGTTTCTAGTTTTTAGGACTGAATATTTCTATTTTTTAATAAGGGCTCAAGAAGTTCCAAAACGTTACTTCTTAGATTCTACAAAATGAGTAATTTCAACTTGTTCAATCAAAACACAAGTTCAATTTTATGATATAAAACAGCACCTCACAAAGCATTCCACAGATAGCTTATAGCTTATTTCTAGTTTTTACAACTGGATATTCATATTTTCTTATGAAAGCTCAATAGGATCAAAATAATCAATTCTTAGATTCCACAAAAAGAGTGTTTTGAACTTGCTGAATCAAAACACAGGTTGCATTCTGTGACATAAAACAGCACATCAAAAAGCATTTTCACAAATAGCTTTTCTATAGTCTTTGTTTGTTTGAGACAGAGTTTCGCTCTTGTTGCCCAGGCTGGAGTGCAATGGCGCGATCTCGGCTCACTGCAACCTCGGCCTCCCAGGTTCAAGCAATTCTCCCACCTCAGCTAGGAACTCCATCAAACAAACCTGCCTCCCATTTTATTTCTAAATAAGATAACTATTATTTGGCTTAGTGGGGTGTCCCGGAGATTTATTTTCCTTTAACAAAGGATATGAAATTATCCTGCTCTGCTCACTATAACTTTTCTGTATTGAAACATCACTATGTCCCTGTGAGTATATACAATTATTTGTCAATAAAGAAAAAAAAAACCCAAATAATAAAATAAAAAAATAACTACAAAGATTTCGAAAGCTATATACCTCCCTCATAATTTGTCAGAAAGGAAATTTCTTGTGGGCCTCAAGATCTTTACACTAAAACAGTTCTGTTGAATTTGACCCTGGCAATATAAATTGGCAATTGATAGATTATCTTTACAGGTGGGGGACAAAGGACAGAACCCAAAGTCATCCCTCTCCTCACCTGAGACAAATGTGTATCTGATTGGCTTTCTCTGCCCAGTTTTTTATGTAAAAATGCAGATTCACTAAGCCAGACTCAGGCATAAGTGACTATTCCTCTATGGCATCTTGCATGTAAATTGTGTATTCAGTGAAAGGATAATCAGAAACTCAAAAGAATGCAACCGTTTGTCTCCTATTTACCTATGAACTGGAAGCACCCACCCCCAACCCTGCTTCAACTTGTCTCACCTTTCTAGAGAGAAGCAATGTACATCTTACACATATTACACTGAAGTGTAATAAAATGTAACAAAGAGAAGTTTTCAGCCTAATGAGCTAAATAATTTTTAAAAAGTGGAAACTGGGTTCAAAGAAATTCAGTAATTATATTAAATGACACCAATAATGTGAGCTCGATTTAAGAGTACCCAGCAACACTTAAATTCTTATGAAAGCAAATGCTCTATTGGTTCCGTTGGCTTTGTTGATTACATATCCACTAAGGTATTAAAAATATTCAGCACCTTAGTGACCAGTGACCCCACTCCTGAGTTTCTAATTTGAACAACTTCTAAATATCCAAATCATATTTTTAAGTAATATAGTACCCGGAAATCAAAGATTAAATCTAAGCTACACTTAAGCTTGATCACTTCTCCTTTATTACAGTTAGAAACATTCTTTGTTTTATAAATTTTTACTTATTTTGAGACAGGGTCTCACTCTGTTATCCAGGCTGGATGGAGTGCAGTGGCACGATCTCGGCTCACTATACCCTTGACCTCCCAGGCTCAAGCGATTCTCCTGCCTCAGTCCCCCAAGTATCTCAGACTGCAAACACATGCCACCACGCCCGGCTTATTTTTATCGTTTTTGTAAACATGGGTTTCGCCATGTTGCCCATGCTGGTCTTGAACTGTTGAGCTCAAGCAATCCACCCGCCTTGTCCTCCCAAAGTGCTGGGATCATAGGTGTGAGCCATTACGCCAAGCCTTTATTTTTGTCTGTCCTATTATGTAGCCCTTTACTGTTTTCCAGAGAGGTGAAGTATTTTGCACATATGCATTATGTCTCCGAAATGTCATTACGCTAGCACAAAAAAACTGAGATGAACTCATAATTTATAGTATTGCCTCAACCCGAATATCTATACAATTTTGAAAACATTCACCCTAGCGACTATTAAAACTAACTTGAATAAGAAACAGTAAACTACTAGTATGTGATATTATCTTTCAAACACTTCTAAAAGTATAAGCAATGTATGAGGAAATGGGGTACAGTTTGGTGTCTCTCCCCAACTCCACATACATACCAGGATCTGGGGGAAAAAAAGCTGTCCTTAGAGAATGATATTATTTAAATCAACATGTAATTGGCAGAGCTAGTGTATGTCCCATGACCTGTGGACCCATCTACTTTACTGTAGATTAGTTAATGCTAATGTTGCCACAAGTGAAGAAGAATGCATCATGGGATGCTCATCAAGAAATATGCAACCCCTGCTGACACAGCTCCCTACATGTCACCTTCTCTATTGCACATGCAACATTGATGTAGGAATTAAAAAGAAATTATTTAGGCAGATACTGAAAGTAAGGAAGTCCTAGTGTAAAGTTTTCCTACTAATGAAAAAAAAAACCCATATCATTTATTTTCTAACAAAGAGCATCTTGTAAAATTGGGCTGCAGACATTGATAAGCTCTCATAGGAATGCCAGCAGCTGTGCCAATAGGAAAAGGCTACCTGTGGGCCAGGCATGTTCAACATGGTGGCTCCATCTTCCCTTTTCTCTGTCAACCACAGGTACAGTAAGGAACAGACAATATGGTCCTGGTAAGGTAAAGAACCCATCTGCATAATAAAAGATTAGGGTGCAATGGCCAGCTTCTCCCTGTGCTATGCAAACGTTCACACCTGGTCCAACCAGTCTCTAGAGCCCTGTGTAAATCAAGACACCACCTCCTCAAGCTCCTTTATAAAACCTTGTGCTTTTCACCACAAAACCGGAAGACCCACTCAGGTGCCCCTCTCTCTTTCTGCAGGAGAGAGAGCTGTTCTCTTTTCTCTTTCTTTCACCTATTAATCATCCACTCTTGAACTCACTTCTTGTGTGTCCACATCCCTGATTTCCCTGGTGTGAGATGACAAACCTCAGGTATTACCCCAGACAAACAATGCTGCCTCAACATTCTTTCAAATCTCAATTCAATTGTGTTGTTTCAGAAAAAGCCATTGTTCAGGGGTCCACAAACTATACCCTGCAGTCAAAATGTGGCCCACCACTTGTTTCTGTAAATAAAGTTTATTGGAACACAGCGCCATTCACTCATTTAAACATTACTGATGCTGCCTTGGTATGACTTCAGAGTTTAGTTGTCAGAGACCACATGCTGAGCAAACCTGAAAATAGTTACTATTTCATCCTTTACAGGAAATGTTTGCTGATCTCTGAATTCCAATGTAATTTTCCTGTATATAAGATAAAAGATTTTGGTTCTAAAACAAAATATTAAGTCCATCTTTAAGCTATCATATATTGAAAAGGACTATACATTTTACAGCAAACATACAGGGAATAAGGCAAGCTAATGTGAGTCTATAACAAGATTGCATTGCATATAATTAAAGAAGAACAACATTTGTTACAATCTAATATATGAACTATAATTTTTAAAATTTACATAGGATGCTGGTAGAGCAGGATTATTTACAGGACACATGAGTAGATTGAGCCTTTATAAAGAAGAAAGTGCTCAAAGGCTTTAGAGGTACCTAGCACCAGCAACACATTATGTTTTATTTCACTCTTAATAAGCTTGTCTCCAATCTGACAATTAAGAGGAAGTTATTTTGCAATTAATTTAACCATAGTTGGAAAATACTACTTTTCTTTTAATTTCTAGACATTTTCTACTAATTACAGCATCAGGCTTGATAACAGCAATATTGTAGGATTACTCTAGAAAAAAATTTTTAAAAAGAATTTCATTTTCTTGGCACAAAGTCTGGATAAAGAAGAATATGGCAAGTAGCACTGTAAATTCCTTACCAACAGTGAATTGTTGCCCATTGACAGCTGTGTCTCTTATTATGGCATTTCAACTACCAAAGAGTTTCTACCTAGAATCAAACTGCAGTTCCCATATTTGCATGCCAGGGAAACATTCCCAAGAGTTTTTAATCAAAAGGCAACAAAACTTGAGTAGACAGGCATTGGTGGTTTGAATGCAATTCCCACACATAAGTATAGCACCTATGATCCCTTCAGCACGCTTATCACCAGTGAGTGCAGTCTTAACCAAGAATCATACAAGTAAAAATTACTGACAGATTTACCATCTATGAACGTATCAACATTCTTATAATGAGTATTTAGTGCAAGATTACTCCTTTGGCTGTGGCTATTTTCCTCTGCTCCCTCCAGAGTATGAACACATACACCCCACACCTTCACACAGATAATCCAGTGAAGGCATGAAATTGTTAACTGCAAAGTAAACCAAGAGTATGGGTGGTCACAAAGGAAGAAATTATCTTCAGAAATTTTTGGAAGATGCTGAAGAATGAAATAGGAAGCCGCTGTCCAGATTAGTCACAGGAAACAGGAGTCCACTGTCCTGAGTAACCTCTGAAAGGCTCCAGGCCCAGAACCAAAGGTAAAGCAAGTGAGGAAAAGAGGGTGCTTTTGAATAGTTGAGCCTCGCAAGGCACAAATCATCATTTATCCGAACAATTTCTCATTGATAAACATTGTTGTTACCCAGTGTTTTGCTGCAACAAGTGATGCTGTGATAACCACCCATGTACAGAAAACCCTTTGCCTTAAATTTACTTAAAACACTCATAAGATGCTTCCCCACCATCTTCTGAATCTAAATCTACTAATGCAATTTCAGGATACTATGAAAAAGCAGGCAATACAAGGAGAATGGAGTTATGTGTTAATATTACAGTGAAAGAGTTTTTAGAAACGTAGGTAGTGAATATTTATAACCTAAGAAACAGAAGATAAAGTGGAAGGGTACCTGCATTTATTACATCTAACATTACTGTCCCTTTAGTCAACTTGCTCACACACACAATTCTTTACAAAGTTAATTTTCATAAACCTTCTATAACTTGCTTAAACTTTATTTTCTTACAACTAAAAATAATTCTTAAACTTTCTAAATTTGCCAAAACTCACTTTTTGGAAAAAACCATATTCCCACCCCTTTTAAAACCAAAAACACATAATTTTTCTTTTCAATGTAAGCAGTTTCAATTACATACCAGGTGCAGAGTCCAGGATACATGACAGAACTGCAGATAAAGTCTAACTCTTCCAGCATAGCTAGGAGACATGGCTAACTCCACCTCTCCCCAGGCCTTACCTAGAAATCTAACAGTTCCAAATTAGGTAAACTGAACAATTTTCCAAAGTCAAAGAAGCAGTTTATGACATTAAAGCACTTAGCCAATTTAACCTCTGACTTAATTTAGACCAAATGTCTACTTTTTGAAGACTTTTTACCACCAATAATTTTAAAACTCTCATTTCCCAAAGATTGCTGAAGTCACGTGAAATAAAAGGCATTAGAGCTTCTATTTTTCTGACAATTTTAGAGCTTTCATTATCTTTTAATCCAATTAATTAGAGCTCCTTCATATAAACATCACACATACGACACTTCTAGACAGGAGAGGATCTACCAGGCGTAAGCTTTTCTCTCCCATCTTATGACTTTCTGACTTGTCCTATATTTCCTGCTTTCCTAATTAGTCATTATCTACTTTAGTGCAAGAATTTGCCATACAAGATCCTAAGATTTCTCTCCTTCATAACTTACCTTACCATAAATACATGTTCATATCCACAACTTTCTTTAGCTCTCCCCTACTAATTTTTGATGCCCACCCAAATCAAAAAAAAAGTCAGGTAAAGCAAAGCAAAACAGAGCAGAGCCTTGGATTTTGAGATGGACCTGTCTGCTTACAGTTCTTGGGGTTCCAAGAGGAAAACAAAGGTTTCTCCTAAAATGAGGTCTGTGGCACCTTCTGTTTTGCACAAGGAGTCCCAGGCTGTCAGAAATTACCTTAGGTCCTTTCGTGTGGGTAACAAGAGTGGCAAGACAGACAGACTATGGAAATAATTCAGTCAACTGAGAAGAAAAAGAAAACCTTAGTACTGTCCCCATTGTACAGATGGAGAAGCTGGGACCCAAAGCACCATGCAGTTTAAAAATTCATGTTCACAGCCGGGCATAGTGGCTGCCTGTAATCCCAGCACTTTGGGAGGCTGAAGTGGGTGGATCACGAGGTCAGGAATTCGAGAACAGCCTGGCCAACATGGTGAAACCCCAACTCTACTAAAAACACAAAAATTAGCCAGACATGGTGGTGTGCACCTGTAATCCCAGCTACTGGGGACGCTGAGGTAGGAGAATTGCTTGAATCTGGGAGACAGAGGTTGCAGTGAGCCAAGATCACACCACTGCACTCCAGCCTGGGCGACAGAGTGAGACTCCATCTCAAAATAAATAAATACATACATACTTATATAAAATTCATGTTCACATAGAGTGAGGCTCTACAGCTCACTCTCTTAACCATCCTGTAATTCTGCCAACTCTATGCCCAGTCACTGATGCACTTGGTATGGCAGCTCATGGTCCCCTTAGAGCTTAGAACCTGGGTTTCATTTCCTGCTCTACAGCTATATAATTTAACAATTTTCCTCTGAATTTGTTGGATTCTAACCCTATAAATCTCCAATCTTAATATTACTGAACCTTAAAGGGGGCTGTGACATCTTTAGTCTTTAAAAATATTAAACACCCTATAAACAAAGGACTACATGAGATTAAAGCATATTCAAACTTCTATATGCTTTAAAGCATTGAGGCAATGCATTGACAAATACACCTAACAAACTGCAACCAATTTCTATCTCTTCAAAATAACTATCTCTTCAAAATAAGCTATCTAGCGGTACTTAGGCATATTCTCACGTGTCAACAGGATTTTACATGATCGTAACCTTATAAATCATTAAAAAGTGTCAAAATTATAGGCCCTATGTATATATAGGCCTTATACAATTCTGCGGGCTTGAAAAACATGCATGATACAATATAGACTGTTTCTTGAAAGCAGTCAATAAAATGCATTAACTTCTAAAGTGATCACTTAAGAGTTCGTATCAAAGGCAGTAATACTAGGAATAAAACAGGGCTCAACACTGCAGCTTCTCGAAGGTGAAAGTTAATAAAGCCTTGCTTTTGGTTGTGAATTTTTTTGCCTTAAAACATTGTACATATGATCCTCCCCTTCCCTTCCCTGTTGCAAAGATGTGGTGAACAAGGTTTGCTCATGCAAATGACAATGCTCTTGAAAACTGTGGCAGAAAAATAAAATGAAGGGAATGTGGTTCACTTAACGATCTCATAAATTTTTGGAACTTATTAACCCCCTGACTTGCATTTATCTCCAGACTATATGGGAGAGAGATGAAATGACTGTTTGCTATCAGTATTTTATTTGATGCTTCATTTTTTGATTCCTTGCATAACTACTTACAACGCATTAACAGGATCACGAAAGCAAAGCTATTCAAGTAACTAAATCATTATGCAACTACTTTCTCATCTCTAAAACACAGTAATGGACCAATTACTTTAAAAATACAACACACTAGCAAGTAGTTTACTTTTAACTCAGTTTCAGTTTGTTAAGGCCATTGCTTGGGATAAAGAAAACAAAAAGCAGGAGGACCAGAAAGAGAAACAAGAATAGAAACCAGAAATATAGGCAGCAGCATAAGAAAATAAAGAACAAGATGATGGTGATAAGAAAAAACAGACTGGAAGAAAGGAAAAAAATCAGGTGATAGAGTTAGAAGGCCTATTATGATACCTTTTATCCACTCCCTGATTCATGAAATTCGAAAAGTCCAAGATTAACACAACAAAAAACAAGCAAAAAGATACACAAATAGTCATTCCCTAAATTTTGTTAAGAATGAGACAATGCTGCCACTCATGCCTGGCTCAGGAGCCAGCAGGAGGTGGGCGCCCTCCAGAGACTGCAGAAAGGTGGGGGAGGACTCCTTGCCCTGGCTGCACTTCCACTGCTGCCACCGAGGCCCACGCTGCAGCACCCACTGCTTCTTACCCACCCCAGGCCAGCTGGGCCTTGCAGGGCTCCTACTACCCCCTTCCCGGCTCACAGACTTGCTGCTGCTGCCACCACTAATGCCCATGCCAATACAACCACTGCTGCTGTTGCTCTCAATGCACCAGCCCCACCCTACAAGGCTCCTACCACGTGGCCACCACCAGGTACCCTCCTACCTCCAGCCTCCATCGCTGGGGTCGAGCTGCAGTCTCCATCACTGCCACCAACCGCAGCAAGGCGAGCTGTAGTACTGTGCCATCTGCAGGCTGCGGGCTCCAGCCTCCAGCATGCGGCATGGTGGCCCCTCCTACTCCTCTAGGTGGGCACAGACTGCTGGGCAGGCAAAGCCAGAAAAACCTAGAACAGATGCAGGGAGTGGTAGCATTAAAGCCTCACCTTGGTCATGCTGGCCACTGGGTGGCAGGTGCCAGTTTCAGCGAAGGCACTGACACCCACCCTCCCCTTTCGGCCCAAGCTGGCCATGAATCGGAGCCTGTGGTGGGGACTGGAGACACCACAGTGCCCGGCTCCCCACTCCGCAGGAACCACTGGGCCCACCAGAGCTGCGGTCCTAGGGGAACGGAAGCAGCAAAAAGTCAGACCCAGCCAGCTCTCCCCACCCAAGTGCGGGCTCTCATTCCTGAGCCTCCACCCAGAGAGCACCGTCCCCCACGTGGTGCACGTTACTCGGTGCCTGGGGGTCCCAGGCAGTATCCACAACACAGAGCGAGAGGGTGTAACCCAGGGAACCACAGCAGATGTGGGGGGCCCTGCCGTGCTCAGTATTCCTGCGGAAACACTGTATGTCCTCTGTACTTAAGCAGGAGAAAATCGCTTTGTAAAGCCTGGAGTCCAGGGAGGGAAGGACTGTCCTTTCCGTGGAGACCACTGCTGTCACTGCCACCTCTGCTGCCTGCTGCCGGCAGTGCAGCCCTGAGAGTGCCCCTAATCCGCCCCCCGCTGCCAGCAATGTAGTCCTCAAATAGCGCTCTCAACACCCCACCCCCTGCCCTCCACCACAGTGTAGCATCCGATAGCACCCCTAACCTGTCCCCCGCCGCTGACAGTGTGACCCCGATAGCACCCCCAACCACTCCACCGCCAGCAGTGTAGCACCCGATAATGCCCACAACCCGTCCCCACCACAGGCATTGCAGCACCCGATAGTGCCCCCAACCTGATTCCTGCCACGGGTAGTGCAGCAGCTGATAATGCCCCTAACCCGCCTCTGACACTGCAACCCCCCAACAGAGCCCCCAAACCCCGCCAGCTGTGGGCAGTTTAGCCCCCAATAGCGCACCTAATCCGCCCCCCTACCTCGGGCAGTGCAGCCCCCAATAGCACACCTAACCTGCTACTAGCTTGACAGCGCAAGCTCCTGACAGTGCCCCCAACCACCCCCCCCCCCACACTGCTGGCAATGCAGCCCCCAATACCACACCGAACCCGCCCCCTACCACCCCAATGCAACCTATGACAGCGTCCCCAGCCAGCCCCCCGCCATGGGCAGTGAAGCCCAGGATAGCACGCCCCCCCCACCCGCCCCGCCCTGGGCAGTGTAGCCCCTGATAGTGCACCCAACCCACCCCTTGCCATGGGCAGTGCAGCACCCGACAGTGCTCCCAACCTGCCCCTTGTAGCCCCAAATAGCACACCAAACATACCCCTTGGCACAAGCGGTGCAACACCCAACAGTGCCCCTAACCTGTCTGCTAGCACTGTAGCCTCCGATAGCACACCCAACCCCACACCCAACCCTCCCTGGGGCACAGACAACACAGTAGCTTATAGCGTCCCTAACACGCCACCCACTACCGGCTGTGCAGCCCCAGATAGTGCCCCTAACCCCTGCCAGCCACAGGCAGTGTAGCCCCTGTAACATCCCCCAACTCGGAGCAGCGTGTCCCCTGCCCCGATAGCACACCTAAGCCGCCTTGATGATCAGCACGGCCCCCGATAGCACACCTAATCCCATCCTCAATAGTGTACCCCCCACCCCACCCCCTTCCCCTGTTCCACCTCCGCAAGTAACGTAGTCCCCGATACTGCACAGAACCCACCTAGGCAATGCAACCCCAGATAGCGCCCCCAATCTGCCCTCACCGCGGGCAGCGCAGCTCTGATAGCATACCTGCCCCACTGTCTTTCTACCACTCTGGCCATGCTCCCGCTGTGGGCCACTGTGGCTCCGGTAGCAGGCTCCATCACCACAGCCAACATCAGCAGGTAAGCTGCTGTGCCGCGGTTGTCTTCCCGTTCTTCTCCTCTTCCTGCACTAAGCCGAGCACGGACGGTACGGGGAGAATATACGGAAGACCCTGACTCTGCCCACTCAACATGCTTTATACAGGGAGGGTATGCAAATGAATTCCTGAACTGCATGTTCTGATTGGATGAGAGAAAAACCTCTAGGCCTACTCTGATTGGACTTTATTATCATGTTCTGATTGGTCGTTTTAAGACTTGCTCTCATCCAGTCAGAACATGATAACAAAGTCCAAATCTGAGTATGCCTAGAGGTTTTTCTCTCATCCAATCAGAACATGTAGTCCCAGAACTCATTTGCATAACTCCGCATATAAAGTATGCTGAGGTGGGGGAGTCAGACCATCCCGGGTTCTTTCCTGTTTGCCTACACAGCTCTTCTGTGCCCAACTTAAAGGCAGAGGAGAAGGGGAAGGAAGACACCTGCCAAATGCTGGAGGCTGCAGCCTGCGGCACCGCGGCTCGCCTCACTGTGGGTGGTGGCCGAGATGGCGACTGCAGTGCGACCGGAGTGGTAAGAGGGGGAAAATAGTTTTGGGGTAGATGGAGGAGGAAAACAGGGTGGTGAGTACCAACGGGAAAAGAGGATGGCAAGCAGGAGAAGGCATTGCAAAAAGGCAATAGGAAAAAGACGGTGGGAAAAAAAAACGTTTTTGGGTAGATGGAGGGGGAAATGAGGTTGGCAAATAGGAGAGGGAAAAACGGGGGGCTGAGCAGGAGGGAGAAAAGGTTTTGTGAAAACAGGGTGGGGAAAAGATGGTGGGTAAAAAGTTTTTGGGCAGATGGAGGGGGAAAAGAGGGTGGCAAGTGGGAGGAGTAAAGAGAGGTTGGTAAAGGTGGGGAAAATGGGCAAGCGGGAGGGAGGGAAGGATTTGCAAAAAGACAGTGGGGAGAAAAGTTTTTGGGTAGATGGAGGGGGAAAAGATGGTGGCGAGCATGAGGGGAAGGAGGGTTGGGAAGACAAATAGTTTTGGGGTAGATGGAGGGTGAAAAAAGAGTGGCATATGGGAGAGGGGCAGGAGTGGGGAAAAGAGGTTGGTAAGCAGGAGTGGGGAGAAGGCATTGTGAAAAGATGGTGGGGGTGTGAGAAAAAAGTTTTGGGGTAGGTGGAGGGGGATAAAATGGTGGTGAGCAGCAGGAGAGGGGAGAAGGCTTTGGGAAAAGATGGGGGAAAATGTTTTTGGGAAGATGGAGGAGCAAAAGAGGGTGATGAGAGCAGGAAGGTGAAAAAGGGAGAATTTGCAAGAGTGGTCATTCTGATTAGTCATTCACTCTCTCCTTGGTAAGTATAATGATAGCTGTGGGTTTCATAGATAACTACCACTAGTTTCAGGAAGTTATCTTCTTGTCCATAACTCTGGAGTGTTTTATGATGAAAATGTGTAATATTTTCTCAAATACTTTCTGTTGAGATGCTCATGTATTTTTGTGTTTTATTCTATTAATACGATTTTTGTATGCATTGATTTTCAAATATTAAATCAATGTTGCATTGCTGGGGTAAATCACATCTGCATATAGTGTATAATCTATTTTATATGTTGCTGGATTCAGTTTGTCCAGTATTTTGTTGAAGATTTTTAATTTTATTTAAACAATGGGCCAGGCACAGTGGCTCACCGTGATATAAGGCTCACACTTATATCGCACTTTGGAAGGCAGAGATTGGCAGATCACCTGAGGTCAGGAGTTCAAGACCAGTCTGGCCAACATGAAACCCCATCTCTACTAAAAATACAAAAATTAGCCGGACGTGGTGGCAGACACCTGTAATCCCAGCTACTTGGGAGGCTGAGGCAGGAGAATCACTTGAACCCAGGAAACAGGTTGCAGTGAGCCGAGATTGGGCCACTGCATTCCAGCTTTGGCGACAGAGTGAGACTCCATCTGAAAAAAAAAAAAAGAAAGATACTGTTATATATTGTTTTGTGATATAGCTTTGGTGTCAGAGTAATCCTGGCTTTATAAGATGAATTGGGAAGTGTTCTCTCCCCTTTTATTTTCTGCAAGAGTTGGTGAACAATTGATATTAATTTCTCAGAGTGATAGCTACCTGAGATGGGAATTTTATTATAAGTTCTTAAAATTACAATCCAATCTTTTTACCTTTTGTAGGTCTATTTAGATTTTCTATTGCTCCTTAGTCCTTTAGTCTGTTTTAGTTTGTGTCTTTCTAGGACTTCATTCTATCTAGGCTATCTAATTTTTTTAGCATAAGATTTTCATTGCATTGTCTTTTATTTTTATTTTGTATTACTAGCAGTGATGGATTCTCTTTTATTGCTGATTTTAGAAACTTGAGTCTCTTCTGCTTTTTTCTTGCTTAGCCTAAATAAACATTTGCCAATTGTGTTGTCTTTTCAAGCATTTAATTTTGGTTTATTGATTTTCTCTGTTTTTTCATACTCCCTATCTTTCTGTTGGCTTAACTCTTATTGTTATGAAATGTTTCTCTTTGTCTTTAGGAACATTGTATTTGGTTAATTAAAATGTAAGTTGATTTTGGAGTATCAACTGTTGTCTTATATGAAAGTAAAAGCATCAATTGGGAAATAATGGGTTCCCAAATATTGCCATGGAAACATATTTTTTGGCAGGGGTAGGGGTACAAAAGAAGCATCCATGTGCATGTAGTCCTTGGTCCCCAAGTCACCGAGCTAACTTGGTCAAAATAAGTAGCCTCTCATTTCTTATCTCATGTGGGTAGTCTTGCTTTGCTTGGAGACATTACAATGAATTCGCTTGCTGTAATTACTTGTAAGCATATCAGTTTACTTCATGTCCCATTTTCAACCAGTTACTGTACCTGGAATAATTACTAGAATCAAATTCCATCACACACAGGTAAATAAGTAAATTCTGTCATTTAATATCTAAATTACATATATAATTATATGTACATACATATATTTTACTTGTAATTCAATGAAGATAAGGCTTTGTATGCTCTGTGTAAAATATGCTGTCTATACTAATTCTCATGATAGTAAAGAGTAAATTAAGTAATGGAATGTATTTAAATTTTACATATGTCTTCCATTTGGTGCAGAAATAAAATCTTGGTACTTGATTTAGTAAATTCCTCCTAAATTTAAATTTAGTAAACTTCCAAGATGTTACTTCCCTGAATCAAAATTTATCTTAATGGGATGATAATTCTCTAGTTTACCTCTAATGAGCCTCAGCTAGTATTTAATCTATTATGAAATTAGCATCAAAATAAAATATAATTAATTAAAACAAATTTATTTTATTGATTAATTTAGACCTCAGAAGTTTATGTTATGAAATCAAGGTTTTTTTGGATTTTGTTTATAGAATAATTAGGAAATATTACCAAATGCGAACCATAGTAAAAGTTCTTCAGTAACACTTTACCATTCCATTTTCAAATAACCTGAATTTATGTGTCAGGTTGAAAAGCTTACTGTCTGTACCTTCTCTACCATCTTAGCAGGCTAAATAAAATACATGATCAAAGGCAAAAATGTATGCAAGGAAAATATAGAATATTTAAGTTACAAAAAGCTACTCTTACTGAATCTCTTGAATTACAGTTTATAGCTAAAGTGTACAAACTATTGTAAAAGTCTTCTCTATTTATGAGATTAATTACACATATAAAGTGTCTCCCTCATTCAATAGATTTTATATTTCATTCAGAAATATATGTTTAATATAAAACGGTCTGAATTCTGCTAAATTGCATTTAAAATTATTCATCATTGGTTATATATTTATAAGCATGTACGTTTAATGACTACGTACTGTAAACTTTCTTTGCCATGTGGCATAGACAGTTAATTTACCTGTTCTTTCTATCTCTATCTACTATGTCCTAGTCTATTTCAGTTTTCTCACAAGTAGCCATTATTTTCATTGAACTACCAAAAACTTATAAGGCAACCATGCTCAAACAAAATGTGTTAGTAGTATAGTATAGTATAGTATAGTATAGTATAGTATAGTATAGTATAGTATAGTATAAAGCTTTTTTCAATTCTAAATTTATGTTCCGAATTGTTAAATAATTTTATTATCCAGTCTTTTTTTTTTTTTTTTGAGACGGAGTCTTGCTCTGTCGCCCAGGCTGGAGAGCAGTGGCGTGATCTCGGCTCACTGCAACCTCCGCCTCCCGAGTTGACGCCATTTTCCTGCCTCAGCCTCCCAAGTAGCTGGGACTACAGGCACCCACCACTACACCCGGCTAATTTTTTTGTATTTTTAGTAGAGACGGGGTTTCACCATGTTAACCAGGATGGTCTCAATCTCCTGACGTCGTGATCCGCCTGCCTCGGCCTCCCAAAGTGCTGGGATTACAGGCGTGAGCCACCGTGCCCAGCCTATTATCCAGTCTTGATGTCTGAAAACATCTCAAAATAGAGAAGTTCACAATATTAGATGCTGTATCTTTCTTCATATAATGACAAAGAACTTTAGTTCTTTTCTCAATTTTAGGAAAAATTTTGCTTTAAGAGCAATAAAAACACAAGTTTACATAAGCTGAGAGCAGGTACATATAGCTACTCTGTAGAAAACTTATTTTGTTATTAGAGCTATTAGGATCATCTTTCGAGAATATTTGGGCTATATATGATGCTGCAAATTTATTTTCATGGTTGCTATAACGGGCAAGGCAAGCAGATGATATGCTTGTAGCTATTTCATGATGAGCACATCTCAAGGAATAAAGAAGGGCCTTCACAAGAAGAGGGAGGCAGCTGGCACAGTAATGCATCATGAACACAGATTCAGTGACTCCTGAGAGTCATTATGGCACCTGCATTCTTTGTTTCTATCTCATATGTAATCCAGTTTCAAGGAAGTATCAAAGTGTTGGGGGTGAGGAGACTATATGAACCATTAGCACGAAAGAAGTGCAGGCATCCAGCTGCCTGGTGTCTTCTGAGGTCATTCACCCAGATAAACAATACAAGTTGTTAACACAGAGACTTAGTTAAATTCAGAGCTGCAGGTAATGGGAAAATAAGATTGTGGAAATTGGCTCCATCTGAATTATTACTCAGATCTCCTCCATTTCTTCCAGATGCTGTCCTCACAGTATATTCAAGGCATCTGATGGCATTGATGAGCAACTGAGGAATCATTTAATTAATCACCAAGTTCTTCATCCTTACTTAAAAATGTAGAGTCACAAAATCATGCATCAAAACACACTCTTTTTTTAATAAAATATGGTCTTTTATCCACTGATCCCTTATTTTTTCAGAGTAGCAAGGTGTCCTTACAGCATACATTTAGCATAAAATTAGACGGGTTCCATTATGAAATAAAATGGAGACAGAATAAGTCAATACTGAATTATTTGGTAAATCTAGCAAAGTCTTTAAAAATGATTCTAGAGAATGGATTTCTTTTAGTGTTTCTGTTTGCTTTTGCCTCATTGTTCTGCTTTGCTAACTCGTTAAAATCACAAGCTATCTTACTGTATATTGAGTGTATTTGCAAGAGCTGTTTAGTGTTTTCTTCCCTAATGAACCAACATAACCATTATTCTGCTGTGAGTCTATGTTATGAAATATGTCTATGTCCTGCTATTCTCAGGCTTCATTTTTGCCTCCAGATCTTCCAGGTACTATTGTTTTGGACAATATAATGGATATTACTTCTTTTGTTCTTTCTGTGGCTTGAAAATTTCAGTAAACTCACTTCCGTCCGTGGGGGAGCTGCGGCGGTGGCGGTGCAGGAGGCCGGGCCGGGGCGCAGAGGGACCGACGGATGCACGGGCGGGCGGCCGGGAGCCATGGAGCGCGGCCCTGGGGCCCGGGGGCGCGGGCCGGGATGGGCTTCCCAGGGCACGACATGGAGACCTGTGGTTGCGAGGCTCCCTGGGGCTCGGCTTGGACCGCGATGGGGGTGGGCCCTGGCCTCCTAACGGGGCTGCCGTCTGGGGCGGTAGCTGGGGGGGCGCTCTCCCCCCTGCCCGCGACTCGGAGCACCCCCACGCTTCCCCTGCCGGGCCAGGCCAGGCGGCGTTGTTGGCGGGGGCCCCGGTGGAGGCCCGGCCCGGGCGGCGCCCGCCATGAATGGGCTGTCGCTGAGTGAGCTCTGCTGCCTTTGCTGCCCGCCCTGCCCCGGCCGCATCGCTGCCAAGCTCGCCTTCCTGCCGCCGGAGGCCACCTACTCCCTGGTGCCTGAGCCCGAGCCGGGGCCTGGTGGGGCCGGGGCCGCCCCCTCGGGGACCCTGCGGGCCTCCTCGGGCGCACCCGGGCGCTGGAAGCTGCACCTGGCGGAGCGCGCCGACTTCCAGTACAGCCAGCGCGAGCTGGACACCATCGAGGTCTTCCCCACCAAGAGCGCCCGCGGCAACCGCGTCTCCTGTATGTATGTTCGCTGCGTGCCTGGTGCCAGGTACACGGTCCTCTTCTCGCACGGCAACGCCGTGGACCTGGGCCAGATGAGCAGCTTCTACATTGGCCTGGGCTCCCGCCTCCACTGCAACATCTTCTACGACTACTCCGGCTACGGTGCCAGCGCGGGCAGGCCTTCCGAGAGGAACCTCTATGCCGACATCGACGCCGCCTGGCAGGCCCTGCGCACCAGGTGAGGGCGACCCTGGGGGCAGCTCAGCCTGGGCACACCCAAGAGGGGACCAAGCCGGGGGCCGGGGGGCGGGCTTCCCTGGGAGGAAGTTGGGCGGCCCTGCAGGAGGGGAGCCACAGTGGATGCACAGGGCCAGAGAGCCGGACAGGCGAGCTGGGGTGTGCAGGTGCCACCTCCACATGGCTGAGGTGTGGCCAGGCGGTCCTCCCACACCCTGGCCTGTGGAGCCAGGCTCCCTGGAACCCCTGGCCTGAGGACGGGAAGGGGCTGAGCTTGTCACAGGGGCGTGGATGCCACCCGGTGGGAGGGAGTGGGTGGTGGTCTGGGGGTCTGTGCACGTGTGGCTGGGAGCCCATCTGCCGAGGCAGCACTTGGGGCCAAGTGAGGCGAGGCTGCTGCATCCAGGTCCCGAGGCCTGGCCCACGAGGCCCTGTGGCTGCGGAGCTTGGCCATCCTGGGGCAGGGCCTGCAGGGTAGGGTGCAGACCCCCAGCACACACCCGAGGTCTGGGCCAGCCTCGATTCCAGATCCAGCCCTCCTAGTCATCCAGGTCCCCAGCCCTGCGCTTGCCTGGGCCCTTCACCGGTGTTTGAGCACCGCCCGGGCCAGTGCTGCTTTGGACGAGGAGACCCGGGTGGGCCTCTGGTGGCCTTTCCTGCTCGCCATCCACTGGGGCTGTCTCGTCCTGGCCCTGCCCAGCCCACTGGTCTGACCTGCTCCTGCAGGGGACCAGGCACAACTCTGAGAAGTCAGAGGCCCTGGGGAGGTGGGGTCCTCGTTGCCTTGGTGATATTGCAGGCTGTCCCTGCTGTGGGCCTGGGAGCTGGTCCCCTGGCACCACCCTGGCTCTGGGGGCCTCCCAGCAGTGTGGGGCGCTGACACCAAGTACCACTTCATGCGACTTCCTCGGCCCCTCCTGTCTCTACTGCCTGGGCCACTGGCAGAGTCACACCCGCCATGGCCAGCTCTGAGCTCGTCTGCTCGGCCATCTGTCCTGCTGCCACTTTGTCCTGCAGGAACCTAGGCCCAGAGCTGTGAGGGGGAGGCCAGAGCGTGCCCAGGGCCTCCACTGGGGATGTGTCCCGTTCGTTTGAGTGGTGACATCCAGGTGGCAGCTGGGGGCTCCTGCCTGTAGCAGGTGACAGGGCTGGGCTGGCTCAGCACACTACTGACCATGGCTGCCAGGGAGCAGGCCAGGGAGGCCGAGGCAGAGCTGGGGCCACAGGCACCAGCCAGGCAGCATCCTTTGGGGCATGGGTGAGTGGCGAGCTGTGGAGTGCTGCCAGGAGGCTGGGATTCCAGGCCAGGGACGGGGACAGCCCGCTGGTGGAGTCCGAATGCCAGGCAGAGGGGACGCACACCTGCCCATGCTCCTGCCTTGCAAGAGGGCATCTACCTGGGATCAGAGCCTAGAGCGTGTGGGAGGAGAGTTGTGGGGTCCCGGCATGGGCAGGGTAGCAGGTGGGTCCCGCGTGGTTGGGACTGGGCACGAGGAGGCCTTGTAACTGGTGCTGGATCAGCTGGGTCAAGGGCCGCACACCAGTGACCTGGGGGTGAGGGTGCCCCTGGGTGGGAGCTGGTGGTGCTGAGGTGGCCAAGGACTTGTCCACTCCCAAGGGAAGGTGCTGGTGGGAGGGGGTGCCACCTCCGCAGCCACCACCTTCGATGCTGACCTGGGTTGCACTGGCATCTCATTGGGCGTGGGGACTCCGAGAGTCCAAAATTGGGTGGAGACATTTGGGGACACAGCTGCCTGAATTCCTCATGGCCAAGGGGGTGGGCAAGGGCTGCAGGAAGGAAGAGTGTCCGCTGTCCTGGCCAGTGCACCAGGAACGGCTTTCTAACCCGGGCAGGAAGGCGTGACGCATTCAGGATGTGGGGGGCACACAGTTCCCAGTGTGCACCTAGGGGTGACCAGGAGGAGAAGAGGCGCCAGGGCCTCCCCTACCCCCGCCCCAGGGGCACTCCGTAGGCGGGATCCCTGCAGATCCTTGCTAGGAAACGCCAGTGAACGGCAGCGCCAGGGAACGGGGCGGGGCCGCTGGCTTCGCCCACCGCCGTGGTGTTGGGGGGCTGGGGGTGGCCCTCGGGACTGGTGTGGAGCCTGGGCCTGACCCACTGACTTGGCTGAGTGGGGAGACTAGAGGGTCGCATCCGGAGCTGGGCCCGGGGACGCCCGCTGGTGGGAAGGGTGCGCGCGCGTCGGAGGCAGCGGCTGACCCTGCTCGGGCGCCGCCAGGTACGGCATCAGCCCGGACAGCATCATCCTGTACGGGCAGAGCATCGGCACGGTGCCCACCGTGGACCTGGCCTCGCGCTACGAGTGTGCCGCGGTGGTGCTGCACTGCCGCTCACCTCGGGCATGCCCGTCGCCTTCCCCGACACCAAGACCTACTGCTTCGACGCCTTCCCTAACATCGAGAAGGTGTCCAAGATCACGTCGCCCGTGCTCATCATCCACGGCATGGAGGACGAGGTGATCGACTTCTCACACGGGCTGGCGCTCTACGAGCGCTGCCCCAAGGCGGTGGAGCCGCTGTGGGTGGAGGGCGCCGGGCACAACGACATCGAGCTCTACAGCCAGTACCTGGAGCGCCTGCGTCGCTTCATCTCCCAGGAGCTGCCCAGCCAGCGCGCCTAGCGGCGGCCCCAACCGGCCAGACCTCAGCAATAAGGCGGTCCCCGGACCTCACCCCGCGCCGGCCCCCCAGGGGCTGCATGTGGACCCCCGGGCGGCCTAGGGGACCCTGCCCCGAGCCGGGGGCTGTGGACGATGTACAGGCAACAGAGCTACGCACTCCTTTCCTTTTGGAAGCAAGAAGAAAATAAGTGAAAACGGAAATTAAAGATTTAAAATTTTTAAAAAAAAGAAAAAGAAAATTTCAGTAAGAAAATAAACTGGTTGTCAAAAACACCTGTCTGTTAAAATTGGAATCAAACTGGCTGGGCGTGGTGGCTCACGCCTGTAATCCTGGCACTTTGGGAGGCCGAGGCGGGCAGATCACGAGGTCAAGAGATCAAGACCACGGTGAAACCCCGTCTCTACTAAAAATACAAAAGAAAATTAGCTGGGCACGGTGGCGGGCGCCTATGGTCCCAGCTACTCGGGAGGCTGAGGCAGGAGAATGGCGTGAACCCGGGAGGCGGAGCTTGCAGTGAGCCGAGATAGCGCCACTGTACTCCAGCCTGGGTGATAGAGCAAGACTCTGTCTCAAAAAAGAAAAAAAACAATTGGAATCAAACTTTTTCAAGAAGAGATGTACTTGGTTTCCTTGCGTAAATATTCAAAAGTTAATAGGATCTTTTTCACAGTTTAAAAAAATTAAACATAATTGTATTTAGTTTTATTGAATACTTATGTGGTGTATTACATATATTTTTGTTAATATTAAATTTTAAAAATTTTAAATTGTGCATTTTATATGATATATCATAGATTGTTGTTTTACTTTGAGTTTTCTCATTTAAAGTTATAACCAAAGTGACCCTATTATTCATTTTTTGTGCTATGCATTTAACATTTTCATATACTTCTTTTTTCCATTTTCAGCTAGTATGTATTGCATTGTATTTAAAACCACCACAAGAGGCAGGAAAATGGGGAGCTGTTATTCAATAGCTACAGTTTTGCAAGATGGATAATTTCTGCAGATCTGTTGCACAGCAATGTGAATATAGTTAATACTTATGATCTGTACACCTAAAATGATTAAGATGGTAAATTTTATATGTATATTTTTACTATAATTTAAAAATCACCATCACAGGTTTGAAATATAAATATAACTTATTTTGTATAATGTAGAGTGTGTTCACATCAATAAGAAAAACCTAATATACCGATAAGAAAGAAGGGTGGGGGTGTATCAGATGCAATCCATCCTGTCTCATGTCAGGCAGCCCTGAGAGGGATGTTGGAGTCATTGACCAATTGTCTTGTTTGACTCTCACTATAATTTGAAGCCATTACAAAGGCCCCATCCAGTCCTGGGGGGTGGAAAAGAGGAAGAAGGCAGGAGCTTCTAATGAACGATTGTCTGCACAGGCTCCTTCTTTCACCTGTGCAGAGAAGGGAGAAGCAGAGCAAGATGTCCCTAGAGTTGCTTCCTAAATACTCAGAGTGGGGGCACAACTCCCCTACAGATCTCTGATCTTCTGCCACTATTATGAAATGGAACTTGTTCATTTTAGTATCATCATCCTTATGTGTCCCCAGCCTCACTGAAATCTTGGCATGCGTATCAGATGAACTTGGGATGAAGGAGAGGGTGATAATCATGGGCCTGACAAAGTCGGTGGGGAGAGGCAGGTGCTGAGTGTCCTCTGCACACTGCGAAGTCACAAGCACAGTCATATTCCACTGTGGAAAAGACTGTTTGCCCAACATCCCTGGAACCACAAAGACCTGCATCCTCTGAACCTCAAGAGGAGTGAACAGTTCAGAGACAGGCTGGAATGAGCAGTTGTGAGGAAGGTGACCTCACTCACTCCTGGAGCTGGTCAGTGGAGCTGGGGTTGGGGCATGCTGGACCAACCAGCTGATCAGAAGTTCTCAGACCACACACATCTCTAAGTCAGGTCTAGGCCCTAGTTTGGACATGTGTATGGTTTGAATATCCCCTCCAAAACTCATGGTAGAATTTAATTATCATGGTAAAAGTAATTGGAGGCAGGACCTTTAAGAGGTGATTAGGTCATGAGGGTTCCACCATCATGAATGGATTAGTGCCCTTATCCTGGCAATGGGATAGATATCTCAAGAGTGGGCTCCTGATAAAAGGATAAAGTTCAACCCTATTTACTCATTTTCACACTCTTCTTTGCCCTTTTTCCCTGAGATAATGCAGCAGAAAGACCCTTGCCAAATTTCAGCATCTGCTTGTGGACTTCTAAGGCCACGGAAATCTCAACCAAATAAACTTTTAGTCTCAGTAAGTTACCCAACATATGATATTCTATTATATCAGAAGAAAATGGGGGAAATGGACTAGGACAGCACGTGTAGGTTATTCATCTCCTTCCTCTTCTGTAATCTTCCTGGAGGGAAACTTAGCTCTAAGAACTGACCTACTCCACTGTAGGCATCATAAGGGGAAAAGATATGAAAAATATATCAAATTAACATTTTAAGAAAAAAACACATTTTACATCTATATATCCTAGGAAAATTAGACACTGGCTGAAAAAGTAACAACAGGAATCAATCCCTGAGCCAGAGTTGGTCCCAGGCAGGACAGTGGTGATTGCACCAGGCAGAGAGAACACAGGGGAGGTCCTAGTCTCACTTCCCTGGGGTTCTGGAGCACTGTGGAAGTGCCATGGCTGCTGAGATATGTAGTAGCCTCATCCTCTGGCTGCAGCCCAGAGATGTGCAGAATTACTGCATTGGCTGAGGCATCTTTAGATTTAGAAAAGTGACCGGGGACCCTGGAGCCATGGTGCTTACTTGAGTCAGATTAGCAGACTGTTCTACACGTGCTGTCCTAGTCCATTTTCTCCATTTTCTTCTGATACAATAGAATACCATATATTGGGTAACTTACTGAGACTAAAAGTTTATTTGGTTGAGATTTCTGTGACCTTAGAAGTCCACAAGCAGATGCTGAAATCTGGCAAGGGTCTTTCTGCTGCATTATCTCAGGGAAAAAGGGCAAAGAAGAGTGTGAAAATGAGTAAATAGGGTTGAACTTTATCCTTTTATCAGGAGCCCACTCTTGAGATATCTATCCCACTGGAGATATATCATCTCTCAGGAGATACTAGAGAGCACTCCCTAGATGCTACTGGTAGCAGGATATGTGCTAGCCACCAGCAGTGAAGCCACAGCTCAGGGTAAATGTGAGCCTCAGAATTTCCCAGAGATGCAGAGAGGGAGGGTGGCTGAGTCAGAACAGGCCGAGGTGGGGGGAACCTGCAAACACAAATGCTCATGGGTGAGTAAGCAGGGATGAAATGTGAGAGTGGAACACGGGGCAAGAACTCAGACTGGGAGGCTTTCCCAGGAATCTGAGGCCTGTCCCTACCTGATAAGTGAGAGGGGAGCAGCAGGGAGGAGCAGGGGCCCCGGCCATGGTGGACACAGCCCTCCCGAGGTCCAGAGCTGGAGTGGCTGCCCTAGGCCTCTCTTATCCCCTCCACTGGCCTCACAGAGGAAGGGTTATGGATGCAAATGTGTCCCACCCACTGCCTGCCCCCACCCCACTCTATGCATTTATTCAAGACCTGGGGACTGGTGGATGAGAGAGTCTGGCAGGACCTGGGAGGAAGTGGGTGCTGGAACCACACCCAGAGAAGATGCAGCAGCTGAGTCGGCTTCAGTGAGTGCAGGCTCCACTGCCCAGCCCTGGGGAGTTTAGGGGTTGGCACAGCTATGAATAGCCACTGTGCAGACCGTGAGACAGACCCACAGTGCCCCTGCTGCTCACTGGCCAGACTGCAGTCTCAGTGGGAATCATGTGAGTGCAGTCATCTAAGGGCCTGGTCCAAACCATCCATGAGCCATGCCCCTGCTCTGTCCTGAGCTACTGGTATTAATAAACAGCCTTTTCATTGAGGGCTCCTGGATTACTAGAAGAAGGACATATGGGAAATATAACAATGGCCTAATGTGACGAGGCTACAGTGAGGGGAGAATGCAGACAGCTTCTGGAGCAAAGACCCGGGCAGCTCCTTCCACAGGGATCCACCTCTACTCACAGAATAGGAAGGAAAAACTTAACATCAGTTAGAAATACATAAACGAAGGCCTCAATTGTTTGTTCCTGTGATGATTCATTGGATGCGTTCATCCATGAATGCATACTCAAGCAACTACCCTTCAGGCTTGGGTTCCTGGTGTCACTGGATTGATTTTGTTAATCATGGTTTTCACGTATTTGTATGTATACTCTTTTTTCTCCATGTCATTCACTCAGTTAATAAGAGAGTTGTATTAATATCTGTGTATATGATTATGGATTGATTATTTCTCTTTTTAATTCTGCTAAAAGAGACAGTTTTGCTTCAAATACTTTAAAGCTATTTTATTAGGTGCATACAATTTACAGTTGTTATGTGTTGTCATTGAACACCTTATTTCACCAGTATAAAATGCCTCCCTTTTCTTGGAAAAAAATGTTTTTCATAAAAGCTTTCATACTAATACTAACTTTAGAGTAGGCAGATAGCTAGACAGAAGCAGGAGGGGCAGCCCCTGAGAAAAGGGAGTTCTGGAAAATCTCACACCCCAGAGACCACCCAAAGCACACATGCTAGATACGAACAGAGATTAGGGTAAATACCTATGCCAGAACAAAGCCCCTTAAGACACCCAGTATTCACTCACTCTGAAGTTAACCTGTCAGAATGTAGCTAGCTGCATGCTGATAATAGGGGTGAGAGCAAAGGAGAAATTTCTAAGAGAGATGCAGGTACAGTAAGTATAGATTTGACCACCATACAACCTTCCTGGGGTGGCAGTAATGAGCAATGCAGCCATTAGGTAGAATTCCTATCAAACACTGGGCCCATGTGTGTGTTAAGGGAGGGTCCCACAGCCTGGGCTGGAAACTATGTGGGGAAAAGGCAGGGACTTAAGGCTGAAGCAGAAAAACTAGAGAAAGAAAAAAAGGTGGAGACTTAAAACAGAGGTGGGAACTCCAAGAAAAAGTGCAATATCATAAAAACTCAGTGCACATTTCTCGGGCCGCTGGCTCATTCTCTATCAGCAGCCCGCTCTGCCTTATCTTCCAGAGTACACTGTCTCTCTAAATAAACTATTTGCTCTCTGTTTTTCTTCAGTAAATTCTCTTTTTTGCCTAAATTGTCTCTTGGCCAAAACTTTCTCCCAAGACAAAGGACAGAGGATTGCCATACTTGCTTTCTGTAAGTGGTTTCATGGTATTTTCTATCCCTTTTTCATGTTAATAAGAACGTTTAATGTGTGATATACCCTCTGAATAAAATTTTAAGTACATAATACAGTGTTGTCAGCTGTAAGCACAGTGTTGTACAGCACATCTCTAGAACTTGTTCATTTTGCAAACCTAAAGCTTCATAGCCCTTGAGCAGTGACTCCCCATTTCCTTCTCTCCCTACCCCTGGCAACCAGCATTCTACTCCATTTCTGCTCGGTTGAGTATATTAGACACCTCCTATAGGCCGGACGTGGTGGCTCATGCCTGTAATCCCAGCACTTTGGGAGGTCGAGGCAGGCGGATCACCTGAGGTCAGGAGTTCGAGACCAGCTTGGCCAACATGGTGAAACTGTGTCTCTACTAAAAATACAAAAATTAGCCAGGTGTGGTGGCAGGCACTTGTAATACCAGCTACTCAGGAGGCTGAGGCAGGAGAATCGCTTGAACCCGGGAGGTGGAGGTTGCAATGAGCTGAGATCGCGCCATTGCACTCCAACCTGGGTGACAAGAGCAAAACTCTGTCTCGAAAAAAAAAAATTAGATACCTCATATAAATGAGGCCGTGCAGCATTTCCCCTTCTAAGATTGGCTTATTTCACTCAGTGTAATATCCTCCAGGGTTTTCCCTGTTGCTGCATATGGCAAAATTTAATTATTCTTTTTTTTTTGAGAGACAGAGTCTCACTCTGTCACCCAGGCTGGAGTGCAGTGGCGCAATCTCAGCTCACTGCAACCTCTGCCTCCCGGATTCAAGAGATTCTCCTGCCTCAGCCTCCTGAGTATCTAGAATTACAGGCTTCTGCCACCACACCCAGTTAATTTTGGTATTTTTAGTAGGGGCGGGGTTTCACCATATTGGTCAGGCTGGTCTTGAACTCCTGACCTTGTGATCCGCCCGCCTTGGCCTCCCAAAGTGCCGGGATTACAGGCGGGAGCCACCGTGCCCGGCCTAATTCTTCTTGAATTTGAACAGCATCCATTGCAGCTATACACCACATTTTCTGTAAACATTCAATGATTAGTGGACCTTATGCTGTCTCCATGTCTTTGAAATTGTGATTAATGCTGCATGAATAAAAATGTGCAAATATTTCTGCAATATCCTGATTTTCATTCTTTTGGATGTATGCTCAGAAGTGCTTTTTATTTAAAGAGTGTATCTTTTAATTTAGTTTGTCAATCCAAGTGAGGCCTGGTGGAGCTCTATCACTTCAGTAACAAGAAATTGAGAAATGTCCCCTGTCCCTGCTTTTCACAGGTTTCGTCTCAGCTCTTCAGCCTCCTGCCTCTTATGGGTTGGAAATCCACATCTGTCATAATGAGGACTAGTGTGGGCTTGAAATCATCAACCTCTACTTTCTTTTTCATCCCTGTGTTATTATAAATTATGGTTTTGGTCTTTGACCCCATTTCTTGTTATACAACTCCTAAAATACTTAAAATCACCAGAGTCTTTTTGTATGCTAATGAGATGACTGTTGGCTGACAGTCCCTAGGTAACTTCAGGATGGGGGCAGGTCACAAGAAAGACCAAGGCAGGGTTAGAGGGATGGGACTTTCAGCCTCATCTCCCAACCTCTGTGGAGGGGAGAGGGGCTGCCGATTATTCACCAATGGGCAGTGGTTTACTCCATAAAGCCTCGGTGAGGAAGCGTCCATAAAATAACCCAAATGGAGCTAGGCTGGGAGAACTTCTGGAAGGCTGAACACATGAAGATTACTGGACGGTGGTGCACCACTTCCCATACCTTGTGCTATGCATGTCTTCATCTATATGCTTGGTTGTATCCTTTTTAATAAACCTGTAAGTGTCTACTGAGCTCTGTGAGCCATTCTAGCAAATTAATAGAAGCCAAGGAGATGTTGTGAAATCTTCAACTTACAGCTATTTGGACAGAAGCACAGGTAAAGCAATCTGAGGCTTGGGATTGGCGTAAGTAGTGGGGCACAGTCTTGGGGAAATAGCCCTCAAACTGTAAGATCTGACCCTGTCTCCATGTGGATAGTGTCAGAATTGCATTCAATGAGAGGGCACCTGTGTGGTGTCCGCTGCAAAACCAATGGCTTGCTTTCTAGGGGGTGGGGAGAAATCCTACACATTTGGTCATGGAAACGTGTTGATTGTTGTGGTGTGAGAGCAGGGCAAAGATGGTTTTTGTATTTTCCACTCAACCCCAAAGGCACTGAATTATACTCAAAGCTCTTTCATTAGCCTTTGGCATGACCTAGCCTTTGGCATGACCAAGTGTATTTTCATTGTGTAGCCTGTGCTTCCTCTTGTCTTTTCCTTTGTGGGGTCCCAATCATCCGTTCTAAGGAATGTTCCTGCTCCATTTGTGGACAGTCACAGAACCCACAGACTTCACAAACTGCCTTAGGTGGAAACAAGGAGCATTAATATGTGTGAATTCCCTCTTTGACTCCACAAACCTTAGCACCTTTTCCTGGCCCATAAGCTGACTAGTCCCCTGACCCATAACTTGTCCTGAGCATGAACATAAACTCACATCAAGGCCATATGCCCAGACACATGGGATGACCAAAAGTATTTTCCACCTGAGCTGCCTTGCCTGCCTGTGTGGCAATGACCAGGCTAAGATGTTAATCTTAATAGCTCAGTATAAATATTGGCTGGATAGAAGGTCACAAATTCAGTGAAGAGTCTCAGATCCTTGTTCCAGGATGGGGAAATGCCTGCAGAAATTTTTCCTGATTGTGGTTTTGGTGACAAGAGGGAAGAGTAGGTCTAGAGGTCATAGCGTGGGATCAAACAAGAGACTTGTGCCTTATTTCCCTGTGGGGCAGATGCTGTGGGTTAGCACTGGGTTCCTTCCGCATCCTGATCAGCAATCATCACCCTCATCCTCAGACAGAAACCCAGAGTAGTAAACGAGGCCAACTCCATCCAGGTTGCTGCAAATTCCATTATTTTATTCCTTTTTAGGTCTGAGTAGTATTTCATGGTGTATATTATATATATATATATAAAATCACATTTTTGGCTGGGTGCAGTGGCTGATGCCCATAATCCCAGCACTTTGGGAGGCCAAGGTAGGCAGATCATCTGAGGTCAGGAGTTCGAGACCAGCCTGACCAACATGGAGAAACCCTGTCTCTACTAAAAATACAAAATTAGCTGGACGTGGTGGTACATGCCTGTAATCCCAGCTACTCGGGAGGCTGAGGCAAGAGAATCACTTGAACCCAGGAGGCAGAGGTTGCGGTAAACCTAGATCATACCATTGCACTCCAGCCTGGGCAACAAAAGCGAAATTCCGTCTAAAAATAAAAAAATAACGTTTTCTTTATTCACTCATTGGTTGATGTATATTTATACTGTTTGCATATTTTTGCAATTGCAAATTGTACTGCTATAAACATGTGTGCAAGTGTCTTTTTCTTTTCTTCTTTTTTTTTTTTTTTTTTTTTTTGAGACAGAATTTCGCTCTTGTTGCCCAGGCTGGAGTGCAATGGTGCAATCTTGGCTCACTGCAACCTCCACCTCCTGGGTTCAAGCGATTCTCCTGCCTCAGCCTCCAGAGTAGCGGGGATTACAGGCATGCACCACCATGTCCAGCTAATTTTGTATTTTTAGTAGAGATGGAGTTTCAACATGTTGGCCAGGCTGGTCTTGAACTCCTAACCTCAGATGATCCGCCCGCTTATCCTCCCAAAGTGCTGGGATTACAGGCATGAGCCACCGTGCCCGGCCATACAAGTGTCTTTTTCAAATAATAACTTATTTTCCAGGAATTTATCCATCTCTTCTAGATTTTCTAGTCTGTGTGCATAAGGGTGTTCATAGTAGCCTTGAATATCTTTCATATTTCTGTGGTATTGGTTGTAATATTTCCCATTTCATTTCTAATTGAGCTTATTTGGATCGTCTCCCTTTTTTTCTTGGTTAATCTCACTAACGGTCTGTCAATTTTGTTTATCTCTTCAAATAACCAGTTTTTGTTTCATTTATCTTTTGTATTTTTTGTTTCAATTTTATTTAGTTCTGCTCTGATCTTTGTTATTTCTTTTCTTCTGGGTTTGAGTTTGGTTGGTTCTTGTTTCTTGAGTTCCTTGAGGTGTCACCTTAGATTGTCTGTTCATGCTGTTTCAGACTATTTAATGCTATGAACTGTCCTCTTAGTTTTGCTGTATCTCAGAGGTTTTAATAGGTTGTGTCACTATTATTGTTCAGTTCAAGCAATTTTTAAATTTCCTTCTTGATTTCATTGTTAACCCAAAGGTCATTCAGGAGCAGATTATTTAATTTTCATGTATTTGTATAGTTTTAAGGGTTCTTTTTGGAGTTAATTTCCAGTTTTATTCCATTGTGGTCTGAAAAGGTACTTGACATAATTTCAATTTTCTTAAATTTGTTGAGACTTGTTTTGTGGCCTATCTTATGATTTATCTTGGAGAACGTTCTATGTGCTGATTAAAATATGGTATATTCTGAAGTTGTTGGGTAGAATGTTAGGTAAATATCTGCTAAATCTATTTGTTCTAGGATATAATTAAAGTCAATTTTTTCTTTATTGACTTTCTGCCTTGATGTCCTGTCTAGTGCTGTCCATGGAGTATTGAAGTCCCCTACTATTATTGTGGTGCCATCTATCCCATTTCTTAGGTCTAGTAATAATTGTTTTATAAATTTGGGAGCTCCAGTATTAGGTGCATATATATTTAGGATTGTGATATTGTTCTGTTGGACCGATCCTTTTATCATTATAAAATTTCCTTCTTTGTCTTTTATAACTGTTGTTGCTTTAAAGCTTGTCTGATATAAAAATAGGAACATCAAAAGACATTCCTCCATCTACAACCATGCAGGTGTTCCAGCAATGAAAACGAGGACAAATCTCTCAGGAGAAACAATGCTCATGGGTGCTCGAGAAAACTGCTTGCTTTTTAGTTCTTGAATACTGAAAATTACTTTTGGCCCTTTTTGGACTCTAGAACAATGATTCATTATATTTATTTGTTATTCTGTCATTTTACAGTTGAATGCAAGACTCCAACGTCCTTGTCATTTGCAATATTTTAATCATGCTCCACAGCCTGACTTGCAACCCTGTTGCCTTTGATCTTGCTCCAGTTCACAAATTGAGCCCTGAAGTCTTCCATTTTTCCCATGGACCATTACCAACTGAAATCTCACAGTAAGAAACCAGTCTTTTAGAGTGGGTCTACTTAGCCAGGCGCAGAGGCTCACACCTGTAATCCCAGCACTTTGGGAGACCAAGGCGGATGGATCACCAGGTCAGGAGATCGAGACCATCCTGGCTAACACGGTGAAACCCTGTCTCTACTAAAAATACAAAAAATTAGCCAGGTGTGGTGATGGGTGCCTATAGTCCCACCTACTTGGGAGGCTGAGGCAGGAGAATGGCGTGAACCTGGGAGGCGGAGCTTGCAGTGAACCTAGATCACGCCACTGCACTCCAGCCTGGGCAACAGAGCAAGACTCCGTCTCAAAATAAATAAATAAATAGAGTGGGTCTACTTAAATTATCCACTGCCACAGCCCAAGCATAAGGTATTCTGGATAGACGTTCACCAGTAAAGACTTCATTTAGTGCTGTCATTCACAAATGTCGGAGTCCTAAAGCCTCAGATCTTTCACCACGAACTTGTCCAATGTCAAGGGCTCTACTCTGTTGATTCGAATTTAGTTGCTGTCCATGATGTCCCACAGGATTGGAGTTTATGCCAGTTCCTTCCAGATATGATCTGATTACTGCCTCCATACTGAACTCACTACTATAGACCTTTGGTAAGGCTCCTGGAAAGAAATGTGTGTATTGAACAGGCCAACATAAGTGACCCTCAGGTAGTCCTGGATCAGATTTTACCCCGTAACTGGTTTAAGTTTGTACAAGACTTTACTCACTGGCAGAAGCATTGCACCATCACCTTCTGCAGCTATGATAGCACCCGCCCAATAGAGAGCTTCCTCCTCATATTCACTGCTCTCTACCAGATTAACCTCAACTTCCATATCTCGTAATCTGTAATACATTCTGCATCTTTGCAAATATGATGTGGTTCAATAATTCCACTATAGCTACATTCCTTCAATGCAAGCAGTTGCTTCCAGTCCTCCTCCAGGAGCTCCGCTTAATGGTGCCACTGCTTTTGAAACTCCTACCGGGTGGTTTTAGCCACCACCAGCTGGGAGGGGTGGAAACCATCATTAGGGTGGCTGCCACAGCCCACCAACTCACATGGCTGCATCTGCCCCCAATGCCAATGGCCACCACAGTTACCACTGGGCCTTGCAGTGGGGCATCCCTTGCCTGGGTTTTGCAGTGCTGCTGCCAGACCACCTGCACGTGAGGATGGCTGCCAAGCAAGAAGTCTTGGAAATGTCATCTTTCACCCAGCCAAGGCCACAGGCGCAGACTCCTGCCTGTGCTCCCAGATTCCACCACTAGGAGTGTGGGCAGCTGATGCTGCATTGGCCTGTAACATCACCCGAGAAGACAGAGGTTAAGTTCAGGGACATGACTGGCCCATGACATGAAGGGGATGTTCTAATGAATTTGTAGTACAGTCTCTTATCTTCTAGGTGGAGTATGTGACATTTTTACTTTTAAAAATCAATCTTCATTTTGAAATATCTTTATTATTTTGGTTACTTCTACTATTGATTCAACAGTATTCCAAGTTAATTTTTTATCTGGAATTTAATAATTTAATCTGAGTGGAGAGGGGAGTCCTGCAGCAGGACAAATAAAACACACCATATTCCTAGAAGAGATATAGAATTTGAAAATAAAAATCACACATATGAAATGCATGTGGAGGGTATGGCAAAAATACATCTTTTGACAGTATTGGGCACATGGAATGATAATAACAAGGCAGGCAAGGATAGTTAAAGCCAGAGAGTGAATGTCCTTGTGTGTCATAGGGAAGTGATTGATTTTTTTAATTCAATTGAAGTGAATTAATTACTTAAGGAGGATTGGGAACTATCGGGCATCACCACTGGGGACATTTGCTGAGAGGTGGTGTGGCCAGGCCACATTATTCACCTGACTCTGCTGCTAATTCCAGTGCAGGAGGAGTTGCCTGTTACTTCCAGGTGACAGGCCTGGCTGAGTGAGCATAGATGGCATGTAGGACTCTGAAAAGGACGCATGGAGCACCCTACTACTGACACAGAGCCTGACACAGGGCGGGCATAGCCACCTGTGCATGCTGACAAGTGACTGGCATTTTTCATTTACCATAAACCCCTGCTTCTGAAATCTGAGGAGTTTGTGCTATCTGCTCTGCTGACACCTTCCAGTGCACCTTCTCAGAGGAAAACCCATATAAGTTAACAATAATTTTTAAAAATAAAGCACTAACATTACTAATCTACATGCTGTTGAATTTTTGTTTTATTTTGGGGTTTTTTTGGTTTTTTGTTTGTTTGTTTGTTTGAGACAGGGTCTCACTTTGTCACCCAGGCTGGAGTCCAGTAGCACAATCTCGGTTCACAGCAGCCTCGACCTCCCAGGCTCAAGCAATCCTCCGACCTCAGCCTCCCTAGTAGCTAGGACTATAGGCACATGAAGCCATGCCTGGCTAATTTTTTTTTGAGATGGGGTCTCGCTCTGTCACCAGGCTGGAGTGCAGTGGTGCGATCTGGCTCACTGCAACCTCCGCCTCCCCGGTTCAAGTGATTCTCCTGCCTCAGCCTCCCAAGTAGCTGGGACTACAGGAGTGCATGCGTCACCATGTACAGCTAATTTTTGTATTTTTAGTAGAGACAGGGTTTCACCATGTTGGCCAGGATGGTCTTGATCTCTTGACCTCATGATCTGCCGTCTCAGCCTCCCAAAATGCTGGGATTACAGGCATGAGCCACTGCACCCGTCCCTGCCCAGGCTGGTCTTAAACTCCTTGGATCAAGAGATCCTCCTGCCTTGGCCTCCCAAAGTAGTTGGGATTACAGGTGTGAGCCACTGCACCTGGCCTGAATTTTTTTAATTTGGTGTCCGCAGATAAGAAAATATTTCACCATTTGTTCAAATTTTCTTTGATATCATTTACAAAATTGCTAATTATTTTCTAATAGATACATTAAATGTTTATTTTTTATACTGAGACAGAAAAATATAAGAATTTTTAACTTTATAATAAATTTTATTAGTTGTGAATTTGGCATTTTTTAATTCATTCTAATATATTTTCAGTACAATTTATTTTATTCTTGGTAGATATTCATAGCTTTCAAAACTTTCAAAATAAATGAATTCTGTCTTTATAATACTAGTGTCTATTTTTATTGCCTCCGTTATTGAATTGGCAGAGATTCCAGGCTAAAACCTTGAACAACAGCTGTATCTGTAGCCATCATGTAGGATCCCAGATTAAAATGCAAACAATCCTAGTAATTTTTCTTTAGAAGTAATGGTTCCCTCTAGTTTAAAGATACACAATCAGTAATGCATTATGGAAGTATATTTTATTTCTATATTTATTTTCATAAAGGCAGGAAATATGATTAAATTTAATGGAAAGCCTCATAAGCATTTATTAGAAAAATCGTGTTCATTTCAGTTTAAATCCTTTGCAATGAGAAAAGGATTAACAAAATGGCCTTAAGAAATCCACATTTTCCACCCTCACAACTGATCCCACCTTTATCCCTCTGGGTCATCATGAGATCCTCATGTTTGAGTCCCAACGTATGCCAAGTAACCTTCACCCTCTTCTTCCAGAATGTTCCAGGGCACTGACAGATCTAAGGCCAGTGTCTTCATTGTGTGACAAGTAGATAGGGTAGTTGTCGTCTTTGTCTTCATAAACTCTCATGGATTTCTCTGGATCTGGATAATGAACCGCACATTTGCAATCTTTACTCAGCCAGGAGATCAGGAGAAAACAGTCCTAAGGACTCAGGTGCGCAGACACAAGTAGGGCTGGTTTGTTTCTTTTCACAGGATTTTCTGTGCATGGACAGTCTTAAAATCTGCCCTCACTTGTGTTAGATCCCCTGAAGCACCTCCTTTGTCTTGAGAGGTTCTCTGAGGTGACCCCTGAGCCCAGATTGAGTGGAAAAAGCTCCTGGACCCCGGGTGGCCAGAAGAAAGAGTCAGAGGAAGGGAGGAGGGTGGGAGCCTGAGTCTGGCCTAGCAAAGCTCAGCAGTGAGGTTACTGCCATCTTCTGGTGGCTCCAAGGCTCCGTCACCCCTTAGTCCTTCCCATCTTGCCAACATTATGTTAAAAGACACTGTTCAGGACAGGTACGTATCTATGCTGAGAGGATCTCAGTGGAACCATGATCCTGTGGAACAATCGGTGATAAGAGGCTGAGCCCTGTGTCCTATAAAGACCCTGAGAGCCAGAGCCACAGGTAGGTGAGCTCAGTGGGAGGGAGAAGGGATTCTGGAAGCCAGTCCTCTACGGGATGGTTTTCAGTAACAGATGTTCATATGGACCACTAAATATACCCTAAGGAAACAAGTTTTTGGAAATTCCTGAAGGGACTTATATCTTTTTTTTTTCTTTCGTGGTGATAGACTCTCGCTATGTGGAAGACACTGGTCTCAATCTCCTGGCTTGAAGCAGTCCTCTTGTCTCAACCTCCCAAAGTATTGTGATTATAAGCATGAGTCAGCACACCTGGCACCTAGGAACTTACGGTTTTAGAAATTCCTCCCTACTCTGTCTGCATAAATCAAGTTATAATTTTTGCTATGGCTTGAGATTTAAAATCTGTTTCTGAGTATTTGGGGGCTTTGAATGGGAATTTAGGAGAGTAGGATTATGGAATATTAACCTGACATCATTATAAATGGAGATCCTTATGAATAATTTTATGATAATAAAAGTAGGTTCTTCCCAAACATTAACGCTAATAAAAATCTCATGTACAGCTTGTTAAATACAGGCTATCTGTCACCAACACAAGTTTCTGACTTAGTAGGTTTAGGTTAGAGAATTACATTTTTAACAAGCCCCTTGAAAATGCTCCCACTTCAGTGATAAATAAAATATTCAGTCAGCCTCCATGGTCAAATTAATGAGTGAGCATATGCCTGTTAATTCTCTTTGAATAAGAAGCGTCTTCCTGGAGCACTGGGGTGTCTGTGACTCACTGTGAGCTTATATATTTTGTAGATAATTCTCCCTCCACATTATTCTCAGTGGAGACGAAGCACAGCCATGGAAAAGCCACACTGGGAAGGTGGACACACCCGGGGAGAGACTGGGTGAGGCACCTGGCAGTGAACCCCTGCGTCAGAGACTGGGGCGAGGAGACTCCTCACTCACCGTGTTGACCATTTCCACCCTCTCACTTTCCCTCCTGTCTGTAAGGGCTGAACTGTTCTCAGTATATAAAGAGGTTTTAGTTGCACTTCCTCATAGGTTTAAATCACTGTGGAAATGCCACTACCCATATACAGCACACAGTAATAATCAGATTCATCATCTGCCTGGGCCCCCGTGATGGTGAGGGCAGCTTTGTTCCCAAGGATGGAGCCAGAGAAGCGATCAGGGACCCCAGAAGAGCGAGTGTTTGTGCTGTAGATGAGCGTGCGTGGAGCCTGGCCTGGGGTCTGCTGGTACCAGCTGGGGTAGTAACTAGTAGAGACTGAGCCAGAGCTCAAGCCACAAGTGAGTGTGACTGTCCCTCCAGGGGACACTGAGAACGATGGCTCCTGGGTCACCACAGTCTGAGAATCCACTCCTAAAACGAACAGGAGAGACACAGTTATGATCATGAGGATGAGAGTAACCTGGACCCTGTTTTCTGTGGTCCCCCAGGGATAGAGTCCCTTCCCCTGACCTGATCCATAAGCAAGGAGTCCGAGGAGAAGCATCATCCAGGCCATGGTGGGGACACTCATGAAGGCTAAGTGTTCTCAGGCTTCCCAGCTGGGGTTTGTTTTCCTCAGGGCCTTTTCATGCCTCCCCAGACCCAATAGGATAAAAAAAGTTCTTTATGCAAATCAGCTTCCCCTCTCTTCCTGCCCCAGGTTTCACCCTGCTGTCCTGTGGGGAGACCTTGAGAGAGGCAGCTGCTGAGAACTCACACAGACCCATGATCACACAGGACCGAGACACTAATGAATAGGTGTTGGTGCCTTTCCCCAGATTAGCTCTCCCAATTTTGGAGTGGCCAAAGGATGGGGGATATGTCCTCCCTCCTGCCACACAATCTGGTTTATAACTAAATCTAACCCCATCCTTGTGAGCATTTTCTTTTCTCCCTGCTGAAATGCTTGTGGTGTTTTTTGGGAGCTAGTAGCAGGCCCCAGCATCCTTTGATTGCCCCCTAATGGAATCTCTTTGATGACTGAGGAGGATGAAGGAGAGAGGAATCCGGGCCATGACAGAGATGGCCCCAGTTCTCTAATTTTTGAGGCACTCACTATGTCTGCAATTGAGACCTCTATTCCCCAAGAGTCCCTTATTCTGTCTTTGTTAAATTTCAGAATGTACATTTGTTCCTGCTGTGTGATTGTCCATCTGTCTGTGCCTGGACAACCACTCCATCCCCACTGGATGCAGTAAACAGCACCACTGCCCACTGGCATTGTGAACCTGGTGTCCATCACTGAGCTCTGCTGGGGATAGTCTATGTGGCAGCTGCTGTAGCTCTTGCTCAGAGTGCTGGTGAGTTTGACCCTTTGTCCCAGGGAGGCAGATACAGAGGGTGGCTAAATCAGCACAGATTGGGAGAAAGATGCTGGAAAAATAGATACCCATTATGGCCTGAAGGAAGAAGAGGGAAGGACATTCCTGGCATGAGTTTGGGAGCTGATGTCAGTGACCTGGGGGATCAGGATGCTGGGGACCATCCTAACCCATGCAGTGGAGGAGGAGGATGAGGAGGAAGACTAAGGTTATCTACTAATGGCTTGCCATTTTATTTTTGACCTTTCTTATTTACTTGGTAATATTAATACACATAATGTGGATTTGTGGGGAAATGAACCTTTTAGAAACGCAGAATCTCAGGCTCACTCCAGACCTACTGAGTCAGAATTCACATTCTCCAGAATCCCAGAGAATCTGTGGTTTGGACTTACCTTTGCGGGAGAAATGATAAAGTTGAGCAACTTCTTTTTGACTCATTAGTCAATTCATGTCATCTTTTCAGAAATGTCTATTAAGGGCCTTTGCCCAGTTTTGCTTCAGCATATGTGTTGTTGTGTTTTTGTTTTGTTTTGTCTTTTTTGTTGTTGTTGTTGCTTCCAAACACAGTGGTGTTAGTTTCTTGGACATGTTAGATAACAACCGCTTTCAGAGATACAGTTTTTCAGATCTGTCTCCAAATCTGTAGGACACCTTCTCTTTCGGTTCATTGGTTTCATTCCTGTGGAACATCTCTAAAGCTTTCCATAGTCCTGCGTGTTTCTATTTGCATGTGCATGTGGTGACTTTGGTGTCCCGTCACAAAAAAAAAGGAAAAAAGATCGCATTGTCTGTGGGTTTCTTCCTCCTACTTTTCCCTTTTGTTTTCTTTCCTTTTGGCAATCTGTGTACATAGATTAAAGTTTCACTGAAGTAAACGCTCACCCTGTGTTTTCTTCTAGGGTGTGAAAACACCCTGTGTTTTCAGTTTTGGGTGGAGATCTTTACTGTATTTTGCATTGATTTTTTTGTCTTATGTAACATGAGGATCCATTTCAGTGTTTTGCAGGTAGAAATTCATTTTACTCAAAGACAATTAGCAGACTTCTCTCTTCACTGTTGTGATATTTGGTGTTCTCTTGAAAAATGCATTCACCATATGTAATTTTGGGCTGCATTTTTGGCTTTCTCATTTTGTCCATAGGTTAGTGTTTCTGTGTGTTTGCCAGTGAGGGATTGTTTGGATAACTATAGATTTTACTTATTTTTTTGTTTATGTAGCTCTTAAGCTTCTTCGTGTGTGTGTGTGTGTGTGTGTGTGTGTGTGTGTAATAGTTTCTACTTTTATTATAGATGAAAGAGTACACACACAGGTTAATTATATCTGTTGGTTGCATAATACTGAGGCTTGGGCTCCCAACAACTCCATGACCCGGGCAGTGAGCAGAGGACGCACAAGGTGGGTCTTCAGGACGCAACGCCCCCTCCCTCCCATTTGCATTTTCTTTTTGGTCTGGTAGTTATTCCTAATGTAATCATTCCCTTCTTTACGTTCAGGTGCATTCATAGTTTAGTTCCCACTTATAAGTGAGAATGTGTGGCATTTGGATTTCTGTTCTGGCCTTGAGTTCACTTAGGATAATGACCTGCAGCTCCATCCATGTTGCTGCCAAAAATGTGATTTTTGGGGGCTGTGTAGTGTTTTGTGGTGTATACATACCATATTTTCTTTATCTTATCCACTGTTGATGGATGCCTAGGTTGATTCCGTTTCTTTACCATTGTGAATAACACGGCCGTGAGCATACAAGTGCCTGTGTCTTTTGGATAGAAGGATATATTTTCCTTGGGTAGATCTTCAGGAGAGGGATTGTGGGGTTGGATGGTAGTTCTAAGTTCTTTGAGAAATCTCCAAACTTCTTTCCACAGTGTCTGTACTAGCTTGCTTCCCCCACCAAGACCATATCAGCCTTTCCTCTCCTCAGCTGCCTCGCCAGTATCTTTCTTTCTTTCTTTGTCTGCATAGTCATCGCCGCTCTGAGTGGTGTGGGATGGTATCTCGACCTGCTCTTGATTGGCATTTCTCTGTTGATGAGTGAGTTTGAGCATGTTTCCCTCTTTGTTGGTCACTTGCACATTGTCCTATGAGAAGTGTGTGTTCACATCCCTTGCCCATACACTAATGGGATTTTTTTGTTGTTTTTTGTTGAATGATTGGCATAAGATCCTTGAAGATTCTGGATATTAGACCTTGATCAGATGCAGTTTGGGAACATGTTCTCCCACTCTGTATGCTGTCTCTTACTCTGTTGCTAATTTATTTTGCTGTGTGGTGGCTCTTTAGAGTATTAAGCATGGCTTGTCCATTTTTGTTGTCATTTCCTTTGGGGACATAGCCAAATAGATTCTTTGCCAAAACCTGTGTGGAGAAAGGTATTTTGTATGTTTTCTTGCAGGATTTTAATAGTTTGAGGTCTTCCATTTAAATCTTTCATTCATCTGGAGTTTCTTTTTGTGTCTGGTTAGAGGTCGGGGCCCAGTGTTACTCTTCCGCATATGGCTAACCACTTATCCCAGCACCATTGTTTGAATAGGGCATCCTTTCCCCCTTGCTTATTGTTGTGGATTCTGTCAAGGATCAGATGGTTTTTGGTGTGTGAGTTTACTTCTGGGCCCTCTCTTGTGTTCCACTGCTCTGTGTGGAAGCAGGTACCCAGTTTTTCCATGAAATTTGAAATCGGTGGGTGAGATGCATCTGATGTAGTCTGAATGTCTCAGGATTGCTTTGGAAGAAATTCAGGGTGATTCATGGTCCCATGTGAATTCTAGCATCATGTATTTATATTTCTTTAAACAAATTTGCTGAATAGTAAAGGAATGCAATGAGAGGGTAGAGTGCGACATTTTGGTCTTTGCATACATTGTGGAATGACGAAATCAGGGTATTTATTTTTTCTGTTATTTCGTACCACTGTTTATTCTTTTGTGGCGAGAAGCTTCAGTATCCTCCTTTCAAGCTGTTTTGAAGATGTAATGATGCTATTAACCCTAGTCACCCTGCTGTGGAATAGAAAAACAGAATTTCCTTCCTCTCATCTGTGTGGAACTTTCTACCCCTTTCCAATCCTTGCCCCTTCCCCTTCTTCCCCCCAACCTCTGGTAACCATGATTATGCTTTCTAGGTCTTTGAGATAAAGTTTCTCAGCTTCTGCATGAGTGAGAGGATGCAAAGTTTGTCTGTCTCTGCCTGGCTCATTTCATTTACCATCATGTCCTCCAGGTGCAACCGTGTGGCTCCCGTGATGGGAATTCATTGTATTTTTCTGGCTGAAGAGTATTCCAGTGTCTACGCATGGGACAGTTTCCTTATCCCTTCATCTGCAGATGGACAGGTCGGCTGATTTCTCATCTTGGCCATTCTGCATAGTGCTGGATTCCACCTGGGAACGCAGATAATCTCTTCCATGGCTTGATTTCATGTACTCTGTATATACGACTAGTAGTAGATTGCTGGATGAAATGGTAGTTGTGGTTTTAAGGTTTGGAGGGACCTCCAAGTGGTTTCTTTAGTGTGTGTACTAGTTTATGTTCCTACGAACTGCGGAGACAAGTTCCCCCTCTGGAAATCCACACCATCGTTTTTTTGTCTTTTAATATTTTTCAACTTTTTTTTTGTAGTATCCATTCCATCTAGAGTGAGATGGAATCTGAGTGGTGGTTTTCATTTTCTGTGTGTGTGTGATTAGTTATATTTGCCATGTTATTGTTAATTTGTTTTGAATTTGATGTGTAAAAGTGGGCAGAGGACCTGAAGACATGAGGTTGATGCACAGGTAAAAGATAAGATTATCAACATGGCCGATTCACACCAAAACATGATTGAAAACCACACTCAGATTCTATGTCACTCCAGTTAGAATGAATACTACCAACATTTGATGGCAGTTTCATTACTATAGAGTGTATGTATATAACCAGAGGGTGCAAGGGACATTTTGATATATGTATACGTAGTGTCATGATCAAATCATGGTGTCTGGCTTCTTATTATTTCCCTGTGGAGAGAACATTCAGAACCATCCTTTCCAGCTGTTTTTGAAAAATTCCCCTAGACATTGTTGACCCTGGTCACCCTGCTGTGGAATAGAACATCAGAATGGATTCCTCTCCTCTGAGTGTTACTCTGTACCCATTACCAATCCCTGCCCAGGCCCCCTCCTCTCTCCAGCTTCTAGTAACCCCTATTGAAAGTTCTGCTTCTAGAAGACAGTGTTTTTTGGATTCCATTTGCCTAATGTCATGCAGTATGGGTCTCTCTCTAACAGGCTCATTTCATTTCCCCTAATTGTCTTCCAGGTTTCTCCACATGGCTGCAGATCAATGATTTCCCAAACTGTTATGGCTGAAATGCTTTCCATCATGTATATATCCAGTTCCTTTATCTCTTCATCTGTGGATGGACAGTTAGGTTGATTCCATATCTTGACTATTGTGACTAGTGCTTCAGGACACATGGGAAGGCAGATACCTCTTCAATGCAGGGATTTTGTTTCCTCTAAATGTGTACCCAGTGGTGGGATTGTTAACCTGGAGTGGTGGTTGTACTTTGACCTTTTACTTTTTTAAGGAACCTCCAACAGTTTTGCATAGTGTGTATACTAATTTACATTCCCACAAAGAGCGTACAAGAGTTTTCCTTCCTGCAATTCTACACCAGCCATCACCTCCAACAATTTTTATTTTTATCTTTTGCAATATTCATTTTAACTGGAATTATATGGTACCTGAGTATGGTTTTGATTCACTTTTTTGTGAGGATTAGTGATATTGAGAAACTGTTAACCTGTGAGTCAATTTCCTGTCTTCTTTACACACATGTCTATTCAGATCCTCTTAGCTTGGGTATTTGTTGTTGTTGTTTTTGTTGTTTTTCATTTAGTAGAGTGAGTTTATTGTAGGTGTTAGATAACAATCTCTTTCAGAGGTAGGACTTTCCATAATTCTCTCCTAGTCTTTAGGATGCATTTTGTTTGTTTGTTTATTTCATTGTTTCTTTCCCCCTGTAGAAGTTCTAAAGTGTCACTAGTGTCTTTGTTTATATTTGCATGTTAGCTGTAATTTTTGTATCCAAACCTCCACCCTACAAAACACACACACATACACACACACATATATAGCCAAGCCATTGCATTGTCTGTGCATGTAGTTCCCCTAATTTTCCCTTTAGTGTTATGATTATTTTTCACCTTTTGCAGCCTGTGTGCATAGATACAGGCTTCCTAAAATATACACCCAACCTATGTTTTCTTATAAGACCTTTGCAGTTTCAAGATTGAGTTTAGGTCTTTAATTTATTTTGTGTTGATTTTGTGTATCGTGCAATGCAAAGGTCTTATTTCAGTGTTTTGCATGTGCATATTCAGTTTTCTCAAAATCACTTCTTGAACCAGACTCTCCCTTTCCCATTGTGTCTTTTTGGTGTTTTGAAAAATGTGTTCCCTATGTATCATGTTGGGTTGAGTATTTGGCTGCCTCATTCTGTCCACTGGGTCCTTGTTCTGTGTTTGTGACAGTCATGGATTGTTTGGATAACTATAGATTGTGTTTTTTCATTTATTATTTTCTTCGCTTCTGATCTTGACTTTTTCTTTCAATGCTCTTTACTCTTACTATTCTAGTTTAAAGGGTACACATGCAGGTTAGTTACATCTGTTGATTGCATGACACGGAGGCTTGGGGTCCCAACAACCTCATGACCCAGGCAGTGGGCAGAGGATCCACAGGGTGGATCCTCTTTTTTTTTTTTTTTTTTTTTGGTCTGGTAGTCATTCCCAGTGTCTGTTGTTCCTTTCTGTATGTTCGGGTATATTCATAGTTTAGCTCCCACTTATAAGTGAGATCATGCAGCATTTGGTTTTCTGTTCGGGGCTTAGTTCACTTATGATAATGGCCTCCAGCTCCATCCACGTTGCTGCCAAGAACATAACTTTCTTTTATGGCTGCATAGTGTTCCGTGGTATATAAGTAACACATTTTCTTTATCTCGCCCACTGTTTTATTTTTTATTTATTTATTTTTTAATTTTTTGAGACAGTCTCCCGCTCTGTCATCCAGGCTGGAGTACAGTGGCACAATCACAACTCACTGCAGCCTCGACCTCCCAGGCTCAGGTGATCCTCCCACCTCAGCCTCCTGATTAGGTAGGACTACAAGTGCCTGTCACTGCATCTGGCTAATTTTTGTATTTTTTATAGAAATGGGGTTTTACCATGTTGCTCAGGCTGGTCTCGAACTCCTGGACTCAAGGGATTCACCTGCTTTGGCCTCCCAAAGTGCTTGGATTACAGGCATGAGCCACCGCACCTGGCCTTCTCACAGTTTTTGAGGCTGGGAAGTTCAGGATCAAGGCACTGTCATCTGATAAGTGCCTTTTTTCTGTGTCCTCACATGGCAAGAAGAGAGACAGAGCACACCGCTACCTCCAGCCTTTATATAAGAGACCTGATCCCAACCGTGAGGTCTCCGTGTTCAAGACTATATCACCTTTTGAAGGCCTACCTCTTAGTACTATCACACTGGCAATTAAGTATAAATCCTTTTGGAAGGGAGACATTCAAACCAGAGCACGATGAAAACAGCAGCACTGGAAGGCAGGGCTCCTCACGTCAGTCATTTACTCCAGGGGGACGGGAGCCACCCTGCAGAATGCAGCTCAGTCTTGGGGAGAGAGACGAGGGGATAAGAATGGGACTAGGAATAGACATGGGAGTGCCCCCTGCTCACAGGACAGAGAGGAGAAGCATCAAATCGGGTAAAAATAATGAATGCCTCATTTATTTCTTCTAGCACTTATTCAATCGTTTCAGTAATACATATTCATTAGCCAACTACTCCTCAGGTTTGGGCTCCTGGCGTCAGTGGGTGAATTTGGTTTTTCAGGTTGTTCACATATTGTTATGTGCAATTTTTTTTCTGCTGATTCACTCAGTTAATAGAAGTGTGTGCTATTATTTATAACTATAATTGGGAATTGATTCTTTTCTCTTCCTTAGTCCTGCTAATTTATATTTTATATAGATTATATTATTAGGGACATGTTTTTTGGTTTGTTTATTTGTGTGTGCTTTTTTGGTTTGTTTTGTTCGTTTGTTTGTTTGTTGTTGTTTGAGATGGGATCTCACTCTGTCACCCTGGCAGGAGTGCAGTGGCGCTATCTTGGCTCACTGCAACCTCCACCTCTCAGGCTCAAGGGATCCTCCTACCTCAGGCTCCCAAGTATCTGGGACTACAGACACATATGCCACCGTGCCTGGCTAATTTTTTTTTCTGTACTTTTTAGAGATGAAATTTTGCCATGCTGCCCAGGCTGGTCTAGAACTCCTGAGCTCAAGCAATCCACCCACCTTGGCCTCCCAAAGGGCTGGGATTACAGGCGTGAGCCACCATGCATGGACTGATGTGTATTTTATAATTGTTATGTGTTCTTGTCAAATATTTCATTTTATATACATAAAATGTCCCACATTTCCTGATGTAAATAATTTTCATTGAAATTATCTGGTCTGATACCGAGATAACCACAAGAGCTTTCTGCAGGTAAATGTTTGCATAGTGTATTTTTAGCATCCTTTAAAATATAACACACAAGTAACTTTATTTTAAGGAAATTATTTTTATCTGGTTCATCAACACATTTACATTGAATATAATTGCTGATATTGTGTGTGAGTTTACCTTTCTCTTTATTTTATTTGGGCTTTTTGCTTTATTTCTTTTCGCTCACTTTTTATTTTTCATGAATCAAGTATTTCTAACTGTATCATTTTACATTAGCACCTATTTAGTTTTACATTCTATAAATTCAATAGGAACCCCAGATATTGCAACATATAACCTCACCTTATTAGTGCCCACATTATTTATACATTTTGTGTAATTATTTTATAACACAGAACCTCATAAAAGTTTACACAATGCCTGTCCTTTGTGGTAATTATGGTTGCTAGAGGTTGTACATGCACCTAAGTATGAATGATGAAAACCATTATCAGTGGTAGAGGTGGTGTTTTCAACATCAAAGTCATCTTATGTACCCGACACATTCCCTTCCCTGTGCTGTGACCCTGCAGGATTTCTCAGGTGAGTGCCTGGCAGGTCCCTGTCTCTTAAGCACCAAGAAACTGCAGAAATCCCCTCCACCTGTCTTTCAGAGATTTTGTCTCATCTTTTTAGCCTCTTTCTTAATGTGGGTTGGAATTCAGCATCTGTTTGCACAAGGACCTAATGGGGGTTTGAAGCCCTCAATCTCCAATTTGTTTTTAATTCTCAAGGACACTGAATTACCCTCAAAGCTATTTCAGTATTCTTTGGCATGATCAAGTGCATACTTGCTGTTTAACCCTTGCTGACATCTGTACCCTCGTCCTGTCTTGTCTTTTTGTCTGGGACAAAAAAAACCCATCCATTCTATGGGATGTTTCCTCTCCATTTATGGAGAATCTCAGAAACCTGCAGGCTTCAGGAAGCTGCCTCAGGTACAGGGAAGGGCAGGAAGGTGTACGAATTTTATCTTTGACAACACATTCTTCCTGGACCATGTGGTGACCACTCTCACTCCCAACCCCAAACCTGACCTTAGTCATGGACACAAACACACACCAAGTCCATGTGCCCAGAAATCTGGAATCAACAAGAGTATTTTCTGTCTGAGCTACCTGCCTGTCTGTATTGCAATGCCCAGGCTGGGAATGTTTTATCCTGAAAGCCCAGTATATAGGTCGACTGCATATGAGGCGACAGACCCAGGGAATGGCCTCATTCCATCAGTCCTGGAGGAAAAAATGACTGCAGGAATGTCCTGAGTCAGGTGACAGTCACACAAAATTAAAGTGAGTCTATAGGCCAGGCTGTGGGATCAGATGGGAGGCTTGTGCCTCATGTCCCCATGAGACAGGTGTCCTGGGTTAACCTGGGGCTCTTTCCACATCCTGAACACTGATCATCACCCTCATCCTCATACAGGATCCCAGAGTATTGCAGAAGCCCAAGTGGCCAGACCTAGAGCAAGAGCCCAAAATCAGAACCCTGCAAGCTGGAGACCAGCAGGCATTACCATCTGGGGCTCCCGTAGGAGCTGGCGGTGCCAGGCCACGCTGTCCACTCGACTCTGCTGCTTGTTCCAGTGCATGAGGAGGTGACCTTAACTTCCAGACAATGTGGCCAGATGAGGGAACACAGACTGCATGGAGGACCTTGGAAGAGTTTGCGGGGCACAGCCCTGCTGGCACAAAGCCTGACACAGAAGGACACAGACACCCCTGCACGGTGAACAGTGACTGATACTTGTCATTTACAAGCCTCTTCTTCAGCTCATCCCCATGTTGAAAGCAAGAGCTGCTGAGGTAGGGTTACATGCTGCCAAAAATGAAAACTGAGGTTCAGAGAGTATGTGATTGCTTCAATGGGCCCAGAGTAGTGATGAGTTATCCCCAGTGCTGATGTGACAAAATCTTGCCATTCTACTCATAGTGTTGCTTCTTCCAGGGCAGTGGATGTAGGAGTCTCTTCTGGGAGCTGAACCTTTGCAGGAGGCTGGACTAGCAGGGAGAGATGCAGAGAACTGTGGGCACAGGACAGGGTCCACCGATTGCGAAAGCAAGAATGGAATGAGAAGTATGAGCAATGGATCGATATACTAGTCGAACTGAAATAAGATATTGTCAGAACTATTTGTCCAAGGAAAATCAGATGTTCACAACAGAAGTTACATTCTGAGCTAGATTTATCAGAGCCTCCAGCCAGGATCACTGCACCAGGCCTAGAGAGCAGAGGGAAGATTTGTGTCTCACTTTCCCATGGGCCTGGAGCCCTGTGTAAGCCTCAGAGCCACTGTGAAATCCACTGCCCCTGTGCAGACCCCGAGACAGACCCATTCTCAGGCTGCAGCACAGCAACGTGCAAAATCCTTGCACAGGCCGACGCATCTTTAGATCCCAAGATGTGGCTGGGAGCCTCAGAGCCCTGTTTCTTACTTGAGTCCAAGTAGAAGTTCACGAGATATTAGATAGGGTTCCCTGGATTCTGCCAGAACCAGTCACCGATTTCTTCTGATGGAATCACTGATTCATTGTGGTGATTATCCAAGGGTGTATAAATATCTTAAAACACACAAAATTGGGCACTTTAAATATCAGGGGTTTATTTTGTTAATTATTCCTCAATAAAAAGACACATAAAAAATAGGCTGAAACAGACCCGGCATGGTGGCTCACGCCTGTAATCCCAGCACTTTGGGAGGCCGAGGTGGGCGGATCACTTAAGGTCAGGAGATCGAGACAATCCTGTGAATGGTGAAACCCCATCCCTACTAAAAATACAAAAAATTAGCCGGGCATGGTGGCGGGCGCCTGTAGTCCCAGCTACTCGGGAGGCTGAGGCAGGAGAATGGCGTGAACCCGGGAGGCGGAGTTTGCAGTGAGCCAAGATCGCGCCACTGCGCTCCAGCCTGGGCGACAGAGCGAGACTCCATCTCAAAAAAAAAAAAAAAATAGGCTGAAACAAAAAGAACAGGAAAACACACTGAGGACCAGTGAGAGGAAGACACTGCTTTGAAAACTCCTGGAAATAGCAAAAGGATGATGGAGATGCAGGTTCCCCATCAGATGTAGATCTGAGATTTCACTGCTGGATTTGTCACTCCAGCCCCTGGACTTTAGAGCAGAGACCCTGTGTCCCAAGTTGCAGGGTACAGGACATTCTGTTTTCTGGAGGCCCTTTTCCTAGAAAGGGACTGCTGTGGGTGACTCTGAGGACGGAGGGGAGGAGAAGCATCTACTCCCAGGTGGGGCCCTGGATGCTCCCAGGCCCACTGGGGAAACAGCAACTGCAGAAGCCACAGGCCAGGCCTGTGCAGTAGCTGCTGGGCACTCACCCTCCTGGGAAAGGAGGAAGGGGGTTCTTGTCTCACTCCCCTGCAAGCCTGGAGCACTGTACAAGCACTCAGCAGATGTCACGGGACTGGCAGTGATAATCAGTCTTGTCCTCAGCCCAGAGCCCAGTGGTGCCCAGGGAGGCCAAGCTGCCAGACTTGGAACCAGAGAATTGGTCAGATACCCAGGAGGCCCAATTCTTATCACCATGCCTGAGGAGTTTGGGGTCAGTTCTTGGGAGCTACTGCCAACAGTTTACGTTATAGCCAGTCCCAGTGTTGGAGCTGCTTCCAGTGCAGGAGACAGTGAGCCTCTGCCTTGTGGCCCAAGACACTGAGGGTGGCTGAGTCAGCACAGACTGAGCCCAGGATCCTGGAAGTGGGAGAGAAACAGTCATGGTGATTCTGGGTTGAGAGACAAAAGGAGAAAGCAGGGCCCATGGGCTTCCTAGGGCTTTAGCCATGGCCTTATATCTAGTCACCTGTGCAGTGTGCAAGGAGAGTGAGGAGGAGAGGAAACCAGACCATGCTGGAGATTGTCCTGAGTCCTGCCTTCCTTCTGTGCCCACAGCTGAGACAGAGCTTCCCCAAATCTCTCCCTTCCCCTCTTCATTCTCTGAGAATGAGGGTCCATCCATGCAAATTAGAGCCCCCCAGCCTTCTGATGACACGCTGGCCTTGGGTCAGGCCCCTCTCGTGGATATCAGGGATGCAGGCAAGGGTGAAACTGTGTGTTCCGGGGCATCAGGAGCTCACCACTGTGATCACTGAGCAGAGGGCACCATGCAGGCAGTTAGCTGATCGCAGCTCTGATCTCCCCTAGATCACTTGGTAATGAGCCCTTCATGTCCCCAGGTGTCCACATCCAGACACACTCTCCTGTGACATGATGACCAGATGTCCCCAGAGCCAGCTGTGCATTCCCCCTGCTCTGATCACTGCCCCCAGGCTCAGCACCAGGCCAGACAGACCCTTTTTGTGACCTTCTCATTAACTCAGGGCAGTTCATGCTTTACTGGTCTCCTTAAGGGTGAATCTGTCCAGGGCTTTTTGGATGTTCCTTGGTGAGGACTGAAGTGGTGACTCTATACCAAGTCCTCTTAGGTCAGGTCAAGTCCAGAGCAGTGACTGGTTCCCATGACTCACTACCCTGGTCACGGGAGACACCAGGTCCTTTCTTCTGTGGCTCCTCCCTGCTGGCCAGAGCTCTTCCTCCTCTGTGGACCCTGCAGCACTGAGGAGAACAGGAGCTCTCTTCTCTAAGGGTGGTGAGGTTATGGGGAGAAGCTCTGGGGGGCATTTCTGGTAAAATTTTGTTCTCTAATTTCCACAGACTTGGGGTAATAGCTATTCAGATGCTGTGGTCAACTTCTCACTCCTAGGAGTCTGTCCTCCAAGCACTGAACAGAGTCAGTGGCATGGCAAATAACTTTGCAGCATTTTTATTGAATAGCAAAAATGGCAAATTTGCTCAATATTTGAAGACTGCAAGAGATAAAATTACCAATTGTCAGTGTTTGATCCCAGGTGAGGTGGAAACATGGTAGCTGGTAGGATCAGCCACTCCAAGTAGGATGTTTAGAAAATATAAATATGGAGCCAGGCAGGTGGCTCAAGCCTGTAATCTCAGCACTTTGGGAGGCTGAGGCAGGCAGATCACTTGAGGTCAGGAGTTCGAGACCAGCCTGGCCAACATGGTGAAACCCCATCGCTACTAAAAATACAAAAATTAGCTGGGCATGGTGGCGGGTGCCTGTAATGCCAGCTACTCAGAATGCTGAGGCAGGAGAATCAATTAAACTTGGGAGGTGGAGGTTACAATGAGCCGAGATTGTGCGACTGCACTCCAGCCTGGGTGATAGAGTGAGTCCCTGTCTCAAAAAAAAAAAAAGAAAGAAAATATAAATATGGTTTACATTCAGTAATGAGTGCTGTGGGAGTAGTATAAGCATAAGAGAAATTATTAATCTCTGATTTGTAATGACATCTAGTATGTAATATATTTTTTAAAAAACAATAAGCTTAAACAAAAAAGATTACTTTATCAAAACATAAAATGAAACAAACTGTGTATGTGGCTACAACAGTTCTGATATTACATTCTGTGAATTCATAATGAATTTTTGCTGGGGTTATGCAGGGGTAGAGAAGGATAGCAGGATTGTCACATTGATGTTTATACTGATGAGTAGATTACTAGGCAGTTGCAGTACTGTGAGATTTTAAATACACCATCTAAAATGGAATAGTGACATATAATATCATAATATTGTCTTGTAAATAAATCCAGGCCACATATGGAACTGAAAATAAATGTGTGCCATGTCTTAGATTTGCAATTCAGGGGTGTCATTGTTTGAGGTTTCTCTTCTTCATAAGCTGTGGTTTTTAAAAGCATAATTTACAGTCAGTTTTGTAAATAGTTATTGTTTACAGAATACAGGCAATATTGAGTTTTATTCAATATTAGGTAGAAATACATTATTACCACTGTGCTTGCATCCTGTGTTTTCTTGTCATTGCCTCCTCTGTGTGGATGCGTAGAAGTTCCTACCGAATTTTGTTTCCCTTTTCTTCCCATCTGAATGAAGAGGGATCCCCCAGTCTGAGCAGTGTCTCACACAGAGGATGAGGCTGCCTGTGACCCCTCCCTGCCCCTAGGTGCTCTCCCTCGTGGGTGCCCCCTCAGCTCTCAGGCTGGGGACAGAGAGAGGAGCAAGTTTACAGCTAATACTCCCAGTTTAGCCCCATCCTGAGCTCACTACAATGTGTCCAGTGTGGTGAGAGGCAGGTCTGCATTTGGTAAAGGTTTATTGAGTGCCTACCATGTGCTGGGTGCTTTTTGACAGTGGGTATGTGAGCCTCAAGGGAACAGTGTTTTCCCTACCCAGGGAGCTGACCCTGAAGGGAAGGATGAGGATGTGATACATGCAGGGACATCCTTTCTTCGCCTTCACCATTGGAGGTGGTAGGGAGACTGGAGAGGGGACACTGCCACACTCAGGAATCTGAGAGGGGGTGGTGTGCCTGAGCTCAAAGAAGAGGAGAGAATCAGAGCAAACATTTAAGAGTTGAGAGGATAATTCTTTATTTCTAGTGCAGATGAAGAGCAGTTTCTGACGTGGATATAGCTGGAGGAACACAGAGACGAGCGATGAGGTCCATGTGAAGGGGCTGCCAGAGACCACGGGATTAGGATTGAGGAAGGAGAATCTCGGCAGGACCAGAGTCTTAGAAACCCAGGAAGATGACCTCTCTCAGGCCAAGGAGGCTGCTGACTGGTGGGTTTTCATCTACAGAGAGTGTTGGTGTTGGCAGGAAAGGTGGGCTGGAGCCTTGAATTAGAGGGTGTGACATGAACAGCACATGAGAAAATTGAAAGAGGGAAAGTAAGTCCTCCCACAGAAATGAATAGGCGGAAAGTGTAAAATGAAGCTCACCTGCAAGCTCCACATCATCTTCTGGAAACTTCATATAGTGAAATTGTGTTAATGTGTAGATTTCTATTAGAGGGGGCAGATGAAGTTTCTGGTTTTATTAATCTGCAGGATATCAGACAGTTTATCTCCACTCAGAAAGTTTGCATCAGAGGTTCTTTTCTTCTGCATTTTAGATCCTGTGCTGTTAAATGTTCATTCCCAAAGCTTTATCATCCAACTGGCCTCCTCCCTAACATGTCATTTGAATGAAGCATTCAACAGGGTAATTCTGTCTTGTGTTAAGAGCTATGCGCCTATCATTGTAAAAATTACCCCCTTGCCCCTTGGCAGATGATCCATCGAGAAGCCAAAGAGATCCCTGATCCTTTGTTACAAATTATATTGTGTTCACCCTGAATTTTCACGTTATAACTGAATTAACAATTTATCTGTATTGGGAGATCTGGACACTAAGATAATTAAGATACAATGAGGTCATAAGAATGAGTCTCTAATCCAAGAGGACTAATGACTTCATAAGCAATCTGTACAAAAACAACACACAGACCTGAGAGTGACCACGTGAGGACACAGTGAGAAGAGAGCCATCTGGAAGCAAAGTAGCTTTCAGCTACATCCATATTTTGCAAAGAACATGGTTTTGTTGTTCACAATGGCTGCATAGTATTCCATGGTGAATGCGTATCACACATTTTATTTTTACTCGATCCACTACTAATGAGCACTTGAGTTGATTCCATGTTATTGCTATTGTGAATACTGCTGCAACAAACGAATGAGTTCAGATATCTTTTTGGTAGAATTATTTATATTCTTCTGTGTACACACCTAGATTCCTGGGTCCAGTGGTAGTTTTTTTTTTTTTTTTTTTTTTTTTGAGAAATCTCCAAACTGCTTTCCACAGAAGCTGTACTAATTTACATCCCCACCAACAATGTATAAGCATTCCTTTTTTTCTGTATTCTTGCCAGCATCTGTTATTTTTAGACTTTTTAATAATACCCATTCTCACTGGTATGAGATGATATCCCATGTGGTTTTGATTTGCACCTCTCTGATAAGTGAAGTTCTGCATGTTTTCATGTTTGCTGGCTGCTTTTTTGTCTTCTTTTGAGAAGTGACCATGTCCTTTGTCCACTTTTTAATGGAGTTAAATTTTTTTGTTGACTTAGCTTTCTTATAGATTCTGGATATTAGTCCTTTGTTAGATGCATAGTTTGCAAATATTTTTCCCATTGCGTAGGCTGTCTGTTTACTCTGATGAGAGTTTCTTTTGCCATGCAGGAGCTCCTTAGTTTTATCTGGTTCTGATTGTCAAGTTTTTTGTTGCAATTTCTTTTGATGATTAGACATACATTATTTGCCCACACCAATGTCCACAAGAGTATTTTCCAACTTTTCTTCTAAGATTTTAATAGTTGGAGGTCTTACATTTAAGTCTTCATTCATCTGGAATTAATTTTTTATATGGTAAGAGGTAGGGGTCCAGTTTTACTTTTCTGCATTGTAGGCCAGTTTTCTCAGCATCATTTATTGAATAGGGTATCCTTTACACATCGTTTATTTTTATCAATTTTTGAAGATCAGTTTGTTGTAGGTGTGTGTAAAGCCAAAGGATTTTAAGAGATGGGCAATATTGAGGATAAAAGAATGGAGTATATTCATAAACGTCTGCTCTTATAATAATCCTTTAAAACCAAAAAAATACAAGTGAAGTTCTACAGAACATGAGAGTTACCTAGACATAAACATTTCTAGCTCTTCTGAGGCACGGCCACATTTGTCAGCGCTGATTGTATTTATTGAAAACTTAAGATGTCAATAATCTTGTGTCAACTACACAGGGTCCTTAATGTTTTCTCACTTAGCTGCTGCTCACCCATACCCCTCACAGGTCCCGAGATCCCAGCTGTGGTCCCTGTCTCCCCACACTCCATTCCTCAGCACCTCCCACTTCTGAACCATGCAGACATGACCTTTCACCGTTTGCGTGTTCCGCCCATGTCCAGGACTCCACAGCCTAATGTTTGTGTCAAAACCAGAGCCTCATATGGCCCTGCCTGGACCCTCACTTCCTCTTAGTTCACTTTATGTTGCAGCAGGTGAATTTTACAACCTTAATCAGTCGCTGCATCTTTGTCGTCAACTCCTCTAAGTCTGCTCACCCCACCTCACCAAAACACACCTCTCTTCATTTTCCTAAAACATGTCATATTCCTATTGATACATTTACTGATGTGTTCTGTTTTCCCCTAAATAGCATCAGTTCCTGGAGGACAGGGACCATCCTGTCTTATCCACGCTGTACCCTGAGCACCAAGAACACATCCAGAATCTGCACATAGTAGGAGCTCAGAGGAATGGAGTGACCAGGTGGCCTCTGCAGCATCACCTCTCCTGGGTCAGACACAGATGGACTCTGGGTCCCTGGACCCCTGATCCTTTGTTACAAATTATATTGCATCCACCCCGAATTTTTTTTTTTTTTTGAGATGGAGTCTTGCTCTGTCACACAGGCTGGAGTGCAGTGGGTGATCTTGGCTCACTGCAGCCTCTACCTCCTGGTTCCAGTGATTCTCCTGCCTCAGCCTCCCGAGTAGCTGGGACTACAGGCATGTACCACCATGCTCAGCTAATTTTTTGTATTTTTAGTAAAGATGGAGTTTCACCGTGTTAGCCAGGATGGTCTCAATCTCCTGACCTCGTGATCCACCCACCTCAGCCTCCCAAAGTGCTGGGATTAACAGAAGTGAGCCACCGAGCCTGGCCCCCTGATTTTTTATGTTATAACTAAGTTACCAATTTGTCTGTATTGGGAGATCTGGACACTAAGATTATTAAGATTCAATGAAGTCATAGGAATGAGTCTCTAATCCAAAAGGACTAAAGACTTCATAAGAAATGTGTACAAAAACCACATGCAGACCTGGGGGTGGCCATGTGAGGACACAGTGAGAAAAGAGCCATCTGGAAGCAAAGGAAAGAGGGCAAAGAGAAAACCAAACGGGGTGGCACCTTCATCTGGTCCTTTCAGACTCCAGAACAGTGAGACAGTACATATCTGTTGGTGAAGACTCCAGTCTGTGGTGTGTTGTTGTGGAAGCCCCAGCCGACTGATTCACCCATATGTACTCCACCACAGGGCAGCTGGCCTCTGGCATTCAGTACCAGCTGCTACCTCTGAGAAAAGAGCACATGGTATTGTTGCCAAAGAGTGAATTTGGGGCAGATATTGAGAGGGTGAGGACACATTCCCTAGAAAAATTACCCTGAAGAAGTTCTCAGGCCCCAGTTTTAGGACAAACAAGTGAGAGAACACATTGACTTAGCTGCAGAGTAGGGGGTGCATGGGAGAGCTTCATGGCTGGGCACACTGTGTGTTTTGGTCTGACTTACTTCAACCCGGAGCACTGTGAAAGCACTCAGGCTGTTTTTGTAGAATTGGCAGTGATAATCAGCCTCATCTTCAGGCTGTAGCACAGTGATGGTCACAAAAATGGAGTTGCCAGACTTGAAGCCAGAGAATTGTCAGGGACCCACAGGTGTCACCAATTGTTTTTATAGATGAGGAGTTTGGGGGTCATTCCTTGGAGCTGCTGGAACCAGTGTACATCACACCAATAACCAAAGTGGAGCTGCTTCCAGTGCAGGAGATGGTGACCCTCTGGCCCAGAGCCCCAGGGACTGAGGGTGACTGAATCAGCGCAGATGGGACCCAAGGCCCTGAAAGTGGGAAAGACACAGACATGGTGATTCTGGGTCTATAAATAAGAGGAGAAAGCAGCTCTCCATGGGCTCCCCAGGGCCCCTTCCGTGGCCCCATGTCCAGTCACCTGTGCAGTGAATAAAGGGGGTGAGCAGGAAATGGGACCAGGCCATTCTTGAGATTGTCCTGAGTCCTGCCTTTTTGCCCCACAGTTGAAGTAAAGCTTTTCCCAACTCTCTCCTTTTCTCTCTTTATACTCTGAGGCAGGGAGGATCTCCTCATGCAAATGGGAACTTTTCTGATCCCACCCTGAGCTCTGGATCAGACTCTTCTGCCTGAGGGCGCCATAGGGATAAGTATGAGTAGTGCTGTGAGCCGTTCAGGGGTGAGGAGATCACAGCTGTGAGCCCTGAACAGAGAGCACCAGACAGGGGAAGTGGCTGGTCTCAGCTCCGAACACCCCCAGACCCTCAGGAACAGGCTCCAAGTGCCTTCTGCTGTCCATGCCTAGACACACCACTTTATAATACGCTAACCATTTATGTTTAGTATTATTGTGGAAGTAAAATAAACTCCAATTACCTTCAGAAATAGGGTATTTTTGTATATATAATATTTTTTGAAACAAAAATAGTTGAAGCTGTCCAAGTTCAATTTCAAATACTGTAGAGACTTCATCTTGAGTGTGACGTTGGAAATGAATATATAATTCACTAATACCCTAGGATCTCCTGCTGTTCATTTACACGGGAGCAGCAGGCACTGAGGACACCATACACCCAGTCTGTGCAGTGACTGGGGCTGATTATGGATCGGTGTCCACTGGGGATATACTGTCCCTCAGTTCTTTGTTTGTTTGTCTGTTTTTGTGTTTTTGAGACAGAGTCTTGCTCTGTCGCCCAGGCTGAAGTGCAGTGGCACAATCTCGGCTCACTGCAACCTCTTCCTCCCAGGTTCATGCTATTCTCCTGCCTCAGCCTCCCAAGTAGCTGGGACTACAGGTGCCCCCCAACCATGTCCGGCTAATTTTTTGTATTTTTAGTAGAGACAGGGTCTCACCGTGTTAGCCAGGATGGTCTCGATCTCCTGACCTCGTGTTCTGCCCGCCTCGGCCTGCCAAAGTGCTGGGATTACAGGTGTGAGCCACCGCGCCCAGCCTACTGTCCCTCAGTTGTGTATCTCCCAGAATGCACTGTGCCACACCAGCCTATTGTGACCCTCAGTGGAGACCCATGAATTTAACTCAATGTCATCTGTCTGCAGCGGGTGCAAAGCCTGCAGGTTTTCAGGTGTAGGGATACCAGCAAAGGATTAGATTTCAGAGCCAGATGGGGACTTGTTCTAAATTACTCTTACTGTCTCTCAAATCAACACATTTTAGTCTCCTCAAATTCTGTTATTGCATTTAGGTGGCATTACTTTCAACTAGCACACATGAGAGTTTTTGTATAAAATATGTTGTTTATTTTACAAAAGCATATAAAATAGAAATGTTGAACAGTAACTACAAGAGATATCATAGATCAACAGTATAAACACACATAAACATTTAACATTTATGTTTGATTCCTTTCCTTCAAATTTTGTGTTCCTTCAACATAACAGTTTTATAATAACACTTTCTATAGAGAAAGAAGGAAAATAAATCAAATGGAAATATCACACATTGTTTCGCCGTCATCTGCCCAGGTTAGTGCTGGATGCCATACAGCATGTGCTTGTAGTATATAGCTTCCAGCCCTGCACCGTTACGGCCAGGCTCCAGGAGAGTCAGCTCAGTAGGAGGTAGGAGAGATTCCAGAAGCCAGTCTACATGAGATTGTTCTGGGAACAGAAATATTCATATAAATGACAAATCATATTTTTAGCAAACTTATACTTGTATTCCTACCAACTACTGGCTATTGTTTGAAGTCAAGTCACACTTTTTAGCACTGATATAAATATGATTTTGAATGTTCTTGGATTTAGTACAGCCACTATGGAGAACGATTGGAGGTTCCTCAAAAAACCTAAAAATAGGGCTACCATATGATCCAGCAATTTCACTGCTGGATACATATCCAAAATAAAGAAAATCAGTATATCAGAGAAATAGCTGCACTCCTATGTTTGCTGCAGCACTGTTTAGCTAAGATTTGGAAGCAATCTAAGTGTCCATCAACAGATGAATGCATAAAAAATGTGGTAAATACACACGATGGAGTACTATTCAGCCATAAAATAGAATAAGAGTCTGTCATTTGCAACAACAGGGATGGAACTGGAGATCATTATATTAAGTGTAATAAGCCAGGCCCAGAAAGGCAAACATCACATATTCTCACTTTTTTATGGAATCTAAAAATCAAAACATTTGAAACTCATGTACATAGAAAGTAGAATAATGGTTACCAGAGGCTGGGAAGGTAGCAGGGAGTAGGAGGTGATGTGGGGATGGTTAATGGGTACAAAAAGTAGTTAGAAAGAATGAATAGTACCTACTATTTCATAGCACAACAGGATACCTATGGTCATAATAACTTAATTGTACTTTTTTGAATTATGTAAAGAGTGTAATTGGATCATTTGTAACACAAATGATAAATGCTTGAGAGGATGGATACCCCATTCTTCATGATATAATTATTTCACATTGCATGCCTGTATCAAAACATCTCATAAACCCCATAAATATATACACCTATTATGTACCCACGATAATAAAAAATAAAAAAGAACAAAAGGATAAGACATTTATCATATATTTCATCATAAATGCATTATGAATTCAATGTGACTAATGAGTCATCTTGGCCTCTGACAGCTTTCCTGGGGCTGCGTTTTCTCTCCTGAAGGACTGTGCTAATGCAAGCTGCCTGCTCTTTACTAGAGCATTAGTGAGCTCTATTGCAGCATATCCAGTATCTATCTTTCTCTCCCACAGGGTATCAGGGAAGCTGCACTGGAAGCCTCGAGGCTCTTTCCCTGATTGGGGCATCTAACATACGGCTCAGCACCCCTCATACCTGCTGTCCCTCCAAAGTTCATGCTTATTCCCCACCGACCTCACAAATGTCCTGTTCTCAGCCTAAATCCTAGAGGTCAGAGGTCCAGCATGGGTTCTACTTGTGAATATGCTGAGGAATTTTCACATCTATGTTCATAAATGAAATTGCTCTATTTTATCCAAAACCCAGTGCTCATGTGGGTCCTTCAGCCCAGGTGCAGGAAAGTCATTCTTCAGGGAGGTCACTGCTTATCCAAGTGTGTAAGAGCCAGTGGACTGTTACTGTCTCTTGTTTAATCCTTGTGTGGCCTGGTAATCCTGTCATCTTGGGATCCATCCAACAGTGCCCCCTGCTTGCCTCAGATCCCAGGTCTTCCAGCACCCCTGGTACTGTGCAACCCTCCTGGAAGGGCATTCTGACTGTTGGCAGATGGATCTTTCTGATATCACTACTCAGGGCAGCAGAATGAGTAAGTCTTTCTGTGGACAACACTGCAGCTGGCACATTATTTCTTCCAGGCCATTAATGACCTCTGGGCAGCAAATTACAGGATGTGTTACAGGATTGTAAACCAAAAATAAAATTCTAAGACTCCCATCCATCTGAACAGACCCCTCCTTTTGGCCAAGGGCATTCCAAAGTTAATCTGAAAGAGAGTTCAGGTCATCTTGGGAACGGGGAGCCAGATATGCCTCCTCATTTTTGGAATTTCTGAGAGAACAGACTTTTTACATCTGATAAGAAAGATTTACAATCTATTCTCTCTGCAGCCTGCTACCTGGAGGCTTCCTCTGAGCAACAAAACCTTGGTCACTACAATGCCTTAATTTAACCCAGGCATTCCTTTGGTTCTAAGTCTTTAGACAATAATTTAACTCTTTTAACCAATTATCAAAAAGACGATCTTTGGAGCCCCACTACTTTGAGTTGTGCTGCCTTCCTGGACTCAACCAACGTACATCTCGCATGTGTTGATTGATGTCTCATGTCTCCTTAAAATGTATAAAACCAAGTTGCAGCCTGACCACCTGGGGTACATGTTCTCAGGATCTCCTGAGGGCTGCGTTGTGGGCCATTGGTCACTGATATTTGGCTTGGAATAAATGTCTTCAATATTTTACAGAGCTCGACTCTGTTCATCGACAGTTCCTGTGAGCTCGGGATATCTCACTCATCCCACACAAGTGATATAAGTTATTTTAAGATCTAAATTTCATCAGAGAACAAGACTCTGAGCAGGCTGAGATTTTGTCCCACTTCCCCACCTGTGTGTGTCAGCATGAGAAGCTCTGCTGTGCTCGATCATACAGTAATAGTAAGCCTCATCCTCAGACTGGAGATCAGATATGAGCAAGAGCCCTTTATTGGACCGGCCTTCCATTAATCCAGAGAAGTGCCTGGGGACCCCGGAGCCCTGGTCATGAAGTGAATTTTGGTAGTGGCTCAGGAGATACTGGGGAGGCTCCCTGGTTTATGCTGGTACCAGTATATCCAGTAGAAATCAGCACTGAAGCCACTGCTCAGGGTGCAGGAGAGTCTGGCTGATCCGGAGGTGCAGAGAGGGAGGGCGGCTGAGTCAGCACAGGCTGGGAGAGGGAACCTGCAGACACAGATGCACATGGGAGTTGGGCCACCTACCAGCATAAAGTTGCTGTAAGATTTTAGCCAGAGGGGACTGGTGAAGCCTGAGGGACATGCCCTGGACATGGGAGGCCTGTGCCTACCTGAGAATTGAGAGAGAAACAGCAGGAGAGGGGCCCAGGCCATGGTCAACACAGTCCTCCTGAGGTCCACAGCCGTAGTGGGCTGCCTCAGGCCTCTTATCCCCTCCACTGACCTCACAGAGGAGGAGTTATGGACCCAAATGTGTCCCCCACATTGCCTGCCTCTACCTTACCCTATGTATTTATTCAAGTCCTAGGGTCTGGTGGAGGGGGGAGTCTGGCAGGCCAGACCTGGGAGGAAGTGGGTGCTGGGACCACACCCAGGGAGGACAGAGCTGCTGAGTCAGGCTCAGTGAGGGCAGGGTCCACTGCCCAGCCCTGAGGAATTTGTGGGGTGGGAGGGGTTGGCACAGCTGTGGATGCCCACTGGGCAGACCTACAGTGTACCCTGCTGCTCTCTGTCCAGACTGCATTCTCTCAGTGGAAATCATGTATGTGGTGTTGGCCTGGGAGCCTGGTGAGTATCAGTCCAGAGGCATTTATGGGCCATGCCCTGGTCATGCCCCTGATTACTGACATGAACAAACAGACTTTTTCAGTAAGTTTTTCTTGGATTACTAGAAAGGCATGTGCAAACTATCACCCCCATCCAATGAAAGGAGGCTGCAGGAAGTTGGGAATGCAGAGGGCTCTGGGAGCAAAGCCCTGAGCAGCTCTTTCCACAGGGACCAGGGAAGGAGGCGACTGTGACTTGGCTGTCACTGGGATGTGGGGTCCTGCTCTGGGACTAGCAGTCAAACAACATTACTAGGGAGAGATAGGACTTTGGAAATGAAGAGACATTTTAAATGCCAGATTGGATTCAAATGTCCTCACCTGACTTGCCACTCACACTTCACTTGTTCAATCTTCTCATCAATGATGTATTCTGTCATCCCCTTAGGAATTCATGGCATGTCTCTGTGCTTTAGAGTGAGGGGCTTGGCTTGATTCACTATCGGAGGTTGTTTCAGGTTGTGAACTGGGGGCAGAATAGATGAAACTGACACTTTAGAAAGACATCCTTTGGTGTCAGGCTCAACAAAGAGCCTGAAGGCAGCCAAGCAGGAGAAGGGGTGTCGGGTGGGGTGATAGCTGATCCCAGGGATCTGGAAGAGGAAGAAAGTGAGAGATGCCAGGGGAAAAAACCCATGGGATGACTGTGTCCCTTGATGGAGTGTGAGAGAGAGATAGGGATGAAGCTGAGTGTTGTAGATGGGTTGGTTAGGTGGGTTTTATCGTCATTAACTGGCATGCAGGATGAGAGAGAGACAGAGAGCTTCTCCTGGGAGCTGATGGGGCCAGGCCACACTGTCCACCCAAATCTTCTGCTTATTCCAGTGCAGGAGGAGGGGACTGTTACTTCCAGATGATGGGGCTGGCTGAGTGAGCACAGACTTCAGGCAGGACCCTGGAAGGGAACGTGGGGCACACAGCTCCTGGCACAGAGCCTGACACAGGAAGGCACAGTCTGTCTTTTATGATGATGACTGATGGGTATTGGCGCATCCCTGCTTTGACATCTGGGGAGCCTATACTGTCTCCTCTGCTGATACCCACCTGTGCACTTTCTCGAGAGAAAAAACATATATCAATCATCAATAATAAAATGCGCCTTGATAACCTCTCTACTCATTGCTGAAATTTTTACCTAGTGTCTTTAAGTAAGAAAATGTTTCAATATTTGTTCAAATTATCTCCTGTATTACTTGCTGAATTTTATAATTATTTTTCTATAGATATGAATGAAGTTTGTCATTTTTAGTGATACCAGAATAATAAACATTCTGCACTATTTTTAAATTGCATAAGAAGAAATATACTTGATTTTATTAATTATAAACTTGATAATTTTATTATTCATTCCAATAAATTTTTAACAATGTTTTTATTTTATTCATATATAGTTACCATTAAAATGTTAACACATTTATACAAATATTTTTTGCCATTCTAATATCCTTTCTTATTTCTTAGAAATAAATTTCCACCACAGAGAAAAATATAAGACGTAATATCAAAAACAGAGTATATTAAGAATGTTTAAAACCTTCTAAAATATGACTTCCAAGTAATTTTACACAGCAGGTTGTCTATTATGTGTTTCATACTAACAGATCTATTCAAGCAATTCTCTTTCCTTGGGATTAAAGGTAGGTTTGGCATTTTTTTCAAGAAAGTATTTTTACTCTGTTTCTGTAGTGTGGAATTTTACTTCATTATAAAGTGATTTCTTCTGTGTGTCATTAAAATAAATCAAACCAGAAACTACATCCAGCTCTGGGAAACATTACATTTTATTTTGTTTATCTCTGATGCATTCTATAAGGTCTTTGCTATGTGTGTCTATGTGGATACTCTTCACCAAAACAAAACAAAACAAAACAAAAAAAAAAGATTCTTCTGGAGTAATTTATTCTTAAAATGTATAAGAACAACATGTTAAATGCTGGCAGAACTAAGAGTCCTTAGCTTGACTCTCCATCCTAGCACTCACAAAATTTACTTCTAAGCTCACTAGACACAAGTTCCATAAGGATAGAGTCTGTTTCATTCATCAATGTATACCCAGCACCTGACATAGGAGAACATGGCGCAGAGTGGGTGTTCGATAAATATTTGTCAATGATTAAACAACAGTTCTAACCAGTAAGTGAACAGAAGCACATGACTTTGAATAAAATGGCATGAGATAGCAACTGTTTCATTATGCAAAAACAGGAGTTTTTATACAAATTCTAGGATTATGATAAGTAAATCAAAAATTAGATAAAAATTATTTCCTCCAAAAACAAAGGAATTCTCATAATGGAGAAATAAGAAAAGCCCCTGCAGGGCAATTGACCAGCAGGGAGAGATACAAAGACCTGTGAGCACAGGGCAGGGTCCACCTGCAGTTGGCAAAAGCAGGGAAGAAGGCCTGCAGGAGCCTCAGGAGCCTGTGTCTGGGTCATGTTTCAGGACAGTGAGGAGGAGAAGACCCAGGGAAGGATGGAGACACCCATAACCCTGATCCTTAGGACCCAAAAAGAAGGCAGAGCTGCTTCAAATCCCTTGCACACATTTATATCCCAAGGAGAGATGAGGCTGAGATGGGCATTTATATGTGTAGTAGGAGGTAGATCACAGTACCCAGACGTATGGCTAGTATTAGGTAGGCCAAAAACCTGAGATGTCAAAGACCTGAAAGCATAGATCAGGGTATACAAGACGTTCCCATAAATAGTGGGCACCATTGCTGTAAGACAAACCCACACTCTTTCTGAGACAGGCCAAGGCAGCTATTGGAAATAACCCTTGATTATGTAGAAAAGGATCTTGGGTTCTCTACACAAAAATGAAAGATGCGGGTTCAATTTCCAACCTTTGGAAAGACAATCAGGGACCCTCATATCACACTGGTGCCCTCTCTTATAAAGAGCTTTCTGAGTCCTCATCCTCCAACAGATAACAGGTCACAGTGTCCTTCCCTGGGGTGAAGAACAACCAGAACCATGTCACCCCAGGGGCGCACTGCAGGTGACAGCATAATTTCAGCTCAGCAGCACCCAATGCCAGGCCTATTGCACCCACACTCTGCCCATCAGCTTCAGATATGTGAGTTCTGCTCCTGGTCTATGCTCTTCTGACTAAAGCTGTCCTCCCTTGGCTCACCTTGGTCACTCAAAATGACATCTGTGTTCCTGGATTTGGCAGCCGCCTTCCTACTCACCCCTTTCTTAAATACAGTTAGATCCCATGGCAGCTGAGAAGGATTATCCCAGGTCTGTTGTTTCATTGATGTTTTCTGTTACAGTTTTCATTTCTTTGTTGAGATTTTTTTATCTCCTCATTCCCTGCAAACCTATTTTTACTGAAGACCTTACAATGATTCCTTAGATAACTTTGGAAAGAATTGTCATTATAAAAATTATAATCACATTGAGTTTTCCAACTACAAACAAGGAATATCAGTTATTTTAAGGTTTTTTTGTAATGACTCTCAACGTTTTATAGTTTTCAGTTTAAGACTTTCCATTTTTTAATATTTACCCTTAAATATTTTATATTGATGTTATTATAAATTATATTCTTTTTATTTCAAAATCTGTGATGGTTTGTTGCTAATATAGAGAATACAATTCCATTGTGAATGCTGGTATTGTATCCAATGCCTAGATTGAAGCTCTGGGACCAGAAGCATCTCTGAGTCACTCCTAGACTCTGAGCCGGGCATGGCCCGAACCACTCTCTTTTGGTCTCCTCCAAAGTCTCAATTTAGAGAATTTTTGTCTCTGAGCAAGGGATTTCTGCCTGTGAAAACCAGAAAGAAATGAGAAGGTATGAGCATGAATCAATATGAAAGTGGAATTGAAGAAAATAAAGTCACATTTTCAGATCTACTTGTCTGAAAAAAAGAATCAGGTGCTGGTTGAAGATCTAAAATATAAGTCACCCAGTGAGATAGACTTTATTAGAGCCACCAGCAGGAGTGACTACACCAGGCCAGGAGATCAGAGAAGAGGTTTTTGTAACCTCCCAGTGGGTCTGGAGTGCTGACTTGGAGCTGCTGTGACACGTACAACAGTAATAGCCTCACCCTCAGGCTTCAGCCCAGGAATGTACAGAATCCCTGCATTGGCTAATGTATCATTGGATCCAGAGAAGTGGATGGGAACCCCAGGGTGCTGAGTGATATTTGAGTCTGAGTAGTATCTCAGGAGACACCTGGGACGGCTGCCTGGCTTCAGCTGACCACTATATTGCAAAGTTACCAACTCTGAAGCCACTGCTCAGGGTGCAGGTAAGTCTGGCTCATGCTCCTGGAGATGCAGAGAGTGAGGTCATCTGAGTCAGCACAGGCTGGGAGAGGGAACCTGCAAGCACAGACACTCATGGGGGCTGGGGCAGGAACTAGAGATACATGTCTTGGGGATCTGAGCCAGAGAGGCTGACGCAAGCTAAGGAGCTAACCCTAGACACCTAAAACCAGTTCTCACCTGAGCAATGAGAGAGGAACATGAGGAGCAGAGGGGTCCAGGCCATGGTGGACACCGCCTCCTGTGGCCCCACAGAGGAAGCTGCTTAACTCAGGCCTCTTTTATCTTCTCCAGTGGCCTGAAAAGGGAGGATCTGTCCACACAAATTTGTGTATCCTCCTGGTAATCTTTGTTCCACCCTAGGAAGAGCTGAAGTCTGAGCATGATTCTTTAGATATGGTGGGTTGGTGGGTGAGATTCAGCGTTTGTCCCACGGGAGGAGTAAGTGAGGAAGCAGCTCCTGCACCTTCCACAGACCTGTGAGTAGGAGACTCTACCCAGCCCAGAGAAGACACAGCTGTGGTATCTTCCTCAGTGAGTGCAGGCTCCATTGCCCAGGGATAACAGATATGTGGGCACCACTGTTCAGAGCTTGGAAAGACCCAGATTTCCCCCTGCTGCACACTTCAGTCTTTCAGTCAGAATCATGTGAGTGGAGTTGGCCTGAGTGCTGGGTCTCTGTCAGGTCACAGCATCCATGGACCACACCCCTGCTCTGTCTCAGGTAACTTATATTCATAACCATCCTTTTTGATTGAGGGATTTCTAGAATAACAGGAACAGGAGAAATGAAAAACATGACAATTGTTCATTGTGAGGAGGCCGCAGTAAGGGGAAAATGCGGAGGGCTCTGGGAGCAAACACCTGAGCAGCTCCTTCCACAGGGGCCAGGGAAGAAGGCAACTGTGAACTGGCTCTGAGTGGAGAGTGGGGTCCTGCTTGGGGACAAACAAAGCAAACACTATTTCTAGATGTAGTGCATCTTCTAGAAAATATAGTGATATGTACAAACATTGAGACATCAAATAGTGTGAGGTGCTGGGGAACGGCAGAACTTCTCACAATCCTAGATCTCTCTCATCTGTTGGCTGATTTTTGGCCAAGACACACTATGTATCTCCATTTTGTCACTTTTTCTGCTGCAGATGACTTTTCCCTGCCAACCCAGCACAGTGAACAGATAAGTCAGAAGAGTCTGGGAGCAGGACCCTGAAAGATGGATGTGATGTCGACTTTCATGGTACTTAAGAAAATGCGTCTTCTCATTTCAAAAATATTTATGAAAAGATCAGCACAGGCCAGCAGAGGACCAGGCATAGGGATATAAAAGGTGAAAACATAAAGTTCACTGTGGGTAAGTCAGGGACAGTGAGAACAGGTAGGAGGATGGAAAAAGAGAGGAGAGGTCCCTACTGATGACAACAGCATTTGTCATGGAGAATGTGAAATTAACTTAATTAGTTCTCCTTAATGCCCTGGCCATCCATGTGAGGACTGACTGATGTTTTTGAGGTAGGACTTCCTACCAGTTCAGGCTCTGTCTTTCTCCCTCTTCCTTTGCTGCCCAGGTGAAGGGGTTTTCCAAGGCCACATTCACTGAGGAGCTCAAAAGTGTTACTCTTTCTAGTTTGACCATTTTCTGTTGAAGGCCAAGACTTCTCTCTCGTCCTCAGAGAGTGAAACAAAATAGGGGAGGGGACTGTTTACATGATTCTACCATTGATAGACACTGGCAGACGAGCACCAAGGACAATAAAGAAAATCATACCCCTCAATTTGAGGAATTCAGTTTTGAACAATCAAGATTAGAAAGTGGCCCATGTGTTTTGATTCATTTATATTTAAATATTTACCCAAGGAAGATGGATAAGACATAGCGCATACAGAATTCCTGTAGGGTATTAACAATGAAGTCATGGAGTATAAGAAAAAGGCCAGGCCCAGTAAGCAATCCACTGGAATCAGAAACAGGGAGGTGTCTGCCATGGTCCCATCACATCTCACTGAAAGCAGACCTCCAGGCCTAATTCCACCCACTCTGCCACCTCCATTCCCCTCTCTCGATGCATCCAGTTTCAATTACTTCACATCAAATACTACAAAACTTAGCAACTGCAAAGATGTGCAATCCCACAGTTTCTGTGGGTCAGAAACCTGGGAGCAGTTTAGCAAGGTGGCTCTGGCTCAGATAGGCTCATGAGGTTGAAAATAGGATTTCAGTGGGGGGAACTAAAGCCATGAGAAGACTTTACCAAGGCAATAGAATCAACTTACAGTTTCACTGAGCCACAAAGCTGGTGGCAGGAGGCCTCAGCTTCTTGCTGCATGAAACTCCCTGTGGGACTACTTGAGTGTCCTCACAAATGGCAACTGGCTTTCCCCAAAGCAAGTGATCTGAGAGAGCAGAACGCAAAACTCAAAGTGTATTATGGCCTGGCATCAGTCATTTTCTCAATATCCTATCAATTGTACTAGTGATCCCTTTTCAATATGTACAGGGATGTGAGTGCTAGGAGACAGAGATATTTAGGTATAACTTGAAGTCCAGCTGCCACACATGGTAAATTCTTAGAAAACACAACTCTGAGGTCACAAATGCCTCAGATTGACACAGAGTGAAGCAAACTCTATATGTCAGCAAGACCATTGAATTCCCACATGTCCCCAGAGAATAGGGGCCTTGTGTGCAGAATCTTTGGGATCTTTTTCAGTCTGCGTGTCCAGATATCACTTTTCCTTTTATCATCATCATTTCAGTGGACATAAACATGATGTATTAGAGTTGATTTAACAGTATCATGATTCACAGGATATACAAGATAGTCCATATAAATATTCTTATAAATGGGCCACTTCTACCCTTGAACTCCTTGCAAAGGGTAATGAGCCAATAGCTGCCTCCTGTGACTGATGGGATGGAATGGAAGTGCAGTGAGGGGTGTCAGCCCTGGCTTTGGGGAGTACAGCCAGGTAGGAGGTAGTACAAACCGTCACCTGCATGTGTGACCCACAGGTACAACCAGAGAGGAGCCAGCTAGTGGGGAGGCATTGTCCTCCTACCTGGACTCCCACAGTGGGTGGGTGAAGCAGTTAACAGGCGATGCTCTGTGAAAAGGCACAACAGTGCCTGAGTTGACGGACACCATAGCAGTGATTTAACTGTGAGCCTCATCTGCTGGAAGATGTAGCTCTGGGTGAGCACCTTGCACTCTACAGCTCTTGGCAAAGATGTCAAATCTAATGTATTGTTTGAACTTCACCACAAGTGAAGGAGGGCATGAGCAATCCTTGTAGGAAGTGGAGTGAAATGAAGCTCTCAGAAGTTAGAGGCCAGCCCTGAACATCACACAGGTAAGGTGTGTTAGGTTCTGTCTTCCTCCAACCCGTATGTATGTTTCAGGTGAGCAAGGATCACCAGTTTGCTGTCTAGAAATATTAGTGCGAGGAGTGGATGCTTGAATGCTTGCACAGGACAAGGCCTTCTGACTTCTCTACGCATCTTGTGGAGGGTCCAGGCCCATATTCTAGACAAGGAAGGAAGCGGATGGAAAACAGTAAATGATGAGTTACTTTTAGGGTCTCCCAGAAAAGAGGGAATGAGCAAGTAATTGGTGAAATATGCTAGTAATCTCCTCAATTATCATGCCCTAGTTTCTTTCCATTTAAGACTTCCTCCCTTACTTCACATTTTTTATCACAAAATTTTACTGTAAGCAGCAAGAATGAATGAGGTTATACTTTTAATACTTTGCTTGGAAATATTCTCAGCTAAATATCCAAGTTTGCTGCTCACCTGTTCTGCTTTCCATACAATTGCATGAAACAATCCAGCCAACCTGTTTTCCACCAAAAAACAATGATCCCCTTTCCTCCGGTTTTCCCACAAAAGTCAAAAGAGCGCTCTTAATTCCCTGTGAACTCCCATCAGTGCACCAGGAGCTCCTTTACTGGATGTATTTCTTTTATCTTCTTTTCTTTCTTTCTTTTTTTTTTTTTTTTTTTTTGAGATGGAGTCTCACTCTGTCACCAGGCTGGAGGGCAGTGGTGTGATCTGTCTGGACTTACTGCAACCCCCACCTCCCAGGTTCAAGTGATTCCCCTGCCTCAGCCTCCTGAGTAGCTTGGACTGCAGGCATGCACCACCACACCTGGCTAAATTTTTTTGTATTTTGGTAGAGACAAGTTTTCACCATGTTGGCCAGGATGGTCTCGATCTCCTGACCTTATGATCTGCCCTCCTTGGTCTCCCAAAGTGCTGGTACTGGCTGTATTTCTACTTCCAGTCTGTAGATGTATAATTAGGTATTTGCTAAGAAAAATGTAACTAGACCAGGCACAGTGGCTGATGCCTGTAATCCCAGCACTTTGGGAGGCTGAGGCAGGCAGATCATTTGAAGTCAGGAGTTGGAGACTAGCCTGGACAACATGGTGAAACCCCATCTCTACTAAAATTACGAACCTTAGCCGGGCATGGTGGCGCACACCTGTAGTCCCAGCTACTTGGGAGGCTGAGGCACAAAAATCGCTTGAACCCAGGAGGTGGAGGCTGCAGTGAGCCAAGATTGTACCACTGCAATGCAGCCTGGGCAACACAGCAAGACCCTGTCTCAAAAAAAAAAAAAGAAAGAAAAAAAAGAAAGAAAATGTAGCTTTTTCGCTACCATGCTTCTGACTTCCTACTGAGCCCATCCCAGCCAAGTCTTTAGCAACCATATCTGCATTAACACCATGCTCAAAGCAATCTAGGATTTTTCTAACATGCTTTCCAAAATTCTGCCAAACTCTATCTCTTGTCTGCTTCCAAAACTATTTCCATATTTTAAGTATTTTTTTTAACAGCAACACTCCTCTTCCATTCTTTTCCACATATTTTTCTGTTCTTGTTGTGACAAATTACTACAAACCCAGTGGCTTGGTGGGTGAATATATATTTAGCGAGACAGGGAGGAGAAAATGGGGTGATATCTGGGGCTGGATATTCCAGGACAGAAGATGTGGGTTGGTTATCACCTGAGAACTAGGCACTTTGTCCTCTACAGATTTGGAGCTATTAATGTCTAGATCTAGATCTATCTATAGAAATAGATATTTATTTCATAAAAAGGAGAAAGAGGTGCCAGGCTTCTGTTACAGACAGCTTTCATGGAGTAGAGATTGGACTTAGGTTAGGGTTCACACAAGGAAGGGCAATGTAGGTCTGATGGAACAGGACAGCGCCATAGAGCCAGAGGACAGATCTGGGGGATGTAGAGGATTTCAATCTCCAGCTTCAGTGACCAACTGGAGGTGCCATACGTATACAGTAGAGAAACAAATTAAACTCTGAGGCTTACAATGTCTGTGACCAAGAAAGTGGACATGCCATAAAAGCAGATAAAATATACTATAAGGGGTGCATGTTTGGGAAGATGAGATAACCCTTCCAGCTTGGAGATGAATATGGTATCTGCTTTAGCAAGAATATGTCATGTTTATGAAAAGTGTTTCAAGATAAAACTATTCTCCAATCTTTCTTGCCTTGAATAAATAATTTTTTCAGAGAGTCAATGAATAACAGTCACATCTACAGTTATCACCCATTCCAACAGGTGATTATAAAATAAGTGTTTACCTAAAATATATCTTGTTCAATTACTTAGTAACTGGAGGCTCATCCTTTTCCATGGTCTCTGCACAAACCCATGGGACCCAGTCCATCCTGCTGGTCACCTTTCCAGCACTCAAGTTCATATTCCTCTCTTGTTCTCTAAACACAGAAGTCAACATTCTAATTTAATATATCCCCTTGAATCAATTCACAACCCAAACTCAAAATACACATAAAGCAGTAAAAATCACTTTATTTTCCTCAGATCTTTTTCTCTTACTGAGAATTCTATTTAGGTGAATTCACATATTCGTTCAACAAACATGGTATTAATTGGCTGTTTGCGCTAGGCTGAGTCCTAGGGTTTGTAGATACAGTGGTGAAAAAACAGGACAGAGAGAAAAAATATGAATCTTAGTTCCCAGTAGGGGAAGGCCTATTCATTAAATTAGAGCCCCCTGCAAGGTGTCATGTTTTGCCCAACCAAATCCAAAGGGGCCTCATGCAGAGCGCAGGGACCTTGCTCTGTGTAGCTGCCTGCTTTTCGGTGTCTTGCTCTGAAAGTCTCAGCCATCTATGTTTTTCTGACTTCTCATCTGTGTGTTCTGAGCTGTGTAAAAAGCTCACGATTATCTTGGTCACCACCTCCTTCTGGGCCAAAAATTGTCTCCAAAAAAAAATCTGTGGTCCAGGCGCGGTGGCTCACGCCTGTAATCCCAGCACTTTGGGAGGCCGAGGCGGGCGGATCACGAGGTCAGGAAATTGAGACCATCCTGGTTAACACAGTGAAACCCCGTCTCTACTAAAAAAATACAAAAAATCAGCCAGGTGTGGTGGCAGGCTCCTGTAGTCCCAGCTACTCGGGAGGCTGAGGCGGGAGAATGACGTGAACCCGGGAGGCGGAGCTTGCAGTGAGCCGAGATAGAGCCAGTGCACTCCAGCCTGGGCAACAGAGCGAGACTCCGTCTAAAAAAAAAAAAAAAAGATATACTTAATGTTAAATGACGAGTTAATGGGTGCAGCACATCAACATGGCACATGTATACATATGTAATAGACCTGCAGGTTGTGCACATGTACCCTAAAACTTAAAGTATAATTAAAAAAAAAAAATCTGTGTTGGCTGGGTGCAGTGGCTCACACCTGTAATCCCAGCACTTTGGGAGGCCGAGGTGGGCAGATCAGTCAGGAGTTTAAGACCAGCCTGACCAACATGGCGAAACCCCCTCTCTACTAAAAGGACAAAAAAATTAGCTGGGCATGGTGGTGAGTGCCTATAATCTCAGCTATTCGGGAGGCTGAGTCAGGAGAATTGCTTGAACCTGGGAGGCAGAGTTTGCAGTGAGCGGAGATCACATCACTGTACTCCAGCCTGGGCGACAGAGCAGGACCCTAACTCGAAAAAAAAAAAGTGAAGAAAAAGAAATCCGTGTCCACTGCAGTGCTCATTTGCGTGTTAGGGTCCTTTCTCTGAGGTTACATAATCAAGTTATCCCTGTTGGCCAATATTCACTGTCTGGAAATAGTCATTACATGCACTCGATTATGTCTTAAAGTGTTGTTTATGGTGTAAGAACTCCATCTATTGCATCATGGCAGGAAACAGAAATTGACACACTTTTGGTGTAACCGTCTTTGTCTATTTGACTTTTTAGAACTTAGTAAGCTTTATCCCACCATGACGCTTTCCATAAGTTTTATATCTATGAGTTCCGATTAATGCTGATTAAGGTTTATTGAACTTTTTAGGGATTGAGTATGTTTCTTTTTGTCAAATTTGGGAAAGTTTTGGTTACCATTTTTCAATTACATTATTCTGTTTCTTTTCCTCACTCTTACCCTTCTGGGCCTTTCATTATGTGTATATTGGTACACTTGATGGTGTCAAGAGGGTCTTTAGGTCCTGCGTATTTTTCCACCCTTATTTCATTCTATTCCTGTAATAGGATAATATCAATTAATCTATGTTTATTTCAATGACTCTTTCTTTTATATCTTTTATTAATATTCTTTATTTGGAGATACATTCTTTTCATGCTTTTTTGAACATTTTTACATTTTTAAAATTTCTTTGAGCAAATGGAGAAATAATGGAGTTGAAGTATTGGTCAAATAAGACCAGTGTTTCTGCCTCTTTGAAAATAGTTTTTGTCAACTTTTAATTTTTTTGTTTTTTTAATGTTTTTTTCTTTGTTATTTTCCGTTATATATGGCAATATGTTCCTGTGTCTTGAACCTACCTCATTATTTTGCTTTGACAAATGGAAATTTTAAATAATATAATGTGACAGTTCTGGAAATTAGAACTTTTTTGTAAAGCGTTTTGGTTGATGTTGTTGCTGTTTTTGCTATAGTTGTTATTGTTGATGATGTATTGTTTCATGGTTTTCCAGGAGGGTTCTGCAAGTCTGTATTCTTTGCATGTGAAGTTAATGAAGTCTCTGCTCAATCACATTAGTAGTTTCCTAATTACTGGACAGATATTTCCTGAAGCAATACTTCCTTCAGCTTTTGCCAAGGACTCCATGAGATGTACTTATTTTGAAAATAAATAAATAAATAAGTAAATAAATGAAATCCTTCATTCCAGATCAGGGTTACCAGGATGATATTCATGGCTATTTCTATTCCTCCTTCTTTGGTAACTTTCTGCTTATCTGTTGTCATCTTCAGTGTGTTGGAAATAAGTTCTCCTCCTTATCCCTTACTCCCAAATCCCAGGCACTGAACACCTGAGAATACCTTCAGAAACCCCCAAAGGGTTTAAAGCTTTTCATCTCAATCTCTATAAATCTTTATTCTATTTTTATTTATCTGGAATATGCTTTCTAGCATGTTGATAGACTTCTAAAATTTATTTAAGTCAGAAGTTTTCTTCTAAGATTGATCATTTAAATGATCTCAATAAGACAGGACTGAGGTATGCAGCTGAGTCCCAGTGTCTGAATATGAAAAGGAGAATTTCTTTGCACCCCCCTATATAGCCACAATACACCAGACCAGCAGGAGGAGACAGGCTCTGTTGTAATATTTGCGCAATAGTTACAGATCAGAGTGCACTCCCTAGAGGCCTGGCCTAAAAAGCTGTTTCCAAGGGAACTTGAAGCAGGAATCAGAAAATATCTGGCTCTCTACTCGTAAAATTAAAGTACACACACACACGCATTCACACACACACACACATAACATATTTGAGTATGCAGGTCAGCAGACACTGGTTCTGAGAGCCATTTTTCAACCTTGGTAGCAGAGTAGAAAAACAGTTTTTGTCTCATTTCCCCATTTATCTGTGCTTTACCCAAACGGCACACCAATGCTACAATCTGTACCACAGATATAGTCAGCTCCATCCTCAGACGGGATTGTAGAAATGACACTATAGTGGTCAGCTCCAGTCCTGGAGACTGAGAACTAGTGACTGGGAATCCCAGCCCCCTTGGTGTGGCTTCCATCACTCTTAAGCTGCATCAGGTACTGATGGGCCTTCCCTGGCTGCTGCCGAAAGCATTCAATGGCATAGCTGCTATGCTGACTGCTGAGTGTGGGCGAGCTTGGCCAGGGCTCCCAGGGAGGCAGATGCAGAGGTCGACTGAGTCGGCACGGGCTGCCAGAGGGATCCCGAAAACACAGACAGCCATTATACACTGAATAAAGCAGAACAGGGAAGGACAGTTCTGGCATGAGTTGGGAGGTGGTGTCAGTGAGCTGGGGGATCAGGATGCTTTGTGCTGTCCTGGACTGTGCAGTGAAGGAGGACAATGAGGAGGAGGAGTGGGGTCAAGGCCATGGTGCAGACTCCCCGGATCTCTGCAGAGGAAGCCACGCGGCAGGTCTCTCGTGTTCACCCTCTAGCCTTAGAGGAGAGAGATGGGCCTTTCATGCAAATGTGCTCCTCTTCCCCTGCCCAAGCGTGCCCCTCCCTGGGCCCGTGTGCAGTCCCAGTGGCTGGGTCATTTCTGGGAAGAGTAGGCCTGGGATGTACCTGGACTGAGGCTCCCAAAGGGCCCAGAGAGGACCCAGCTGCTGGCCCCAGTGAGCCCTAGGCAGAGGCCAGGGCCAGGTATCATTTCCCAGCTAAGAGCCCCACAGACTCTAAGTGCCAGCCCCACAGCGCCCCCTGCTGCCCAGGCCCAGGTCCATCGTGCCTGTGACCAGAGGCCAGGTGGACCCAACAGAGTTGCCATCCTCCACCGGGGCCTTGACCAGTGCTGGCTCCCTACCTCAGGGCAGAGTGAGGTTCCCTCTCAGGGCAGTTTTCTACATCATCTCAGTCTTTAGTTTTCCACACTGGCCTCCTCAATGGGAAAAAAGACACACAATTCACCGCACTTTATAAGGAGTCCCCAGGGGAAGTGTGTCTCAGGTACACATTCTATGTGGTACACATATCTATTCTGTAATGGAATAATTTCATTGACTAGAACAAAATGTTTTAATTCTGCAGCAATGGAAATGTTGTGAGTACGCATGGGGCACATGAGTATATGTGTTCATAAAAAGCACACTGAAATTTACAATTAAGATCTGCAAATTTCACTTTACATATTATGCTTCAAGATAAGTTTTAAAAATAAAAAAGAGAAAAAATACCATTTTTTCAGATCAAAAAAATAGAATTTGCCACAAGATCTACTCTAAATGAAATTCTGAAGCTCTTTTTTAGTAAAATCTCAGTAAGCAGCCACCAAAATTTTCAAGAAATAAGTGTTAAAGAAAGTGGGGAAATGTGGAAAAACCCAAAGGAAAATTGAGTCTGTAAAACTATGATTATAATAACATCAGTTGATGTATAAATGCATATATGTATAACATAAAGCATATGTGTGAACTTATGAACATGTATTAATAGATTTGTGTGCACATGTGTAAATATATGACATAACTATGTTTTGACATTATATACATTTGTAGAGATTAAATGGAATTGAAGGGTTTACACTCAGACTCTACTCTCTGAAGTTTTATTTTAAACACTGAGCACCCCTAGTCTCTTCATATTTCCCAATCAGGGGGACAGCCTCCAGGGGATATTCCAGTTTGCATTTAGTCTCCAGAGAATCCCTTTCTTGTGATGATATATAGGAGTAACGCCCCACCCAAATCCCCTGAGCAGGACAATGTATGATAAAAGCTTCAGATCAAAGGGCAAGGCTGCTGCAGTCAGAGGGTTAGCGTCCTGCAGGGATCTCAAAAGGGCATCCAGCATAGTGAATATGAACAAAGGGATCACTTCTATTCTTTAACCAGAGTTCCCCAGCACACTTGAGGGTCCAGGGCATCTGTGATATGCAATATAATCCCATTATCACATGGTCTGTGACAATCCCAACCAAGCAATCTGACCACCATCACAAGGGGTTGCCTCCCCTCCCCAGATCAGCTCAGCTGTTTCATGCTCCAAAATATTCATATTCAGGAGGAAGAACTTTCCTCACTGGGCACCACCTGCAAAGGAAACAGAACAATGTCCTGTGGCATTGGCACTAATCAGGCTTTATTGGGGGCATTTTCAGGAATGGACTCAGCAAGGGTCGCAGCCCTTGTACCTCTCATCAGCCTCATAAGAAGCAGAGCTGGCCTGGGCTAGGGAAGCTGGGTGGATTTGGGGCTAAAGTTCAGGATAAGTACTTTGCAAAATGCTTTACCTTTTAACACATTGAGTGGGTGACAGGCCATAAATGGAGATGTAATGAGAGGAGAGTCAGAAGCTGCTCAGGGGAGGTGCAAGGCCAAGACTGAAATCAGTGCTTGTGGCACCTGGAGAATTCCAGAGAAGTTGAGATCTCTGGGGAGGAGCCAAGAGTAGTCCAAGCTAACTAACATAAGGAAACCCTGAGTTAGACTTTGGAGTCACCCACAGACTGTCTTGTTTGACTCTCACTATTAATGGAGGCCAGTAGAAAGGTCCCACCCTGTACTGAAGAATGAAAAATACAAACAACAAAGCTGCTACTGATGAGCCACACTCGGTCCCAGACAGTGTATTGTTGCCTGCACAAGGCAGAGAGAATGCAGGGGAGGTTCTAATCTCACTTCCCCGTAAGTCTGGAGCACAGTGAAAGTGCCACTGTTGCTGTGATATGTAAAATAGTAATAGTCGGACTTGATCTCAGGCTGCTCAGAAATGTGCAGAATCCCTGCACATTGCCCGAGGGATCTTTGGATTCACAGAAGTGACTGGGGACCCCAGAGTCCTGGTGCTTACTTGAGTCTGAGTAGTATCTCAGGAGATACTGGGGAAGGCTCCGTGACTTCTGCTGGTACAAGAATATGTGACAGCCTCCAACAATGCAGCCACTACTTGGGGTACAGGGAAGTCTTATAGCATTTCTCAGATGTGCAGAGAGGGAGGGCAGCTGAATAAGCAAAGGCTGAGAGAGGGAACCTGCAAGCAAAGATGATCGTGGGTGAGGAATCAGGACAAAGGGTGAGAGTGAAACACAGGGCAAGAACTCAGGCTAGGGGGCTTCCCCAGGACGTGAGACCTGTCCCTACCTGAGAAATGATAGAATATCACAGGAGAATAGGTGCCCAGGTCACAGTGGACACAGCCCTCCTGAGGTCCAGAGCTGGAATGGCTTCTCCAGGCCTCTCTTATCCCCTTCAGTGGCCTCACAAAGGAGGGGTTATGGATGCAAGTGTGTTGCTCCCACTGCCTACCCCCAACTCTCCCGATGGATTTATCAGTATCTGGGAGCTGTTGTCGGGGTGTCTGGCACACAGGACTTGGAAGAAGGTGGGGGTGCTGGGACCATATCTAGCTGCTAAATCTGTGTCAGTGAGTGCAGACTCCATCTACCCAGCCCTGGGGAGTTTGGGGGGGGTGGCAAGTTTTGGGTTTTCACTGTGCAGACACTGAGTGTGACTCACAGTGCCCTGTGCTGCTCACTGGCCAGACAGCAGTCTTTCTGTGAAAATCACATGAGTGGAGTCACCTGAGAGCCTGGTCATTGCTAATCCACAGCATCCATAGACCACACCTTTGCCCTGTCTGGAGATAACTCATATTAATAAACAGCCTTTCCACTGAGGATTTCTGAATTACTAGAAAAGCAAAAATATCAGGTCCATCCAACATGAGGAGGCTGCAGTGATGGCAGAATGCAGAAGGCTCGGAATACACAGGGAAGGTCTCTTCCAAGATGGCCAAACAGGAACAGCTCTGGTCTGCAGCTCCCAGTGAGATCGACGCAGAAGACAGGTGATTTCTGCATTTCCAACTGAGGTACCTGGTTCATCTCATTGGGACTAGTTGGACAGTGGGTGCAACCCAAAGAGCTGAAGCATGGTGGGGTGTCACCTCACCCGGGAAGCACAAGGGGTCGGGGGATTCCCCTTTCCTAGCCAAGGGAAGCCTGACAGACTGTACTGGGAGAAATGGTACACTCCTGACCAAATACTGCGCTTTTCCCACAGTCTTAGCAACCGGCAGACCAGGAGATACCCTCCCGTTGCCTGGCTCAGCAGGTCCCAGGCCCACAGAGCCTTGCTCACTACTAGTGCAGCAGTCTGAGATCAACCTGTGACACTGCAGCTTGATGGGGGGAGGGGCACCTGCCATTGCTGAGGCTTGAGTAGCTCACAGTGTAAACAAAGAGGCAGGGAAGCATGAACTGGGCAGAGCCCACCACAGCTCAGCAAGGCCTACTGCCTCTGTAGATTCCACCTCTGGGGGAGGGCATAGTAGAACAAAAGGCAGCAGACAGCTTCTGCAGACTTAAACGTCCCTGTCTGACAGCTCTGAAGAGAGCAGTGGTTCTCTCAACATGGTGTTCGAGCTCTGAGAATGGACAGACTGCCTCCTCAAGCGGGTCTCTGACACCCATGCAACCTGACTGGGAAACACCTCCCAGTAGGGGCCGACAGACGTCTCAAACAGGCGGTGCCCCTCTGGGACGAAGCTTCCAGAGGAAGTATCAGGTAGCAATATTTACTGATCTGCAGCCTATGCTGGTGATACCCAGGCAATCAGGGTCTGGAGTGGACCTCCAGCAAACTCCAACAGACCTGCAGCCGAGGGGTCTGACTGTTAGAAGGAAAACTAACAAACGGAAAGGAATGGCATCAACATCAACAGAAAGGACATCTACACCAAAACCCCATCTGTAGGTCACCAACATCAAAGACCAAAGGTAGATAAAACCATAAAGATGGGGAGAAACCAGAGCAGACAAGCTGAAAATTCCAAAAAACAGAGTGCCTCTTCTCCTCCAAAGGACCACAGCTCCTCGCCAGCAAGGGAACAAAACTGGACAGAGAATGAGTTTGACGAGTTGACAGAAGTAGGCTTCAGAAGGTCGGTAATAACGAACTTCTCTGAGCTAAAGGAGCATGTTCTAACCCATCGCAAGGAAGCTAAAAACCTTGAAAAAGGTTAGACGAATGGCTAACTAGAACAAACAGTGTAGAGAAGACCTTAAATGACCTGATGGAGCTGAAAACCATGGCATGAGAACTTCGTGACGCATGCACAAGCTTCAATAGCCGATTCAATCAAGTGGAAGAAACGATATCAGTGATTGAAGATCAAATTAATGAAATAAACAAAGAAGACAAGATTAGAGAAAAAAGAGTGAAAAGAAATGAACAAAGCCTCCAAAAAATATGGGACTACGGGAAAAGACCAAATATATGTTTGATTGTTGTACCAGAGAGTGACGGGGAGAATGGAACCAAGTTAGAAAACACTCTTCAGGGCCAGGTGCGGTGGCTCATGCCTCCTAATCCCAGATCTTTGGAAGGCCGAGGTGGGCAGACCATGAGGTCAGGAGATCAAGACCCTCCTGGCTAACATGATGAAACCCTGTCTTTACCAAAAAATATGAAAAATTAGCCGGGAATGGTGGTGGGTGCCTGTAGTCCCAGCTACTCGGGAGGCTGAGGCAGGAGAATGGTGGGAACCCAGGAGGCAGAGTTTGCAGTGAGCCAAGATCGCACCACTGCACTCCAACCTGGGTGACAGTGGGAGACTCTGTCTCAAAAAAAACCAAAAAAAAAAAACCCTCTTCAGGATATTATCCAGGAGAACTTACTCAACCTAGCAAGGCAGGCCAACATTCATATTCAGGAAATACAGAGAGCACCACAAAGATACTCCCCAAGAAGAGCAATCCCAAGACACATAATTGTCAGATTCACCAAGGTTGAAATCAAGGAAAAAATGTTAAAAGCACCCAGAGAGAAAGGTCAGGTTACCTACAAATGGAAGCCCATCAGACTAACAGTGGATCTCTCAGCAGAAACCATACAAGCCAGAAGAGAGTGGGGGCCAATATTCAATATTCTTAAAGAAAAGAATTTTCAAACCAGAATCTCATATCCAGCCAAACTAAGCTTAATAAGTGAAGGAGAAATAAAATATTTTACAGACAAGCAAATGCTGAGAGATTTTGTTACCACTAGGCCTGCCTTACAAGAGCTCCTGAAGGAAGTACTAAACATGGAAAGGAACAACAGGTTCCAGCCACTGCAAAAACATGCCAAATGGTAAAGATCATTGAAGCTATGAAGAAACTGCATCATTAACAGGCAAAATAACCAGCTAACATCATAATGACAGGATGAAATTCAAACCCAACAATATTAACCTTAAATGTAAATGGGCCAAATGCCCCAATTAAAAGACACAGACTGGCAAATTGGATAAAGAGTCAAGACCCATCAGTGTGCTGTATCCAGGAGACCCATCTCATGTGCAAAGACACACATAGGCTCAAAATAAAGGGATGGAGGAAGATCTACCAAGCAAATGGAAAGCAAAAAAAAAGCAGGGGTTGCAATCCTAGTCTTTGATAAAACAGACTTTAAACCAACAAAGATCAAAAGAGACAAAGAAAGCCACTACATAATAGTAAAGGGATCAATTCAACAAGAAGAGCTAACTATCCTAAATATATATGCACCCAATACAGGAGCACCCAGATTCATAAAGCAAGTCCTTAGAGACCTACAAAGAGACTTAGACTCCCACACAATAATAATGGAAGGCTTTAACATCCTACTGTCAATGTTAGACAGATCAATGAGACAGAAGGTTAACAAGGATATCCAGGACTTGAGCTCAGCTCTGGACCATGCAGACCTAATAGACACCTACAGAACTCTACACCCCAAATCAACAGAATATGCATTCTTCTCAGCACCACATCGCACTTATTCTAAAATTGACCACATAATTGGTAGTAAAACACTCCTCAGCAAATGTAAAAGAAAAGAAATCACAAAAAACTGTCTCTCGGACCACAGTGCAATCAAACTAGAACTCAGGATTAAGAAACTCACTCAAAACCACTCAACTAATGGAAACTGAAAAACCTGCTCCTGAATGACTACTGGGTACATAACGAAATGAAGGCAGAAATAAAGACGTTATTTGAAACCAATGAGAACAAAGACACAACGTACTAGAATCTCTGGGACACGTTTAAAGCAGTGTGTAGAGGGAAATTTATAGCACTAAATGCCAACAAGAGAAAGCAGGAAAGATCTCAAATCGACACCCTAACATCACAATTAAAAGAATTAGAGAAGCAAGAGCAAACACATTCAAAAGCTAGTAGAAGGCAAGACATAACTAAGATCAGAGCAGAACTGAAGGAGATAGAGACACAAAAAACCCTTCAAAAAATCAATGAATCCAGGAGCTGGTTTTTTGAAAAGATCAACAAAATTGATAAACCGCTAGCAACACTAATAAAGAAGAAAAGAGAGAAGAATCAAATAGACACAACAAAAAATGATAAAGGAGATATCACCACCCATCCCACAGAAATACAAACTGCCATCAGAATACTATAAGAACCTCTACACAAGAAAACTAGAAAATCTAGAAGAAATGGATAAATTCCTGTACACATACACCCTCCCAAGACTAAACCAGGAAGAGGCTGAATCTCTTAATAGACCAATAACAGGTTCTGAAATTGAGGCAATAATTGATAGCCTACCAACCAAAAAAAGTCCAGGACCAGACAGACTCACAGCCGAATTCTACCAGAGGTACAAAGAGGAGCTGGTACCATTCCTTCTAAAACTATTTCAATCAATAGAAAAAGAGGGAATCCTCCCTAACTCATTTTAGGAGGCTAGCATCATCTTGATACCAAAGCCTGGTAGAGACACAACAAAAAAAGAGAATTTTAGGCCAATATCCCTGATGAACATTGATGCGAAAATCCTCAATAAAATACTGGCAAACCAAATCCAACAGCACATCAAAAAGGTTATCCACCACGATCAAGTCAGCTTCATCCCTAGGATGCAAGGCTGGTTCAACATATGCAAATCAATAAATGTAATCCATCACATAAACAGAACCAGCGACAAAAACCACATGATTACCTCAATAGATGCAGAAAAGGCCTTCGACAAAATTCAACAGCCCTTCATGCTAAAAACTCTCAATAAACTAGGTATTGATGGAATATATCTCAAAATAATAAGAGCTATTTATGACAAACCCACAGCCAATATCATACTGAATGGGCAAAAACTGGAAGCATTCTGTTTGAAAACCAGCACAAGACAAGGATGCCCTCTCCTATTCAACACAGTGTTGGAAGTTCTGGCTAGAGCAATCAGGCAAGAGAAAGAAATAAAGGGTATTCAACTGGGAAAAGACGAAGTCAAATTGTCTCCGTTTGCAGATGACAAGATTGTATATTTGGAAAACCCCATCATCTCAGCCCAAAATCTCCATAAGCTAATTAGCAACTTCAGTAAGGTCACAGGATACAAAATCAATGTGCAAAAATCACAAGCATTCCTATACACCAATAGTAGACTAACAGAGAGCCAAATCATGAGTGAACTCCCACTCACAATTAATACAAAGAGAATAAAATACCTAGGAATCCAACTTACAAGGAATGTGAAGGACCTCTTCAAGGAGAACTACAAACCACTGCTCGATGAAATAAAAGGGGACACAAACAAATGGAAGAACATTCCATGCTCATAGATAAGAATAACCAATATCATGAAAATGGCCATACTGCCCAAGGTAATTTATAGATTCAATGCTATCCCCATCAAGCTACCACTGACTTTCTTCACAGAATTGGAAAAAACTACTTTAAAGTTCATATGGAACCTAAAAAGAGCCTGCATAGCCAAGACAATCCTAAGCAAAAAGAACAAAGCTGGAGGCATCATGCTACCTGACTTCAAACTATACTACAAGTCTACAGTAACCAAAACAGCATGGTACTGGTACCAAAACATATATATAGACGAATGGAACAGAACAGAGGCCTCAGAAATAACACCACGCATCTACAATCATCTGATTTTTGACAAACCTGACTAAAAAAAGCAATGAGGAAAGGATTCCCCCTTTAATAAATGGTGCTGGGAAAACTGGCTAGCCATATGTAGAAAGCTGAAACTGGATGTCTTCCTTACACAGTATACAAAAATTAACTCAAGATGGATTAAAGACTTGAATGAAGACCTAACACCATGGCCGGGCACGGTGGCTCACGCCTGTAATCCCAGCACTTTGGGAGGCCGAGGCGGGCAGATCACAAGGTCAGGAGATCGAGACCATCCTGGGTAACACGGTGAAACCACGTCTCTATTTAAAAATACAAAAAAAAATTAGCCGGGCGCAGTGGCAGGTGCCTGTAGTCCCAGCTACTTGGGAGGCTGAGGCAAGAGAATGCAGGAACCCGGGAGGCGGAGCTTGCAGTGAGCCGAGATCACGCCACTGTACTCCAGCCTGGGCTACAGAGCGAGACTCTGTCTCAAAGAAAAAAAAAAAAAAAAGACCTAACACCATAAAAAACCCTAGAAGAAAACCTAGGCAATACCATTCAGGACATTGGCATGGGCAAAGACTTCATGACTAAAATACCAAAAGCAATGGCAACAAAAGCCAAAATTGACAAGTGGGATCTAATTAAACTAAAGAGCTTCTGCACAGCAAAAGAAGCTATTATCAGAGTGAACAGGCAACCTACAGAATGGGAGAAAATCTTTGCAATCTACCCACCTGACAAAGGGCTAATATCCAGAATCTACAAAGAACTTAAACAAATTTACAAGAAAAAGCAAACAACCCCATTGAAAAGTGGGTAAAAGATATGAACAAACACTTCTCAAAATAAGACATTTATGCAGCCAACAGACATGAAAAAATGCTCATCATCACTGGTCATCAGATAAATACAAATCAAAACCACAATGAGATACCATTTCACACCAGTTAGAATGTTGATCATTAAAAAGTTAGGAAACAACAGATGCTGGAGAGGATGTGGAGAAATAGGAACGCTTTTACACTGTTGGTGGGACTGTAAACTAGTTCAACCATTGTGGAAGACAGTGTGGTGATTCCTCAAGGATCTAGAACTAGAAATACCATTTGACTCAGCCATCCCATTACTGGGTATGTACCCAAAGGATTATGAATCATGCTACTATAAAGACACATGCACGTGTGTGTTTATTATGGCACTATTCACAATAGCAAAGACTTGGAACCAACCCAAATGTCCATCACTGATAGACTGGATTAAGAAAATGTGGCATATATGCACCATGGAATACTATGCAGCCATAAAAAAGGATGAGTTCATGTCCTTTGTAGTGACATGGATGAAGCTGGAAGCCATCATTCTAAGCAAACTGTCACAAGGACAGAAAACCAAACACCGCATGTTCTCACTCATAAGTGGGAGTTGAACAAGGAGAACACATGGACACAGGGCAGGGAACATCACACACCAGGGCTTGTTTGGGGGTGGGGGGCTGGGGGAGAGATAGCATTAGGAGAAATACCTAATATAAATGAGGAATTGATGGGTGCAGCAAACCAACATAGCACATGTATACCTATGTAACAAACCTGCACGTTGTGCACATGTACCCTAAAACTTAAAGTATAATAATTTAAAAAAAGGTTAAAGAAAAGAGTTATTGTCCCAGTGAAGTAAAAAAATTACATTTTTTTGAAAGGTATGACAATAAAAGTCTGTAAATTATGTGTGAAAATATTAACAAAATTTGAACTTTTGAAGTGTAATTTTGAGAAGTTTTAAAGAGAAATAGATGTTAAAATTAAAAATCAATGTTTAACTCTTTTATTTAGAGTAAATTAATATTAAGAAAACTGTGTTTGGACATAGAAAATCAAAATATTCAGTTTTGTATTTGTGTATTTTCAATATTAAAGTTTAATATTTAGGAAGACATAATTTTTAAAATTATAGTCCTGTTAATTATACTTAATTTTATTAAATAATTCCCAAATGTATTTTACTATAATTTACATAGAGTAAGATATGTTGGGACATAATTCCCAAATGTATTTTATTATAATTTACATAGACTAAGACTTGTTGGGACATTTTGATTTGTCTTCTTAAAATAGTAAATCATCTTATTTTAGGACAAAAATTATATAAGATTGTTCAATATAAAATTATGTTCTAATGTTTTTTACAAAAAGATATCTATATTTATAATATTTTATATCTCTCTAATTTATTTTATATTGCTTTATAAGTAACCATTATATAACATCTTAACTTGGCAAAATTATTTTAATAAAGCATATATTTTATGACTTTGCTTTTTTAACTTAAAAACATATATTTAGTATTTTTATTTTTGTCTTATTTTATATATTGAATTATATATTAATTAGAATTTTTAATTATTTTAACAATAATTTTTACTCAAAACCTAGGATGTAAGAAACTTTGAATTGTCTCTCATAAATTCATCTTTTATACATGAGAACTATTTTAATATTTTTATAACTATATCCAAAATATATATTTTTAATTTTAAATGACCTACACTTTTTTAAGAGTACCTATTATTTAATTTATTTTTTAAGATTTTAAATTATACAAAAAGTTTAGATAGAAGTGTTTACTTCATTTATATTCATCTAATTTAGTTACTTAAAAATTTATTTAGATTATATGTGAAAACTGAGACACAAGAAAATTATTTTTATTTCTCTAAATCATTTTTTCTTAGTAATATTAGTAGTTGGTATATGCAGTTGTTTACCTAAGTAAGATCCTTAAAGTGAAAAATATGCAAAATTTATCTATAACTTAGAAGACACAGCTATTTTATTAAACTAGCAATATTAAATTAATTTTATTTATTGAAAAACTGTATAAAGAATATTTTGTTTTTGGCTGGGTTTGTGGTTTACAACTTTCGTGCCAAATCCTTACACCTTAGTCTACTTAGCAGAGACAAATATAAAATCATCTGTCCAGTAAACCCAGGGGGAAATGTGTGTTAATAATTTTGAATTTTTTGTTTGATTAATAATTAATATTTAGATAAGTGTTGCACAGCACATCTTTATAACATATTCTTGCATAACTAAAACTTTACACCTGTTGACCAGCAACTCCCCATTTCCTCCTCCCCTCAGCTCCTGGCAGCCACCATTCTGCTCTGTGTCTCTGGAATTTGTATATTTGAGCACATTATGACTTCAGACTGAAAATTCAGCAAGACTCAATACCACGTTAAATATAAAATTGCCATAAAGCAGAAAGAGTGGTCTTAGACACTCTCATTACTTGCAGCTTCTTGGGAAATTTTTTGAGATGATGCTCTTCTCTAGGGCTCTGGAGCCTTTGAAGAATGGAAGAGGAGCTCACTGAGACAAATAGGTAGTACAAGAAGGAGGTAACAAGGCTCAGGGCAGAAAAGAGCACAGCAGTTCCCAGGAGGGCAGGAACTGGGAGGGGGCATTACAGATGAGGAGAGGGGTGGTATGGGGGAGCCCCAGCAGGACATGGGACATAATGAGGGCGAGGGAAATCACAAGGCTGAGAATGAATTTGAAATATATTTAGGAAACACAATATATAGGATGAGTAAGTTAAGTAATAAGAAAAAAATATATACCAATATGAACAATGTGTTAAGAAAGCGGACACCAGGGGGATTGATGAATATACTTTCCTGCCCTGGAGTACTCAGGAAAAAAACGGCATACCTTTTTTTGGATAGCAAAATGTTTAATTCAAATATTTTACATTTATCTTTAAGAATTTGTGTTTGAGAATAATTAGCTCTTGCCATTCTACTACTCTGTATGTATGTGGGTTATCATTCTTGTGTCTTTCTTCTGCTTGAATAAATAAAAAGCAAGAACAAAAACCAATTATGCTTAAAATCATCACTTAAAGTAAATAAGTTGTAAAAATTCCACAAATGGCACAGGAGTGAACCTATGCTTCTAATCAGTTGTCTAACTTGTATATCCACAGCTCAGGAGAATTATTTTGTCAATTCTGTGTGTTTTAATGTTTATTATGGTGACAGCTTAATTAAATATTTGCCAATGAATAAAATGAAACATCATGCAATCTCCGTAGTCTACTAAATGTTCACAGTATTGCATCAAATCAAATTATGTATATATATTTATATTAATATATTATATGTAATATAGATTAATTATTGTATATTATATACTTATATAATATGTAAGTGTTATATATTATATACTTATATAATATGTAAGTGTTATATATTATATATTTATTATATATTAATATTAGTATATGATATAATGTAATTAATATATATTATATATATTTATAGATAGATGTTAATTTTGTCATTGTGGCTCCCCACATTCACTTATAATTTCCATAGCACTCAGTACTGGCTAGGCTTGGATGCAGTGAGAAATTGACAGAAATCTTGGTGACTCACAACGAATGTATATTTCTCACTCCTCCACCATTCCCATCTCTGATTGAAATGCTTGGGGCTTCAGTTCACTTCACCTTCATCCCAGGATGCAGGATGGTTGAGAGAATTCTGTGAGAACACTGTGGGTGTTACGTCAGAGATGATAGAACTTGACAAAGCACAGGCTAATCTTACATCTACTGCTCAGAAATTACACCTCTCATTTCTGTTCATCTTATTGGCCAATACTAGTTACATTATCACTCCTCCGTTCTGTAGGAAGAAGGGGCCGAGGTAATACTCCCACAGAGAATAGTGTTCCAGACTGTGAAGAGAACTTGAGTGTTACTATATCCCCATTACAGGTAATGAAGAAACTGGCCTAAGGAAGTGTTAAATAGATTGTCACAGACTGTGCTCTGCAGTAGAACTTTATGCCATGGTGGAGATGCCCTGTGTCTGAACTCTCCAGCATGAGAGCCATGGATGGAGAGCATGAGTCCAGGAGGCAGGTGAAATGAAGCTGGTGTGGCTGAGGAATATTTTTTAAAGTTTATTTAGTTTTAATTAATTAACTTTGAAATATACATATCAACATGCAGTTCATGGGGACTGTACTGGGTGGAGCAAGCCCAAAAACACAAATGGCAGCTGGTAAAATTTGCATCCAGCGCTAGGGCTAAAAAAAGGACTTCACTGACTGCTCAGTTCTGAGGCTGCTCTTGTCTACTGTCGTCTACCCATTCTAAAATGTAAACTCCACACATACGAGGCCTTGTCATAATTTTGTACACCATGCTTGAAAAGCAACCCCTAAGAGGATAAGTAGAGAAGAATGTGTTATGTTTTAGGTGTTTTACCTAAAAATTTGAATTAGCAATTATGCACACAGTTTGGTCAAATGTTTCACTCCACACTCTGGTCAGCAAGAGATGCTGTACATTGGGTAGCAGGTTTTCTGAACTAATGGTGTTCAGAGGATTATTCATCTGTCAACATAACCTTTGGAGTTGTATCCCACACATTTGTTTAAGAGGAAATTTGGAACTATCGAGATATAATGCATGTAGCCTTATATTCAGTGGAATGGGATAAGGAGGGTTCAACACAAAAGGCTGCCCAATACGTGAAACCATGTCCTTTTAATCCAGTGGTTCTCAGACAAGGGTGATTCTGCAGTGCTGTCTCCCTAGGATATTTTGCAATGTCTACATTTTTTGCTTGTTTGTTAGAATTTGGGAATTAGGGTGCTATAGGCATCTGATGTGTGAGTCCCAATAATCTTATAAATGTCCAACCATGAACAGAACAGCCCCCCTCACACAATGAATGACCCAGTGCACAATGTTAAAATGACAATGTTCAGAAGCCATGTTTTAAACTAAATATTCTTCATAAAGTAATTTCACAGGGACCAGAAAAACCATCCATGAAGACAAGAAAGAAAAAGTTGTGTATTTTGGAAAGAAAATAGAGAGACACATAAACAGAAAATTTGAATTCAAACATTCAAACAGGGGACAGGAAAAAGCAACCCATGCTGGTGGGGAGAGGCTGATGGCAGACTCAGGGTGAGGGCGCTCTGGGGAGTTTTCCTGTCACTGCCCAATGGGCCTGCAGCACTGTGAGATTGTAGCTTTCATCATGAGACTGACAGGAGAAGTCAGCCTCATCTCCAATCCGCAGCCCAGAGACGGTCAGGGAGGCAGAGTTGGGGGAGCTGTCCATGGAGCCAGAGAACTGATCAGAACTAGGTAAGTGACATGAATATTTGACATAAGACATGAGAATGGAAAGTAAACAGGAGAGTTGAATTTAAAAGCGTTTTGGAGAGAGAATCCACATGGCTGGTGACCAGTTGGATCACTGGGTAGGGTAGAGAAAAGAGTCCAAATAAATTGGAGGTTTCTCATTTTGTGGACCAGTTGTGCAGGCTGCTCTTAACTTTGGTAGGAGATTTTAAATAGAACCTAATTATGACACATTGGTAAGAGTTTATTTTCCTATTTCAGAAAGGCAAGCACCAGGCAATGAAGCAGGTGCGGCTATGACAGTGAAGCTTTGCCACCTATTATCACAGACACACAGTCACACACGGTGGACTCTGTCCATGTGATGAGTTGTCAGACTGAAATGCAGTGAGGGATCCCCGGCTACCTATGGGGGCCACAGAAGAGACATAAAAACCTTTTTAAGTGAGAAAGTCCTCATTAAATTATTGAAGGTTTTATGCAATTCTTTGTGCAATATATATTTATAAAGAACATACTAACATCAGCTTGGTGCCAAATAACAATGTCATCTGAAGAGCCGGGAGGGAACCCCACACTCTGGTGTGCTCACTTCAGTGGTTCTGTTAGGGATGAGGATGGTGAGCCTGCTTTTAGCTTTCCTGTTTCCCAGGGTTTTCCCCTGGGAGATGGCGTCAACACCACCTGCTACTACTAACACAAGTAGTCAGCCAGCAGGCTCCTCTCTGCTGGCTACTTCACACTTTCCCCTCTAGCCTCTGGCACCTCTTTCCACATATTCCTTCTATTGTCCCTGATTTATCTTGTCAATGACATCAGAAGATAACTCAACAAGCTTTTCTACCCACTCTGAGCTTTTCGAGTGTTGAAGGTGAGGGGCCACAATTTAATCAACTCTAGGTATTCACATTTCCTTTGTTTTATTTTATTTTATTTTATTTTAGGCTGAGCCTCACTCTGTCACCCAGGCCAAAGTGCAATAGTGTGATCTTGGCTCACTGCAACCTCCGCCTCCTGGGTTCAAGTGATTCTCCTCCCTTAGCCTCCTGAGTAGCTGGGACTACAAGCATGCACCACCACACCTGGCTAATTTTTGTATATTTAGTAGAGATGGGGTTTCTCCATGTTGGCCAGGCTGGTGTCGAGCTCCTGACCTCAGGTGATCCGCCCACCTCGGCCTCCCAAAGTGCTGGGATTACAGGGTTGAGCCACCATGCCCGGCCCACATTTCCTTTATATTGCACCTGGCATTCACAATTATGTCCTCTAATCTTTTACCTATTAGATTGCTCTCAAATACTTGTATTTTATTTCATTGATTAATCTTCTCCTTACAGAACAATTTTCCACTTACTATGCTTATAGGATGCATTAGGTATTAACTTCACAGTAAGAATCAGAGTTTCTTAAGAAGTGTAACTTTTCTAATAAAGTATATTTTAATTGTTGGTAAAAGTCTAAAATCTCACATGCCAAATAAACAAATAGGGGTCTCTGCAAAGAGAAAAAGGCCCTTTGATCAATGTGTTTCTATGTTGTGGTTGTATGGGGGTCATCTAAATGATGGGTGAAGATGGGGTTGGGGTTGCTACTCACTTCATTGGAGGAGCGGGCAGAAACCTGCCTCTGCATTGCAGTTGCATAGGACACAGTGCTCTCTCCTGGGTTGTATATTAACAAGTCAATGTCCCTGGAGCCATGTGGGGGGCAAAGATGTGGGGGGCTTTGGTCCGCCATTAGAAATGTGGTGCTGTCACACATGCATTTTTATCTCGATGGAAAACTATCTTTAAACCAGATATTTTCCCCAAAATATCAAAAATCATTTTCAACTACAAGCTAACGCTCCCACTTCATTTGTTCTTTCCAGATACTGCCTGAGGTATGTCAGAGGATAAGGAAAGGGCACAACAAGAGCACACACATGGGATCATTGTCTTGTGTGGGTGTTGGGGGCAAACAGGGACGTGGGGCCCAGGAAGCCTCAACTAAGTGTGAGGAACAAGTCTGGGTCTGTAGAAGGAATAAAGAGAGCTCTGTGACAGAGGGAAAGGGGATTCTAATGAGAGGACAGGCATGGGCCCAGGTCATAAGAAGGTGGGATAAGCTTGAGGTGACCCTGCTGAACACACACTCAAAGGCAGACCACCGGAACCTCTGAGCATTTAGTCCAGCATCTCCAAATAAAAGAGAAGGAAAATCTGGGAAAATAAATATTTCCTTAGTTTACCCTTGCATTCATTTTTACTACTGATTAATGCATGTGTATGTTCATGTAAGTATCTAGCCACAAATATATTCACAACAATGTTTCCTATAAATATTCATTAATACTGCAGATTTAGTTATTTTAACTTATGATATTATTTTTAATAGTTTTGAATAGCACACACTTTGTCACGTGGAAACCAGCCCTTGTCATTTTTGGTTTAGTTTAAACAGTGCTCTATGACGCCCCCGCATACCGAGTGAAGCTAGGGGAGCTCCTGAGTTTTCGTCTCACTTCCCCTGAGGCGCTGTGTGAGCACTGAGGCTGCTGTCCCAGGCTGAGCAGTAATAGGCAGGCTTGTCCTTGGTCTGGAGGCCAGAGATGGTCAGAGATGCCATGTTCCTAACCGGGAGCCAGGGAATCTCTCTGAGATCCCTGAGAGTTGGCTGTTTTTCCTGTTGATCAGGTGTTTGGGGGCATGGCCCTGGTGCTGCTGCGGCCAGACAGCTCCATCTTTGCCAACATTGTTGCTGTCCCCAGTGCAGGTGAGTGTGGTTGTCTATCCCAAGCCCTTGGATACAGAGAGCTGCTGAGTCTGCCCTGCCTGGGCCACAGACACTGCAGGGGGACAGAGAGGGCCATGAGAGCAGGTTTACAACCCAGTGAGCCAGAGAGTGAGGGGGTATGGAGCAGAGCTGGGTGTGGATCCCCCGACATAAGGTTCTTTCTCACCTGAATAGTGAGGGTGGAGATGGAGGAGAGGAGCCCAGAGCATAGTGCAGATTTCCAGCTTCCTGGAGCACTGCTTTGGAAACTGAGCTCCTCTAAGTACCTTTGTATCTCCCAAAAACGTCGTAAGGTAGAGTCACTGTATTCACATAAGACCTTGCTATGTGTCTCTTACTTGTCCACCCTGATCTGGGTACTCACAGGTCAGAAGGAGAAAAGATAAAGAGGAGATGAGCTGACCCAGTGGGTGGAGGTGGCCTGGCTCATTATGACTCTGGGTCGGGGCAGGTCAGTGTTGCATCCCAAACCTAGTCCAGTGAGCTGATGGCTGAACTCCCTTGGAGGCCCTGAGTGGTTTTCATTTGGGCAGGATCATCTCAGTGATGATCCTCACTGTCCTCAGACCCAAAATATTTCCTGCCTCTCTGCCACATCCGGGCATTTCAATGAGAGGAGCATCGGTTGTCCTGATCCTCTTTTCTGAAGCTGTTCATGAGGTTGGAGAGGAATCCAGGGTAGCTGGGAATTCTAAACAAAGCACTCATCAGGCTTAGCGATGCCCTTCTTACTAACAAAACGTTTGTCTTTCAGCTGTATCACCACATACATTGTGATTTCACTTAAGTCATCTATTAATATTCATTTTCTGTTTTAATTTTTTTATGAAAGCAATGCTCACAGGGTTGAATCGCATTCATTTTATTGGCACTCATATCTTCAGCTACTGAAATAACTCTCTATTGTTTTAAATTATCTTTTAACCTTCGTATGTGTTTCCATCTTTTTCAGAGGCTCTTACATAAGTGTATATAATGTGCTTCCAGTCTAACTTTCAAATAGCTCATGGTATAAACTTAAAAAAAATTATAGTGCATGTTCATATTTTAAAATAATTTATTTCTTTAGCTCTTGGCTTTTTAATTTTATTTATATATTTATTGCCTTTGAAACTCATAATAATACTTTTATTTTATTACTTCCAACTAGTTAGCATTCCATCAGCTAACTGCAGGTTATAAATTCCCCTTGTGTTTGACAACTAGCTTGTTTTTTATACTTTTCCCCTAGTAAGGACCTTCTCATAAACATTTCCTTGTGTCTCTGTACAGAGTGGACTTGGTGCAAGACAGATGCTCACCCTCTTAAGGTATCTTCGTGCTGAGGGACTTTGCTCAAAATAGCTGAATTTGTTTTTACAACCTGCTGTGAGTGAGAGTTTGGGATTCCCCACATCCTCACTGGCATCTTTTTTTTTTATTTAAATTTGCAATATCATTTAACAGCTTTCCACCCTCAGTGGCTTCATGTCTTACTCAGAAGTATGCCCACAGGAATCAAAGGTCACTCAAATCCCACATTATCTACCTCTTCTCTCTCTTTTATCTTTCTGGCCCAGGCTCTAACACTCTAAACTTTCTTTTCTTGGTTTCTCTACAAAAGGGCTTCTCACTCCCTTCTTGCTCTTTTCTTACTCTCTTTGCTTTTTGCAAGGCCTGGAAAGCTCCCCATGCACAGACATGCTTGGCTCATTCCACAATTTCTACTTGAAGATCTTATTCCCTTCTCTTTGTCTCTGGTGGAATTTAACATATTTTGATGTCACATTTATCTGCTCTCATTTTGAGACCCGTGAATGGCTTGTTTGTGTCCTTTGAACATTTTTACTGGGTTTCCTTTTTTTCTGTCTTCGCTCATTTCAAAGTTGTCTTCTGGATGCAAACAGCAATACTTTGTCCTTGCCAATGTCTTTCCACTCTTGCATATCCTTCTCTCTTTTTACCAACTGTGGTCCTCTTTGGGAAAAAAAAAGCTTCAAATAATTGCAACCAAATACTTCAAATTTTCTTTTATGAATTGACTTTTGGGTTTATTTAAGAAGTACTTTCTCATATGAAATAAAAATAATATTTCTATTTTTCCAAACTAAAGTTTTTAAACTTTTTCTTTTCTAAATTATATTTTAAATCTGTTTGGATTTTTTAATAAAAGTATGAATTAGGTACTCTACTTAATTTTATGAACAGAGTTAGCCATATTTCCAAGGTCACATAAAAAATCATCAGTCCTATCTACTCTAATTTTTAAGAGAATTATGTAAATGTCAAGATCTCAATCATGCATGATTTTAGCTAATATTGCTTGGTCAAATAACTCAATATCTGGTATCACTTCCATTACAAATTTTTGGTAAATAATCTTAGGTAATTTTTATCTCAATTTTCAATTTGAGTTTTAAAATAAGTTAAGCAGTTTCCTAAAATATTACTGAAATTTTAATTACACTTATATTAATTTGATGGATTAATCCTAGGACACTGCCATCTTTACAATACTGATTTATACAATCCATGACATAGTATAACTCTTATAGTGTATTGGTATTTTGTATTTTTTAACATTGTTTATTATTTTCTCCTATTAACCCCTTATACATTCATTGTCACATCATTTAAATACATTTTTATAATTTTTAGTTAATATGCATTATCTGTGTTGTACTTTTTAGAATAAAAAAGAAAAGTTCAGCAGCAAGGCCTCTATTCCATGACCATAATCCCATAGTGCTGCTTTTGTTGGGGCTTCAGGAGTCAGTAGTGAAAGGGAGAGTGACAGATGAGAAAATAGAATTAGTTAAATCTGAGTTCCTTTTCCAGTCGCTAGAGACACATGTGAGACCCAAGGATGCTGTGCCAGCTCAAGGGTGGTCTCCATGTCTTTCTTGCTTTCTGATGTGGCTGGAATTAGCCTCCCTCCATCCACACCATTATCTTTCTGAACAGGTTCTGCAACTCCAGGGACAGGACATGTATTACCCAAACCAGTCTGACAGTTCACCCCAGTCACCACGATGGTGTCAGGGGACATGGTGTGACTGATCTGGTCAAGTTGTCCTGAAGGCCAGAATTCCTGATCAGTGGGTCAGGGATGGCAGGTCTCGATCATTCTGGGGGGATTGTGTGCAAATTGAAATCCTGGGACTGAGGAGGTAATTTGCTCCCATGTGAGCATTCATCCAGGGGCAAGAAACGGTCATGAAGAAAGAATATCTCAAAGAAGTCTAAGAGGGAGATTCCTCTCTTGCCATCTTGAATGAAAAAGTCTCTTTGATACCTTTGACAAAGGCTAACAGGCAGTTTGATATTTCCGTTGGAGTAATGAGCTCAGGGCCTCCCCCAGCCCCCTTGCCCATGAAGGCTCCTTCTGCAGCGTGACTCAATACCATCCTGTCCATGTCCTAAGGCCAGCCTTGAGCCCTCTCCCCTCACCCAGGCTTCAGTCCCTCCTCCCCACAAACATATGCTGGGTATAAACAGTCTCCCCCAGTGACCCTAGTTGGACCCACAGCCATCATGCTTCCCACCTCCTTGTCCATCTTGTCTGAGGCATCTGGACTTTTCTTCACAAACTTAGCTCAGATCCTCTGTCTTCCTTGTCCAACCCTCTGATGGCTCCTCTACCACCATTACTGAGCTCTCCTCTCCTCTCCTCACTAAGTGATGACATCTTATTGTATTGATATTATTACTCAATTGTCTCATCTCTTCCACCAGATGGTGTCTGGTCCATGAGGACAGGGACACTTCCTGTCTTGTCCACCCTGTTTCTTGAGCCCCTAGACCTAAGGCTGGCACATAGTAGGTGCTAATTGAATGGTGTGGATGGACAGACGTCTGGCAGTTGAGGCTCTTTGGTCAGACACAGTGGGTGCTGTGTTCCTGGTCCTGTCCTGATCCATGATGGACTTGGTTCCCAGGGAAGCCTGACCCTGGTATTGAGGAATTGATATGGCTTGGCTCTGTGTCCCCACCCAAATCTCATGCTGAGGAGGGGCTGGTAGGAGGTGATTGGATCGTGGGGGCAGATTTCTTTCTTGCTGTTCTTAAGATTCACTATCATGAGTGAGTTCTTGTGAGTTCTGGTTGTTTAAAAGTGCGTAGTATTTCCCCTTCTCTCTCTCTCCTGCTCTGCCATATCAAGATGTACTTGCTCCCCTCGTCCTTCCTCCATGATTGTAAGTTTCCTGAGGCCTCCAATTCATGCTTCCTGTACAGCCTGCAGAACTGTGAGTCAATTAAAGACTGTGAGCCTTTCTTCATAAATTACCCTGTCTCAGGTAGTTCTTTATAGCAATGTGAGAATGGACTAATATAGATATTTATTTCAATATATGACAGTATGACAATTTATTATTGCCAAGGGTTGGATATGGGGGTAGAATTGAGAGAGGACTGGGAAACATTATTTAGACCATGTTTGCTTCAGTGCTTCTCATACTCCACATTTTGTCCACCAAAAAAAATCACAGTTAAGCACTTATTTGGTGAATGGGTTGGGGGCTGCACAGGGAAACTCTGTCACTGGAAAGACAGCATATCTTTGTCTTCCTTCCCCGGTGGCCTACAGTTCTGTGTGAGCATTAATGCTTGTGTGCCAAGATAAAGAAAAATAGTCAGCCTTATCCCCAGACTGGAGCCCAGAAATGCTCAGCGAAGCCTGTGAACCAGGACAGAACCCTGAAGGCCAATGGCTGTTTTCACAAATGAGGAGCTATGGAGCCATTCCTGGGAGCTGCTAGTACTCATTAACATGAAAACCACCCCCAGTGCTGGTGGCACTTCCAGTGCAGGAGATAGTGACCCTCTATCTTGGGGCCCCTGCCACTGATGGAGGTTGAGTCAGCACAGACTTGGCCCAGGACCCTGGAAGTGGAAGAGACACAGAAGTGGTGATACTGTTCTAGAGACAAGATGAGAAAGCAGAGTCCCTTGGGCTTCCCAGGGCTCCTCCCCTGGGCCTGTGTCTAGTCACCTGTACAGTGAGTGAGGAGTATGAGGAGGAGAGGGGACCAGTCCATGGTGGAGATTGGCCTGATTCCTGCCTTCTGTGCCTACAGCTACCGCAGAGCTTCTCCCAATCTTTCTCCCTCTCTTTATACTCTTTGAGGAAAAAAATCCACCTATGCAAGTGACAACCTCTCAGCTTTTTGATCCCACTCTGTGTTTGGGTCAGGATCAGGGCCCTGTGCCTTTGGGGATCAGGGGAATGAGCAGGAGTGGAGCTGTGTTGTCCCAGGGGTTTGGAAGTTCACAGCTGTGAGGACTTAGCAGAGGGCAGGAGTCAGAATAGGTGGATGATGCCAGCTCTGAGCACACACACACCCTTCAGGAATGGACCCCAAACACTCTCTGTTGTCCAGCCCCAGACACACTACTGGCTGATATGCTAACCATTCAAGTTTAATACCATCATGGAAGTAAAATAAATTGTAAGATTTATTTTTCAGAAACACAGTAGTCTAGGTAATTTTTGTAAAGATAATATATATTGCAACAAAATAATTGAAGCTCTCTGAGTCCAATTTCAAATATGATAGAGATCTCAAGTATGACACTGAAGGAGAAAATATAATTGACTAATATCCTATGGCTCTTGGTGTTTATTTATGTGAGGCAGAATGCAGTGGAGAAACCCTGTGAGCAGTCTGTGCAGTGACTCAGTCTGATAAGAGAGCAGAATCCACTGAATACATGTTGTCCCTTCATTCTGTGCCTCCCATAATGCATTGTGCCACACCAGCCTATTGTGACTCTCAGCGGGGACTCATGAATTCAATACCATGTCTTCTGTCTGCATTGGGTGAAAAACCTGTAGGTTTGTCTGTAGAGTGGGACACTGGATCATTGGATTTCACAGCCAGGCAGGGGAGCTGGACTAAGTTATTCTTACTGTCTCTCAATCAACACACTTCAGTCTCCTCAGATTCTGGTTTTTCGTGTTTGTTTGTTTTGGTATTGAGATAGGATTACTTTTATCTTACACTCATGAGATTGAAAAAATAACAAACATTATTTGTTTAAAATGTAAATTATTTTCACTGTCTCCAGCTAGGGTACTGTCAGGCTAGATAATACACCATTTTTTTGTTGAAAGAAAGTAAGGAAGGCCTTCTGTCCTGCATTGTTCCATCACCACTAACATCATTGTGAAGAGGTCACCAGGGGACAATGTGAAACTTCTGAGGTCAGCAAGGCCTGAAGCAAACTCAAATGGTTCCTATTTCAACAAAGTTGGACTCTTGCTTACAGGCCTGTGCACATGGTGGAGCAGGTGCTTCCTCCCCAGGGGCAAACTCAGAACTCACAGCCACCCTACACCTCCCCTTTAGAGAGGAGCTGTTCTCTGGGATGAAGACTCAGAAATGTATGCCTATGATGGTGGTAAAAAGAATCAGGTTTGAATAATGGACCAGACAAGCACTGACATTTTACCAAAAAATTTGAGGGAGATAAAAAGAACATTGCGGTGTCCAGCCTCAGTTTGAAGACCCAGGGGTTCCTGCAACATCCACACCATGGCCTGGACTCCTCCCTTCCTCCTACTCTTCCCTCTTCTCTCACACAGCTCAGGTTCATGGAGATCTGGGTGGGGCTGGGCAGATGAGGGACCAGAAGGCCACTCGAGAGGGGGTGTTCTAGGCTGACCAGTCTCTAAAGGAAGAAGGTGCATCACCAAGTACATGTGCCCCTTGAGCCTCAGTGGGCTCATCTAGAAAATGGGTTTTTCTCTCAGCAGAGCCCATCTAGATGGGTGGGGGCTCAGTGGGGTGAAACCTCACCCCTGGATCGCAAAAAAGGGCAACATGGAGAGAGGCGCCTGAGAGATGCCAGAACCAACTCTGACCATCTGGCCCTCAACTCATCGCCTTGTAGATGCTGCCTGTTGGCCAGGCCTGGTTAATTGTTTTCCTTCTTCTCTGCCTTGAATAAACAGGGATTCCCAAGGCTGAGCAGAGCCTCACAAACAGGATGAGGCTACTAATGTACCTTCCCTGCCCATGGGTGCTCTCCCTGTTAGGTTCCCCTTCAGCTCTCAGGCTGAGGGCAGAGACAAGAGCAGGTTCACAGCTGACTCTTCCAGTTCAGCCCCATCCTGAGTCCAGTACAATGTGGCCAGTGTGGTGAGAGGCAGTTCTTCAATTGTCAAATAGTTATTGAGTGCCTACCTTCTCCTGGGCACAGAGTTTAGTGTTGGGAATGCCATGATGATATAGACAGCCTCATTCCTGCTTCATGCTGACCCTAATGGGAGCACAAGGATGGGAGGCCACAGGGGACCTCCCTTCCTCCCTTCTGCCACTGGGGGTAAGGAGGCCAGAGAAGCCTCTGCCGCACTCAGGGTTCTGATGCAGGATGACCTGGTGGGATCATAGAGGAGGAGGGAACAGGGTGTGACATGAGAACTGAGGAAGCATCAGCATGTCCTTAGGCTTCCTGGGATTCAGGTGAAGATGTAGAGAAATTCACAAAGTAGATATGGAGGGAGAAACACAGAGCTGAATAACAGAATCCAGGAGAAGAGAATTCCCAGGAATACAGGGATTGTGATTCAGAAAGAGAGACCCTGGCAGGGCAAGTGCCTCAGAAATCCAGTAACATGCGATGTGGTTCCCTCAGGCCAGGAGCTTACTTACTGGCAGGGCCTGATCTGTTAGGGCTACTGGAAAGGAAAGCAGGAGAAGCCATGTGTCAGCAGGCGGAAGCGTGCAGAAAGGTGAGAACACGGGCAGAAGGAGAGTAGATTTCACTTGAGGAGAGCCTGGAGAGGAGGTGTGAGATGGGAATGTCCAAAATCTTTGCTAGATATTTTATATAAATTGGATCCTGTCACTTTGTAGATTTTTTCTTACAGGAGAAGATAAATTCAGAGCTTAGAGAGTTCTACTATTGTTGTTTAGGACAGTGTTTCTCTAACACAGGAAATTATCCTCACAGGTCCTGCCCTCGTGGAATAGAAACTCTGTGTGTTTTAAAATGTTCTTTAAAATTATTCACCATTTTACTGGTCTTTTCAGAAATATGAGTCGATTAAAATTTTTGACATGTTCATCTTACATTTTTGAAAGTAATGTATAATCTTTTTATTATAATCATACTCTAACCCTTTTGAGGTTATTCATTGAGAAAACCAAGAAAATTTACTACCTTGTATTTACACTGTTGTTTCTAAGGAGTGAACTCTTGAATCTCTGGAATTTATTTTCTTGGATCATGGAGTAGTTCCTATGAGGAATTAAAACTTTTTCCTTGTTCACCTGTATTTTTCTAGAAGATATCTCTCCTCTGTTCCTTTCTTTGTGACAATGGGCTATTGATAAATGCTTTTCTTTTTTATTCCTGAAGGAGGTAAAATAGATAAATGTTTTGGCATCATTAGCTAGTTAGTGGAAAATAAGCCATAAGAGGGAATAAGAACTTAAAAGAAGGTGCAGAATTTGGGGAAAGAAGTGGCTGTAGGCCTGAAGACATAACTTGATCTTATTGGATAGAGACAAAATATTCTAGAGAGACACTGAGAAGGAGAGTCTAAAGTTTCAGGGCAAAAAAAGGAGAATTCAATTAGAGCTTTAATAGCTAGATTGGTGTCCTGAAAGGACAGAGACAGTGCTGAATTAAACAGGCTGACACTGATCCCAGACCACTGGGACAAGGGCCCCATGAAAAGTAGACTCTCAGCAATGACACAGATGTCCCGGAAAGCAGTAGCTTTGGGAGGTGAGCAGAAGGAGGCCCCACTTGGAAGTGTGTGGGCACTGGGAAAGGTGCAGGTGCTGGACCCTCAGGCTGCTTCTCACCTGAGGGAGGGACAGGTGCACAGGTGGTGGGCAGTGGCCACTCCTGTGGCTTCCTGGCCTCCTTGCCTTTCTTACCCACTCTGGGACAAGGAGGCCATCATGGGGATGTGTATCTGCTTCCTCCCTCTCCTGAGACTACCTGTATCTCAGGTCAGTGCCTGCATGGCAATAGTGTGTCTGTCTAAAATTGGTCTGTGGGAAGAATGTCAGCAACATCAGGGAGCTTGAGCTGTAACTTTGTGAGCCAGAAATCGCCTGGCTTGTGATCCTGTCCAGGTCCCAGCATCTACAGGACAAAACCCAACATGAACTAAGGATGGGAGTGGATGACAGAGTGATGCACATTGTGGGATCACGTAGGCAAACCTCCTTTTTTTCCTGTTGTCTGGACCCAAAGTCTCCCAGCCATGAGATGAGCATGTGACTGACCCCAGCTGCAACTACAGGCATCTGCATTCTGCTGTCCAAACCGATCAGACAACCCACTGGTCAACATGATGGTGTCAGGGGAGATGGTGTGAGTGATCTGATCTAGTATTCTCAAAGGCAAAAATTCCTGGTGGGTTGGTCAGAGTGCATTCCCTCATTCTGGAGCATTTGTGTGTGAATGTGATACCTGAGACTGAGCAGTATCTTGTTTGCGCATGGGAATTTAGCCTAGGGACAGGACAGGACATGGAGAAGAGACATCTCAAATAAAACTCATAGTGGGATTCCCCCCTTGCCATTTGGAGAGAAAAGCGTCCTGTGACAACTTTGAAAGAGGCTGGGAGGCTGTTGTCTGAGTTTCCATCATGGTGATTAGCTCAGGGCCTCCCCCAGCCTCATTGCTCATGGAGGCCCCCTCAGCAGGGGTTTCGCATCCACTCCCTCCACTTTCCAAGGCTATTCCTGAGCCCTCTCTCCTCACCCAGGCTTCAGTCCCTCCTCTTACAAACACAGGCTAGACCTGACCTTTCTCTCCAATGACCCCAACTGGCCCCGTGGCCTTCATGCTTGCTGTCTCCTTGTTCATCTTCTTTGAGGCATCTGGACTTTTCTTCATAAACTTGAGTCAGATCCTGTGTCTTCCTTGCCCAACCTTCTGATGGCTCCTCTACCCCCAACTGAGCTCTCCTCACTGTGTGATGACATCATATTGTCGCATTGACATTTTTACTTGATTGCCTTATCTGTTCCACCACTCAGTGTCAGCTCCATGAGGACAGGGCCCCTTCCTCTCTTGTTCATCATGTACCTTGAATCCCTGGATCTGAGGCTGGTGCATAGTAGCTTCTCAGTGAATGAGGTGGATAAACAGACCTTTGGGAGTCGACTATCCTGAGTCAGACACAATGACCCTGGTCCTGTTTTGACCCATTATGGATTTGGTTTCCAGGACAGCCTGATCTTGGTATTGAGGGATTTCTCTTAATATGAGACAATACGACAATTTGTTACTGCCAAGGGTTGGGTGTGAGGGTAGAATTGAGAGGACAGAAACACATTCTCCACACTGCGTTCACTGGAGTGAGTTTTAAAATCTAAATTTTTACTAAACAAATGAAAAGCAACGTTAATCAGCTGACTTGCCCAAGAAGTGGGGGCTGCACAGAGAAGCTCCATTGCTGGATGGGCAGCAGCTTTTTCTCCCACTTCCCCACTGGCCTGAAGTACTGCCTGAGCCTTGGTGCTTGTGTCCCAAGCTGAGAATAAAAATCAGCCTTTTCCTCTGCCTGGAGTCCAGAGATGCTCAGAGAGGCCATGTTCTCCAACCTGGAGCCTCAGCATTGGGCCTATGCCCCTAAGGGTCAATGACTGCTTTTATATATGTGGAGCTCTGGGTCTCTCGGAGGCATGTTTGTACCAGAGCACATGCCCGTGCCCAACATTGCTGCTGCTTCTAGTGCAGGAGCTGGTACCCACCTGCCCCACAGATGCATGCACTGCAGGTGGCTGGGTCAGCACAGGCTGGGCTCAGGACGCTGGACATTAAGACAGACACAGGGTGAGAGGTGGGTCAGTGGACAGAGACACATGCATAAACCTTGGTCTTTTGATCACCAGCCCTGACACTGAGCCCTAGCCACCTGTGCAGTGAAGGAGAAGGCGGGGGAGAGACCACAGTGGAGACCCATACATAGCTCTACATCCTGAGGATCATCAACTGAGCCTGGGCTCTCCAAGTCCCTTGTACTCCCTCCAGCAGCTCAGGGTGAGGAGGGCATCCTTCATACCAACCAGCCTCCTCCCCTGGGCTGTCCAAGCCCTTTCCTGGGCCATGACTTCGATCCCTCCCTGAAAAGCTGACACATGAAGAGGATGGTCTTGGTTGATGCTGTTCTGTGGCTCCCTGGGGGCCTATAAGGAAACAGCTGCTGGTCTTGTGAGCAGGGGGTAGAGGGCTCCAGCCCAGGGTCAGGGAGTGGCTCTCGTATGGGGTCTCCAGCACAAGATTTAGGGACAGACCACAGAACAGCCTACTGCTTGAGGTCCAGATGCACCCATGTATCCTGTCTCCTCCACTGTTCACTTTGTCATCCCCAAGAAGGATGGAGATGGGCAGTGTTTAGGCCATAACACACCTTAGTCTCACATCTCCACAGACCCTCCTTCCTGGATATACTTGCTTAGCTCACTGTGAGGTTTATAGGGCAGTTCTGGGAGGCTGGACTCCCTGAGGAGCCTCCACTAGGGGACATCAGAGCAGGAAGCCCAATGGGGACAGGGCTCCCTCCAGGACACAGGGAGCTGCTCCCTCTTTCTTCTCCCTGGGCTGTCTAGAGCCTGCACCCAGACTGCCTTGCTTCTCTCTGGGCCTATTTCTTCTTCTCAGCCCCTCAAGAAATTTGATTGCAGAAAAGGAAAAGATTAAAAAATAAATTTAAAAATATTTGCCAGCACCAGGCATAAATTCTAGGGCAATATGACACCAAGTGCAATTTTGAGAGGAGAGAGGGGAGCCCTAGGTAGGCTTCTGATTCCTAATTATCCTTCCTTATTTGGGCACTAAGAGGCAAATAACATCTTTCAAAGGGCAGGGTCAGCACTCTCTAAATCTGTCCTGAGTACATGGAATGATGACTCTTTCAGGATTTGGAAACAATTTCTAAGGCTCATTTTTCTTCTGTCAAGAGAAAATGGTTAGCTCCACAGGCACTGAATTCAGCATATTTGGAAAATTAGGTAATATTTCATAGTCATCATGATATTTTTGTTTCTGTTTTTAGTTTTCCTGAGACTTCAGAAAACTTGAATGAGAAATTGAGAGTAGAAACATTTTAAACCAGACGGTGCTTCCAAGTGGAGTGTGTACATATAAAACATATTTGAAAATTTAAAACTTGTCATATAACAAGACCCTGAGCAGGCTGAGGTTTCTGTCCCACTTCCTCATCTGCCTGTGTCACTGTGTGAATGCCAGTGCCCCAGGTCTGACAGTAATAGTCAGCCTCATCCTCAGACTGGAGGCTGGAGATGGTGAGGTAGCGCTCAGCCCCAGAGCTGGAGCCTGAGAAGCGATCAGGGATCCCGTCCCCCTTGCTGTGGCTGCCATCACTGTTAAGCTTCATCAAGTACCGAGGGCCCTTCTCTGGCTGCTGCTGATGCCATGCGATGGCGTAGCTGCTGTGCCCACTGCTCAGAGTGCAGGTGAGCTTGACCGAGGCTCCCAGGGAGGCAGAGGCAGAGGGCGATTGAGTCAGCACAAGCTGGGAGAGAGACCCTGAAAACACAGACACCCATTACCGGCTGGAGTCAAGAAAAGAGGGAAGGACATTCCTGGCATAAGTTTGGGAGGTGGTATCAGTGAGCTGGAGGTCAGGGTGCTGAGGGCCATCCTGACCTGTGCAGTGGAGGAGGAGGGTGAGGAAGAGGAGTGGGGTCCAAGCCATGGTGCAGACTCCCCAGAGCTCTGCTGAGGCTGACAGTTGCAGGTATTTCTTACCCACCCTGTAGTCCCAGAGGAGAGAGAGGGGCCCTTCATGCAAATGTGCTCCTCTTCCTCTGCCCAACCAAATCACTCCGTGTGCCTGAGTGTCAGTCCCAGTGGTGGGGTGACATTTCTGGGAGGGGTTACCTGGGCTGGGCCTGGCCTGAGGCTCTCCAAGGGTGCAGAGAGAGCCCAGCTGCTGGCCCCAGTGAACCCTGCGTGGAGACCAAGTTCAAGTGTTTGGTTTCCCAGCTGAGAAACCCACAGAGCCCTCAGCAGCAGACCAACAGCACCCCCTTCTGCCTAGGCCCAGGTCCATCGTGTCTGTGACCAGATGCCAGTGGGTCCTGACAGAGGCTTCTGCCCGGACCAGGGCCTTGACCACGGCCTGTTCTCTGTCCAAGGGCAAAGTGGGACCCCTCGTCAGGGCAGCCTCCTATTTTATTTCAGACTTTAGTTTTCCATTTAGCCCTTTTCAGTGGGAGCGGGACACATGATCCACCCCACTTTGCAAAAGTCCTCAGGAGAAAGGTGTCTCTCATACACGTTCTATTTGGTAGGTGTAATGGGATAATTTACATTGACTGGAACAGAATGTCTCCATTCTGCAGTAATGGAGATGTTGTGAGAATGGATCGGACTGTTGGCTACATGAGCATCTGCATTTGTAAAAACCATCAAACTGTATAATTAAGACCTGTGAATTTTACTTTATATAAGTTATCTTTCTATATAATAAACAGAAAAAATAGGAGAAAATGGCTACTTTTCAGACAAAACCCGATGGAATTTGCCACCAGCAGAACTGCTCTACAGGAAATTCTAAAACTGTTTTTCAGTGAGATGAAAAATAATCTCAGTTAGTAGCTCCCCAAATTAGAAATAAATATTTTAAAAAGTAGAGAAAAGAGGGTAAACTCAAAGGAAAACTGAGTACATAAAACAATGATTTTTACATCAGTTGGTGTTACATGCATGTATGTGTAAACGTAATGGTGCATGTGTATGTACTTATGAACACATATTAATAGAGGTGCGTGCATATTTGTAAACATAACATAACTGTATGTTTTGATATTAGGTAAATTGCTAGAGAGTAAATGGAATTGAAGTTTCTGCACTCTAACTCTGTACTCCCTGAAGCTGTATTTTAGACCCTGAGCTGCCCTAGTCTTTTTATAGTTTCCCAAACAATCAAGGGGACAGATTTTCTACCTTGAAATAAAAACTTAATGTAGGGCTGTCCCCACCTCACCCCTTGGCCTGGATGCTCCCAGGCCAGCAGGAGAATGAGAAGAGAAGAGTTGAGCCTAGGGAGGTTTCCAATGGGGAGAGGACACCTGGCCTTTGATAGGCCCCGGGTCCAACAGGTCAAAGCTTTGGGCCAATCAGGGAATGGGGAACTTGCCATCTGATCAAACCCGAGGGAGACCCCGAGTGTTTTCCCAGCTGGTGGGACCGTGTCAGGAGAGCTTCAATGTCCCTGACTGACTGCAGGCCCCAGTTTCTATCAGGCCTCTTTGACAGGCCTGAGCCCTTCCCTGGAGGGTCCTAGATGGCCTGGATCAACTTTTCTGGTGCTGCTGCTGCTCATCACCTCAGAATGGATTTATCGAAATTCCAAGTTCTAGATGAGCATTGTTGGCCCAGAGGAGGCAATCTCACTGGGACTAAGTTAGAGAAGACTTCTCTTCCATCAGCATAGCATAGGAGTAATAGGCTTTTTAATTAGATCAAATAGAGCAACCCAAAAGAAGTAAAACAGGAAAAAAAAGAAATCTATCTTTCCACTTTTTAGTATCCTGGATGCAAAAAATTAAATTCTTTCTACTGCTCATGCATTGGGTAAACCCCTCACCAGTCAGTTTTAGGCACTTATTTTGTTTTATTTTATCTTTTTTTAAACCTTCATTTCTTATTCAAAAGTACATCCCAATGTCCTACAGTTAGTACTCTGCTATGTGGAAATAATAAGAAAACATCTAATTTGTTTTTCAAGTATTACATTTTTTACCCATGAATTATCCATACTGGGCCAGGTGTGGTGGCTTATGCCTGTAATTCCAGCAATTTGGGAGGCCAAAGCAGGAGGATCAGTTGAGCCCAGTAGTTACAGACCAGCCTGGGCAACATAGTGAGATCTTGTCTCTACAAAAAATAAGCAAAATTAGCCAGGCATGGTGGTGCGTGCCCGTAGGCTTAGCTACTTGTGAAGCTGAGGTGGGAGGATTGCTTGAGCCTGGGAGTTTGAGGCTGCAGTGAGCCATGATTGCACCACTGCACTCCAGCCTGGGCAACAGAGTGAGACACTGTCTCAAAAACAAAACAAAACAAAAAAAGGCCAGGCGTTGTGGCTTATGCCTGTAATTCCAGCTCTTTGGGAGGCCGAGGTGAACACATCACCTGAGGTCAGAAGTTCGAGACCAACCTCGCCCACATGGCAAAACCCCATCTCTACTAAAAATACAAAAATTAGCTGGGTGTGGTGGCGGGCGCCTGTATCCCGGCTACTCAGGAGGCTGAGGCAGGAGAATCACTTGAATCTGGGAGGCAGAGGTTGCAGTGAACCGAGATTGTGCCACTGCACTCCAGTCTGGGCAACAGAATGAGACTTTTTCAAAAAACAACGACAACAACAAAAAAGAAACGCAAAGAAATATCCACACTATATGTTTGTGTTATTAATTCAGGATTACATGATAAAACTTTTCCATCCTTTTACTTTCATTTAATGTTTTCTGTAAACATAATTATAGATACACATTAAGGTGAAAAAATATGTAATAAAGGTTTAGTTACACTTCAACCAGTTTTCCTCAAAAGTGGCATCTTACAACACAATATGCAATTTAGAAAATCAGAATGATGCAATTAACATTGAAGTAATGCTTTATGCCATTTTAACTAGGTGTTTATTTGTGTTATCATTTTACTTTTGTGTATATACTTCTATTTAGAGTTTATTATAGAATCGCATGCTTGTCTCTTGTTTTTTATTTTTCTCAGTGTGACAAACTCTGTGTTTAATATATGTGCTTAGTTCATTTACATTTAATGAAATTATTCACATGGTTGGATTTAAGCTTACAATTTTAGTGTAAGTTTCCTTTTTCTCTTTATAACTTTTGTTCCTCTCCACCCTGTTTCTGCTACTTCTGGATTATTTGAGTATTATTTAGTGGGCTCTTTTGATTTTTATATTGATTTTATATTGGTATCTCTGCACAGTTTTACATTGGTTGCTGTAAAGATTACAACATGTACATGTAACTATTCATGATCTATTTAGATTTAATAATAGGCCTAATATTTTCCCAGTCATGTAGACCCCTTACAGTTCCTTCTTTTGGTTGAAGTTTCATGTATATATATATATGTGTGTGTGTGTGTGTGTGTGTGTGTGTGTGTGTGTGTGTGTATATATATGTATATATGTGTATATATGTATATATAATATTTTTCATAAGTAGAAATTATATCAAAAATGCTATAACTTAGCTTTTGATATGCATATTTTCCAGAACTGTAGAGCTAAAAATTTGGTCTTTTACTACTATATTTATTGGTTATTCTTCCTGCATTCTTTGGGTTCAATGTTTCCATTATCATTTATCTTCCACCTGAAAATTTTCTCTTAGAGTTGATTTGTTTTGATTTTTTTTAGATGAATTCTTTCAGGTTTTCTTCATCTGACAAAGTCTTATTTTTTACCTTTTTTAAAAAAAAAAAATCTTTACCTGGATATAGCATTATGACTCAACAGTTCTTTCTTTCTTTCTTTTGACTTTGTAAGAACATAACACTGCCATTTGGCCTCAATGTATACTCATAAAATACCTCTCATTGTTTGAATTGTTGATTTTCTGTATATATTATAAAGCTTTCTGTCTGCTTTCATAATTGTGTCTTTATCTTTGGTTTCAGTAATCTATTATTACATGCTTGGGCATTTGAAAAACCTAGCTGTTTGGCATCACTGAGTTTCTTAGGTCTTTAAATGCATGTTCTTTACAGAAAGTCTTTAGCAATGACCAGTGGCTGGGGAGAAAGGGTGAAGGGTGGCTGCTAATTGTGGGGGTTTTTTTGTGGGGTGATGAAAACGTTTTAAAATTAGATTATGGTGATAGATGCATAATTCTGTAAACACAATAAGACAATTTAATTGTACATTTTATACGAAGTGAAATTTATCTCACTTTTTCAAATAGAGACAATGTGGGAACAAGGCCCGCTGACCCTTTGCAGGGGCCTGTGGCTGAGTCTCACTTCCTCCCTTGCTTAAACTGTACGATCAGCCACAGGCACCCTCTTTGTTTGTCATAGGCAAGTATGGAGTGATCAGCCTCGGGACAGGCCAAGGGCAGGTTTTTGTCTCGGTTCCCCATGTGCCTGCAGCACTGTGTGAGCACTGAGGCTGTAGTCCCATGTTGAACAGTAATAATCAGCCTCGTCCTCAGGCTAGAGGCCCGAGATAGTCAGGGAGGCTGTGGTCCCAGACTTTGAGCCAGAGAAGCGGTCAGGGATCCCTGAGGGCAGAGAATTTCCAAACATCACAGTTTTGGGAGCACCGTGAGAAATCTGTTGGTACCAGCCCACAGCATAACTTCCAACGTTGTTGCTGTTTCCAGTACAGGAGAGGGTGACCTTCTGTCCCACGGTCCCTGACACCGAGGCTTCCTGGGTCAGCGCAGACTGTGCCCAGGACCCTGGAACAGAGGAGGCAGGCACAGAGAGGTGAGTCTGGGTTCACTACCCACCCCACAATGTTAAAATATAAGAGAAAAGTCATCCCATGTGTCCCCAATAATCACTTTGGCATTCCACAGGCAGTCACCTGAGCAGAGGGTGAGAAGCTGGAGGAGGAGAGGGGTCCAGGCCATGGTGGAGATGCCCCAGGCTCTGCTTCCTAAGCCCACAGCTGAGCAGAACTGCACAGAGTCTCTCTTATCCTCTCCTCCTAAGAGGGCACAGAGCACCCTTCATGCAAATCACACCCCTCCCCCTGCTATCCCTGGGCCTGAACTTGGGGAAAGTTGAGTGTGGGGTGGGGCTAGAGGAGCCTCTTCTGCTCCTGGGAGGTCCCAGCTGCTGGGCCCCAGAAAGCACAGAGCAGAGGGCCCAGGGTAGGGGTCCAGGGCCTGGTTTCCCAGTTGAAACCCCCACAGACCCTCAGGGACAGGCCACACTTCCCTCCACTGTCTCAGAGCCCAGGTTCATTCCTGACTGGCTTGAAGGTCCTCAGCACTGCCTTGCGCACACCATCCCCACACAGAGGCAGCGCTCACGCCCCTCCACCCCCACCCCAGGCTCTTTGTGCTGCAGGTGCTCACCACAGCACATTTCTCGCTGCAAGATGGGCCTCCTCAGCATGAAGTCATCCTCTGCTTCTTCCCCATTTAGATTTTTGTGTGGTTGGGGCCATAGGTGAGTGAGCCTCAGAGAGAACATGTCCTGCACCCAGTGGCCAGGAGGGCAGGAGGGTTAACAACCCTCCCCAGCCTCCATATGGGCCTGAGGGCACCTGCTTCTCTCTCTCATCATACCCCACATCCCCCCGTGGGAGGCCGGGCTCCGTGACCCTCATCACTGTCCTCATCACACCCTTGATGGGGTGAGACCCTTAATGAAAATGCACAGGGAAATTATTCAAGAAGAGACCATCATTATGAAAGAGAGAAAAGTCTGCTTCTCTTATGGATACTTGGACCTGAGGAAGATGACCAAGGTCACCACTCTCCCTAGATACAGCCCAGAGAGGGGCCACCGGGATGACTAGGCACCAGGTAGGATGTGCACATCAGGGTGAAATTGGGAATGGGGGAGGTTAAGAATAGAAGGGTTAGAGTTTTATGGAAAGATCAAGAAGATGACCCAAAAGTTCCGAGACACCTTGTCTAAGCCCTTTACTCACAGTCCAATGTGATTTAACCATTCAAATTTTTTGTTTTTGAGAATGGGCTTTGCTCTTGTTGAACCTCCGCCTCCCAGGTTCAAGCGATTCTCCTGCCTAAGCCTCCCGAGTAGCTGGCATTACAGGCACCCATCACCACACCTGACTAATTTTTGTATTTTTAGTAGAGACGGGGTTTCACCGTGTTGCCCAAGCTGGTCTCAAACTCCTGACCTCAGGTGATCCACCGGCCTCGGCCTCCCAAAGTGCTGGGATTACAGGCATAAGCCACCGCGCCCAGCCTCAAGTATTCTTTTATAGCACTTACTTTGTGTCAGGTACCATTCTATTTGCATCGTGAATGTTAACACGATTATTTTTCCGAGGACCTAATCCGCAAGTGTAGTTTCAGTGGCATTGTATGCTGAGATAGATTACACATACACACACACACACACACAACACACACACAAACGTAAATGTTTGTGTATGTGTTTAATGCTTTCATCTGCATGATTCAGAAAAAATTTAGCATAGTATCTTTCACAGTGATCCACACAAAACAAAAAGATGCCTGTGACCTTGACAATTTGATTCTCCATGGTAACGCTAAAACCTGTATAATATTATTACTTAGTAGTCACGCAGTAAATATTTTTGAATTGAAAAATTAGTGAATATTTAAACACACACACACACACACACACACACACACACATTTCCACCTATCCCAACCCTGGGTAAAAAAATACGATGACAATATTCATTTCAGTCTTCCTCTTTTATTTAATAATAATCCTCCATCTAAATTCTCAGCCAGTTTGTTGGGAGTCAGCCGAGATAGATCTGCTTTTCTCACACACAAGCTCCAAGCCCTCTCCATGTCCAATGTATTCTACAGCATAAAGTGACAAGGAATCTGCTCTCTCCTCTTTACCCCACAGTAACTCACCTAGATCTTCCCACCAGGATGGCATGAGCAACCACATCCTGTCTTCCTGTCCCAGGCCTCTCCATTCTATTCTCATTACAGCTGGAGAGTCACTGATCAAATGCCAATGTGAGTTCATCTCTCCCACCTCACAGCCCCGCAGTGGCTCTGTGTGCTTTTCTCAGGAGGCTGATCTGCCCCAATCTGCACCTCCAGCTCTGCAGCCACCCTAAGTCAGAGGTGTTAGAACCAGAGTGACTCCATGTTGAATAGGGGCTTGATTAAATGAGGCTTAGGCATGCTGGCCTGCATTTCCAGGAGGTTAGGCATTCTTAGTCACAGGATGAGCTAGGAAGTCAACCAGACTGGGATCACAAGATACAGGTCATAAAGACCCTGCTGATAAGACAGGATACGCTAAAGAAGCCGGCCAAAACCTACTGAAACCAAGACGGTGAGGAAAGTGACCTCTGGTTGTCCTCACAGTTAGAAATGCTATGGCAACATCCACAAGTTACCTTATGTGGTCTATATTTTTAAAAAGAATTCCTGAAAAGCTAATAAATAATCCACTCCTTATTTAGCATATGATCAAGGACTATCTATACAAATAGCCGACCAGCAGTGTTTGGTGCTGCCCTGTCTATGGAGTAGCCATTCCTTTATTCATTTACTGTCTTAATAAACTTGTTTCCACTTTATAGACTCCTCCCAAATTATTTCTTGCATGAGATCCAAGAACCCTCTCTTGGGATCTGAATCAGGACCCCTTTCCAGTAACACCTGCAGGAAGCACATCCTGGCCCCTTCCCTGCTCCACTGACTGGAGGCACAGGCCAAGGTAATTTCACTGTTTGACTTGAATGACCAATAACTCATCTTTGGGTTCTCACCTCTGATTAGAATCTTCTGACCCTCACCCTCCACCCATCGCCCTCCTGCTCATTCCGAAAGTCCCACATGAAACCCACTTCTGTGGCTTAGGCCTCTTTGGCAACTTGCCACCCGCTCTCACTGCCACACCCTCATAGAAATCCTTCCCCATATGGATCTTGTGTTCTTCTCTCTCTCTTCCCTCTCAGCTCCTGCTCAGTGGCTGAAGCAGATTTGGAGCCACGAACACGAGTCTGGCAGAGCTTTGCTTTTGTTTTTAACTGGGAAAATCTTTATAACTCTATCAGGTGAAAAGACACATCCAGATACTAAGGCAGAGTTCAGGGTAACATTTCTCAGGGGCCTCAGTCAAAGTTTCTGATGTAGGCTGGTCTTTGAGGCCCGTCCCGACACGTACAGTGAGACAGGATCACAAGGAGGGGAGGAGTCAAGTCCATGGTGGACACAGCCCCTGACCCCACCACACCGTGGGGCTGGACTGCCCCAGGCATCCTTTTCTTCCCCACCCTCTGCAGAGGAGGGGCTGCTCATGCAAGTGTGTTTCCATCAGGGGACTGCCCAGCCCCTCCCTGAGCCCTGGAGCTGGAGCTCAGCTCACACTGCAGCCTGAGGAGGAGGAAGGTTTACTTCCCGCCTTGGGAGGGCCCTGGGAGGAAGCACCTGCTGAGACCATACACAGGTCCCTGCTCAGGGGACTCTGCCAGGCCAGAAAGGACACAGCTGCTGAGTCCCCATCAGTGAGCACAGGGCCCAGCTCCAAGCCCCGAGCTCCTTGGAGTATATGGTTCTTACTGAGCTGTGTCCTGTGCTGGTTACAGGACACACTCCTTCCGTGGCCCAGAGACCTGAGAGCCCAGCCTGTCTCTGTAGTTCACCATCCATCATCTCTGTTCACACATCCATCATCCGAATCCTACCTTCTGTGATCCTGATATGTTGTACTTTATTATTGTAGTTTCTCACTCCCAAAAGGAGTCTTGGTTTCTATGTGGTACAAACTGCTGTGAATGTAACTTTTTAAGGTGTTTGTACCCCCAGAGTATATTCTGGAAAAAGTTGAATGACCCACGTGTGCCATCTGGTCAGCATCACAGACACTGTTACAGTTGATGGTTTCAAACATGTGTAGGGGCTGTTCAGGGAATGGCATTGAATGGAAAATTCCCAGGAGATAAGGTTGGTGGCCTTCTTAAAAGATGGCAATTCTCAGCAAACATTTCACACAATGCTTTACCTCTAACAGCACACAATGCTCTTAGAGTTTTGATAGGGCTTAGATGTGATTTACTAATAGTCATGGTCTTGGTAGGCCTAATACACTAGTTAATAGTGTATACACACTTTTTATTTTATGAAGTGAGGTTTATTTTTTAAAGTTTGTAGTTTTCTAAATAGTTGTTCCAGATATTTTATATCAGAATTTGGACTTAGTGTCATATAATGTGTTTACATTTAAACCTTTTTTAAAAAAAACCTGTATTTGCTTATTCTTTGTTTTGGTTAATTATGAAGCTAAGAGAGACATTTTAATGTGTTTGTAGACATGTAGAAAACTTGAACAGGAAAATTTAGAAATCATCACCTCCTCATCATACTCCATATCCAAATTTACTTTAACTGTGTGAATGATCCCCCAAATCCTCAGCTCATGGGCCCATCCAGTAACAACCTACACACAAAATCCCCTTCTTCCCCAGGTACTCTCTTCCCAAACATCCAGAGAGATGTTTTTATTCATGTTGGGCAGGTCACCCCGTGGATTAGAATCCTGCACTGACTCCTCATTGCTGTTTGTATAAAACTCACACTCCCCAGCTTCCCTAAGGCACATTCCTGGTCTGGCCTCTGACTGGCTCACAGCCCCTCCCCTTGATTGGGGTTCCAGCCTTACTCACTTCTCTGTCATGGGAATCCTGAGTTTCTGTCCCTTCCATGGTCTCCATACCAGCTCCCCCTCTGTCTGTTGGGGGGAGATGGGATTCAACTGGAAGTCAGGGTGGAAGCTTATATTTTGGCAACTTTCAGAATTCCACCTGTGACAGTGTGTGTGTGTGTGTATGTGTGTGTATCAGGTAATTTTTGAAGTTACATAAACTATAGAGACTAGTTCAACAAACTCTCCACAGGCATAGACTAGCCTCAACCATTCCTTCTACCTCTCATGCTAATCTCTCACTGAATGATATTAAAACAAATTACAAATATCACATGACTTCACTGGTTTCTGCTTTACTATATATATAAATATTTATATTTATATATATAGTAACTTCCAACCAGACACGTAGGAGTCATCTTAGATGCCTTCCTTTTCCTGCCACGGGGCACACACTTAATTTTTAATTCTCTCCAATTACTCTTTCCTTCTGGATTGTAGATTGCTAACTTCCCTTCTTCTCCACTGTCACAAATCTAACAAAATATATTGTCATCTCTCCGTGAAATATTGTCTTTGATGCCTAACTACTCTCCCAGTCTCAGATGTTGCCTCAGTTTACCCTTTAATCCACTCTCCACTCTGTACCTACAGAGCTCACAGATGCCAGAGGAGGACACTTCAGTGACTACCATGGCCTCTGCAGTCAAGCATATGCGACCTCTTAATGATCCATTCACATCCTTCCTTTAGGTCACCCAGACTCACCTAGAGTGGCTTCCTCTGACCCTGTCCCCACTGAGATCTGCCACACTTAGGCCCAATGCAAGCTCTCTTAGTAAATAGAATCAACAACCAGATATTCTTTTCAAAAATATTATTGACAAATGCTGTTAACAATGCCTGGAACATTCCACCATCATCCCTTATAGCTCATTTTCATTAACCCTAAAGACATCGTAGCAGATATCACTTCTTGTGGTCAGGCTTCAGTGGTCCAGATCCTCCCCAAGCACAAGCGCTCCGTGGGAGTTAACTCCATTGTACCCTCATGGCCACCCTTAATTCTCCTCAAACAGCTGAGTTCAAGGACTGCTGGAAACAGGAGGAGATGGGGCTCTAGATCTAGGCACAAGTTAAGAGACTCAGTTCCTGAAAACTAAAGAGGAAAGTTGTGTTAGGGGATCACTGTTCCTGTGCCAGAGATGACAGGAAGGAGCCAATCGACACAGTTAATGATAGACAATCTACATAATTGTTCCCTGGTCACTACATGGAATTGAAAGATAGGGGAAAAAAGCAGGTAAGTGACGATTCCCTCAGCTATTCCAGCAGCATTCTCAGTTTCTTCTGAAACTCAATCAGGGCCAAGTAGATGCGTCTAGACTCGCTGTCCTTTACAATGTATGGAATGCCTAGTATCACACCCCAAAAATATTTAGAATTCTGTTGCATATAAATATGTGTCTAATGAATAATTCTAAGCATTCTTAATTGGATTTATTGAGTTTTGGTAGTACTCCCAACTTAAAAAGAGCCCCTTTAGATAACAGCCCCTTCAAACACAAAACACTGCCCACCAGAAACCCACAGGCCACCATCCACCAGAAACCCACAGGCCACCACCCACCAGAAACCCACAGGCCACCACCCACCAGAAACCCACAGGCCACATCTCCTCACATTTCATTGGCCTCTTCTTCATGAGCCTGAAAAAGTCAGAGGAAGCCCCCAGGTTTTTATTTTATTTCCTTGTGGGCCTCCAACACAATGCAACCATTGTTGAAAGCTGCTGTCCTGTACTAAATAGTGATAACAAGCCTCATCCCCAGGCTGGAGCCCAGAGGAGGCCAAACTGCCTGACCTGGAGCCAGGGAATCTCTAAGATCCCTGAGGAGAAGTTGTTATTCCTAAGATCAGGAGTTTGGGGGCATATCCCAGGTGTTGCTGCTGCATGGGTAGGGTCTCTGTGGAGTCCTCACCCCACGGCAGGTCAGCCCTCACCTGTGCAGAGTGAGGAGAACTAAGAGGAGAGTGGCCAGGTCATGGTGCGGTCATCAAAATATCTGCATCCCAAGACTCCAGCATGGACTTGAACTACCACTATTTTTTTTTTTTTCAGACAAGAGTTTATCTCTTGTTGCCCAGGCTGGAGTGCAATGGCATGATCTCGGCTCACTGCAACCTCCACCTCCCGGGTTCAAGCGATTCTCCTGCCGCAGCCTTCTGAGTACTTGGGATTACAGGCATGCACCACCATGCCTGGCTAATTTTGTGTGTGTGTGTGTGTGTGTTTTTTTTTTTTAGTAGAGACGGACTTTCTTCATGTTGGCCAGGTTGGTCTCGAACTCCCGAACTCAGGTGATCGGCCAGCCTTCCCCTCCTAAAGTGCTGGGATTACAGGTGTGAGCCACCATGCCCAGAAGAAGTACTACTAATTCTTAGTCTCTACAAGTCCCAATGGTGGAGAATTTTTTGCATTCAAAGGAATGCAAAAATGCATCCCTTGTCAAAGGAAAAAATATATATCAGGACCCCAAATTCACTATGCCAAAGGTAAAGTTACACCTGGGAACCGAGTTGTGCAAAAACTGCCTTCCTTGTGTTCACAGAGGTAGCTGCAACTTCACATATTGACTTCATCTTATGTAAAATGTAGATTCACCATTCAGAAGAGGCATGCATAGTTGACTTCCCCCACTCATTTCTTTTCATATGTAAACTGTAGATTCACTGAGCTCATCCAGACTCATCTATAATTGCTTCCTCTGAGCCTGTCCCTACTGAGTGGTCACAAGAATGTTACCATTTGCCTCATTGCCTACCCCACAACTCTGATTTTTCTCCTGCTTCTTCCTTTTCTCCTTCCTTTCTAACTTACCCTTTCCCCTTTAAATATTGAAGTCCTCAAAACCCTCTTTGGATAAAGCACAGGATACAGATTCTACTATGACTTGTGTTTCTTTTTCCCTCTAAATTGATTAAGATCTGCGTCTGTTCCTTTTTGGTTTACATTCTGGACTCTGACCAGCCGAAGGGATTGAGAACACTAAACAAGTCAGCAAACCATTAAGAAAGCTGATTTCAGAGAAGTGCTGTGAGAACAACAGAAGACCCGTACGGAGGGCTACTGGGGTTGTGGGTTGGGGGCTACTCTACTTGAGTCGTGGGGAGCAGTGAGGGTCAGAGAACAAAGGCTTGTCTGTGAACGTTACCAGTGACTGATGGGTGAGGGTTGAGAAGCAGCCAGACATCAAGAGAGATAAGGAGAGGCCTCTCAGGCAGAGAAATGAGAGGCACAGCAAGAAGGAATAGGGCCGGGTGCGGTGGCTCACCCCTGTAATCCCAGCACTTTGGGAGGCTGAGGCAGGTGGATCACGAGATCAGGAGATCGACACCATCCTGGCTAACACGGTGAAACCCCATCTCTACTAAAAACATACAAAAAAATTAGCCAGGCGTGGTGGTGGGCGCCTGTAGTCCCAGCTATTCGGGAGGCTGAGGCAGGAGAATGGTGTGAACCCAGGAGGCGGAGCTTGCAATGAGCAGACATCATGCCACTGCACTCCAGCCTGAGCAACAGAGCGAGACTCCATCTCAAAAAAAAAAAAAAAAAAAAAAGGAATCAGGGAAGTGGAGGATGAAAGATGGGCCAAAACTTTTGATGCTGCAAATGGAGAGTCATGGAACCCTTGGCCCTTCATGTGAAGTCACCTGGAGAAGAAGCAACTGGGATGGAACACAGGTGATTAAGGTGGAAACAGGCTAATTAAGTGGAATTGTTTTAATATTTTTGTTGCATACGTTACTGATACTAAATGCATGTCTCATTCCCATGCCGCCCCTCACCCATCCTGCACTCCTTGAGAACTTCTATTGCTATTCTTCCTTCTAATTCTTAAATAATTTATGGATACTTTTGTGTTTTCCGTGTCATCTGCAATAACAGCAATTGTATTTATTCATTTCTAATCCTGTGTCTTTAATATAATTTTCATTCCTTAGCACCCTGACTAGGCTCTCCAGTATGGTATTAATTAGAATACATGAACGTGGGTGTCCTTGTCCCTTCCCTGACATTGTGAGATATGCCTCCGACACATCTCATTTAGAATGAGATGTCCCTGTTCAGGATAAAGTTTAGTAGCATTCCCCTATAAAACTATCTTGGCTTGGTGCTTCCTGCATGGTAGTTTTTGATAACTTTCTCTGTTCTTCTATGGAAATTAATAAACCTTTACATTGTGATAAAATATATATATAAACAAAAGTAGTCATTTAAATCATTTTAAGTGTACCATTTCATGTTGTTACTTTTCAAAATGTTCTGCAACCATCACCATTATCAATTGCCAAAACATTTTCACCACCCTAAACAGACACTCTGTACCCATAAGCAACAACTTCTCATTCTCCCACCTTCCCACTTCCAATAACCTCTAATCTACTTTCTGTCTCTATAAATTTGCTTATTCTAAATATTTTGTATGTGGGAAATCACTCAGTAAATGGTTGTTATGGGTTGAAAATCTCCAAAGCAGATGTAATGAAGTCCTAATCCCCAATACCTCAGGATGTGACCTCATCTGGAAATAGAGACTTTACAGAAGTAATAAAATTAAGATGAGGTCAGCCAGGCACAGTGGCTCATGCCTGTAATCCCAGCACTTTGGGAGGCCGAGGTGGGTGGATCACAAGGTCAGGAGTTTGAGACCAGCCTGGCCAACATGGTGAAACCCGGTCTCTACTAAAAATACAAAAAATTAGCTTGGGCGTGGTGGCGGGTGCTGGGCATGGTGGCGGGCACCTGTAATCCCAGCTACTTGGGAGGCTGAGGCAGGAGACTCTCTTGAACCCGAGAGGCGGAGGTTGTAGCGAGCCAAGATCGCACCACTGCACTCCAGCCCGGGTGACAGTGCAAGACTCCATCTCAAAAAAAAAAAAAAAAAAAATTAAGATGAGGTCATTAGGGTAGGCCCTAGTCCATTATGACTGGGGGAAATTTGGACATAGAGACATGCACTCACAGAGGGAAATGTTTGACTGTGAAAAAGTCACAGGTAGAAAGCAAGGAACATCTAAAGCTACCAGGAGCTAGGACAGAGACCTGGACCAGATCCTTTCTTTCCTAATGCCTGCAGAGAGTGCCTGGCCCTGCTGAAACCTTCATCTCAGACTTCTGGACACCAAAACTGTGAAACAATACATTTGTATCGTTCCAAGCCAACCACTTAGTGGTACTTTTTTACGGCAGCCCTGGGAAACTAATACAATGGCCTTTTGTGGCTGACTTCACTTAGCATAATGTTTTCAACACTCATCCATGTTGCAGATGTATCCGAACCTCATTCCTTTCTAGGTATGTATGTACCATATTTTGTTCATTCATTCATCTGTTGATGGGAACTTGGATTGTTTCTACCGTTTGGCTCTGGTGGGTACTGTGGTGAACATCAGCATACAAGTATCTGTTTGAGTCCCTATTTCAAATTCTTTGTCATATACCTAGGAGCAGAATTGCTGGGTTATATGGTAATTCTGTTTAACCTTTTGAGAAACCACCAAACTGTTTACCACAGGGTCCGCACCATTTAACAATCCCACCAGCAATGTACAAGTGTTATCCTTTCTCTACATCCTCATCAATACCTCTTATTTCCATTTTGTTTTGACTATAGTCTGGTAGGTGTGAATTGCTATCTTCCCTGGCTTTAATTGACATTTTCCTAATGACTAATGATGTTGAGCATCTTTTCATGTGTTAATTTACCATTTGTATATTTTCTTTGGAGAAATGTCTATTCAGATCCTTTGCCCATATTATAATTGGGTGTTTCTCTTTTTGTTGTTGAGTCATAGGAATTCTTTATATATTCTGTATGTTAAGCCCTTATCAGGTTTATGATTTGCAGACATTTTCCCATTCTGTGGGTTGCCTTTTCACATTCTAGATAGTGTCTGCTGATGCATAAAAGTTTTAAATTTTGATGAAATTCAACTTATTTATCTCTTCTTGTGTTGCAGTGCCTTGAGTATCAGTTTAAAAAAAACATTGCCAGACCAGACACAGTGGTTCATGCCTGTAATCCTAGCACGTTGGGAGGCCAACACCAGAGGATTGCTTGATCCCAGGAGTTCAAGACCAGCTTGGGTAACATAGCGAGACATGGTCTCTATTTTTTTTTTTAATAAAATTAAAAAGTTAAAAAAAAAACCATTGCCAAATTCAAAGTCATGAAGATTTGTCTCTATGTTTTCTTCTAAAAGTTTTGTACTTTTAACCTTTATATTTAGGTCTTCAATCCATTTTTAGTTAATTTTTGTATACAGTAGAAAGAGTCCAACTTCATTTTTTTATATGTGTATATCCTGTTTTCCCAACAGTTTCTTTGTTGACAAGACTGTTCTTTCCCCCATTGAATAGGCTTGGCACCCTTGTTGAAAATCAAATGATCATAGATGCGAGAGTTTATTTCTGGGCTCTCCATTCTATTCCATTGGTCTATGTGTCTACCTTAACGAGTACTGCACTTTTATGATTACTGCAGCTTCATAGTAAGTTTTTTAATTTTGGGGGAACAGGGTCTTGCTCTGTCACCCAGGCTGGCGTGCAGTGGCATGACTATGACTCACTGCAGCCTCCTCCTCCTGAGCTCAAGTGATCCTCCTGCCTCAGCCTCCCGATTGTTTTTTGTTTTGGTGGTGGGGGGAGGTTGGTAAAGACGGTCTCGTTTTATTACATAGGCTGTCTCAAATGCCTGGATTCAAGCAGTCCTCCCACCTCGACTTCCCAAAGTGCTGGGATTATAGGCATGGGCCACTGCACGCAGTCTGCAGTAAGTTTTGAAATTGGGAAATTGGGTTCTCCCAACTTTTGTTCTTTTTCAAGATTGTTTCAGCCATTTAGGATCCCTTGAAATTACATATCAATTTTAGGATGAGTTTTTCCATCTTTTGCCTAACACCGTAGAGATTTTTTTTTTTTTAAGATGAAGTCTCGCTGTGTTGCCCAGGCTGGAGTGCCATGGCGCAATCTTGGCTCACTGTAGTCTCTGTCTCCCGGGTTCAAGCGATTCTCCTGCCTCAGCCTCCCAAGTAGCTGGGATTACAGGTGTGCACCACCACTCCCAGCTAATTTTTGTATTTTTGGTAGAGACAAGGTTTTGCCATGTTAGCCAGACTGGTCTCAAACTCCTGACCTAAGGTGATCGCCTGCCTCAGCCTCCCAAAATACTGGGATTATCGGCGTGAGCCACCACACCCAGCCACACTATGGGGATTTTGATAGGGATTGCATTGAATCTGTAAGTCACTTTGGGTAGTGTATTCATGTCCTAGTGATGCCATAGAGAAGTACCCAACTGAGTGGCTTAAAACCAAAATTTGTTCTCAGAGTCCTAGAGGCTAGAAATGTGAAATTAGGTGTTAAAGAACCATACATCCTTTGAAATCTCTAGCAAAGGATCTTTCCTTGCCTATTACACCCTTTGGGTCTCTGCAGACATTCCTTGGCTTGTGGCAATGTAACTCCAACCTTTGCCTCCATCGTCACATGCTTGTCATCCCTCTCTCTTTGGGTCCAAATTTTTCTCCTCTTCTTTAGGGCTGAATAATATTCCATTGTGTATATATACCACATGTTCTTTATCCATTCGTCTGTCAATGAACACTTAGGTTGTTTCCGTTTCTTGGCTATTGTAAACAATACTGCAATAAATTACACTGCAGTGAACATGGGAGTGAAGATACCTCTTCTTGACAGTGATTTTATTCCTGTGGACACGTACCCAAAAATATGATTGCTGGATCATATGGTACTTCTACTTTTAATTTTTTGAGGAATCTTCATACTGTTTTTTCATAAAAGCTATATGAATTTATATTCCCAGTAATAATGTACAAGGGTTCCCTTTTCTCCATGTTCTCACCAACACTTGTTATCTTTTGACTTTTTTATAATAGCCATCCTAACAGGTATGAGGTGACATTTCACTGTGGCTTTAATTTGTATTTCTCTGATGATTAATGATGTTGAGCATATTTTCATGTATCTGTGGACTATTTACGTATCTTCTTTTGAAAAATGTCTATTTAGGTCCTTTATACTTTTTTTTTTTTTTTGAGATGGAGTTTTGCTCTTGTTGCCCAGGCTGCAGTGCAACGGTGCGATCTCAGCTCACTACAACCTCCGCCTCCCAGGTTCAAGCAATTCTCCTGCCTCAGCCTCCCGAGTAGCTGGAACTACAGGCACCCGCCACCATGCCCAGCTAATTTTTGTATTTTTAGTAGGGACGGGGTTTCACCATGTTGGCCCAGGCTGGTCTCGAACTCCTGACTTTGTGATCCACCTGCCTTGGCCTCCCAATGTGCTGGGATTACAGGCGTGAGCCACTGCACCAGGCCTATCCATTTCTTAATTGTTCTGTTTTTGCTGTTGAGTTGTATGAGTTCTTATATATTTCGGGGGGTTTTGTTTGTTTTGGTTTGGTTTTTTTTGAGACACAGTCTCACTGTATTACCCAGGCTGGAATGCAGTGGCACAATCTCAGTTCACTGCAACCTCTGCCTCCTGAGTTCAAGCTATTCTCCTACCTCAGCCTCCCGAGTAGCTGGGATTACAGGCGTGCGCCACCATGCCCGGCTAATTTTTTGTATTTTTAGTAGAGACGGGTTTTGCCATGTTAGCCAGGCTGATCTTGAACCCCTGGCCTCAGTGATCCACCCGCCTCAGCCTCCCAAGTGCTGGGATTTACAGGTGTGAACCACTGCATCCAGCCTGTAATTTTTTCTTGATAGCCCAACATGACGTATAGGATAAAAAGAACTGTAATAAATAGGCTTTTAGTAATATGGTAAGGTGTGAGGGGAGGAAAGTAGTCAGTATTTTCATGACTAGGTCTTGATCTTTTAGTGAGCTTGTGCCTCTGGACTGTGAACTTCACAGGTGCTTCCCAGTTCTTCTCCCCAGTTAGGTGGGAAAGGATGGCTACAGCTGGCTGGAGCTGAGGTTTTCTCTTCTTCCAGGTCATTAGGCTCTGATAAAACCCTAACAGGTTAGGTTCTGGTTAAATACAGTAAGTCCTCACTTAACATCAATAGGTTCTTGGAAACTATTGACTATGACTTTAAGCAAAACCAACTTTTTTTTCCTCATCACCATTGTAAGGAAATGACATTGAACAAATGGACATTATTCATGGCCATATGTATGTCATTTTGCTTAGAGTTGCAGTTTCCAAGAACCTAGTGATGACACTGAGGACTTACTGTAGTCTCTCTTGCACGTGTACCCTAAAACTTAAAGTATAATAATAATAATTTTTAAAAAATAATAAAAATAATTAAAAAAAAGAACAGAACTGGCCAGGTGCAATGGCTCATGCCTGTAATCCTAACACTCTGGGAGGCTGAGGCAGGAGGACTGCTTGAGATCAGGAATTCAAGACCAGCCTGGGAAACATGGCAAAACCCTGTCTCTACAAAATAATAATAATAATAATAAAATAATTTAAAAAGAACAGAATTGGCCGGGCGCGGTGGCTCACGCCTGTAATCCCAACACTCTGGGAGGCCAAGGCAGGCGGATCACGAGGTCAGGAGATCGAGACCATCCTGGCTAACATGGTGAAACCCTGTCTCTACTAAAAATACAAAAAAAAAGAGAAATAGCCAGGCATGGTGGCGGGCGCCTGTAGTCCCAGCTGCTCAGGAGGCTGAGGCAGGAGAATGGTGTGAACTCGGGAGGCGGGGCTTGTAGTGAGCCCAGATCGTGCCACTGCACTCCAGCCTGGGCAACCGAGCAAGACGCCGTCTCAAAAAAAAAAGAAAAAAAAACAGAATTATCTGGAATGTTTCAAAATCATTTTTCCTCTCTCTACCAAAGCCTGAGAGTTCTCTCTGATATTTACTGTGAGAACTGGTAGAGCTTCAGGAAGTAAAACTCAGAAAAGTGAGGCCCACCCAATAGCTGGGTCCCCCTGGAGTTATCTCTCAGATATATCTACACTGAGCCTCCAGTAATTCATCGATTACAATTCAGTTTTCTCTACCCAGCACTGATTCCTGTGGAGGTTCCTGCTCATGGGTTTCTGCTCTGGTAAATTGTAATTCTCTGTATCTGCCCATCTGTATCTTCAATCTGGGGGGAAACAGTTTGCCCTGTGGCCTCACTTCTCTTGCGGATCTAAGAAGAACTGATTTTTCAGTTTGTTCAGCTTACTACTTGTTAGGATGGAGTGATGACTTCCAAGCTTCTTATATTTCAGACCAGAAACCAGAAGCCTCGCTTTTTCTTTTTAATCTACGAAAGGTATCTCCATGATTTCTTCAAGTATTTCTTCTCTGTTTCATTTCCCTGTCCTTCTGGGATCACAATTATCTGGATGTTTGCACTTCTTTTCCTCCATTGCTCTTAGTTTTGCTTTTATATTCTTTATGTCTATTCAAAAGTGACCAGCTGTCCTGGTTTGCCCGGGTCTCTCCTGGTTTTAGCACTGACAGTCCCATGTCTTCAAAACCCCGCAGTCTCAGGCAGACTGGGACAGTTTGTCACCCTCGTTTCCAGCTTGTTTACTCAACATCTTCTTCAAATGCACTCATTTGTTCCTTGCTCTATCCATTTTCCCCATAGCAGTGGTTTTTTTAATTGATTCAGCTATTCTGTATGCATATTTCTGCTTAATTCTCTTATTTTCTCATTTTAGTTTAAAGCACCCTTTACCCCTGTTAATATGCTTATTTAGGCTAATTTTAAGTTCTGTGTTCCTCTTTTCTAACGTATTTGCTTCTGGTGGCATGTTTAATCCTGTATGCTCTTTTGCATTTGAAATGGCTGAGCTTATTTCCCTCTACAGCAGGCTCTTATATACGGCAAAGAAATGGATAAAGACCAGATACCAAACCCTGTCATCTCCAACTGGCTGAGGGGATACAGAGTGGATGAACCCTTGGGTGGAGGGCACCAGAAAAAACAGTCATTGCCCACCCTACTAAATACTCAGGACCAGTCTTCAACTTCTGCCTCTTAAGAGAAGCAGTCTTGGGGGAGACTATCAGACTGTAACTGCTCAGTTCTGTGCTTTGGAGGTAAAAGGATGAGAAAGCAACTCCCTTGAGACCATTCTCCACTTTTTCTCAGCTCACCACAAGCCAGGCCTTAAACTGCATCCCAGGTTTTATACCTGAATACACCTGATTCAGAACGCTGAGTTCTGGGGGCACTTTTTGTCCCAAGGCAGTGAAACTCTAGCAGTCCCCCCCACCTATTCTGTCCTCCAATAGGCAACCTCATGACAAGGTTGAACTTTACCTGAGCCCTGTGCTCTCAGGACACAGTGATGGCTAGGAAGTACCCCCATCCTTTTGTTTTCTAGACCGCTCCCTGCCCCCCTCAAAAAATCCTTGTGTTTCTGGAAAGAGTTTACCTCAAAGAACTACTCTTCCCCATATGACTTACATAAGACTCATGATCTACTTTCTCACAACTTCCATGAGTCAAAGATGACTCCTTTGGCAAAGCCAAACAGTCCCTTTTGCCTGAGCCTGCTCACAAGGTTAGACCCAGATGCTCCAACCTCCTATTCTTTGATTGATTAGCAGATTAGAAGAGTCTATCCCACTGAAACTGACCACAGAGAAAACATTTGACGTTCAGATAACCAAGACGTCCCCTACTTGCAAAACAACACCTTCTGCAACTTGTTTACCCCTGGCTATAAAAGTCTAAGGTAGAACCACTGTGCTGAGACACTTTAGCCATTGGATCTGGGGTGCTCTCTCTACTGCAATAAGCTGAATAATATCTTCTCCTTAATTGTCTAATGTATTGTGTCTTTCACACTAGTCTACTTCCTGCTCCAAGCCAAAACCTCCATGCCACACATCCTAGTTCCAAACAGCCCCCCTCACCCCACAGACATGTTTGTCTCCATTTTCCTTTTCTAATCCTGTCAGAGTTGATTTTGGAGGCTAGAATTTTGATTGGTATCATTGAAAAAAAATCTCATCATAAGACTTGCTATGCCTATCACTTTGAATAAATCCCTTCGGCTTAGAAAAGAACAATCATCATTAAAAATAAATGTAACACCTCTCTCCCACACTATCTCAAGAAGAAAAAGTTCCAAGAGAAAAATCACTTATGTTAGAAGAGAACATTGATTAAGCACATTCTGATTTTTGCCCCCTCCACAGTTTTCTTATAAAGCTGTTATGAAGCTTTTGTTATGATGGGCAGGTAGAGAGACAATACACCAGGCACACAAATATGACAGGTATTAACAAGTCGTGTAAAGGAAAATAAAGAAGAAGGGGAAGAGATGGTATCTGCAGCCAGGTTAGGACTGAATCTAGCCGGGTGCGGCGGCTCACACCTGTAACCCCAGCACTTTGGGAGACTGAGGCAGAAAGATCATGAAGTCAGAAGTTCGAGACCAGCCTGACCAGCATGGTGAAACCCCATCTCTACTAAAAATACAAAAATTAGCCAGGTGTGAGTGATGGCACACTCCTGTAATCACAGCTACTCAGGAGGCTGAAGCAGGAGAATAACTTGAACCCAGGAGGCGGAGGTTGCAGTGAGCCGAGTTTGTGCCACTGCACTCCAGCCTGGGTGACAGAGCGAGACTCTGTCTCAAAAAAAAAAAAAAAAAAAAAAAGACTGAATCTATACATATTAAAATGACAAAATCAATTCAAAAATTGTAAAGATAACTCCAATCACAATGTGTTCCTTGTTTTGATCCTGATCTAAACAGACAATTTATGAGATGATTCAAAGTTTGAGCATGGATATTTAATGATATTACAGAAGTATTAATTTTTTTTTTTTTTTTTGAGAAAGAGTCTTGCTCTGTCAGCCAGGCTGGAGTGCAGTGGCATGATCTCGGCTCACTGCAACCTCTGCCTCCTGGGCTCAAGCAATTCTCCTGCCTCAGCCTCCCGAGTAGCTAGGATTACAGGGGTATGCCACCATGCCCGGCTAATTTTTGTATTTTTAGTAGAGACGGGGTTTCACCATGTTGGCCAGGCTGGTCTTGAACTCCTGACCTCAGGTGATCCACCCACCTCAGCCTCCCAAAGTGCTGGGATTACAGGCGTGAGCCACCGTGCCCGGCCAGAAGTATTAAATTTTTTTACACATGATAAGATGGTATATTTTATACTCCATCTGCTGAAATATTTGCAAATGGAGCTATATGGAGGAAGGAGGGTGTGGGTGTGGATACAAAGGAATCAGCAAAGAATAATTATTCAAGCTGAATTATGAGTACATGGGATCCGCTGTAATATTTTTTTCCTACTTTTGTGTCTCCATTAAAAGAAGCTTTAAAAAAGAATACCTTAAAGAAATAAGTTAGAGAATTTAAATTAATGCCAGGAAAGTTTACCAAGTACAGCTTTCTGATCCTATAATACTCACTTAAGCAAAGCTGTAAAATTCTAGTGATCATAGGCTTTTAAAAATGTGAAAGATTGGCTGGGCGTGGTGGCTCACCCCTGTAATCCCAGCACTTTGGGAGGCCAAGGCGGGCAGATCACCTGAGGTCAGGAGTTCCAGACTAGCCTGGCCAACATGGTGAAATCCCCAACTCTACTAAAAATATAAAAATTAGCCGGGTGTGGTGGCGCACGCCTGTAATCCCAGCTACTCAGGAGGCTGAGGCAGGAGAATCACTTGAACCTGGGAGGTGAATGTTGCAGTAAGCCAAGATTGTACCACTGCACTCCAACCTGGGCAACAAAGACTCTGTCTCAAAAAAAAAAAAAGTGAAAGATTAAAAGATGCAAAATACTAATAATCATAATGAATAGGATATATTGAGATCTTACTATGTGCCAGGCATTAGGGTAGGGCTAGCTGTGAAATATCTTACTAACTCCTCTTAACGACTTCATGATCAAGAGACTCCTGTTCCCATTTTATAAATGAGGAAATTAAGGGTCAAATAGGCCAGGCATGGTGGCTCATGCCTGTAATCCTAGCACTTTGGGAGGCCGAGGCAGGCGGATCACGAGGTCAGGAGTTCGAGACCAGCCTGACCAACATGGTGAAACCCCATCTCTACTAAAAATACAAAAATTAGCTGGGCGTGGTGGTGTGTGCCTGTAATGTCAGCTACTTGGGAGGCTGAGGCGGGAGCACTGCTTGAACCCGGGAGGCGGAGGTTGTGGTGAGCTGAGATCGTGCCATTGCACTCCAGCCTGGGCAATAAGAGCGAAACTCTGTCTCAGAAAAAAAAAAAGGGGGGGTGTCAAATAAATTAGGTAACTTACTCAAATAACTTCGTTGGGAGTAAAGTTTCAAGCCCAAGCAGCTTGACCCCATGAAAAAACCGCACTCATAACCACTGTGTTTCTGTCTTGTCCATGTGAAATCACCGTGGTTTAGATGTTGCTGCCAATACCTGAAGTAAGATGACGGAAAGGTTCTCTCAGGAAGCAAAATTGTATCTCCCATTCCCTCTCCTTTTCTCTAGTGCGGCATGTGGGATATACATCCTCAAAACTGTTGCTGAATGAGGCTAAATTAGCAATAACAGCTACAAGCCAGATTTTTATCCAGATACCTCCGAGATCCTCTCTAAGGGGGCTCCCGAAAAAGCCACAACCAACCGCTTAAAGTAGAGCATTTCTTCATGCCACATCATGTATAAAACTGAGATGTCACTTTACCTGGTATTCTATGGAAAGCTGGCCTCATTACCATGTGAAGTAGCTATAATTTGCTAATTCCATGTTGTCTATATTTTAAGATATATTTATTAATCTAATGCATACATTACAACTACATGATCAGGAAGGATAATTTGAATGACAGCTCCTTAACGTGACTTACAAGGCCATAGAAGATCTGGCCTGCTTTCCTCTGTATCCAGACTTCTCTCCATTCCTTCATTAATAAGTCAGTTCAAACAGGGCTGACTTCAGTTCTCCAAGCCTGCCATGCTCCAGCTCATCTCAGGGCCTTCTCACACATTCCATTTGCCTGGAAAGTTTATCCTCTCTTCTCGGGGCTCATTCCTCCTTAGCTCCATTGTTTCATTTTGATGCCTCTTCCCTGGAAATCCTTTCGTGAACCTAAAGGCCCTAAACTATGGTGACAATCTACCTTCCAATGTTATTTTGCCCTTTGTAACACAATGTGAACCAACTTATTTATCCTCTCCTAAAATAAAAGAGTTTTCAGTCTGTGATGAATCTTTTCTGTTTTGGCCTAGCTGGTTTGCCAAGAGGGTGCCGTATGCCACTAGGACAAAGATAAAGCAAAGTAGAAAAGAGTTTGCATCAATGCACATAATGTTAAAAGCACATGTGTCAACTGAGCACTTACTGGGCACAAGGCTCTGTGCTCTGTAGTGTATATATTTTGCAACAATAACTCTAAAACAAATATAATTTCTTTCCGCATTTTAGATGTAAAAATAGGAGGTTTACAGAACTTGAGTAACTTACCAAAATCACACATAGCCAGGATTTAAGCACAGATCTGTGTGGCTTTATTTTTAGAGAGGGAGTCTTGCTCTGTTGCTCAGGCTGGAGTGCAGTGGTGCAATCTCAGCTCACTGCAACCTCTGCTTCCCAGGTTCAAGAGATTCTCCTGCCTCAGCCCCTCGAGTAGCTGGGATTACAGGTGCACGCCACCACACCAGACTAATTTTTGTATTTTTTGTAGAGACGGGGTTTCACCTTGTTGGCCAGGCTAGTCTCTAACTCCTGACCTCAGGTGATCCACCCGCCTCAGCCTCCCAAAGTGCTGGGATTACAGGCATGAGCCACCAAGCCTATGACTTTAGATTGCAGCTTGTGTTGCCATATAACTCCTAAGCTGTAAGAAAACCCCCAGAGGAATGGCTGAGGCTGGGCGCAGTGATTCACGCCTGTAATCCTAGCACTCTGGGAGGCCGAGGCGGGTGGATGGCTTGAGCTCAGGAGTTCGAAGCCAACCTGGGGAACATGGTGAAACCCCATCTCTACAAGAAATACAAAGATTATCCAGGCATGGTGTCTCGCGCCTGTAATCCCAGCTACTTGGGGGCTGAGGTGGGAGAATTGCTTGAACCCAGGAGGCAGAGGTTGCAGTGAGCCAAGATTGTGCCACTGTACTCCAGCCTGAGCAACAGAGTAAGACCCTGTCCCAAAAAAATAAAAAAGAGGAATGGCTGAGACCAAGGCCACGGTGGAGATACCCACTCCCATAGATCCTTTAGGGCTTTCCTTAATTCTTTCCTTTAATTAAGACTCCGGTTAGTAAAGAGCTTTATACAAATTCTCTGCGTCCAGTCCTAGGAGGAGGAAGGGGCACATCTCACCCTGCCACAACTCCATCATGTCTCTCCCTGGCTCTCCCAGCTTCCTGGGCCTTTCAGGGCCAACGTAGGCTAGCCTGCAGAAATGGTTTATGAATACCCAGTACAGGGCTCCACGCCTGGGCCCTGAAGGGCCTCGCCACACATTCAATCTCTTTTTTTTTTTTTTTTTTTTTTTTGAGACGGAGTCTTGCTCCGTCGCCCAGGCTAGAGTGCAGTGGCACGATCTCGGCTCACTGCAAGCTCCGCCTCCCGGGTTCACGCCATTCTCCTGCCTCAGCCTCCCGAGTAGCTGGGACTACAGGTGCCCGCCACCACGCCCGGCTAATTTTTTACTATTTTTAGTAGAGACGGGGTTTCACCGTTTTAGCCAGGATGGTCTCGATCTCCTGACCTCGTGATCCGCCCGTCTCGGCCTCCCAAAGTGCTGGGATTACAGGCGTGAGCCACCGCGCCCGGCCAAGGTGTTTCTTTTTTCCCTCTTTTGTCCTATTAACTTGGTAAATTTTATTACATATGGTGACTTGATTTGCTCATATTGGACTCTCTTTGCATTACTAATATTTCTCATTTACTCATACTCCATTATTATTTTCATGTGCTGCTGGATGCTGTTAAAAGATAAATTTAGGCACAATAAAATTTGAATGACTTTATTTGAGCATTCATTGATTCATGAATCAGGCAGCACCAGACCACAAGTAGTTCAGTGCTCCACTGTGGGTGGGTAGGAAAGGGGGCAACAGAGGAAATTTGATAAAGTATTCACAGAAACAAGACAAAGAAAACATATTTGATTGGTTAAAGTGGGAAGTCCCTAGTTAGAGGTTAGTTGGCAGTTTCTGATTGGTTAAGCTTAAATTTCATTTTACTTTTTACATTGAATTGGGTTTTGGTTGGCTTAGGTAGAAACTCAAGGTGCTGGAGACATCTTAGCCTCATGACTTCCCAATTAACTGTCTTAACGGTACCATTGCATTGATATTCGTAAGTGAGATTGGTCAGTAGTTTAATTTTTAGAGACATCATTTTCAATTTATGTTTTCGAATTTGGTAATGAAATAGCCCTGTAAATTTTAGTCTGTCTCGTAGAACTCAAACTTGAATCTAGTATGACTTGGGATGAATAAGCTGGCTGAATGATGGATTCTATCCTATCCTAGGTGGATAGGATAGTTTTCCACTGAAGTGGATCACAACCCTTCCAGGTTGTCTCTCGTCTTTCATTGTTTTGAGCTACTTTAGAAGACTGGTGATAGCACTGCAACATAATTCTCGTCTCTAGACATGTACATTTTGTCCTATTCAATTGGCTTCTCTCCCTACTGGAAGCCAATTTTACCTCCATTTGCATATTCATTTCAATATTCTGGATCTTATTTTGGATTCTCCCTAGAACTGATTTTAACACCTTCTCAGTTTCCTCACTAACCAGTTAAATAACATCTTTAACATGTGTTTATTTATTGATTTTGCCCAGGCTCTGGTGTGGAATGGTGCACTCTGGAGTGGAGTGGTACAATCTTGGCTCACTCTGTTGCCCAGGCTGGAATGGAGTGGTACAATCTTGGCCCACTGCAACCTTCACCTCCCAGGCTCAAGTGATCCTCACACCTCAGCCTCCCAAGTAGCTGGAGCTACAGACACATGCCACCAGGCCTGGCTAATTTTTGTACTCTTTATAGAGATGGGGTTTTGCCGTGTTTCCCAGGCTGGTCTCAAACTCCTGACCTCAGATGGTCCACCCACCTCGGCTTCCCAAAGTGCTGGGATTACAGCTGTGAGCCACTACACCCGGCCCCCTCAGGAAGAAATTTAGAACAAAGAATGGTGGTCAAAGTTCAGTCCTCAACTCTCTTATCAAAGGTCCATGAGCCAACAGTTGCATTTGGTGAGGGTCCAGGCTTCTGAAAGACAACTCAGAGATATATGTTAAGATGTTATTTTTAGTTTTTATAGGAAAATTGAACATCTTTAGATCTAATTTCCTTGGCAATTATTTTAGGCTACTATTATCTTTTTTTTAAAATAAGACCCTGCAAAACATGATACCTTTTTATCAAGTTATTTATTTATTTTTATGTATTTGTTTTTTGAGAGGGAGTTTTGCTCTGTCACCCAGGCTGGAGATCAGTGGTGCAATCTTGGTTCACTGCAACCTCCACCTCCTGGGTTCCAGAGATTGTCACGCCTCAGCCTCCCGAGTAGCTGGGACTACAGGCATGAACCACTTAGTAGAGACGGGATTTCACCATGTTGGCCAGGCTGGTCTTGAACTCCTGGCCTCAAGTGATCTGCCTGCCTCAGCCTCCCAAAGTGCTAGGATTACAGGCATGAGCCACCATACCCAGCCCCAAGTTACTTATTTATTTTTTAGGACTAGCTAGATATCTAGAATTTCCCTTGGAGGAACTCAAGAGTTTTAAATTTTTTTATGTTTGGGAGCTTCCAGGCTCCTAAGAGGGGGTCCCTGTCTTGTGTCATTTCTCCCCCACCCAAGCTCCTGGAAACCTCCATTCTTACTGTCTTTATGAATTTGACTATTGTAGATATCTTTTATAACTGTGCTGGGAGGGAAAGCTTTTCCTCTGCCATCTCAGGTCCAGTAGTGTGTGGGAGCTGCAAATGAGCAAATTAACAGATTAACAGGGGGAAAAAGGTAACCAAACAATGGACAGATTAACAGGAGAAAAGACAAGATTTCTTTACATGTGTGTGGGGCAGCATTTAAATGAGAAGCTCCCTGAAGAACTAGAGATAGGGATTTATACACCAACTTTATAGGGGAAAGGGTGAAGGGAGAAAGGGTTTCCATGGGAAAGATAAATGGTCTTTTAGGAGAATAAATGGAAGGTATGACACTTGGTGATAATGTTTGCTTATACAGTTTCTCATCCCATTGCAAGTGGCCCTGTCTGGGAGTGAAGCTCTCCTAAAGAGAGGATTTATGACAACTTCATTCTTAGAAGGCTCTGCCTGTAGCCAGATAAGGGAAGCTCTGAAATGGCTTCTTTCTGCATCTGCTGTATCTTAAAATGTCTTCATTTTAAAATAATCTTCAATCTGGAAATACAAGTGGGGTCATACAGTATTTGTCCTTTGTGACTGGCTTATTTCACTCAGCCTAATGTTCTCAAGGTCCGTATGTGTTGTAGCGTGTGTCAGAATTTTCCTCCTTTTTAAGGCTGATTAATATCCCATTGTATTTATATACATGTTTTGTTTATCCATTCATCTGCTGATGGACATTTGTGTTGCTTCCACCTTTTGGCTGTTATGAATAATGCTGCTGTGAACATGGGTGTACAAATATATCTTCAAGGCCTTGCTTTTAGTCTTTTTGGGTATATTCCTAGAATTGAAATGGCTGGATCTAATTTTAGTTTTTTGGGGAACCACCATACTGTTTTCCCAGCAGTTCGACCATTTTGCATTCCCAGCATCGTACAAGGGTTGCAATGTCGCCGTGTCTTCACCAACACATTTGTTTCTATTTTGTTTTTTTGATGGTAGCCATCCTAATGGATATGAAGTAATAGCTCATTGTATTTTTGATTTGTGTCTCCCTGATTAGTAATAGTGAATGCATTTTTATATGTTTATTGGCCAAAAAATTATCTTCTCACTGTAACACTGTACTCCACCTTTTAGCACTATTCATTCACCAACCAAGGAGTCCCACTCATTGTTCATTACGGATGTGTCAGAGATTGAAATCTCAGAAAAATCAGTATGGGTCTTACCTTCATAGGTATCAGTTTTATTGGCAGGAGTTTTTTTTCTTTCCTAGGTGGTGCATCTTACAAATCTACCTGTCTCATAGCCATTTGACATTTGGCAAGAGAAGACAGAGCCAGGGAACCATCCTGGAGGGTTTTTTGCTGCTGGGTTTATGGCATAGCTCTAAGGGTAGGGAACAGAGGGTAGACAGGGTCTCCTGCTGCCAAGACCTTGACTTCGTTAGACAGCTTTCTTCAGTTAGGTAAGCTACAATGGAATCCTCTCCCAGAAAGTTCCTCTTTTTGCCTAAGCTACCTATGGTCAGGCTCTGTGGATAATGAAAATCAGATCCTTCAATAATTCTACAAGCTCTTGGGAGAGCTTGCTCTATGTGTTTTCACGGATTGATTTCTGTTCTCAGGTCAACATAATATTGTTTTATGTAAACATATGGTAATATTAGTGTTAATGTTAAATAGTGAGATCAGAACACATGATTAAATATAGAGTTTATTTGCGCACAAAGCTTGAGTATAGCCACCCAGGAAACACTAACTCCAGATGAACGGGGTCAGCGTTCCAAAGCAGTGAAGTTAAGGTTTCACTTATGTAGGCAGAGACAGAGAAATTTTAGCAGGATTGCAGAGTTTTCCATACAAAACCAGTGCATTCATTACAGTGATTTGGTTGGTTATAGAATGCTATATTCCAAGAAAGATTACTTTGTTACTCCCTGAGAAGAGGTAGTGATCTGAAGGGGTCCTATATCCGGTGCCATTAGGTCTTCCTAATTTTCTATAGTACAAGAATAAGGAAGAAAGTTGATTTAAATCAGAGAAGTAGAAGTTGCAGCTGCATATTACATGACTCAGGCCACATAGCCACATTTCTCTCAAGGCTCAGAATAATTTCAATTTCCAGTAACTTTAAGTTTGAATTTTTTTTTTTCTTTGAGACAGGGTCTCACTGTCTCGCCCAGACCGGAATGCAGTGGCCGGATCTTGGCTCACTGCAACCTCTGCCTCCCGAGTTCAAGTGATTCTCCTGTCTCAGCCTCTCGAGTAGCTGGGATTACAGGCATGCACCACCATGCATGGCTAATTTTTTCTTTTTTGTATATTTAGTAGAGACAGGGTTTCACCATGTTGGCCAGACTGGTCTCAAACTGATCTCAGGTGATCCAGCCACCTCAGCCTCCCAAAGTGCTGGATTACAGGCATGAGCCACCACGCCCAGCCAGTTTGAATTAATTTCACATTAGTATCTCTTCAATAGTCTTCTCTTAGTTTTGTTTTTGTTATTTCTTCTAGATTAAAGTCATAATTAGACATTATTTAAAATGTCCTAACTATAACAATATTTATATCTTTTCAATATTTGCTCTCCTCATCCATTTACATCTTTCCATTTATTAATTTTACTCCATTACATTAATTTTTTAATTCTTAATACTGTTTTCACATTTATTGTCATCCCTAGATGACAGAAAAAAGTGAGTGAATAGTTTATTTCATACATCTACATTACTTCTGCCATTATACATTTACAGCTCAGTTCTTGCTGGAAATACTGGGCACTCTTGTGCAGTCACATCAGCAGAAATACTCCTATTAATTATATTAACTGTTTCCTATTTTATCCTTTTTAGCTTCCAATTGTTAAAAGATAATTTTCAGAAAAGTAGAATTGTGACTTTATACAGATATAGAAATGAACATGTATTAAAGAATTTATTTTACTCATATAATATGAAGTACCAGGCAGATGTTAAAGAAGAGTTAAGACAGCACATATTTATATGACATGAAGGGATGTTGAGATGAATTTCAGATGGAGACAAAATTTTCCACAGGTAGAAGTTAGGAGAAAATCATTACCAGACCAGACAGAATTTATATGTCTATCAGTTACCTACAACTTATAAAGTTAAAAAATAGCTCAAAGATAATGAACAGGACTCAAATCTGATAACCCAGAAGGGTACATTACAGAGGATCCATTGCTTTCCACTGTAGAGGAGAAAAAATCATAGCTTTTCCTCACCCATCTCAAGGGTCTTTGCTGATACCCCTATTTTAAAAAGGCAGATTAACAAGAGGACACCATAACAAATGTATCAAAGTTTTGCGTGATACAGGAACCTTCAGAAATGAAGACTCAAAGACCCAGGGAGAACTGTAGTTCTTAATTTAAAATTTTTTTTAGAGACTGGGATCTTACTGTATTGCCCAGACCGGCCTTGAATTCCTGGGCTCAAGCAGTCCTCCTGCCTCAGCCTCCCAAGTACCTGGGATTACAGGTGCATGTCACTGCACCTGACTATCTGTATATATGTATGCTTAGGTTTGATGAAGGATGGACAGTCATGTACAAGTATGATTGGACAAAAAACCTGTGGTCTAATGGTAATAAGCTGGGGAGAACTTAGCAAGGCCTGTTCATTCAGATTCTTCTTGGCCCCTCTGTGTAGCATTTCTTTCCTCCTGGTAATAGGACAGGACACCTGTCACATGGGGTGGAGGTCTCACTGCCTACTTTCAGGAAAGGAAGGTCAAAGAATTCCTTTATGACTAGCTCTCACACAGAAAGGCAGGGAAAAGTCAGAGAGACACCTTCAAAGTTCCGTATTTCGGGGTGACATTCTGAGCCGCAACACCATTTTTTCCTACACTATGTACATAATCGTTTGCCTCTTTTTATTGCCCTAGACAACCCTATTGTTATGTGTCTTACTGCACCGGCTACAACTTTCCCAAACAATGTTGATAGTGTGCATGCTTGTTTCTAATTCAGACATCAACAAAAATACCCATGATACAGCTCCTCTCTTTCCCTCTCTCTTTCTTTCTCTGTCTCTCTCTGTCTCTCTGTCTTTCTCTCTCTCTCTCTCTCTCACACACACACACACACACATATATTATATATATATGTTTATATATAGAGAGAGAAAAAAATTTTGATTAGTCATGGAGAAATAATGATAAGACAAAAGAAGTATGAGAGTATGAGCCAAGTGTAATAAAATGGCGGAACAGCGGGCCTGTGTGTTCAGATCCCTCTTGGCAAGCGTTCATCTTTGGAAATAAGGATATGCCTTTCCTTCCTGTATAGGGGGAGTACCTCTCACAGGAGGGTCTTATACCTACTACAGGGGAAGGTCAGAAAATCCTGCCTGCCCATGCCATTTCTCAAATTCCTTCAGCTTAAAATATTCAGTATGCCAAGTTGCTGTATTTTGGGAAGGCACATCCTAAACTCCATCAAAGTCCTGCTAGAAGCAGATACCAAGATGGAAAAACATCCAAGGATTTTTACTAGGGGAGCCCCCTATGAGGGGCATTGAGGGGTGAGCGGGAAGGCATGGAGACCCCACTGACCTACATCGCTGTGTTTGGTGAAGCAGAACTGGAGGGAAGGTTGGGTGGAAACGTGTGCACTCAGGAAGATTTAGCAAAGCTATCAGGGAGTCCTGAAGCCAAAGGTGGTTGTCAGAGGAGTGATGTCTCCCAGGAACTAGTCTGTCACATTGTCTCCCAGGAACTGATCTGTCCCCAGTCATTGTTGGTGAGCAGCATGTGGTGGTGTGACTTGGGCCTTAAGGCTGCCAGGGATTCCTAAGGGCAGTGGGTGGGGCCCTTGGTTCAGGTGCATTTCCTGAGTTGGAGGTGCAGGGCACACTCTCATGGTGGCCACACCATCTTCATCTTGTTTCTAACTTTAAAAGCAATGTTGGCTGGGCGCGGTGGCTCACGCCTGTAATCCCAACACTTTGGGAGGCCAAGGCGGGTGGATCACGAGGTCAGGAGATCAAGACCATCCTGGCTAACATGGTGAAACCCCGTCTCTACTAAAAATACAAAAAATTAGCCGGGCGTGGTGGCGGGCACCTGTAGTCCCAGCTACTCGGGAGACTGAGGCAGGAGAATGGCGTGAACCCAGGAGGTGGAGCTTGCAGTAAGCCAAGATTGTGCCACTGCACTCCAGCCTAGGCGACAGGCAAGACTCCGTCTCAAAAAAAAAAAGCAATGTTTATAAAACACCACTACTAAATATCAGGTTCAGAACCTTGCCTTCTATTTCTTCTTTGATTTTCTCAAATGCATTGACATTAATAATTAATAAACCTAACATTAACCATTCTTGCTCAATCGTTCTTGATCACTATTTGTAAGAGATATTTATAGATTTAGTGTGCCAGGCGTTTGATTTGATTTGCTAGTATTTAAGCCTTTGCTAGATAGCTTCCTATGTATGATTGGCCAATAATTGTCCTTTCTTATACTGTCCTCTGTCCTTGCCCAGTTTGTTGCCAAGGCCGTAGTGGCCTCATACAAATAGATTTCATAGCTTGTGAGACTGTGAATGAATGTTTCTTGTCTCTGACTAGCATAGATCCTAGAACTCTGCCGTCCAGAAGTGTAGCATCTGGCTACATGAAGCTATTTAGATTGCAATTAATTAGAATTTAATTTAATTTAAAATTCAGTCCTTTAGTCATGCTAGCCACATTTCAAGTACTCAGTAGCCACATGTGGCTTGGGGCTCCCACATTAGACAGTGCAGGTCTAGAACATCCCCCTCCTTGCACAAAGCCCTGCTCTGTGGTGGACCGTGGAAAGTGATGGGATGGGGCTACACTCCCGCATTTCACTGGGCAGAAAAAAAAGAGGAATTTGGGCAGTTGAAAGAATCCATAACTAACCTGAACCTGATGCTCTGTGAGAGCATAGAAAAAAAACCTCCATTCCACATTACCCTCAACTCCATCAGTGGGATTGTGGTAAGCGTGTATTGTGCAAACTTGCTCTTGAAATGCATTTAAAATATATCCTGCTTGTCTGGTGTATGTCAGGAACTATGTTTATCACTCAGACTACAGCAGTAATGAAAGCAGACACAGCCCCTTTTTTCATGGAGCTTATAATTTAGCAGAGGGGAGACAGATAATATACGACTGTGTGCATTTATGTGCACACGCATGTGTGTGTCTGCGTATGTGTATGTGTATAAGAGAGACAGAAACAGAAAACTGGTGATATAAGAAGTGCTGTAAATCAGATTAGGAAAGATAAAGCTGTAATTAAGGGATGGGAGTGCTATTCTACTTGGGTGGTCAGGGAAGGCCTCTCATGTGAAATTTTAACAGAAACCTGAATGAAGTAAGGGGGCCAGCCATGAGGATATTTGGGAGAAGACACTTCTAGGCAGAGGGAACAGGAAGTGCAAAGGCCCTGAAGCAGGGCGTTGCTGGTGTTTGAGGAGAGAAATGGAGTCCAGTGTAGGTTGCTGGTGCAGAGTGAATAGTGAGGGGAGTGACAGGAGGTGGGCCCTGAGATGCCCGGATGCTAGACTCTGAGGGCAGCTGCAGGGTGGGTTGTATTCACAGTGAAAATGAAGCCACTAGAGTTTTGAGCAAAGGAATGTCATGATCTGACTTTGACCACAGGGCGCACAAGGACAGAAGCAGAGAGACAAGTTAGAAGGCCACTGCAGTAATGGGGGCAAGAGATAATGGCTTGGTAAAACTGGAAGTGATGAGAACTGCTCAGAATCTACATACGCTTTGGGAGAATTGATGTGGAGTTTTGGGACAGTGTCCTTAGTTAGGTGTTCATGATGTTAATGGTGAAGGCAGAAGAGGAAAGTGTGGGTCAATTCCAAGCCTCTACAGCCTAGCAAGGAATAGATCTAAACCCCTAAGGTTCTGGATCCCATGTCCCCAGGGTCTTAGGGCTCCAGGGTCTCAGGCTTACAAGACCTGAATTGTGGAGTTTTGGTCTTGAATGGAGGGAGGAGCCAGCATTTGGTTCTGTGACAGATGCGAAAGGCCTGCATCTCCCACATTGGCCTGGGAGTGATGCTGAGCCATTAGTCTTCTGAGGATTTCTACCTTCTTCTGCTCCAGGTCCATGGAGGTGAACCACCCAGCACCCCTCAGCCTCTTGGAACTTGCAGCCCACAGCCTGCTGAGCAATGAGGCTTCAGTTCCACTGGTGTTGGAACAGCTCACAGTGAACCTTTTCCCGCCACTACTCACTGCTGCATTTGCCAAGGGGCACAGAAAGGCTCTGAAGGCCTTGGTGCAGGCCTGGCCCTTCCGGTTTCTCCATCTGGGCTCTCTGATAGTGCAGTGGCCCAACCAAGACAGCCTGCAAGCTGTGGTGGATGGGCTGGAGGCCTTTTCTGCCCACAGGGCTTGTCCCAGGTAAGGGGGATGCTGGGAGCAAGACCTCAGTTCAGAGCCAGAAGGAGGGTGAGCTGAGGTCCAGGGGAGGGGAGCGTTAAATTGGCTAGAGGGACAAGTGGGGAAACTATATGTTTCTGAGTTAAGTGGTTGATGGTACAGCTAGAAGGCTTTAAGGAGAGGGCTTTTTACTTTCTAGGGGTGGTGGTACAAGCTGTATGAGGAATAGGGGCTGACAAGGAGCCTGAGTGAGGGAGGAAAAGCCTATTGCAGAGGAGAGGCGAGGCGGGCTGGTGCTGGGGCCTGGGGAGCAGCCCAGGGCTGCTGCCACTCATCTTACCTGGGCTCCCCAGCATCTCATCACACCCCTCTCCCCGCAGGAAGTCAGAACTGAGGATGCTGGATTTCACCCTGGACTCTGAGCAAGTCTTTTACTGTGGTAAAGGGGCTTCTGAAGCCTTGGCCAAGTTCCCATTTTGGTTACCATCAGCAGTCAAGGCAGAGACGCCCCAGGCCACGGCCAGGCCCAAGCCAGCAAAGAACATGAAAAAAGGATGAAAGCAGCCATGGGAAGCAGTGGAAATACACATTGATCTTTTCCTATGAGGCTTCTTCAAGTTAGATAAGTTCCTCTCCGACCTCCTGACGAAAGTGGAACAGAGCCACGGGGCCCTGCATCTCTGCTGTAGGAAGTTGCACATTGAGAAGATGGCCGTCGACAGTCTGCTGAGGATCCTGAAGACACTCAGGCTGGATTTCATCCAGGAGCTGGAGGTGTTTTACTGGTGTAGAGACTTCTTGGTATTGGCAGAGCCAAACCTATCTGCCATACAGCTGGGAAGGATCTTCAACCTGCGCAGCCTCAAGCTCTTCTACTACAAGTGGGCCTTCTCCTCATGGGTCAGGCGGCCCTCCAGCTACTTCTTCTCCCAGCTCACCATGCTGGGCCACCTCCGGAAGCTGCACCTGTCTCACTCCTACCTCGTAGGCAAACTACATTACATACTCAGGTGAATGGGTAGGCAGGGGCGTCGGAAGAGTCCTCTGAATACTCCCAAGTGAGGTCAGGTCAGGGGAACAAGACAGGAAATGGGGCTTATTCTTAGATGCTCATGGAATTGTGGGCACAGCCTGGGAACTGAGGGTTCAGATGCAGCTGATGGCTGGGATCTGCTTTGGAAACATATTTGATGGGGAAAGATGCATGTTGCTATAAAAAATAAAATCCACTTTGGGAGGCTGAAGTGGGAAGCTCACTTGAGGCCAAGTTGGAAACCAGCCTGGGCAACAAAGTGAGACCCCATTTCTACAAATAAATATACAAAAATTAAGGCCAAGCACGGTGGCTCATGCCTGTAATCCCAGCACTTTGGGAGGCAGAGGCAGGCGGATCACTTGAGGTTAAGAGTTTGAGACCAGCCTGGCCAACATGGCGAAACCCCATCTCTATTAAAAATACAAAAATTAGCCGGACATGGTGGCATGTGTCTGTAATCCTAGCTGCTCGGGAGGCTAAGGCAGGAGAATCTCTTGAACCCAGAAGGTGGAGGTTATAGTGAGCCAAGATTGCACCACTGCACTCCAGCTTGGGCAACAGAGCAAGACTCCATCTCAAAAACAAAACAAAAACAAAAAGAAAAATTAGCTGGGCATAGTGCATCTTTAGTCCCAGCTACTCAGGAGGCCGAGGCAGGAGGATTGCTTGAGCCCAGGAGTTTGAGGCTGTAGTGAGCCATGATTGTGCCACTGCACTCCAGCATGGGCAACAGAGTGAGACCCCGTCTCAAAAAAAAATTACAACAAATTTAGTTTAAAGATCTAATTGGCTTTTTTTTACTCTTTAGAGACAGGGCATCATTTTGTCACCCAGGCTAGAGTGCAGTGGCACGATTACATCTCACTGCAGTCTCAAACTCCTGTGCTCAAGCTACCCTCCCGCCTCAGCCTCCTAAGCGGCTAAGACTACAGATGCGCACCACTACACCTTGCGAATTTTTTAAAAACTTTTTTGGAGAGACAAGGTCTTGCTTTGCTGCCCAGGCTGGTCTTGAGCTCCTGGCTTCAAGCCATCCTCCCACCTCAGCCTCCCAAAGCACTAAGATTAAAGGCATGAGCCACCATGCCTGGCCTTCTAATTGGCTTAGGTTTGTGATTCACAAATTGGGGCAGCCTCCCATTCTATAAAATAGAATAAGAGCTCTGATGAGCTGAGCAGAAGAGACTGGCTTTATAAGCATAAAAGTGATGAAAAAAGCCAAAACAAAAAGCAGATTGGTCAGTTGACGGTTACTTTCCTTATGGGGTTAAAACAGAGGGCACTTCCTTATCATCCTGGGCCCCTTCTGATTGGTTGGTGTGAATCTCCTGTTTTTTGGAAAACTGACCAGTTTCGAAGTTCAGTTTGATTACCTGGCACTTAGCACGAGTGACTGCATTCTGGTTTGCTCTGGTCTTTTGAGGTCTAGTGCAGGAGCTTAGTCCAAAACAGTGGTCTTCCATGAATTTCATTTAATTTTTTAATTTTTTGTTTTTGAGACAGAGTATCTGTCACCCAGGCTGGAGTGCAGTGGCATGATCTCGGCTTACTGGAATCTCTGCCTCCCAGGTTCAAGTGATTCTCCTGCCTCAGCCTCCCAAGTAGCTAGGATTACAGGCATGGGCCACCATGCCTGGCTAATTTTTCCATTTTTAGTAGAGATGGGGTTTCACCACGTTGGCCAGACTGGTCTTGAACTCCAGACCTCAGGTGATCCACCCACTGCGGCTTCCCAAAGTGCTGGGATTACAGGTGTGAGCCATTGCGCCTTTCCTAATAATATGTTTATTTACTCAACAAACATTTTCAGGCACTGCTGAATGTTATGCTGGTCCCCAAGAAAAGATCCTGACACAGCACAGGTTATGCCTCTTCTTCTGAGCTCATACTGCCCCAGACAGGTGGGTACAGAGCCCTGAAGGACAATCAGTATCCACTCTGTGCACGTCTCCTAGAAATTTCAAGATAGGGCATTCAGGACCCCCAGCCCTGGCTTAAATGGAAGCCTGAGCAGCAGCTTCCCCAAACCCAAACCTGAGGAATAATGGCCTCAGCCTATGGTTACTTCTCATCAGATAAGCGCTTTCAAATGGCTCCTCTCAGCAGTCTTATTAGGTATGGATAATGTGCATCTCCCTTTCACCGAAGAGAAACTTAGAGTTAGAAGGGTTCGTGGAGGACCTGGTAGGTCTGTTGAGAGAGAGCCAGGCCTTGGGACACCAAAGGACATGCTCCTGACCCTGCTGGTAAATGGCTTCCCTGATGAGGGGGTGGCCATAGGACTAGCCTCCTCCATGGACAAATAGGTGTTCCGGGTGGGGTGCCTGGGCCCTCCCCTCACAGAGCCACCCTTCTCTCCTCAGCTGTCTGTGGGTCCCACTACATTCCCTGGAGATCTGCAACTGCAAGCTTCTGGACACTGACATCACCTACTTGTCCCGGAGCCATCATACCACCTGCCTGAAGAAGCTGGATCTGAGCGTCAACGACTTGTCCTACATGATCCCTGGGCCCTTGGGTACCCTGCTGAGGGCAGTCTCAGGGACACTGCAGCACCTAGACCTGAAACACTGCTGGCTGAAGGATGCCCACCTCAGTGCCCTCCTGCCCGCCCTGTGCCGCTGCTCCCACCTCAGTTCCCTGAGCCTCTCCGACAACCCCATCTCCAGTGCCTGCCTCCTGAGCCTGCTGGAGCACACCATGGGGCTGATGGAGCTGAAGCAGGTACTCTATCCCATCCCAGTTGACTGCTGCATCTACCTGCATGGCGTCTGCCGGGGTCCTGTGAACGAGGACAAGCTGTGCCAGTTGCAGGCCGAGATACAGAAGCAGCTGCAAGCCATGCAGCAGGCTGACATGCAGTGGAGCCCCTCCACTGTCTTTGCTTATGCAGCTGGTGCAGTTTGAATGAAGAACAGGAGCCAGGCTCAGGGAACAGAAGTCAGAGAGGGCAGCTGGAATCACAGCTGAGGCCACATGTTGTTTGCAAGGAACATAAAATAAACTTCCATGGGAACTATCTGGCGCTTTCTTCATTCCTCTCGCTCCCCTTCCCCAGTCGAAAGCCTGGCCTGTTTCACCTGTTCATTCAATCGGCACACGTTATCCAGGTGGCTCTACCGCCAGATCACCAGAGACCCCAGAGGTCCAGCCCTCCCTGGCGAACACTCCCTCTTCTGGCCACTCACTCAGTTTCTCTTTGTCTTATGCTTCTGGGTAGAATGAAGTGGGTCCTTAGCTGACTTCCCCACCTTTGGACATGAGCTGTGCACTGGAGGTCTGAACAGCTCTGGGGGCTGTTGGGAGACTGGAAGGAGGCACATGCCTGGCACCAAACCCAGAGCACGCGGCCATCAGTCAGCTGATCACCATCGAGCGTGTGCTTGGGCCAGGCGCTGCTGTCCTCAGACCGGGCATACATGGAGAGCATGGGTCACAACCGTTTAGGAAGTCCCTACAACAGGGCAAAGTCAGAAGAATCAGGAGTGGCTGCCAAAGCAGGTCAGGGAAGGCACCTCAGAGAGGAGACCTTTGAGTCCAGTCCTGAATCTGTGGCAGAGATCTGGAGTCAGGCACCCTGGGAGGGGCCCGGCAACAGCAGCAGCTGAGAGCTGGGCCTGAGTCTGGCAGGAGAGGACAGGTCAGAGGTTCACAGGCCCAGGCCCCCAGCACCATGTGGGTGGAATATAGTCAAGGCTGATGTAGATGGAGACAGAAGGCAGACGCAGGGGAACTTATGAGTGACCAAGATATGTACAGGGGCTTCATAGAAAGGCCTGGACCAAACTGACACACAGGGCCATAGAAAGCCAGAGTATTACTGCTGGGTGGGAGAAGTTTACAGAGCAGCCTTCAGTCCATTCTGCTAGTCCACTTGTCAGTTTCTGTTTGTTTGCCTGTCCTTGCTGAAGCTCTGTTGTAGGCATCCTGGTTCCACCCATGTAAACCCTGGAACCAGAGATAGGTAAGAAAGCCTCACTTAGCGGAAGGGTCCTCAGTGCCTTGCTTGCTGAGTGCTGCTTCCATCCAGGCGAGGGAGCTTGCCTGCTCTCATGAGCCATCTTGCAGCAGCCTCAGCGCCTCCTGAACTACCCTGACTCCAGGTTGTGATAGTGCCCAGCAGATTCCTCATAGGATTCCTACAGAATAGCACAGTCCTTGTGCACCCACCTTCCTCTGTGTATCGGTCACGCTCAGAGGGCCAGTCCAGAGGCCATACAGTCATCTCCAGCAGCCTGGCCTGCGAGTGGAGCATGGTGATTTTTCACATTGTCCATTTAGGTAACAAGTACTTGCTAAGTGCCTCCCAGGTGACAGGTACTTTTGCAAGGGCAGAGGATGCAGCAGAAATAACTCCAAGTTCGTGCCCTAGTGGAGCATGGGCTCCATGCAGATAAGCAAGCTGGCAGGTAAATGACACGTCTTCAGATTGAGAAAGGGCAAAACAAAGGGAGTGGGGCCCGCTGCTGAGGGGTGGAAAGGGAACTGTTTGCGATAAAGTACACACAAGGTCTGTGTTAGAGCAGAGACTAGAATGGAGGCAAAACCTCCAGGCAGAGGAACAGAAAAGCGCAAGTAGAGGAAGATCGAGATACCGAGAAATGCACTGGGGGCTCGATGTACTGTGCCGTTCCTTGCTGTGCTGAAAAAATCAGATGCCTCCCCAAACCCTGACTGGCTAATTGCCTCTGATCCACACAATGCGCCTCTCTCCGATGCAGCCACGCAGGCATGTAACTGCAGCTGCTCCACATGACACTATCAGAGCGTAAGATCAGATTGCATGAATGAAATCCCATTGCTTCCTGTAGGTACCTTCTGGTGACATGTCTTTCCAGCAGTGTCAGGGCACAGGTGCTGCCATGACCTCAGCCTCGCTTTCCTCCTTACCCTGACCACTCACTTTCTTCTTGCCTGAGTCAGTATTGCTCTTTAGTCAGATATGGGAGGATGCTTGCTCCTGGAAGTATCTGGACCAAATTTCCCCAAGATCATAAGACCTTCCTCCTGCTGCACCCACTTGAGAGCTTGCTTGAAGGTTTCCTGCAGTCCAGGCCGAGGGTCAAAACTCAACCTCTGGGTTGGGGTTAGGAGAGCTGACTGTGATTTGCATCCACTATTTTGTGCCTCAGTTTCTTCATCTATGAATTTAAGAATTTTGAATCACAAAGTTAATCATAGTCCTTACCTCACACCATTACGTGTGTGTTGAATAAGTTACTTATTTAGAAGGGTTACATGCTGAGAACAGTGCCTGGCATCTAGTAAACCCTCTTGGAAAAGAAGGGACACTTCTGAGTTCCCATAGCAAAGTAGAGTGGTCAGAGGAACCTGGCTGGGAGGCTTGGTGGGAGCATTCAGGGAAATGATCCATGGAAAATCTTCGGGAGAGTGGTGGTCATGTGGGTCTTTTTCAATAAGTCCTTCCCCATCTTGGTGGTGAGTGGACAGTCATCTCCAGGGGATCCCTAGGAAGAAGCAGTAGGTGCACGATGCACCAGCAAGCCCCACGCAGGCCTCAGTCAAGAGAGGAAATGCAGGAAAGAGGAGAGGGAGAGTGGAAAAAGAAGGGAGGGAGGGAGAAAGCCAAACATTTCAGTAGGATTAGAGGAAAAGAATGGGTTGCCTGCTGTTGCCCTGTAGAAGCAGGACTGTGGTGGGTAGGGATCTCTGGGCCAGGGCCAGATCAACTGCTTTCCCAGATATTCCCTGCTTCCAAAGCATCCTCCTGCCTCGGCCTGCACCACACCCACTTCCACACACAAAGGCAGCATGTGCCAGCTCCCCAGAAACAACCGAGGAAGCAGGTGGCGCCTGCACCCCCAGAAACCACTCACGCCATCACTACAGAGACACTGTGCACCCTGCAGCATTAGGGGTGTTGCTTGTACTATTTGGCAAAGTCAGCTTGGAGCACAGAGAAAGTTATCTGAGTAATGGATACGTGTTTGGGTCTTTCAGTTAACCCCTGACTCTTGGTCACTGCAAACATGAAACCAACATGATTATCAAAGTAGTGGTGGCCAGCCCTTGACTGTTGACTGTCATACACTGTGCTGTGTGTTTGATATACATTTTCTGAGATAATTATCACAGATCACTAGAAAGTAAGGCCCAAGAGAGCAGACTTTTTTTCCGTTTCATTCACCATCGTATCCACAATGCCTGGAAATTAGTAGGTACCCAAAAAATACTGGATGAGTGTGAGAATAAAGGAAGATATGAGTGGACAGATGTTTTCCAACATGGCTATTGCGGCGAGCTCTCAGAGATGTTCCTTCTCTCATTTCCATCTATCTCATGGGCCTGTCTTGGGCTCCTGTGGCTTTGTACTAGCTGGTAACATTTTTATCTCCCCATTCTCTCCTCATCCTCCTTGACTTTTTTTTTAAGGCAAGGTCTCACTCTGTCATCCAGGCTGGAGTGCAGTGGTGCAATCATAGCTCACTGTAGCCTCAACCTCCTGGGAACAGGCCACCCTCTCGCTTCAGCCTCCTGAGTAGCATATGCCACCATGCCCAGCTAATCTTTTTTTTTTTTTTTTTTTTTTAGACAGGGTCTCACTATGTTAGGCTGGTCTCAAACTCCTGACCTCAAGTGATCCCCTCACCTTGGCCTCTGAAAGTGCTGGGATTCCAGGCATGAGCCATTATGCCTGGCCCAATATTCTTGTTTGTTTATTCTTCCACATGAAAGGCACATTCATTTAGTCATATCCCAAAATTACCACTACAAGAATTTCTTCTTAAAATAAGAAAATATTATAAAGAATTGAAATCAACACAATTCATCATTCCAACAGTAATCTGACTTGCCTTTTATGTCACTGGGCAAAATAAAATTTATTATGGATATCGGCTTCATGTTTGTCACTATGATATCCTTTGACATTTTAGGCGAGGCAGGGAGGTAGCTTCTCCTGTGTAAAGAGTTCACTTTTGCCACCATTTATTTACGTGGGTTTTTTGCTGGTGTTCACAGAATATGCTGGCACCTTCTGGTTGTTCTTCAGTTGTTTCTTTTGTGAAGAAAGGAGTATAAAGATATGGTGATGTCTGGCATGGTGGCTCACGCCTGTAATCCCAGCACTTTGGGAAGCCAAGGTGGGCGGATCACGAGGTCAGGAGTTTAAGACCAACCTGGCCAACATGGTGAAACCCCATGTCTACTAAAAATTTAAAAAATTAACTGGGCGTGGTGGCGCACACCTGTAGTCCCAGCTACTCAGGAGGCTGAGGTAGGAGAATTGCTTGAACCCGGGAGGGGAGGTTGCAGTGAGCCGAGGTCGCGCCATTGCATTCCAGCCTGGGTGACAGAGCGAGACTCCGTCTCAAAGAAAAAAAAAAGACATGTTGAGTTCAGGTCATAGGACAGGCTGCCAAGAGCTGTTTCTCCATGTACCCTGCAAATGACTTGGGCTTCTGTGACGTTTTAAGCTCCACCCACTTCTGGGGACAGCAGAGTGACAGAAGTCCCCCTCCCAGACAGGGGAGAAGGATGGCCTCAGCACACAGCCAGTCAATTTCCTGTTCTTCAGCGCAGGTTTCATTGCCCTTTTATTCAAACTTCAAAAAGTAATCTTGGCCAGGCGCGGTGGCTCACGCCTGTAATCCCAGCACTTTGGGAGGCCAAGGCAGGTGGATCACAAGGTCAAGAAATCAAGACCATCCTGGCCAACATGGTGAAACCCATCTCTACTAAAAATAAAAAAATATTTAAAAATTTAAAAAATTAGCTGGGCTTGGTGGTGTGTGCCTGTAGTCCCAGCTACTCGGGAGGCTGAGGCAGGAGGATCGCTTGAACCCAGGGGGTGGAGGTTGCAGTGAGCCAAGATCGTGTCACTGCACTCCAGCCTGGCGACAGAGCAAGACTCCTCTCAAAAAAAAAAAAGTAATCTTTAAGGCTGTGCACGGTAGCTCATGCCCATAAATCCCAGAACTTTGGGCAACAGAGTGAGACCCCGTCAAAAAAAAAAAAAGTGGCTTCTGGAACTAGGTTGCTCTGCCACTTCCATCATTGTGTCCTGCTGGTTCTTTTTTTTTTTTTTTTTTTTTTTTGAGATGGAGTTTTGCTTTTGTTGCCCAGGCTGGAATGCAATGGCATGATCTTGGCTCACTGCAACCTCCGCCTCCTGGGTTCAAGCGATTCTCCTGCCTCAGCCTCCCGAGTAGCTGGAACTACAGATGTGCGCCACCATGCCCACCTAATTTTTTGTAGTTTTAGTAGAGACGGGGTTTCTCCATGTTGGTCAGGCTGGTCTCTAACTCCCGACCTCAGGTGATCCGCCCGCCTCAGCCTCCCAAAGTGCTGGGATCACAGGCGTGAGCCACCGCGCCTGGCCTATGTGTCCTGCTTCTTTATGTGTAAAATAAGGATAATAATAATATCTAATTCCTAGTGTTGTAATGAGGATTGTGTCAGTAACAGAACAGTGCCTAGAACAGAGTAAGTAAGCACTGCATGATGTTAACTATTAATAGTATTATCAAAATCATGGACCAGCCTATGCCGAACCAGAGAGAAGAGAGGTCCAGGAGCCCTCAGTTATCCCATCCACCATAACCAGGCACCTGCCCAGTAAGTGAGGAGGGTAAGGAAGAGGAGAAAAGTCAAGACCATGGTGGAAACACCCCAGGGCTCTGCTTCCTGAAGTCCCATGGCGGTGTCTGGGCACCTGAGTTTCTCTCATGGCCTCTGCACACTCCTTAGAGGAGGCCTCTGCAGGCAAGTCTGCTGCTACTCTTTAGGGGAGTCAGTTTCTCCCCAGCCATGGGGAAAGAAGAACGGCCCCTCTCGCTGAGTCGATCCTAGGCCACCATCTCCCTGGTCAGAGTGGAGCTGGGGTTGGGGGGAGTCCCAATAGGGAGACACCTCCAAGTTGAAGGGTTCCTCTGAATCTGGGTCATTTGTCAACCTAAGGGTCAGTCAGAAAGCCTGACCCAAAGCTCTGGCAGAGGGTCAGCTGCAGGGCTCTCCGGGAAGAAAGCACAAGGCAACTGCAGTTTCTCTGCTCTGACCAAGAACACTTCCCGACGCCCTGGCCTTCAGAGCTGACCACTCAGCGCCTCCTGCTGGCCCAGGCCTCAGGTCCTTCCTAGGGCTCCATACAATGAACTCTGGAACTGGATTGATGGAATGAGCTGAGGGCCTCTGGGTTTCTCTTTCAGCCAACTGGTAGCACCCAACAGAGCCAATCTTAGCCCTGGCTGGTATGTGGAGAACACACTGCAGGGCGGCAAGGTGGAGACCTGGAGGGAGAGGAGGAGCTCGGATCAGGGTGGTGGCAGGGAGGCAGGGAGACTTGAGGGGATCTCCGATATACAGTCTTCGATTTAGGACAATTTCCACCTACAGGATTTTTCAACTACAAAACCAGTATGCATTCTGCACGCTTCTTGACTCATGATGGGGCTACATCTGGGTAAGCCCATAGTAAGTTGAAAATACCATAAGTCAAAAACGTACTTTCGAGTCACAATATTTTCAACTTAAGATGGGTTTATGTGGATGTAGTTCCATCTGAAGTTGAGGAGCATCTGTATTGTAAAGACAGTAATGGCAGGATTTGTGGGTGGTCCAGGATGCTCCCAGGCTCTGTCCCTGAGCAACCAGGAAGATGGAGTTGCCATTTTGGAGACGAAGAACCTACCAAGGTGTGGGTTTGGAATCAGGAGTTCTGCTTTGAAAGTGAAGTCTCACCGTGACTCATAATTTGTGACATTTCCAAACCTTAATTTGCCTATAGAACTTTTCTTTTTCCAGAGCCTCTATCCAGACTACTTATTATTTATCAAAATAAATTAGATAAATAAATAACTTAATTTTAGAATTCATCTTCCAGATATACTTTACACAGATCATTCCAATAAAGGCAGGTTGGGGCCCGGGACAGTGGCTCACCCCTGTAATCCCAGCACTTTGGGAGGCCGAGGCAGGAGGATCACTTGAGGCCAGGAGTTTGAGACCAATCTGGGCAACATAGTGAGACCCTCCCCCTAGACCCCATCTCTACCAAAAAAAAAAAAATTAATTGGCTGGGCTTGGTGGCTGGCACCTGTGGTCCCAGCTACTGGGGAGGCTGAGGTGAGAGCATCGCCTGACGCCAGGAGATCGAGGCTGCAGTGAGCTGTGATCTCGCTACTGCGCTCCAGCCTGGGTGACAGAGTGAAACCCTGTCTTTAAAAAAAAAAAAAAAAAAACAGCAGGTTGGGAAAATCTACAAGGAACAAGGGCAATGTGTGTATGTTATTTAAAATAAGATCATAAAACGTATTTTAAACCTTCCATAATCCTAATGCTCTAACAAATAAATTAGTTGGCCGAGCGTGAAGAGTCACACCTGTAATCCCAGCATTTTGGGAGGCCGAGGGAGGCGGACCACCTAAGGTCAGGAGTTCAAGACTAGCCTGGTTAACACGGTGAAACCCCCGTCTCTACTAAAAATATAGAAATCTTTGGGAGGCCAAGGCGGGCGGATCACGAGGTCAGGAGATCGAGACCATCCTGGCTAACACGGTGAAGCCCCGTCTCTACTAAAAAAATACAAAAAATTAGCCCGCGTGGTGGCAAGCGCCTATAGTCCCAGCTACTTGGGAGGCTGAGGCGAGATCATCGCTTGAACCCGGGAGGCGGAGGTTGCAGTGAGCCGAGATTGCGCCACTGCACTTCAGCCTGGGCAACAGAGTGAGACTCCGCCTCAAAAAAAAAAAAAAAAATATATATATATATGTATACACACACATATATATACATACACATATAAATTAGCTGGGCGTGGTGGCGCACGCCTGTAATCCCAGCTATTTAGGAGGCTGAGGCAGGCGAATTGCTTGAACCTGGGAGGCGGAGGTTTCAGTGAGCCGAGATCACACCACTGCACTCCAGCCTGGGCGACAAGAGTAAAACTCTGTCTCAAAATAAATAAATAAATAAATAAATAAATAACTTAATTTTAGAATTCATCTTCCAAATATATTTTACACAGATCATTCATTCATTCCACAGATTTTTTTACAGCATCGAAAAGAAGCCTGCTATACACACATCGGTACATTTTTATTATTTTAATTATTAACAGCATAAATGTTTTCATGCCAGTTTTCATAATCATTGTAATGATAATTGTCATGATTGTCTCTCCGTGGCGGGGAAGAATCTGGGTGCAGGGCTTGGGGATCCCTGCGGTCCGCGGCGTGCAAGTGCCACTCCCTGGGGTGCTCCCGGAATCCGCGAGCCACGGAACCTAAGAACGCCGACCCGCCGGAGCCGGAGGGCAGACGCTGGCACACCGGACGCGGGGACGCCAGAAGCGGCTGGACCCGGAAATAGGGGTTGTCGGTAGCCGCCCCGGGAACAAGGACCGGAGCTGGATCCGCGGTGCGGCTGTGGGTGAGCGGCGGGCTGCGGGACCCTCGCCCGGCGGCTCAGAAAGGCGGGAAGCGCACGCATTTTTCTGGCTTGTTTCCTGAACGTTGGCCGGCGGAGGACCCGCGAGCTCGGGAGAGCGCCCGGGCCGGGCTCTGCATTCTTGTTGCCTCTTCCCTGGCGGGGGTGATACTCTCCCGCGGGGCTTGCTGTGGGGGTTCAGGGAGGTGGAGATGGGCCCGCCATGTGCCTGCAGGGAGCAGGCGCTGTGGTTAATACTTTTCTTCTTCGAACCCTCCCACAGCTCTTTAGGGTGAGATCTGCTGTACCAGTCTCACAGGTAGGGAAACTGAGGCTCAGGGAAGCTGTGCAGCCACCGGGGCCCAGATCGGTGCGGTACACACCCAGGCAGCTTCCACTCGCCGCCCCCTAGGCCCTGGCTGGGTTTTGAGGGCACCCAGGTTCTCTGACCTGTTATCTGTAAATGAAGTAGGGTACTTTTGTGAACAAATTAGCTGGAATCCAGGGGCAATAATTTCTCGCAGAAGTGAAAGGTAAGATGTTCCTAGTCTTGCCTTTTTATCTTCTCACCTTTTGAAACAGGACCTGAGAGGCCAGCCTAACTTGGGCTTGATGGCCAGCCAGTCCTGGGATTCTTTTGCCAAGGTCACCTGACACTAGTGTGACTTGTTCTGAACCTCCATTTACTCACAGTTTTAAAAAATTACAACACCTGCCTTATGGGGTTGCTGGCGAGATTGAATAGTGTTGATAGCTATGGTGTGCCTACTACAAAGGAGGAGCTTAAGAAATGGTTGTTTCCCTCTTTTCCTGATTCTAGAAGCATTTGGTAAAGTTACTGAGGTGGTAAATCCTAGGAATTTTAATGCTATTCAGACCACTGCTAGGCCTACTCCCAGGCCACATCTGCTTGTTTCTTTTTTTGTTTGTTTTGTTGCAGGCAGAGTCTCACTCTGTCACCCAGGCTGGAGTGCAGTGGCGCGATCTCAGCTCACTGCAACCTCCGCCCCCGGGTTCAAGTGATTCTCCTGCCTCAGCCTCCTGAGTAGCTGGGATTACAGGCATGCGCCACCACGCCCAGCTAATTTTTGTATTTTTAGTAGAGACCAGGCTTCACCATGTTGGCCAGGCTGGTCTTGAACTGCTGACCTCGGGTGATCCACCTGCCTCAGCCTCGCAAAGTATTTGCTCACTGTCTATTTACCGTGAGAATGCACAAAGCAAAACCCGTGTTCTCCTGCTGCTTACTTACTTTCTAGGAGCTGTAAGACAAGAGCTGAATAAGTAGATGGAAGCTGTACCAAGTGTAGTGATGAGTGCTACAAGGAAGCAAAGCTGGGCTGCTGTTCCATCAGAGTGCTCACAGAGGCAGGACAGGATCAGGCTTGGGGCACGGGTTCTAGAACAACCAAGTCCAGCCACTGGAGCTCTGGTCTCTCTGACCCCACAGTCCCAGTCTAGGCCAATAAAATGGCAGCACCTATTAGCATCCCTGCCTAGGATGCTGGCAGGACTGCCTGGTCCCTGGTGTGTCCTCATTATGTCATACATAATTGCTGACTACTCTGTGGCATAGACATGAGAAAATCTGAGGAAACATTTTAGGACAAAATTTCCTACTTTGGAAGAGATGGGAAACTCAGACCCTCACAGAACAATGCCCCTCTGCTGCGAGTTTTCCCTTTTGGCCTCTGGCTTCCCAGGGTGAGAGAAGGGGAGTCCCTAAATCTCTTTTAAACCTCACTTCTGGGCCTCTGATTTTGGTAGAATCAAAACTTCCCCAGAACGGAGAGCAGAGGCCAGTCATAATCACCTTGGTTGTTCATTCATTCCCTCAGCAGGCATTTAGTGCATGCTGGGTGCCAGAAATATGGCAATGAACCTGACAATTGTGGGAGAGACAGACTGCTGACGCCAGATGCAGTCTTCAGGAGGGGAGGGGCAGGGGTCAGAGCAAGTAGACTAAGGGGGAAAAGTGGCCTAGGCCGAAGCCTGCTGGCGCACAGGGAGGAAAGGTGGGTGCGCAGCAGAGCCTTGGGAGATGCAGCTGGAGCTGTCATGGGCCAGAGAGCTCATCTGCAGACAGTGTCGTCATTCCACAAGGCCTCGGCTCTTTCACTGTGGGATGGTTGTACATTTAAGGGGAACATCCACTTACTTATTTTGAGGAAAAAAGCAAATTGTCATTTTATTTGGGACAGCTTTCTGGTCAAGATTACTGATTTCACTGTAGTCCTGTGATCTCTTAAGTGGGGAACAAGGTTGACAGCCCAAGGCCGACCTTGGACCTCTTCCCCTGCACAGCATGATGAGCAGCAGAAGCCCCTTTAGTGAGGGAGTTCCTTTGGCATCCTTTCTGAACAATGCCCTTTACAACCCTCCTTTATTTTTCTGGTTTTATTGTAAAGTCCCTTGTCTTAGTTCTTGTCCCTCAGTCACCTGTGTCCAGGCGCTAAATGTAAAAGGTGCAAAAGGGAATGTGGTGAGGAGGCACCCCCAGCCCTGACCTCCAGGCCCTAACACCCACTCCAGGTGATTGCTTGGACTGTTTGTTTTGCGTTCCATCCAGACATATCGCCTCTTCATAATCAAGTGCACACGTGTGCACACATATGTGTGATCACAGATGGCAGTGCTCTCTACACACCGTTACATGCCCAGCTTTCTTAGCATGATTTATTTCAGTGATCTGATCCACGTTAGTATGTACCAAGCAGATGCTTTCCTTTGTAATGCTGCCAGGTGCTCTACTGTAGAGAATGCCATGCTTTTTTTTTTTTTTTTTTTTTTTGGAGATGGAGTCTCACTCTGTCGCCCAGGCTGGAGTGCAGTGGCGCAATCTCGGCTCACTGCAAGCTCCGCTTCCCGGGTTCACACCATTCTCCTGCCTCAGCCTCCCGAGTAGCTGGGACTACAGGCGCCTGCCACCATGCCCAGCTAATTTTTAGTATTTTTAGTAGAGACGGGGTTTCACCACGTTAGTCAGGATGGTCTTGATCTCCTGACCTCGTGATCTGCCCACCTTGGCCTCCCAAAGTGCTGGGATTACAGGCGTGAGCCACCGCGCCCGGCCAGAGAATGCCATGCTTTTATTTAACCACCTCCCTGTTGACAGACACCAGCTTGTTTCTAACCTTTTATCATGATTGATAATGCTGCAGAGAACTCCCCAGTGATGTGGTTCATCACAGGCACCACCGTGCCCAGCCTGAGGCCACTCCAGCGCTGCCCTGTCCTACCTCCTGGGGACTCAGAGTCCACATGGACAGTCTTGTCAGGGCCCACCACTGACTCCTGTGAGTCTCCCCAGGTGACTTCACTCTCTACCTGTCTCACAGCCCTTGCCCTCCCTGGGTCAGCATGCCACCACCCAGGCCCCTCTGTAATTCCTGTTTGAGCCTCCCACCCTCTGGGAGTTGCTTCTTTGACTCCCACTTCCTGCTCTTGTGCCTCACTTCCTGGACCCCACAGAGCACACCCTCTGTGGACCCTCCCCAACCCTCACCTCCCTCTTCACCCAACTCAGAGTCAGGTTCTGTCCTTGTAATCTCTCCCCTCGAACCCTGACCCACTCCCTCTCCCTCCTACTCACCTGGACTCTCCCATCTAACTAAATCCAGTGCTTCCTCTGCTGTGGGCCTGCCCGCAGCATCACCACCTGTCCTCCCTCAGTGGACAGCCGTACCATGCCTCCTCCTCCACCAAGAGAAGTGCAGCCTTGTGGCAGCTCTGCATCGCCTGGATGCTGACCGGCTGCCTCTCTTGCCCCTCACCCTCCCAAGGCCATCACTGCAGCAGTTCCTTCCCCTCCGGCACGCAGCTTCTCTTTTCCTTCTCGCCAGAGCAGTCCCATCAGCGGAGAACATGCTGGCACAGCCACCATCCTGAAACAAGAGGGGACAGTGCACCAGCCTTCTCCCATCTCCCAGGTTTTGTTGAGCTCACCCCATGCAGCTTTCATCTGTCACTCACCACATGGCCCCATCAGGATTACCCAGGGCTCTGTTTGCCAGACCCTACAGTCAGGTCTCAGCTGCCATCTCGCCTGGCCTGTCAGTGTCCCCCACATGGTGATAACTGCCCTGAAGTGCTCTTTCCTGTGGCTTTCAGGACCTTACCCCTCCTGACTCACCCTGCTAGCTCCTCATCTCCCGACCCCCAGCCTGGGCTCCTTCCACATTGCTGCCACCTCCTCCAGGCCACCCAGGCTGTCCAATGGGCAGGTCCCGTTTAACACACCTGAAGTCCCACATCAGACTGCCAGTCCCTTCCTGTCATGCCTAAGCCAAAGCCATGGGTTGTTCCTTTTGCTTTTTTGTAAAGATGAGGTCTCATTGTGTTAATCAGGCTCTTCTCAAACTCCTGGCCTCAAGTGGTCCTCTTGCCTTCGCCTCCCAAAGCACTAGGATTATAGGTGTGAGCCCATGGCAGGTGTGAGCCCATGCCCAGCTCTGCCTCAGGTCATTCTTGACTCACCTTCCCCTCCCCCTCCCATGTCCCGCCATCCCAGGTCTGCCTGGATTCTGACTTCCCTCGCATCCTCCACCACTGCTACCCAGGGCCCATTCATCCTCTTCTATGTGGCAGCCAGAGAGGTCCCTTTAACACTTGAAGTCAGATTATCCCACACCTATGCAAACCCTCTGCTGCCTCCCAGCACCCCTAGAGCAGACCCACATTCTACACCCCTGCTCCCTCCCTCAGCCCCATGAGCCCCCCTGCCCAGCCATATCCTCCCCAAGGACCTCACCTTCCCTGCTCCTTCTGCCTGGACTCTTCTCCCAGGTGTCACCCAGCCCTGCCCTGTCCCTCCCCTGCTCCCATACTACAGCATGAGTTCTGGGAGGGCAGGACCTGGTGTTGCTTTGTGCTGTATTCCCTGCATCCTGGACTAGGCCAAGCATGCAGTAGGTACTCAATAAATAACTGGACTATTAAGTTCATTCCAAGGAGTGGAATTGCTGGGATGTGCACTCGGACTTTGAGAGGGATCCCTGAATTGCTGCACATAGAGGTTGTTCCCATTTAACTTCCCCATGCCCTCATCTGCTGTGTGTGCAACGACTTTGAGTCTCTCCCTATGTGATAAGCACAAGCTCATTGTAGTTCTGAGTTTCTTCTGCGAGTGTTGTTGGACATGATGTGATACCACAAAGGTACTTACGTGGTGGTTTTCCCTTTTTTTTTTTTTTTTTTTTTTGTTTGAGATGGAGTCTCACTCTGTTGTACAAGCTGGAGTGCAATAGCATGATCTCGGCTCACTGCAACCTCCACTTCCTGAGTTCGAGCGATTCTCATGCCTCAGCCTCCCAAGCAGCTGGGATTATAGGCACCCACCACCACACCCAGCTAATTTTTGTATTTTTATTAGAGATGGGGTTTTGCCATGTTGGCCAGGCTGGTCTTGAACTCCTGACCTCAAGTGGTCCACCCACCTCAGCCTCCCAAAGTGCTGGGATACAGGCGTGAGCCACTGTGCCCATCTAGGTGGTAGTTTTTCTTTATGCTGAGATTATTTTATTTTGCTTTTACTTTTTTTGAGACAGGGTCTTGCTGTCACCTAGGCTGGAGTGAAGTGGCTGTTCTATCCACAGGTGCAGTCATGGCACACAACAGCCTTGAATTCCTGGCCTCAAGCAAGCGATCCTCTTGCCTCAGCCTCCTGAGTGGCTGACACTATAGGCATGTGCTACCACACCTGGCTTGTGAGATTTATTTTAAAAGCACATGTTTTTCCTAATATTTTCTGGTTTCATTGTTTCTACTCAAACCTTTGCTAGATCTGGAATCGGTTTTAGTGGGATTTAGGAAGCAGGAGTCTAACTTTATTTTTTTTCACAGCAGATTTCCCAGTTGTCTCAATACGAGTCTTTTTTTTCTTTTTTAATACGGTGCTATGTTTATAAACATCAGTGCTACATTTATAATGACTGAAAAAACAAAAAGGGTTCATGTGGTTTTCTTTTACTTGGCTAGCAGGTATTGAATGTCATGTGTCAGGCACAGAAAGCTGTTGCAAAGACCAACAGTGATTCAGACACAAAGCCCATCGTGTCCTATTTTGGGGGTGAAGTAGTCGCTGATGATGGCATGATGTGAGTGGGTTGGAATGGAGACCTAGCCCAAGAGCTGTGGGCACAGGAGGGCTGACTTACCCTGCCAGTGGTGTTGGGAGACTTGAGCTGGGCCTGTGGGCCATCCAGCTGCATCCTCCAGGCCTGGCGGAGCTTTCTCTCAGGCAGGGAAGCGCAGGCACAGAGGCTTCAAGTGCGTGTTTGCTTCGATGATGATATTTGATTTAATTTGGCCAGAGCATGACCTGCAAAGCAAAAGGTGGAGTGGAATAGGTGGGAGATAGATGTGACAGAGTCCTGATGTCTGCTTGGGGCTGGACCGACTAGCCAGAGGGTCTCAGGCCCATCATGGATCAGAAGGACCTGGGGGGCCCAGCCTGGGCATCTGCATTTTGTAAAGTGTCCTGGGGCGTCCAAGTGCTTTGCTGAGCGGGAGGTGCTGCTCTCGGCCACGATAGTTCCTCTTTCCAGGTGAGTCCACCTGTAGGTGGAAGAGCCAGTCCAGAGAGGAGGGCCAGGCATCCACCTGGCCTGACCCATCACTCCAGATCCCCAGGCCCCAGCATCTTCCTAGCATGGATTTAGGAATAAAATTGACCTGAGATCACTGGGGCCACTTCACCTTCCCCCAAATGGAGCCACATTCCCAGGATCATCTCAGCCACTTCAGCTGACCTGGTAGTTTTTTCTTGTTTTTAATCTCAGATGTCTTCAAGTTTCCCTAATTCCCTAATTTTTCTTCTTCTTGCCTCAGGTTGGTCTTGTTTTTTCTTTGTTAAAGTGATTTTCCTTGTAGTGGTGTAGGTTCTATTGACAGCATTGCTATCCTGAGTGTCTTTTCTTCTCTTTAGGAGTCAGCATTGGTAATAGTGCTGTGCTGCGGAAGAGTGGAGTCTAAACTTTTTCATTGCCAGTGCCCCGAAACTGGAGTGTGAAGGACCGAGACAAAATGAAGACTGTGCTCATGGTTGCTGAAAAGCCGTCCTTGGCACAGTCAATTGCCAAAATCCTCTCTAGAGGTAGGAGAGACCAGCCCTGCTTTGGTCTGTAAGCACGGTCGTTTATGTGTTACAGGACATTTTTTCCTAATGTGATTCCACCCTGGCTGGGGTAGATTTGGTTCGGGTCGGCAGGTGGTAATGAAGCATCTCAGTATGTCACAGTGGGGTGCATTTGCTTCCACTCCTGGCAATGTGCCAAAGCTGGGGTTCCCATAAGGCACAAGGCACAATTTACAATGAAATTGAAGGACAGTCATTATCCATATGCTGGGCCTGGTGGGGCTATTAGGTACAGGTAGTAGAAACCAGCCCTGGAAGGAAGGAGACGCAGCCAGGACTACACCCCAGTCAAGGTCTGATGAGGCTATGCCCCAGGCATTGTCACCCCTGGATACTCCCACTGTCCTGTGGACCTCACGTCACTCCAGAGTAGCCAATGGACTGAGCTATGGCCACAGGCACTACTGAGACACCAGGGAGCTCGAGAGGGAATGTCTGCCACTCACCCCCAACTCTGGCCACTGGGGTGGTTGGTAGGGTGCTGTTTCCCCCTATCTTTGAATTCCCTCCAAATAGGAAGAGTTTTAGATGCTGGGTACCCAGAAATGACAGGCACCTACCTGGCCTCCCCTTGGTCCAGCAGTTGAGAGGGGAAGAGACCCTCGTTCAGCTGAGAAGGCATGGTCCGCAGGGGACGGTGCCCCAAAAGTGGTGCCCGGTGCCCAGAAGCTGAGAAAGTACAGCTGAGTATGGTCAGTGGAGAGGGTGAGAATTCGATAATTAGAAGGTCCCTGGTAACCGAGAGTAGATCTGGAGTCTGTTTTAGTAAACGATGAATAACGTTTCAATGAAGTGAGGCAAAAATGGAATTGAAGAGTGAAAACATAAATACAGAGAAAGAGCCCACCCCTGCCTGCTCCTGGCTCCCGGCAGCCTGGGGCTCTGCATCGAGAGTGCTCTGTGCTAGGTTGTTGGCAGATGCTGTTTTCCCTGAGCGCCGTCCCACCTCTCAGTGCCCAACTACCCGCACCAGTCTGCGGAATGTCGTCACTCACCACTCTGGGGAAGGAGGACTCTGGCCCTCTGGGAGGTGGCATCCGGGCTGGGGTCTCCACAGGGTCTTCAGCTCAGCTGAAGCAGCCAGTCACTTTGTGCTTCCTCATCCCCAGGGAGCCTGTCCTCACACAAAGGGCTGAACGGGGCCTGCTCAGTCCACGAGTACACTGGGACCTTTGCTGGCCAGCCAGTGCGCTTCAAGATGACGTCTGTCTGTGGTCACGTGATGACCCTGGATTTCCTGGGTAAGCCCCTCTACCCTCCATCCTACTGAAGGGAGTTCTGCATGGCACTGGCCAGGGTCCAGTTGAAGCCAGGAGATGCCTCTAGGCAGGGAAGTTTGTCCCAACTCCATGAGTCATAAGGCCAGCAGATCATGAAGTAGCAATGAGAGGGTCCCTGGTGCGGTGCCCAGAACCCAGGCTCTGGAACTCAGCCCTGGGTCCCCATCATAGCGGCACCCCTTAGTCGCTGCATTCCCTGTGTGCCTTCCTATGTAGACAAAGTGGCAGCACCTATCTTAGGAAGGGCTTGACCTGTGCAGGCATTTAAGAGAAGGCTGCTGCTGTTGCCAAGTTGACCGTCATCTGTCGGTCATTTGGTGGCTGTCGTTGTCATTCCTATATTGTTACTGTTATCAATTACCTTGGAAGCGCCAGTATTAGTGACCTGCTGGGTGTAGGTTTGGGGCCATGTGGTTGGCAAGAGTCTGATCCAGGCTTTTCCCCCTGCTCTGCCGGCTCACTGGCTGGGGATGTGGGCAATGACGGCCTCTGAGTTTACACTTCTCATAGTGAAATGGGTCTCACAGCAATGCCATCTGCTTCCCAAGGCTAAGGATTCAGTGTGACAGTGAGGGCAAAGCACTCAGCACAGGGCCCGACACACAGCAAAGCCTCAGCCCTTGTTCTTGCTGCTCATTGATGACAGTGATGACAATGATGGTGACTGAGTTGTGTGGCTGAGCATTTGGACCCCAAGTTTTATCTCCAACTGGCAGGTGGGGAGCCGGGATTTGAATTTGGCTCTGTCTGACCCCATTCTCCCAGGATGCAAGAAATGGGGCCTGGGGAGGATCGCTTGAGCCCAGGAGTTCAAGACTAGTCTGGACAACATAGTGAGACCCCTGTCTCTACAAAAAAAAAAAAAAACAAAATTCTTTTTAAATCAGCTGGCATGGTGGTGCGCACCTGTAGTCTTGGGAGGCTGAGGTGGGAAGATGGACTGAGGCTGGGAGGTCGAGACTGCAGTTAGCCGTGATCGTATCACTGTACTTCATCCTGGGTGATAGAGCGAGACCCCTGTCTCAGAAAAAAAAAGAAATGGGGCCTAAAAGAAAGCCAGACAGCTGAGCATGCAAGAACCGGGTCTCTGTAGATGAGTAGGTGAATGTGCTGGGCATGAGGCTCAAAAAGATGGTCCTTTAACAGGAACGACTGCACACATGTGTGCCCCCACAGAGTGCTGGGTGGAAGGACAAAGTTCCAGAAACTCAGGTTGGAAGTGTCAATGAAGGCACCATTGTGGGGTCCAGTGCTCAGGCAAAGAGACCCAGCCCAGGAATGGTGCTCCCAGCCACAGGGAAAGTCCCGGAAGTGAGGCCAGAGTGGCAGCCCCCCGAGAGCTTGCTTGGCTCCTGTGGTTGGCCGGGGTGTGGTGGGTCCGCTCAGCAGCCGAGCAGAAAGGAGGCTGGATGGGAGGGGGTTACCAAAGGCCTGAACCCACATCCTGGCTCTGCCTCTGATCATCAGGATGACCCTGGGCAAATTGTTCTCCAAGCTTTCCCCTCCTCATTTGTGGGATGAGGCCAACATCCTCCTGGGGTTATGATGGTCTCGGAGGCTGAGCTCCTGTGACTCAATGTCACTGTGACTGGTTTGTAGGAAAATACAACAAATGGGACAAAGTGGACCCCGCAGAACTGTTCAGCCAAGCTCCCACGGAGAAGAAAGAAGCTAACCCCAAGCTGAACATGGTGAAGTTCCTGCAGGTGCGTGGGGCTGGCCTGGGCATGAGCACACCGGGGCTCCCCACCCTCCACAGCTGCCATGTCTTTGCCCACCCTTGCTTGAGTCCTAATCCCCCTTGGACAGGGGGGCCTTTGCTAGCTTTTTCTGTGAGTGCCCCCTGCTGGCCCACGAGGCACCTGCAGGCACCCCCAACACACAAGGCAGTTGCCATTGCCAACCCTCAGTCCTGGAGAGCAGGCCTTCTGCTTTTAAAATAGCTTGTTTGGTCGGGGGGTTTTTCTCCTTAATTTTAAAACAAATGCATACAGATTATGGAAAATTAGAAAGTGCAGATAAGTAGAAAGACAGAAAAATTATGCATAATCATATTACCCAAGACGACTGCTGTTATCATTTAGGGTTATTTCATTTTAACCCTTCTTCTGGGCAGTTTTGGGGTATAAGATCATGTTGCATTTATACTTTTTTTTTTGGTCCAAAAAACATCAATTATAAACTCAATTCTTTTCTGTTGGCTGAGCCAGCCTCAACACAGCCAGCTCCTTACCCAGCCCAGGTACCAGTCCTCCTAACTGAGGTTCAGGGCCTGGGACCAAGCCCTGTCCTGGATGGGAGCACTGGGGGCGGGTGGCACAGACCGGGTCTGCAGCAGGTACGTGTGAACCTGTGCTGTGTGGCAGGTGGAGGGCAGAGGCTGCGACTACATCGTGCTGTGGCTGGACTGCGACAAGGAGGGGGAGAACATCTGCTTTGAGGTGAGTGTGAGGCTCACTTTGTTCCTCACTTTTGGCCTTTCTGACACCAGCCCCAAACTGACACCAGCAGTCAGTCACATCACTCCTGGGGCCAAAGGAGGGAGTAAACTGTACCGGTTTAAAAACACCTCTCCCCTCCCTTTATTCTGAAACTCCACAGATACTTTTAACTGCATAGGCTCTATTAAAGGTGGTCAGTTGTTCCTCCGCTTGCTGAGGCCTCAACGGTATGAGTGAACATAGGAGGGGCCAAATTGTCTGGGTGGATGCAGGTTTCAGAATGGGATTGTCTTGGGGCAGCTTGGTGTTCAGCATCTTGTGCCCAGCGTGACTTCTCAGGGACCTTGGGTTGATGCTGGTTGATTCCCGACCTCAGCACTGAGCTCCTTTTGCAGGCCTCGCTCTGCTCATCTCCTGCCTCATCCAGGATGCCTCCTGCCTCCAGCCAACCCTGGGAGCCCTGCAGAGAAGCAGGTGGCAGCTGCTCCCTGTGCACACCCCATGCCCCATGCTTGCCCCGGCCATGGTGCCCTCACAGTGGCCATGACTGCTGGTCTCACTTGGTGCCCTTCAGACTGTTGTTCTATGGGTCGCCCCCGTGCTCCTGTACCCCCAGCTCTCACCCGTGGCTCAAGAGCTGGTCAGTGAGACAGAGCTGAGGCACCTGGCGTTGCAGTACAGCACCCTCAGCAAATGCGATCACACTCTGTCTCTTCCCAGATACCCTCTCCTCCCCTGCAGGGCGGCTCCTCCCTGGGGGCCTTTGCATCTGGGAATGGAGAATGGGGGCAGCTCATGGGGCTTTCTCCCTTCAGAAATGAAGCCACTTATTCCCAGTAAGGAAGCTGCGTGGCCAGGCTCCGGCGGCGACCCTAGTCCCACTGCACGGCCTTCCTAGTGAGTCTCGGCTCCAGGACCCCTGCTGTGCTTTAGCCCGAGCTGCCCCCACCACAAGCTAGGACCACCCGTGGCCTTCCTGCTCTTGCCCATTTCCTTTCCCCTTCATTCTTTTTTCCTTCCCTGTCTTTTCTTCAGCCTCTTAAAATTTCCACCCACCCCTCCAAACCCTCCCTCCTAGAAGGCAGGGAATCGTGTCACATGGGATGGGTTTGGGGACTAAGAGGTCCCTCATGTACTTGGCAGTAGCATTTCCTGATTTGGTGGGGATGAAAGCAGAGGATTAGAAGAGAGGGCGGGAGTAAGAAGGGAGTGTTCGAGTATGTTTCTAGATGGGAGTAAAGGAAGCCATGTGGTGGGGTGTTGTGGAGTGCTCAGGGCTTCTGGAAAGGCAGGGGGATAGAGGAGGGTCTGGCAGGTGCAGGAAAGGGGATAGAGGAGGGTCTGGCAGGGGCAGGAGAGGGAGCCGAGCACACGTGTTCTTTCCTGGAAGGAACCAGGCTTCACAGTGGGGTGGGGAGCTGTGGCAGGGATCTGGGAGGTGGGTCACAGCTGGCCACTCCCCACCCCCAGGTTCTTGATGCTGTTCTGCCCGTCATGAACAAGGCCCATGGTGGCGAGAAGACCGTGTTCCGGGCCAGGTTTAGCTCCATCACGGACACAGACATCTGTAATGCCATGGCCTGCCTAGGCGAGCCTGACCACAACGAGGCGCTCTCAGTGGATGCTCGCCAGGAGCTGGACCTGCGAATCGGCTGTGCATTCACCAGGTGCTGGCCACACCCGCAGAGTCCTGGGCACACCCTCACTCTCCCTCAGCCAGAGACCTGCCTCTACTGGTCCCCCTCCGGGGCCCCTAGGCCTCCTCGAGCCAGGATGAGCAACAGGGGATTTCACCAACCCTGAAGAAGGCCAGGCACAGTGGCTAACACCTGTAATCCCTGCACTTTGGGAGACCAGGATAGGAGGATTGCTTGAGGTTGGCAGTTTGAGACCAGCCTGGGCAGCATAACAAGACCCCATCTCTACAAAAAAAAAAAAAAAAAAAATTATTTTTTTGAGACAGAGTCTTGTTCTGTTGCCTAGGCTGGAATGCAGTGGTACAATCTCAGCTCACTGCAACCTCTGCCTCCCAGGCTCAAGAGATCCTCCTACCTGAGCCTTCCACTACAGGTGCTACAGGTGTGCACCACTATGCCTGGCTAATTTTTATGCATTTTGTAGAGACAGGGTTTTACTGTATTGCCCAGGCTGGTCTCAAACTCCTGAGCTCAAGCAATCTGCCCACCTTGGCTTCCCAAAGTGCTGGGATTACACATGTGAGCCACTGCGCCCAGGCTAAACAAAAATTTATTTATTTTTTTGTTTGTTTGTTTTTTGAGACAGAGTCTTACTCTGTCATCCAGGCTGGAGTGCAGTGGCACAATCTCAGCTCACTGCAACCTCTGCCTCCTGGGTTCAAGTGATTCTCATGCCTCAGCCTCCCAACTAGCTGGGATTACAGGCTCCTGCCACCACTCCCGGCTAATTTTTATACTTTTAGTAGAGACGGGGTTTCACCATGTTGGCCAGGCTGGTCTCGAACTCCTGACCTCAGGTGATCCGCCCACCTCAGCTTCCCAAAATGCTGGGATTACAGGTATGAGCCACTGTGCCTGTCCAAACATTTTGTTTTAATTAGCTGGGTGTGGTGGTGTGAGCCTGTAGTCCCAGTTACTTGGGAGGCTGAGGTGGGAGGATCACTTGAGCCCAGGAGTTCAAGGCTGCAATGATCTGTGAATCCCCATTAATGCACTCCTGCTGGGCAATACAGCAAGACCCTGTCTCTACAAAAACAAAAGAGACCTAAAGAAAATTGTTTATTTAGCTGACAGAGATCACATATGCCCTGCTTGATAAAGTGTGTTTGTCTGTGCTCTGGGGGTCCTGAGGAGAGTGTGCAGTAGATGGAATAGAATAGAAGGCTCCCTGGCCTGAGACAGTAGAAACCTCTGTCTCCTCTCTCACTGGCTCTGTCACCCATGTACACACATGAATCCTCCCTAAGGCTATGCCCACTCTGCTCCCACTGGCTTCTAAGTGGGGACACCACCTGATGCCACCTCCTTCATGCACCACCCCTGGCCTTGGGCTGGACTCACATGGGTGGCCATAATAGTGTCTTGAGTGAATCAGTGACCAAAATATCTTTCCACTCCCTCCAGGTTTCAGACTAAATATTTCCAGGGGAAATACGGTGATTTAGACAGCTCTCTCATCTCCTTTGGGCCGTGTCAGACTCCAACCCTGGGATTCTGTGTGGAGAGACATGATAAAATCCAGTCCTTCAAACCAGAGACCTACTGGGTGCTGCAGGCCAAGGTTCCTTGCCTTTCTCTATTCATGCTGGGGCTTTCTGGGTTTGGGGCATGGATTCTGAGAGTCTTCCATCATCATCAGCCGGCAGGCCCCGGGCTGAGGGCAGAAGTGTGGACGGCTGTACCTGGAAGTGGTCTGTGGTGCCTAGGGCTGAGGGACCCCAGCCTTCATGGGGGCAGTGGGAAGAGACTGGGCCTGTATATGCTGAATCTGGATAAGTGGGAATGAGTTCAGCTCTGGCAGTGCAGGGTGAGGTCACCCCACAGGAATCAGTGGCTTCAGTGGTCAGGTCCAAGCACTGGACTGAGACCATTGGCTTTCAAACTTTTTAAAATTCCTAGAACCCTTTCTTCAAATAAAAGCCTCCACAGAAGCTCACTGTAAGACTTAATACAGCTAGGCACAGTGACTGATGTCTGTAATCCCAACAACCTGGGAGGCTGAGGCAAGAGGATTGCTTGAGGCCAGGAGTCCAAGGCTACAGTGAGCTACGATCGTGCCACTGCACTCCAGCCTAGCAACACAGTGAGACACTGTCTTGGAGCTGCTGTGGCTGACACGGGGCTTGGGACCCTGGCGGTGGCCATACCTACCACTGGCCAGGCACTGGGGATAGGCAGGGGTGGTGTGAGAAGTAGGGGCTCAGGTGCTTCTTAGGGACACATCAGCCTCAGCTTTGGGCCACCTTCCTGAGACTGGCTGCCTGGTTTTGGGGCAAGTGGTGGAGAGGGCCAGATGTCAGCTTGCGTATCTGCCCACCTGAACAGGTACAGCTGTGAGCCATTACAGCCAGGGCTATTTGGCTCCCAGACAAGGACCAGCTTCATCTGTCCTGGTTCTTCCTGGCGTTGGGCTCACCTGGAGACTTTTTCTTGTGCGTTCACCCTTTATCCTTTTTCCTGCAGGTTAACACTGACAAAGACAGATCTCTCCTTTTGGACTGGGACCGAGTAAGAGTGTTTGACCGGGAGATCGCACAGATGTTTTTAAACATGACAAAGCTGGAGAAGGAAGCCCAGGTGTGCCTGCTCCACCCACATCTATCACAGTTGCCTTGGGTGAGGGTGGCCCTTGGATGCCTCCCGCTGGAGGAACAGCCTGTGATCCTAGTCCACGTCTTTCTCCCCCTTTCTGAAACACAGACATCTTTTTGGAAAGCTGAATGGTTACTCCCTCATATACTCCTAAGATATTTCTGCCCAGTGCAATAGTCACAGTGTACTGCATGCCCGCTCCATACCAGGCACTGTCCACACCTGTGACCTTGTCGGACCCCTTCCACTCTCCCCTTTCCACGTGACCCGCTAGGCATTACCTCCGTGTGGCAGGACTCCATTTCACACAGAGATTCAAACTAACAACTGTAGAGGGACCTTGGTGCACACTGATGAACTTGCCCAAGGTCACAGCTAGCAGGGGAAAGTCTTGAGATTCCAATTGCAATCAGCTTGCGTGCTTTTATGGGATTATGTTTCTTACTCAGGGCTTCTATGAATTGAAAGGACATGCTGCTTGGCTGTTAGGAAAACGGTGAGGTGACCTGGCTGCATGGGTTGGGGACACATCTGTGGCTATTGAAGTAAACATGCTACAGGCATGACAGCTACCAGATCCGTCGAGACACAGCCTGGCCTCCTTAGCCGCCTTCTCCTTGTCCTTCTCTGGCCTTCCTTGAGTGCCCTGTTGCCCGCCATGCTATCGTCTCAGGCATCTGAAACTTCTAAAGCTGCTCCAGGCTGTCAGCATTGATCACATTCCTGCAGAGACACTGTTGCCACCTCCAGGCCTCACGCTGGGGAGCCCAGCTTCACATAACAACTGGCCTCTGTTAGCACCCACATCTGTCTGTCTGGAATGCAGAAGGCACTGCCCTGACCAGCCTACGTGGGATTGGCAAGGGCCAGGGCCTGGGGTTGAGTTGTTTGGATTGTTTTTGCCATAGGCAAAACAAAGAGTTGTCTCTTCCGACAAGTGTTCAGCAGAGGTAGAGAGTGGCAGGACCCCAACAAAGCACAGCTCATAGATGCACTCCACTAACCTGCATGGTGTTTACACAAATTCCAGAATAGTTACCAGCACTTAAAAATTACGAGATTTCATACTAAAATTCTGCCTTCTAGCTTCTCTTGAAAAATCAGAAGAGGTAGCAATACTAGCAGGTGCAGGCAGCAGCCCTCCCCACAACAAGGAGTGGTACTTCCCCTGGGACGGGCCCCACTTGCCATCCCTGTAGCTTGGCTGATGCTGGCTTCTGTAGGATTTCCATCTGCAGCCCTTCTGACTCCTCCTCAATCTTCCAGGTTTTCTCTTTCCCTAGAAAATTCTCCAGAAAAGAATATTCAATCACTTGAGGCCAGGAGTTTGAGACCAGCCTGGACAACACAGGGAGACCCTGTCTCTGAAAAAAATAATTTAAAAAGTAGACGGGCATGGTGGCACGTGCCTGTAATCCTAGCACTTTGAGAAGCTGAGGCGAGAGGATTACTTGAGGCCAGGAGTTCATTTAAGACTAGCCTGGGCAACATAGCAAGACCCTGTCTGTACAAGAAATTGAAAAAAAAAATTGGTCAGACATGATGGTGTGTGCCTGTGGTTTCAGCTACACAGGAGGCTGAGGCAGGAGGATCACTTGTCCCAGGAGTTCAGGGCTACAGTAAGCTCTGATGGTGCCACTGCACTCCAGCCTGGGCGACAGAGCAGGACCCTGTCTCTTAAAAAAAACAAAATTTGGTTTTTTGTTTGTTTGTTTGTTTGTTTTGAGATGGAGTCTTGCTCTGTCACCCAGGCTGGATTACAATGGCGTGGTCTCAGCTCACTGCAACCTTCACCTCCCAGGTTCAAGCAATTCTGCCTCAGCGTCACGAGTAGCTTGGATTACAGGCACGTTCCACCATGCCCAGCTAATGTTTGTATTTTTAGTAGAGACGGGGTTTCACCATCTTGGTCAAGCTGGTCTCGAACTCCTGACCTCAGGTGATCCACCCGCCTCAGCCTCCCAAAGTACTGGGATTACAGGCGTGAGCCACCACACCCAGCCAAAATTTTTTTTTAAAAAAGAATTTTCATTCTTTTTCCTTTCCTGGTCCTGAATAAATATTCAATCAAGTCTTTAGACTGTTGGGAAGAATGAATTGGAGAAACAGGGAGACCAGATGAATGAAACCAGACCCTTCGTCCACACATCTTGATTCCCTCTATGGTGGTGTCTTCCTCCTTCCCCAAATCATTGACTGTCCTGTCTTCCAGGTGGAGGCCACAAGCAGGAAAGAAAAGGCCAAGCAGAGGCCCCTGGCCCTGAACACTGTGGAGATGCTGCGTGTGGCCAGCTCTTCTCTGGGTATGTAGGGACATTTCTCTCAAGTCACCAGAAGGCTTCCTGAGGCAGGTTCAGCCTGGAGCAGCGAGTGCCCAGGGTTGCAGGATGGTGCCCAAGGCTTCAAGGGGATCTGAGCCTCAGGAGGATTTCACTTATCCTTAGGTTGTAAAGGTGGTAAAGTTGGTCACCACCTGAGGGGACCTCCTGATGTTAGAGTCCCTGAGCAGCTATCCCTGGTGAGGGGAGAGGCCCCAGCCAGATGTCACCTTCAGGGAACCAGTGTGAACGTCGCCCCTCAGCCTCATCTCCTCAGTCTTTTCTCCTTAGTAACGAGGAGGGGGTTGGGCTGGAAAGCTGGTGGTCTCTGGCAGCTGTCAGCCCCTAGGCATTGGTGCCCCCCACCCCCGCAGGGAACTATGGGCAGTGTCCTCTCAGTGGACACTGAGTGGTGGCTCCAGCGTCCTCAGAGGGCAGCAATGCTGGGAGTGGTTGCTAGCTAAGCGCCTGCCTCTGCTGGTCAGGGAGTAGCAGGACGAGCCCCCCTGAGTGGCCCCAAAGTGCTGTGAGGACAGAAACACCCAAGGGCTCAAAATGGGGCTGCGTGCTAACTCTGTCGTCAGCCAACCCCGAGGTATGGTTATGGCTCCATGGACAATGCATGGGGAGTGGTGCTCTGAAGGCCATGTGTCATCCCCATGGCCATGAGCCCCATGAGGATGCACCGTGGGGTAGAGTGAGTGGCGTTTCCCATCAGGCCCATCCTGGGTGTAGGATTCAGCCTTACGGGTGCGGGATTCAGCCTCATACAAGACTGTGTGGCATAGGTGCCCACCCGGCCAGCAGCTTTGCACTCCAGCTGTGCCTGCTCAGAGCCACCGTCACCCTCCAGGAGGGGCCGGCCACAATGGGGGAGCCTGAGTGCATAGGCCAGGGCAGGCAGCTGGCCATCCCCACGTACCTGGCCCTCTGAGAACCTCCTGTCTCTCGCAGGCATGGGGCCGCAGCACGCCATGCAGACGGCTGAGCGGCTCTACACGCAAGGCTACATCAGCTACCCACGGACAGAGACCACCCACTACCCTGAGAACTTTGACCTGAAGGGCTCTCTGCGGCAGCAGGCCAACCACCCCTACTGGGCCGACACGGTGAGTGGAGCCGGGCCGGCCTCAGCATGTGTGTGTGTCACTGAGGCCTTGGGACCAGGTCTGGTACGTCAGCCAAACCCAGGCAGGCAGCCGAGCCCAGCCACAGACTCTGCTCTGTCTTCTCTCCCTCAGGTGAAGCGGTTGTTAGCAGAAGGTATCAACCGCCCGCGGAAAGGCCATGACGCCGGCGACCATCCCCCCATCACCCCCATGAAGTCTGCCACAGAGGCCGAATTAGGTACCGCTCTCATCCCATACCCGGTGTGCTTCCAGGGAGGGAAGGGCGAGCTGCGACAGTGAAGGTTGCAGGCCCTGTTGGCAATGTGGGGGCTCCTTCAGCCTCTGCCTGCCCTGGCTGTGGGGATGGGGGGCCACCTGGAAGATGAGCTCCATTGCTATGGGACCAGGACAGGAGTGAAGAGGTAGCAGCAGGTGCTGTTGCAGGGAGGCAAGGGGGCAGACGCCACAGGGGACATGAATGAAACCAGGGTAGAGAGTGGCGGTGTGGGGGAGGGGGCAGCACACCTCCTACCTCCCAGCTGGCCTAAGGTGGTACCAGTGGTCCGAGTGCCAGGAGAAGGCAAATGAGGAAGGGAGAGCAGTGCAGGTAGAGACAGGAGCCACCTGTGGACAGTCTGAGTTTGAAGCAATGGTGTCATGTCACGAGACAATGGAAAGACAGGCCAATGCCTGAAGAGCAGTCCCGCCAGAAGCAGGGACAGGAGGTTGTGCAGGATGGTGGGAGCCGCAGCCAGAAAGAAACCACTGAGGCATGGAGGCTTGTGTTCCCTTCCTCCGCATTTGCTTTTTTTTTTTCTTTTTTTGAGACAGAGTCTTGTTCTGTCACCCAGGCTGGAGTGCAGTGGCCCGATCTCGGCTCACTGCAACCTCTGCCTCCCAGGTTCAAGCAGTTCACCCTGCCTCAGCCCCCCGAGTAGCTGGGATTACAGGCTCCCACCACCACACCCAGCTAATTTCTTTGTATTTTTAGTAGAGACGGGGTTTCACCATGTTGGCCAGGCTGGTCTCAAACTCCTGACCTCAAGTGATCCATCCACCTTAGCCTCCCAGAGTGCTAGGATTACAGGCATGAGCCACCACGCCCGGCCTTCCTGCACATTTTCTTTCCTCCTTCCCCAGGATTTGCAGTGTGTCCTGCACAGCGGCTCTGTAAGCAGGAGCTTGCTGCTCGAGCGAGAGTACTGGGGGCTCCTCACGGCCAGAGCCCCCAGCTGGCTCCCAACTGACTAGCCCTGGCCTGTTGCAGGGGGTGACGCGTGGCGGCTCTATGAGTACATCACCAGACACTTCATCGCCACGGTCAGCCATGACTGCAAGTACCTGCAGAGCACCATCTCCTTCAGAATTGGGCCCGAGCTCTTCACCTGCTCCGGGAAGACCGTCCTCTCACCAGGTCACACCACGGGCCCAGCCTTCCTCCTCTGTGCCTTCATGGGCAGACAAACATTCTACATCGTGTCTGGGGATGGGAGGCCCAGGGTCTGAGGCCCCGGCCACCCAGGCTGGGGACCCTGAGTGGCGGCGCATATCTCTCCAGGCTTCACGGAGGTCATGCCCTGGCAGAGCGTGCCCCTGGAGGAGAGCCTGCCCACTTGCCAGCGGGGTGATGCCTTCCCTGTGGGCGAGGTGAAGATGCTGGAGAAGCAGACGAACCCACCCGACTACCTGACGGAGGCCGAGCTCATCACGCTCATGGAGAAGCATGGCATCGGTGGGTGCGCCTGCCCAGGCCCCAGAGCCGGCTCCGTCTCCAGTACTCAGGCTTCGAGTCTACTCACAAAGCTGCCCCGCCAGCCCTGTGTGCCCAGCCCAGCACCCCTCCATGGGCTGGTATCTGGAAACTGGTGACCCAGTGTGTGGCCAGCCAGGCAGGTCCACAGCGGGCATCCCCTCCTGAGGCCTCCATTCAGGACCTGGCCTTCCCTGTGAAGGCCCAGATGTGCCCTCGTGCACTGTGGGGTGTGCACACACCGACTAACGCCCACAAGGCTGAAGATTGGCCCAGATGCCAGGTGACTCATAGAAATCATATTGGCAGTCCCCTGAGTCCACACAGCCAGCCTGGGCTGTCCTGAAATCAGGTGACAGGGAAATGAGATCTCACAGGAGCTGCTTCCCTGGGAGAGAACAGAAATGCCTGTCCCAGGCACAGGGCTCCCCAAAGGGTGACCAGGAAGTTTCCACGCAAAAATGGGCAGCCCAGGGAGTTTATCAAAGCAAAAGTGTAGTCACCAGTGCACACTCCTCACAGGAGTGGTGGCCTCACAAGTCCCCAGGCCTGGAGCTGTGAGATGTCTCACATGTTGGGGGCCAGCCTCACTGCCGGAGCCTTCTCCCCAGGTGGCACTCGCGCCGCTGGGCACTGCCTGTTCCCTGGGGCACTACCCCTGGCTGACAGGCTCTGGAGACCTGTGGGATGTCACAGCCACTGTGTCCAGGCTCTGCTCCAGCAGTGGTCATATAGGTGGACTCTCAGGGAGTGTCTCTTCCCAGGCTGGGGTCCTGGTGACCATGGCGATCTTGGCAGGAGAGCAGAGCTCTGGGCTTGCTCCTCTCAGGGGTCCAGGGCACCTGCCAGGGTCCTGAAATAGCCCTCAGCCCACTGTGGAGTGTGGGCTCTGCTCCCCCGTGTCCTCTGCCCTCTCGCATTGATGGGACACTGGCTCCTGGCAGCCCTATGCTAGCCAGTGAGCCAGACCCAATCACCAATACAAGTTTGTGACAGTGAAGAGGGCTCTGGTGTTACCTTCTGAACAGGAGAGTGGTCAGGGTGGCCCTGTGACTGAGCCCCCAGGAGTGTGTCAAAAGGGCCTGACCAGAGCCGCCACAGAGGAGCCCACACCACGCGTCATGGCGCCCGGCAGACTCGGGGTGGTAGTGGCACACGCCACCCACAGCCTGCCACACCGGGTGCAGAGCTGGCCTCGTGCCAAGAGCCATGGGCCCTCGGCAGGCTCCTTAGCCCCCAGAGGCCAGTTTCTTCCCATGTGAGATTCTCTCCGAGCTACTTTGGGAAGGTGTGTGTCACCTGTCCATGCTGGTGAGCATGCAGGGAGCCCCAGCCTCCTTTCTGCCCCTCTGACTGGCACCCGCCATAGTCAAAACGCCTCAGCCTCCGCTGCGCCCCTCTGCCAGGAAACTTCCTCTGGGTGGGAGAGTGGAATCCTGGGGACTGGGAGCCTCCCCTGGGGATCGTGACGGGCCTTGCAGAGAGGGAGGAGGTGGGAGACAGGAAGTGGACAGAATTGTCCAGGTTTAGGGGAGGGCAGCTCTGCAGTGAGCTTGTAAGCACCTCCGTGTTCTGGTGGAGTGGGGCTCTGGCTCCGGGAGCAGGTGGGTGCCACAGGACCCAGGCAGGAGAAGCCATAGAAGTCACATTTTCCAGGCGCAGAATAAGCACTGTGACCTTGGAGAGTTCCTTAACCTCCGAGCCTGTTGTCTCTGCCATAAAGCAGGAGTAGGCGCCCTGTACAGGGAGGGCTGCCCTTGTGTTCTCAAGGCAGAACATGAAATGCATGCAGTTGGTGCCCAGCACAGTGCAGGGGGAGCTCAGGGCACAGCCCTCCCTCCTGTGACCGGGAGCAGTGAGAGGGCCTGAGCACCAGGGGCCCCGTGACAGGTGATACAGCACATGGTTCAGTGGGGCATGTCCAAGGCAGGCCAGGAACCCTGGGGCCTTGTACATTGCAGGCACGGATGCCAGCATCCCTGTGCATATCAACAACATCTGCCAGCGCAACTATGTCACGGTGGAGAGCGGGCGCCGGCTCAAGCCCACCAACCTCGGCATCGTCCTGGTGCACGGCTACTATAAGATTGGTGAGTTCCTCAGTCCTGCCCCCAGGGCCCACCGAGGCTCCCTGGCTTCTCCCTGGATGTTGGCTCTGCTGCCCGCTCCAGACAGGCCCCTGCCCTACAGTGATCCCCCAGCCCCACACACACTCCCTCAACACCCGCTGAAGGGGTGCTGCCCCAGGACCCCCAGGACCTGCCCAGAGCAGGAGCTCAGTGTGTTTGAAGGCTGAACAGATGTGTGAGGGAACCAAAAAGGGAGGCGAAGTTGCCTCAGCCCTGTTCCCTGGAGGTTCCCCAGGGGCCAAGGGGAGAGGGAGGAGCACAAAACTGGCCCAAGGGCGGCCTGGAGCTCATGTGTGATGTGGTTCTAGCCACAGGACATCCCTGGCCACTCTGCCTGACATTTCCAGGTGGGAAATCAGGAAAGGTCTGGGGTCATAAGAGCCAGCCTGGTACCATCTGAGGCTGTGGACTGGTGGGTAGGGCAGAGGCCAGGAGGACGGGCCAGAGCGGGAGGGGTGAACAGGGCAGTATCCCTGCCTGGGAAGGGGTGGCATGGCCCTGGGTGCGAGTGCTCAGGGCAATATCTGCCCCCTGCCCACTTGCAGATGCAGAGCTGGTGCTCCCCACCATCCGCAGTGCAGTGGAGAAGCAGCTGAACCTGATCGCCCAGGGCAAGGCCGACTACCGCCAGGTCCTGGGCCACACCCTGGACGTGTTCAAGAGGAAGTTCCACTACTTTGTCGACTCCATTGCTGGTAGAGTCTGCCTCTGGCCTGCCCCTCACCAGAGGGGTGTCTCTCTGTCAGCAAGGCCAGTACCTGGGGACCCAGGTCCCCACGTGGGACCAGCTCCCAGATCTGGGCTTCAGGCCTCCGTAGGCCAGGTCAGTGACACCTCCTGGCTGGGTTGAAAGAGCAGGTGCATTAACACCACACATGGCCAGGAACACGTGCCTCTGACGCACAGGGCTGCTGCCCTGCCGTGCTGCCAGGACAGTAGAAACCACCGCCTATAGGGACCCTTTCACACTCAGACCCTTGACCACGTGTTGCGGAGCCTTTTGCTGGGGACTGGGAGGGAGATGACTCCTGCACTCTGCTTGCCCGCAGGCATGGATGAGTTGATGGAGGTGTCTTTCTCGCCCCTGGCGGCCACAGGCAAGCCCCTCTCACGCTGTGGGAAGTGCCACCGCTTCATGAAGTACATCCAGGTAGGTGCAGGGAACACTAGCTCAGGCAAGCTGCCTCACCCCTGTAGGCCTCAGCTTTATCGTTGATCAGCAGGAATCATGTTCTTTGTCCTGGTTGTCACAAAAGAATGATGGAACATAAAGAGGCCTTGCCAAAAAATACCCAGTGTCCCCACGTCCCCTAGAATACACAGCCATTAGGCCACGCAAACACACATGGTGCATTTTTCCCTAACACCATGCCACTTGCCATCATGGGCATTAATGTACACACAGAGATTTTAGAACTGCCTTTTCTGCACGCGTGGAGCAAGAGCCAGAGACTCATGCTCCTTGCCTGGCAGTGTGTCACAGGTTCTGCATGACAGATTACATACTTTGTATTATGAGAGGAGTGGGGGTGGGTGCCAAGTCGGTGGCCCCAGTGACCCTCACGCCACCTGCCTGGCATTGCCGCAGGCCAAGCCAAGCCGCCTGCACTGCTCCCACTGCGATGAGACCTACACGCTCCCCCAGAACGGCACCATCAAGCTCTACAAGGAGCTCCGCTGCCCTCTGGATGACTTCGAGCTGGTCCTGTGGTCATCAGGCTCTCGGGGCAAGAGCTACCCGCTGTGCCCCTACTGCTACAACCACCCACCCTTCCGAGACATGAAGAAAGGTGAGTGCAGCCACTCCCTCCTGTCCACAGGTAGCTGCAGTCTCTTTTCAGTGCCAACCCCTGCCTTGCACCAGGCTGGACTCTGAGGGGACCCCTCACCCTGGCCTTTCCTGCACTCATTGGCACTGAGACGAGAGACCCTGGATGTAGCTGGGGCACTGCTTAGGCCTCAGCCAGTGGTGCCACCCTCTCTCTGTGTCAGAATCGAGCAGGCAACCCTAGTCCACCCTCAGGACCTGGGCACAGGTGTGCAGTGCTCCCTCTGGAGCTGAGTGAGCAAGAGGATGCAGCAGTCGGGGGACCCACCCGGTGAGCGGGCACCCCCAGTCAGCGTCCACCACCGTCCTCCATCCTCATCCTCGTCCTCATTACTGGAGGAGGGAGCGCATGTCCAGGCAGGCAGGACAGAGCACCGAGCCAGACCAGGAATCAGCGGGAGTGAGGCATCTGCCCACATTCACCGTGTGCTCTGCAGAAAGCTCCCTCAGGCCTCAGTCTGCACCCAGGCTGCCCCGGGAGTGAGACCCCATCCCTGCCCTCCTGCTGCCGCCAGAGTAGCTGACAGGGTGGTTCCATGTGGCCCAGTGACATGAGGGTCATGTGGCATTACCAGTAACAAGCTGGCAGCAAAGCAAAGGGGGGATGGAGTCAGCTGAAACCCACTGGGATGGTGCCAGCGAGGGGCCTTGAAAGTTGAGGAGGTTTCAGGTAAGCAGAAAACAGGGGTAATGGCAGCCAGGAGCCGAAACATGAGCAAGGCTGTCCCCAAGAGCAAGGCCAAGAAGAGTTCCTTCTGCTGGGACGAGGGATCCAGGAGCTTGAGGCATTGGGAGCAGGCAGCAGAGGGCAGGTGGGCACAGTGGGCGTGCCTTTACAGGGCTCCCTTCTCCCGCCAGGCATGGGCTGCAACGAGTGTACGCACCCCTCCTGCCAGCACTCGCTGAGCATGCTGGGCATCGGCCAGTGCGTGGAATGTGAGAGCGGGGTGCTGGTGCTGGACCCCACCTCGGGCCCCAAGTGGAAGGTGGCCTGCAACAAGTGCAACGTGGTAGCGCACTGCTTCGAGAACGCCCACCGCGTGCGGGTGTCCGCCGACACCTGCAGTGTCTGTGAGGCCGCCTTGCTTGATGTGGACTTCAACAAGGCCAAGTCCCCACTCCCGGGCGATGAGACGCAGCACATGGGCTGCGTCTTTTGTGACCCCGTCTTCCAGGAGCTGGTGGAGCTGAAGCATGCGGCCTCCTGCCACCCCATGCACCGCGGTGGACCAGGGAGAAGGCAGGGTCGAGGGCGGGGCCGGGCCAGGAGGCCCCCTGGGAAGCCCAACCCCAGACGGCCCAAGGACAAGATGTCAGCCCTGGCCGCCTACTTTGTATGATGACCCTGTCCTCCCTCACCCAGGCTGCAGTGCCATGCAGACACCTCATGGCACTTCAAACTATTAAAATGCATTTTATCTTATCCAGAGCTGGGGCCCCTTTGCTGGTGCAGCGATGTCAGAGCGTTACCGTGTCCCTGGGCACCTGTGGGGCCCTCTCTCCCTCTCCGAAACCCAATACGTCTCCCTTCAGCCTGCATACACGTGCCCAGAGTGCTCCCTGCTATCCCTACACCCTGGCAGTACGGGCAGGGATGCCCCAACCCTGAAGCCCTGGGGAATAGACCCAGTTTGCACTCACACCCCATCTCAATCCGTGCTGCTGATGGTAGCTGTGTGCACAAGCAGTGGCCCTGATGCCTTAAGGAAGGCGGCCTTGACAGCTGTGGCTCCGGCAGGAGAGGAGTCTAGTGGAGCAGGTGGGGCTGGGAGACCCCCTCCCCGGATCTGGCTTATGAATCCCCTTGGTCTTCGCTGCAGCCCCCTGCTCAGGGCCACGCTCTTGACCCCACACTTCTCCGTCCCCTGCTCCCTGCTCCCATCTCTGAGAAGCCCTGTACATGGTGCCCGTGTGCGTCTGGCAGCTTCCCAGGACCTGCTGCAATTCCCATTCTCACAACAAGCCCTTATGGTCTTAGAGGCAGCTGGGTGCCCCATGGAACCCATTCACATGCCAGGTTTAGAAAATACCCTGTAGGCCAGACTGCCGTGTGGTGCCAGGTGCTGGTGGCAGCTGCCCTCTGACCTCAGTGCCTTCTTGTGCTCCCCTCCCCAGCCACCCGAGGAGAGACACCTGTGCGGGATCCACTGTGTGTTGGAAACTCCCTCCACACTCCGCCCGTGCCTCATTGAGTGATGACGGGAGCTCAGCAAAACAGCTTTCCAGACTGTTCAGTGGGACCTTTCTTTGAGGGGCAGGTCAGGAATGTTTCGGACTCAGACCCGCCCCCGCCCCAACTCAGTAGTAGATTCCCAGGCTGCACCAGGACTTATATGAGAGCTCCTGTAAGGAAACCCAGAGCCCACCAAGCATACCCCCCCTGGACCCCCTTCCTGGAGGCCCTCACAGGTTAACACGGGGGTTCCCTGGAACACAGTTTGGAGAGCTACTCGAAGCTGAATGAAAATACAGAGACATGGGGAACCACATAGAGGGTCCTGGGATGTGTCTCAGAAGCACAGGCTTCAGGAAGGAGGGGGTGCTCTCAGAGCTTCTGCCCCCTCCCACCCACTCTGGTCCCATTCTGGGGCCCTAGCAAGGCCACACCTGTTAGGTCCCCAGTGCGGGGCTGTGACTCTGCTCTTCCACCCACAGGGCCCAGTGGACCTGGAGCCTTCTCCGCAGAAGGTTTCAAGACCTCCAGGACCCTTAGGTTATAGGGCTCATTCAGGCTTGGAGGAGCAGAGACGGTTCCTAGGTCTTAAACCCAGACCACCCAGTCCTTCCTTACTATGCTTCTGCACTGCGCTTTCAGCCACAGGCAGGGCTAATCACAAAGTGTTCCTTTATTTTCCTCTGCAGTTGTCCCTTGTGTGTGACCCTCCTTCAAGGCCCTTGGCTTCCGCAGCTTGATTCTGCACTCCGAGTCCATTCACCTTCTCCCATCCAATAGCATCCAACCCCGCTGCTACTGCTGCCAACCTGGCCTTGGGAGCAATGAGGACAAGGAAGGGACAAGACCCCTTTTAGGCCAGAACTGCCTTCAGATCAGCCACGCTCCATGGGACTGTACCTCTGCCCTGGAGGCTGGAGAGGTCAGTGGCTGCAGACTGTCTCAAGGAGCCCCTGGCCCTGCCCACCTAGCCAGGGGTGCAGCCTTGCCAGAGAAGCAGAGAAGCGTCTGTGGCTGGGTGGGTGATATTGAAAGATTCCTTTCACCAGGGTGGAAGCCAGGATCTGAGGCGTGATGGAATGTGGACAGTGAGGCAGTGACAGCGCCACAAGGCAGGAGTCATCTCCAGGCACGTCCTTGGCCTGGAGCCCATAGGGACAAGCTCCTGGTGGTGCCTCACTTTGCCATCCTCTCTAAGCCGCAGACCTTGAATGGAATCAGTGCTCAAGAGTCTAATTGGGCCCACTCTGAGGATGCCTGCGGGAATATCAGCTTTTACCGCACCACACTGCACTTTACAGTGTGGGAGGGCCTGCCCCACGCACCACCTCACCTGTACTGCGGTTCTCAAACTTCACCCTACAGCCATTCTGTTGTAGGTGATCTCAGGGGCAGTTTGAGAAACAGTGGCTCAGGGTCTCACAGCAGCCCTCTGAGATAGGTTGGTTGCTATTGTCCCGATTTTTTCTCATCAAGAAACTGAGGCTCAGGTGAGCTAAGGAATGTGCCCAGGGCCACTGTTTATAAGAAGTAGCCTCAAGCCTTGCTCATGGTTACTGCCCTGACAGGGATCTAGGAAAGAGTGAGCAGGAGAATGGGATGAGGCAGGACCCTCCGCCCCAGCCCTGCTTTCTCTGCCCAGACACCTCCTGCCTTGCAGACCCAACCCCACCCCAGATGGTTTCCTTTCCAGTCACCCAGCTGCTAGTTCTCCAGGTTCCTGGTCTCACTCCAGGTTCCTCCTGTTAGAGAAGCATCCCAGAGACATTCATTCCTGGCAAGGACACAGGCCTGCGGACCTGAAGGTCAGGTGGGCAGAGCCACATAAGATCTGGTGCCCCATCCTCCATTTAAAAAATTATACTTTCCAACGGCATTGGTATAAAGGTGAATATATTAATATCATATATTAAAACATTTTCTTTGACATAAAGGTTTCTTTCTTCTGCCTTTAAAATAAAATATTTTGGCCAGGTGTAATGGTTCACACCTATAATCCCAGCACTTGGGAAGGCTGAGGCAGGAGGATCACTTGAGCCCAAGAGTTCAAGACCAGCCTGGGCAACATAGAGACCCTGTCTCTACAAATTTTTTTTAATCAGCTGGGCGTGGTGGTGCTTGCCTGTGTTCCCAGACACTAGGAAGGCTGAGGCAGGAGGGGAGGGTCACTTGAGCCCAGGAGTTTGAGGCTGCAGTGAGCTGTGATCATGCCACTGCACTCCAGTGTGGGCACCAGAGAAGGAGCTTGTCTCTAAAAAGAGAGAAAAAGAATATTTTCAAGAGCCTCTGTGTTGGCAGAAAAATGGCCCTTCAGAGATGTTCATGTCCTATACCTGTGCCTGTGTTAGATTACATGGCAGACCCGGCATAGTGGCTCACGCCTGTACTGTAATCCCAGCACTTTGGGAGGCCGAGGCAGGCAGATCATTTGAGGTCAGGAGTTTGAGACCAGCCTGACCAACATGGTGAAACCCCATCTCTACTAAAAATACAAAAAAAATTAGCCGGGCATGGTGGTGCGTGCCTGCAGTCCCAGCTACTCGGGAGGCTGAGGCAGGAAAATCGCTTGAACCAGGGAGGCAGAGGTTGCAGTGAGTCGAGGTCATGCCACTGCAGTACAGCCTGGGTGACAGGGTGAGACTCCGTGTCAAAAAAAAATAATAATAATAATAAGGGGCAAAGGGGAATTAAGGTTGCTAATCAACTGATTTAGAGAGATGATGCTGGACTATCTGGGTGGGCCCAATGGCATCAGGAGGGTCTTTAGAAGTAGCAGAAGGAAGCAGAGGAGGGAACCAGAGGTGGCAGTGTGAGAAAGGCTCAACTGGCCATTGCTGGCTTCGAGGCTGTAGGAAGGGGCCACGAGCCAAGGTATGCAGGGAGCCCTTAGGAGCTGGAAAAGGCAGGGGAACAGTTTCTCCCCTAGAATCCTCAGAAAGGAACGCATTCTGGCGATCCCTGGATCTTCGCCCACTGAGGCTAAGTGGACTTCTGACCTCCAGAACGGAAAGATAACAAAAGCCTCAACGTTTGTGGAAACAAACAACTCATAATGAGCCTGGGACTGTGCCTCCTTCCCGGACGGATGAGCCTGCCTGGGCAGTCTGGGTTTGCATCCCTGCTCTGTCACTTACCAGCTATTGACGGCAGAAGTTGCTTAATTTCTGGGCGCTGTGACCTAGGGATTGCTTTCCCCATCCAGCCGCCCACCCAAAGCTGCAGAAGAGAAGCAAGAGGCTGGTGACTGGGGCGGCTCCGGAGCCCAGGTGGAGCCGCAGTTCGCCTACCACTAAAGGGCCGCAGTCACCGTCCACGTAGCCGCCAGGGGGCAGCAGAGGTCCGGCCCCGCCAGCCTGGAGGCCCGACTGCGCCTGCGCGGCGCCCGCGGCGCCCGCGGCGGCCAGGGACGGGAAGTGGGCGGGGCCGGCCGGCAGCAGCTTGCGGGACACGGAGCCGCGAGGAGACAGCTGAGGCCCGCGGAGACCAGGGGTGAGGAGGCCGGGGGGGACGGGATTAGAGGGCTGACGGGGCTGGGACGAGGGTCAGGCGAGCGCCCAAGGCGCACAGGGGTGAAATGGGACCGAGGAACCGGAGGGGTGGAATCAGAGGGCTGGGGAGGCAAGGAGGCCGAGACGAGGCTCACATGGGTGCACCGAAAGGGTGCGGGGGTGCAGTGCGGGGGGCCGAGGAGCAAGAGGGGCCGCTGCGGACATGAGGAACCCGAGGCTGGGAGTTGGGGGGCTGGGGAGCCAAGGGGGCAGAACTGGGGGGCAGGCGGGGGTGTGGCCGAGCCGAGGGCCTGGTAGGGACCGAGGGCTATGAGGCAGAATCGGGTGCTGAGGGGGACGCGCCCCATTTTCCGAGATTTGGCCTCTCCCCACCCCCCAGGAGCCTCTGGGCCGGCACGTTGCCCCATATCCCCCCAGTCCCTGCACCTTCAGGGGCCCAGTCTGCCTGATGGCCCCCGGCTCCGCGGCCTCCCAAGCGTCCGTGAAGCGAGCGTCAGCTGCACAAGTGCTCGGGCTGCAGCTGCTTCAGCCACAGGTCTGTGAGCCAGAGCCTCAGGCGCGGAGGCCGGGCACATTGCCGCTGGGTTCGGTCAGGCAAGCCCCTGAACCTGTCTGTACAACAGGAAGAACTGGCTCCGGCTGCAGGGATTTCGGCACAGCGCTTGACACACAGTGAGGCCCACTGCATGGTGGCGGGCTCCTTCGAAGCCTTCCACCCTGCGGGACAGAGTCACACATGTCGTGGTGGCATTCCCCGGGACAAGTTCTCTGGGCCCAGCTGAGCTCTCACCACGGGGGATAGAAAGTGGGGCCGGCCAGCACTCTGAGGCCATCTCCAGTCTCTTCTGTTGTCAAATTTCGCTCTTTTCCTCCTGCACGCGAGGTGGAAATACCAAAGGCATTGGGCATCCAGAGACCTTGATTGAGTTCGCTTTGCCCTTTCACCTGTGTGAGACCTTAAATGGGTGCTTGCCCTCCTATAACCTATTTCTTCATCTGCAGTGTAGCCTGACAGTATGTACTTCTCAGCGTAGTTGTGAGAGGTAAACAAAACGAATGCATTTCTGAAAGCCATGAACCTCTACACAAGTTCATTTGTGGAATTCCTTTAAGATACCCCCTGAAGGCCGGGCGCGGTGGCTCATACCTGTAATCCCAGCACTTTGGGAGGCCGAGGCAGGCATATCACCTGAGGTCAAGAGTTCCAGACCAGCATGGCAAAATCCCATCTCTACTAAAAATACAAAAATTAGCCGCGCGTGGTGGCAGGTGCCTGTAATCCTAGCTACTCAGGAGGCTGAGGCAGGAGAATTGCTTGAACCTGGGAGGCGAAGGTTGCAGTGAGCTGAGATCCCACCATTGCACTCCAGCCTGGGCAACAAGAGCGAAACTCCCTCTCAAAAAAAAAAAAAAAAAAAAAAAGGATACCATCTGACCTGAAGCCAACCGAGTCTTTTAAGACCTGGCGCTGCTGCCCACTGCACCCTTCAGAGTGGTGTAGCTTCCTCAGCCCATGCCACCCGCCAGTCACTCTTCCCTCTGCCATCACACTTACCACCTGCTGTACACAAAGGGCCATCGTGGGCTCCCTGACTACAGGGAGCTTACAGTCTATCAAGAAAGTCAGGCCTGTAGAAAGAAATGGTCATTGCACAGCAATGTGACTATGCTTAATGCCATGGAACTGTACGCTTAGAAATGGTTAAAAGGATACATAGTGTGTATATTTTACAACAATAAAAAAAATTTATATATGTAGAAAAAAAATCTAGGATTTACATCTAACTATTATTAGTATTAGTAGTTATGAATAAAGAAATAAGAATCTCTTTTGGTAGAAAAAGGTTGGCCAGGCGTGGTGTCTCATACCTGTAATCACAGCACTTTGGGAGGCTGAGGCGGGCAGATCACCTGAGGTCAGGAGTTCGAGACCAGCCTGGCCAACATGGTGAAACCCCATCTCTACTAAAAATACAAAAAAATTAGCCAGGCGTGGTTGTGGGTGCCTGTAATCCCAGCTACTAGGGAGGCTTAGGCAGGAGAATCACTTGAACCTGAGAGGCGGAGGTTGCCGTGAGCCAAGATTGCGCCACTGCACTCCGGCCTGGGTGACAGAGCAAGACTCTGTCTCAAAAAAAACAAAAACAAAAAAAAACAGTTAACATGAATGATGCTTTTGTTACACTATAGTGGTGCAGTTCCCTTTTCTAAGGATTGCTGGGTTTTTTTCATTACCTTGGTTCTGCAGTTAAGCAAGACTCAACAAGTATTTTTTCTATGTCCCCTAAAAAACTGCAGTTGTTAAACCCTGCATTCGTTAAGCTTAGGAGTCAAAACTAATGCACTAGAGGAAAATAAATATTTTAAATTAAAAAAAAAAAAACTTTTTACAAGTCAGATGTGAGCAAAAGTGCCATAGAGACATGAAAGAGAGCATGCTGGATCCAAAGATGGGGAGATTTCAGCAAAGCCTCAAAGGATCTGAGAGATCTCGGGAGGCAAAATGGAAGGAGGGCACCACAAAACAAGGAGGGGAGGGGCTGCCCTAGGGTGGGGGGTACACAGAAATGGAAGGAGGAGCCATGAGAGAGCCAAAGCCCAGAGCTGGTGGCCAATGAGGGACAGGTCAGGGATAGAAGGAGTCAGAATGACTTCCCAGGTGTCATCACAGTTAAGGCCCAGGTTCCCCAGCATGAACCCCACCCTGGGACTTTGGGCAAGTTCCTTAGCTCTTCTGCTACAGCCTGCCCTGTGAAGTGGGGATAACCACAAGAGGTTGTTGGGAGGCTAAAAGCCATCCCAGGAAGAGTGCTCAGAGCAGGGGCGGATGGCAGCTGGCAGCACCGTCAGCCACACCCCTGCAGCTGCCCCCCGATGAGTTTGCTTTGCCATTTCTCACCTATGTGGGACCTTAAATAGGTTCTAGGAGGGTGAGCACCCATTTGGTGTGCAGTGGGGCCCTGATCCAGGAGGAACCAGCTGCCAGTCGCATTTGGTCAGACTGGTCCAGGCAGGCGGTGCTGGGATGCAGGAGTCCAATGTCCCTCCCATGCCCACCCCGGGCTCTTGGTGATTTGCACAGGCTCATGCACACGTCCCTCTTATTCGGAGTTTTTCACTGGTGTGCCCTGCTCAGGAAAGCCCAGCACCAGGCTCCGCTGCCTCTGGTGCTCTCCCAGCTCTCCCTACTCCCTGCGGCTTGCCGCTGGCCTCCATGCCATTCCTGATGCTGTCTCTTCCAGTTGATCCCTCAAAGAACCACAGCACTGTCCCCTGCCCCTCCAGGCACTCCCAGGGCTGCCTCTGGTTTCCCTTGGTGAGGAATTTCTCCTTCCTGCCGGGTGTGCCATGGTGTACGTCAGATTCAGGAGCTTATTGGGAAAAGGAAGGAAATGATTCCTGTCCCTTTCGACATCTGGGCTCCAGGGAGAGAAAGCTGTGTCCTGGTTTCTCTCCTCACCCCTTGCCTTAGGTTGGTGATGCAGAAACAAGGGTGCTTGGTCCCCAGCAAGTAAGATGGCCCTGGGCACCCTGCCTTTGTAACAAGAGCAGGCAGTTGGCACAGGCCCTGAGAGTAAGCCAGCCTGTCCCCTCTACAGATGCAGACAGAGCTTCACACACACACATCATCACACCCCCCAGACCTTACTTAGTACACATGGCACAGACACCATTGAGGCATGTGCAGATAGTGGGCACAAGGCACAGAGAGAGCAGGCAGGTGGCCACAGTGAATCAGGGTCTGTAGTGCAGACAGGAGGAGCCACCCTCCCTGAGGGAACAGGCCGATTGTGGGGAGGGGCTCACGGCACAGGAAAGAGTACCCCAAGGTCAGGAGGCAAGAAGGAGGCACCTGCATCCCAAAAGGTCCAGCAGACGTCACCAGCAAATGGGGTGGAAGTGAAGGGTCTTGAATTCTGCCCTTGACAGTGGGGCTTTACACTGTGGGCAGGGGTTTCTCCAGGGGGGCCCTCTGTGTGCTCTAGCGGGGAGCATGCTGTCCTCTCACTTGGATCCTAATCATAAATTCACATGAGCACATTTTGTGGTGAGACAGTAGAGCCTCCAGATCACTTGGAATTGCAAGGGAGTGGGAGGAGGCCCCAGGCACTGGCAGTTGCTGGGGGCAGCTCTGCATCGTTCACATTCTCCCAGAAGCTCCAGGGGCCAGGGCAGTCCCAGGCAGAAGAGGGGCCCTTGGCCGCTTGCACTGCTTGAGGGCAGCCAAGCTTGCTGGGAAATTCACGCCATCTTCGAATGCCTTACAGCTCTGCTGGGGCATGGCTGGCAGGACGTGCCGCCTCCTCATTGACCTACTAGGGCTCCCAGCCTCTGCTCATTTCTCCAGCTCACAGTCTTCCCTTTGTCGTTTGAATGTCAGTGTCCCTCCTGCTCTCAAAGTGATTTTTCCTTTTTTGCTTTATGTTCTTTTTTTTTCTTTTTTGGTAGAGATGGGGGGTGGGGGGGGGGTGGCGATCTCACTGCCCAGGCTGGTCTTGAACTCCTGGCCTCAAGCACTCCTCCTGCCTCACCCTCCCCAAGCGCTGAGATATAGACCTGAGCCACAGCGCCTTGCCAGTTGTTTTATGTTCTTTATCCTTTTACCTGCTTGCCTTCTGTAACCTGGGTTGCATTAAATTTACTCCTACTTGTGAGTAAATGTGAACCATAGCAATAAATTTAGTCTATCCCCAGAACCTTCAGTAGCAAGCACCCCTATTCCTACGTTATTTGTATGTGTCCACTTTAAATAAATTACCTTTCAATTCTGCCTCTAAAAGAAGAGAAGGGTTTTGTGTTTTGTTAATTTACCACCCTTCACCCCTTGCATTCCAAATCCCTCACTGATCAGACATTTAACTTGGTGCTGGGACCTTTCCCTCTGCCCACCCCATTCTCTTTTGTGTTTTTTATCTTTAGGCTTCCAGAAGGCTTGTTCCAAGTTAGCAATTCCTGATAAGGACAGCCCTCTTGTGGGCTGTGAGCTCCCTGCATCTCTTACTTCCCACTCTCTTCATCCTGCACCTCAGGCCCCTGCCACAGCCGCCCTTTTAGCAAAGTTTGTAGGCAGAGTCTGTGGCTATTCTAAGACTGATGATTCTAGAAGATTCTCCTTGCCTTCTTCGTTCAGTTTTCAGAACCTGGAAGTCCTCATGAAGGTGATGGGCTGTGAAACTGTTCCCCAAATTCTCCACCCTAGAACTCGGGGTGTTCCTCAGAGTCTCATGTCCGTTTGTCACCATAAAAGAATGCAGTTTTTCTCCCTGGCTTAGTAACTGTGTAGGATTTCTTTTTTATTTTTTTCTGGATCCAATCTCATCCACTACTGCGTAGGACTCGCTGAATAAAGTTTCCCAGCCTGAGTGTTAGACAAAGCCCAAGGTGGAGTCCCCGCTGTGGGGAGGGTTTGGAGGGGTCAGGCACCCGAGAGGAAGGGGGCAGGAGAGAGAAGGGTCCATGCTGAGTGGGTGCTGGCAGGGAGGCCCAGGTGTGGGGCCTGGAGGTGAATCCCCGGGGCGACGCAAAGAACATGGAAGGGGGGGCGCTGGAGAGCTGTTTGGGTATAGGCAAGGCAGGCAGGCTGGGGAGGCGACTATGGAGATTCGGAGTTAGGAGAGAAGAGGAGCCAGAGCCACCCTGGGAGGAGGCTGTGAGGCACCATGTGCCTCTTTCCAGTGAGAGAGAAGCCGGTGAGGGAGTGAAGGCACAGGCTTTGCGATCCCTCTTTGGCCCTGTCTTCCTTCTGACACCTCAGGCGAGGGACTAACCCTCTCCAAACCTTGGGATTCTCATCTGTGAAATGGGGGCTTGTCCTGGCTCCTGGGGTGTTAGGGGCAACTCCCAGGGCTGGTCAGCTCTGGTCATCCCTAAGGACTTAGGGAGGAAGAGCCCACATGCCGCACAGTGGGGTCAGCGCCTGGAACTGTCCACAGTGCCCCTCTTCCAGCCAGGGCTTAGCAGGCCTGAGCCATTCTAGGCTCACAATTCCCTCCTCCTATTAGAGAGCATTGAATAGGCTCGATGGTGTCCCACAGCACCTCCTGTCTGTCCCAGATTAAACCTCTGCTTCTCTCCTGGCCACCCCTTGGGTGGCCCCAGCAGCCTCTGGGGATCCCTTCCTGCTCCCACTCTGGCCTATCTCCAAAACAGCCCTGGGCCGGCCTCCCGCATCTTGGCCCTTCTCTTTCCTCCCCTGAACACCACTAGAGCCCCAACAGGTGTCCCTCCTGCCATCTGGTCACCACGTCCAGGCTCACAGACCTGGTGGCTTCACTCCCTCACCTCAGAGCCCTCCTGGCTGCTCGGGACCCGTGATCAGGTTGAACCCCCTCACCTACCTCAGTGCCTGGCCTCGGCATCCCTGTCCTGCTCGTCTCTGGCCACGCTGGCCACCCTCTGCCAGGAACAGTCTTCCTCCTCTGTCACTTCTTGACAATGTCCACCCAGCTGCTGCTCCTGGCACCATCTCCTGAGACCGGATCTCTGGATGCCCACAAGTCCCCACCTGGACTCATGTCAAAACAGTGGCCAGGGTTGTCCCTCCACCCTCTAGTGGCCCTGAACCATGAGGCCATGCACCTGCCACATGGTGCTTGCAGGTGGGCACCTGCATTGCTGGTGCCATGGCCCCCTGATTCTGCTGACTCTGACATTTCTCCCCAGGGTGAAGCCTGGAGACCCTCTTGCCCTGGCCTAGCTGCAGGCCCCCGGGATGCTTTGGGCATGTCCTCTGGAGCCCCACAGAAGAGCAGCCCAATGGCCAGTGGAGCTGAGGAGACCCCAGGCTTCCTGGACACGCTCCTGCAAGACTTCCCAGCCCTGCTGAACCCAGAGGACCCTCTGCCATGGAAGGCCCCAGGGACGGTGCTCAGCCAGGAGGAGGTGGAGGGCGAGCTGGCTGAGCTGGCCATGGGCTTTCTGGGCAGCAGGTAGGCCTGTGCACCCCCAAAGGGGACGGGGAGTAAGGGCACGGCACCAGGGCCGACAAGGGATGTGGCTGCTGCTCCCCTACACGTCCAGCCCCACACGGGGATCTGCAGCCCCGGATCCCTATGCAGCACCATGTGGAACTCCCGTGGCTGCTATGGCAAAGCACCACACACTGGGCACTCAACACAGCCAAAGCTCATTCTTTCACAGGGCTGGAGGCCAGAGTCCAAGATCAAGGTGGCAGCTGCGCCATGCTCTCTCAAAGGCTGCAGGGAAGAGTCTGCCTTTCTGTTAGTGCCTGGCCTTGACTTCCTGGAGGTCCTTGGCTTGTAGACTCATTCCTCCTAGCTGGCCTTGTTGCACACGGCATCTCCCCATGTGTGTGTCTGTGCCTTCACACCTCCCCACCCTGCCTGCTGTGTGTCTGTGACTCCTCCTCTTGTAAGGACATGGGCATTTTGGACCAGGGGCTGCCCTCCTACAGTGTGATCTCATCTTTCTTTTTGTGGAGAATGGGGTCTCGCTATGCTGCCCAGGCTGGTCTCGAATTTCTGGGCTCCATGGATCCTCATGTTTTTGCCTCCCTAAATGCTGGGATTACAGGCATGAGCCACTCCAGCCAATGTGACCTCATGTGAACATAACTAATTACATTTGCAAAGACTTTAACTCCAAATAAGATCATATTCTGAGCCACAGGGGGCTGGGGCTTCAACATACCTTTTAGGGAACACAATTTATTGCATAGCAGCTGATAAGCAGTACGTCCTGTTTCCGATCCGTGTGATGGACGAGGAGGCAGAGGTGGGTAGATGAAGAGGCTGGCCTGAGGCCTTACAGTCAAGGAGTGGCAGAGCCACATGGCACCCCAGCCACCACGATCTGAGAGATAGCTGGCACTGTCCCCCTTCCACAGGTGAGGAAGCTGAGGCACAGAGAGGTAGCACAACTAGCCGAGCAGATTTCGGGGAAGATAGAGAGTTGGGTGTCCACCGGCAGACAGTGTGTAGCTGTCGCCTAGGCTGAACTCAGAGGTCCTTTCCTTGGAAGACCCTTGCCCTCCCCTTCATTTATTCATTCATTCTGGAAGCATTTGTCCCATGAAAGATGGTGAAGGACAAGGTCTTTTCTCGAACCCTCTCTGCTCAGACAGGGTCTTGGAGTTAGGCTGTCTGTCTGGCACAGGGGACAGCTCATGGAGGTGAGCAGGCTGGTGGGCCGCGTGCTGTTTCTGTGAACCTAGTCCCTTGCTGAGGGGATGTGCGCATGGTCCCCAGTCCCAGCATCACCCAAATCACCTGAAATATCACCTGAAGCCATGACAGGCCCTCAGCCATAGCTCCCTCTGACAGAGCCACCATCCTCGGTGGCTGCCTCAGTATCCCCCAAGTGTGCACTTCCTTTGCCCCTTGCAGCGAATCAACTCTGTTCCTGACACCCACCAAGGGCCTATTTTCCTTGACCCCAGGCCCTAGCAGAGTCAGTGACTTGTGCTCTCCCTGTGCAACATGGGCACAAACATTGCTAAGTGTCAGCCACATGCAAGGGCTATGCCACCCAGCATCCCCCACAGCTGCCTAGAGCTCAGGAGGAAATGTCCGGTGACCACGCTCCATGAGGTCATGGCATGCGCAAAGGGTGTTATTGGCTTGTTTTGAGGAAATATTTTAGATATGTGGCACAAAGTGAATCAGCCCCCAGTGGTGGAGCAGAGTGGGCCCAGCAGGGGTGCCAATGCACGGGAGGTGAGGAAAGGCCTCACGTTCTGCCTTCTTGAGAGGAGCAGGTGGCACTCTGCAGGGAGCAGGGGAGTCCAGACCAGGGAGTTCTGCAGCCACTGGGTCTTCGTGGAGGTGGCATGGGGCCATTGCTGCCTTGAGGCAAAAAGCCAGGCCCGGGACAGAAGGGTTGGTGCACTTTGGCCCAAGCATGAGGTGACCGGGCAAAGCCAAGCGGTGCCAGCCCCAAGCTGGGGATCAGATGGAAAAGCCATCCCGGGGAACAACAGAGCCCAGGGGTTTGCTGGGCCTGCGTGGGGCACAGGTGCTGAAGACGGACAGGCCGCAGCACCGGGGTGACAACATCAGCCTTCAGTTCCTGGGCAGGGGGAGAAGGGCGCAGAGCAGGGTCCCAGGGAAGGATCCAAGGTGGGAGGGCCTGGAGGGCTGAGGAGTGAGTAGGCAGTGCAGGTGACCTGCCCAGGAGGGCCCCGAACCAAAGTGTTGGGGTCAGTGCTGGGGGCGCAGGGGAGGGCAGTGGGTTTTGGTTTTGATGCGAGAGCAGCCAGACTTGTTGAGCGGCTGCTGTGTGAGCCACCTAGTGATGGGTGCGAGCAGGAGGGGTGCAGAGCTCCCGAGTCTCCTCAGCCCCCAGGAACCCACCTTACATGGTGAACTAAAATGGAGTATTTGAAGTTGTTATATGTTCCAGCCATCTTATTGGATTTATTTTTTAAGTTATTTTTGTTCTTTTCTAGCATCTTCTTTCACACGCAGGTGTGGATGTGCATAGGTGTAGTCAGCACTTGGGGTCTGAGCCTCACACGTTGTCTACACTAAGCCTGGCTGTCCACACACACGCACTCACATGTGCCCATACACAGTCACGAGTTCCACCTCCGAGCTCTGCTTCCCGTGTCCCAGCCTGAGGAGGGGCTCTTGGGCATGAAGGGCTTTGAGCATCTTGGTCCCTGAGCTCTTTCACAGACCGTAAAAGGCATCCTTCTGGAGGCCATCCAGGAGTCAGAACATCCAGTCCACAGGGGGCTATTTACGCCTTGTCTCCGCTCTTGTTTGGAGCCTCCTGTCACATATTTGAGTCCCTGAGCAGTGCATACCGTACACTAATGATTTGAGTGTGGTTTTTGTCTCTGCCACTAGACTATAAGCCTCTTGTAACAGCCCCTGCCCCAAGGTCGGTGAGACGTGTTTCTCAGGCACCTGGGCCTTGCATACACCTTGGCTTGTCCCTGGAGCATCTTCTTGCCTTGTGTAGGAGCCTGCTCTGCAGGGACCAGAATCAGGGTGGATCTGCATGGTGCAGTGACTCAGGGCTGAGGGCCTCTAGGGCGTGTCCCAGGCCAGACCCTGGGATGAGGCGGGAGCTGTGTCCAGGAAGAGGACGATGGTGGCCCTTGGCCAGGCATTGTCTGGGTCCCCACAGCCGGAAACTGCCTCCCTGCCCCAGCAGCAGTGGCGGGTGGGCAGGAAGCTGAGGCCTGGCCTCACCGGGACCAAGGGAAACAGGCGTCCTTCCTCCCTGCTGTGCAAAAGGAAAACCCAGCAGTTGGCAGGAAACCCCCAAATGGCAGAGGAACTAATTTCTCATGTCTTGGCTGGTTGTTTTTCAAAGGCAGTTCCAGAGGCTTCTCCCATGAGTCACCCTTTCATTTTAAAAATCACGAATCTGCTGAGCATGGTGGCTCATGCCTGTAATCCCAGCTACTCAGGAGGCTGAGGCAGGAGAATCACTTGAACCCGAGAGGTGGAGGTTGTGGTGAGCTGAGATCACGCCATTGCACTCCAGCCTGGGCAACTAGAGCGAAACTCCGTCTCAGAAAAAAAAAAAAAAAAATCAGGAATCCATCCCGGTAGATTCCTCAGACCATCAGTAGATACCTTGGGTGCCCAGCCCCCATGGAACAAGACCTGTCAGCCTGTGCTGTTGGAAGGTCCTCGCCTTCCAGTTAAAGCCGGGAGTGTCGGCCCAGTGCAGAATCACCTCGCCACCCCAGGCATGCTCCCCTGACCCCCACTCTCAGGGACAGGCACACAGGGGTGAATGTGTGTTGTCCAGCTTCCAGGGCCCCCACTGGGTGAGAAGGCAGATTCCAGGGGTCAAAATGCATGTTAGAGGCCATAGGGCCACTGAGGGAGCGACCCCTTCTGCCCAGAAAAGCCAGGGATGGCTCAGAATTTTAGACACTCCTCCCCACTGCCCTCCTTCTCAGCCACAGATGGCTTCAGTGTTTCTTTCCCTGATCTGCCCCGTGGCTCTCTTCTGCCCTGCCTACCTGCTAAAAGACGCTAACCCTCCTGTCGGTTTGCTTTCAGCCTGCTGCGACCTCCCTTTCTACCCACTACGCCTCCTCAACTGCTCAGCTCTGTTCTATGACATTGAAAGCAGTGACCCAATCTCACTTCTTAAAACATTTCCTTCGTGGCACCCAGAAGGCCACTCCTGGAGTCATCCCCACTTTGCTAGCCATGCTCTGGCCCTGTGGGACTCAGCCCCCTATCCTCATTCATTCCGCAGCTCCATCTCCTGCCCAGACCATGTTCTTGCAGGCCCTCAGGCCTCTTGACCTCCGTGGAACACAAGTCGCTGTGGAAACAGAGCCCATTGCCCATCCCCTGCCTGACTCTTCCATCCCCATCAGGGTAATTAACTGTACCACGAGCCTTCTAGTTGCTCAGAATAGAAACTTCAACACTGTCCCTGCCCCTCCATTTATACTGCCCGACTCTGTCTGCTCCTGTTTGTCACCATGGCCCTGCCCAGCCCAGGTCTTAGACTCTCTCCTTTAGACAGTCGTCCCCTTCTTGCCAGCCCACCCTCCACACCAGGGTCAGAGAGGCCTAAAAGCCCCATCTGATCATGCCATGTCCCTCTTCAAACAGACCAAAGGCGGCCAGGTGTGGCGGCTCACGCCATTATCCCAGGGCTTTGGGAGGCTGAGATGGGAGGATCACTTGAGGGCAGGAGTTCAAGACCAGCCTGGACAACATAGCAAAACCCCACCTGTACAAAAAAATTTACAGATTAGCTGGACATGGTGATGTCTGTAGCCCTAACTACTGCCTGTAGCCCTAACTACTCTGGAGTCTGAGGTGAGAGGATCTCTTGAGCCCAGGGGTTTGAGGCTGCAGCGAGCCATGATTGCACAGCTGTGCTCCAGCCTGGGAGACAGAGCAAGACCCTGTCTCTAAAAATAAATAAATAAAACACAGACCAATGGCAGTGCTTCCCTGTTAGCATAAAGCTTGGCCTGCCCTGTTCCCACAGCCCCTCACCCCGGCAGCTCCTATGGCCCCATCCGCCCAGGGACCTTGTGGACCACGCACAGCCACTTCCTCTGCTGAGTGTGCCCATGGGTCCCACACCCCAGGATCAGCTTCCTGGAGCTGCTGTACAAATGACCACAGACCCAGCAGCTTAAACAACAGAAGTGTGCTTCATGGTGCTGGAGGCTGTCATCTGAGATCAGGATATTGACAGAACTGGCTCCTTCTGGTGGTTTGTGGGCAACCCTTGGCATTCCCTGGCTTGTAGGTTCATCCCCCAGGTCTCTGCCTCATGTTCCCCTGGCATTCTCTCTGTGTGTGTGTGTCTGTGTCCAAATTCCTCCCCCAACCTGTTTTTTTTTTTTGGAGACAGCATCTTGCTCTGTCGCCTAGGCTGGAGTGCAGTGGCACAATCTTGGCTCACTGCAACCTCCACCTCCCAGGTTCAAGCAATTCTTCTGCCTCAGCCTCCTGAGTAGCTGGAACTACAGGCATGCGCCACCACACCCGGCTAATTTTTGTATTTTTAGTAGAGATGAGGTTTTACCATGTTGGCCAGGCTGGTCTCAAACTCCTGACCTCGTGATCTACCTGCCTTGGCCTCCCAAAGTACTGGGATTACAGATGTGAGCCACCGCACCCGGCCCAAATTCCCTTTTTCATAGAGACATCAGTCATTGGAGTAGGGGCCCAGCCTGCTCCAGCATGACGTCATCTTAACTAATTCCATCTGTAATGACCCTGTTTCCAAATGAGCTCCATTCTGAGGTACTGGGGGTTAGGGCCTCAGTGTATGAATTTAGGGGGGACACAATTCAACCCAGAACACTCCCCACCCCCCAGGGTCCCCAGCTGGCATGGGTGATTCCTCTGCCCTCCTGTGGCCAGGAGCCATCATCAGCATGGATGTCAGGCAGTTTACTTGCCCATCAACAGCCCCCTCCCAACTAGCCGCAGGCTCAAGTATGGTCCAGCTCCCCACCAGATGGTTGTGCGTCTGCCTTTGCTGTCCTGTGACCTTCCTGTCCCAGCTCCCTGAGGACAGGGGCCGCCCTGCTGGCCGTGACCCCTCAGCATGTGGGCTGACAGTTGGGGAAGGGGGGCTAGGTGTGGTCTCCTGCTGGGGGCTGCCCCTCACTTCCCCCTCCTCATCCCTAGGAAGGCCCCGCCACCACTTGCTGCTGCTCTGGCCCACGAAGCAGTTTCACAGCTGCTACAGACAGACCTTTCCGAATTCAGGAAGTTGCCCAGGGAGGAAGAAGAAGAGGAGGAGGACGATGACGAGGAGGAAAAGGCCCCTGTGACCTGTGAGTTCTGTTTCTTCTGAGGTGGCCCCAGGGCTGCTTAGCAGGCAACAAAGGGTGACGACATTGTGGGAAGCCCATTGATTGGGGTCCCTAAGGGTGCTGGGGCCCTCGCTCACAACGGCAGCAGAATCAAGGAGCAGAGAAGGCTTGCGGCCCCAGTGAGGTGGAGGGTGGCGGTCACAGCCCTCCACAGGTCATATAGTTCCCAGTCAGCCCACGAGGCAGGGGTGGGTGGTGCAGACACCCTCCTGTGTCCTGTCTGACTGAAGTTCCAGAACAGCCCAGGAAATTAAAGATGCTTATCCCGTTTCACAGAGGATCTCACAGGTGATCGATCTCTGGTCATGCAGCCAGGTTCAAGTGCCCTCAGTGTTGTAACTCAGTTAACATGCGCCCGGGCAGGCGAAGTCAGGGTTGGCCAGGTGGCATGCCAGCAGGTCTCGGGGCAGCAGCGTGGTCCCCTCAACGCTCGGGCCCCCTGCCTCAGCTGCCCCCAAGTCAGGATTCTGTTGGGTGGAGACGCTCTACGGTGTCCATGAGCCCCATGGTTAGATGCTGGTGGAAGCTTGTCTGTCAGCCTGCTCCTGGGACAGCCATAAGCATGGTGTGGCCAGGGGAACCCAGAAATGGAGAGGGCTGCAGATCCATTTCACAGAGGATATAATCATTAAAAAGCAGGGCTTTTATTTCATGTGACTTTCTTTCATTCTCCTAGTAATTTCATTTTATTATATTTCGCCAAAGTGTTGGTTGATGTTAGACCAGAAATACAGGGCGTAAGAATCGCAGGCTGCAGCAGGGGTGCCACAAGGGGGTAGCAACGTCCCACCCAGCTGAATAGTTGTCCCTGGACAGGCCAGCAGGCAGCAGAGTTGCAGTGGATTTTCCCTTCCTTGCCATTTCCTGTCGGCCATTTCCTTTCCCTTCCTTTGCCATTTCCTTTCCTTTCCCTGTTGTTCTAAATTCGGCATTACTAGTGCATGCGTGCATCCGGGGAAAAGGAACAAGGTGGGAGAAGAGAGAGAAAGCGAATACCCGAGGCCGCCAGCATCAGTGGGTGCCCGCGCTCTCCTCCTCGCTCTCGTCCTCTGCCCTCCGCCCTGGCTCCCTGCCCGCATTCCCTGGGAGCGCAGCCTTGCCTTAGCCTGGGAGACAGCTGTCCACAGTGACAGGCGGCCATTGTTCTCGGCCGAGCCAGCAGGCTTCCGGCCGGTGGCAGCTGCTGCTCCTCCGCTCTGCGGCCCCACCAAGGGGGCGCCGCCACCGCCCAGGCCCTCCCCGCCTGATGGGTCTCTGTCCGTCCACGCGGGAGACAGCGCCACCTGCCGGTGAGAAGGAGCGTTGCTGCGCCGGCACCAGCCCAGTCCTACGCTCGGGGCTCCTGCAGGCCTGGGAAGGAGGGAGGGCGCAGCTAGAAGGAAGTCTCGCCTGCCCTTGCTTCCCCGTCTGTCAGAGTGCCTCGCATGCAGGCCTGCCTAGCGGCCTTGATCATGCTCTCCCTGTCACGGAAGTAGAATGTAGTCAAGTTTTTGGACTCCAAGCCATTCTTACAAAATTGCGTCAGAGTGGGGATTGTATTATAAGAATTGCCACTGAAGAGCAGCGAGTGGCTGAAACCTCTGTGTGGCTGCCAGTCAGCCCCTCCCCGGTGACTGGATCAGCGAAGAATCCAGAAGCGAGGTTGCGGGGCTGCAGCCCTTGGCATGGGGAGTCCGTGGGCTGGGCAGCACTGCCTCAGCCGCTGGCCTTTCCTGAGCAGAGTCTAGGCTAAGCGGCTGTTGGAAATAGCAGTAGCACCCGGGGCGAGACCGTGAGCCACAGCGGCGGCCGGAGTCTCCCCCAGCCCGAGCTCAGGCCTGGTAAGCACCAGGAGCCCACAGTTTCCAGAGGGAGTGAGGAGGAGTCCATGGCATTTAGGGGCAGTTTTCTGGGCACAGTGGCCCTCAGACGAGAGGAAGAGGAGGCAGCGCTACAAGGACTGGCAGGACGAGGGGGGTTTCCTGCTGGTTTGCAGGGGATCCACTGGCCAAACTTGTGTGGAGCTGCCTTCCCTGAGCTGGGCCTGCCTGAATGAGTTCTCAGGCCCCTCCTTCACCCATAGCCTTGCCAGTCCCCAGTTCTTGCCAAATGCTTGAATAGGCCCCTGTGTTGGCCATGGCGGCAGCAGCTGGCTCTGGATGCCCCCACCCCTGCCTTGATGCATGGATTCCCAAGAACCTGTCTTTCTGTGACCTCCTGCGTGCATAAGCCCTCGCGTTCATGGTTCTTCCTCGGTGGCCCCCTCTGGCCTCAGCCCTTCTCCTTTTCTTCCACAGCCTCCGCCTTTAGGCAGGAGCTCTTTCCTCCTCTCAGTTCCCCATGTCCTTTGGGTGTGGCCTGTGACACTCAACTCCTGCCCTCGGCTGACTGGCCCTGATTCACCATGCTTGCCACATGCACCTGGGCTGGCAGGAGTTCCAGGAGAGTTTGTGCATTGAAGTGACATGAGTCCCTGAAGCCAGAGCCCCCATGGTTTCCTTTGGGCCTGTTACTGGTTGATCTTTTCTTGAGAAGCCAAGCTTAGGTAGGATTTGGGTATTTTTTCTTTTCAAATGAGTATTGTGGCTTATATTATTTGTTGCTACATAACAAATTGCCCCAAATGTAGTGGCTTAAAACAACAGACATTTATTCTCCCAGTTTCTGTGGGTCTGGAATCTGGGAGCAGCTTAGCTGGTTCTGGTCCAGGGTCTCTTACTGGGTTGTGGTGACATGGTTGCTGGCTGGGCTGGAGGGCCTGCTTCCACGGTGGTTTCAACACACGGCCACTGACAGGAGGCCCTGGTCCCGTCCCATGTGGACTCTCCGTGGCGCTGCTTGAGCATCCTCACAGCTCAGATTGAGCGATGAGAGGGAGGGAGGAAGAGAGTGAGAATACACAAGGCGGGAGGCGCAGGGCCTCTTTGTTTCGTAACACCTGAAGCACACGCAGTCACTGCCACTCTTCATCAGAAGCAGCCAGCTCCCACACTCAGCAGTGGGAAGTGAGCTCCACCTCGCAAAAGGGGAAGTCAAAGAATTTGTGGACATGCTTTAAAGCCACTGTCACACGAGACTAACACTTGTAATGAAAAACTGGGGAAGTATTAAGAAAGTGTACTTCAGGAAAAAGCTGTCCGTGGAACTGCCACGTGCAGGCCCACTCTGACACCTTGGTTGTGTGCTGTTCCCGCCTTTTTTTTTTTCTGGCCCTGGTGGTTTTTCATGGACTTGTAGTTAAACTGCATATGTAATTTTCCTTCTTTTTTCACTTAGTATCATGACAGAAGCATTTTACATGCTTATAAACTCTATTAAAATCCATTTTTTAGTTTTCTGTTTTAAGAGACCAGGTCTCCCTCTGTCACCCAGACTGGAATGCAGTGGTGTAATCGGAGATCGCCGTAACCTCGACGTCCTTGGCTCAAGGGATCCTCCTGCCCCAGCCTCCCGAATAGCTGGGAGTAGATATACCACCACACACAGCTAATTTTTTTTGGTTTGGTGTTGTTCATTTGCGACTGAGTTTCGCTCTGTTGTCCAGGCTGGAGTGTAGTGGCTCAATCTTGGCTCACTGCAACCTCTGCCTCCCGGATTCAAGCAATTTTCCTGCCTCAGCCTCCCAAGTAGCTGGGACTACATGTGCATGCCAGCACGCCCAGCTAATTTTTGTATTTTTAGTAGAGACGGGGTTTCACTTTGTTGGTCAGGGTGGTCTCGAACTCCGGACCTCAAGTGATCTGCCTGCCTTTACCTCTCAAAGCGCGGGACTACAGGCATGAGCCATGGCGCCCAGCCTGTTTGTTTTTAAGAGACAAGGTCTCTTTATGTTATCCAGGCTGGTCTTGAACTCCTGACCTCAAGCAGTCCTCCCACCTCAGCCTCTCAAAGTGCTGGGATTACAGGCATGAGCCACTATGCCTGGGCTAGTTTTTTTTAATTAAACTTTTTGTTTTGAGATAATCATAGCTGCACATGCAGTTGTAATAAATAATACAAAGAGATTCCATGTATACTTTACCCAGTTTCCTCCAATGGTAACATTTTGCAAAACTATAATAAAATATCACCACCAGGATCCTAACATGGTCAAAATACAGAGCAGTTCCATCACCAGGATCCCTCCTGTCACCCTTTTAAGGCCACCCTTATACCCCCACCCCTACAGACCCCATCCCTAACCACTGGCAACTACTAATCTTCTCGGCTTCTACCATTTTATTATTTCAAGAACACATATAAATGGAAGCATATGATGTGTAACTTTAGGGGACTGGTTTAATTCTCTGGAGATTAGCCCAGGTTGTTTGATGCATCAGGAGTTCATTCTTTGCCATTCTTGAGTGGTATTCAAAGGTATGGGTCGACCACGGTTTGTTTAACCATTTCCACGTTGAAGGACATCTAGGCTGACTCCAGATTTTGGCTGTTCCAGATAAAGCTGCTATGAACATTTGTGTTCATGTGTTCAAGCTTTTATGTGAACAGCCTTCATTGTTCTGGGATAAGTCCACAGGAGTGCCACGGTGGGGTCGTATGGGAGTTGCATATTTCGTTATGAAAATCATATTTAATAGCAGCTTAATTCTTCATCAAGAGACTAGATCTTTTTTTTTTTTTTTTTTTTTTGAGACAGAGTCTTGCTCTGTCGCCCAGACTGGAGCATAATGGCATGATCTCGGCTCACTGCAACCTCCGCCTCCCAGGTTCAAGCGATTCTCCTGCCTCAGCCTCCCGAGTAGCTGGGATTACAGGCGCCCGCCACCATGCCTGGCTAATTTGTGTATTTTTAGTAGAGACGGGGTTTCACCATGTTGGCTAGGCTGGTCTCGAACTCCTGACCTCGGGTGATCCGCCCACCTCGGCCTCCCAAAGTGCTGGGATTACAGGCGTGAGCCACTGCGCCTGGCCGAGACTAGATCATAATTTAAGTATTATTCCTTTGTCATTGGATATATAGTATTTCTAATTAATGGGCAATTATAAGTGATTCTGTACTTTGTCTTTAAAATTATTTTTGTGTTTCTGATGATTTCTTCAGGGTGGGTTCCCATGAGTAGAGTTGCTCCATGGTGGGATGGGAGACTTCAAGGGGCAAGTTGCCAAACTAGACATTTCTAATTCTGGTAACAGGCTGCCATGTGCGCGTTATTGAGTTGATGTGCTCACAATGCCCCGGGAGGTGATGGGGGCTTTGCAGGCCCCTGTGGGAGCTGTCAGGGAGCCAGCGAGGCCTCAGCTGGCTTGGTTGGCACTTCCCTGACAATCCCTCCATTGTGCCCATCAGTGCTGGATGCCCAAAGCCTGGCACAGAGTTTCTTTAACCGCCTTTGGGAAGTCGCCGGCCAGTGGCAGAAGCAGGTGCCATTGGCTGCCCGGGCCTCACAGCGGCAGTGGCTGGTCTCCATCCACGCCATCCGGAACACTCGCCGCAAGATGGAGGACCGGCACGTGTCCCTCCCTTCCTTCAACCAGCTCTTCGGCTTGTCTGTGAGTGCTCCCGTCCAGACCCTGGGGACAGCTTCGGAGGACCGGGGCGAGGGTGGGGGCCCCCCAGGTACCGAGAAGAGCTGCCCACCAAGGCTGAGACAGGAGAGACACCCGTCAGCCCCTGTACTTGCCCAGCAAGAGACTAAGAAGGGCAACAGTGTGAGTCTGTTATGAGGGAGGCCTGGATGCCACGTTCCCCTGACTCCTGCACCAGGAGCCACCTGGGGCAGCCCCTCATTTTATGCTTGTAGCAACTCATAACAGATGGTGAAACCGAGGCTCCCGCGAGCTGTCCTTTTCCAAACCTACCCCCTCATACGCACATAAGCCGGGCGAAGGCCATACTGATTCTCCCAGACTCTACCCCATCAGTGCCTGGCGCCACGCCCCACTGGGAGCACCCTGGGTCCCGCGGGTCTGTGACTCCCACCACATCCCCACCAGGACCCTGTGAACCGCGCCTACTTTGCTGTGTTTGATGGTCACGGAGGCGTGGATGCTGCGAGGTACGCCGCTGTCCACGTGCACACCAACGCTGCCCGCCAGCCAGAGCTGCCCACAGACCCTGAGGGAGCCCTCAGAGAAGCCTTCCGGCGCACCGACCAGATGTTTCTCAGGAAAGCCAAGCGAGAGGTGAGGACTGGCCGCTGGGCCTCAGGTGCAGTTTGGAGGCCAGTGAGAGTCCCAGCCTCTGCAGCGGGAAAAACGCCAAAGGGGCTGGTGGTGCTGGAAGGTCCTCACTAAACACTGCCGGTGGTCCTGCCATTTTTTCTAAAGGGGCTTGGTTTTCACTTGAACGGAAGCAGCACAAAGCCTGCCCCGACCCAGCATGGTGGGCCTCTCAGCCACACAGACCTGCCTGGCGCAGAGGGTCTGCTGGCCTCGGGGAAGGCAGCTGTGGTCAAGCGTTCCTGGGATTTTGTTTTAATGAGATATGGCAAGGTGACAGACACAGACCAGGACCTTAACAAAGAGTCTACTACTCACAGTTCCTGAGAGGAGGGGCCACGCCTCACAGAGCCATGCATGGAAAGCACTGAGGTAGTCGGGGCGCAGAGAGAAGAGAGGGAAGCTGGGCCAGAGCCGTCTCTGCATCCTCCCCAGGTATTTGCTGTCTCGAGGAATCAGCTGGCCTGGGAAGGGGCAGCCCCTCCAGGACCAGCAAGGCCCCAAGTTGTCAAAGCATCATAAAAGGCGGAATATGTAAAACCTGATTAATCTACTGCCTTCCTCCCCTTCCTCCTCTAGGCAGGGTCTCAGCAGGCTACCGACGTCCTCTGGGAACAATCCTTCCTCGGGAGTTATAGCCATGTGCAGGGATGAGGCATTTGTTTCTGAAAGAAGAAAGAATACAAATGCATCAGGCCCCTCCTCTGTGAACTTAGCCACTCTGAACCTCACCCACAGAATTTCACTAGGTCCTCCTTGTAGCCCTGTGAGGTGAATACTAATATTGTACCCATTTTAGACATTGGGAAACTGAGGCTCAGGTTGCTTAAAAGACCCGCCCCAGTGAGAAGACACCAGGGGAAAGGTGCACTTTTGTCACACGCTCTGAGCACAGACCTTCATGGAAATTAGCAGAGCCAGGCTTTGCATCTCAATAGAAAACCATGCAATCTCTGCAGCTGCAAGGACCCCAGTGAAAAGCAGGCAAGCCTCCACTCCTGGCCTCTCACCTCAGCCCCAGGAAGTGACAAAGGCCTCTGAGCTCAAGGCAGCCTCAGAGTAGAAAAGGGATTCTCTGAAGCAGGCGTAACTGCTTTATTGAGGCTGGGCACAGTGGCTCACGCCTGTAATCCCGGCACTTTGGGAGGCAGAGGCCGGCGGATCACTTCAGGTTAGGAATTCGAGACCAGCCTGGCCAACATGGTGAAACCTCGTCTCTACTAAAAATACAAAAATTGGCCAGGCGCGGTGGCTCATGCCTGTAATCCCAGCACTTTGGGAGGCTGAGGTGGGTGGATCACTTGAGGTCAGGAGTTTGAGACCAGCCTGGCCAACATGGTGAAACCCTGCCTCTACTAAAAATTAAAAAAAAAAATTAGCCAGGTATGGTGGCACGCGCCTATAGTCCCAGCTACTTGGGAGGCTGAGGCATGAGAATCACTTGAGCCCAGGAGATGGAAGTTGCAGTGAGCTGAGACTGTGCCACTGCACTCCAGCCTGGGTGACAGAGCAAGATTTTGCCTCTAAATAAATAAATAGCCAGGCGCAGTGACTCACGCCTGTAATCCTAGCACTTTGGGAGGCCAAGGCAGGCAGATTGCCTGAGCTCAGGAGTTCAAGACCAGCCTGGGAAAGAAACATGGCAAAACCCCGTCTCTACTAAAAACACAAAAAATTAGCCAGGCGTGGTGCTGTACGCCTGTAATCTTAGCTACTTGGGAGGCTGAGGCAGGAGAATCACTTGAACCCGGGAGGCGGAGGTTGCACTGAGCCGAGATTGTGCCACTGCAGCCCAGCCTGAATGACAGAGCAAGACTCTGTCTCTAAATAAATAAATAAATAAATAAATAAACATCTTTATTGAGATACAATTGACAGGTAGTAAGTGGTGCATATTTGAAGTCCACAATTTGGCAAGTTTTGGCTTATACACATATACACCTGTGGATTCCTCACCACAGTAACGGAAGTATTCATCACCCCCGGAAGCTTCATCCTGCCCCGTGTCATCCTCTGCCCTTCCCTACCTCCTCTCAACTCTCATGGGCCCTCTCTCCCTGCAGCGGCTGCAGAGCGGCACCACAGGTGTGTGTGCGCTCATTGCAGGAGCGACCCTGCACGTCGCCTGGCTCGGGGATTCCCAGGTCATTTTGGTACAGCAGGGACAGGTGGTGAAGCTGATGGAGCCACACAGACCAGAACGGCAGGTAAGGGGATCCCTGCGCCCAGGCCCAGGATATTCCTGGCCTCCATCATGCTGGGCCCATAGGGGAACCCCACCCAGCCTGGGAACTTCAGGTAGTAGTAATCCTGGCACCTTTCAAGAGGGAGGGCTCCCTGCCTGATTTGAGTGGCCGGGGGTCCCACGTGAGCCCTTCCTGAGAGCTCTGTGGGTCACAGCTATATGGAGCCCAGAGCTCCGGGGGAGAGCAGAGCCCTCTGCACTGACAGGCATCCCAGTGCAGTCAGTGCAGCCCAGTGCAGACCAGAGCCCATCATACACACGGACAAGGAGGCCACAGGCTGTGGGTGAGGAAGGCCTCAGGGAGGTGATGCTGCCCCGAGGCTGGAGGGAACCTGGCTTGGGGCTGTACTGACTAGAGGCTGCCTGGGACCCTGGCACTCAGGTCATCACCTGGACATGAGGATGACAGTCCCACTCAGACCTCTTCTCAGAAGACTGTCTCATCCATGTGTCTCCTGAGGTTGGATTGCGAGCATTCAGATATCATGGAATGACTGTTTATCCCTCAAACCCCACTTTTCCCACGTGCTGTTCTCCACCAGCTATGTTTGATTAACCATGCACATGGTGGATAATTCTACGTCAGCACATAGGAGCACCCATCCTTTCTTGGGGCTGCGGACATTGCATTCATCATGCAGTCCCTTGTGGGTGAGCATGAAGATCTTTTCAGTCTTTCGGTGCTAAAAACAATGCATCTCTACCTACTTTGTGCAGCATTAATTGCTCAGAGTCAAGTGTACCTATATCTGTAGGACACATCCCCAGAAGTGGGATGGCTAGGTTGGAACTGATGCACGTACAGTCTGGGTAGATTTGCCAAGCTTCCCACCTCAGGCCATGCCAGCCTGGGCTGGCACTACATTCCCAAGAAGGTCCATTTCCCCACAGTCTCACCAGGCTGCAGGATTCTTCCTGTCAGGTAAGAAGCCTGTCTTGGGGCAATTGTTAAGTTTGCTTTTCTGTTACAGAGTGAGTTTGAGCGTGTTTTCAAAAGCTGAAGATCATTTACACAGCCTTTCCTGCAAACACTGTTTTTTTCCTTTGCCTGTTTTTCTTATCAGTTTATAGGTTCCTTGTATATGTGAAGGAGGTTGGTTCCTTGTCTGTGATGATTTGCAAATGTTTTTCCATGCATCTTTTATTTTTGTTTATGGGCTTTTGCCACATGGAGGCTTTGTGTTTTTCTGTAGTTGAGTAGTCTTTTTGTGGCTTCTGGTTTGGAAAGCACATAGAGACACCAGGACTTGATGATTGTAACAGTCAGGGGCAGCTACATTCCTTGGCCTTTCACTGCGGCTCACGGTCTGGTATGGGCCCCCTGTACGTCCTCTCCCCATTGTACAGAGGAGAAAACTGAGGCTCAGTCACTTGCCCAGAGCACACCGCCAAAGTCACAGATAGTCTCTGCCACTCCCCTGCCTCCACCACCGTGGGGGAATTTGGCACCTGCTCCCTAGTGGGCTCTCCTCCCCAGGATATGCAGTCAGATGAAATGTGGCCAAGTCAGGATTCGTGCTGGGCCCACTCCCACCTGCTGCCTGCACACCTACAGGCTCAGCATTCAGCACCCCATTAAAGCCCAGTGGGGGCTCTGTTCAAACACTGCCTGAGTCCTGCAGTATGGCGTCGTGGCAGAGCATGGACAGATGGCCTTGCCTGGTCCCGGCTCCACCGCTTCCAAGTCCATCACACAGGGGTCCCTGGAGGTTTGGGGTAAGGATTGAGTGTCCCAGTGCATGTGGAGCACAGAGATCAGAGCTTGCACAAGAGAAGCACACACAGGTGTCTGTGTTCTTGGCTGCAGCCCGCATGGGCCAAGGAGTTCAGATCCAGTGCCCCCCACCTCCCCTTTCCTGCCGCCATGCTCTGTAGGCTTGGCCCCTCCTGCTGTGATCCTGATCACAGCCTTCCACCCTAGAGAATTAATCACAGATCCAGGCCAAGGTTCTCCCACAAAAACAAGCATCATGTCGGTTACAAGAGCAAGAAACTGGCCTCAACTTGGCGAGCTTCAACGGGGGTCCAGCAGCGGCCCAGAGCAGCTTCCAGGAGTACGTGGGGGGAGTGCGTGGTGCTCTGCCTTGTTCTGCGGCTGTCTGAACAGTCTCCTGCCTCTGCACTCAGTTCAGCCTCCAAACACTGAGTGCCCACTCTGCACAAGATACTTTGTTGAGGCAGTGAGATAACACAGGACCCACTTCCTGCCTCTAAGTCTAATGGGGGAGCAGGAGGAGGGCAAGGACCTGGCAGGATGAGGCAGAGAGATGAATGGAATGGAGCCGCATCTCAGGCAGTTGCAATTCCTGCAGGCCAGGGGAGAGACCAGGAGGAAAGGGCAGGTTATGCCAGAATCAGGGCCAGGTGTGGAGGTGTGCCCCAAGTGATCCTCCCACCTCTCAAGCCTCAGGAGACAGGAGGATGGCTTGAGCCCTAGAGGTTGAGGCTGCAGTGAGCTATGTTCATGACACTGCACTCCAGCCTTGGCAACAGAGTGAGACCCTGTCTTCAAAAAACAAAAACAAGCCCCAGAATCAGTGGGTAGAAGACTCGGGGCAGGGGAGAAGACCACCCACCTGCTGCTCCTTCAGCTGGAAAAGCTGGACTGCCCCAGGCTGGGAGGAACTCTGTAAGGACTCACTAGAAGCTTCTGAAGTGATCAGGCCACTGGAGGACAAGTTGAGGGCTGGGTCACAAAAGTGAGTTCAGGAGGGCAGTGAGAGTCACTCAAGGTCACAGGTCACGCTGGCACGCCTGGCAGGCAGCCTGGGAGAGATAGGAGTCCCGGCTCTGCAGGTGGAGACATCGCAGAGGGCCTTGGGCATCCAGGAGGATGGCAGTGCCATAGGCGACGCTGCTGCGGCCTGGCCGTGTGGAGCACTGCACTCCTAGGAAGCAGGAAATGGCTGTTCACAGGAACCCACAGGCCACCGGCTCCAGCTTTGACCTGGGAAGCTGTTTCAGGCAGGTGGAGAGGATGAGGTTTGAGGAGCAGAGGGAAGAGCTGCTGAGGGGGTGGGCGCTGGGCAGTCGGGAGGCGAAGGCAGGAGATGGCTTGAGCCCTAGAGGTCGAGGCTGCAGTGAGCTATGTTCATGACACTGCACTCCAGCCTTGGCAACAAAGCAAGACCCTGTCTCCAAAAAAAAAAAAAAAAAAAAAAAAAAAACAAAACAAAAAACAGAATCAAGAATCAGTGACTAGGAGACTCAGGGGGAATGGGACAAGACCCCTTAGCCTGGGGATATGTTAGTCCCGGACCAGACTGAGCCTGGCCAGTGTGTGACGGAGGTGGGAGCCACTGGAGGGGAGGAGGACCCAGGTTCAGGGCCAGGGTTAGAGGGGCGAGCCCGGGGAGCCGGCGCAGCCTGTCCAGCACAGGGGGTGCAGAATGGCAGGAGAGGGGATCACAGGCTGCAGGGGAGCAGCACAGCCCCTGTGCCCTCCTGCCCTTTGGCTCCACCCTGTCCCACAGCCATCCCTGGTGGTGGGGAGGGGCTTCAGGTAGGAAGGTTCTAAGCTTAGCCTGCATGGCCCCCTGTGGGGGAGAGCCACCTCCAGAGGGCATGGGAAGCAGATTGCCGTTCATTCTCCATCACCTGCCCACATTCCTGCCTCTGGGACATTGAGGGGCTGGAGTGGGCTGGGGTGTGTGGGAGACAGAAGCAGAGAAAGGCTCCTCATTCTCCCTGGAGCCTCCCACGCTCACAGCCCCTCCCCAGGGAACGCCTCTGAGGCACAGGGGAGGAGGCGCTGCTTCCTCTGCAGCTCCTCGCCGTCTGCAGGCGCCTTCACGCGTGTGTGTGGGCACATGTATGTGTGAACATTCGTGCGTACTCTGTGTTCATCCACCTGCCTCTCCCCGTGCCCTTTCTCCTGCCCTCTTCTTGGCTGTCTCCTGCTCTTCCCTCCTTCCTGGTCCTCCTTGCCTTTCCCTTGCCCTGCTCAGACCCCGGAGGTGGCAGATCTTAGACCCAGAGAGAGCCTTGAGGTCCCTGTTCCTGCCCCCTTCATGGCTTGATTCTCCACCTCAGCTGGGACAGGAGCACCCAGCCTACCAGGCACTGGTCCAGTTCCCACACAGGCTCATGGCTGCAGTGCCCAGGAAGGCCGGGACTCCTGCAAACCCATGTCATTCCCACCACAATGCCCTCTGCAGGGGAGCCACATAAAGAGGCCTGGTCCTTGGTGCAGGCATCTGGAGAGGGCTGCCTCCCCCAGGCCTCCCGCAGTGCATGTCCGTCTGCTCTGGGGAGGGAATTGGCTGATATCCCAATCTGTCTAGGGGACACCATCACCTGGGGCATCAGAGTTCTCATGCCCAGCTGGTGCTGTGCCTGGGGACTAGAAGGGCTGGTGCTGCGTGGGGTCAAGAGGTTTACCTGATAAACCGGTAAGGGATGCCCTCTTCCCCCAGTAGACTTGGGAGGTGCCTCACTCCCAGGGTGCCTCCGTCACTCTGTCAGGGATGCTGTTGTGCAGGCTTCAGTCAGCAGGCTCTCATCGGGGCAGCCTCTCCTTTGGGCAGAGGCTGATAGGACCAAAGAGGTTTCTAGAGGACTTGTGGGTGGACCAAGCCTCTGTCCTGTCCCTGGAGGAACCCAGGCCTGGGGTGTTGTGGTCCCCAGCTGAGTGGAGACTGTGCCTGTGCTGAGCTTGGGTAGAGGAGGACAAGAACTAGGCCAGGCGCGGTGGCTCACACCTGTAATCCCAGCACTTTGGGAAGCCGAGGAGGGTGGATCATGAGGTCAGGAGATCGAGACCAGTCTGGCCAACTTTGAGAAACCCTGTCTCCATTAAAAACACAAAAAAATTAGCTGGGCATGGTGGCACGCCCCTGTAGTCACAGCTACTCAGGAGGCTGAGGCAGGAGAATCACTTGAACCCAGGAGGCAGAGGTTGTAGTGAGCCAAGATCGTGCCACTTCACTCCAGCCAGGTGACAGAGCGAGACTCTGTCTCAAAAAAAAAAAAAAAAAAGAACTGGGCGGGCACAGGCTGCCGTCAGGGCCTCGCTCAGGCTTCCCTGCTGTGTGACCACTCACGTCACATGCTCCATCTTGGCCCAGCAGCTTTCAGGGCAGAGACGGTGTCCCCGAGCTAGAGACAGGGAAGCAGAAGGATCTGCTGTCTGTGTCGGGCTCGCAAGCCTCGTGAGTGCCTCCCTGACCCAGAATGCTGCCCAGGGGCGCAGGCACCGCTAGGCGGCCTCAGGTGGTCCGTTCATTTCACCATTCCTGCAACTAAAGGACTTGTGGGTTGTGTATAATTTCTCACTGTTTTTGATGAGCCTCGTTTGGGTGCATCTCTGAGCCTCCTGGCTTTGTTCCAGTGCTGCGGCTTTGAATGCTGCTGTCTTAGAAGCAGCTGTGCCTCTGCTCAGGTAGCAGCAGGGGGCTTCACGCCCCATCCCCCCGGCCCTGCCCCCAACTCTGGCTGTGTTTCTGCAGGATGAGAAGGCGCGCATTGAAGCATTGGGTGGCTTTGTGTCTCACATGGACTGCTGGAGAGTCAACGGGACCCTGGCCGTCTCCAGAGCCATCGGTGAGAGCCAAAGAGGCCGACCCAAGTGGGAGAAGGTCTCTCGGAAGCCCAGGCCTCGAGTGTGGCCCGCGGCTCACCAGGGGTTCAGGGAGGCAGTGTGATGGGCCGAGGGGGATTTGTCATGCACTGGGGTGATACCCTCGTAGTGTGAAGGGAACAGGGCAGATTCAGAGACTGCAGCACCAGTGTCTGAGTGTAAGTTACACTGTATGTTATTATCTCACCTAAAACAGCTCCTACAAATCTCATAGAAACCTGTGGCTCACCACCCTATGGGCTGGAAGTAGAGCTTCCAATATTCCGGAAATGAGGTTTATCCTCCTCCCGCGTTCATGCTGACAATCCTTTTTTCTCTTTTGGGAAAAAAGTGGGTTCGCTGGGCGCGGTGGCTCACGCCTGTAATCCCAGCACTTTGGGAGGCCGAGGTGGGTGGATCACCTGAGGTCGGGAGTTCGAGACCAGCCTGATGAAACCCCATGTCTACTAAAAAAAAAATACAAAAAATTAGCCAGGCATGGTAGTGAGCCCCTGTAATTCCAGCTATTCAGAAGGCTGAGGCAGGAGAATCACTTGAACCCAGAAGGCGGAGGTTGCAGTGAGCTGAGATCGCGCCACTCCACTCCAGCCTGGATAACGAGGAAAACTCTGTCTCAAAAAATAATAATAAAAATAAATAAAAATTTTAAAAAGTAATGGGTCTGGCTGGGCATGCTGGCTCACGCCTGTAATCCCAGCACTTTGGGAGGCCAAGGTGGGCGGATCACCTGAGATCGGGAGTTCGAGACCAGCCTGGCCAACATGGTGAAACCCCTTCTCTACAAAAAATACAAAGTTAGCCAGGTGTGGTGGCACGCGCCTGTAATCTCAGTTACTTGGGAGGCTGAGGGAGGAGAAGTGCTTGAACCCAGAGGCGGAGGTTACAGTAAGCGGAGATCGTGCCACTGCACTCCAGCCTGGGCAACAGAGCCAGACTGTGTCTCAAAAAAAAAAAAAAAAGTAGCTGGGCGCGGTGGCTCACGCCTGTAATCCCAGCACTTTGGGAGGCCAAGGCGGGTGGATCACCTGAGGTCAGGAGTTCGAGACCAGCCTGACCAACATGGTGAAACCCCATCTCTACTAAAAATACAAAAAACATTAGCCGGGCGTGGTGGTGCCTGCCTGTAATCGCAGCTACTTGGGATGCTGAGGCAGCAGGATCACCTGAACCCTGGAGGTGGAGGTTGCGGTGAGCCAAGATTGCACCATTGCACTGCAGCCTGGGCGACAAGAGCGAAACTCCATCTCAAAAAAAAAAAAAAAAGTGGGTCCAGCCTGCATCTCATTGTCTCAGCATGCGGTCAGTGCCGGGTCTCAGGCTGTGGGCACTGTGACCACACCTCCTTCCTGGTACTTAGAAAATCTCTCCCTCCCCAGCTGATTGCCAGGGATTTGGCACCTACCCCTCTGAAACATTCTGTCCTTTTTGGCAGATGTGGCACCTTCTTGACAGCCCATCCTCAGGCTGTGTCTTTCCTTGTGTCTCTGGACACTCCAGGAAGTGAGGCCAGGATGGGACGGCTAGGGCAGAGAAAGAGGGAGCTCGGCCTGGTGTGGTGGCTCATGCCTGTAATCCCAGCACTTTGGGAGGCTGAGGTGGGCAGATCACAAGGTCAAGAGATCGAGACCATCTTGGCCAACATGGTGAAACCCCATCTCTACTAAAATACAAAAAAAAAAAAAAACAATTAGCTGGGCATGGTGGCGCGAGCCTGTAATCCCAGCTACTCGGGAGGCTGAGGCAGGGGAATCGCTTGAACCCAGGAGGCAGAGGTTGCAGTGAGCTGAGATCGCGCCACTGCAGCCTGGCGACAGAGCAAGACTCCATCTCAAAAAAGAAAAAAGAAAAAAAGGGGGAGCTCACAGGCCAAGGTCAGGGGTTTCCGTTCCCAGGCAAGTGGGAAGTACTGGGCAGTTTGCATAAGGGAGCAACAGACCCCAGACCCCATGAGAGCAGGTTGGTCTCTGTCCCTGCAGGATGTGAGGTCTAGGCCTGGGTAGGTGGGGAGGAAGCTGTGGACACCGTGGTCCTCTGACCCGGGCTCTTCTCCGCCTGTCCAGGGGATGTCTTCCAGAAGCCCTACGTGTCTGGGGAGGCCGATGCAGCTTCCCGGGCGCTGACGGGCTCCGAGGACTACCTGCTGCTTGCCTGTGATGGCTTCTTTGACGTCGTACCCCACCAGGAAGTTGTTGGCCTGGTCCAGAGCCACCTGACCAGGCAGCAGGGCAGCGGGCTCCGTGTCGCCGAGGAGCTGGTGGCTGCGGCCCGGGAGCGGGGCTCCCACGACAACATCACGGTCATGGTGGTCTTCCTCAGGGACCCCCAAGAGCTGCTGGAGGGCGGGAACCAGGGAGAAGGGGACCCCCAGGCAGAAGGGAGGAGGCAGGACTTGCCCTCCAGCCTTCCAGAACCTGAGACCCAGGCTCCACCAAGAAGCTAGGTGGTTTCCAGGCCCCTGCCCTCCCCTTCCTCCCATCCTTGTCCTTCTCTCCCTCAGAAGCCTCAGGACCCAACAGGTGGCAGGCAGTGGACAGGGTGCCCGCCCCACAGTGCTTTCCCCAGCACCCCAGAGCCAGTCGGGACACCCCCCGCAGCCCGTCCTGGTGGCTGTGGAACTGCACTGGGTGGCGGGCAGATGGTGGAAGGCAGCTTAGGAGACCTCACCAAAGAGAAGATGGACCGGCTCTTGCTCCCAGCTCCTATTAGGCCCGGGGTGGGACCAGAGGTCATAGGTGCCCAACGGCAGCCAAACCAAAGACACTGGTGTGCATGGGGCAGCATGGTTGTGCACGTGGGACCCTGGGGCGGACCCAGGAGCCAAACTCTTGAAGCACCCCCTGGGTCAGGCCCAGCAGCGGAGTGGCCAGCCCCAGTTTCCCATTGCTCCTCTCTGCGGCCAGGGCCAGGTGGGTTCATATTTACAGATATGCCCAGCCAGTCCTGGTCGGCCACACCAGTGTCCCAAAGAGGAGAGCGCAGCAGAGCCAGGGGTCTGTTCTGTAGCAGCCACCCCCCTGCCCCCACTCCAGGGCAGCCATGATGTGCTTGGGCCCACCAGGGCCTTCCGGGCTGCTCTCTTCCCTGAGCCCGGAACCGGCGACGCACATGTGTCTTTTGTTGGTGTGTTTGTTTTTTTCCAGGGAGGTCTAATTCCGAAGCAGTATTCCAGGTTTTCTCTTTGTTTTATCAGTGCCAAGATGACCTGTTGTGTCATATAATTTAAGCAGAGCTTAGCATTTATTTTATTCTTTAGAAAACTTAAGTATTTACTTTTTTAAAGCTATTTTTCAAGGAACCTTTTTTTGCAGTATTATTGAATTTATTTTCTAAATCAGGATTGAAACAGGAACTTTTCCAGGTGGTGTTAATAAGCCATTCAAGTGCCTTACACAGCTTTGAAGAAACTAGGACTGCAGTGGGCTCGGATAGGCCCATTGAGGTTTTTAGAAAAGCAGGATTTGTTTTGTTAGGGAGGCATGATTTTGGTGAGATCTTTCTGGAAGAGTTTTCCGCCTCTTTGTGATGCTGAACACCCCCAAGGTTCTCCCCTCCCCCCGCTGCCCAGGTGACTGGCAGGAGCTGCGACTGCCACGTAGTGGTGCCTGGGCCCGACAGCGGGGCTCTGGGCATCCCGGGTGACCTTGGCCCATCTGCCTGCATTCCCACCCCCTTGGGCCTGGCTGGATCCCAGGCAGAGGGACCTTGCTGCTGTGTGATTGGAACATTCCCAAATATCTTGTGAATTTGTAATCAAATTGGTCTCATTGGGAAAGACTCTTAATTAAGAGGCTCAGGCAAGCACAGAGGCAGCCCGTGGGTCTCTGTCTCAGTCTGGAGGCAGCAGGGATGCTGCTGGGAGTCCATGGCACAGGCCACAGCCCCTCACCTTGCCGCGGTGGCTGGCAGCACGCCTGCCTTGCTCTGCCCCATGCCCTGAACAGGCATGAGAGCTCCACGTCCCCTAGTGCACCCTGAGAGGGGGCTCACAAGTGACCGATCCTGGGTGCCTCAGGGAGCTCACTGAGGGCGTGCAAAGTTGAAAGTGGCAAGGCTGGGGGAGGGTGTCGGGTAGAGGGAAGAGGGCAGGGGGCTAGGGGAGGACTCAGAGGCCATCTGCAGGGCCAAGCCACAGGAAGGGCTGAGCTGGAGGTGGGCAGGGCTGCTCCAGGCAGGTCAGAGCAGTGCAGGGGGAGGAGAGGAGAAAGGGAGGAAGCTGGGCTGTGTGGTCCCCATGAAGGCATTCAGAGTCCACCTGCAGACAGCGAGAGCCCCAGGAAGGTTTGCACAGCTGTGCCCCAAGCACCTTGGCCTCCTCTCAGCTCGCCGAGGAGGCACGCTAGAGCCGCCTTCCCGGTGGGAGCCCTCTGTCCCACAGGGAGCGGGGAGCCAGCTTTGCTGGGGCCCTACCTGCATGCCCAGCCTTACCCCTCATTCTCACAGCACAGATGAGGTTGAGACCATGCAGTCAATGCATTGCTTAAGGTCTCTTATTTACAAAAAAAAACCTTAAACATAGTCGCTGTCATTCAGACATTCAGAGAATGGTTGGCCACAAACAATGACCAAGTATTGCTTGGCTTAACTTGAAGGCCTGCTGTCTCCTTCTGGGGGTCAGGGACGCAGCTCCACCCTCACCACTAGCCCACCCTGCCCGTGGGCATAACCTTGACGAAGAGAGAGAATGATTGGCATCTGCTTTTCTCTTTTCTTTGCTAATAATTCTGTTCCTGGCTGCCGAGAGTGAAGTTTCACCATGTGGAGGTTTGGCTCCTATCACCTGGTGGTCTGATTCATACCCTAGCCTGAGGCTCCACTGGAAGATCTCGCAGCCTCAGTGTATGGGAAACCCTTTCCCCAGGCTTGTCCCAGCACTGCCGCTCCCCACCCCTGAGCCAGGACCCCAGAGGATGGCCATGCCCCGTGCCTGGCAGAGGTCTGGTGCCAGCACTGGGAGCTGCTCCGCCCTTGCCTTGGGGCCGAGGGAGCCCTCGTCCACCCCTGCACAGCAGCTGGGCACAGAGGAGCGCTCTTCCATCTTGACCAGGACTGCACCAAGAAGCACCAGGTGTCTTCAGCCTCCAACCTCCGGGGCGACCTTCTCTTCCAGCCACAGTCCCATGAGGGCCCCTAGCCAGGGACACTGGTCTGTAAATTGTAATCCTTTCTCCAGCCCAGCTCTCCACTTGTTCCTTGTGTGAGCTGAGCAGGCAGTGCACCTCTGAGTGTCCCTTTTGTAAGGCCCAGGGGTTGCACTGAGTCTGCAGAGGCCGCGACCTCCTAGAACGCTGTGGGTGCAGGTGAGCCGGCGTGTCCTGGGGAGATGCTGCCAGCACACAGGGGCCCTCCTGCTGCCAGCAGGTTGGGGTGGTTAAGTCTTATTAGTGTCTATTCTTAAAATTAAGTGGGCTGGAGAAGAATGGAGCTCCACATGCCAGCACCGTATATGGAATACAAAAGCTGGGGAAGCAGGGCCTGCCTTACAGGTGTGGCTGACTCTGAGCCCAGGCCTGCAGGGGTGGAGGGCAGTCCCTCAGAATCCCAGAGGCAGTCCCAGCCTCAGAACCCAGGATAGGAAATGGGTGTGTTTAGTGGGGAAAGGGACGGGGTGCAGACGGCAGGGCCAGTATGGGGCCCCCTCCCTCTCCTCTCCTCTCCTATGGTGAGCCCAGCGTGGGCACCGGGCCGTCTCAGCCGTGTTCCCAGGGCTGGGAGGACAGCTCTGGCCCTTCTTAGGCCTAGCCTCGTCCCAAGCTAAATGTAAGCCAGTTGGGCTGTGTTAAAGGAAGCAGTGTTTTTGGTTCGATTCTGCCTCTGTAGCTCAAGGGGGGCAGCCCCCAGAGTCCTGTGCATTCTGCCAAGGCTCCATAGCTTTGCCAAATGCACGGAGCTCTGCCATTCCGGTGCAGTGCAGGCCTTGCGAAGGGTTTATCTGCGTTCGTCTCGGTGGGCTTCTCCTGCATGGGAGTTGTGTTCCTGTGCAAGGGGGAGCTTTGCTCCAGGACAGGATGACTGTCTTCCCTATTCTTAGGGACAAGTCCCAAGATGCCAGAAAGGCAGTCTCCCAAGGACCCACCATGCAGAAGTGTCAATAAACCACAAGTTCTGAACTCTGTCGCCCGAGTCCTGCCTTCTTCCTGACTTCTGAGCATCTTGTCCCCTTTGATGTCCAGATGTGTTTGGAAGCTGCTTTAATATTGGGGACCATCTGCAAATCTTGCGAAGCGAGCAGACAAATTCTGGAGAGAGCCCTGGTGGCCTACACCCTCCTGGTCTAGCCAGCAACCTGATTTTCCTCCCTGAGGGGCTCTGAGCCCACCCCCACCAGCAGCAGGAAGGTGACAGGAAAGGGATTAAGCCCCTGGGACCTCACATGACATTGGGGAGCCACAGGAGCATTGAGGACCCCTCATTTTATCCAGGAGCCTGATGTGCCCCAGGAGGTTCCATCCTGAGGATGGAGACCCTCTGACATGACGCTCTTGAGGCCCACCATTTATACCCTCCTGGCACCTCCTGAGGCCAGGTGTGGTGGCGCACACCTGTAATCCCAGCACTTTGGGAGGCTGAGGTGGGAGGATCTCTTGCGCTCAGGAGTTTGAGACCAGCCTGGGCAACATAGGGAGACCCCCATCTCTACAGATAATCAAAAAATTAGCCCCAGTATGATGGCACAAGCCTGTAGTCCCAGCTACTTAGGAGGCTGAGGCAGGAGGATCGCTTAAGTTTGAGGAGCTTGAGGCTGCAGTGAGCTAGGATTGCGCCACTGCACTCCATCCTGGGTGACAGAGCAAGACCTTGTCTCAAAAAAAGAACAAAGCACTGAGCCTTTCTTCTGCCCCCTGCTCCCGCCACCCCGCTCCGCCATCCTCGAAGCCTGCATGGCACTTGTCCCACATGGGAGCTCGGCTGCCGCCCAGAAGTGAATCCACTGCAGGTTCACTGCTGGTGCTCCCTGAGGGGCAGGGTTATAGGGGGTTTTTTCCTCCCCCCTTTAGGTTTTCTTCTAAATCCTAATTTTTTTTAGTACGGTGAACATGCTTTAAAAATGCTTTTATGTAATCTGTCATGGGAATTTTAAGGGAAAAAAAAGATAAAAATGCCTTAACAGAAGACCTGGAGAGATCCACCAGCAGCAGGGGTGGGCAGTGCTAAGCCCTGGGGTCCTGGTAGAGAACTAGGAATGGCAGTGGTGGCTGCACTAGGTGGGGGAGCGAGGCTGAGGGGGTGGGGAGCAGCGCTTCGGTGGTGGGCAAGCCTCACTGTTCCTGGTGGAAGGGACTGGCCCCTGATGGCTGCTTGGACAGATATCAGAAACTCACCTCAGGACCACCACACCTGATGGATTTTAGGGAACCCCCCACAAGGCCCGCCCACCTGCCTCCCTTTGCTCTAGACCTGTGGCCCCCAACCACAACCTCCAGTCCAGACCTCTGTAGCCTCACCCACCCAAGGACGGCCAGCAGCAAAATGCAGGGCCTTGGCCCGAGCGTTGCTGCTGGTCGCTTAGCAGGCTGGAGGGCTGGTTCCCCCTGAAGCCCCAGGATAGCACGCACAGGCCCAGTCCCATGTGGCTGCAGCTCCTAGCACACATGAAACTGCTCTTGGAGACGGCTTCAGAGCCTTCTCAGTGCCCTCAGGGGGTCAGTATTGAAGCAGCCAGTCGTGGGACTCTGTCGACCAGTCCTTCAGCGCATGTTGGCCAAGTGTTTGCCACGCTGCTGCAGGTGCTGGGGCAAGGGATGAGCCAGCTACCAATTCCCCACCTAAGACAAAGAGGATTCGGCTTATCACACAGGGGTCAAGTGCCCCTAGGCCGCAAAGCTGCTAAGGGGTCCAAGCCTTGGAAAGTCACCCTTCTCAGAGTCCCCAATTCTTCACTGCCTTTTGATCTTTGGTTCCTTTCTCAATCAAGAGAAAGCAAGGCAGCAGGGGCCGGGAAACTCGCCCTTGTGCTCCTGGCTGAGCTCAGGCTTCAAGGGCACACAAACATCAGAAATGCCTCCCCGCAGACACTGCCCAGCCACGGCCAAAAGTGCTGCCCTGAACTTCTCCGTAGAATGTGGGGGAGGCCCTCAGGCTTGTGGGCGCATGGGAGCAGCTGTCCTAGGGCTGCCTGAGCCCGGTGCCTTCCCCACTCCCACTTTGCCTGCAGGCCTCCTCTCTCCTGTCTGTAGCCTTGTCTGTGCATTTTCTCCTGGTCCTTCCCAAGCCACCTGAGAGAGCTCTCAGTCCCCTCCCCCGGCTCCCGGCAGTGCCTGCTGCCCAGGGCTGCAGCCTCCAACTCTCCAGGACCAGCGCCAGAAAAGCAGCTTTTTTTTTTTTTTTGAGAGAAGTCTTGTTCTGTCTCCAGGCTGGAGTGCAGTGGTGCGATCTTGGCTCACTACAACCTCCACCTCCTGGGTTCAAGCGATTCCCCTGCCTTAGCCTTCTGAGTAGCTGGGACTACGGGTGCACACCACCACGCCCAGCTAATTTTTGTGTAGAGATAGGGTTTCACCATGTTGGCCAGGATGGTCTTGATTTCTTGACCTTGTGATCCACCCGCCTCAGCCTCCCAAAGTACTGGGATTACAGGCGTGAGCAACCGCGCCTAGCCAAAAGACAGCTTTATCTGTGTCCACTGTGTCACAGAGGGGGCATCCTTAGGGAAGCAGGGGAACTAGCCCCGGATGCAAGAGCTGGGACCAGGCCCTGGGCCGCCCACCACACCTACTCAAGCATCCATGTCCTCCTCCCCACACCCCTGCTCCTCTGAAGCTCCCAGCAGGATTTCCTTCCTAAGTATCTGCTGTCTTGACTGTTCTCTGGTGAACTGGCTTATGTGTCTGAAACTCATCTTCACAGCCAGATAGTGGCTCAGTGCTCTCTGTCTGCCCCTCACTTTCACAGAGCTGATCCCGGAGAGCACCCTCTCTCAGGACCTCTGGGTGGGGGGGGGGGAGGCCCAAGGGACTGAGGGTGCACAGGCAGGCAGACGGGCTGGAGCTGCCTGGCACCTACAGGGGGTTCACCCATGGGAGCAGGCCACAGTGTGGCAAGTGGGGGTGGGGATGGAGGTGAAAGGGGTGTGAGCCAACCCCTCAGTCAGGAGGGGGCCAAACCTGGAGCTAAGTCTAGCACAGACAGCTGAGGCCAGAGTCTGCCTGGGGAAGGGGTGGGGAGCTGGGGGGTTAGGACTGGGCCTCACACCCACCAAATGGAGGCTTCAGCTGGTGGAAGGGAGCCCAAAACCAAGGTCCCCCAGGCAAGAGGTGACGTGAGGCAGAGCCAGGGAAACAGAGGCAAGAATCCTGGCTGGGAGGGCTGATGACTGGCCTGCCCCAGATTTCCCTCAGAAGGTCCCTGGATCCCAGCTGCGTTGTGGTCCTGCAGATCCCTCCTGTTCTCACCTGGTCTTGAGAACAGGTGGCTGGTCTTGGGTGGAGCCAGGCTCTGAACCAGTTGAGGACAGGACCTCAGCTGGGGGGCTCCATACACAAAGCTGTCTTGGATCTGCTTCCTGGGACTTGGACATCGGTGTTCTGGACATCTGGGCCTCCCACAGCCAAGAAGTGGGCACAAGCCCTCGAGAGCCAGCCCTGAGGATTTGTCCTACCCCCATAGAGGGTCCTGGCCAGATGTGTTAGCTCCAGGAGCAGCACAGGGAGCCATGGTGGCACCAAAGCCCCATCACAGGCAGGCCTCTCCTTGGACCACTGTCCTAGGCAGTCACTGTGGCCATAGTCAGGGGACCTCTTCCTCACTCACTGCCCAGCCCCAGGAGGCTCAAAGGCCTGCCTCTGGGGCCCACTCCCTCCCTGCCATCTCAATGCCTGATCCCAACAATGTAGCAGACTTTTCTGAACAGCTTATCATGGTCTGTTTTCTTTCAGTAAGTGAAAGATTTTTGCACCAAGAAAAGTTTGTAGGCAGACATTTAGAAAAAAATAGTGGAAGTTTCTTACACCGTATGTGTCTATAAGGACACAGATATCAAGCCCTGACAATCCTATATGAGCAGTTCATCAGGTGCTGTTTTATTTCAGTAAATGGAAGACAAAAATCTTCTTCCTTTTTTTTTTCTTTTTTTTTTTTTTTGAGAGAGAGAGTCTCGCTCTGTCACCCAGGCTGGAGTGCAGTGGCGCGGTCTCAGCTCACTGCAACCTCTGCCTCCGAGGTTCAAGCGATTCTCTCGCCTCAGCCTCCCAAGTAGCTGGGACTACAGGCGTGGAGCACCATGCCTGGCTAATTTTTTGTACTTTAGTAGAGATGGGGTTTCACCATGTTGCTTAAGCTGGTCTCAAACTCACTCCTGAGCTCAGGCAGTCTGCCCACCTCGGCCTCCAAACGTGCTGGGATTACAGGCGTGAGCCACCACGCCTGGCTTTCTTCCATTTTTAAAACACAAAGCCTTTGACATCAACACCTTGAGAATTGATGTCCAGATCAGCTCCAAAGCCTAACAGTGAAACAGACCCACCAGCCAACATCAAAACAACTTTGCCCATAATAAGAAGATCCTTCTAGACTTCACCCTCGGCCGCCCCCACCACTCACCCTCTAACCAGTATCCTAAATGTTAGAATCATCCTCATAGATTTACCACTATGTCTATATCCCTACACACTGCTGTATAGTTTTGCTTATCTTTTAACTTTCTGAAAATGACATTTTACTGTCTGCTTTCTTATACTTCATGTTTGTGTCACTTAGCATATGTTTCTCGAATTCATCCATGCTGTGTGGGTTTCTGGATCTTTGCAGAAACAGAGCTGCCATAAACATTCTTGTCGGGTCTCCTGGTTTCCATGCACAGGAGTTTCTCTAGGGTATACACCAAGAAGTGAAAATGCTGGGCAGAGCAGGCTATGCAATTTGTAAATTAAAATTAAATTAATTGCATTAAAATTTAATTAAATTTTACATTTTTATTCTAATTTTTCCTTTTTTTTGTTGTTCGTTTTTTTGTTTGTTTGTTTTTTCGAGATGGTGTCTCACTCTGTCTCCTAGGCTGGAGTGCAATGGCACGTTCTCAGTTTACTGCAACCTCTGCCTCCTGGATTCAAGAGATCCTCTTGCCTCAGCCTCCCAAGTAGCTGGGATTACAGGCGCCTGCCACCATGCCCCACTAATTTTTGTGTTTTTAGTAGAGACGGCATTTTACCATGTTGGCCAGGCTGGTCTCAAACTCCTGACCTCAAGTGATCCATCTGCCTCAGCCTCCCAAAGTGCTGGGATTATAGGCATGAGCCACTGCACCTGGTCTTTTGTTTGTTTTTTGTTTTACAAGTGGGATCTCACTCTCTTGCCCAGGTTGGAGTCCAGTTGGCTCGCTGGAGCCTCGACCTCCTGGGTTCAATCTGGCCTCCCACCTAAGCCACCCAAGTAACTGGGACTACAGGTGCACACCACTATGCATGGCTAATTTTTTTACTTTTTTGTAGAGATGAGGTTTCACCATGTTGCCCAAGGTAGTCTTGAACTCCTGGCCTCAAGTGATCCGCCTGCCTCAGCCTCCCAAAGTGTTGGGATTACAGGCATGAGAGCCACTGCACCTGACCTAAACATTTTTTAAATTTATTTATTTATTTATTTTGAGACATAGTCTTGCTGTCTCACCCAGGCTAGAGTGCAATGGCGCCATCTCAGCTACGTCTCCCAGGTTCAAGCGATTCTCCTGCTTCAGCCTCCCGAGTAGCTGGGATTACAGGCGCCCGCCACCACACCCTGATAATTTTTTGTATTTTTAGTAGAGACGGGGTTTCACTATGTTGGCCAGGCTGGTCTTGAACTCCTGACCTCATGATCTGCCTGCCCAGGCCTCCCAAAGTGCTGGGATTGCAGGCATGAGCCACCACAATTGGCCCAATGTTTAGGGCTGGGCGCAGTGGCTCACGCCTGTAATCCCAGCACTTTGGGAGGCCGAGGTGGGCAGATCACGAGGTCAGGAGTTTGCGACTAGCCTGGCCAACATGGCAAGACCCCGTCTCTACTAAAAATGCAAAAACTAGCCAGGCGAGGTAGTGGGCACGTGCCTGTAATCCCAGCTACTCGGGAGGCTGAGGCAGGAGAATTGCTTGAACCCAGGAGATGGAGGCTGCAGTGAGCCAAGATCACGCCACTGCACTCCAGCCTGGGTGACAGAATGAGACTCTGTCTCAAATAAAATAAAATAAAACAAAATAGTTAAAATTAATTTACAAATTAAAATATGAGCTCATCTGGGCACAATGGCTCATGCCTGTAATCCAAGCACTTTGGGAGGCCAAGGCGGGTAGATCACCGGGTCAGGAGTTCAAGACCAGCCTGGCCAAGATGATGAACCCATCTCTACTAAAAATACAAAAAAAAATAGCTGGGCGTGGTGGCAGGCACCTGTAATTCCAGCTACTCCGGAGGCTGAGGCAGAGAATTGCTTGAACCCAGGAGGCGGAGATTGCAGGGAGCCAAGATCGTGCCATTGCACTCCATCCTGGGCAACAGAGCAAGACTCCATCTCAAAACACACACACACACACACACACACACACACACTATATATATATATGGGCTATATATATATATATATATGAGCTATATATATATGAGCAATATATATATATGAGCTATATATATATATATGAGCAATATATATATATGAGCTCACTGGGCATGATGGCTCACATCTATAATCCTAGCACTTTGGGAGGCCGAGGAAGGCGGATTGCCTGAGCTGAGGAGTTCAAAACCAGCCTGGGCAACACGGTGAAACCCCGTCTCTTCTAAAATACAAAAAATTAGCCGGGCGTGGCAGCGTGCGCCTGTAGTCCCAGCTACATAGGAGGCTGAGGCAGGAGAGTTGCTTGAACCCAGGAGGCAGAGGTTGCAGTGAGCCGAGATCACGCCACTGCACTCCAGCCTGGGCGACAGAGCAAGACTCCGTCTCCAAAAAAAAAAAAAAAAAAAAAAGAGTTCCTTGATAAAATATCAGGGATTTCTGTACAGCAGCAGCATCACATTAAACCAGGTGCAGGCCCCATGGGACCACACAGGTGTGCAGCCACAAGGCCAGTCTGCACTGAGTCTTCATGCCCACCTGTCTAGGCCATGCATCGGCTTGTACCCAATGTCAGTGCTCACAGCATTTCTGTTGTTTCTTGTCCTCACCACCTCGTTTCTCATCCTCACCACCACTTGGGACCATCCTACTTGTAAAATTTTTGTCAATGTAATGAATGTAAAATAGCATCGTGTTGTGATTTCAATTTGCACTTCCTTGGTTACCCAAGAGGGTGAGCAGTTGGTGAGTGTGTTGACTGTGGTGGCTTCTTCTTTTCCTTTTTAAGTAATGATGAGGTCTTATTTGTTACTCAGGCTGGCCTCAAACTCCTGAGCTCAAGCAGTCCTCTCACCTTGGACTCCAAAGTGCTGGGATTACAGGCGTGAGCCACCACATCCAGCTGACTTTTTTTTTTTTTTCTTCCTTGAGACGGAATCTTGCTCTGTTGCCCAGGCTGGAGTGCAGTGGTGAGATCTTGGCTCACTGCAACCTCTGCCTCCCGAGATGAAGTGATTCTCCTGCCTCGGCCTCCCAAGTAGCTGGGATTGCAGGTGCCTACCACCTCGCCTGGCTAGTTTTTGTATTTTTAATAGAGACGGGGTTTCACCATGTTGGCCAGGCTGGTCTTAAACTCCTGAACTCAAGTGATCTTCCTGTATTGGCCTCCCAAAGTGCTGGGATTACAGGCGTGAGCCGCCACACCTGGCCTTTTTAAAAATTTTTATATTTTTATTATTTTTAAATAGAGATGGGTTTTCACCCTGTTGTCTAGACTGGTCTTAAATCCCTGGACTCAAGCAAACCACCTGCCTCAGCCTGACTTTTTTTTCTTTTTTTGAGATGGAGTCTCGCTCTGTCACCCAGGCTGGAGTGCGGTGGCGCCGTCTTGGCTCACTGCAACCCCTGCCTCCCGGGTTCATGCCATTCTCCTGCCTCAGCCTCCCAAGTAGCTAGGATTATAGGCACATGCCACCACGCCCGGCTAATTTTTTGTATTTTTAGTAGAGACAGGGTTTCACTGTGTTAGCCAGGGTGGTCTTGATCTCCTGACCTGGTGATCCGCTCGCCTCAGCCTCCCGAAGTGCTGGGATTACAGGTGTGAGCCATCATGCCTGGCCCTGACTTATCTTTTAAGACCAGAGGACAGAGTTGTCTCTAGGTCTGTTCTTGCCCCTAAAAAACCACATGGGTATGGGTGGGTCACCTTCCTCCTGGGGCCTCATTTTTCTCATCTGAACAACAGAGATATGCCGTTTTCTTTCTTTCTCTTTCTCTCTCTATTTCCTTCTTCATCTTTTTATGAGACAGAGTCTCAAACTTAATCTTAAATTATCTGTCACCCAGGCTGGAGTGCAGTGGTTCGATCATGGTTCACTGCAGCCTCGACCTTCTGGGCTTAGGTGATCCTCCCACCTCAACCTCCCAGGTAGCTGAGAGTACAGGCACACATCACCACACCCAGCTAATTTTTTGTATTTTTTTAATAGATACTTTTAAAAAATATATCTTTTTTAAAAAAAAATAGATCTATTAAAAAAATACTTTTTTTTAAATAAATATTTTTTGCCATGTTGCCCAGGCTGGTCTCGAATTCCTGATGAAATCGCCTTTACAAAATTATGACTGAGACAGTGAGATAGATCTAACTTAATCGACTCCACCTTGCTTCTAACCTCCAAGCTGTCCTTGATCATTCCTGGGTGTAGGCTGAACTAACTTTGGGAGAAACTTAGTTTATGGTTTATAATTTAAAAAAAGATGGTAAAGACAGTAACAGCCCTTTCCCAAAGCAGACCTCCTTCTTGCCTGGGGACTAGATTGCCTTTGTAGGACTCACATTAGCCACAGATTAGAAATTATGGTTTAGGAGTCATGCAGCTGAGGTTGCAAGATTCTGACTCTCCCTAAACTGCTCCCAAAATCAGTGCTTGAGATATTTTGCAGACCGTGCATTTGATGAATTAGCTAGTACCACCCAGATCAATAAACTGGCTCATCTGATCTTGGGGACCCCACCCAGGAACTGACTCAGTGCAAGACAGCTTCAACTCCCTATGATTTCATCTCTGACCAATCAGCGCTCCGGGCTCACTGGCTTCCACCCACCCACCAAGTTATCCTTAAAAACTCTGCTCCCCGAATGCTCAGGGAGGCTGATTTGAGTTATAATAAAACTCCAGTCTCCTGCACAGCCAGCCCTGCATGAATTACCCTTTCTCTATTGCAATTCCCCTGTCTTGATGAATCGGCTCTGTCTAGGCAGTGGGCAAGGTGAACCCCTTGGACAGTTACCCAAGGCGATCCTCCTGCCTTGGCCTTGTTTTTTTTATTTCTTTATGTACCTGTTTACCATTGGATTATAACCTCTTCAGGTCAGGGGCCATGTTCTCATCATCTTTGGTATCTTTAGCACAGGGCTGGGTCCCAGAGATGATGTCTACATGACTCTGTTGTGTCTATTGAATGAAGGATGTAATTCACCAAGTTGATCTGTCAGCATCAACAAAGGCAGGATGGGGAGGAAGCTCCCATGTGGAAGGCAGGGCAGGCAGAGGGGTAGAAAGGAAAGACCTGGCTCAAAGCTCAGCACTGCCAACTTTGGCAACCTTGGGCAAGGGACCTTCCCCTCATCTGCAGGTGGGGATGCTGACATCGAATAGATGCAGACGTGGTGGCTGTTCTTTTGACTTGTCGATGAAAAGAGTTGAACTCTGCAGAATATTTGAAGAGATTTATTGTGAGCCAAATATTAGTGAACTTGGCCCGTGACACAGCCCTCAGGAGGTTCTGAGAACATGCGCCCAAGGTGTCGGGGCGCAGCTTGGTCTTATCTATTTTAGAGAGGCATGAGACATCAATCAAATACATTTAAGAAATACATTGGTTTGGTCCAGAAAGGTGGGACAACTCAAAGGTGGGGGGGCACTTCCAGGCAATAGGTGAATTAAAAAAATTTCTGGTTGACAATTGGTTGAGTTTGTCTAAAAACCTGGGATTCATAGAAAGGGAAGGTTCTGGTTAAGATAAAGATCGTGGAGACCAAAGTTCTTTTGAAGACTTATAGTGGCTGCCCTTAGAGACAATAAATGACAAATATTTCCTATTCAGATCTTAGTTAATCTCTTTATTTATTTATTTATTTATTTTTCGAGACGAAGTCTCACTGTTGTCCCCCAGGCTGGAGTGCAGTGGCACGATCTCGGCTCACTGCAACCTCTGCCTCCCCTGTTCAAGCGATTCTCCTGCCTCAGCCTCCCGAGTAGCTGGGATTACAGGTGTGTACCACCACACCCGGCTAATTTTTTTGTATTTTAAGTAGAGACAGGGTTTCACCATGTTGGCCAGGCTGGTCTGAAACTCCTGACCTCAGGTGATCCACCCGCCTCAGCCTCCCAAAGTGCTGGGATTACAGGCGTGAGCCACCACGCCCAGCTTCAGATCTTAGTTCTTAGTTAATCTCTTTAGGATTGGGAGGGTATAGAAGAAAAAGATCTAGCTATATTAATAGAGTTTTTTGTTGTTGTTGTTTGTTTGTTTGTTTTTGAGACAGAATTTCGCTCTTGTTCCCCAGGTTGGAGTGCAGTGGCGTGATCTCGGCTCACTGCAACCTCTGCCTCCTGGGTTCAAGCGATTCTCCTGCCTCAGCCTCCCAAGTAGCTGGGATTACAGGCATGCAGCACCATGCCTGTCTAATTTTTGTATTTTTAGTAGAGATGGGGTTTCACCATGTTGGTCAGGCAGGTCTGGAACTCCTGACCTCAGGTGATCCACTCGCCTCGGCCTCCCAAAGTGCTGGGATTACAGGTGTGAGCCACCACGCCGGACAGAGATTCTTTACAGAGACAAATTTTCTACCACAAAGAACAGCTTTGCAGGGCCATTTCAAAATATGGCAAAGAAACATGTTTTGGGGTAAAATATTTTTATTTTCTTCCTTGTCTCATAATCCTATGCCAGAGTCAGGCTGGAAATAAGTCATGATACAATAGGGTTAAATAAAACCCCTCTGAAGAGAATTTATGGTTTGTAGGGCTTGGCTCCCCAGACCCCTTAGATAGGAATTTGGGCAAGATAAAAAATCAGAGTTTAGTCCTCACACTTAACCTCTGAAGTTCTCAGGTGCATTGCACAGGCCCAACCTTGGGGGGCCACACCTCTCTCTGAGCCCCAGGTCTTGTCTTTCTCAACAAGGCAGGGTGACCCCCAACAAATCTCCACCAATGGACCACAGAGCTGCCTGGTGGGAGGGGTCACAGGAAGAAAAGGTAAATCCCACCAAGCTAGAGCTCTGGCTGAGATGGTCCACATATTCTTCCCCACTTTTTTTCTTTTTTTTTTTTTTTTTTTAACTAAGATACAATTTGCACGACACATTGTATTTCAAGGTTGAGTATCTGAGACCTGTGTGTGATAAGCTCAGGGACACGAACATGACAAATGATTAGAAATTGCAATGTTCCTTCCCCTTTTCCCTAACTCACCAATGCCCTAACACAGGCATTGCTGAGATACTTGATACTTCAACTGTGCTGCTGAGTGACCCTCATAAAGCAAGAGCCAGGGCTTGCCAGCCCCAGTGATGTTCGGTGGGCGAGGACCACATCTCCAGCTGCCTCCTGGACAATGTCCCTTGAAAATCACATGGATAAGGCCGGATGTGGTGGCTCACCACCCATAATCTCAGCACTTTGGGAGGCCAAGGCAGGAGGATCATGTGAGCCCAGGAGGCTGAGGCTGCAGTAAACTATGTTTACAAGACCGTGACTCAAAACAAAACAAAAAGCATTATATAAGTATTTCAGGGCCGGTTGTGGAAGCTCATGCCTATAATCCCAGGTGGTGATTATATAATAGCAGGTGGATCATCTGAGGTCAGGAGTTTGAGACCAGCCTGGCCAACATGGTGAAACCCCATCTCTACCAAAAAATAGAAAAATTAGCTGGACATGGTGGCGAACGCCTGTAGTCCCAGCCACTGGGGAGGCTGAGGTGGGAGAAATACTTGAACCTGGGAGGCGGAGGTTGAAGTGAGCCGAAATCGCACCACTGCATTTCAGCCTGGGCGACAGAGCGAGGCCCTGTCTCAATAAATAAATAAATAAAGTAAGCATTTATGCATATTCTTTTTTTTTTTTTTTTTTTTTTTTTTTTTTGAGACAGGCTCTCTCTCTGTTTCCCAGGCTGGAGTGCAGTGACCCACTCAGCTCAGTGCAGCCTCCAAATCCTAGGTACAAACAATAGGGGCATTCTTGGGTAAACAGGGAAGAAGTCTGGTTGGCTCTTGGAGGTGGCATGGAGAGGGTGGCTGAGGGCGTTCATGCTGTGCTTTGTGTGCCTTACTTTATGTGCTTTATGTGCATTACTGAATTTGTAAAAATGAGCATGAAATGTTTTTGTAGTTAAAAAAAAATTGTAAAGTAGAAAGAAAAGAAACCTTCTTGGAAACCAGATGGAGACAATGAGCTGAGGAAGAGGCTGAAGGCTAATTGCCACAGAGAGGCCAGATGAGCAGCAGTCAGGGCAGAATAAGTGCGGACAGAGTGGAGGGCTGCGTTGCTAAGTGTTTAAGACCCTCCTTGCCCAGCACCGTGGCTCAAACCTGTAATCCCAGCACTTTGGAAGGCCGAGGTGGGCGGATCACCTGAGATCAGGAGTTCAAGACCAGCCTGGCCAACATGGTAAAACCCTGTCTCTACTAAAAAATACAAAAATTAGTGGCCAGGCGCGGTGGCTCACGCCTGTAATCCCAGCACTTTGGGAGGCCGAGGCGGGCAGATCACGAGGTCAGGAGATCGAGACCATCCTGGCTAACATGATGAAACCTGTCTCTACCCAAAATACAAAAAATCAGCCGGGCATGGTGGCGGGCGCCTGTAGTCCCAGCTACTTGGGAGGCTGAGGCAGGAGAATGGCGTGAACCTGGGAGGTGGAGCTTGCAGTGAGCCGAGATCGCACCACTGCACTCCAGCCTGGGGAACAGAGTGAGACTACGTCTCAAAAAAATTAACTGGCATGGTGGCAGCCACCTGTAATCCCAGCTACTACGGAGGCTGAGGCAGGGAGATTGCTTGAACCCAGGAGGCGGAGGTTGCAGTGAGCCAAGATTGTGCCACTGCACTTCAGCCTGGGTGAGAGAGCAAGACACTGTCTCAAAAAAAAAAAGACCCTCTTCCTCCACATTTCTCTCCTCTCTTCCTCCCTCTTCCCTTTCCTTGGAGATGGCAACGTGGCTGGAAGCTGAGGAGGCAGCTGGTGTGGATAAAAAATCAAGCAAATACATTGAGGATAATGGGAGCCAGGTTTCTCACTGCTGGAGATGAGAATTACAAATATGGAAAGAGGAAAGGCTGAAAAGAGCCCCGAGGCACTGGAGATGTCAGTGTGGGCTCTTCATACGTGTGTATATAAAGATGTGGGAGCCAGCCTGAAGGGGCTCCCATTGGCCAAGTCTGGGACAATCGGAGCATCCAAATAAAAATGACCAGATGGCCAGGTGCAGTGGCCCACACCTGTGCTCCCAGTACTTTGGGAGGCCAAGACAGGAGGATCGCTTGAGCCAGGAGTTCAAGACCAGCCTGGGCAACATAGGGATATCCTGTCTCTACAAGAAATACTTTTTAAAAAATTAGACGGGTGTGGTGGCATGTGCTTGTAGTCCCAGTTACTCAGGAGGCTGAGGCACGAAAATCACCAGACCCCAGGAGATAGAGGTTGCAATAGAGCAAGACTCTGTCTCAAAAAACAAAAAAAAAAGAGAGAGAGACTACAAACTACTGCATAATATAGGCGTCCATGATTCTGTGCTGACTGAAGAGAAGGGAAGGCTCTTCCTTACAGGACAGTGCCAACCCATGAATGGAGAGGGGTGATGAAAATAGAGAAAGCACCACTTGGTAAGTATCATTCTGATAAGCTGATTCAAGCAGGAGGGTTACAGACCTAGGGAGGCTAAGGCTGGTGGGTGGAGAGTGGATGAGGTACAGAATATTGCAAAATATGGCTGGGCGCAGTGTGGCTCAGGCCTGTAATCTCAGCACTTTGGGAGGCCGAGGTGGGCGAATCACTTGAGGTTAGGAGTTCGAGATCAGTCTGGCCAACATGGTAAAACCCCGTCTCTACTAAAAACACAAAAATTAGCCAGGTGTGGTGATAGTTGCCTGTAATCCCAGCTACTTGGTAGGCTGAGTTAGGAGAATCACTTGAACCCGGAAGGCAGAGGTTGCAGTGAGCCGAGATCGTGCCACCGCACTCCAGCCTGGGTGACAAGAGCGAGACTCCGTCTCAAAAAAAAAAGGAAAAAAAAAAATCTCCCAGCCGGGCGCAGTGGCTCACTCCTGTAAATCCCAGCACTTTGGGAGGCTGAGATGGGTTGATCGCGAGGGCAGGAGATGGAGACCATCCTGGCCAACATGGTGAAACCCCATCTCCACTAAAAATACAAAAATTAGCTGGGCATGGTGGCGCGTGCCTGTAATCCCAGCTACTCGGGAGGCTGAGGCAGGAGAATCGCTTGAACCAGGGAGTCAGAGGTTGCGGTGAGCCGAGATCGCGCCACTGCACTCCAGCCTGGCAACAGAGTGAGACTCTGTCTCAAAAAAAAAAAAAAAAAAAAAACTCTCCCACCACACACAGGTCTCCTGCCACACCCCCATCAGGAGGACAGTCTAGTTTCCCTCACCTTGAATCTGAGCAGACGGCAAGGACTTGGCCATAACCAATACAGCATGGCAGGAGTGACACTGTGTGACTTCAAGGCCAGGTCAGCAGACCCTGCAGCTTTGGCCTTTGTCTCTTGGAGCTCTTCTCTCTTGACAGGTTCCCTCTCAGAGCCCTGCCACCATGCTGTGCAAATCCCAAGCCTCAAGGAGAGGCCACATGATGGTGGCTCCAGCAAATAATCCCTGCTGAGCCTTTCCTTCCGCCACCCCACCCAGGAGCCATCAGGGAAATGGATGCCCCATCCACCAGCCATGGGAGCCGCTTCTGGCAGTTGAAGTCACTTCAGTGGAGGGCCAGGCATCATGGAGCAGAGAGAAGCTGGACCTGCTGTGTCCTGCCTGAAGTCCTAGCCCACAGAGCTCACAGGCACAATAAAATGGTTTTGGTAATGTTGCTAAATTTGGGAGTAGTTAATTAGGCAAAAATAGGCAACTGGAGTATTGGTATAGTCTCCAATATCTCTCCACAAAATACTTATCCAATGCAAAGGAGACAAGGAGAGCTGCATGGTGGAGAGACCTGGTGGACACCGACTTCGCTGTGTAACCAAAGTCACCATGATGCCCAAGTCATCGTCGTGTGCCTCCTGACACGAATCAATGGGGAAACATGGCATTGTTTCTGCAGGATTACAACCAACAACGCGGGGCCGGGGCGAGTCATGAGGACACACTGAACAGACCCAGACTGAGACAGGGCCGACTCATCCAGGAGATTTTTACAGGCACACAAAACATGCTTTAGTTGTTTTTGGTTTGGGATTTTTTTTTTTTTTTTTTTGAGATGGAGTCTCACTGTGTCACCCAGGCTGGAGTGCAGTGGCGCGATCTCAGCTTACTGCAATCTCCGCCTCTGGGGTTCAAGTAATTCTCATGCCTCAGCCTCCCAAGTAGCTGGGATTACAGGCATGTGCCACTATGCCCAGCTAATTTTTGTATTTTTAGTAGAGATGGGGTTTCACCATATTGGCCAGGCTGGTTTCAAACTCCTAACCTCAAGTGATCCACCCACCTCGGCCTCCCAAAGGGCTGGGATTACAGGCATAAGCCACTGCGCCCGGCTGCTTTGGTTTTAATTTATTTTGAAATCAGAAAAAAAAGCATAACAATAATGAATCCAACCTTGATTATATTTATCTTCATACCAATGCAATATGAAACGTATTGAAATTTTTTCTTTTTTTCGTGTGTGTGTGTGTGTGTGTGTGTGTGAAAGAAGGGACTGAAAAGTGCAAAAATGCATACAGCCTACAGCCATAATGCATCCCTGGGTTGGGGACATCCTGCAGAATAAAATATGCTAGGGAAGGTGGAGTCAGCACACTTCTCTGTGTCTCTCCCTTTGAATGCAGCTAGAAAACCTGGACAGCTGCAAGGGCATCCCGCTAAGAACTTGAAACGGCAAATGATATGGGCACAGTGAGGAAGAATACTGAATTCTAAGTGCTACTGACCTGGTAGTGAGTTCCCCCCAACTTGTTTCCTTCAGTCCAGACTTAATGCAGCCTGGAACCCGAAGTATGTATCGCTGTGGACCGAGAGAGCTTCAGGAGAAACCCACTACCTCTGGCTAGAGGGGTGAGGAAGGAGCCTCCTAACATGCAGAGCAAATAGGGAAATAGCCCATTTGTCTTTTTTCCTTTTCCCCCCCAGTATTTCTTGTACCATCCTGTAGGCAACTTTGTGTTGGTGGCAGCCACAGTGATAGCAGTGGCACTGGGGGAGTTCGGGAGCCTAAACTTCTGAAAGAAGGAAACCTCATCTTTGATCAGAAGAGATGTGATTCCCAATAGGGCAGGGCTTTTTTCTCTGCCCTCCACTGCTTGGCTCCCAGTATGGATCTAGTCATGGGAAGTATGTGGCGAAATTGAGGAAATAAAGCCACACCTTTCTGGACAGAGGACTGGAAGAGGGAACCCCAACAAACTGGAAAGGACTAGGAGGATTGAAAGTTGTTTATGAATTCCTAGACTCACCCCAAAGATGTGTATGTATGGAGCTGACTCTAAACCAGGCTGGGCACAGAGGCTCACTCCTGTAATCGCAGCACTTTGGGAGGCCGAGATGAGCAGATTGCTTGAGCTCAGGAGTTCAAGACCAGCCTGGGCAACATGGTGAAACCCCGTCTCTACAAAAAACAAAAAACTTAGCTGAGCATGATGCACGTGCCTGTAGTTCCAGCTACTCGGGAGGTGAAGGTGGGAGGATCGCTTGAGCCCGGGAGGCAGAGGTTGCAGTGATCTGAGATTGCGCCACTGCACTCCAGCCCGGGTGACAGAGTGAGACACCTTCTCAAATAAACAGCATACCATAGGCTTTGAGAACTGAAGTATGGGACTGACCCCTGGGTGGTGCCCCAGGGGATAGAGCTGAATAGCACAACATAGGCTTTGAAAACACAACTGATATTGAAACCATAACCCACAGAGGAGTGGTCAAATCTTGCAGCGTGAAACCAACCCAGTCAATTGCCTGCTTAAACAAAAATTTCCACATTCTCATAGGATTTAAACAGAACCCAGAATCCCATGATATAATATTTTAAGTGTCCAGGATGAAATCTGCTATAGACTGTTTGTGTCCCCTCAAAATTCATATGTTAGGCCGGGTGCGGTGGCTCACGCCTGTAATCCCAGCACTTTGGGAGGCCGAGGCGGGCGGATCACAACGTCAGGAGATTGAGACCATCCTGGCTAACACGGTGAAACCTCGTCTCTATTAAAATACAAAAAATTAGCCGGGTGTGGTGGCAGGCACCTGTAGTCCCAGCTACTTGGGAGGCTGAGGCAGGAGAATGGCGTGAACCCAGGAGGCGGAACTTGCAGTGAGCTGAGATTGCACCACTGCACCCCAGCCTGGGTGACAGAGCAAGACTCTGTCTCAAAAAAAAAAAAAATTTATATGCTGAAACCTAATCTACAGTGTGAGGGCATGGAGGTGGAGCCTTTGGGAAGTGATTAGATCATGAAGATAGATCCCTCATGAATGGGATTAGTGCTCTTATAAAAGACACCCCAGCCGGGCACAGTGGTTCATGCCTGTAATCCTTGCACTTTGGGAGGCTGAGGTGGGTGGATCACCGGAGGTCAGGAGTTTGAGACCAGCCTAGCCAACATAGTGTAACCCTGAATCTACTAAAAATACAAAAAATTAGCTGGGCATGGTGGCATGCACCTATAGTCCCAGCTACTCGGGAGGCTGAGGCAGAATTGCTTGAACCCGGGCGGCGGAGGTTGCAGTGAGCTGAGATTGTACCACTGCTCTCCAGCCTGGGCGACAGAGCAAGACTCTGTCTCAATAAATAAATAAATAAATAAATAAATAAATAAATAAATATAAAAAAGACACCCCAGAGAACTACCTCACAATTCCTGCTATGTGAGGACACAGCAAGAAGACAGCCGTCTACAAACCAGGAAACAGGCATGCATCAGACACTAAAGCTTCCAGCACCTTGATCTTGGACTTACAACCTCCAAACTGTGAGAAATAACTTTCTGTTGTTTATAAGCCACCCAGCCTATGATATTTTTGTTACAGCAGCCCAAACAGAACAAGACATAATCCAATACATGTGTAACAATGAGAACGTATTCTTTTTTTTTTTTTTTTTTTTGGAGATGGAGTTTCGCTCTTGTTGTCCAGGCCGGAGTGCAGTGGTGCAATATCGGCTCACCGCAACCTCTGCCTCCTGGGTTCAAGCGATTCTCCTGCCTCAGCCTCCCGAGTAGCTGGGATTACAGGCATGCGCCACCAAGACTGGCTAATTTTGTATTTTTTAGTAGAGACGGGGTTTCACCATGTTGTCCAGGCTGGTCTTGAACTCCTGACCTCAGGTGATCCACCCGCCTCGGCCTCCCAAAGTGCTGGGATTACAGGCGTGAGCCACCGTGCCCGGCCGAGAACATATTCTTTAGTTTACAAAAGGCCAGGAAAATCTCAACTTGCCTGGGAAAAGAAAATCAACAGATGTCAGTGCTGACATGACACAGACAATGGAATTATCTGACAAAGGCTTTAAAGCGGCTGCTATTTTTTAAAATGCTCCAGTAAGTAAGGGCAAACATTACTGAAACAACTGGAAAGATGTTTCAGCAAAGAAATAGAAGATATAATGAAGAAGCAAGTGAAAACTAGAACTGAAAAAATACAATAACTGAAAAAAAGAACCTCACTGAATGATCTCAGTAATAGAATGGAGATGACAGGGAAACAGCCAGTGAACTTCAGGATAGACAAAAAGAAATTATACAATCAGAACAACAGAGAGAAAAATAAACTGAAGAAAAAAAAACAGTGTCAGGGATATGTTCAAAGCTGAAAAGTCTAGTATTTGTGTTACCTAAATTACACAACGAGAAGAGAAAGCATGTAGTGCAGAAAAAAGAATTTAAAAAATACCAGTTGAAAACTTCCTGAATTTTGCCAGGCACGGTGGCTCACACCTGTAATTCCAGGACTTTGGGAGGCCAAGGCCAACAGATCACCTGAGGTCGGGAGTTTGCGACGAGCCTGGCCAACAAAGTGAAACCCAGTCTCTGCTAACAATACAAAAATTAGCCAGGCAGGGTGGCACGCACCTGTAATCCCAGCTACTCAGAAGGCTGAGGCAGGAGAATCACTTGAATCCGGGAGGCAGAGGTTGCAGTGAGCCGAGGCTGCACCACTGTACTCCAGACAGCGAGACTCCATCTCAAAAAAAAAAAAAAAAAAAAAACTTCCTGAATTTGGTAAAAGATATAAGCCTAGAAATTAAAAAAGCTCAGTGAACCAAAAATAGAATAATTTCAAATAAACTTATGACCAGACACATAATAATCAAACTTGAAAACTAAAGACAAAGAAATCTTGAAAACAGCAATAAAAAAAAAAGAATTACTTAAATGAGAGCAATTCAAGTGACAGCAGATTTCTTATCAGAAGTGCAACAATAGTTACTAAATGCTGAAAGAAAGAAAAAATTATTAACCCAGAATTCTATATGCAGTGAAAATACCCTTAAGGAATGAAAGTGAAATTAAGAATTTTTGCGGCCAGGCACGGTGGCTCACTCCTGTAATCCCAGCACTTTGGGAGGCCAATGGGGGCGCGGATCACCTGAGGTTGGGAGTTCAAGACCAGCCTGACCAACATGGAGAAACCCCATCTCTACTAAAAATATAAAATTAGCTGGCCGTGGTGGCACATGCCTATAATCCCAGCTACCTGGGAGGCTGACGCAGAAGAATCAATTGAACCCTGGAGGCGGAGGTTGCAGTGAGCCGAGATCGTGCCATTGCACTTCAGCCTGGGCAACAAGAGTGAAACTTCATCTCAAAAAACAAAATAAAAAAAGGGAATGTTTGCAGCTGAGCGTGGTGACTCACACCTGTAATCCCAGCACTTTGAGAGGCTGAGGCGGGTGGATCACCTGAGAACAGGAGTTCAAGACCAGCTTGGCCAACATGTTAAAACCCTGTCTCTACTAAAAATACAAATATTAGCCAGGCATGGTGGCAGGTGCCTGTAATCCCAGCTACTCGGGAGGCTGAGGCAGGAGAATCGCTTAAAACCTGGGAGGCGGAGGTAGCAGTGAGCTGAGACCGTGCCACTCCACTCCAGCCTGGGCAACAGAACGAGACTTTGTAAAAAAAAAAAAAAAAGCCTTAATAAATATGAATAGAAATTATACAAAGTATGTTTCCTGATCATGATAAAATTAGTCTTGATATCAATAAGAGAAATAGAACAAAAAACCTTCCAGACTATTAGAAATTAAACAATATATCGCCTAGACTGGAGTGCAGTGGTGTGATCCCAGCTCACTGCAGCCTCAACTTCCCAGGCTCAAGTGATCCTCTCACTTCAGCCTCCCAGGTATCTGGTACTACAGGTGTGCACCACCATGCCCAGCTTATACTTATTATTAAATAATCCATGAGTAGTCAAAGAGGGAGTCTCAAACAAAATAAATATATCAAACAATAAAAAAGTACAGCATATCAAAATGTATGGGAGCTAAAGAGTGCTAAAAAAATTATAGCACTAAATCTTACATTAGAAAAAAGGAAAAGTCTCAAATCAATAATCTAAGTTCCTACTTCAAGAAATGACAAAAGAAGAGCAAAATAAGCTGAAAGCAAGCAAGATGTATGAAATAAAAATAAATCCAAAAATCAATGAAACTGAAAACAGAAAAACAATAGAGAAAAATCAATGAAAGCAGAAACTGTTTCTTTGAGGAAATCAATGAATGGTACCTCCAATGAGACGAACCAAAAAAAAAAAAAAAAAAAAAAAAACACAAAATTACCAATTTCCAATATGAGGAATGAAAGAGAAGATATAATCACAAACCTTAAAGATATTAAAAGGATAATAAAGGAATACCACAAACAACTCCACACACACAAATAATTCAACCAGTTAAATTAAATGGTTCAATTCCCCAAGGCCCACAAAGTACCAAACTCACCCAAGATGAAATAGATAATCTGAGTAGTTCTAGAGCTATTAAAGAAATTAACAGTTTAAACCTTCCTGAAAAAGAAATCTCCAGGCCCCAGTGGTTTCACTGGAGAATTCTATCAAACTAGGTACTATTTTTTCTTTAAATGTTTGATAGAGGCCGGGTGCGGTGGCTCACGTCTGTAATCCCAGCACTTTGGGAGGCCAAGGCGGACCGATCACCTGAGGTCAGGAGTTCAAGACCAGCCTGGCCAACATGGTGAAACCCCATCTCTACTAAAATACAAAAATTAGCCAGGCATGGTGGCTCATGCCTGTAATCCCAGCTATTCGGGAGGCTGAGGCAGGAGAATCGCTTGAATCTAGGAGACGGAGGTTGCAGTGAGCCAAGATCGCGCCACTGCACTCCAGCCTGGGTGACAGAGTGAGACTCAGTCTCAAAAAAAAAGTAAAAAATAGCTCCAATTCTACACAATCACTTTCAGAAAACAAATAGGCAGGAACACTCCACAACTCATTTAATGAGACCGGCATTACTCTAATGCCAAATCCAGTCAAAAACAGTACAAGAAAACTACAAAACTATATCCGTCATGAAGATAGATACAAAACCCCCCAGCAAAATATTAGAAAATCAAATCCAGCAATATGTAAGAAGAATAATATACTACTGCTACTAAGTGGAGTTTATCCTAGGAATGCAAGGTTTGTTTATTATTCAAAAATTAATGTAATTTACCATATTAAAAGCCTAAAGAAAAAATACACATGATCATATCCATTGATACAGAAAAAAAAATTGACAAAATTCAACATCCATTCATGAGAAAAACCTCTTCACAAGCTATGGACAGAAGGGAACTTTCTCAACATTAAAATTAATAGTGAAAGACGAAATACTTTCCCCCTAAGTTTGAGAACAAGCAAGGGATATACACTCTTACGGGTCCTATTCAACATTGTAAGGCAGTGTGCGGTGGCTCACACCTATATTCAGGTGCTTTGAGAGACTGAGGCAGGAGGACTGCTTGAGCCCAGGAGTTTGAAACCAGCCTGGGCAACATAGCAAGACCCTGTCTCTACAAAAAATTTAAAAATATTAGCTGGACGTGGTGGTGCACTCCTATAGTCCCAGCTACTCTGAGAGGCTGAGGTTGAGGATTGCTTGAGCCCAGGAGTTTGAGGCTGCAGTGAGCTATAATCAGGCCACTGCACTTCAGCCTGGACAACAGAGCGAGACCCTGTCTCTAAAAACAAACAAACAAACAAACATTGTAATGGAAGTCCTAGTTAGTGCAATAAGGCAAGAAAAAGAAATAAAGAAATACAGATTGGACAGGAAGAAATAAATTTCTCTCTATTTGCAGATGACATGATTGCTAAAAACTCCAAAACTCTGTGAGCTAGCCAGGTGCCATGGCATGTGAGGTGGAGCCAGGAGGATCACTTGAGCCCAGGAGATCAACACTGCAGTGCACTATGATTGTGCCTGTGAATTTTAGAGCTGAGATTTCCCTGTTGCACAGGCTAGAGCAACATAGAGAGACCCCATCTCTAAAAAACAAACAAAAAAACTAACCAATGAGTTTACCAAGGTTGCAGAATACAGGGCTGATATAGGAAAATTCACAGTGTTTCTATATACTGAAAATTGGAAACAAAAGATGTTTTAAATACCATTTACAATAACTCCAAAACACATGAAACATATCATATAAATCTAACAAAATATGAACAGGCCTGGCCAACATGGTGAAACCCCATGTCTACAAAAAATACAAAAAATAGCCAGGAATGCCTGTAGTCATGCCTGTAGTCACAGGTACTTGGGAGGCTGAGTCAGGAGAATCCCTTGAACCTGGGAGGCAGAGGTTGCAGTCAGCTGAGATTGCGCCACTGCACTCCAGCCTGGGCAACAGAGCAAGACTCCGTCTCAAAAAAAAAAAAAAGAAAGAAAGAAAGAAAGAAACCCTGTCTCTACGAAAATTACAAAAATTAGCCCTGGATGGTGGTTCGTGCCTGTAGTCCCAGCCACTTAAAGGGCTGAGGTGGGAGGATCACTTGAGCCTGGGAGGTCAAAGCTGCAGTGAGCCGAGATCGCACCACTGCACCCCAGCCTGGGCTGTAGAGTTAGATGCTGTCTCAAAAAAAAAAAAAAAAAAAAACTATAAAATCTTGGTGAAATAAATTAATAAAGAAGACCTAAATAGATGGATAGACATATTGTTTTCATGGATTGAAATACTCAAATATGTCAGTTATCCCCAGATTAACCTACAACTGTAACACAATTCCAATTAGAATCCCAGCAGAATTTTTTGAAGATAGAGACCAACTGGTTGTCAATTTTTGTAATTAATTAATTAATTTACTTATTTTGAGACAGAGTATCGCTCTGTCGCCCAGGCTGGAGTGCAGTGGTATGATCATGGCTCGCTGCAATTCTCTCATCTCAGCCTCCTGAGGAGCTGGGACTACAGGCATGCACCACCACGCCTGACTAATTTTTTTGTATTTTGTGTTTCGTTGCCCATGCTGGTCTCCAACTCCTGAGCTCAAGCAATCGGCCCACTTCGGCCTCCCGAAGTGCTGGGATTACAGGCGTGAGCCACTGTGCCTGGCCTGTGACTGGCTTATTTCACTTACCATAATATTATAACAATTCGGCCGGGCGCGGTGGCTCACGCCTGTAATCCCAGCACTTTGGGAGGCCGAGGCGGGCGGATCACGAAGTCAGGAGATCGAGACCATCCTGGCTAACACGGTGAAACCCCATCTCTACTAAAAATACGAAAAATTAGCTGGACGTGGTGGTGGGCGCCTGTTGTCCCAGCTACTCGGAGGCTGAGGCAGGAGAATGGCATGAACCCAGGAGGCGGAGCTTGCAGTGAGCAGAGATCAAGCCACTGCACTCCAGCCTGGGGGACAGTGCAAGATTCCGTCTCAAAAAAAAAAAAATTATGACAATTCATTCCTTTTCTAGATGAATAATATTCCACTGTATCTGTATGCACATTTTGTTTATCCATTCATCTGTTGATCAGCATTTGGGTTGTTTGCATCTTTTGGCTATTATGAATAGTATGCTATGAACATTGAGTCCCTTTTATCAAATATTTGGGGTATACAAATAGGAGTGAAATTGCTGAGCCATATGGTAATTCTACGTTTAACTTTTTAAGGAACCGTTAAACTGTTTTCCACAGTGGCTGAATAATTTTGTATTCCCACCAGCAATGTATCAGGGTTCCAATATATCTCCACATAATTTTATGTGTTTATTTGCCATTCATATGTCTTCTTTGGAGAAACACCTACTCAAGTCTTTTGTCCATTTTTTTGCTTGTTTTTTTTATTTTGATACAGAATCTCGCTCTGCTGCCCAGGCTGGAGTGCAGTAGCATGATCTCGGCTTACTGCAATCTCTGCCTACCCAGTTCAAGCGATTCTTGTGCCTCAGCCTCCTGAGTGGCTGGGACTACAGGTTCGCGCCACCACACTGGGAAAATTTTTTGTCCATTTTTAAATTGGGTTGTTTGTTTTGTTGTCGTTCAGTTGTAGGAATTCTCTCTATATATTCTGGACTTTAACCCCTTTTCAGATATATGATTTGCAAACATTTTCTCCCATTCTGTGGGTTGCCTTTTTACTATCTTAATAGTATCCTTTGATACACAAAGGATTCTAATTTTGCTCAAGTCTGATCTATTTATTTATTTATTTTGTTGCTTATGCTTTTGGTGTGTCACGAAGCCTCTCTTCTATGCTTTCTCCTAAAAGTTTTATAGTTCTAACTCTTATATTCAGGTTTTTAATTCATTTTGAGCTAATATTTGTACACGCTGTGAGGTAGGGGTCCAATCTCATTCTTTTGATTATGGCTATCCAGTTTTCCCAGTGACATTTGTTATAGAGACTGTCCTTTCCACTGAATGGTCTTGTCATCTTTGTCAAAAATCATTTGATCATATATGAGAGAGTTTATTTCTAGGCTCTCTATTCAATTCCATTTGTCTATGTCTGCCTTCATGCCAGTACCCACGGTTTTGATTACTGTTGTTTTGCAGTAAGTTTTTGTTTGTTTGTTTGTTTTCTGAGACGGAGTTTCGCTCTGTTGCCAGGCTGGAGTGCAGTGGTGTGATCTCGGCTCACTGCAATCTCCACCTCCCAGGTTGAAGCAATTCTCCTGCCTCAGCCTCCTGAGTAGCTGGGATTACAGGTGCAGGCCACCACAGCGAGCTAATTTTTGTATTTTTAGTAGAGATGGTCTCCATCTCCTGACTTTGCGATCCACCCGCCTTGGTCTCCCAAAGTGTAGGGATTACAGGCGTGGGCCCCCACGCCTGGTCTTTTTTTTTCTTATTTGAGATGGAGTTTCGCTCTTGTTGCCCAGGCTGGAGTGCAATGGTGCAATCTCAGCACACTGCAACCTCCGCCTCCTGGGTTCGAGTGATTCGCCTGCTTCAGGATCCCAAGTAGCTGGGATTACAGGCATGCGCCACCACGCCCGGCTAATTTTTTTGTATTTTTAGTAGACATGAGGTTTCTCTATGTTAGTCAGGGCTGGGATTACAGGTGTGAGCCACCGTGCCCGGCTTTACAGTAAGTTTTAAAATCAGGGCCAGTGCAGTGGCTCAAGCCTGATTACAGGCTCAGTACTTTGGGAAGCCGAGGTGGGAGGCTCACTTGAGGCCAGGAGTTCAAGACTAGCCTGGGAAACATAGCAAAACCCCGTATAGAAAAAGTTTTTTAGGCCAGGCACGGTGGCTCATGCCTGTAATCCCAAAACTTTGGGAGGCCGAGCGGGTGGATTACCTGAGGTCAGGAGTTCGAGACTAGGCTGACCAACATGGAGAAACCTCATCTCTACTAAAAATACAAAATTAGTCGGGCGTGGTGGCACATGCCTGTAATCCCAGCTACTCGGGAGGCTGAGGCAGGAGAATCACTTGAACCCGGGAGGCAGAGGTTGCAGTGGGCTGGCACCATTGCACTCCAGCCTGGGCAACAAGAGTGAAACTCCATCTCAAAGTCTTGTTCTGTCACCCAGGCTGGTGTGCAGTGGTGGGATCACAGCTCCCTGCAACCTCTGCCTCCCAGGGTCAAGCAATCCTCCCACCTCAGCCCCCGGTGTAGCCGGGATTATAGGCATAGGCCACCACACCTGGCTAATTTTTTTTTTTTTTTTTGGAGACGAGGTTTCACCATGTTGCCCAGACTAGTCTCAAACTCCTGGGCTCAAGCAGTCTGCCCACCTTGGCCTCCCAAAGTGCTGGCATTACACCATGCCTGGCCTGCATTTACCTTTTAAATCATATGAGAAAAAGAGAGAGGTTAAAAACCAAACCAAAAGTACAGTAATATTGGCATTTATTTATTTAGAGATGGAGTCTCACTCTGTCGCCCAGCCTCGAGTGCAGTGGTGCGATCTCGGCTCACTACAAGCGCTGCCTCCCGGGTTCACGCCATTCTCCTGCCTCAGCCTCCCGAGTAGCTGGGACTACAAGTGCCCGCCACCACGCCTGGCTACTTTTTTTGTATTTTTAGTAGAGACGGGGTTTCACCACGTTAGCCAGGATGGTCTCAATCTCCTGACCTCGTGATCCACCTCAGCCTCCCAAAGTGCTGGGGTTACAGGCATGAGCCACCATGCCCGGCCAATATTGGCATTTGTATTTGCATAGGAAATTAACTTTACTAGTGTCCTTTTTTTCTTATGTCTTCAAGTAACTATTTAACATCTTTTTATTTATATTTATGTATTTATTTATTTGGAGACAGAGTCTCACTCTGTCCCCCAGGTTGGAGTGCAGTGGTGTGATCTCAGCTCACTGCAACCTCCAGCCCCCAGGTTCAAGTGATTCTCCTGCCTCAGCCTCCCAAGTAGCTGGGACTACAGTCATGCACCACCACGCCTGGCTACTTTTCGTATTTTTAGTAGAGATGTGGTTTCACCATGTTGGCCAGGCTGGTCTCGAACTCCTGACCTCAGATCATCCACCCACCTCGGCCTCCCAAAGTGCTGGGATTAAAGGTGTGAGCCACTGCGCCTGGCCATCTTTTTATTTATTTTTATTTCTTTTCTTTCTTTTTTTCTTTTTTCTTTTTTTTTTGAGACAGAGTCTCGCTGTCACCCAGGCTGGAGTGCAGTGGCACGATCTTGGCTCACTACAAGCTCCGCCTCACAGGTTCACGCCATTCTCCTGCTTCAGCCTCCCAAGTAGCTGGGACTACAGGCGCCCACCACCATGCCCGGCTAATTTTTTGTATTTTTTTTAGTAGAGATGGGGTTTCACCGTGTTGGCCAGGATGGTCTCGATCTCTTGACCTTGTGATCTGCCTGCCTCAGCCTCCCAAAGTGCTGGGATTACAGGCGTGAGCCACTGTGCCCAGCAGTTATTTTTTATCTATTTTTTTTTATTATTATTTTTTGAGACAGAGTCTAGCTCTGTCTCCCAGGTTGTAGTGCAGTGGCACAATCTTGGCTCACTGCAACCTCCACCTCCGGGGTTCAAGCGATTCTCTTGCCTCAGCCTCCTGAGTAGCTGGGATTATTACAGGCACATGCTAACACACCTGGCTAATTTTTGTAGTTGTTTTAGTAGAGGCAGGGTTTTGCCATGTTGGCCAGGCTGGTCTTGAACTTCTAACCTCAAGTGATCCACCTGCCTCAGCCTCCCAAAGTGCTGAGATTACAGGTGTGAGCCACCACGCCAGGCCTAGAATCTTTTTATTTTATCACGAAGAACTACCATTAGCATTTCTTGTAGGGCAGGTCTACCGGTAATAAATTCTCTCAACTTCTGTTTATCTTGAAACATCTTAATTTCTCCCTCATTCCTTAAAAATAATTGTGCTGGGGCCGGGCGCGGTGGCTCACTCCTATAATCCCAGCACTTTGGGAGGCTGAGGTGGGCAGATCGTGAGGTCAGGAGATCAAGACCATCCTGGCTAACACGGTGAAACCCCATCTCTACCAAAAATACAAAAAATTAGCCGGGCCTGGTGGCGGGCGCCTATAGTCCCAGCTACTTGGGAGGCTGAGGCAGGAGAATGGAGGAAACCCAGGAGGTGGATCTTGCAGTGAGCCGATTGTGCCACTGCACTCCACCCTGGGCGACAGAGCGAGACTCCATCTCAAAATAATAATAATAATAATAATAATAATAATAATAATAATAATTCTGCTGGAAATCGAATTCTTGGGAGGCTGAGGCAGGAGAATGGAGGAAACCCAGGAGGTGGAGCTTGCAGTGAGCCGATTGTGCCACTGCACTCCACCCTGGGCGACAGAGCGAGACTCCATCTCAAAAATAATAATAATAATAATTCTGCTGGAAATCGAATTCTTGGTTGACATTTTTTTTTCAGGACTTTATGCCATTCCCTGCCTTCTGGCCTCCATGCCTTTAACAAGAAATCAGCTGTTTATTTTATTGAGGATCACTTGTACATGATGAGTTGCTTCTCTCTTGCTTTCAAAATTCTCTCTTTGTCCTTCAGTTTCCACAATTTGAACATAATGTTTCAGTGTGGATTTCTCTTGAGATAGCCTGCTTGAAAATCTTTGTGCTTCTTGGGTGTGTATCTTCATGTCTGTCATCAGATTATGGAAGTTTTTAGCCTTTATTTCCCCAAAATATTTTTTCTGCCCCTTTTTCTCTTTCTCTTCTCCTCCTGGGATGCTTATAAAGCATATGTTTACCCACTTAATGATGTCCCACAGTTCCCTAGGCCTATTTAGTCTTTTTAATTCTTTTTTCTTCTTTCTGTTCCTCTGATTAGATAATTTCAAATGTCTTCACATTCACCGTTTCTTTCTTTCTGCCTGCTCAAATCTGCTGTTATATCTCTCCAGTGAGTTTTTCACTTCAGTTTTTACACTTTTCATTTCACAATATCTTTTTGGTTACTTTTGCTAATTTCTATCTCTTTATTGATATTCTCATTTTGTTCAGACAACAGTTTTTTTTACTTTGGTTCTTTTCCATGTCTTCCTTTAGCTCACTGAACATACTAAAGACAGTTGGTTTAATGTATTTCACTAATAATTTTGATGTCTAGGCTTTCTCAGGGATGGTTTCCATCAATTTTTTTTCCTTTCAATGGGCCATACTTTCATGTTTCTTTGTATATTCTGTAGTTCTTGGTTTTTGTTTTTTTTTTTTTTGAGAAGGAGTCTCACTCTGTTGCCCAGGCTGGAGTGCAGTGGCGCGATCTCCGTTCACTGTGAGCTCCGCCCCCCGGGTTCATGCCATTCTCCTGCCTCAGCCTCCTGAGTAGCTGGGCGCCCGCCACCATGCCTGGCTAATGTTTTTGTATTTTTAGTAGAGATAGGGTTTCACAGTGTTAGCCAGAATGGTCTCGATCTCCTGACCTCGTGATCCACCCGTCTCGGCCTCCCAAAGTGCTGGATTACAGGCATGACCACCGCGCCTGGCCTATTCTGTAGTTTTTTTTTTTACTGTGAACTGGACATTCTGAGCCTTATGTTGTGGTAGTTCTGCAGTCTTAATTCTCTCACTCCTCAGGAATTGCTGGGTTTTGCTTGTTGATGGCTGGAACCATCCTTTTGTGACTTTTCTAAGCTATTTTTGTAAAGCAAGTATTCCTTGTGTGTTTTCACTGAAATTTTTCTTCCATTGTCTCTGGGGTCAGCCAGTGACCTGATGAGAGATTTCTTTAAATGTCTGGTTCTCAAGAGGGAAAAAGTACCTAGGTCCTGTTTCTTTAAATCCCCTCATGTTTGGTAAGTTGCTTCAGCCTGTGGATATATAAACAATGGCCAACTTCTGTGCTGGCCTCTCAGCAATCAAAAACAACAATCAATAATCAGAACCCACAACTCTGACTTTTGGAAGACAAGGTCCTTATTGCTCACCCCAGGTCCAGCAAGCTGCACCAGGAATGGGGAACTGCAGTCCCCACAGCTGCCTGTCATGGGGTTGGGGGATAAGAGATGGCAGCCCCTGCTATGTGAAAAAGTAAAATCAAAATTTACCCGCCTCTGCCAGGTGCGGTGGCTCAAGCCTGTAATCCCAGCACTTTGGGAGGCCAAGGCAGGTGGATCACGAGGTCAAGAGATCGAGACCATCCTGGCCAACATGGTGAAACCCGTCTCTATTAAAAATATAAAAATTAGCCGGGCGTAGTGGTGCGCGCCTGTAGTCTCAGCTACTTGGGAGGCTGAGGCAGAAGAATTGCTTGAACCCAGGAGGCAGAGGTTGCAGTGAGCCAAGATTGCTCCACTGCACTCCAGCCCGGCAACAGAGTGAAACTCTGTCTCAAAAAAAAAAAAAAAATTTTACCCGCCTCGCCGACGCAGTGGCTAACCCCTGTAATCCCACCACTTTGGAGGCTCAGGCAGGCAGATCACTTGAAGCCAAGAGTTCAAGACCAACCTGGCCAACGTGGCGAAAAACCCAGTCTCTACTAAAACTACAAAAATTAGCCAGGCATGGTGACTAAGACAGGCCAGGCACGGTGGCTCACGCCTGTAATCCCAGCACTTTGGGAGGCTGAGGCGGGCGGATCACATGAGGTCAGGAGTTCGAGACCAGCCTGACCAACATGGTGAAACCCGTCTCTGCTAAAAATACAAAAAATTAGCCAGGCATAGTGGCGGGTGCCTATAATCCCAGCTACTTGGGATTGCTGAGGCAGGATAATTACTTGAACCCCAGAGGCAGAGGTTGCAGTGAGCAGAGATCGTGCCATTGCACTCCAGCCTGGGTCACAGAGTGACACTCTGTCTCAAAAAAAAAAAAAAAAAATTACCCACCTGTTCATCAAACTTTCTCCTGGTCGATGCAAGTATTCTACTACATCACAGAATTCCAAAATATAGGTAGGTGGAAAAGTAATTGCGGTAATGGCAAAAACCGCAATTACTTTTGCACCAACCTAATAGTTACTTCAGGCAGTTTCTGCTCCTCCAATTATTGTTTCCATGGGCAGAAAGATTCCCATAGATCCCTACTCTACCATGTTCCCTGATGTCATCTTCTGTCCATTGATTTATTTTACAAAGCTGCAAAGGCAATTCGATGGACTAGTCTTTTCAACATATGGTATTGGAACAATTGGACCTCCATAGGCAGAAAAATGATCCTCAATCTAAAGCCTCATATCTTATGCAAAAATTAACTCAAAATGGATCAGAGACCTATATGTAAAATGTAAAACTGTAAAACCTTCATAATAAGACATAGACTGGGCATGGTGGCACATGCCTGTAATCCTAGAACTCTGGGAGGCCAAGATTGGAGGATTGCTTGAGTCCAGGAGTTTAAGACCAGCCTGGGGAACACAGTGAGACCTCATTTCTACAAAATATACAAAAATTAGCCAGGCATGGTGGTGTACACCTGTAGTCCCAGCTATTCAAGAGACTGAGAGGGGAGGATTCCCTTGAACCCAGGAGGTCAAAGCTACAGTGAGCCATGATTGTGCCACTGCACTGCAGCCTGGGTGATGGAGTGAGACCTTATCTCAAAAAAAAAAAAAAAAGGAAAAGAAAGAAAGAAAACATAGGAGATACCACTACACACATCTACTAGAATAGCTAAAATAAAAAATATTGACAATGCCATAAGTGGGGAATATAAAATACACCATCACTCTGAAAAACAGTTTGGCAAGTTTTTTTTTTTTGTTGTTGTTGTTTTGAGACGGAGTTTCACTCTTGTCATCCAAGCTGCAGTGCAATTGCACGATCTCGGCTCACTGCAACCTCCACCTCCCAGGTTCAAGTGATTCTCCTGCCTGAGCCTCCTGGGATTACAAGCAACTGCCACCATGCCCAGTTAATTTTTGTATTTTTAGTAGAGATGGGACTTCACCACATTGGCCAGGCTGGTCTCCAACTTCTGACCTCATGATCCACCCACCTCAGCCTCCCAAAGTACTGGGATTACAGGCCTGAGCCACCGTGCCCGACCAAGTTTTTGTTTTGTTTTGTTTTGTTTTGAGACGGAGTCTCGCTTTGTCGCCGAGGCTAGAGTGCAGTGACGTGATTTTGGCTCACTGCAAGCTCCGCCTCCCGGGTTCACGCCATTCTTCTGCCTCAGCCTCCCAAGTAGCTGGGACTACAGGCGCCTGCCATCACGCCCGGCTAATTTTTTTGTATTTTTAGTAGAGATGGGGTTTCACTGTGTTAGCCAGGATGGTCTCGATCTCCTGACCTCGTGATCAGCCCGCCTCGGCCTCACAAAGTGCTGGGATTACAGGCGTGAGCCACCGCGCTGGGCCTTTTTTTTTTTTTTTTTCAATAAAGTTACCATATCATCCAGCAGTCCCACTCCTGAGTGTTTACTCTAGAGAAATGAAACTTATGATCATATAAAAACCTATACATAAATGTTTAGAGCAGCTGTATTCATAACCGCCCCAAACTGGAAAACAACCAATGTCCTTCCATTGCTGAAAGGATACACAAATTGTGTGGCTGGGCGCGGTGGTCCATGCCTGTAATCCCAGCACTTTAGGAGTCCAAGGCGGGCAGATCACGAGGTCAGGAGATCAAGACCATCCTGGCCAACATGGTGAAACCCCGTCTCTACTAAAAAATACAAAAATTAGCTGGATGTGGTGGCACACACCTGTAGTCCCAGCTACTCGGGAGGCTGAGGCAAGGGAACTGCTTGAACCTGGGAGGTGGAGGTTGCAGAGCCGAGATCATGCCACTGTACTCCAGCCTGGGTGACAGAGTGAGACTCTGTCTCAAAAAAAGAAAAAAGAAAGAAAAAAAAGAAAAAAGAAAGAGAAAAAAGAAAGAAAAAAAGAAAAGGAGTCGTGCTCTTAAAGAGGAGACACAAGAGAGATCAGCTGTCTCTTGACCATGTGAGTATATGTGAAACGGCAGCTGTCTGCAAGCCAGGAAGTGGGCTCTTAAGAGATACCAGGTCATCCAGTGCCTTGATCTTGTACTTCCCAGCCTCCAGAACCATGAGAAATCAATGCTTGCTGTCTCAGCCACCAGCGTATAGTATTTTGTGACAGCAGCCCAAACTAAGACACTTTATAATTCCATATATATATATTACATTCTTGAAAATACAAAACTATAGTGATAGCAAACAGACCAATGGGTTGGTTGCTAGGGTTTCAGGGTAGGGGAGAATATGACTATAAAGGGACAACACAAGGGAGTTTTTTGGGTGGAGGATGGTGATGAAGTCTTGTATAGCTTTATTGTAGGGATAGTTACTAACTCTATACATGTGTTAAGACTCAGAACTTAATCCCAGCACTTTGGGAGGCCAAGGCAAGGCAAGTGGATCACTTGAGACCAGGAGTTTGAGGTCAGCCTGGGCAACATGGTGGAATCCGGTCTCTGCAAAAAAATACAAAAATTAGCGGCAGTTCCCGGGTCCCTTGGCCACTGAAGCCACCCTGCCCTGGTGAAAGGGCTCCCGCACCGCCCGGTGCTCCCCATCTGCCTGGCATTGTGCGCAGAGCTGGAAAGCATGGCTATTATAAATGAATTCTGATTTTGGGGAGCAGATGCCAACTTAGAGCCTCGTACCAATCTCTCTGTCTTTAAAAGATGAGGTGACTTGGTGATTTTCCTGGAAAATTATAGGTGCCCAGCTAAGACCTGAATGCCATCACCCTCCCCAGGGCTCTGCAGTTTTCTCGTGGTGAACCCTTGATGGATTTGTTGTTGCTTGAGAAATGGCGATGATCGAATTGGGGTTTGGAAGACAGAATTTTCATCCATTAAAGAGGAAGAGTTCATTGCTGTTGAAACTCATAGCTGTTGTCTTTGCTGTGCTTCTATTTTGTGAATTTTTAATCTATTACTTAGCGATCTTTCAGTGTAATTGGCCTGAAGTGAAAACCACAGCCTCTGATGGTGAACAGACCACACGTGAGCCTGTGCTCAAAGCCATGTTTTTGGCTGACACCCATTTGCTTGGGGAATTCCTAGGCCACTGGCTGGACAAATTACGAAGGGAATGGCAGATGGAGAGAGCCTTCCAGACAGCTCTGTGGTTGCTGCAGCCGGAAGTCGTCTTCATCCTGGGGGATATCTTTGATGAAGGGAACTGGAGCACCCCTGAGCTGGTGTCTTGCTCTGTCACCAAGGCTGGAGTGCAGTGGCGTGATCTCAGCTTACTACAACCTCTGCCTCCCTGGTTCAAGTGATTCTCCTGCCTCAGCCTCCTCGAGTAGTTGGGATTACAGGCACCCGCCACCACACCCAGCTAATTTTTGTATTTTTAGTAGAGACAGGTTTCATCATGTTGGCCAGGCTGGTCTCAAACTCCTGACTTCAAGTGATCCGCCTGCTTCAGCCTCCCAAAGTGCTGGGATTATAGGCGTGAGGCACCGCGCCTAGCCATCTAACTTTAAATGTTATTTGTTAAAGTGGAATCTTTGTAAATGTATTCAAGGACTCTATCCAGCATATTTCCTTAAATTTTGCCAGATTTACAACATTTAGGATAAAGTTGGTTACTATCTAGAATAGAGGTTTTTTTTGTTTTTTTTCCCTACCCTAGGGTGTTTGTACAATTGATATTTTTAGCTTTATAAAAATAAGAGCTCCCTCTCCCTCTCCCTCTCCCCTCTTTCCACGGTCTCCCTCTGATGCCGAGCCGAAGCTGGACTGTACTGCTGCCATCTCGGCTCACTGCAACCTCCCTGCCTGATTCTCCTGCCTCAGCCTACCGAGTGCCTGCGATTGCAGGCGCGCGCCGCCAGGCCTGACTGGTTTTCGTATTTTTTGGGTGGAGACGGGGTTTCGCTGTGTTGGCCGGGCTGGTCTCCAGCTCTTAACCGCGAGTGATCCGCCAGCCTCGGCCTCCCGAGGTGCCGGGATTGCAGACGGAGTCTCGTTCACTCAGTGCTCAATGGTGCCCAGGCTGGAGTGCAGTGGCGTGATCTCGGCTCGCTACAACATCCACCTCCCAGCAGCCTGCCTTGGCCTCCCAAAGTGCCGAGATTGCAGCCTCTGCCCGGCCGCCACCCCGTCTGGGAAGTGAGGAGCGTCTCTGCCTGGCCGCCCATCGTCTGGGATATGAGGAGCCCCTCTGCCTGGCTGCCCAGTCTGGAAAGTGAGGAGCGTCTCTGCCCAGCCACCATCCCATCTAGGAAGTGAGGAGTGCCTCTTCCCGGCCGCCATCTCATCTAGGAAGTGAGGAGCGTCTCTGCCCGGCCGTCCATCGTCTGAGATGTGGGGAGCGCCTCTGCCCTGTCGCCCCGTCCAGGATGTGAGGAGCGTCTCTGCCCGGCCGCCCGGTCTGAGAAGTGAGGAGACCCTCTGCCTGGCAACCGCCCTGTCTGAGAAGTGAGGAGCCCCTCCGCCCAGCAGCCGTCCCGTCTGAGAAGTGAGGAGCCCCTCCGCCCGGCAGCCACCCCGTCTGGGAAGTGAGGAGCGTCTCCGCCCGGCAGCCACCCCGTCCGGGAGGGAGGTGGGGGGGTCAGCCCCCCGCCTGGCCAGCCGCCCCATCCGGGAGGTGAGGGGCGCCTCTGCCCGGCCGCCCCTACTGGGAAGTGAGGAGCCCCTCTGCCTGGCCAGCTGCCCCATCCGGGAGGGAGGTGGGGGGGTCAGCCCCCCGCCTGGCCAGCCGCCCCGTCCGGGAGGGAGGGAGGGGGTCAGCCCCCCACCCGGCCAGCCGCCCCGTCCGGGAGGTGAGGGGCGCCTCTGCCCGGCCGCCCCTACTGGGAAGTGAGGAGCCCCTCTGCCCGGCCAGCCGCCCCGTCCGGGAGGGAGGTGGGGGGGTCAGCCCCCCGCCCGGCCAGCCGCCCCGTCCGGGAGGGAGGTGGGGGGGTCAGCCCCCCGCCCGGCCAGCCGCCCCGTCCGGGAGGTGAGGGGCGCCTCTGCCCGGCCGCCCCTACTGGGAAGTGAGGAGCCCCTCTGCCCGGCCACCACCCCGTCTGAGAGGTGTACCCAACAGCCCATTGAGAACGGGCCATGATGACAATGGCAGTTTTGTGGAATAGAAAGGGGGGAAAGGTGGGGAAAAGATTGAGAAATCGGATGGTTGCCATGTCTGTGTAGAAAGAGGTAGACATGGGAGACTTTTCATTTTGTTCTGTACTAAGAAAAATTCTTCTGCCTTGGGATCCTGTTGATCTGTGACCTTACCCCCAACCCTGTGCTCTCTGAAACATGTGCTGTGTCCACTCAGGGTTAAATGGATTAAGGGCGGTGCAAGATGTGCTTTGTTAAACAGACGCTTGAAAGCAGCATGCTCGTTAAGAGTCATCACCACTCCCTAATCTCAAGTACCCAGGGACACAAACACTGCGGAAGGCCGCGGGGTCCTCTGCCTAGGAAAACCAGAGACCTTTGTTCACTTGTTTATCTGCTGACCTTCCCTCCACTATTGTCCTGTGACCCTGCCAAATCCCCCTCTGCGAGAAACACCCAAGAATGATCAATAAAAAAAAAAAAAAATTAGCTGGACATGGTGTTACATGCCTATAGTCCTAGCTACTAGGGAGGCTGAGGTGAGAGAATCCCTTGAGCTTAGGAGGTCAAGGCTGAAGTGAGCCATGATCATGCCACTGCACTCCAGCTTGGGCAACAGAGTGAGACTCTGCCTCAAAAAAAACACAAACCAAAAACCAAAAGACTAATAGAACTACTACTGTGTACATTTTAAAAGTCAGTTTTACTGTAAGTTAATTCATTTTTTTAAATTAAGAACAGTTCTCGACCGGGCACGGTGGCTCACGCCTGTAATCCCAATACTTGGGAGGCTGAGGCAGGTGGATCACCTGAGGTCAGGAGTTCAAGAACAGCCTGGCCAACATGGCGAAACCCTGACTCTACTAAAAGTACAAAAATTAGCCAGACATGGTGACAGGCACCTGTAATCCCAGCTACTCAGGAGGCTGAGGCAGGATAATTGCTTGAACCTGGGAGGCAGAGGTTGCAGTGAGCTGAGATCACGCCATTGCACTCCAGCCTGGGTGACAGTGCAAGACTCCCTCTCAAAAAAAACAAAAAACAAAAAACAAAAAAAACTAGAAAATACTATAAGTAGAAATGGTGATTAGATAGGGTGGGCATGCAACCTAGCATGCCAGTGAAGCATGAGGGGAAGACTGCTGCTGCTGGGGGGCTTCTTACTCCTGAGGAGGCTCCCAGAGGGACAGTCCCTTTCTGCCTTTGAATAGTGTGGTACCACGTGCTGTCTGGATCCACTACAGCCACCTCCCGACTTGCTTGAGGATAATGCCAACACAGAGAGGAGGGCAGTGCCTCAAAAAGAGCAGAGAAGAGGAGTCAGACCCCTACCTGTGTTAGATGAGAAAGCATGTGCCTTTACTGTTTGTACCAACTGAGTTTGGCCAGAACCAAAGTTGTGTCCTAGTTGAGCACCTAGGACAGAATATTGAAGGAGGTGCTCACTCTCGGATGCTGATGCTACACTTGCCAACCCTGAGAGTGAGCATCTCCTTAAATGTACACCCCAGGTGCCTCACTCAGCTCACCCTGGTCCTGTTCGTGTTTGACTTAGGGCTTTTTGGACTTACAGCTGAAAGATTCTAACTGGTAAGGGGAGGACACACTAGAATTTAAGGAATGGGCAGATAAGAGGAACCCCGAAAAGGAGATAAAAGGCAGCTGCTCTTATTTGGGCCAAAGCAATGTTATATAATATCAATGCCAGGGGCCACCCCAGCCTAATATTAAAGGAATTGTCTTCCAAGTTTGTAGTAGTAGTTGTATTATTTTCATGATTTTCCAAAGAGTGTTACTGCATCTCTCTTTTTTTTTTCTCTCTCTCTCTCCCTCCCTCCCTCTCTCTCTCTCTTTTGAGACGGAGTCTCGCTCTGTCACCCAGGCTGGAGTACAGTGGCACGACCTCGGCTCATTGCATGCTCCGCCTCCTGGGTTCATGCCATTCTCCTGCCTCAGCCTCCTAAGTAGCTGGGACTACAGGCGCCCGCCACCACGCCCGGCTAATGTTTTTGTATTTTAAGTAGAGACAAGGTTTCACCATGTTAGCCAGGATGGTCTTGATCTCCTGACCTCGTGATCCGCCCACCTTGGCCTCCCAAAGTGCTGTGGTTACTGGCATGAGCCACCATGCCCAGCCTCTCTCTTTTCTTTTCTTTCTTTTCTCTTCTCCTCTTTGCTTTTCTCTATCTCTCCTTCTTTCTTCTTCTTCTTTTTTTTTTTTTTTAAAGTGTTGCTCTGTTGCCGAGGCTGGAGTGCAGTGGCATGATCTCAGCTCACTGCAACCTCTGCCTCCCAGGTGCAGGCAATTCTCCCTGCCTCAGCCTCCCATGTAGCTGCGATTACAGGTGCCTGCCACCACGCCCAGCTAATTTTTAGTGTTTTTAGTAGGGACAGCGTTTTGCCATGTTGGTCAGGCTGGTCTCAAACTCCTGACCTCAGGTGATCTGCCTGCCTCTGCCTCCCAAAGTGCTGGGATTACAGGTGTGAACCACTGCACCCAGCCTTTTTTTTTTTTTTCTTTTCTTTTCTTTTTATGAGACAGTGTCTCGGCTGGGAACAGTGACTCACACCTATAATCCCAGCACTTTGGGAGACCAAGGCAGGATTGCTTGAGCCTAGGAGTTTGAGACCAGCCTGGGCAACATACCAAGATCTTGTCTCTACAAACAATAAAAAAATGAGCTGGGCATGGTGGCACACACCTGTAGTCCCAGCTACTTGGGAGACTGAGGTAGGAGGATGGCTTGAGCCCAGGAGGTTGAGGATGCAGTGAGCCTCAATCATAGCTCACTGTAACTTGGAACTCCCAGGCTCCAGGGATCCTCCACCCTCAGCCTCCCGAGCAGCTGGGACTATAGGCATGCACCACCACAGTCAGCTAATTTTTTTAAAAAATTTTTTCTGTTTTTTTTCTTTTTGAGATGGTGTCTCTCTCTGTTGCCAGGCTGGAGTGCAGTGGCATGATCTTGGCTCACTGCAACCTCCGCCTCCTGGTTTCAAGCAATTCTGCCTCAGCCTCCTGAATAGCTGGGACTACAGGCGCACGCCACTATGCCCAGCTAATTTTTGTATTTAGAGTAGAGACGGGGTTTTGCCATGTTGGCCAGGATGGTCTCGATCTCTTGACCTCGTGATCCGCCCACCACAGCCTCCCAAAGTGCTGGGATTACAGGCATTAGTCACCGTGCCCGGCCTATTTTTTGAATTTTTTTAGAGACAGGGTCTCACTTTGTTGCCCAGGCTGGTCTCAAACTCCTGGCCTCAGGCAATTTTCTCACCTCTGCTTCCTAAAGGGCTGAGATTGCGGGTGTTAGCCATCATGCTCCTGGCCTGTTACTGTATTATTTCCTTTCTGGTTGAAACCTTTTTTTTTTTTTTGAGAGACAGAGTCTCACTCGCCCAAGATGGAGTGCAACGGCCCAATTTCGGCTCACTGCAACCTTTGCCTCCTGGGCTCAAGTGATTCTCCTGCCTCAGCCTTCCAAGTAGCTGGGATTACAGGCACCTGCCACCACGCCTGGCTAATTTGGGTTTCACCATGTTGGCCAGGCTGGTCTTGAACTGCTGACCTCAAGTGATCCACCTGCCTCAGCCTCCCAAAGTGCTGGGATTATAGGTGCTAGCCACTGCACCTGGCTTCCCGACTGAAACCTTTTTTTTTTTTTAAATGGAGTCTCACTCGTCGCCCAGGCTGGAGAGCAATGACGCGATTTCGGCTCACTGCAACCTCTGCCTCCCAGGTTCAAGTGATTCTCCTCGCTCAGCCTCCTCCAAGTAGCTGGGATTACAGGCATGCACCACCACGCCCAGCTAATTTTTGTATTTTTAGTAGAGACAGGGTTTCACCATGTTGGCCAGGCTGGTCTCCAAACTCCTGACTTCAGTTGATCCGCCCTCCTCGGCCTCCCAAAGTGCTGGGATTACAGGTGTAAGCCACCGCGTCCGGCCATCTGACTGAAATCTTAGTAGAATGTCTGCTAATGTTCTAATAAAGCACTTAGTAGGATGTTTGTTAATTTTAAACTTCGTATGATTGTTCATTTGTTAAACTGTGCTGTGATCAGAGGATTTGACCTCAACAATTTTTGCTTATTTGGATTTATTAAAAAATTTTGTGGGCCAGGTGTGGTAGCTCATGCCTGTAATCCCAGCACTTTGGGAGGCCGAGGTGGGCAGATCACCTGAGGGCTGGAGTTGGAGACCAGCCTGGCAAACATGGTGAAACCCAGTCTCTACTAAAAATACAAAACTTAGGGCGTGGCAGTGGGTGCCTGTGATCACAGCTACTTGGGAAGCTGAGGCAGGAGAATTGCTTGAACCAGGGAGATGGAGGTTGCAGTGAGCTGAGACCGTGCCACTGCACTCCAGCCTGGGCAACAGAGCGAAACTACATCTCAAAAAAAAAAAAAAACAAACAAACAAATTTTGTGGTCCAGTAAAGGATAAGTTGTTGTCAATGTTCCAGAGATACTGGGAGTGGTGGTGATGTATTTTATGTAGGTGGAGGACACAGCGTAAGTTTTTATACCTTACTAATTCTGCTGTTTAGCTCATCTTTATTTTTGTTTATATGTCACAGTCTGATAATGGTATATCATATTTTACTATAATTATAGTTCACTGCAGCCTCAAACTCCTGAGCTCAAGCCATCCTTCCATGTCAGTCTCCCAAGTAGATAGGACTGCAGATGCATGCCACCACACGTGACTAATTTTTAAAACTTTTTTTTTTTAGAGAGGGGCTTCGCTACATTGCCCAGGATGATCTGTAACTCCTGGCCTCAAGAAATCCTCCTGCTTTGGCCTCCCAAAACACTGGGATTACAGGTGTGAGCCTCTGAGCCCAGCCTATAACTGTGTTTCTATTAGCTGTGTTCCTATAGACTTTTTTTTTTTTTTTTTGAGACGGAGTCTCGCTCTGTCGCCCAGGCCGGACTGCGGACTGCAGTGGCGCAATCTCGGCTCACTGCAAGCTCCGCTTCCCGGGTTCACGCCATTCTCCTGCCTCAGCCTCCCGAGTAGCTGGGACTACAGGCGCCCGCCACCGCGCCCGGCTAATTTTTTGTATTTTTTTAGTAGAGACGGGGTTTCACCTTGTTAGCCAGGATGGTCTCGATCTACTGACCTCATGATCCACCCGCCTCGGCCTCCCAAAGTGCTGGGATTACAGGCGTGAGCCACCGCGCCCGGCCGACTTTTTTTTTTTTTTAAAGAGACAAGATCTTGTTATGTTGCCCAGGCTGGAATGCAGTGCATATTCACAAGCATGATCATATGGCACTACAGCTTCAAACTTCCAGTCTTAATAGTCTTAAGTGATCCTCCAGCCTCTGTCTCCTGAGTAGCTGGGACGATAGGTATGTGCCACCACACCCGGCTCTGCTTCTTGTTTTGTGTTGTTATGTTATTTGGTGCCTTTAGTTTCACAATGCCTTTTTTTTTTTTTGAGACAGGATTTTGCTCTGTTGGCCAGGCTGGAGTGCAGTGATGTGATCATAGCTTACCGCAGCCTCTAACTCCTGAGCTTAAGGGATTCTCCTGCCTCAGCCTCCTGGATAGCTGGAACTACAAGTGTGTACCACCACACTCAGTTAATTTTTTAATTTTTATTTTTGTAGAGACAGAGTCTTGCTATGTTGACCTGGCTGGTCTTGAACTCCTGGCCTCAAGTAATCCTCCCACCTCAGCCTCTCAAAGCAGTGGGATTACAGGTGTGAGCCACCATGTCCAGTAACAAAGCCTTTTTATATTATATATATTATTAGTATACATACTACTAATATGTATATATATGCATATACATACTATATATATACACACACATAAATAGGCATATCTTTTTAAACAACAGTATATATTCAGTTTGCTTTTTGATGTGATCTGAAGTTTTAATATTTTAAATAGTAATTTTAGAAGTTTACATTTTTACTTGTTTACATTTGGCTTGTTATACGTAATCTAACCTTTGCTCATCTAATTTTCTAATTTTCTGGTGTTTTGATATTCTTGTTTATAATTTCTTGCCATTTCTTTTTTTAATTTACAAATGTGAGGAAAGTATCTAGTATACTTCCTAAGACTCTTGATTTTTGCTGTATGAATTACGTTGTTCCTTTCGTCTCATGTAATGAATTATAAGGTATACATAAGGCTTTTTACACTGAAAAATTATATGAACTTATATATTTTTTTAAATAACTTTTATCCTCATGTTACATAAAACAAAGACATAGTCTCTGGCTTTTCTATCCTCTTTCTTCTCCCCTGGTTTCCACTGCATAATCTCAGGTTTAAAACCCTATTTTTAAAGATCTTCGTTCTCAACTTTTTATTTTGCATTTTGTTTGTTACCATAGCAACAATTATTTCAACTTATCAGTATCAGTCTCTACTGAGTGGTGTTTTTATTCCGTTATCTCTCTATCTTTAGCTAGTTTCAAGGCTCATTGCCAGTTCTTTTCTCTCATTTCATCATTCATGAGTTTCTGATTCATGTCTCACAATTTATTGCACAGTTCTGAGCAATTTCTGCAGAAAAATGAGTTAATTGGGTAGTGCATTAGTCAGAACTCTTATGGCTTTAAGTGACAGAAACCTAAAGTTCAGGCTTAGCTATATACAGCCTCAAACTGCAGCAGGAAGGAATTGTCTTCATCTCTGTCTTCCTCTCGGAGGGTGTTTCTTGCATCGTGGCATGTCTGGCCACAGACTCACATTCACTTCCCACCACCCCAGCAAAAAGGGAACACCTTTTTCCTAATAGTTTCTGCAAAAGTCTGAGCTGAATATCATTGGCTTGAATCAGGTCACATGCCCATCCTTTGAACCAATGTCTGTGTTCTGATTAGGGAGCCCTGGGTCACATGGTTCTCTTGAACTTGGGGATGAGGCCAGCCCTTCAAACTACATGAGTGCAGAAGGGACAGGTCACCAAATAAAAACTGGGTTGGCCAGGCATGGTGGCTCATGCCTGTAATCCCAGCACTTTGGGAGGCCGAGGTGGGCAGCTCAACTGAGGTCAGAAGTTTGAGACCAGCCTGGCCAACGTGGTGAAACCCCATCTCTACTAAAAATACAAAAATTAGCTGGGCATGGTGGTGAGTGCCTGTAATCCCACCTACTTTGGAGGCTGAGGCTGGAGAATCACTTGAACCCCGGAGGCGGAGGTTGCAGTGAGCCAAGATTGTGCCATTGCACTCCAGCGTGGATGACAAGAGCAAGACTCCATCTCAAAAAAAAAAAAATCTAGGTTGCTGCTACCAGAAGGAGGAGTCAATGCTGGGTAGATGTCCATTGTTTTCTAAGATTCTGCAGATCTGTGAATTATTGCCACCGTATTGAGTCAGTAAGAAAGACATTCAGGTAGTCGGCCTTATGCTTAGATGGTAGCTTAGTTATTGTCTTACCATGTTCCAGAGGCTAGTTCTCCACTGTGTTTCCAGAAACTTGTTGTTGTCGGAGCTAGATGATTGTTCCCTCTGGGCCTGGCTCATGCTAACCTGACTCAGTAGAGACCGATGAGACTAAACCCCATCTTAGAATGAACAGTCATTGCCATAGGACCCAAATGGGGTTGTCCTCTGGTCAGGGAACTTTCCCCATCAGAAAATCACAAGTGAACCCAAACTCTAATCATAAGGTTGCTTAGTGCCCATGGAACTAGGCAAGAGGCGCTCTCTGGAGAAAATTAACAGTCAGACGCATCATCCCATAACAGTGTGGTAGTTTTAAATGTCCACCAATGCTGGAATAGCGCAGAGACAACATGTTACAGGGAGGGAGACTGATACATGCTAAAACCAAAAGACACGAGAGTACTGAGGGTAGATTAGCATGGCTGGTGCGTGGAAAGCAAGGGTCAGGGAGAGAAGAGGAGATTAGGGTGGAGAGGTAGCCAGCAAAGCTCTCACTCTGAGTGTGATGGGGAGCCACTTAAGAAGGAGAGGGACAGGCTGGGTGCAGTGGCTCACGCCTGTAATCCTAGTACTTTGGGAGGCTGAGGCGGTGGATTGCCTGAGCTCAGGAGTGCGAGACCAGCCTGGGCAACACCTGTCTCTACTAAAATACAAAAAATTAGCTGAGCATGGCGGCATGCACCTGAAGTCCCAACTACTTGGGAGGTTGAGGCAGGAGAATTGCTTGAACCTGGGAGGCAGAGGTTACAGTGAGCCAAGATTGTGCCCCTGCACTCTAGCTTGGGCAACAGAACAAGACTCCACCTCAAAAAAAAAAAAAAAAAAAAAAAAGAAGGGGAGGGACAGCCAGTCGTGGTGGCTTATGCCTGTAAGCCTAGAACTTTGGGAGGCCAAAATGGGAGGATCATTTGAGGCTAGGAGTTTGAAACCAGCCTGGGTAACACGGTGAGATCTTGTCTCTACAAAAACTTTTAAAAATTAGCCAGGCATGGTGGTACGTGCCTGTAGTCCTGGCTACTTGGGAGGCTATGGCAGCAGGATGGCTTCAGCCCAGGAGTTCAAGGCTGCAGTGAGCTATGATTATACCACTGCACTCCAGCCTGGACAACAGAGCAAAACCCTGTCTCCTAAAAAATTAAAAAAAAAAAAAAGAAGAAGAAGAAGAGGAGGAGGGACAGTCAGATTTGTTGTGGAAAGATTGATCTGGGTTTAGGAGAAAGAAATGGCTGGGCGTGGTGGCTCCTGCCTGTAATCCCAGCACTTTGGGAGGCCGAGGCGGGCGGCTCATGAGGTCAGGAGATCAAGACCATCCTGGCTAACACGGTGAAACCCTGTCTCTACTAAAAATACCAAAAATTAGCCGGACGTGGTGGCAGGTGCCTGTAGTCCCAGCTACTCGGGAGGCTGAGGCAGGAGAATGGCATGAACCCGGGAGGCAGAGCTTGCAGTGAGCCGAGATCGCGCCACTGCACTCTAGCCTGGGCGACAGAGCGAGACTCCATCTCAAAAAAAAAAAAAAAAAAAAAGAGAAAGAAACAATTGGACCAGGGCACACTGAAAGCAGAAAACTTAATTAAGGATATTGTGGTAGCCTTGGTTAGAGAGTTGACACAACACATGAACCAGCAGAGTGGCACCGGGGATGAAGTGGTGACATTTAAAACAGTGCTTCTCAGCCAGGCACGGTGGCTCATGCCTGTAATCCCAGCACTTTGGGAGGCCGAGGTGGGCGGATCACCTCAGGTCAGGAGTGCAAGATCAGCCTGGCCAACATGGCAAAACCCTGTCTCTACCAAAAATACAAAAATTAGCTGGGTGTGGTGGTGGGCACCTGTAATCCTAGCTACTCAGGAGGCTGAGGCAGGAGAATTGCTTGAACCAGGGAAGCAAAGGTTGTAGTGAGTTGAGATTGTGCCACTGCACTCCAGCTTGGGTGACAGAGCAGAACTTCATCTCAAAAAAAAAGTAAAATAAATAAAAACAGTGCTTCTCAAAGTTTAACATGCATATCAATCACCTGGGTATCTTATTAAAATCCTGATTTTATTCAGGTTGGGTCTGAGATGCTGCATTTCTAACAAACTTGTGAATAATGCTGATGCTGCTGGTCTGGATACCACTTTTATTGTTTTTCGAGACATACTTTTTTTTGATGTTTGTCGATGTCTTGCTCTGTCTCCAAGGCTGGAATGCAGTGGTGCAATCACGGTTCATTGCAACCTCGACCTCCCAGCTAAGCTGATCCTCCCATCTCAGCCTCCTGAGTAGCTGGGGCCATGGGTGCCACTACGCTGGCTAGTTTTTTGTTTGTTTGTTTTTTTGAGATGGAGTTTTGCTCTGTTGCCTAGGCTGGAGTGCAGTGGCACGATCTTGGCTCATTGCAACCTCCGCCCCTCCTGGGTTCAATCAATTCTTGTGCCTCAGCCTCCTAAGTAGCTGGGATTACAGGGGTCTGCCACCATGCCTGACTAATTTTTGTATTTGTATTTTTTTTTTTTTTGAGGAGTCTCGCTCTGTCACCCAGGCTGGACTGCAGTGGCACTATCTCGGCTCACTGCAAGCTCCACCTCCCAGGTTCACGCCATTCTCCTGCCTCAGCCTCCCTAGTAGCTGGGACTACAGGCGCCCGCCACCACGCCCAGCTAATTTTTTGTATTTTTAGCAGAGACGGGGTTTCACCGTGTTAGCCGGGATGGTCTTGATCTCCTAACCTCGTGATCCGCCCGTCTCGGTCTCCCGAAGTGCTGGGATTACAGGTGTATTTGTATTTTTTTTTTTTGAGATGGAGTTTTGCTCTTGTCACCCAGGCTGGGGTGCAATGGCATGATCTTGGCTCACCGCAACCTCCGCCTCTCAGGTTCAAGTGATTCTCCTGCCTCAGCCTCCTGAGTAGCTGGAATTACAGGTGCATGCCACCACCATACCCAGCTAATTTTTGTATTTTTAGTACAGGCAGGGTTTCAACATGTTGGCCAGGCTGGTCTTGAACTCCTGACCTCAAGCGATCCACGCCACCTCGGCCTCCCAAAGTGCTGGGATTATAGATGTGAGCCACCACACCCGGCCACACCTGGCTAGTTGTAAAATTTTATGTAGAGATGGGGTCTCCCTATGTTGCCCAGTCTCAAACTCCTGAGCTCAAACAATCCTCCTGCCTCAGCCTCCCAAAGTGCTGGGATTACACACATGAGCTACCACACCTGGCCTGGAGATCAGACTTTAGGTAGTAAAGATTTCTGAACTATTAAAGAAACAGAATTTATAGTTCATAATTGATTGGATGGGGTACAGGGTAAGGCTTGAGGTAAAATGTGTTGTTAAAGATTATAGTGAACTCTCCAACTTAAGTGTCTGGGTGAAGGTGATGCTATCCACAGATACAAGATAAACAACAGGTTTAGGTGAGGTAGGTAACAGATAACATTTAGTGGGTACATAACATAATATGTGTCAGGCTCTTCACATATGTTGTCTTATGTACTCTGTCCAACAGACTTATGTGAGGTAGGCATTATTGTGATCCCATTTTAAGTCTGAGGAAAATGAGGACAAGGTCACACAGCTGGTAAGCAGAGCAGCCAAGATTCAAACAGTCTCAGCACAGAACTCATGCAGTTAACCAATGGTGGTTTAAATTTGTGGCACTGAAACACCTGTGGGATGTCACATGGAGCTGTCCTGTGTGCAGGTGGACATGCTGACCTGGAATTCAGGAGAGATCTTCTGAGCAATAAAGATCCAGGAAATGAGGGGCACGGTGGCTCACACCTGTATTCTTAGCACTTTGGGAGGCCGAGGTGGGCAGATCACGAGGTCAGGAGTTTGAGACCAGCCTGGCCAATATGGTGAAACCCCGCCTCTACTAAAAGTACAAAAAATAAATTAGCTGGGCGTGGTGGTGCATGCCTGTAATCCCAGCTACTCGGGAGGCTGAGGCAGAAAAATTGCTTGAACCTGGGAGGTGGAGGTTGCCGTGAGCCGAGATCACCCTACCACACTCCAGCCTGGGCAACAGAGTGAGACTCTGTCTCAAAAAAAAAAAAAAAAGATCTGGGAGGAAGGAGGTGCATACCAATAGTCCCAGTTACTTGGGAGGCTGAAGTAGGAGAATGGTTTGAGGCCAGGAGTTCAAAACCAGCCTGGGCAACAAGTGAGACCCCGTCTCTCTCTATTTTTTTTTTTTTTTTGAGATGGAGTCTCACTCTGTTACTCAGGCTAGAGTGCAGTGGTGTGATCTCTGCTCACTGCAACCTCCACCTCCTGAGTTCAAGAGACCTTCCCGCCTCAGCCTCCCAAGTAGCTGGGATTACAGGTATGAGCCACCATGCCTAACTAATTTTTCTGTATTTTTAGTAGAGACAGGGTTTTGTCATGTTGGCCAGGCTTATCTCAAACTCCTGACCTCAGGTGATCCGCCCACCTCGGCCTCCCAAAGTGCTGAATTATGGGCGTGGGCCACCGCGCCTGGCCCCCGTCTCCTTTTATATATAATTTTCCAAAAAAAAAAAAAAAAAAAAAAGATCTAGGAGGAATTAAGGCACTGGAGTGAATGAAATCATCTATGAAGGGTCAAAATCTACCCCTTCAAAGTGTTGTCAATCTTGTTCTATTTTCCTTTGTCTTTTAAGTGTTGCAGAGGAGAAATCTGAAGAAAGCCAGTTTTTAGCTTTTTTTTTGAGATGGAGTCTCGTTCTTGCCACCATCTATGAATCTATGAAGGGTCGAAACCTACCCCTTCAAAGTGTTGTCAATCTTGTTCTATTTTCCTTTGGCTTTTAAGTGTTGCAGAGGAAAAATCTGAATAAAGCCAGTTTTTAGCTTTTTTTTTTTTTAAATGGAGTCTCGTTCTTATCACCCAGACTGGAGTGCAATGGTGCAATCTCGGCTCACTGCAACCTATGCCTTCCGGGTTCAAGCGATTCTCCTGCCTTAGCCTCCCAAGTAGCTAGGATTACAGGTGCCAGCCATCATGCTCGGCTAATTTTTGTATTTTCAGTAGAGACAAGGTTTTACCACGTTGGCCAGGCTGGTCTCGAACTCCTGACCTCAGGTGATCCACCCGCCTCAGCCTCCCAAAGTGCTGGGATTACAGGTGTGAGCCACCTCGCCCAGCCATCTTTTTTTCCCCCGGAGACGGAATCTCACTCTGTTGCCCAGACTGGAGTGCAGTGGCACGATCTCGGCTCACTGCAACCTCCACCTCCTGGATTCAAGCAATTCTCCTGCCTCAGCCTCCCAAGAAGCTGGAATTACAGGCACACACCACCACACCCAGCTAATTTTTGTATTTTTAGAAGAGATGGGGTTTCGCCATGTTGGCCAGGCTGGTCTAGAACTCCTGACCTCATGATCCGCCCGCCTCGGCCTCCCAAAGTGCTGGGATTACAGGCACGAGCCACCGTGCCTGCTGGCCAGCTTTTTTATAAATAACATTTTTTTCCCTAATTGGGTCTATTAGTGTCTGTTCTTTATCCCTGAAACTTAATGATTTTCCCAGATTATGTGTTGTTGGTTTCTTCTTAATTTTTCTCAATCTCAGTGAACCCACTCTATTTCCCACCTCCACCTCAGACCTTTTTGCAACCTAAGGAAACTTTTCTCCTATTGTAATTTTGATTATTCGCTCTAACCGATTTGCTCTGTCTTCCTGTGGGGATGCCTAGAGTTAGAATCCCTAGATGCTGTCCATCCCCATTATCTTCTCTTACAGGATTCCATCACTTTGTTCTATATTCTTGAAAATTTTCTCATGTTTATCTTCTATATTGCTGATGTACTCTTCTGCATCAAGTCTACTTTTTTTTTTTTTTTTTTTGAGACGGAGTCTTGCTCTGTCACCCAGGTTGGAGTGCAGTGGCGTGACCTCGGCTCACTGCAAGCTCCGCCTCCCGGGTTGACGCCATTCTCCTGTCTCAGCCTCCGGAGTAGGTGGGACTACAGGCACTCGCCACCACGCCCGGCTAATTTTTTTTTTTTTTTTTTTTGTATTTTTAGTAGAGACGAGGTTTCACCATGTTAGCCAGGATGGTCTCGATCTCCTGACCTTGTGATCCGCCCATCTCGGCCTCCCAAAGTGCTGGGATTACAAGCGTGAGCCACCGCACCCGGCCTCTTTTTTTTTTTTTTTTTTGAGACGGAGTCTCACTCTGTGGCCCAGGCTGGAGTGCAGTGGCGCGATCTCAGCTCACTGTAACCTCTGCCTCCCGAGTTCAAGCAATTCTCCTGCCTCAGCCTCCCGAGTAGCTGGGACTACAGGCACACCGGCAGGCCCAGCTAATTTTTTGTATCTTAGTAGAGACGGGGTTTCACCATGTTGCCCAGGCTGGTCCCCAGTTTCTGAGCTTGGGCAATCTGCCCTCCTCCGCCTCCCAAAGTGCTGGGATTACAGGCGTGAGCCACCGCGCCCGGCCGGTTATTGTGGTTTTAATTTCATGGTACTCCATTTATCTTGGCCTGTTTTTTAAAAAAATATGCAATGTCCTCTTTTGAGAATAAGAATTAGGTATTTTCTTTTTATTATTATTATTATACTTTAAGTTTTAGGGTACATGTGCACAATGTGCTGGTTAGTTACATATGTATACATGTGCCATGCTGGTGTGCTGCACCCATTAACTCAAGAATTAGGTATTTTCTAAAATTGGGTCCTGCTTCATGGGCTAAATATATTTTGAAGGAGTAAATTTTGGCTGGAGCAGTTTATTCCTTTTCTCATGTGTCACATCCTTTTTCCCCCACAGGATTTTTTGTTTGTTTGTTTCTCTGTTTTAGAGACAGGGTATTGCTGTGTTGCCCAGGCTAGTCTTGAATTCTTGGGCCCAAGTTGGGATTACAGGCGTGAGCCACCACACCAGCTTCCACCAGAGAGTTAAACAAACAAACAAACAAAAAACTTTGTTTATTCTCCTTTGAGATTGACTAATTAATCTTTGTTGATGTCTAGAAGTCAAGAGTTGATGGTTTTAAACTTGGAAGAGTTGAACAAAGAGGATATAGGGTCTGCCGCTCTTCCTTCTCCCTCCAAACATGGCAGGGGAAAAGGTTCAGAAGCAGTGCCTGGGTCATTGTCCGTCTCGTTGTCTTAGCTTTCCTTGGTATCCACCTGCTTCAGGACTCTAATTTTTATTTTTTCAACCTCTGTTGTTTGTGACTGTTTCTTAACCTGGTGTGTCTCTTTTTCTCTAAACCTCGATGTTTTGGTTTTAGTGACTCTATCTTTGCATTTCTATTTCATTACCTGCTCTGTCAGCATTTCTGCCTATCTGTACCAATCTCGGTCTGTCTCTGAACGCAAATGTATCTCTCATGTGTTTCGACCCACCACCCCCTAATCCCTTACTCTCTGCTTTGTCCTCCTGCCTCAGCCTCCCAAGTAGCTGGGATGACAGGCGCCCACCACTGCGCCCGGCTAATTTTTGTATTTTTAGTAGAGACAGGGTTTCGCCATGTTGGCCAGGCTGGTCTTGAACTCCTGACCTCGTGATCCGCCCGCCTCGGCCTCCCAAAGTGCTAGGATTACAGGCGTGAGCCACCTCGCCCGGACTTAATTTTTGTATTTTTAGTAGAGACCTGGTCTCAAACTCCTGACCTCAAGTGATCCGCCCGCCTCGGCCTCCCAAAGTGCTGGGATGATAGGCGTGAGACACCGCGCCCTCCCTTCTGCTTTGTACTTCTTCATCGTACTTATCACAACTTGAGCATTACACGTATTTGTCTGTCTCCTCTCTCTAAAAGGTAACTTCTATAAGGGTGGATCCCCAGGAACATGGAGTGTGCTCAACAAACATCTGAACTAACCTGATTGGCGTATCCTCTCAGTGTCTCCTTTTAGTCTCGACAATTGTGTTTCACACTTTCTCAGTATGCAAATATCTTTCTCGGTCTGGGTCATGCCTTTCGGTTTCTGCCCCAGTGCAGAGGCCTCTAAGTTTATCAGCGTGTGGACCACAGATTCGCAGAGGCCTGAGCTGCGGCGCTGCCGGGATATGGCGCGTCGTCGGGCCTCAAGCACAGCCCGGGGTCCCTCGCTGGCTCTGTTCGGACCCTGCTCGGTCGCTCGCCTGGGCCCCAGCCATCTCTCACTTCAGCCCATGAGTTCTGCCCCACGTCTGTCTCCCTGGGTGTCTTAAGAGACGCGACCCGCACCGACGCCCCCGCGAATGCACCGCGAATGCACGTGACCGCGCCTAGTGGCGCCCCCTCAGTCAACGCCGTCGCAGTGCCCCTCCCGAAGCCCGCCGCTTCCGCCGGCCCGCGCGGCCCCGCCCCCAGCCGCGAGGAACCAATCCGCATGCACACTTCTTGTCCCCGCCCCGGCACCCTCCTCGGCGCGCGCCCCTCCCTCCGCCCGCCCGCCGGCCCGCCCGTCAGTCTGGCAGGCAGGCAGGCAATCGGTCCGAGTGGCTGTCGGCTCTTCAGCTCTCCCGCTCGGCGTCTTCCTTCCTCCTCCCGGTCAGCGTCGGCGGCTGCACCGGCGGCGGCGCAGTCCCTGCGGGAGGGGCGACAAGAGCTGAGCGGCGGCCGCCGAGCGTCGAGCTCAGCGCGGCGGAGGCGGCGGCGGCCCGGCAGCCAACATGGCGGCGGCGGCGGCGGCGGGCGCGGGCCCGGAGATGGTCCGCGGGCAGGTGTTCGACGTGGGGCCGCGCTACACCAACCTCTCGTACATCGGCGAGGGCGCCTACGGCATGGTGTGGTGAGTGTCCGCGACCGGCCACGCCCGGCCCCCCCACCGCCCGGGGCCGCAGCGGACGCAGCCTCGGCCTCGCCCGCGCCTCGGCCTCAGGCGCCGCGGCGACCTCGAACCCGGACTTCACCGCGGTCCGCGCGCCAGGGCTCGGGCGCGGCCCCGGGCCGGTTGAGGTTTAGGTGTTGTTGCTCGCGGTTCCCGGGCCTTCGGTCGCTCGGGAAGGGGCTCAGGGAGTGGCGCGGGGGGCGTAGGCCGGTACTAGTGGACCCTTGGCCCCGGGCGCAGCGCGGCCTTTAAAGTCTGGACCCTCGGGAAGGCAACGGAAGGGTCCCCACCCCTCAATTTGCTAGTATCATGGCCTTCTTTTGGACTTTCGATTGTAAAACTGTGAATTCCATCAGATGCTTGTCGGTGTTGGCGGCGGTGGCTGCTGAGGTCCTGAAAGCGTTTTGCCTCCGCGTGTGTGCAGAACACCGAAATAATCGTTTTTCTCTCTTCGCCTCTGTTTGCAGCCAACGGCTTTCATTAAATATCCTCAGCGGTGCTAATGGTGGTCTCCGCGCAGGCTTTCTAAAATGGATTACTGACGCCAGTGTTGGTGGCATATTTCCGTCTTGAAGTTTTTACTTCTAAGTGGATTTTAATATCGTACTGCTGGCGTTTCAGGAAGGATAAACTAACATTACTCTCTTGATTTGTTAAAGATCCGTTTAGAGTTGGGCCTAATTTGACTTTTTTTTTAGCCCCCAAGTGAGCTCTTTTACCAGCATAAATGCTCCCAGATGTTTTAGCCCAATTGCTATGGACTCCTGTTAATGATTTAGTGGTCATTATGTATGCAGCCTTAATGGAGTTCTTGCAGAATCACACGTAGACTCCCTCATCTTGATTCAGGTCCCTTAGAAAAGTGAAATGATAGTGACGGTTTTTTTTTTCCCCCCGAGACGGGGTCTCGCTCTGTCTCCAGGCTGAAGTGCAGTGGCGTGACCTCGGTTCACTTCAACCTCCGCCTCCTGGGTTCAAGCGATTCTTCTTCCTCAGCTTCCCGAGTAGCTGGGACTACAGGCGCGCGACACCACGCCCGGCCCATTTTTGTATTTTTTAGTAGAGACAGGGTTTCACCATGTTGGCCAGGATGGTATCGATGTATTGATCTCGTGATCCGCCCGCCTCGGCCTCCCAAAGTGCTGGGATTACAGGCGTGAGCCACCGCGCCCGGCTGATGGTAGTTTTTATTAGAGCAAACTAGCGATAGCATTTTGTGCTGGTGAGGACTTGTGGAAATAGATTTCCTTAAATCTGAATCTTGTGAATGTGTCTTTTGTGTTGACTGAAGAAAGTAAACTAATAATTTATTGAACCCTTCGTGGCAGGTACTGTGCTACATATATTATTTCATTTTATTTGAGCAGCCACATTGAGGGAGGAAAAGATGGTGTTATTCCTTTTTTCAGGTGAGAAAGTATTTCGAGGTGAAGCCAATTCTTGAGGTCATAGAACTAGAGTTATTAAGATTGTAGACTGAGATTCTACTAGACACACTGTAGCTCTTTTCAGCTGTTTTTAGGAAAACACTCTGCGTTCCTTAGTGTAATTAATACTTGCAGAATTTTCTGTATCTTACTGTTATAAAGTAAATATAAGTCTGTTTCGGAAATGTATTCAAATTTCAATCATAATTTTAGAAATGCCATAGAAGGTATGTTTTACCAAGTATTGTAGCTAGATAGAAAGATTAGTTAAAATTCTTTTTAAAGAGATTTTAATTGAATCTTTAATGTTTTCACTTTGTTTAGGAGCAAAATGCTGAATACAACTGTGAAAATTAATGTGAACTCACAGGCTTAGGAGCCAAGACAGAATTTAAATTAGGTCGAGCCTGAAAGAAATAAGGCCCTAAAAAGTAATGGAGAGAAAGTATTGCCAGTAGCATCATTTCTCCACCACACATCGCATTGCTGTTGCACTCACTGGGAAGTGTGCCAGTGAACATGTCTCATTATGAGAGGCTCAGAATTTCCCATCACATCCTTTGGCCCTTTTAACAAGATTAGCTTATCTAAAATGTGGACTGAAAAAAGTATTTTACGTTTAGGACATGTCAATTGAAAAGATACCCCCATCTGATAAGATTTCTCCTGTCTGATAAGGTTTTTACTAGTCTGAAGTTGTTTAGATGTGGGAACTACTTCTGTCACTGCTGTAGGCTTGTTTGACCTTCTGACTCTCCATTTGAAATGCTAAGTCCCCTTTTTGTGATTGTCGTTTCCTAAGTGAAATACAAATGTAATTGGAATTTGAATCCAAGATCCAGATTATAGCCTTTTATCAGGTTGATGAAATACCCTGCTGTTAACCTTCTCCATTGCACATTATTAGCATTTAATAAATATTGGCTAACAGTGCTGGATTTATGGAGGGCTCGTTGAAATATTCACTAATATTTGAATGGTGATCTTTTAAAAAATGCTTCCAAAAGGATTTATGGATTTCTAGCCATTTTTTAGATTTACCCCCTTCTGTTTCCTTATCAGTTCATTAGGAATTGTGACTATTTTGTTTAGAGTCCTTTCCTAATGATTATGTAGAGGATGTAAAGATGAAGAGTGGGATTTGAGTTGGGCCTTTAAGAGTGGGTGTGATTTTGATATGCAGATAATAGGAACAAGTGACAGCTTGAGCTGTGGAATCTAATCTTGGAAATGTACTTAGGTGGCAAACTGTAGAGGACTCCAAAGGCAAAACTAAGTTTGACTGTATATTTGTTCAGTGGAGGAAGCATCTTATTTATTTATTTATTTGTTTATTTTTTTTTTTGAGGTGGAGTCTCACTCTTGTTGCCTAGGCTGTAGTGCAGTGGCATGACCTCGGCTCACTGCAACCTCTGCCTCCTAGGTTCAAGCGATTCTCCTGCCTCAGCCTCCTGAGTAGCTGGGACTACAGGCGCGTGCCACCATGCTCAGCTAATTTTTTTTTTGTATTTTTGTAGAGACAGCGTTTTGCCATGTTGGCCAAGATGGTCTCAAACTCCTGACCTCAGGTGGTCCCCCTGACTTCAGCCTCCCAAAGTGCTGTGATTACAGGCTTTAGTCACCGTGCCCGGCCTTTTTTTGAAAGAGGCAGTCATACATGGTCAATTTTGAAATTTTTTGGGAAGACAAATCAACACTAGTGGGAATGAAGGAAGAAGAACCGGAGTGGAGGAATAAATTAGGAAAGCCTAACCACCTAGAGGTGCAGTAATAAAGTGGCAGCGGAAGGTAGCAGATGGAGGTGAGGAGTTTTGTATTGACAGAAATAGTAACAGGGACCCTTGTGGGAAGAGTGGTAAAAAGACTTTTAATCATGGCAAGTCTGAGTGGAATCAAAGGATTATGAGACCTTAAAGGGTAAGAGACCAAGAGAGGTGGGATTTGGATTTGGAGGGATTTCTGAGATAGAACAAGGCTTGCTGGTTGATTGGCTATGGGCGGTTGTTCATTCTGAGGCCTCTAGGTTGGGAGCCTGGGAGATGGTGGTGCCATTATCCAAGTAAAGGAATACTGTTAGAGCAGATTTGTCAGGGGGAAATAGTTCTGGTTTGAACTTAAGTTTGTAATGCCTGTAGGCCATTCAGGCTATATCCAGAAACCATCTTAAAATTTGTAAGAGGGGAGCAGGAGCTGGAGATGAAAATTTGTGTAAATGGTAGTTAAAATCTTGAGTGGATGAGCACAGATTCTTATCTGGGTCATTGGTTAGGTGAAATTGCAATCATGGCCAGGCGCGGTGGCTCACGCCTATAATCCCAGCACTTTGGGAGGCCCAGGTGGGCGGATCACGAGGTTAGGAGATCGAGACCATCCTGGCTAACATGGTGAAACCCTATCTCTACTAAAAATACAAAAAAAAAAAGTAGCCGGCCGTGGCGGTGTGCGCCTGTAGTCTCAGCTGCTGGGGAGGCTGAGGCAGGAGAATGGTGTGAACCCGGGAGGCAGAGCTTGCAGTGAGCCAAGATCGCGCCACTGTACTCCAGCCTGGGTGACAGAGCAAGACTGGGTCTCAAAAAAAAAAAAAAAAGAAATTGTAATTATATGTTTTCTATATTTATCTTTTTGGTTAAAAAATACATAGCATTTGATAGATTTTCAAATGAGTCCATTATCCTGGAAACATTAAGAACCACTGAAGTAGAACAGAGGACCAACCAGGTAACTCTGGCAAAGAAGAGGAAACTGATGACTGGTCAGATGTATAAGGGAACAGTGTAGACGGGGAGGAGGGAGAGGAGGAGAGATTGAAACACTCTTAGTATGCTTGGTCATCTTAGACTAAGATAGCAAGTGTCTATTTTGGTTTAATTGAGTTTGAAATGCTGTTTCTGAATGCGACAAGAGAGCTCATGGGGTCATCTTCATAGAGATATTAATTGAAGCCTTAAGAGTGGATAAGACATCTGAGAACTAAGCCAAAGGAGTGCCTGCCTTTACTGTGTCAATAAAGGTCAAGTTATGGAAGAGGACAGAGGAAATGTGGCCAGAGAGACCAAAGAACTGGGAGTGCACGTTATCAAAGGAGCCAAGGGAGATGGTACTCATTAAGGGATTGGTATTGAGTACTATAGGAGGGAAACAGAATGCAGCTGACAAGCCATTATATTTGTTGACTTTCAGCTCTTTTTTTTTTTGAGACAGAGTCTTGTTCTGTCGCCCAGGCTGGAGTGCAGTTGCACAATCTCGGCTCACTGCAACCTCCGCCTCCTGGGTTCAAGTGATTCTCTTGCCTCAGCCTCCCGAGTAGCTAGGATTACAGGTGTGTGCCACCACACCCGGCTAATTTTTTTATTTTTAGTAGAGACGGGGTATTGCCATGTTGGCCAGGCTGGTCTCAAACTCCTGACCTCAGGTGATCCCCCTGCTTCAGCCTCCCAAAGTGCTAGGATTACAGTGTGAACCACTGTGCCTGGCCTCTTTTTTTTTTTTTTTAAAGCGGGGATGTTCAACTTGGGAAAGCTGAATGAATAAAAGAAAAAAGAGGGGGATGGTTTCAACTAAAATTTCATTGTGATCACATTCCTGATGGTACAATGTCCTCCTGTCTTGTTAAGGTTATTGTGATTATAGCAGACTAGTAGAACTACCACTTTTTCAGCACTCTTGTTTTGTATTTTACATACATTAATGCTAAGCCATATAACTGTACAGCAAAAGTGGTAACTTCTGTTTGTTTTTTACCCCACAAGTGAAGAAACTTGAGGCACACAGAGGTTAGTTAACTTGCCCAATGACACACAGCTAGGAAGTGATGAAGCAACCCCAGTTTTTCTGGTTCCTAAGTAGTGCTCCACCAAAGATCAGAGTTGAGAAAATAGATTATTTCAGTAACAAGAAATATCTGTTGTCTGCTTTTGCTTGTATCACTTTTTAGCCTTTAAAACCTTTCATGTAGAGTTATTTACTCAGAAAATGTTTATTGAACTCTTCATCCAAATAATGGGATGGAATTGGGGAATAATACAGAGAAGATACCAGTGTTACCCAGGAGTTTGTGAAGTGCTGAGAGGAAGAGAAGAGCTGAGTGACTTGGGGCTGTCTTTCTTTGGCTTCCCAGACTTCTGAGCTAGGTGTTGATGTGTGAGTAGGAGTTTGCCTTGAGAAATGCCTTCTAGGCAAAGCGAAGTGTGCATGTAAAGGCACAGACCGTGAACACAGTGCATCAGGTCAGGAAAACCACAAATTACTTGGGAAGGCTGGAGTGTAGGGTGCCTTAGTAAGAAGGTGGGAGTTGAGACAGCTGGGGGTAGGCAGGGCCAAATCCTGAAGGGCATTATTTGGTAAGGACTTTGGACTTGATCTTGTGGGTGACGGAGTCATTAAAGGATGGCCCTGTTTCTGTCTGCCAGTTCCACTCCCACTTTATCTCTTATGCTTTCTGCCCATTTTGCCTACTTACTTACTTTTTTTTTGAGACAGAGTTTTGCTTGGAGGCTCACTGCAACCTTGCCTCCTGGGTTCAAGCAATTCTGCCTCAGCCTCCTGAGTGGCTGGGATTACAGGTGTGTGCTACCATGCCTGGCTAATTTTTGTATTTTTAGTAGAGACAGGATTTCGCCATGTTGTCCAGGCTGGTCTCAAACTCCTGACCTCAGGTGATCCACCTGCCTCGGCCTCCCAAAGTGCTGGGATTACAGGCGTGAGCCATTGCACCTGGCCGCATTGTGCCTACTTTATCTCGTGGTACTCAGTGGGGGTGATTTTACCTCCCTGCTACAGAGGCATTTGGAAATGTATAGGGGGGCGGCTTTTTGTTGTGTTGTCACGTTGATTAGGGGGTGTTATTGGCCGTCAGTAGGCATGTCAAGGGCAGACATGCTAAATGGTCTGGATTGCACGGTACACTCCCTCCACTGGAGAATCATCCTGCCAAGATGCCCATAGTACAGCACCCCAGCCTGCCCCAAGAAACATCAGGCTCTATTTAAGTCCCGCTTTTCTCTAAAGCTCATCTCTATGAACTTTGCCCTATTGCTTCCTGTTAATGCACTCTCTTCATGGATCTCTGCTGGGTGTTTGTACCACCTGTTTGAAAGGCAGGAACAGCAATAACATATATCATATATAAAAACTCTAGACCTGGAGACAGAGATATTGAGATTCTTAATTTTGCTTGCTCATTGTTTACTTAACTTTTTTAATCAAGAAGTCTCCTCTACACTTTTGGAGCTCAAAGATGCAAGGACAGCAGCTTACATGAGTAACAGAAGAATCTAGTGTTTCTGAGCAGAGTTTAGAGTAAAAGGATAAGTCAAAACAAAATTAATTTTTATATTAATAGCATCCCTAATGATGTATTCCTGGTAGTTAGCTATAACCATTACACCATTCCCATAATCTGATTTGTGTAAATTCAAGTTGACTTTTCCCCAAAACTGTATGTAATTTATTCCTCACCTTGCTCACAATTTATATACCTATTAATTGAAAAACACCTCATTCCCCAACAAACATCTAGAGCTCCTTGCCTCCGGCCTACTCCACCCACCCTCTTGCCTAATCCTGAGATGCTATTTTGCTCCCCTTTAGATTTGCTTTTTTTCTTTCACTTCTTGAGGCTCCCACACTGAAAGGTGCCTAGGAGCTCATCCAGTAGCTGCGCTGTCTCTGCTCCCTCTAGGAAAGGCCACCTGCCTGAGCTTTGAAATGGCCCACACCGTACCAGAAGGAAGAAGAGAGATTCCAGGAGGATTCAGACGTTACCCAGGCTTTCTGGAAACTGAGCAGAACCACAGGAGGAGAAAGCTATAGGCAGCTGAACAAAATTTATGTGTTTCTATTTCCCCTGCTATAACATGAAAGGACTGGGCTCTGTCTGTGGTTTTCAAATCTCCTCCTCTCTTAGGGGCTTCAGGCCTCACCCCAAATAGGGAAACTTCACATACAGCATTCTCTCCCCTAATCCCTGTTTTTTCTATTCTTTGCTCTTCTCTTATCTACCTCCTTCCCCTCCCGTTTCCCTTCTTCCTCTGCCCTTAGTCTTTTTTCTTTTTCTTAATTTCCTTTTAGTCATTATCATCTTCAGTTCACATAGGTAGTAACTATTAGGGTTAGCAGGGCAAGATCCCATTTGGAAAAAGGATTTGATTGCTTTGAAAATGATGTTGGGCAACCCACAGGATAGATGGTCTCCAAGGTCCCTCCCAGATTCTCAGACTCAAGGCAGGCCCTGGGGTTTGAACCTATGGCCAGTAGGAGCTGGATAGCAGGTGTCTGCATGGATAATATGCCATGATCAACTGACTAATGTTAGTTGCAAGCCTGCCTTGCTGGTTTAAGCTTCATTCTCATTCTTGTCTTTTTTTTTTTTTTTTTTTTTGAGACAGAGTCTCACTCTGTTGCCCAGGCTGGAGTGCAGTGGCGCGATCTTGGCTCACTGCAACCTCTGCCCCCAGGTTCAAGCAGTTCTCCTGTCTCAGCCTCCTGAGTAGCTAGGATTACAGGTGCCTGCCACTGTACCTGGCTAAGTTTTTTTTTTTTTTTGTAGTTTTTAGTAGAGATGGGCTTTCACCCTGTTGCCCAGGCTGGTCTTGAACTCCTGACCTCGTGATCCATTCGCCTCAGCCTCCCAGAGTGCTGGGATTACAGGTGTGAGCCACCGCGCCTGACCGTCATCCTTGTCTTTGAGGTATTATATTTTGCACTTTACACATAAGGGAACTGGGTGTCAGGTAACTCGTTCAGGGTTCACAGCCAGTAAGTATATTGCAGAACTGAGATGTAAATTGAGATTTATGCAGACCCCAAATCCTGTGACCTTTTTTCTTTTAACTACTATAGGCTTTTCTCTGTTATACCGAGTTACCTAGAAACGTACTTCCTACAGCCTGGGTTCCTGAATGGATTAGCCCTAAAGTATAAAATGATTATGCCATTGCAGACAGACCTGAAGAAGAGGCTAGAAAGGATTAGAGTTAAAGTAACTTTGTTTTTTGTTTTTGTTTTTTCTTTATCTCCAAAGGATCTGTCATCTAGCAACTTAATTTTTATCAGGAAGCAGTATTGATTTCTTCCCATTCCTTCTAGTTACCTCTACCAGTTTCTTGATTTTCATTCATTTAATATTATTAAACACGTACCGGATTATGTGCTAGGCAGTAGGAACAAAGTAGTGAACAAAAGTTGTTCTTACTCTTTGGTGTTTACAGTCCAACAGGGCAGTAATAACATTTACTGAGTATGGTGAGGTGTGGAGTGCCACTGGATGATATAAGATATTCTGAGTAGTCATGAAGGGTTTCCGGGAGGAAGTGGTGTTTAAGCTGGGACCTGAAGGAAGACTTAGAGCTAGCTGGGTAAAAGGTAGGGTAGAGTGCTGGAATGTTTTAGGCACTACTTTGTAGAGACTGCATTATAGAAAATGAAAAGTTTATGATTAAGATCTGGGGGCCTTTGTCATATTACTGCAAGGATAGAAAGTGCAGTTAAAGCTTTAGGTATAGTTGGAACCAGGAACTGGAAAATAGACCAACGTAGCTACCTCCCTCCCTCTTTACAGTTACAAAAGCTTCTTGTACCCTACATCTCTCAGCAGCTGGATTTTCCCCCCTCTTTTCTCTTTTGTCACTTCCCCATGCACTCAGCAGAGGAGAGCTGACCCTAGCTCCCTGAAGGTATGTGTCTTCAGGTTTTTTGATGACCAGAGGCTGAGAACACTCTGAATCCAATTCCAAGTGGAACAGAATGTGTAAAAACACTGTTAGGGAGATCATTCTGCACAGAACAGCTCACTCCACCTGGCCTTTCCAGCCTGGGAGAGTGTCTGCCTCTGGTCTAGTCAGCTGAGGCCCAAGGTGGGGTCATTTATTAAATAAAGCTGCATATCTCGGAATGTCTAAAGGGCAAGGTGGGAATTGTCAAAAGGGGTCTCATTGATTTCTGACTTGTTAGGTTAAAGTTCTTGGTACTGTTTTCCCTGTCATTCTCCAGGGAGTGTGTATCACTCTCCGGTTTTTACAGATGAGGAAAATGAAACAAAAGTTGGGTAACTTGCCAGTCACAAGTAAGGGGTCAAAGGATTGTCATGAGTATTAAATAAAACAGTATACTTGAAGTCCTGAGCACTTGGTACCTAGTTAATGCTCTGTTATTCCTTTGAAGTAAACAGGGTTGACAAGATGTGAATCCCCCTTTGTCTCGGTCTCTATGTAAAGCAGCATGTGCAGAAGTACAAATATTTGGCTTGGTGGTCAGATGACTTTACAATGGTATGGAAGTGATACACATGCAGTAGAAACCTTACTTCCGAGTACCCACGCAACTGTTCTGTTTTTCATTTTCAGTATAGTATTTCATACATCATATGAGTTACTCAACACTTTTATTATAAAATGGGCTTTGCGTTAGATGATTTTGCCCAACTGTAGGCTAATGTAAGTGCTCTGAACATGTTTAAGGTAGGCTAAGCTAAGCTGTGATGTTTGGTAAGTTAGGTGTATTAAATGTATTTTCAGCTAGGCTGGGTGCAGGACTCATGCCTATAATCCCAGGACTTTGGGAGACCGAGGCATGAGGATTCCTTGAGCTTAGGAGTTTGAGACCAATCTAGGCAACATAGTGAGGCCTTTTCTGTACTAAAGGTACTAAAAATTAAAAAAAAAAAAAATTAGCCAGGTGTGGTGGTACGTGCCTATAGTCCCAGCTACTTGGGAGCCTGGGGCTGAGGATCGCTTGAACCTGAGTGGTCAAGGCTACAGTGAGCCGTCGTCGTGTCACCGCATTCCCGCCTGGCAACAGAGCAAGAAACTTTCCCAAAAAAAACAAGCATTTCACCTTATGAGGTTTTCCATTTATGAAGGGTTTATTGGGATGTAAGTCCATAGTAAGTCAAGGAGCATCTTTATATAGTTAGAATAGGGACAGTCAAGTGTTTCATGCATAATCCAAATCTTCAGGAGGCAACATCAAGGTAACCCGAGTTTAGGGATATTCTGCAAAATAACTGGCCTGTAAACCTCAAAATTAAGTCAAGATCATGGAACCAAGAAAACACTGAGGAATTGTTCCACACTAAAGAAGTGTGCAGAAACATGGCAACTCCATGTGGTTCATGATTCTGAATCGGCATGATTGGCAAAACTAGAATGTCTGAAAATTAGATTGTAGTCGTGTATCTGTGTTAATGATTTTATTTTTATCTTCTTTTTTTTTTAACTCTTCTTTTTTTTGGTATTTTCTTTTTTGTTTTGGTTTGTCCTTCCTTTTTTTTGTTGTTTTTTGTTTTTTGTTACAAACCCTTGTGTCGATAGCTGACTGCTCTGCTGTATACGAAACCCTGACCCAGAAACAGGTTGTCTGTGAATGGTTTAGCACAGGTCCCCCGTGAATGTGCATTGTGTGACGGGCAAAAGTGTGGCCGCCTTTCTACTGTGCCAAGTTTTCCAGCATGAGAGGCTTTCCATATCTGGTCCTCAGATATGTGGTGTGAATGAAGGGGGGACCAGCTATCCGAGGCCAACCGAGGCTCCACAGTTGGCTGCCATGTCATTTTGCCTGGGCGGGATTCTGACTTAGAGGCCTTTGGTCATAATCTGACAGGTGAGCGTTGACGATTTTGATGGTAGCATTTTGTTTGTATGGGAGAATAGTCTAGTTTTGTTTGTTGGAAATAGTCACTAAAGTATTGGGGGATAATGAGAAAGAAATACTGGCAAACTTACTCTCACATGCTTCAGAGACTAAAAGTTTGATAAGCTAGATATAGAACTTTTCCTATGGTTTGAGATATAGTTCCTTTTCTCTAAAGAGTTGTCGGTGAGTCCCTTTCAGAAACGTACTTGAGTGAGGATGTGTTGAAATTTGTGGGAAGCTGTGAAAGGCAGCTTTTAGCCTACCAAAAGAGGACTGGCCTGGAAGGCAAGAGACCTGAGTCTTGGTCCCTGCTTCTGATGACATGTCACATGGGCATGTGCTCGTCACTCTGCTTCTGCAAGTTTTTGTGTTTCTCATCTGTGGAGTTAAGGGATTGGGATGGTCTCTAGGGTCTCGTACAGCTCTAATATTGTCACCGCCCTCAGGAACATTACATGAAATTAGCATATATGCAATATATTAAGATTCATGTGTGGATTGTTTCCCAGTTACTAGCGCTGTCTTTAATGTAATTTACCTCAGAAATCTCTGGATAATCATTATTGAGATATAATGAAATAGGGAAAAACTTGAGGTTAAAAACTAGTAAATTGATTTACTTCAACATTAAAAGCCCACAATTAAACCCTTGAGGAAAATGACTATTTTTATTTTTTATTTTTTGCTCTGCAAGTAAGGTTGGAACTTCGTAATACTGTATGACAGTAGTCGTTTACCTCACGAATTAGATTATTCATGTGTGTTTGACTGAAGAGAGTTTTTACCTAGTGACTGGAATGAATGTTAATGCTGCTATTTTGGCATTGGAAAAAAAAGGTGTAATGAAAAATGTCAAGTTTGAGAGAGAGAGAAATACTTAAATAGAACTGATTTAAAAGCAATTCTGAAAAAGAAAGAACTTGGCACAATCTTTCTATGAAAGCAAAGACTTTACTGCACAGCTAAAGAAAATGAAGCAAAAACAATACATTGCCCCAATTAATGTTTGAATTCACTGAACACAAGGTAGGCTAGCAAAGTAGAGAGTAATATCTTTGCCTCACCTTGGCCACAAGGATTTATTTTGTCAGTAACCAAGTTTAGTGTACTGCTATTTAGCTTTTTCACTACAGATGTGAAAATGTTTCTTTTTGGGGTTTGTTTGAAATTTTCTTTCCCTTTTCAATTTAGCAGTGCTGAACCTATCCTCAAATAAATTTACATTTTTCCCATTAAATCAACTTTGTTTCTGTTCCATGGTTGAAGCAAATACTTTATAAAGAAAAAAATCAGTGTAGACCTTTCACAAGTTAATTATTACTGCAGGGCTATATAGGCAAATAAAAATATTAGATGTTATGTTTTAGACCAGTGAAAAAACAGTTGGTAGTGATGCTAGATTAAGACTTGCCAGAATGTTCATCCCCTTAGTGAGCCATTCTGCTTATGATAACATTTTGTAATGTTTTCAGGCATTCTTTTGGGACAGCCCTGATCACTTATCATTCAAAGGGATGATAAAAGTGACAATCTTTAGACGTGTTGTAAATTCTTTCTTTCTTTCGTCCAAAGGGAGCTAGAAAGAAAAGACATTTGTGATTATCTGTCCACTTGAACACAACTGCTAGAAAGAGCTATTTAATTATTGCCAACAAGGCAGTGTGAGAGTTTATAGTAACATTAGGAGTGTTTCCAGTTATCCCAGCAGGATTCAGCATTCAAGAACTGGTAAATTTTGGCCAGACGCGGTGGCTCACACCTGTAATCCCAGCACTTTGGGAGGCCGAGGCAGGCGGATCACCTGAGGTCAGGAGTTCGAGACCAGCCTGACCAACATGGAGAAACCCCGTCTCTACAAAAAATACAAAATTAGCTGGGTGTGGTGGCACATGCCTGTAATCCCAGCTACTCGGGAGGCCGAGGCAGGAGAGTCGCTTGAACCTGGGAGGCGGAGCTTGTGGCGAGCCGAGATTGTGCGCCATTACACTCCAGCCTGAGCAACAAGAGTGAAACTCTATCTCAAAAAAAAAAATCTGGTAAATGTTTGTCTGGCATCATAGAATTTAATGCTTACCTCTAAAAATGTAAATTGGAAAATATTTTAGCCTTATGTGGTGTGTGATGTTAGCAGGGAAGTCTCTAATGTTTTCACATGAAGTCAGATGCTGGCTTTGGACCGAGGTGTATTTTGTTTACTTAAGGCAGTATCCATCATTTCCTATTTTAGTTTTTTGTTTCTTTTTGTTTGTTTGTTTTTTGAGATGGAGTCTTGCTCTGTCTCTCAGGCTGGAGTGCAGTGGTGCCATCTCAGCTCACTGCAACCTCCACCTCCTGGTTTCAAGCAATTCTCCTGCCTCAGCCTCCCAAGTAGCTGGGACTACAAGCGCGTATTGCCACCCCCAGGTAATTTTTTGTATTTTAGTAGAGACAGGGTTTCACCCTGTTGCCCATGCTGGTCGTGAACTCCTGAGCTCAGGCAATCCACCCGCCTTGGCCTCCCAAAGTGCTGGGATTACAGGCATGAGCCACCGCACCCAGCTGTCAGATGTCTTTACTGCCTCCGTGAAGATGATATGATTTCATCACATTTAACATTGTTAATGTGAAGATCATGTCAATAGATTTCCTTATATGGAATCTCTCATACCTGGAATAAACTGTGCTTGTTTATTTGTATTCCTTTTTATAATGTGCCATTGGATTCTGTTTGCTAATATTCAGAGATTTTGTGTTGATATTCGTAAGTAGTATTCAACTGTAGTATCTTTTGTGCAGTCTTTGTCAGGTTGGGGTTACCATTACACTTGCTTCATAAAATGAGTGTGGAAGTTTTCTTTCCTTTTCTGTGTTCTGAAATAGCATTAAGACTACTTTGTCTTTTTTTTTTTTTTTTTGACACAGAGTCTTGCTCTGTCACCCAGGCTGGAATGCAGTGGCATGATCTCGGCTGACTGCAACCTCTTCCTCCCAGGTTCAAGTGATTCTCCTGCCTCAGCCTCCCAAGAAGTTGGGACTACAGGTGCACACCACCACGTGTAACTAATTTTTATATTTTTAGTAGAGATGGGGTTTCACTATGTTGGCCAGACTGGTCTCAAACTCCTGACCTCAGGTGATCTACCCACCTCGGCCTCCCAAAGTGCTGGGATTACAGGCGCCAGCCACCAGTCTACCTTATCTTAAAATGGTATAATTTTCCTTTGAAACTATTTGCCTGGTATTTTTTTGGTTTTCTTAGACTGGTTTCTGCTTGGTTTCTACCACCACTCTTAATCCCCTCCAGTTGTTCTCTGCAACCACCACCATGACTGCCATTTCCTTGAGCACTTATTATCCATTAAGCACCTTTATGTGTGGTAATTAATGACTGTTATGTGTTTTGTTGTTTTGATACAAAGTCTCACTGTCGCCCAGGCTGGACTGCAGTGGCGCTGTCACTTGAATCCAACCTCCACCTCCCGGGTTCAAGCAGTTCTCCAGCCTCAGCCTCCCAAGTAGCTGGGATTACAGGTGTGCGCTACCACATCTGGCTAATTTTTGTATTTTTAGTAGAGACAGGGTTTCATCACCTTGGCCAGGGTGGTCTCTAACTCCTGACCTCAAGTGATCCACCCACCTCTACCTCCCAAAATCCTGGGATTATAGGTGTGAGCCACTGAGCCCAGCCTGTTATGTATTTTTGTCTTTTGTTTTCTTTGAGACAGGGTGTCACTCTCTCACTCAGGCTTGAGTGCAGTGGCATGATCACGGCTCGATGTGTTTATTCTTGTTTTTTTCTTGTTTTTCTGTTGTTTTTTTTTTTGTTTTTTTGAGATGAAGTTTTGCTCTTGTTGCCCAGGCTGGAGTGCAATGGTGCAATCTTGACTCACTGCAACCTCCACCTCCCAGATTCAAGCGATTCTCCTGCCTCAGCCTCCCAAGTAGCTGGAATTACAGGCATGTGCCACTACGCCCAGGTAGTTTTGTATTTTTAGTAGAGATGGGGTTTCTCCATGTTGGTCAGGCTGGTCTCGAACTCCTGACCTCAGGTGATCCGCCCGCCTCAGCCTCCCAAAGTGCTGGGATTACAGGCTTGAGCCGCCGCACCCGGGCTGGACTATTATCTTTCTATTAAACAATACAGTACTTAGTATTTCCTGGTTTTGAATTTCATATAAGTGAAATCATACTGTGTGTATTCTTCAACTAGCTTTTTTCATTCATCATTATGTTTTTGAGTATAGTATAGTTACTTGTTTTCACTGCTTTATATACCATTGTATAAATATACCACAATTTATCCATTCTAGTATTAATGGACATTAGGTTTGTTGTTATTACAGTGTTCCTGCAAGTAACCTTGCACATTTCTCCTGATACACAAGAGTTTCACAGATCTTTAGACAGATTCCCCAGTAGTGGAATTGCTGGATGGTAGGGCATATGTACATTCACCGGGTATTCCACATTGTTTTCCTAAGTTGTTTTCCCAGTAAAGTTTTGTGTTATTATTATTGCACATCATGTGTTTAATTGATTCCTTGATACTTTATGTTTGTTGTTGCTATTCTAAGTGATATCTTTTTTTTTTTTTTTTTTTTTTGAGACAGAGTCTCGCTCTGTGGCCCAGGCTGGAGTGCAGTGGCGATCTCAGCTCATTGCAAGCTCCGCCTCCTGGGTTCACGCCATTCTCCTGCCTCAGCCTCCCTAGTAGCTGGGATTACAGGCGCCCACCACCATGCCCGGCTATATTCTAAGAGATATCTGTAGATGGTTTATAGAAATGCATTTGACTTTTGTAAACTGATGAATTACTGGAATAAAAAGATTGTCCAACAAACTCTTATTCCAGTAATCCCTCTTTAAATTTTTTAAGGACAAACATATCATCTGAAAATCATGATATTTTGTTTCTTTTCATGACTTAGATATATTTTATCTTGTCTTAACTGTGCTGGCCGGACTCTCCATTACAAAGTTGAAGAGCAGTGGTGATACAGAGGGCATCCCTGACTTGTTCTGATGTTAAAAGGAAAGCTTTTATTGAGTGATAGGGGCTACTGGTTTTTCATAAGGCTTACTTCCCACCCACCCCCTCCCCGGAAACAGGGTCTTGCTATGTTGCTCAGACTGGTCTCAAACTCCTGGGCTCAAGTGATCATCCCACTTTACCCTCCTGAATGGCTGGGATTACAGGCACATGCCACAGCACCTGGCTTCATAAAGCTTTCTTTGTCAAGTTTTTTTAAACTTAAAGAAAAAAAGAATCCTGAATGATTGAATTTCTACAGATGCTTTTTAATTGCATGTATAGAAATTTTCTTGTTTTTTTTCTTTAAGTTTCATGTTACCCTAATAGATTTTCTAATATTGAATCAATTTTGCATTCCTGGGATTAAACCCAACTTGGTCATGATGTATTATTATTATATATTGCTGGATTTGGCTTGTTAATAAATAATAGGGTTTTTCTCATGTGGTTTGGTATGAAAATTAGACTACCCTTACAAAATGAATTGGCAAGTGTTTCTTTTCCTATTCTTCTGTTTTTATTTCTGTAAAATTAGAATGATTCCTTCAAAGTTTGGTAGAACTTGCCTGTACAAGTCTGGACCTGGGTGGTTTTTTGGTTTTGGTATGTGTTTGGTTTTTTGTTGAAAACATGTTAAGCTGATTCAAAATTATTTTAAAAATGGTTATACGACTGTTCCTACTTTGAATTTCTTCTTGGTAATTATATTTCTCTTGGCATTTATTCTTCTCACTTATTTTTACATTTACTAGAGTATTGTATTTTCTTACCTCTTTTAATCTTATTTTGAATATCCATTTAAACATAGGTAAGATATAAGTACTGTTTGTGGCTGGGCACAGTGGCTCATGCCTGTAATCCTAGCACTTTGGAAGGCCAAGGCGGGCAGATCACTTGAGGTCAGGAGTTCAAGACCAGCCTGGCCAACATGGCAAAATCTTGTCTCTACTAAAAATACAAAAATTAGCTGGGCGTGGTGGCGCCTGCCTGTAATCCTAGCTACTCCAGAGGCTGAGGCATGAGAATCACGTCACCCCAGGAGGCAGAGGCTGCCGTGAGCTGAGATCGCGCCACTGTGCTCTATCCTGGGCGACAGAGCAAGACTCTGTCTCAAAAAAAAAAAAAAAAAAGGTACTGTTTACAGAATAAGTTAAATACTTGTCATCACTGTGCAGATTGCAAAATGGAACATTGCTAGTACCTTAGAAACGCCTTCTCAAATCTTTAAGAGTTGAGTACGTTCCTTAATTTTGTGATAATTGTTCTTTTCAGACTCTTCTCCCTTTTTATTCTTTACTTTTATTGATGTATAATATACATAAAGAAAAGTGGCCAGATGTGGTGGCTCATGCCTGTAATCCCAACACTTTAGGAAGCCAAGGTGAGAGGATCACTTTGAGCTCAGGAGTTCAAGACCAGCCTGGGCTGATTATAGACGTGAGCCACATTGTCCTGCTGGGTATATATTTAGTAGCAGAATGACTGTGTCAGTCTGTGCATAGATTCCATTTTAGTAGATGTGCCAAACTGTTTTCCAAAGTGGTAAAATATTTCCATTAGCAGTGTATTAGAGTTCAGACCAGTGCATATTCTCAACAACACTTGGTATCATTTTTAGCCTCTCTAGTGGGTATGAAGTGGTATGCATTGTGGGTTTTGTTTGCATTTCTCTGATATTTTAGCTCTTTTTTGGTGGTTAACTCTTTTTTGTATGTTTATGACATTCGGCTATCTCGTGAAGTATTTAAGGGTTATTTTGCAAATTTTTCTGTGGAGATTTTTGTTTCATTAAATTATAGGAGTTCTTTGTAGATTTTGATGAGTCTTTTTTTAGATTCATGTGCTGCAGATATTTTCTCCTTTCCAAGAGTTACCTCTTTTTTTTTTTTTTTTTTTGATACAGTCGCAATTTGTCGCCCAGGCTGGAGTGCAATGGTGCAATCTCTGCTTCCTAGGTTCAAGTGATTCTCCTGCCTCAGCCTCCCAAGTAGCTGGGATTACAGGCACGCCCCACCACACCCTAGGCTCACTGCAACCTCTGCTTCCTAGGTTCAAGTGATTCTCCTGCCTCAGCCTCCCAAGTAGCTGGGATTACAGGCACGCCCCACCACGCCCAGCTAATTTTTGTATTTTTAGAGACGGGATTTCACCATGTTGGCTAGGCTGGTCTCGAACTCCTGACCTCAGCCTCGGCCTCCCAAAGTGCTGGGATTACAGGCGTGAGCCACTGCGCCCGGCCGAATTACAGCTATTTTAAAGATCATCTTCAGTAACTAGTAACTGGGTCACTGTGGATATGTGGATATGTTGTCTCTTTTTTCTCGTTTCTGTTTCCTTGTATGCTTGGTAACGTTCAAGTGAATGCTGGATACTGTGTATGAAAATTGTTGATGCTCTAGGTGACATTTTTCTCCAGAGAGAGCTCTCCCTAATCACTGATAGGCAGATACAGTGGTGACAGATAACCATAATTCAGTGAGAGATTGAGCTGATTCGAGGGTTGGTTGCAGTTTTTTTTTTTTTTTTGTATTACACACCTTTTAATTTGAATTAATTAGGCATGATCATTATTGAAAATTGGTAAAGTGTAGATTGATAACAACCAAAACAGGGGAAAACATTCATTTAAAACTTTCCCAAATAAATGCTCCATGTATAGGCCTCTATTAAAATAATAACAATAAACATTTTTTGAACCACTTTATATATTTTAAGATTTGTTTAGGGCTTTTTCATTTGCACGTGAAAATATTCCTTTTTTTTTTTTTTTTTTTTTAGTATTTATTGATCATTCTTGGGTGTTTCTCGGAGAGGGGGATTTGGCAGGGTCATAGGACAATAGTGGAGGGAAGGTCAGTAGATAAACATGTGAACAAAGGTCTCTGGTTTTCCTAGGCAGAGGAGGACCCTGCGGCCTTCCTCAGTGTTCGTGTCCCTGGGTACTTGAGATTAGGGAGTGGTGATGACTCTTAACTAGCATGCTGCCTTCAAGCATCTGTTTAACAAAGCACATCTTGTACTGCCCTTAATCCATTTAACCCTGAGTGGACACAGCACATGTTTCAGAGAGCACGGGGTTGGGGGTAAGGTCATAGATCAACAGCATCCCAAGGCGGAAGAATTTTTCCCAGTACAGAACAAAATGGAGTCTCCCATGTCCACCTCCCTCCACACAGACACAGTAACAATCTGATCTCTCTCCTCTCCCCACATTTCCCCCCTCTATTCGACAAAACCGCCATTGTCATCATGGCCCGCTCTCAATGAGCTGCCGGGCACACCTCCCAGACGGGGTGGCGGCCCGGCAGAGGGGCTCCTCACTTCCCAGACGGGGCGGCCGGGCGGAGGCGCCCCCCACCGACGGGGCAGCTGCCGGGCGGGGGGTGCCCCCCACCTCCTGGACGGGGCGGCTGGCCGGGCGGGGGCTGCCCCCCACCTCCCAGACGGGCTGGCTGCCGGGCGGAGACGCTCCTCACTTCCCAGACGGGGCGGCTGCCGGGCGGAGGGGCTCCTTACTTCTCAGACGGGGCGGCTGGGCAGAGACGCTCCTCACCTCCCAGATGGGGTGGCGGCCGGGCAGAGACGCTCCTCAGTTCCCAGACGGGGTCGCGGCCGGGTAGAGGCGCTCCTCACATCCCAGACGGGGCGGCGGGGCAGAGGCGCTCCCCACATCCCAGACGATGGGCGGCTGGGCAGAGACGCTCCTCACTTCCCAGACTGGGCGGCCAGGCAGAGGGGCTCTTCACATCCCAGACAATGGGCGGCCAGGCAGAGACGCTCCTCACTTCCCAGACGGGGTGGCAGCCAGGCAGAGGCTGCAATCTCGGCACTTTAGGAGGCCAAGGCAGGTGGCTGGGAGGTGGAGGTTGTAGCGAGCCAAGATCACGCCACTGCACTCCAGCCTGGGCAACATTGAGCACTGAGTGAGCGAGACTCCGTCTGCAATCCCGGCACCTCGGGAAGCCGAGGCAGGCAGATCACTCGCGGTTAGGAGCTGGAGACCAGCCGATCCAACATGGCGAAACCCCGTCTCCAAAAAATACAAAAACCAGTCAGGCGTGGCGGCGCGCGCCTGCAATCCCAGGCACTCGGCAGGCTGAGGCAGGAGAAACAGGCAGGAAGGTTGCAGCGAGCGGAGATCACGGCGGTACGGTCCAGCTTCGGCAACAGAGGGAGACCGTGGAAAGCGGGAGAAGGAGAGAGGGAGAGGGAGAAGGAGAGGGAGAGGGAGTGGTGTGTTTGGCGGGGGTGGGGGGACTCTTTGTGTGGAAGGTGACAGACTTGCACGTTTGCTTACATATACTAGAGTTAGAACTGTGCTTGGGTAGGTACTTTGAGATCATTGGAATAAAGATAGCATGTGAAAACAGAATAATTATGAAAACGTCTTCTTTTATACAGCACTTTGTACTTTTTAAATTGCTTTCACTGCTGTCACATCAAACCTCTTCACACTTCTGTAGGACAGATAAAGCACAATTATTTCTCTGTTACGCAGATGGGGAAACAGACCTAGGCAGGGATATAGTGACCTGCCCACAGGTCTAACAGCATTTGAGTGATAATTAGAACTAAAGTGGAGGAATTTTTATTTGAGAAGTTGAGCAGTGAGAGTCAAAATCTTCTTAGGAGCTGTAGGTTTTTGTACCAATGGAGAGATCTCTTTTTCTGTTGGATATGATTGACAATGTTAGAAGAGATATTCACTGGAGGAAGGCCCCGCAGAAGGAATGAGGAACAGACCTCTGGCCTGTATTGTGCCTCCATTGTCTCTGGTGTAGTTGTGCATATTGTGAGATTACAGATGGGAAAGAAAGAGATCTTCACCCTCAGCTCAAGAGAAGAAAGTAAGGGTGCTGTAGGAACAGATGTCACAGTAAAAGCATGCCAATCTAAGTGTGCTCAAGGGATTTTATGCTAGTTGGCCTTAGGTTCTGGTAAGAGATAAGGTGGGGCATCTGCCAAGAGTACATAAGGGATCAGGGGCTTGGAAAGTGTGAAGAAAGTTTGAGATAGCTGTTGTGTGCTTAAAATTAACTAAAGATGAATAAAAAGACTGGCCCCTTTCATTGAGAGTGGGGACTTTGTTCTCTGCTGTATCCCCAGCACCTAGTATACACATTGCACATAGTAGGTACTCAGTAAATATTTGTTGAATCAGGCAGATTCCTGCCTAGGTCTGTTTCCCCATCTGCATAACACAAATAAGGCTGGCTAACCCTGTGCCATCTCCGTAATAGTCTTCATCTTCTCTTCACTTTCCCATTCATTTCTCTATATTAGTTGAATACATGAATGAAGACAGGAATAAGTTCCTCACTGAAGTTACAAGCCTTTTTAAGAACAGCAAGGTAACATATCTCATTTATCAAATTAGTAACTGCATTTGAAAATTCAGCTCTGACACTTATGGCTGGGTGACTTAGAGCATGTCCTGTAACTTCTCAGAGTCTCATTTTACTCTGGTGAAACAAGGATCATGTCTTTTGAGTGTTGAAATGACTGTATTAACTAAATCACTATGTAATCCTAAGAGCAATCTTTATGCATCCCAGAATGGGGTAGAGAATAAAGTATTGGAGTGAATGACTGTGGGATATAGGCTAGATACCTATGTACATAGATAATTTCATGGAGCCTTTTTAAAAAATTATGGTAATATACACATAACAAAATTTACCATCTTGGCCAGGTGCTCACGCCTGTAATCCCAGCACTTTGGGAGGCCGAGGCGGGCGGATCACCTGAGGTCGGGAGTTCGAGACCAGCCTGACCAACATGGAGAAACCCTGTCCCTACTGAAAATACAAAATTAGCCGGGCGTGGTGGTGCATGCCTGTAATCCCAGCTACTCAGGAGGCTGAGCCAGGAGAATCACTTGAACCTGGCTGGCAGAGGTTGCGGTGAGCCAAGATTGCACCATTGCACTCCAGCCTGGGTAACAAGAGCAAAACTCCATCTCAAAAAAAAAAAAAAAATTACCATCTTAACTATTTTTAGGTGTACTGTTCTGTAGCATTAAGTAGATTCACATTGTGCAACCAATTTCCAGAGCTCTTTTTTTTTTTTTTTTTTTTGAGACGGAGTCTTGCTCTGTCGCCCAGGCTGGAGTGCCGTGGTGCAATCTCAGCCTCCCAGGTGCACGCCATTCTCCTGCCTCAGCCTCCTGAGTAGCGGGGACTACAGGCGCCCGCCACCACGCCTGGCTAATTTTTTGTGTTTTTAGTAGAGACGGGATTTCACCCTGTTAGCTAGGATGGTCTCCATCTGCTGGCCTCGTGATCCACCCGCCTTGGCCTCCCAAAGTGCTGGGATTACAGGCGTGAGCCACCGTGCCTGGCCTCCAGGGCTGTTTACATCATGCAATGCTGAAACTCTATAGCAATTAAATAACTCTCCATTTTTCCTTCTTCCAAGCCCCTGGCAGCCACCATTCTACTTTCTGTCTCTATGAAGTCTGACTGCTCTAGGTACCTCATGTAAGTGGAATCATACAGTGTTTGTCTTTTTATGATTGGCTTATTTTACTTACTATAATGGCCTTAAGGCTCATCCATGTTGTAGCATGTGTCACAATTTCCTTTTTAAGGTGGAACAATATACTCCATTGTAAATACACACACCACTCATCTGTTGATGAACACTTGGGTTGCTTTTGCCTCTTGTGAATAAGGCTGCTATGAATATAAGTGTACAACTATCTCTTTGGGACCCTGCTTTCGATTCTTTTGGGTAGGAACCCAGAAGGGCACTACTGGATCATATGGTAATTCTGTGTTTAATTTTGAGGAACCACAAACTCCTGAGTTCAAGTGATCCTCACAACTCAGCCTCCCATACTGTTTCCAAAGTGGCTGCACCTTTTCACATTCCCACCAACAGGGCAAAAGGATTCCAGTTTCTCCACAACCTTGCCAACACACTGCCCAGGAGGCAGAGGTTGCAGTGAGCTGAGATCGCGCCACTGCACTCCAGCCTGGGTGACAGAGTGAGACTCCATCTGAGAAAAAAAGAAAAAAAAAAAAAAGACCTGATTTGGCTATGGGGGTTCTGCCCTCATGAATGGATTTAGGTCATTATCACAGAGTGGGTTGGTCTAAAAGTGAGTTGGGCCCTCTCTGTCTCTTACGCTCCTGCCTTTGCTTGCCCTTCTGCCATGGGGTGATACAGCAAGAAGGCCTCTGCCAGATGCAGGCCTCTTGACCTTGGACTTCCCAGCTTACGGAACTATAAGAAATACATTTCTTTTCCTATAAATTACCCAGTCTGTGGTATTCTGTTATGGCAACACAAAACAGACGAAGGGATTTTAATGGGATGGTTGGAAACTGAATGTGGACTACCTAGAGTGGACACCACCTTGTTGGTTGTAGCAAAGCCATGTTAAAAGGTAAGCCTATTGCTACAATGTAAGGGTAGGTAATATTTTATTTACATACTGTATCATAAGTATCAACATTATAAAGGGGATAAGTACACTGGAGCTTAATGTTGTGTTCCTGTCTTCTATAACCATTTGATCACTATGTCTATTCCTAATAAATCTCACCTGTTCTTTAAAAATATCCTAGTAATTCTTTGGGTTTTGAATCTTTACTCTCCATTATAAGTATGTATACATCTAAATTTTAAAAATATGCATGCAGGCATTCTGACTAGATCTCCAAGGCTTGGCCGACCTGTTAAATGACATAACTCAAGTAAATTATCAGACATATCAGAAGTACAAACTTGATGGGCTTGGTTGAGATATAGTGATCCTCAGAGTGCTGTCTGGTGACCCCTGCACTCTCCTCTCTGACAGGAGAGCTCAGCCTTACCCTTTGCTGAAGAAGTGAGTTCTCTTTACCCCTTCTTCTGCCTCTGATGTCTTCTCATCTCTAAATATGGTCTGTACCCCTCACACCACAAATAAAAGTGTTCTTACTTCAGCAAAACTATAGGGAGGGGCTCGTCGCCACTGGAATTGGTTCTAACGGTTGAAACTCATTCCTCATTCAGGATCCTTCCACAGGTCCACAGTGCTTTATTTGCAGCTCAGGGTTTCAGACCTTTCTGGGTATCTTTTGTAAGCTCATTTGGGGCAAAACCTGACGTGGACTGCCACGAGACTATTCATAGTCTGTATTTTTCCCATCTAGTGTGATTATTTGTATGTTTGCTGCAGAAATATCAGTGCTGGATTCCTTGGTACACACCAGACCTCGCCAGGGATGTATGCACATATGTATGCACTGTATTACCTTTCTAAAATCTGAAAAATACTGAATTCTGAAACAGCTTTGTTCCAAGGGCTAATGAATCTGTGCTTCTCCTGAACTTGCTACAATTTGTAATCCCCAAATAATATAGTTTGATAATCATCTCAGTTTTTTTTCTTTAGAGAAAATTTGGAAAACACAGAAAGGCACATTTATGCAAAAAGCATTCACCTGTAATGCTGCTACCCAGGGATATCTGCTGTCAACATCCTGGCACATTTTTTTCCTAGTAAAATTGGGATTACATTTTATATACATCATATCATTTGGTATTCTGAATCTTTGATCCAACACAGTAGTATAATCATTTTCCAGACCACTAATCAGTCTTTGAAAACAGTAAAAATTTTATTTTATTTTTTTGAGACAGGGTCTTACTCTGTCACCCAGGCTGGAGTACAGTGGCGCGATCTTGGCTCACTGCAACCTCTGCCTCACAGGTTCAAGTGATTCTCCCACCTCAGCCTCCTTAGTAGCTGGGACTACAGACGTGTGCCACAGCCAGCTAATTTTTGTAATTTTTGTAGAGACGAGGTTTCACCATGTTGCCCAGGCTGCTCTGATACTCCTGGACTCAAGCGATCCACCCACCTCGGTCTCCCAAAGTGCTGGGATTATAGGCATGAGCCACCACACCTGGCCAACAGTCAAAATTTTAAAACCGGCTGGGCGCAGTGGCTCACGCCTATCATTCTAGCACTTTGGGAGGCCGAGGCAGGTGGATCACGAGGTCAAGAGATTGAGACCATCCTGGCCAACATGGTGAAACCCCATCTCTACTAAAAATACAAAAATTAGCTGGGCGTGGCGGCACATGCCTGTAGTCCCAGCTACTCAGGAGGCTGAGGGAGGAGAATTGCTTGAACCCTGGAGGCGGAGGTTGCAGTGAGCTGAGATCGCACCATTGCACGCCAGCCTGGGCAACAGAGCAAGACTCCATCTCAAAAAAAAAAATTTTAAACCATATCATTATTCATGCATTTTTTTTTACTTGTTAGCAATATATTTAAATACTAAAAAGGGCTTAACTTTTTTAAAATAAATTTTTTATTTTATTTAAAAATTTTATTTTAGAGACAGGGTGTTACTCTGTCGCCCAGGGTGGAGTATAGTGGCATAATCATAGCTCACTGCAGCCTCAAGCTCCTATGTTCAAGTGATCTTCTTGCCTCAGTCTCCCAAGTAGCAGGGATTACAGGCACAGTCCACCATGCCCAGCTTTGCTTAATGTTCTTCGCATGATTAAAGTGGGGTTGTGGGTTTGGAGGGGAGGAAGACCACAAAGATAGTGCCATTCTCATCACATCACATCAAGGGCATATACTGTCAACAGAACACTCTTGTTGTTGACCTTGATCACCTGGCTAAAGTGTTTGCCAGGTGTCTCACTGTTTTCTCCTTTTTGCGTAATATACTCAATGGAAGCAAGTCATTAAGTGTATCCCACACTGAAGGAGTAGGGAGTTATCTTCCACCTCCTTGATGGTGTAGTATCAACATAAATTATTTGGTATTCTTCTATTTGGGAGATTGTCTCTTCTCCCCATTTGTATATATCACTATGGACTTGTGAATATTAATTTTACATTTTGGGTTACAATCCCAATGGCACTTCGATTTTGGTGCTTATGTTTTTCCAGCTTTGGGCATTGGGAGCTCTTTCAGTTGGCTTCTGTGTCCCTTTGACATACCTTAATTATTTACATGTAAAAAAATGTTTAGCTCCATACTTCCTGGCACTACAATATGTTCTAAGTTCATCTAGTATATTTCTTGCCCCAGGGACTTAACTTCAAAAGAACCAAGGCTTTATTGAGATATAATTTATGGCTGGGCACGGTGGCTCAAGCCTGTAATCCCAGCACTTTGGGAGGCTGAGGCAGGCGGATCACGAGGTCAAGAGTTCAAGACCAGTCTGGCCAACATAGTGAAACCCCGTCTCTACTGAAAATACAAAAAAAAAATTAGCCGGGCATGGTGGTGTGTGCCTGTAATCCCAGCTACTCGGGAGGCTGAGGCAGGAGAATTGCGTGAACCCAGGAGGCAGAGGCTGCAGTGAGCCAAGATCGCGCCACTGCACTCCAGCCTGGGTGACAGAAAGAGACTCTGTCTCAAAAAAAAAAAAAAGAGAGAGAGAGATAATTTACAAACATTTCACCCGTTTAAAGTGTACAATTCAGCGTGTTTTTTTGTTTTGTTTTGTTTTTTCTTGAGATGGAGTCTCACTTTTTCGCCAGGCTGGAGTGCAGTGGCGTGATCTCAGCTCACCACAGCCTCAGCCTCCCGGGTTCAAGCAATTCTCCTGCCTCAGCCTCCTGAGTAGCTGGGATCACAGACTCCCGCCACCACACCCAGCTAATTCTTGTGTTTTTAGTAGAGACAGGGTCTCACCATGTTGGCCAGGATGGTCTCGATCTTGACCTCGTGATCTGCCCACCTTGGCCTCCCAGGGTAGCTTTTTAAAATATATACACAGATATGTTTAATAACCATCAAAGTCAATTTTTAGAATAATCACCTCAACAAGAAACCCTTGACTGGATACAGTGGCTCACACCTGTAATTTCAGCACTTTGGTAGGTATAGGCAGGAGTATCACTTGAGCCTAGGAGTTTGAGACCAGCCTGGGTAAAATAGTGAAACCTTGTTTCTACAAAAAATTTAAAAGTTAGCCAGGAATTGTGGCATGGCCCTGAGGTTCCAGCTACTTGGGAGGGTGAGGCAGGAGAATTGCTTGAGCCTAGGTCAAGGCTATAGTAACCTGTGACCACGCGACTGCACTCTATCCTGGCCAACAAAGCGAGACCCTGTGTCAAAAAAGAAAGAAAGAAACCAATCCTGTATCCTTTAGCTATTTACTCTCTCTCTCTCTCTCCCCTTCTTTTTCAGTGTAAAGTAACTACCAATCTAATTTCTATCTGTATAGATTTGCCTATCTGGACATTTTGTATAAATGGCATCACATGTGTGGCTTCTTTCACTTAGCATGTTTCAAGGTTCATCCATGTTGTAGCATTTATCAGTACTTCATTCCATTTTTATGGCTGAATAATATTCCATTGTGTGGATACACCACCTTTTGCTTGTCTATCAGTTGATGGAGCTTTGGTTTGTTTCCACCTTTTGATTATTATGAATAATGCTGCTACGAACATTTGTGTACAAGTTTCTATGTGGTCATGGTTTTCATTTGCCAGGTCATATGGTAATTCTGTGTTTAACCACTTGAACATAAATTGAAGTATTGATCTTTTAATTATGTTTTGTTAGAGACAGGGTCTCACTCTGTCATCCAGGCTGCAGTGCAGTGGTGTGATCACGGCTCGTTGCAGCCTTGAACTCCTGGGCTCAAGCAGTCCTCCTGCATTAGCCTCCCAAGTAGCTGGGATCACAGGCATGCACCACCATATCTGGCTAATTTTTAATTTTTTGTAGAGACAGGGACTTGCCATGTTGCCCACACTGGTCTCAAATTCCTGGGCTCAAGCAGTCCTCCCATCTCAGTCTCTCAAAGTGCTAGGATTACAGGCATGAGCCACCATGCCTGGCCTATTATTGAGTTTTTTTGTTTGTTTTGTTTTTGTTTTTGAGACACACTCTCACTCTGTTGCCCAGGCTGGAGTGCAGTGGTGCGATCTCAGCTCACCGCAACCTCTGCTTCCCAGGTTCAGGCGATTATCCTGCCTCAGCCTCGCGAGTAGCCGTGATTACAGGCACCCACCACCACGCCCAGCTAATTTTTGTATTTTTAGTAGAGATGAGGTTTCACCACGTTGGCCAGGCTGGTCTCAAACTCCTGACTTCAGGTGATCCTCCCACTTCAGCCTCACAAAGTGCTGAGATTACAGGCATGAGCCACCACACCCAGCTCCTGTGATTGAGTTTTAAAAGTTCTTTATACATTCTAGATACAGATTCCTTATCAAATACATGATATGCAAATATTTTTCTCTCATTCTGTGAGTTGTCTTTTCATTTTCTTTCTAGTGTCCTTTGAAGCACAAAGTTGTTAAATTTTGGTCAAGTCCAATTTATCTATTTTTTTCTTTTGTTGTTTATGCCTGTCATGTCATATATGTAAGAATCCATTGCCAGATTTTCAGGGTTTACCCTGAAGATTTATCCCTATGTTTCTTTGTAGAGTTTTATTGTTCTAGCTCTTACATTTAAGTGTTTGAGCCATTGTATATTGTGAAGTGTAAGGATCCAGCTTTATTCATTTGCACATGGCTGTCTAGTTGTACCAGCATCATTTGTTGAAGGGAAAGGATAGTCTTTTCCTTTCCCCACTGAGTGGTGTTGGCACCCTTGTCAAAAATCAGTTGACCATAGATGGGTTTATTTCTAGATTTTCATTTCTGTCCCATCAATCTATATCTTTTTTCTTTGTGCCAGCACCACCCTTTTGATTATTTACCTTGCAATAAGTTTTGGAATTTGAGATGATATGGGCTTAACTTTTAAATGACTTCCCAAGTAACTAAGGGCTTATACAGGATTTGCTTTTTTAGTTTAGTTATTATTTTTATTTAAAATCATATTCTAAGTTTTCTGAAGTTACACTAGCATTTTAAAAAATTAATTATTTTATTTTTTTGAGACCGAGTCTTGCTCTGTCGCCCGGGCTGGAGTGCAGTGGTGCGATCTCAGCTCACTGCAACCTCCGCCTCCCGGGTTCAAGCAATTCTGTCTCCGCCTCCCAAGTAGCTGGAATTACAGGCATGAACCACCACGGCCTGGCTAATTTTTGTATTTTTAGTAGAGATGGGGTTTCACGATGTTGGCCAGGCTGGTCTTGAACTCCTCACCTCAGGTGATCCACCCCGCCTCAGCCTCCCAAAGTGCTGGGATTACAGGTGTGAGTCACCACTCCTGGCCGTACTAGCTAGTTTTATAGTGAAAGATTTTATTTTAATGCTGTATTTTTTTTTACCAGCATCTCTCCAATCTCCCATGAAAGATTTTTAAAATCAACAAAAACAAGCCTTCTGCTGTACAACACTTACTGAAAACATCACTTTCGTTACTCTATCCAGTACTTTTAAATTGATATATAGTCCTAAATTTAATTTCCTGGGCACTGCCCCAGAGTCTGTGAGACAAGTGCCATTTGTTCTCTCCCCTTCATAGTCAGGCTCTCTCGGGAATGGTTCGTGCTGCTTGCTCTGCTTTCTGTGCCCACCTCTTCTGCCCACGAGAGCCAGACTTTAGCCCCCTACCCCCACTCTTGCACTCTGAACTGATGGTGTGCACACTCTATGTACAGTCTTTCTTGATTTTGATCTTTCTGGACTGGTTGCTTTTTCCTGAAGGCCTTCCTCACCAAAGATTCTTTTTCCCCTTTTTTTGCCATTCTCCCTGGAAAATCAAAAGATTTTGATTTTTTCTGGAGCACTTGATGTTATAAGCCATTTCCTTTTTAAAAAGTTACATCTACTACTTTGCTGAGACACCTCTGGTTTTCCCAAGTCTTTGACTCTTTGTTCTTAGTTCTTGGGCCCTCTGTGTCCCATACACACTCTCTGGATGATCTCATCCAAATTCCTAGGGGCTGATCACTCTTCTGTCCTAAAAATAAAACAAAGCCAAAACTTCTGCTTCCCTTTGAAGCACTACCATCCTTCTTTCCTCCAGAGCCCTGCCCACTGTTTTACTTTCTCCCTCCCACTTCAGGCTAAAGCTCACTTTGCTCTGCCAGACCTGTTCTCAGCAAGGATTCTTTTGTTTTTTTAAACCTACGTAATGATTATCCCATACTATTGTGTCCTATTTTTTCCTTTTTCTATGTATCTGACTCCAACATGTAACATCAACATAATGTTAAATTTTATTAAAAACAGGTTATTTATATAACTGTTGCCCCCATTTGTTGGGCATTTATATTGCTTCATTTTTTCAGTTTTTAAAAATTTTTAAATTTTTTATTTTATTTTCAAGAGACAGGGTCTCACTATGTTGCCAAGGCTGGTCTCGAACTCCTGGACTCAAGCGATCCTCCCACCTTGGCCTCCCAGAGTGCTGGGATTGCAGGCGTGAGCTACCACACCTGGCCCTCATTTTAGTTTTAATTTATTTTTAACTTTTTAGAGACAGCCTCACTTTGTTGCCCAGGCTAGAGTGCAATGGCATGATCATGGCTCACTGCAGCCTCGATCTCCTGGGCTCAGGTGATTCTACCACCTCAGCCCCCCAAGTGGCTGGGACCACAGGCGCACACCATCACCCCAGATAATTTTTTTTTTTGAGACGGAGTCTCGCTCTGTCGTCCAGGCAGGAGTGCAGTGGCGCGATCTCGGCGCACTGCAACCTCTTGCCTCCTGGATTCAAGCGATTCTCCTGCCTCAGCCTCCTGAGTAGCTGGGATTACGGACGCGTGCCACCACACCCGGCTACAGATAATTTTTTTGTATTTTTTGTAGACACTGGGTTTCTCCATATTGCCCAGGGCTGATCTCGAACTTCTGGGCTCAAGGGATCCACAGCGTCAGCTTCCCAAAGTGCTGGGATTACAGGCATGAGCCACCACGTCCACCCCTACATTTTTTTTCTCCCCCCAGATGTATACTTTTAAGTTCTGTTTTTGTTTTTGTTTGTTTGTTTGTTTGAGTCTCACTCTGTCGCCCAGGCTGGAGTGTGGTGGCACAATCTTGGCTCACTGCAACCTCCGCCTCCTGGGTTCAAGTGATTATCCTGCCTCAGCCTCCCAGGTAGCTGGGACTACAGGCATGTACCACCACACCTGGCTAATTTTTGTATTTTTAGTAGAGACTGGGTTTTTCTGTGTTGGCCAGCCTGGTCTCGAACTCCTGACCTCAAGTGATCTGCCTGCCTCAGCCTCCCAAAGTGCTGGGATTACAGGTACAAATTGCTACACCCGGCCTGTATACTTTTAAATTCTTTAGTGTAGGGCCTCTGTCTTGAGTGCTTATCAGCTTTTCGCTGGTGAAGTGGGTTGGCCAGGATAAAAAGTATCATCAAGATGCCATTTCTCTCTTCTTCCCCATCCCAACTCCCAGAGCTGATCTGTCTCCCTGCTCCAGGCTTTCATGCCCTGTTTTGATTACTGTCAGCTTTCCAGAGTGAAGGGATCTCTCTTTTAAGTGTTAGCTCCTGAAATAATGATCTGAGAAAAGGGATTTTTGTTTGAAGGGACCATGCTTTTTTTTTTTTTTTTTTTGGACATAATTTACCTACCAGAGAAAAGAAAAACTTCACCTTTAAAAAGAATATAATTTAGTTGTTTTCAGTATATATTCACAAAGTTTTGGAACCACCACCACTGTCTAATCCCAGAACATTTTATTACCTCAAAAAGCAACCCCATTCCCATGAGCAGTCACTCTCCATTTCTTCCCTCCCCCAGCGTGTAGCAGCCAGCCTCTGTGTCCTTTAACAATGTAGAACCAGCCCTACTTGACTCTGAGTGTGCAGGTATTCTTTTGCACTCTTGTTTGCTTACATTTCTGCATGCATTTTACTATTTTGTATCAGGATTTATTTATTTATGTATTACTGTTTGGCATTGATTTCATAACATCAATTTCGAGAGTAATCATTGTTGATTTTTATTTTTTTGGCTGGGTCCGGGTATGTGTCTTCTCATTCTCTTCCTGCATCCTAGATCTTTCTTTTTACTTCTTCCTGCTATTTATTTCTTTAGTTAGTTTTAGAGACAGGGTCTCTGTTGCACAGGCTAGACTGCAGTGATCATAGCTGGGTGATTCTGGGTCCCTTCCTCCCTCAGTTCAGCCTCTCGAGTAGCTGGGACTACAGGCAGGAGCCATCACACCCAGCTAATTTTTAAAATGTTTCGTGTTGATGGAGACTGCTTTCTGTGTTGCCCAGGCTGGTCTGAAACTGGTAGGGGCAAGCCATCCATCTGCGTCAGCTTCCCCAAATGCTGGGATTACAGGTGCGAGCCATCATGCCTGACTTCTTGTGGGTTTTTGATTCTGTGAAGCCATCTCCTTTTCTCTTGAGCCTTGATGGTTTGTACTTAACACTCTCAGCTCCTTCCTGGGCTGCCCTTTAAAATTTGCTTGCTGTGTTCCTTGCAGTTGAGTCTTATCTTTGTTCTTTGTTTATAATGTGTTTATTTTCTTGGGTTTTGAAGGCAGCATTCTGTACCATTTCTCAGCTTAGCTCTTCCCAGAGTTCTGTTGTGTAGGATTTTCTGGGCACATTCTTGTATAATGGAAAGAACATAGAATTCAGAAGAATGAATAAGGGTTAATCCTAGCTCTGTTTTTGGGTGACTGGCTAAGTCACCTCGACTCTATGGTAGGACTTTTAACTATTTTAAAGTCCTATGTAGTTATCATGTTCTAAAAATTAGCATGCAGATAGATAGATAGATAGATAGATAGATAGATAGATAGATAGAGTTTTTTGTTTTTTGTTTTTGTTGTTGTTTTGTTTTGAGACAGAGTCTCGCTCTGTCGCCCAGGCTGGAGTGCAGTAGCGCGATCTTGGCTCACTGCAGCCTCTGCCTCCCTGGTTCAAGTGATTCTCCTGCCTCAGCCTCCCAAGTAACTGGGATTAAAGGCATGCAGCACCATGCCTGGCTAATTTTGTATTTTTAGTAGAGGTGGGGTTTTGCCATGTTGGTCAGGCGGGTCTCGAACTCCTGACCTCAGGTGATCCACCCGCCTCGGCCTCCCAAAGTGCTGGGATTACAGGTGTGAGCCACCGCACCCAGCTTCATAATTTTTATGCCTAATGAAATATAAGGAAAACTGGGCAGGCCTGGTGGCTCACGCCTGTAATCCCAGCATTTTGGGAGGCCAAAGCAGGTGGATCACCTGAGGACAGGGGTTCGAGACCAGCCTGACCACTCTGTCGCTACTGAAAAATATAAAAATTAGCTGAGTGTGGTGGCGGGCACCTGTAATCCCAGCTACTCAGGAGGCTGAGGGGGGAAAATCACTTGAACCCGGGAGGCAGAGGTTGCAGTTAGCCAAGATTGCACCACTGCACTCTAGCCAAGGCGAGATTCTGTCTCCAAAAAAAAAAAGGAAAAGAAATATAAGGAAAACTAATGCAGAGTTTACAGTTATCAACAAAAAGAATAAGAATGATAATGATTATTAAATTTAATTATTTAAGGGCCAGGTGCGGTGGCTCACACCTGTAATCCCAGCACTTTGGGTGGCCAAGGCAGGCAGATCACTTGAGGCGAGGAGTTCCAGACCAGCCTGCCCAACATGGTGAAACCCTGTCTCTACTAAAAATACAAAAAAATTGCGGGGTGCCTGTAATCCCAGCTACTTGGGTGGCTGAGACAGGAGAATTGCTTGAACCTGGGAGGCGGAGGTTGCAGTGACCCGAGGTTGCGCCACTGCATTCCAGCCTGGGTGACAGAGCAGGACTCCATCTCAAAAAAAAAGGTAATTATTTAAAATTATATTAAAATAATGAAAAAAGTGAGATTGGAGATGAAAGTGATAAAAATCTAGATGGCAGTGACACTGTTTGTATTGAATTTATGAAACAAGTTCACGTACCTGTTCATCCAAGTAACCTTATATGTGAGATAAGTATTCTTTACATTTTACAGAGGAAGATACTGAGGTTCAGTGAGGTTAAGATAATTGCCCGAGGTTACAAGCACAGAGCTGTGATACAATACAAGAACTTGAATTCAGGTTTCAGGACTTCCAAGACCAAGGCTTTGTATCTTGACCCAAAATAAAAGTTGAATAGTTTGAAGGTTATTTCTTCAAATATACTCTATCACTTAAGTAGGTTTTCGGGAGTGAGCGAAGACGGCACAAGTTTGAACATTCGTCCTGGAGATCATCTGTTACTCTGAATGTATCGTGGGTTAGTGTTGTGGGCATGGCTGCTATCTGGGGGCAGGTTGAAAAGCTGCCACATTGCCACTGTCATCCTACGGAATACTAGTTAAGCAGAATTATGAGTTCTTGTGAAATTACTCAAATTTTTTATTTCTCAAGTTACAGTGGAAATCTTATTTCTGAAATTTCTTTTCTTTTCTTCCCATATTGTCTCCTCATTTGCACTCTTGAGCAGTAAATACATCTGTTCCAAACACAAGCAAAGACCTAGACAGAGAAATAACTGCCAGAGTCAGTGGCAGTGTTGCAGCTTTTCAACCTGCCCCCAGATAACAGCCACGCCCACAACACTCACCCACTGCATATTCAGAGTAACAGATGATCTGCAGGACGACTGCTGAAACTCCTGCTGCCTTCACTCACTCCAGAAAACCTACTGAAGACCTGAGGAATGGAGGACTAGATTGAAGAATTGGGAAGTCACTGAGAACCAAGGCAGTGCCTCTGTCATTCTCTGTGGAGCAGCAGGCCTTGTTTCTGCAGTCCAGATCTGTCTACTACTTGGCTCCTCTCTGCAGAATGAAGTCTGGGTGCATGTGGCCCATCCCAGCATTCCCAGTTATGCAACCAGATACTCTTCTGCCAGCCAGCCTGGCCCCTTGGAGTCTCTGTGCTCCAGCTCCAGGCTGTCTGAGAAGAGGAGCTAGTTGGCCCAGCTCTACCTTAGAATGGATTCTTGTCTGGGCTGGGTAGTACCTCATCAGCTGTGGCCAGGAGCAATACTCTCAACAGCACAGACAAAAGGGGACAGATCCCTATTGGGTAAAGGTGATGTGGGCTGGGGTAAGTACCCTGAGAGGTGTCTGTCACAGAAAACTGCCTGAGAGAACTTTGTCAAAGTTCTGGGCTCCACTCTCCAGGGGTTTTGTTCAGTCAATAGGTATAAAATAGAAACTAAGTGTCCACTTGTTTAAAAAGCTCCCTGGATGAGTCTGATGCCTCTTCAGATTTAGAAATCACTTTACTCTAATACGTGTAAATAAATTAATATGTATTTGTGTTTGCATGAGGAAATAATGGAAAGATAAGCAACTAATAAAAATGGGTAATGGGTGGAGATTGATGAGGCTGTTGAGGATGAGGGAGCAGGTTCTTTCACACACACACACACACACACACACACACACACATTTTAACCAACTTAAAAATTTAAAGAAACACTTCAGCTTAACAATTAGAAATCAGATTCAAAACAATGATTTTAAAATTGAAGATACTGAGGTCCAGAAGGTGCACTGTATCTGGGACCAGGTTTCTCATCTGTGAAGTAATTCCAGTTTTTGGTATCAGTCACTTAAATGTAATTTATTTTTTCTCATCAGCATAATCCCATAGAAGTTCATACTGGTAGGCAGGAGAAGAAGGGAATAGATCCCAAAGGGAATTGGAAGAATTTGGGTTCTATTGCTTTGTCTTTGTTCTGTAGAGAAGGTACTTCCACAGTAGACCCAAAACCATGAGATATGGGCCCAGGACAAAGTGAGCTGAGAAGAAAAGGGTTGGTGCAGTGACTCTCCATCTTAGTTGAACTTTAGAATCACCTGGGGTCCTTTACAAAATAAAATCCCAATTCATACACACATATACACACAGTCTAGGACAGTTATTCTTAGGGTTTTTTTTGTTGTTTCGAGACAGGGTCTTCCTCAAACTCCTGGGCTAAAGCAGTCCTCCTGCCTTAGCCTCCCAAATAGCTGGGATTACAGGTGTGAGCCACTGCATTTGGCTCGTCTGATTTTTTTGTTTTTGTTTGTTTGTTTGTTTGCTTGAGATGGAGTTTTGCCCCTGTTGCCCATGCTGGAGTGCAGTGGCGCAATCTTGGCTCACTGCAACCTCTGTCTCCCAGGTTCAAGCGATTCTCCTGCCTCAGCCTCCCAAATAACTGGGATTACAGGCGCTTGCCATCGTGCCCAGCTAGTTTTTTGTATTTTTAATAGAGATGGGGTTTCATCATGTTGGCCAGGCTGGTCTCCTGACCTCAGGTGATCCATCCGCCTCAGCCTCCCAAAGCACTGGGATTACAGGCGTGAGCCGCTGCACCTGGACTTGTCTGAGTTTTTTCATGATTAGAATGAGATTATGCATTTTTAAGTGTGTTGTGCTCTTCTCAGCACATCATATCTGAGAATTCATGATGTTGCTGTGTCTTAGATGTTAATCATTTGGTTAAGGTGGTGGTATCTGCCTGTTTATCCTTTTACGACTATTATCGTAGACATCTTAGGGGATGTACTCTGAGACTGTGATCAATTTTACTCACTGATTTTAGCATCCATCCATGGGTCTTGTCTGAAACTTATTATTGTGGTTTTTGCCTAATTCTGATTTTTTTCCCCAATTTCCTTCATTCCTTCTGTATTAATTGGAGTGCATCTGTAAGGAAGAACTATCCTCCCTCTCATTTATTCACTTATTTATATAGGTGTGGATGCATGGATATGTGTTTTATTCTATGGATTTAGTCTAATACTGTGATTTATTTTGTTGCTCAGATTGTTACAATTTCAACTTTAGTTTGCTCTTTCAGGTTGGCCTCTAGGCCCTTTCAATATGCTTTTGTATTTTTTTTTTTTTTTTTTGAAATGGAGTTTCGCTCTTGTTGCCCAGGCTGGAGTGCAATGGTGCAATCTTGGCTCACTGGAACCTCCACCTCCCGGGTTCAAGTGATTCTTGAACCTCAGCCTCCTGAGTAGCTAGGATTACAGATGCCCGCCACCACGCCTGGCTAATTTTTTTATTTAGTAAAGGAATTTATTTAGTAAAAGAGGAGTTTCACCATGTTGGCCAGGCTGTTCTCAAACTCCTGACCTCAAATGATCCACCCACCTCGGCCTCCCAAAGTGGGATTACAGCCTGGCTGTCAATATGCTTTTAAGTGTGCTCATTGCTACTGGGTGTCACTGCTTCTAAGTCTTCTCAGCAGACAGAACTAGGAAAATAGGCTTATGTATACTCAGCTACATATTACACATGTATCTATGTTTATTTCTGTGTATGTCTGTGTATATGTTAGAAATTATGAGTTCATACTGATATCTCATTCTAATCCAACACTGTGTGGTTTATTTTAGCCTTCCCTCTTATTTGTAATTATTTTGCCAACCTGGCTGTCATTATCCTTCATTTTTTTAAACTTACTTTTTCAGTCAGTACCACTGTCTACATGAATTAGTGTCAGAATTGCTAACTCACATCTTTGTGAGAAACAAATTTACTTACTAGGTAGCAGCATTTGTGTTACAGTTCTTTATGCCTTTAGCTTTACAATATCCAGTCAAAATAGGTTTTCAAAGTTTCTTCCTCATGCCCTTCAGTGTGGTTATGTTATTCCTTTGTAACGCAGTTAGATTCACTTGTTACTGTTTGTATTCTGGGTTCTTTAATTTTTTTGGTATGCGCTACATTACTCTGGTTTTGAGTCATCTATACACAAAGATATACTCAGAGAAATATCACTCCTTCCTTATCCCTACCATCCATTCCCATTTCGTTTTATCCCTTTCCCACCTATCCCCTGTAGGTAGCTGATCTCTTTAGTTTCTGGTTTATCCTTCCTGTATTTCTTTTGTACAAATAAGCAGATATATGTATATGTTCTTATTGCCCATTTCTTATATGAAGGATAGCATAGTCTAAATCTTGTACTTTGGTTTTTTCACTTAACAATATATCTTGGAATTCATTCTGTGTCTGTTCTTAGACATCTTAGAATGATTTTCATTCATTTTTACTGCTGCATAGTACTCCATGTGGATATAACATAGTGTCTTCAGTCTCCTCCAATGTGTGGGCATTTAGATTGTTTCCAGTATTTTGCAATTACAAATAGTGCTACTGTGGATAATCTTGTACATATGTTTTTTCATATCATTGGAGGTGTACCTTCAGAGTAGATTCTTAGAAGTAGGATTGCTGGGTTAAAAGATGTACACATATATAATTTTGTTAGGTATTGCCCAGTTCCCCTCCAGAAGAGTTGTACAGTTTGCATTCCCACCAGCCATATATGAAAACTACCTGCATATGTTTTAAAACACATACAGATGAATGATTATCAGTTTTGTTTAGGGTCTTCCTTTCCTTCTGCAATTCCTCTTCTATCATGACAGGTTGCAAAAGAAACTAACTGCAACTTTTTCATGAAAAGAAGTAAAATTAGTTTTCCAGAGCTGACTGAAGATTTTCTTACTGGCATTTTAAAGTTATAATTATGTATTACATTTTTCCACTTTACCTAGTTTAGCATCTGTTATGTAACATCTCACCACCTGCTTAGTTGTGCAGGCAGTTCTTTTCAGTTTAGATAATAATACTGGATACTGCAAGTTTAAACATTTTCCCCATCTTAGTCATTTTCCAGATTTCTGAGACAGGTGTTTAATATTTCCAAAAGTGAGGCAGTTCAGAAAATATTTGCATTTCTTCACTCTTACATTTCAGTGACGGAGGTGGTCATCTGAGCCTCTCTTCCTTTGACTTGACTCGTTGGGGTACAGCTTACAAAAGCATGCCAGGGTCACCATGACAAAGTAGATCATCCTCTTTTCTAGACCATGGCTCCCTATCCTGCCCTCTCTCCCTGACGACCCCTGGCTTGAGACCCTCACCTTTGTGTTTTCCCGGTGTGCTGGTCCTCTCTGGCCTCGCTCTGGATTCTGTCTGCTGACCTCCCCACTCTGACCAGATTCTCAGTTCTCCTGATCTCTCCACTCCCACTCTATAGGAACCCTACTGTTTATTTTGTCTGATCTTGCTCAGACTGCTGATACATACTGGAGAAAGTCACTTAATTGTCATGATTGGCAGCACTAAACATCTCTGGATTCTTTCTGCTGAGTCTTCAATGTTTTCTTTTAACTTGTCCCCGTTCGGGTCCCTTTCTCACCTTCCCTGTGCCTGGTTTGCCTTCACATCTTCTGCCTTCCAGCCTGCTCTCCCATACTCCCACACCTCATTTACAGCACATACTCACCTTATTTCAGGAAAGACAGGTTTTGACTTATCCTGAGGAAATAGATCTAAATAGCCAGAACCTTCCAAATGGATAGGCTACTTTGGGAAGCAGTACATTTTCTATATCATGATCATTATGATTATTTTTCTTGTCCTTACTGCCTGCCTTCTTCAGCTTCTTTTCAGTTGACCTGTCTGAATCTGGCTCAATGATGAACCTGAACTTGGTTGATCACCACAAGAGCCTGTGGCCAAGGACTGTTGGCCTATATAAAGTGTCATGGTTCAGAACATGGGTTTTGGGGGTCAGCACACCTGGATTTGAATCTCAGTTCTGTTAACTACTAGGTATGTAATCATGGACACGTTAGTTGACCCTCCACTCTGCCTCAGTTTCTTCATCTATAAAGTAGGGGTTATGTTTCATAGGGTTGTGGTGAAGATAATATATAAGGATTTTTCTTAAGTTCTTAGCACTGTGCTAGTGACTATGATCATTATGATTAAATGTAGTCCTTCCTTATTTTCTCACTCTACCTCAGGGGTCACTTAATGCTCTTGGTTTGTGTTGATACTACTTCTAGCTGTTGTCATAACTCACTGCCAGCTAGCCTCACCCAGACCATTGTAAAGTTCTTTTCCAGTGAAAGTGGGAGGAAATAAATGAGGAGAAAGGAAATGTAGGGAAATGATCAAGAAGTGGATACTCCATCTATTTCATCAGGGTCTCCCTTTCTTTCTCATGGCAAGTTCAGAACACTTCTAAGCAGTAACTGCTTTGCATTAGATAGTATCTGTTACCAAGTCTCACTTTGGGCTACCCTAGCATGCTTTAAGTAAAACAGAGCTGCTTGGTTATGGATTTTTAAGATGATGGATAGTCGCAGTACTAAATCCTGGTAGTATATCTTAGATCAAGTAAAATAGACATTTTTCCCATTCATGAAGAGAGAAATGTTTTTCATACTTTAATAATTTGGGTACCACAGTTCACCAAAAATTTGTGGAAACTTTTCTGAATATAAGTCACTACAAGTCTTCATCTATGTCAGTGTCTGCGCATACACCTGTATAACTGAGTGTGTCTCTTTATCCATATTTTTTATTTTGTGCTGCTTATGTTTGGATGTAGCCTGAACATGAAATAATGGAATCTTCTTTTTGTAACTTGGCCAGCATTATCAAAGCATATATGTAGGGCATAGCTGAGTTAGGACTAAAACTCAGACCTCCTGATTTGAAGCCCAGTGTTCTTTTCTGATGTTACTTCCTTTTTAGGGTATCACATGATAAATGTAATGAATAATAATAAGTAAAATAATTTTTTTTTTTTTTGAGACGGAGTCTCGCTCTGTCGCCCAGGCTGGAGTTCAGTAGCGTAATCTCAGCTCACTGCAACCTCCACCTCCCGGGTTCATGCCATTCTCCTGCCTCAGCCTCCCAAATAGCTGGGACCACAGGCGCCTGCCACCATGCCCAGCTAATTTTTTGTATTTTTAGTAGAGACGGGGCTTCACCGTGTCAGCCAGGATGGTCTCGATCTCCTGACCTCGTGATCCTCCTGCCTCGGCCTCCTAAAGTGCTGGTATTACAGGCGTGAGCCACCGCGCCCGGCCAAGTAAAATAATTTTTAAAAGACCATACAACTTTTTTTTGAAGGCCTACTATCTTTTAGGCTGCATCTGCTTTTTCTAATCTTCACAATCCCCGGGCTTTCCTCATTTTCTAGCCAAGCAAGTGATTACTCAGAGATACTAAGTAATTCAGCCAGTGTCTCTCAGCTAGTGAGGGATAGGACCAGAATTGAAACCTTTTCTGGGTCTTTTAGTCTGTTTTATTACTGAAGAAATTGACAAATGCATATGTAACCAACAAAACTTGTTCAAGCTCTGGGCTCTCCAGAGCACCTTTTCTAGAGAAGTTGCATACTTGTTAATGACTAGATTTTAAGCCATGGTACCTATAGTACATTGGAACATTGGCTCTTAAAATAATAAAAAATTATGAATAAATGCTAAGCATTTGCTATTACTGGTTTTATTGCTTAAATAACCTTAGGCTAGCTTTTAATAGTTCACTTAATGGTTTGCAGCATCTGAAAAAAAAAAACCTTTGCACTGTTTTTCTTGGTTAGTGAATTGTCAGAGAACCAAGCTAAAGTAAGGAATACATTTTCTTTTAAAGCAATCATTAGTATTATCTACCTATTTATTTTTGGAACATGAGTTTGGCTCAGTCTAACTTACTTAGCATCTGAAGACAAGATAATTTTTATCTGTGAAACAGAGTGCTGTAGTTTCGTGTTCAGATAATTAAAGTTCACCAAAATGGGTGGCTTAGAGAACAGCTTAATAGCTTTCCCTAAAAATAACCCATTCACAGTTGTTAGGTAGCATTTTAGTTGCTACAGTATATGGTGCTTGTGCATGATAATAACGTTTGTCTAAATAAGGTGGATATATTATCCACAAATATTGAGCCTCTGCTATGAGACATGACTATAATGACAGGGGATGAAGAGGATGGGAAGAAAACCTAAAAATATTAGAAATTTTATGTCAAAGCCTTTGAAATGATTGTGGAAGGCTGGGCATTTATTCTAATGATACTGTCATTACTTAAAACCTGTTTGGAACATTTCCCTTGGAATTTCCTTGAATATGAGCTTATGAACCATGAAAGAGAATCAACCCCTTAATTTTGTAGCACAGCTAAATTTTTAAAAAATCACCTTTTGAGATATAATTTATATGCAATAAAATGTATCTTTTTATGTGTACTGTTCAGTGAAATCTTGACAAATGTATGTAGTTGTGTAACTGCCACCACAATAAAGATACAGAATATTTACATCACTTCAAAAAGCTTTCTTGGGTACCTTTGCAGTCAGTTTGTGCCTCAGGCAAGCACGGCTTTCTTTCCTTTTGTTTTTGAGACAGAGTCCAGCTCTGTCACCCAGGCTGGAGTGCAATGGCGCGATCTCGGCTCATTGCAACCTCCTGTCTCTCAGGTTCAACCGATTCTCCTGCCTCAGCCTCCTGACTAGCTGGGATTACAGGTGCACACCACCACGCCCAGCTAATTTTTGTATTTTTACTAGAGATGGGGTTTCACCTTGTTGGCCAAGCTGGTCTCAAACTCCTGACCTCGTCATCCACCCACCTCAGCCTCCCAAAGTCATAGGATTACAGGTGTGAGCCACTGCACCCAGCCACGGCTTCCTATCACTATAGATTAGCTTCAGCTTTTCTAGAATCTCATATAAATGGGATTTAAAAGTTTGTTCTCTTTGTGTTTGGCTTCTTTCATTTAGCATAGTGTTTTTCAGATTTGTCCTTGTTGCATGGATTAGTAGTAATTCCTTTTATTGCTGAGTACTGTCCTGTTGTATGGATGTACCACAGTTTGTTTACCCTTTGCTTGTTAATTAACATTTGGGTCGTACACAGTTTAGGGCTGTTAGGAATAAAGCTCCTACAGACATCTGTATATGAGAGTTTCAACTTTGCTGCATCCTCACCAACACTTGGTATTGGTCAGTTATTTTAGCTATTCTAATGGGTATTTGGTTTTAATTTACATTTCCTTTATGACTCATCAGTCATATTTTCATATTTGTTGTCACAAAGGAAGTGTTTATTCTTTTGCCTATTTGTAATATTGGGTTGTTTGTAGTCTTGTTTTGAAGTTTTAAGAGTTCTTTATGTATGCTAAATACAAGTCCTACATATTGCAAATTTTTTCTCCTCTCTGCACAATTCATTTTTGACCTTGATGATCTTATCTGGCCTGCTCTGCTCACCATCTCATTCGTGGATCCCACTCAGCAGCCTTTCCCTTTCAGTCTTGGCTGTCTCTTTCCATTTCCACTGTCACTGCTCTTACGCATTCCAAGGACTTTACTACTCCCTTCAGAGATGTGGTGGGTGTTTTTTTTTTTTTTTTAAATTATTATTTTACTGACTTGAGAGTGCTGCTGGATTGATAGTGACCTTGGGTCTGGGTTGCTAGATGTCCTGCAGTGGGTGGTATGGTTTCACACTGAACACTGAACTGACCTGCTTAACATGCCAATTACATCCTTGTTGCTTAGTCCACGCCACTGTCAGTCACCTCTTGCTGGTATTATGGCAGTGCTTGGAACGGTTTCCTTTTTTTTTTTTTTTAACTTTTTCCTTTTTTTATTTTTATTTTCTTTTTTTAAAATAGAGACAGGATCTCACTATGTTACCCAACCTGATCTCGAACTTCTGGGTTCAAGCAGTCCACCTGCCTTGGCCTCCTAAAGCACTGGGATTACAGGCATGAGCCACTGCCCCCAGCCACTTTTTCCTTTTTACAGTTCAGTTTTTCTCTTATTTGGTAAGATCATTTACAAAATATAAGTTGGATACTTTTATTCCCCAGTTTAAAGTGAAAGGACACTTAAAAGATAAATCCTTAGCATAACTGCTGGGTCACTGCGCATTTCTTCTGCCTCATCGTGAGCCACGCTCTCTCTGGTACACTGTAGCCACAGTGGTCTTCTTAGGGCTTCTGGTCTACTTCTGGTCTACTTCTGGTCTACCCTCTCCCTGCTTGTAGAATACTTGCTGCCTTTGCCACCCAGCAACCTGGCTAATTCCGGCTTATCCTTCAGTTCTCTGTTTAAATGCCTTCCCTAATTTCTTTAGAGAAGAAGAGTCTTCCGTAAGCTTCTAATTTAAACTAAGTTTTCTAGTTATCCTTAATAACATTAATTATATAACTTGCATTTTCCTTAGCAATTATCATAATTTATAATGTAGTCATGTTTATGACAAATATGTTTATTAATACCTATGTCTCTCTCTCTTATTTTTTTTTTGTGATGGAGTCTCCCTCTGTCACCCAGGCTGGAGTGCAGTGGCGCGATCTCAGCTCACTGCAACCTCTGCCTCCCGGGTTCAAGCGATTCTCCTGTCTCAGCCTCCCGAGTAGCTGGGACTACAGATGGCACGGCACCACGCCCAACTAATTTTTGTATTTTCAGTAGAGATGGAGTTTCACCATATTGATCAGGCAGGTCTCAAACTCCTGACCTCAGGTGATCCACCCGCCGCAGCCTCCCAAAGTGCTGGGATTACAGGCATGAGCCACTGCACCCAGCCTCTATGTCTATCTCCTCTCATAGTTTATGAGGGCAGAGAGCTTTATATTTTTACTGCTTTATCCACAGTGCTTAACATAATGTAGGTGATTATTTGATAAATAAAATTAACTTTAACATTCAAATGTTTTTAAAGTTATTTGATGCACATCCTTTACGATCCCAAACTGACGTTTTTTTTCTCTTGAATACAAACTTCTGTACTAGTTTCCTGTCTCTGCCATTTCCACTGAATCTATAAATTGCCCTTATAACAAGAGTTCTCATCTTTTTTTTTTTTTTTTAATGACGTGAATCCTTTAGGCAGTTGGTGAAACTTGTGGCTCCTTTTCAGATTAATATTTTAAATGAATAAAATAAAATGTGAGATTACAAAGGGAATCAGTTATGCTGAAATACCACTTTTGAAAAATTAAGAAGTCTTTATATGTGCTTCTTTACTAATGCCGTAAATAGCAAGATCAGGCAGCAGGTCTAACAAGCACTGTAATTTCAAAGTGTTGATGGGTATAGATATTTCAAGAATTATAACTGGTCTCCCTATGTCTAGTTTTAGCCTCTTTAGTCAGTTTTTTTTTTCTTTTTTTTTCCTTTTTGAAATGGAGTTTTGCTCTGTCGCCCAGGCTGGAGTGCAGTGGCACGATCTCGGTTCACTGCACCCTCCACCTCCTGGGTTCAAGCAGTTCTTCTGCCTCAGCCTCCCAGGTAGCTAGAATTACAGGAGCCTGCCACTACGTGCCTGGCTAATTTTTGTATTTTTGGTAGAGACAGGGTTTCACCATGTTGGTCATGCTGGTCTTAAACTCCTGACTCCAGGTGATCCACCTGCCTTAGCCTCCCAAAGTGCTTGGGATTACAGGCGTGAGCCACCACGCCTGGCCTTCAGTCAGTTCTATACCTGTGTTTCTGATTCCCTTCCCCTCCCCTCCCCTCCCCTGCCTTCCCTGAGACAGAGTCTCACTCTGTCACCCAGGCTGGAGTGCAATGGCATGATCTTGGCTCACTGCAGCCACCGCCTTCTGGGTTCAAGTGATGCTCCTGCCTCAGCCTCCCAAGTAGCTGGGATTACAGGCACGCACAACCATGCCTAATTTTTGTGTTTTTAGTAGATACAGGGTTTCACCATGTTGGCCAGGCTGGTCTTGAACTCCTGACCTCAGGTGGTCCACCTGCCTCAGCCTCCCAAAGTGCTGGGATTACAGGCATGAGCCACCACATCCAGACTCTTCATCTTCTGTTATTGAAGTAAAGTACAGATTTCTCAGCTTTTTAGTAACATCACCTTTTGTTCTTCCCCTGGACAGGTGTAAACTCCAGCCATATTGAACTATCCAGCACCTGGTACCCAGCCTTCCGTGCTTCAGCTTCTGTAGCTCCTTCTTCCTTAAGTGCTTTTTCGTGTGCTGCCTATTAAAATCCTACCTGCTTTTCAAGGCACCATTAAATACCACCTTCTTAGAGAGAGGTCCACAGATACTAACATAGAGCAGAGCCTGACAGATAATAAACACTCAATAAATTGTAGGTATTATTAAGTGAGAATTGTTCATAACTTCTTTTCAATACCATCATTACCTGGTTCCCAATAAATGAACTGTAAATATTTTGAGTAATATACATCTATAAACTAAGACAAAGCAGTATTATCAGTAAGTGTAAGCAAGTTTAAAGTGAATGCGTAAATGATTAATGTGTAGAATTTATTTTTAATCTCAGTTTAAATGTTTGTCAGTTTTAATCAGAGCATAGTGAGAAAATGATTTCATGGGCAGACATGGACATTTCTTATTCTTCATACTTAATCACAAACCCCACCAATCTATAATAAGATTGATTTCGAGTACTGTCAGTCTTTTTTTGTGAAACAGAATCCTCAAGCTCCTAAGAATTCTGTTTTTTGGCCGGGCGCGGTGGCTCACGCCTGTAATCCTAGCACTTTGGGAGGCCGAGACGGGCGGATCACGAGGTCAGGAGATCGAGACCATCTTGGCTAACACGGTGAAACCCCGTTTCTACTAAAAATACAAAAAATTAGCCGGGCGTGTTGGCGGGCGCCTGTAGTCCCAGCTACTTGGGAGGCTGAGGCAGGAGAATGGCATGAACCTGGGAGGCGGAGCTTGCAGTGAGCCGAGATCGCGCCACTGCACTCCAACCTTGGGAGACACAGCGAGACTCCGTCTCAAAAAAAAAAAAAAAAAAGAATTCTGTTTTTTAATACCTTTAATGTACTTAAATTGCTAATGAGTGTATATGTCTGCCTCATATAAAATACACCAAAAACGGAAGTCTTCACATAGGAAGAAACAAGACTTTAAAGTACTGTGTATTGCATTAACCATATTAACATTTGTTGCTTTTCACACGGTAGTAAATATGGTGTTGAAAGGAGGAGACGGGCGGGCGCAGTGGCTCATGCCTGTAATCCCAGCACTTTGGGAGGCTGAGGCGGGCGAATCACAAGGTCAGGAGTTCAAGACCAGCCTGACGAACATGGTGAAACCCCGTCTCTACTAAAAATACAAAAATTAGCCGGGCATGGTGGCACACGCCTGCTACTCAGGAGGCTGAGGCAGGAGGGTCGCTTGAACCTGGGAGGCGGAGGTCGCAGTGAGCCAAGATGGCGCCACTGTACTCCAGCCTGGACAAGAAAGCGAGACTCTGTCTCCAAAAAAAAAAAGTGGTAGCCGTATTGGAAGTGGTATAGCTGTGAGGATCAGATTGGTTCATTGCTTTCTGACCTTCTGTGGGCATTGGAGAACAATAGTAATGCCAAGTGCCCTATTTACAGGGTCAGGGCCACGGACAGACCTAAGTATTTCTACAAGAAAGCAAGTACCTTCAGGATGTGGGGGTGGGGGGGTTATGAGAAATGATAGAACAAATAAACATCAGTGAAAGGAACTGTACCTTACCACAAAAGGAAAGCTTTCAAATGAATAAAGTATTAAGAATAAAGAATAGGCTGGGCACAGTGGCTCATGCCTGTAATCCCAGCACTTTGGGAGGCCGAGGTGGGTGGATCACATGAGGTCTGGAGTTTGAGACCAGCCTGGCCAACATGGTGAAACTCTGTCTCTACTTAAAAAAAAAAAAAAAAAAATTAGCTGGGCTTGGTGGCTTGTGCCTGTAGGTTGTCCCAGCTACTTGGGAGGCTGAGGCAGGAGAATCACTTGAACCCGGGATGGGGAGATTGCAGTGAGCCGAGATCACGCCAGTGCACTCCAACCTGGATGACAGAGCAAGATTCTGTCTTTAAAAAAAAAAAAAAAGAAAAGAAAAAGACATTTGAAATATCCTTGGGTCACTTGAGCCTGGGGCCCACTGGTATTTCATGTATCTTGGGGCTAGGACAGGTGGAAGCTGAGTTGTCAAGACCAAAGTACTTCTGGCTAACAGCCTGTTCCTTATGGCATTTGTGGCCACCTGTAGGATTTTTGTTGTCATATCTTCATTGAGAGGCATCAGATAAGGATACTGTTTTTTTCCCGCCCTGCAAATTTGGTTACAACTGCAGTAAAGAAGACATGAGCTATTTAGAACATACAGTTGTGTCCTTGAGGAATTTCATCTAATTGGATGGAGACTGCTTGAACAGGACCCTGCTGGGACATGTGAGGTTTGTGAAATAAGCACCCATTTCTTGTGAGCCTGCTCTTTGCCCATTTATCCAGAGCTGTGGCTCCCCTTCATTCTGAGTTGGCTGAAAGGGCTCCTTGCCTCCGGGTGACCCAGTGCACCATCCTCCCCATTCCATTCTTTCAACAAACTGCTACCTGAGGAAAAGTTATAAAAATATAAATGTTGCCATGCTTAAAGTCTGTGCTTAGCATCCTTTGGTGGCTTCCCAGGATAAAATTACGAAAATATAAATATGGCCTGGCTCTTGCTCACCCTCCAGCTTCCCCTGTCATGTCCCTGTGTGTCCGCCTCTCTGCAGGCACTCTGTCGCCCCAGGTTCCCACAGGCCTCTGCACCACTGCCCCACATCTCCTCTGCCTGGAATTTACTCTCCCTTCTCTTCCCCCTGGTTAGCCATTGGAGCCTTCTCTTTCACCCTACCCGGTCCTGCAGCCTTCAGCCTCCCCTCCCCCAGCCCCCGACCATGGCTTTCATAACATCCTGTGCCTCTCAGTTTTTCACCTGGATTTAAGTTTTTTTCGTTATCCTTGCCTTATGATCACTCTTTAAAAAGTAGTCGGCTGTACTCTTTCTGCTCCTCTCCCCATCCTCTCCATTTCCTTACTTGAACCAAAGTTACCACACATCGTCTGGTTGCATGCAGATTCAGTGAATGCTTTCCAGTTCTTACTTTTCTCAGTCTCTCCTGTTTGAAATGCCTTCCTTCTTTGTCTTGGGAAACACCACCCTTTTCTGGTTCTGCTACATGGTTAAGCAGAACTACATGGCCTCTGGAGTTGGACAACAAAGGTTCTTTTTTTTTTGAGACTAGTCTCACTCTTTCACCCAGGCTGGAGTGCAGTGGCACAATTTTGGCTCACTGCAAGCTCTGCCTCCTGGGTTCACCCCATTCTCCTGCCTCAGCCTCCCAAGTAGCGCCAGCCACCATGCCCGGCTAATTTTTTTTGTATTTTTAGTAGAGACAGAGTTTCACCGTGTTAGCCAGGATGGTCTCGATCTCCTGACCTCATGATCCACCCGCCTCGGCCTCCCAGAGTGCTGGGATTACAGGCATGAGCCACGGCGCCTGGCCTAAAGGTTCTTACTCCATTATCATTTCTTTCCACTTTCTTTAACTGATTCCTCATCCTCATGCTGCTCCTGAGTTCTGTCTTCCGACTTCTTTTCTTGAAATTCTCTCTCTGCAGGAGTGCTAATCACTGTGGCTTCTGTTAAGAATTCCCAACTTGATCTCTCTCCTGATGCTGCTGGAAGGATGGAACCGTCATCTCCTCCATCTGAATCACTGACAGGCATTCTTAGATTTTTAAATCAGGATGCTGAAAACTATCTTTGTCCCTTACCTCCACCTTCTTTTTGTACCTCCCAGACCCAGGCCCACCTCTCACGTTTATAAGGTCTAGGTCAAGAATACAAATGGAGCCCTACATACCATTAAAAAAAAAAAAAATCAACCTAAGAAACATTAAGCAGACTTTGCTCTCTCCTCCTGCCATGACAGATATGCCTTCTTTTCCTTTTTTTTTTTTTTGAGATAGGGTCTCACTTTGTCACCCAGGCTGGAGTGCAGTGGCACAATCATGGCTCACTGCAGCCTCAACCTCCCTGGCTCAAGTGATCCTCTTGCCTAGTCCCCCAAATAGCTGGGACTACAGGCGAGTGCCACCATGCCCAGCTAATTTTTGTATTTTTTGTAGAGACAGGGTTTCATCATGTTGTCCACACTGATCTCGAACACCTGGATTCAAGTGATCTGCCCTCCTCACCCTCCCAAAGTGCTGGGATTACAAGCGTGCATCACCATGCCCACACCAGGCCTAATATACCTTCTTAATGACCTGGAAGGTTGGGTTCAAATAGAAAATACTCAGGCTCCTTAGAGTTCTATGTCAGTAGTTCCGGCAGAGCAGACCTTCAGCATAGTGCTCTTCCCTTCCCAGCCACAGCACTATCCATGTGTTGTGAGCTTGAGCACGTGTGTGGCCTCCTGCCTGCACAATGTAGGTGCAATACACGCCAGCAAGCAGCTGCCCCTTTGACCACCACCTCAAGTGCACCTGCTGGGTACAGACTACACTTTTCCAGATGCAGGGAATTCCCGGGCACCTGAGGAGCATTTTCCCCGACCCCAATAACCTTCTCTCATGGGCATGGGCATGTCTGGGTGAGGGTTAGTGGCCAGTGACCACAGATGTCTCAGTCTCTTACCTCGCCTCCTGTTTCCTCTTTCTTTTCTTTGCGGTCTTGCTTTTCTGTCAGAAGCCTACTCATCCTTCAGGATAAGGCTTTTGCGGGCCTCATCTTCTTTTAATCCTTCCCTTAGTATTTGAAGTTAACCCAGCTCCTCCTTGGGTTTCAGAAGTGCTTTAATGTGATAAAAGGCAAAGTATGTTCTCTGTTCCTGTCTCCTTCTCTCACAAAATTGCAAGTTTCTTAAGAGCAGGATCATTATTTGTTTTTGCCACCAGTCCTAACATGAAGCCTCACAAATGGGAAGTTCTTGACAAGCGTGGCTTGAATTCACCAGAACTCTGTCTTCATTTCGTGTTGTTGTGGTAACCCTATCAAAACAGGAAATAAAGCTAGTTTAGCATGACTTGTTCATAATTGACTCATGCTGGTTCCCTTTCCTTCCCTAAGCAATCATAAAACATCTGTTAAATAATCTACTTCAGAATTTCATGGACTTCTACGTTTATTGATCGGTACACTTCTAGAATCTGTATCCCAATTGCCCCAGCACTGGAATGAATCATGTGGCCAAAGAACCCTGGTTCTTTTTTTTTTTTTTTAACTGCTTTACTAAGAAGTAATTGATATACAAAATATTGCACACATTTAAAGTATAAAGTTGGATAAGTTTTAATACATTATACACCTATGAAACCATCAACACAATTAGGATAAGGAACATACTCATTGCCTCCAAAAGTTACCTCATTTCCATTTGCAATCTTCTTCCTCCCATTCCCAGGCAATCCTGGGGGTAAATCCAAAGTAAACCCAGGATTACTTTGTATTTTCTATAGATGGAAATACATTTCTTTTGGTCTGGCTTCACTCACCATAATTACTTGAGATTCATCTGTGCTGCATATATCAATAGTTCATTTCCTGTTATTATCAAATAGGAATCTCATTTCCTTTTATTATCAAATAGCAGGAATCTATCTGTTTTGAGACTTGAGATGGGTGTGCTCACTTCAGACCTTAATGTCCTCCCATTCTCCATAATTTATGGGTCTTAGGATAGAATTCATCTGGGACTTGAGGTTGTGTTCATTTAAGATGACTAGACACTCTCAATATCTTGGGTTCCTCAAGGGAAGAGTATTATTATTATTATTATTATTTTTTTTTTTTTTTGAGATGGAGTCTAGCTCTGTCGCCCAGGCTGGAGAACAGTGGTGCAGTCTCGGCTCACTGCAGCCTCCGCCTCCCGGGTTCAACTGATTTTCCTGCCTCAGCCTCCCAAGTAGCTGGGACTACAGGCGCATGCCACCATGCCCAGCTAATTTTTTTTTTATCTTTAGTAGAGATGGGGTTTCGCCATGTTGGCCAGGCTGGTCTCAAACTCCTGACCTCATGATCCGCCTGCCTTGGCCTCCCAAAATGCTGGGAGTACAGATGTGAAAACCACCCCCAGCCCAGAGTATTATTTATAATTTTTGCGTCCTAATGTTAGAATAGTTCTTGATATATAGAAGGTACTAACCCAAAGCTGGATAAAAGTTTCCCCCTTTATTGGCCAGGTGTGGTGGTTCACGCCTATAATCCTAGTACTTTGGGAGGCTAAGGCAAGAGGATCACTTGAGTTCAGGAGTTCGAGATCAGCCTGGGCAACATTGTAGAACCCTGTCTCTACAAAAAAACTTTTTAAAATTAGCCAGGTGTGGTGGTGCTCACCTGTGGTCCCCACTATGCTACTTGAGAGGTTGGGGCTGCAGTCAGCCATAATTGTGCCAGTACACTCTAGCATGGGTGACAGAGTAGCCCATCTCAAAAGAAATAAAAGGGCCAGGTGCAGTGGCTCACGCCTGTAATCCCAGCACTTTGGGAGGCCGAGGCCGAGGATCATGAGGTCAGGAGATCGAGACCATCCTAGCCAACATGGTGAAACCCTATCTCTACTAAAATACAAAAAATTAGCTGTGCGTGGTGACGGGCACCAGTAGTCCCAGCTACTCAGGAGGCTGAGGCAGGAGAATCGCTTGAACCCAGGAGGCGGAGGTTGCAGTGAGCCCAGATGGCACCACTGCACTCCAACCTGGGCAACAGAGCGAGACTCCATCAAAAAAAAATTAATACTTAATTTTTTTCCCTCTTTAACATGTTTCTTTCCCCCTTAAAAAAATTTTTTTTAAGCTAGGTGCCATGGCATGTGCGTATAGTCCCAACTACTCTGAAGCCTGAGGAAGTGATCTCAGGAGTTCAGGACCGGCCTGGGCAGCATAGTGAGACTTCATCTCTCTCTCTCTCTCTCTCTCTCTCTCTCTCTCTCTCTCTCTCTCTCTCTCTCTCTGTCTCTCTCGCTTTTTTTCCCCCTGAGATGGAGTCTTGCAGTGTCGCCCAGAGCTGGAGTACAGTGGCGTGATCTCAGCTCACTCAACCTTTGCTTCCCGGATTCAAGCAATTCTCCTGCCTCAGCCTCCTGAGTAGCTGGGATTACAGGCGCGTGCCACCACGCCCTGCTAATTCTTGTATTTTTAGTAGAGACAGTGTTTCACCATGTTAGCCAGGCTGGTCTCGATCTCCTGACCTCGTGATCCACCCACCTCAGCTTCCCAGAGTGCTGGGATTACAGGCGTGAGCCACCGTGCCCAGCCGAGACTTCATCTCTTTACAAAGTAAAATTGTTTTGGTTAATTATATGTTTTGGTAAAAAGCATACAATTTGCCATCTTAATCATTTTTAAGTACACAGTTCAGTAGAGTTAAGTATATTCACATTGTTGCACAATAGATCTAGAACTTTTTCATCTTGGAAAATTGAAAACCTGTACTCTTGAACACATCTCCCCATTTCTCCCTCTCCTCAGCCATTTTTAACCACCATTCTCCTTTCTGATTCTATGAGTTTGTTAATTTTGGATACCTCATATAAGTGAAATTATGCAGTATTTGTCTTTTGTGACTTATTTCTGTTGATATAATGTCCTCAAGCTTCATCCATGTTATAGCATGTGATAGAATGACCTTTTTGGTTTTTCCCCCACCTTTATTGGGGCATAATTGACAAATAAAAGTTGTATATATTTACTGTGTTAAATGTGATGTTTTGATATGTGTATACCTTGCGAAATGATCCCCACAGTAAAGCTAATTAAGATACCCATCAACTCACATAGTTAACGTTTGTGTGTGGTGGGGGCAAGAACATTTTTTTTTTTCTTCTTTGGAGACAGTTTCACTCTTGTTGTCCAGGCTGGAGTGCAGTGGTGCCATCTTGGCTCACTGCAACCTCCGCCTCTTGGGTTCAAGTGATTCTCCTGACTCAGCCTCCCAAGAAACTGGGACTACAGACGCGTACCACCACGCCTGGCTAACTTTGGTATTTTTAGTAGAGACAGGGTTTCACCATGTTGGCCAGGCTGGTGTCAAACTCCTGACCTCAGGTGATCCGCCTGCCTTGGCCTCCCAAAGTGCTGGGATTACAGACGTGAGCCACCGTAGGTGGCTGATAATAGCCATTCTAATAGCTGTGAGGTGATATCTCATTGTGGTTTTGATTGGCATTTTTCTGATTAGTGATGTTGAGCCTTTTTTCATATACCTGTTGGCCATTTGTATGTCTTACTTTGAGTAATGTCTATTCGGGTTCTTTGCCCCCACTCCCTACCACCCGCACCTGCTTTTTTCCATTTTTGAGACAGGGTCTCTCTATGTTGCCCAGGCTGGTCTTGAACTCCTGGTCTCAAGCAGTCTGCCTACCTCAGCCCCCTGAATAGCTAGGACTACAAGCAGGTGCCACTGCACCTGGCCTTTGCCCATTTTTAAATATTTTGTTTGTTTCCTGCTGTTGAATTGTGTGAATTTCTTATATATTTAAATATTAGCCCCTTATCAGATATGTGGTTTGTAAATATTTTCTCCCATTCATTGGGTTGTCTCTTCACTCTGTTGATTGTTGCTTGTGCTGTGCAGAAGCTTTTTAGTTTGATTCAATTCCATTTGTCTGTTTTTGCTTTTGTTGCCTGTGCTTTGGGAGTCACAACCAAAAAATAATTGCCCAGACCAATGTCAAGAAGCTTTCCCCCTGTATTTTCTTCTAGTAGTTTTTGTTTGTTTGTCTGTTGTTTATTTGTTTGCTTTTGCTTTTTTTTTTTTTTTTTTTTTTGAGACGGAATCTCTCTCTGTCATCCAGGCTGGAGTGCAGTGGCACGATCTCAGCTCACTGCAAGCTCTGCCTCCCAGGTTCACGCCATTCTCCTGCCTCAGCCTCCCGAGTAGCTAGGACTACAGGCGCCTACCACCACGCCCGGCTAATTTTTTTTTTTTTTTTTTTTGTATTTTTAGTAGAGACAGGGTTTCACCGTATTAGCCAGGATGGTCTCGATCTCCTGACCTCGTGATCCACCCGCCTTGGCCTCCCAAAGTGCTGGGATTACAGGGTGAGCCATTGCGCCCAGCCTTTTCTAGTTTTTATAATTTCAGGTTTTACAATTTTTGTCTTTAATCTGTCTTGATTTGATTTTTGTATAGGGTGTGAAATAAGTATCCATTTTATTCTTTAGCAAGTAGATATCCAATTTTCCCAGCACCATTTATTGAAGAGACTATCCTTTATGTTTGGACTCTTTATTCTGTTCCATTTGTCTATTTGTCTGTTTTTATGCCAGTACCATGCTGATTCCCTGCCCCCCACCCAGCTTTATTAAGGTATAATTGACAAATACAAATTAGTATATGAAACTGAGGTGGAAGTGCTGGAAAAATAATTAGTATATATTCATGATATACAACATGATGTTTTGATATATGTGTATATTGTGAAATGATTAAAGCAAGGTAATTAACATATCTGTCATCTCACATACTTTTTGTGGTGAGAATGTTTAAGATCTAATCTTTTAGTAATTTGCAAGTATATAATACATTATTATTAACTGTAGTCACCATGCTGTAGGATAGAGCTCTAGAACTTATTCATCCTGGTTAACTGAAACTTTATACTCTAACAAATTATCTGCACATTTCACCCTATCCCCGCAGTGTTGTGCTGTTTTGGTTACTATAGCTTTGTAGTGTATTTTGAAATCAAGTGATGTGAAGCCACCACTTTGTTCTTGCTCAGGATTGCTTTGGCTATATGGGATCTTTTGTGGTTCCATATATGAATTTAAAGATTACATTTTCTGTTTCTGTGAAAAATGCCATTGGAACTTTGATAGGGATTACATTGACTCTGCAGACCACACTGAGTAGTGTAGACACTTTAAGAATATTAAGTCAGACCAGGCACAATGGCTCATGCCTGTAATCCCAGCACTTTGGGAGGCTGAGGTGGGAGGATCACTTATGACCAGGAGTTCAAGACCAGCCTGGATAACATAGTGAGACCCCATATCTACCAAAAAGTTTTTAAATTAAAAACAATTGGCCGGGTGCGGTGGCTCACACCTGTAATCCCAGCACTTTGAGAGGCCAAGGCGGGCAGATCACGAGGTCAGGAGATCGAGACCATCCTGGCTAACATGGTGAAACCCCATCTCTACCAAAAATACAAAAAAAAAGGAAATTAGCCGGGCGTGGTGGTGGGCCCCTGTAGTCCCAGCTACTCGGGAGGCTGAGGCGGGAGAATGGCGAGAACCCAGGAGGCGGAGCTTGCAGTGAGCCAAGATGCGATACTGCACTCCAGCCTGGGCGACAGAGCGAGACTCTGTCTCAAATAAATAAATAAATAATAAAAACAATTAGGCATGGTTTTTGGATGCTGAATTGAATTTCTTTGTGTGTGTGTGTGGTTTTTTTTTTTTTTTTAAAGACTGAATAATATTCCACTCTATGTATATGCTACATTTTCTTTATCCATTCATCCATAGTGGACATTTCGGTTGCTTCCACATCTTGGGTATTGTGCGTAATGCTGCACAATGAACCTGCCAGTAGCTCTTAGAGATTCTACTTTGAATTGTTTTGGATATATGCTCAGAAGTGGGATTGCTGGACCATATGGGAATTCTATTTTTAATTTTTTGAGGAATTTCCAAGTGGTTACACCATTTTGCACACTCAACAATAGAGTATGAAGGTTCAAATTTATCCACATCACACTTACGGTTTTCTGTTTGTTTGTTTGTTTGTTTTTAAATAGTGGCAGTCCTGGCTGGTCGTGGTGGGTGGCTCACGCCTGTAATTCCAGCACTTTGGGAGGCCAAGGCAGGCGGGTCACCAGGTCAGGAGATCCTGTAATTCCAGCTACTCAGGAGACTGAGGCAGGAGAATTGCATAAACCCAGGAGGCAGACGTTGCAGTAAGCCGAGATTGAGCCACTGCACCCCAGCCTGGCGACATAGCGAGACTCCGTCTCAAAAAAAAAAAAGGCATAACGTTGAATACACGTTTCAAAAGAAGACATAAGAAAAGATGGTCATCATCATGAATCAGAGAAATGCAAATCAAAACCACAATGAGCTATCACCACACACCCATTAGGACTGACCCCCACTTTTTTTTTTTTTGTTTTTTGAGACTGAGTCTCACTCTGTCACCAGGCTGGAGTGCAGTGGCGCGATCTTGGCTCACTGCAGCCTCCATCACCTGGGTTCAAGCCATTCTTCTGCATCAGCCTCCCAAGTAGCTGGGACTATGGGCGCGCACCACCCCACCCAGCTAATTTTTGTATTTTTGGTAGAGATGGGGTTTCACCATTTTGGACAGGATGGTGTCAATCTCGTGACCTCATGATCCGCCTGCCGTGACCTCATGATCCGCCTGCCTTGGCCTCCCAAAGTGCTGGGATTACAGACATGAGCCACCGCACCCGGCCTTCTTTTTTAATGAACCATCTTTGGATTCCTGTGATAAGAGACACACTTATAGCAAAAACCTGTAGTGTGGTGGTAGTTAGGGACAAAAGGGGTTGAGCAAAACAAGACACAGTTGGTAATGTCAAAGTGATTTTAAAGCATAAATGTTTATAGACACCTGAAAGTTCATGGTATGCCTTATTTACCAAGTATCAACAATAAAATATGTAAAACAAAACCGAGAAATCCAAGGAGAAACTAGCAAGTATGGAATCATTATGGAAGAGTGTAACCCTCTTTGTCATCAGTTCTATGAAAGATAGATTGCATAAACCAAAAAGGCAGCAGAATGGTTAAGCGGAGCAGACAGGAACAGACAAAACTCCTTTTTTTCAAGTGGGACCAGATGAGGATGATCTCATATTTTCTTACTTAAAAGGAGGCAGTTGGCCGGGCATGGTGGCTCACCCTGTAATCCCAGCCCTTTGCAAGGCCGAGGCGGGGCCTATCACGAGGTCAGGAGATTGAAACCATCCTGGCTAACACGGTGAAACACCGTCTCTACTAAAGATACAAAAAATTAGCCAGGCGTGGTGGCGGGGCCTGTAGTCCCAGCTACTCGGGAGGCTGAGGCAGGAGAATGGCCTGAACCCAGGAGGGGGAGCTTGCAGTGAGCCAAGATCGCACCACTGCACTCCAGCCTGGGCGACAGAGCGAGACTGCTTCCACAAAAAAATTTTAAAGAGGCCGGGGGGGAGGGCAGTTATTTCGTCACTGAGTGTTGATACAGTAGAGGGGCACACTGACCATAAACTCCTCTCTCCAAAAATTTTGTTGGATTATAATTTTGCAGAACAAATTATGACCACTTGTGACTGTTAACACTAGAAATTTATAATATTAACACTAGAAAATTGTAATGTTGAGTTTAAACCAGCATTTTATAACTAATCCGTGCTGTTGTTGAACTCTTGTTCTATGATTTGAATTACCAAAATAGAATTTTTTTCTAAAAATATTCCCAATATTGAATAAGCTTGCTTATTATATATGCTTTTTAATACTATGTTAAATTATTACTATTATATATGCTGTTGCCTAACTGAAAATCACTGGCTTAGGGCCTCATGTACCAAACCAAAGCAAAATAAGATTTGAGTAGTGGTTATTTTACTTAAGAAAATATACTTCATTTCAAAGCATTTGGGGCCACCTGTGTACTATATGTTAATGGTGTTGTAGGATAATTGGATCCTAGTAAGACAAAGTTCTCCTCCAGAGCATTATCTTGTCATAGAATCAGACAAATGTATCAATAATTCTTAGGATTAGTAGACTGATAAATATTATAGAAGCATAAACTTTATTTAATTTAGAGACGGAGTCTCACTCTGTCGCCCAGGCTGGAGTGCAGTGGTACAATCTTGGCTCACTGCCACGTGCATCTCCCAGGTTCAAGTGATTCTTGTGCCTCAGCCTCCCAAGTAGCTGGGATTGTAGGCACTTGCCACCATGCCTGGCTAATTTTTTTGTATTTTTAGTAGAGGCGGGGTTTCACCATGTTGTCCAGGCTGGTCTCAAAACTCCTGTCCTCAAGTGATCCAGCCGCCCCAGCTTCCCAAAGTGCTGGGATTGCAGGTGTGAGCCACTGCACCCGGCCCTAGAAGCATAAATTTTAGAATAAAGTTATTTTACTGCTTTCTATTCTAGCACTTACCCCAAGGAAACAAGAAATGTTGTCTTACTGCCTGTCAATGTTATTTGATTGCTTTGGTCAGTGGGCCAGATGTTGACATTTATTAATATGAAAATTTCTTATACACAAGATTGTAATAGAATGTTTATCATAAAGATAGTAGTAATACTCAAGATTCAAATTCATAAAATTGAAGGTATAATTTTTATTATTGCTTTTGCTTATAATTCTGGTTTATCAGACATTAAGGACAACTAGGAAAGAACTGGGCCCCATGTTATTGCCACAAATATGTTTTTTGAAGAATACTTTTCTAGGTTTTGTTATAAAACTACCCAAACATCTTGATTCAGTTTCTTGGGGGAAGAAATGGTCATGTTGTTTTGCAAGTGAGAGAAACAAAGTTAATAGAAGTAATCAAGGTGTTCTCTTGGGTCCATTTTTGTTAGGGATAAAGATGTACAGTTGTAGGTTATTTGAATGTTTCTTCTGTGTCAGAGGAATTTGATACAACAGTAAGAAGGTGTTTCAGAGACAGAAGTGATTACTCTCACCAGAATGCAGTTGCTGTTTAAGACAATGGGAGAATGCTTGTTTGTGTATTTCTGGGTTTATAAAGGCAAGACTTTCACCCAGTTAACAGGGCTAGGTTCTCTGTTAGTTTTGAGAGTCACTGTGTGCTCTCTCATGTCAGTTGCATCCATCCTCCCTAGCTTGAGGCCTTTTTGTGGATAATATACATGCTGCCTTCACGGGTATGAAACAGGTGTTTACACAGTGTTAAAAATATAATACTTTACCAACTTGCCTTCTTCAAATATTCTGAGGGCTGTTTTTAATGCCATCTCTCTCTCTCTTTTTTAAGCTCTGCTTATGATAATGTCAACAAAGTTCGAGTAGCTATCAAGAAAATCAGCCCCTTTGAGCACCAGACCTACTGCCAGAGAACCCTGAGGGAGATAAAAATCTTACTGCGCTTCAGACATGAGAACATCATTGGAATCAATGACATTATTCGAGCACCAACCATCGAGCAAATGAAAGATGTGTATCCTTTTTAGGCAACTGGCCAATTCCACTGCTTGGTAACCTTGTTGAGTAAATAGAACTTGAAATTTCCTGAACTTAAAGGAAAAGTGCATTAAACATGCTAAAGGGAAAATCGTAATCTGTTTGCTATTTACTCCCTAAGTCTAGTCATGGAAAATCTTGGTTAACTCTGTTTGCAGTCATGTTTCTTCTGTCCAAGGGATGGTTTGTTGTGATGATGAAAAGGTAAAGGGAAGATCAGTAGTAGACTAAGAAAGAGGGTGCCCTGGCTATCTACCTGGTGAAATCAGGACTGTCCTGATCTTAAGAGTCAGGTTACCACTTTAGGTCTCAGTTTCCCCACCTTTAAAATGAAGGAACTGGTCGTCATGATCTTTAAGGTCAACTGAGGTCTGAAATTATGTGATTAACTCTGACCAACATTTAGAAATCTGGACTGAACAGATCTAGAGGATGCTGCCTGGGTAAAGGCTCCATTTGAAAGATAGAGAGGTTAAGTATACTGAAGAGGATCTGCCAGAAGGGAAAGGGTTATACAGCACTCCTACCAGTTTACCCAATTTGTATTCCGCCCCTCCAGGGTGCGGGAGCTCGCTGTTTCTAGGCAGCCCTTTCCATTTTTAAACAGCTCTGTTAATAAGTTGTAGTGATATTTGAAGTGAAATGCCTCCTGCCACTACCACCTGTTGGTCCTGCTTTACTTTTTGCCATGAAAATAAGCCTCTCTCAGATGACAGATTTTTAAATCATGTTTCCTTTGAATCCCATGCTGCGCCTCCTATAGCATAAATCTGTAAGAAACAGAGACTAGTGTTTACACAGAAGTGAGTAAAAGAAATGTAGAAATACTGCTAATGAAATAATACTATGATGAAGTTAAAGGCTAAATGCTTTAATAATTTAATTTCTGTGAGAAAGAAAGTAGCCATAGCTAAACTTTTAGGTAGTTAAGTACGTGACCAGGCAAGAAAGCATGAGGAGGAAAACTAGCACAAACCCCTTCTTAGAACGACTTGCCCATAGTCTTACTTATTTAAGATCTTAACAGTAATGGAAGAGTCAAGAAAATAGACTTAGGGTTGGATTTACTAGTAAGAGTATGTTTCTAGACCTGTATTTCTGGAAGTTTTATGTTTGGCTTTTGAGGAGCTTGGGAGAGGAGGGGAGCGGCAACAAGAAGTAAAAAGAATAGTGACATTACAGGTTACTGGACCAAACAGAGGAGGGAGTATCTGCTACTTACAGGCTAACAGTGTTTCCAGCAAACCTTGGAGGGGGTTCGTTGATGGTGGACAATTTAGAGAGCAAAGAGGTTGAGACTTCAAGATTGACCAGAATTTCCCTAACAGCCTGTTTCAGATCTCAGTCTAGGCCCATAGCCGCATCAGTCAGATGTAATGCTGGAATGCCTGCCATCTCACAGGACCTAAAAGGAGTTAACGACTTCAGATTCTTTCCATGAAGGAAACCAAGTTTTCCTCAGTTTCTTCTTTCCTTTAAGGGCTTCATGGTGTAATGATGGACTGTTTGGGAAGAGAGTCAAGAGAGGATGCATTTTTGTTTTCAATGCTTTGCTAAATGTGACCAGCTAATTGGTGTTTTACCTTAACCTGTGCAAACAGATATATAGTACAGGACCTCATGGAAACAGATCTTTACAAGCTCTTGAAGACACAACACCTCAGCAATGACCATATCTGCTATTTTCTCTACCAGATCCTCAGAGGGTTAAAATATATCCATTCAGCTAACGTTCTGCACCGTGACCTCAAGCCTTCCAACCTGCTGCTCAACACCACCTGTGATCTCAAGGTCAGCCAGGTTATTTACTATTAAGGTGATATATATTGAAAAACCCTTTCACTGAAGCATAGTTATATTTGTCATTATTCATATTTTAAATTACACCAGAAATACCCAAAAACATGTTTATGGCAAAAATGCTAATAAAGTGTGGTAGTCCTCTTCTTCTTCCTTATCCCATTGCTCCTTTCTCCCCAGAGATACCTTTTTTTTTTTTTTCTTAAAGACAGAGTCTTAGTATGTTGCCCAGGCCGGTCTGGAACTCCTGGGCTCAAGCAGTCCTCCTTTCTTGGCCTCCCAAAGTGCTGGGATTATGTATGTGGGCCACAGCACCAGGCCGTGATAACTAACTACTATAACAAATTGGTGGCCAGTTGCGGTGGCTCACGCCTGTAATCCTAGCACCTTGGGAGGCCAAGGTGGGCCTTATCACCTGAGGTCAGGAGTTCAAGACCAGCCTGGCCAACATGGCGAAACCCCATCTCTACTAAAAATACAAAAATCAGCCGGGCGTGGTGGCATGCGCCTGTAATCCCAGCTACATGGGAGCTGAGGTAGGAGAACCGCTTGAACCTGGGAGGCGGAGGTTGCAGTGAGCCGAGATCACACCACTGCACGCCAGCCTGGGTGACAAAGCAAAACTCTGTCCTAAAAAACAAAGTGTATTTTCTCCCAAAGTATTTTCTATGCTCTTGCATACATGTGTATTTTTATACTTTATATAGATAAACAGGATCACGTACATTATGTGTTAGTTTTTTTGTTCGTTTGTTTGTTTTTTGAGATGGAGTCTCGCTCTGTCACCCAGGCTGGAGTGCAGTGGCGCGATCTCAGCTCACTGCAAGCTCTGCTTCCCAGGTTCCCGCCATTCTCCTGCCTCAGCCTCCCGAGTAGCTGGGACTACAGGCACCTGCCACCACGCCTGGCTAATTTTTCTTTGTTTTTGTATTTTTGTAGAGATGGGGTTTCACCGTGTTAGCCAGGATGGTCTCAATCTCCTGACCTTGTGATCCGCCCACCTTGGCCTCCCAAAGTGCTGGTATTACAGGCGTGAGCCACCGCGCCTGGCCTTATGTGTTAGTTTTAAAATCATGTTTTGTTGGTGACATTTTTCTTCAATAAATTTTATTCAAAAGATAGCAGCAGAAAACTTAACGTCACTGACTTTAATACCTAATAAGGCATTCCAACTAAATAAGAAAACCCCAAATTCTTTACAGTCCTCAGAGTTCTGAAAATATGCAGCATTTACATATTTCTGTTTTAATGGGTGTTACAGGTAAACGAGGGAAATTTATGGATATCTTAGATGTGACGGAGCGATGTCGATTCAGTCTAAAAAAATGCACAGGAATTCAAGAAGACCTAAATAAATGGGAAGGCATCCCATGTCTGTGGATCATAAGACTTAATACTGTTAAGATGGCAGTATTCTCCAAATTGATTTGCAGATTTAGTGCAATCCCTATCAAAGCCCCCAGTTGTTTTTTTCTGTAGAAATTGACAGGCTGATCCCAAAATTCATATGGAAATTCATATGGAGAACTGATACACTTCCTGATTTCAAAACTTACTGCAAAACACAGTAATCAAGACAGTGTGCTACTGGCATAAGAATAGACATATAGGTCAGTGGAATAGAAGTGAGAGTCAGTAAATAAACCCGTGTATCTATGGTCAACTGATTTTTGGCAAGGATGCCAGGACCATTCACTGGGGAAAGAATAGTCTTTTCAGCAAATGAATCTGGGACAACTGAATAGCCACATACAAAAAGATGAAAAAATTAACTCAAAATGGCTGGGTGCAGTGGTTCGCGCCTGTAATCCCAGCACTTTGGGAGGCCAAGGCCTGTGGATTGCCTGAGCTCCGGAGCAAGACCAGCCTGGGCAACATGGCAAAACCCCATCTCTACCGAAAATACAAAAAAATTAATCTGGGCGTGGTGGCATGTGCCTGTGGTCCCAGCTACTCAGGAGGCTGAGTGGGAGGACTGCTTGAGCCTGGGAGGTGGAAATTGCAGTGAGCAGAGATTGCACCACTGCACTCCATCTGGGGTGACAGAGTGAGACCTTGTCTCAAAAGGAAAAAAAAATTCAAAATGGATTGAAGAACTCAATTAAAAGCTAAAACTTTAATACTCTTAGAAAACATAGAAGTAAATCTTTGCAATCTTATGTTAGGCAAAGCTTCTTAGACATGACACCAAAAGCACAAGCAACAAAAGAAAAAAGTAAGTGGATTCCATCAAGATTAGAAACTTGTGCTACAAAGCAAACCATCAAAAAAGTGAAAAGGCAAGCCACAGAATGAGAGAAGGTATTTGCAAATCATACATCTGATAAGGGACTTAAAACTAGAATATATGAAGAACTCTTATAACTCAATAATGAAAAGATAAATAGCCTAGTTTAAAAAATGGACAAAGGATCTGAATAGACATTTCTCTAAAGAAGATATACAGATGGCAATAAGCACATGGAATGATAGATGCTTGACATCATTAGTCAGTAGAAAAATGCAAATCAAAATTACATTGAAACAACTTCATGCTAACTAGGATGGCTGTAGTTAAAAAGTCAGATAATAAGTGTTGGTGAGGATTCCACTCCTTAGTGAAAATGAAAACATGCATCTATACAAAAACTTGAACACAAATCTTCATAGTGGTATTGTTCACTATAGCCAGTAAGTAGAAACAATCCAAATGTCCAGCTGATGATGAATAAATACAGTGTGGTGGATCCACACAGTAGAAGAGAAAGGAGTGAAGTACTGATAATGCTACAACATGGATGAATCTTGGAAACATGTCTGTGAAGGAAGGCAGCCACAGAAGACACATATTGTATGATTCTGTTTACGTGAAATGTCTAGAATAGGCAAATCCATAGAGACAAAAATTAGAATTAGTGGATTACTGATTGCCTAGGGCTAGAGGAGTTGGGAGAATAAAGAAGGAAGGAATACTAACTCACTGGAATTTCTTTTTGAGGTTATAAAAATATTTTCAAATTGGATGGTGGTAATGGTTAATTTCCACCATTATAATACTAAAACCATTGAGTTATACACTTTAAATGAGCAAATTGTATGGTGTGTGAATTATAGGTTAATAAAGCTGCTTAAGTACATATATATGTATAGCAATAATCATTTATTGGATTTCAGTTCAACAGACACTCCTATGAGAAGCCCTTTGAGATACGCCAGACAAGAGAGATGAGGGTCTGCCCTTGAAATCTGAAAACTGATAGATCAGAAATCTGGTAGACAGTAGGTGATTATAATGAGATGTTCTGTAACTGAGATGGAGAAAAAGATGGTGTACAAATGCAAAGGAGAGAGGTGGGCTAGCGCTGGCTGGGACTGGGAGGCAGCAGGAAGAAGGTGGTATCTGTGCCGGCCCTCGAGGTTGGGTAGCTTTTCTTGCGGGAGGCCAGTGGCTCTATTGGACATAGGGTATCATAGGCAGAGAGTACAGAAATAAAATAAGAAGGAAGGGACTACTACCGAAAGCACTGAGTCTTCCTCCCTGTGGCTGCAGCATTGGATGAGTAATAGGGAGTCATCGACACTAAGCTAAAAAGGTTGGTTGCAAGTAGATCGTGGGGAACCTTCTAGAACTGTGTGTAAAAAGCGGTGGGTTTTGTCACGGTGGGTGAACACGGTGGCCAATGTCCAGTGAGATGTAAAGGACAGCTTCCTTCATCAGATATTGTGTGGATTGGACTCTGTCCCCTCTTAGGATCCTTCTGATACAGGTTTATGTCTTTTCCACATGGGATGGAACCAGCTCCTTTACCTGGATCAGTGCAACCAAGAGTCAGGTGGGCACAAAACGAATAAAGCTATGTTTAGGATGGCTGTACTACTTCTTTGGCACTTAATGATTGTCTTGAAAATTTGCAGTGAATATTTTTATGTCTCCTCGTGTTTTTTTTTTCTTTTGGTTATCATCATAGCCCTGTTATGGCAGATTGCTTTTGTTTTTGGAGAGACATTCTCAATCAATATTTTAAGCATATAACATTTCTGGGAAGAATTGGCTCTTATTTTTGCTTGAAAGTGTTCATCTTTAAGAATAAAACAAATAGAACCAGACTACTCTCTCTGTTGTCTCTTCCCAGTTTATGGACTTGTCTTTAAGGCCATTCTGTTCACCTACTCACACTCACACACACGAGTTGTTGGCCGTGGCATAATTTAGGCATCGTCTTGAAAACCCAAGTTAACACAAAGAATCAGAAGCATAACAAATTGACTAACATTTTATTTTATTTTATTTTATTTTTATTTTATTTATTTTTATTTTTATTTTATACTTTTTCGAGATAGAGTCTTGCTCTGTTGCCCAGGAGTACAGTGGCATGATCTCAGCTCACTGCAACCTTCACCTCCTGGGTTCAAGCAATTCTCCTGCTGAAGCTTCCTGAGTAGCTGAGATTACAGGTGCCCACCACCATGCCTGGCTAATTTTTGTATTTTCAGTAGATACGGGGTTTCACCATATTGGCCAGGCTGGTCTCGAACTTCTGATCTCGTGATCCGCCCGCCTTGACCTCCCAAAGTGCTGGGATTCTACAGGCATTTGCCACCACACCCGGCCTTTACTGATATTTTAAAAGTATACAGCAGTCAGGTGCCATGGCTCACGCCTGTAATCCCAACACATTGAGTGGCTGAGGCAGGCGGATCGCCTGAGGTCAGGAGTTCAAGTCCAGTCTGACCAACTTGGTGAAACCCTGTCTCTACTGAAAATACAAACAAATTAGCTGGGTGTGGTGGCGCACACCTGTAATCCCAGCTACTTGGGAGGCTGAGGCACGAGAATCAGTGGGAGGCAGAGGTTGCAGTGAGCTGAGATGGCACCACTGCACTCCAGCCTGGGCAACAGGGTGAGACTCCATCTCAGAAAAAAAAAAGTATACAGCAATGTGTGTGCATCATTCTCATGGGTATAAATGCGAGAAGAGAGAATCTCATTCAAAGATGAGTATGGTATGTCACTGATTTGTTACAGTGAGCGTGTCAAAGCAGGGCAAGAGGCAGTGGCAGTTCAGTGTGCATATGACAGTTGAGAACACCACATGAGGAGAGGACTTGTGTTTGCTGGAGCTCTGGGATCACTGCACATTTATCACATCCTCAGTGCCATGTGACCATGATGCCTATTCCCACAGGCCCCTTGGCCTAGGAAGTTTGTAACTTGCAGCGTCACTGACCTCCTGTTATTTAGGTCCTTTCAGATTTTCAAGAAGATTTCTTCAACCTTCATCCAATGACTTCTATGTTACAGTGTTTTTTACTCTTGAACCCTTACCAAAATATCTTGAACCCTTATCGATATCAGCTATTATCAGTGTCTTAGACCTTTAACTTTTGGCTCTGTTATCAGTCAAGGCCGACAGAAATAAGCTTGCTTTTTGGTTTCCATAAACATGCTTTGCACTTATTTTATGAAGCTTAAGACCCAGCAGACATTGACATCTTAGGACCCTTCCGGGATCCTCTCTTGTAGACTTTATTCTTCAGGACCACAGGAACTCACCAGGGTTACAGACCCTATTTGGAGGCTCTGCTAGCACATTTCTAGTGTAACTACCAGGGAACGTGAGCTATACTAGTCTGTGCCCTTGTTTACTAGACTGATCCCACAGAAATCCCAGTAGGAGTCACAAGATGCTGGGATCACAACATGTGAAAATTCTGGCTATGCCTATGAAAGAAAGACTCTGATAGATACAAATGAAACACGTCTTTGGGGCATCCTTTGTTTTTGAAAATCTGAATTTACACAGCCCAAAAGGTATATTTTCTTGTACCATATCCTTATTTATTTTCCTTTGTATGGAATTATACTGAGTACTACTGCTTTTTTATTTTGTAGCCTTGGCATTGTATTGATTAGTGTCATGTAAATTTGGTTAGTCTTTGATTTTATAGTGTTGACAGACCTTAAAAAAAAATCATGGCCAGGCATGGTGGCTCACACCTGTAATCCCAACACTTTGGGAGGCTGAGGTGGTTGAATCACCTGAGGTGAGGAGTTCGAGACCAGCCTGGCCAACGTGGTGAAACCCCATCTCTACTAAAAATAGAAAATAAGCCACACCATGATATTGGAGGGCCAGATGATGAAAGGCCAGTAGATGCTTGAGACCGGAGAAAATGAGAAACTATGTATTTTTTAAAAATAAAATATTCTTAAGTATATGAAACTTTAAAAAAAAAAAGCTTTGGGAGTAGGTTTGACTACCTAGAAGAAGGAAGTGGGAAGAATCTTTGGAAATACTTATATTTATAGACTAAGTAGAAGACTAGCAGAAAGTAGAGTCTGAGAATAGAAGGCCAGTGCAGATCTTCACAGCAGTCCTGAGAGCTCCAGCAGGACAGGCTGAGAAAAGGGTACTGGTTGGTTTTGGTGACTACTCAGAACAGTTTTTGTCAATTCACCTATTGAGATTGCTTTGTGCTAAGCAGATAATGAAAGGTAGGGATGCTTCTTAAAGTGTGCTCTGTAAAGACTTCTTCAGCCTGCATCCTGGTCTCTAACATGTTGATTGCTTTTCAGGTTGTTGGGAAAATTAAATAATGATTTTCTAGAATGCCCAGAAAGTATCTGCCACTTAGTAGCATTATTATTCCTATTGCCTTTTTTATTTTTGTGATGTTTTGATATGAAAGGTTAGAATTTCTAAGAAGTTATCCTGTTTTTTTTCTCTCTTAGATCTGTGACTTTGGCCTGGCCCGTGTTGCAGATCCAGACCATGATCACACAGGGTTCCTGACAGAATATGTGGCCACACGTTGGTACAGGGCTCCAGAAATTATGTTGAATTCCAAGGTAAGGATGAAGTTTGCATAAAAAGAAATCCAGTAAGTAAGAGAACTTTCTGAATGCATTGCAGTAAGCCGTAAGTCTCCCTCTGCGTTGAGAGTTTGCCTGTCTGGCCAGAGACAAGGTGCTGTCTTTTTTGAGACAGGGTGTTACTCTGTCACCCAGGCTGGAGTGCAGTGGCACCATCACGGCTTACCAGTCTCAACCTCCTGGGCTCAAGTGACCCTCCTCACCTCAGTCTCCGGAGTTGCTGGGACTACAGAGTGCACCGCTACACCTGGCTAATTTTTTTTTTTTTTTGAGATGGAGTCTCACTCTGTTGCCCAGGCAGAGTGCAGTAGCACAATCTCAGCTCACTGCAAGCTCCGCCTCCTGGGTTCACACCATTCTCCTGCCTCGGCCTCCCAAGTAGATGGGACTACAGGCTCCCGCCACCATGCCCGGCTAATTTTTTGTATTTTTTAGTAGAGACGGGGTTTCACCGTGTTAGCCGGGATGGTCTCTATCTCCTGACCTTATGATCCGCCCACCTCAGCCTCCCAAAGTGCTGGGATTACAGGCGTGAGCCACTGTGCCTGGCCACATCTGGCTAATTTTTAAATTTTTTTTGTAAAAGTAGGGCGTCTTCCTATGTCGCATGTTGCCCAGGCTGGTCTTGAACTCCTGAGCTTAAGGGATCCACCCACCTCAGCACCCCCCACGCCCCCCGCAAAGTGCTGGGATTACAGGGATGAGCCACCACACCTGGCCCCAAGGTGCTGTCTAAATTTTGTTCGGCATTGAACTTCTGGGCCCTAGGGCTCAGCCTCTCTACCTCAGCTGATATAGTGCTGACGGTTGTAGAGTAGGAGGGGGTGTGCCTCTCCAGTCACTGTTACCATAAGTGGTCTGTGTTTCACTCCTTGGACAGCTGTCCTGAAGTCCTACCTATCGCTGTCACTGTTAGGTGCAGGCTGGGTTTGTTGTAGAGGTTATTCAGTAATGTGTATTTCTGTGAACATGGGCCAGGGCTATTCTATAAAGGTCAAATTTATCTGATAATGAAGAATGTCTCTTCGGCAGAATTATATTGTAATTTGTTGTACTTGAAGAAAACATAAATGTGGACAGAGTAGGAACTGCCGTGGATTCTTTTGAAATTACGTGATTTCCTGCTTCCAAATGAAGTGCTTTCCTCTGCATCTGTGAGTGGCTATAGAGAGTGCATCCAGGTCTCATCCACACTCTACTAGCAAGGTCTGTGTCTTGGTCATAAGAAATGGTTGAATAAGTTTACAAAAGCCCAGAAAAGTGAAGTCTGACATTTTTTGTTGGGTTTATGAGCCAGGAGGCAAAAATTGAGGGCTGCTATGGAGATTGAGATTCAGTATTTTTCTGTTATTTGCAAATAATATATGAATAAGGTGTGAAAATTGAGTAGTTAAGTAGGCCTGACATACTACCTGTATCTAGTATCTCAGGATTATAAGATTCTTAAACACAGTTCCCTCTGCTGTCATGTAAAGATACTTGAAGAAAAGCAATAAAAATAGACATTGGATCTTGTATCTAGGGCCCAGGAACCAGAAATAGTCCTGAGAGGCTTAGTGGAAATGAAAGAACAGGTCTAATTAGCTTATAGTCTTCTTTTTCTTCCTCCATCCTTTATTACTAGTACAGATAAGCTATTAGATTTTTTCATAAGGAAATGGAATTTGTTTAAAGCATTTAGTTTTTCTTGATATCCTACATTTGTTCAGTTTAGTTATAAAAGTAAAATCTCATTAACATAAATTCCATTATAAAGAAGGATTTGGTGTAACAGATGTTTCAGAGAAGAAAATGCCATGTTGATTCTCTGTAATTCTATATCACAAATAATCCCACACAACAGGTTCTTTCTCTGACTGGCCACGTGACAGCCATTCTAAACAAGGAGCATTGGCATGCCAGTGTTCAGTGCCAGTTGTAAAGGGAGCTGTTGGTGTGCCTTTGTCCTGGTGTGGCTTGGTCTTGCAGTCTCCGTTCTGACTTAGACGCCGCCACTGTCTCCACTTCTCTATTACCCTCCAGGGAGAAGTAGCCAGAGAGGGTGTTCTTCAAGATGACCAGCTTTTCCTTCTACTTGCAGGGTCACCAAAGTGAAAATTGAGTGTTCATTTTTTTCTTATTTGCGATACCTGTAGCCTGAGAATGTTACTTCTAGCAGTTGTCTTCATTTTGTTTATTTTTATTAATGTAGAAAATTATCAAACCCATAGAAAAATTGAGAGTAGAGTGAATACCCATATGCCCCTGTCCTTGGTTCTCCAGCTATTAACACCTTGTCATATTTCTTATCCCTCCTTCCCTCTCTTACTCTTTCCTTTCTCTCTCTCTTTCTTCTTCTGTCTCTTCTCTTTTGTCAGACCATGTGACACTTCACCAACATATAACACTTCACTCCTAGACCCTTTGGGGCATACTAATGCTCCTTACAAGGAAGGTGTTCTTCCCACAGCTAGAGTACCCTTACCCTTTCATAAAATGATCAGCATTAATTCCATGACATCCCATCCTCCCAAAAAAGTCTAGGTAACTCTGTTTTCAACACATGATTTAATTGTTTCATGCATTATTCTTAGTCTAGAACAGTCTTGCCCTTCCTCTCTTCTTTAAGACATTCAGTACTTTGCAATGTACAGATCAGTTGTTTCACAGAGTGGTTCACATTGTGGATTCCTCCAGTGAGTTCTTTCTGATGAGATGTAGCTTGCACGTTTCTAACACGACCACTACAGATTCCTGAAGACGGTGCAGAAGTAGCTGGGACTACAGGTGCCCGCCACCACGCCCGGCTAATTTTTTTGTATTTTTAGTAGAGACAGGGTTTTACCATGTTAGCCAGGATGGCCATCCTTGTTTCCCAGCAGCCTTCCCCCAGTGGTTCAGCACTCACTTCTGTCAGTTATCATACTGGAGGTTATAAAATGGTAATTTTCTAAATTTGTTCTTTCTTTTACTTGTATTAGCTAGAATTCTCCTATGAAGATTTTTCCCATTTACCCTTTCTCTTCCTCTGTATCCTACCTTTGTTTTTAAAACACTATTGCAGACCCAGGATTTTTTTTTTATGTGTTCTCCATTTTAATTTTCTTTCTTTTTTTTTTTTAAACTCATATTGTCCCAGTTTTGAGAAGCTAGAGCACTCTGTGTACATATTTGTAACGTTTTATAGAATTTCAGCTTTCAGAAAACTTGCGCTGTTTTAGCTTGTTTAGGAAAGAAAAAAAATTTTTTAAAGAAAAGTTGCTGGGTGTGGTGGCTCACACTTGTAATCCCAGCACTTTGGGAGGCCGCGGTGGGTGGATTACTCGCCAGGAGTTCGATACCAGCCTAGCCAACTTTGTGAAACCCCATCTCTACTAAAAATACAAAAAATTAGCCAGGCATGATGGTGGACACCTGTAATCTCAGCTACTCAGGAGGCTGAGGCATGAGAATCGTTTGAACCCGGGAGGCAGAGGTTGCAGTGAGGCAAGGTCACACCACTATACTCCAGCCTGGGTGGCAGAGTGAGACTCTGTCTAAAAACATAAAAGTTGCAAGAAAAGTATAAGGTAGCCATTCTCAAACCTTCTTGTCTCAGGATACCTTTACATTTCTTTCTTTCATTGGTTCATTCTTTCTTTTGTTCTTTCTGTTTTTTTTTTTTTGAGACCGAGTCTCACTCTGTCACCCAGGCTGGAGTGCAGTGGTATGATCTCGGCTCACTGCAACCTCTGCTTCCCAGGTTCAAGCGATTCTCATGCCTCAGTCTCCCAAGTAGCTGGGATTACAGATGCATGCCACCAAGCCCAGCTAATTTTTGTATTTTTAGTAGAGACGGGGTTTCACCATGTTGGTCAGGCTGGTCTCAAACTCCTGACCTCAAGTGATCCACCCCCCTCAGCCTCCCAAAGTGCTGGGATTACAGGTGTGAGCCACTGCGCCCAGCCTCTTTTTTTTTTGAGACAGTCTTGCTCTGTCACCCAGATGGAGTGCAACGGCACCATCTCGGCTCACTGCAACCTCGGCCTCCTAGGTTCAAGCAGTTCTCCCTGCCTTAGCCTCCCAAGTAGCTGGGATTACAGGCACCTGCCACCACGCCTGCCTAATTTTTGTATTTTTAATAGAGATGGGGTTTCACCACATTGGCTGGTCTCAAACTCCTGACCTCAGATGATCCACCCACCTCAGCCTCCCAAAGTGCTGGGATTACAGGCATGAGCCACCGTGCCTGGCTTTTTTTTTTTTTTTTTTTTTTTGAGACGGGGTTTCTCTCTGTCACCCAGGCTGGTAGCCACCCCCTCCTCAAGCGATCCTCCAGCCTTGCCTCCTGTGTAGCTGGGACTACAAGCGTGTACCACCATGCCCGGCTAATTTTTGTATGTTTTTGTAGGGACAGGGTTTTGCCATGTTGGCCAGGCTGGTCTCAAACTCCTGGGCTCAACTGATCCACCCACCTCAGCCTCCCAAATTGCTAGGATTGCAGGCATGACCCACTGCGCCCAGCCAAGATCCCTTTACATTTGTTAAAAATTATCAAGGACCAGCTGGGCATGGTGGCTCACACTTATAATCCTAGCACTTTGGGAGGCCGAGGCGGGTGGATCAGTTGAGCCCAGGAGTTCGAGACCAGCCTGGCCAACATGGAGAAACCCTGTCTCTACTAAAAATACAAAAAATGCACTGGGCATGGTGGCACACACCTGTAATCCCAGCTACTTGGAGGCTGAGGCAGGAGAATCGCTTGAACCTGGGAGGTGGAGGTTGCAGTGAGCCGAGATCTTGCCACAGTACTCCAGCCTGGGTGACAGAGTGAGACTCTGTCTCAAAAAAAAAAAAAAAGTCAAGGACCCACACACCTTTTTTTAGTTACGTAGGTTATATCTATTGTTATTTACAATATGAAACTTTTTTTTTTTTAATTTTTGGAGAGAAGTCTGGCGCTTGTCCCCCAGGCTTGAGTGCAATGGCTCAATCTTGGCTCACTGCGACCTCTGCCTCCCGGGTTCAAATGATTCTCCGGCCTCGCCTCCCGTGTAGCTGAGACTACAAGTGTGTACCACCATGCCCGGCTAATTTTTGTATTTTTTAGTACAGATGGGGTTTCACCATGTTGGCCAGGCTGCTCTTGAACTTCTGACTTCAGGTGATCCACCCGCCTCGGCTTCCCAAAGTGCTGGGGTTACAGGCATGAGCCACCACACCCGGCCTACAATATGAAACTTTAAAATGTATTAATTAATTTTTAAATAGTAAACCCACTACATGTTAAGATAAATTACATGTTTTTCTTAAGAATAAGTTTATTTTCTACAATAAAAACGTTTTAGTGAGGCCAGGCATGATGGCTCTCACCTATAATCCCAACACTTTGGAAGGCCAATGCAGGAGGATCACCAGGAGTTTGGAACCAGCCCTGGTGACATAGTGAGACTCTGTACAAAAAAGAAATTTATTTATTTATTTATTTATTTTTTGAGACGGAGTCGTGCTCTGTCACCCAGGCTGGAGTGCAGTGGTGTGATCTCAGCTCACTGCAAGGTCCGCCTCCCAGGTTCACGCCATTCTCCTGCCTCAGCCTCCCGAGTAGCTGGGACTACAGGCGTCCGCCACCACGCCTGGCTAATTTTTTTGTATTTTTAGTAGAGACAGGGTTTTAACCATGTTAGCCAGGATGGGCTCAACCTCCTGACCTTGTGGTCCACCTGCCTCGGCCTTCCAAAGTGCTGGGATTACAGGTGTGAGCTGCTGTGCCCTGCCATCTGTACAAAAAATTTTAAAATCAGCTGGGCATGGTGGTGTGCACCTATAGTTCCAGCCACTCAAGAGGCTGAGATGGGAGATTTTCTTGAGCCCAGGAAATTGAGGCTGCGGTGTACCGTGATCACGCCACTGCACTCCAGCCTGGGCAACAGGGTGAGACCCTGTCTTTAAAAAAAGCAAAACGAAAAACAACCTTTTAGTGAGAAGAGTGGCATTGTTTTCATTTTTGCAAGTCTCTTTAATGTCTGGCTTAATAGAAGACAGTTGGATTCTCATCTGGTTCTGCATTCAGTCTGTCAAATATGTTGTTTTGGTTTAAGTTCATGAGGAAAACTCTTTTTTTTTTTTTTTTCAGGCTTTAATCAATTTAATAATCAATATAATATTACATGCATAGTTCTTCAAAAATGTCAAGGAAAACTCTTTCCCATGGATTTTAACTGCTTGAATTCAGAGCATAGAAAACAGAAGAAAACTTGAGTGCAATATTAATAAAGACCCTTTAAAAAAGATGTTATATAAAAAGAAAAATCGCAAGCCAGTGAAAAATACATGCAAAATTCTAAATAACATTTTAGCAAACAAAATCTATGCTTAAAAGCATAACACACAAAAAAGTGAGATTTTTCCCTAGTATGTAACAGTAATCAGACATTTTATCAAGACATTTACAAATAAGCCTAAAAATAGATGTCTGAGTGCTATTTATGAAATTCAAGATCTATTCCTCCCATCCAAGCACTAACCAGGCCAACCCTGCTTAGCTTCCGAGATCAGACAAGATCGGGCGTGTTCAGGGTGGTATGGCCAGAGGAAAACTCTTCACACAGGTATGTAGCTGGAAAAAGGAGGGAAATTTTAGTAGTCTTTTCAGCCACTTGTGGCTATTCTTTGATCCTACCCCCAGTTTAAACAAGTGGTGGTTTCTTAAAGGTTAATTGCAGTGTGGAATCTGAAATCATATCAGTGAATTCTTGATACTATTTCGTTAAAATCCATTAGTCTACCTTGCACTCATACTCATGCATGATTTTTTAGCGTATTTGGAAAATACTGGTTCACTGAGTTACACAGATATTCCAAGTGTCACATTTTCATGTACACATCATCACTCATCATATTGCATCTGGAAAAATCTTCTTTTCACTCGTGACTGAAAAGGATGAAAATGTCATAGTAGTATAATAAATGTACTGTGACCTCTCAGATCCTCTAGAGGGAACCCATAGGAGTCTCTGGAACACTCTTGTAGAACCGCCAGATAGAACTCCTAAATACCCTTTACCCCAGATTCAGGCTCACCGATTTTTTATCTTTTGCCCCATTTGCTTTATCATTCTTTGTGTGCATGTGTGTGGGCACTCCCACGCACTCTGAGTCATTTGAGAGTAAATTGTAGATACACCCCTTCACCTTGTTTCAGTATGTCTTTACTTCAAACCATGGTCCTGTTGTTCCCTGGGGACATGTGGCAGGGTTGTCACAGTGAGGGGTAGGGGTACTCCCTGCATCAAGAGGCCAGAGATGCTGCTAAAAATCCTACGATATACAGAACAGCCCTCCAAACAGAAACTTTCTCAGCCCAAAATGTTAGTCATACCGAGGTTGAAAAACCCTGCCTTAAGAGTATTCTCTAACATGACCACAGTACAGTTTTCAAAATCAAGAAACTTAATACTGATTCAGTATCTAATGCACAGTTTATATTCACATTTTAGATATTATCCCAATAACCTTTGAACTATACCCCACCCAAACCACCCCCCGACCTGGGCACAGGTTCACATGTTGTACTGTCATGAGTTTTGTTTGTTTGCTTGTTTGCTTGCTTGTTTTAAGACCAGGTTCGCAGGCCAGCCACAGTGGCTCACACCTGTAATCCCAGCACTCTGGGAGGCCAAGGTGGGTGAATCACATGGGGTCAGGAGTTCGAGATCAGCCTGGCCAACATGGCAAAACCCTGTCTCTGCTAAAAATACAAAAAATTTAGCTGGACATAGTGGCAGGCACCTGTGATCCCAGCTACTCAGGAGGCTGAGGCAGGAGAATCGCTTGAACCCAGGAGGTGGAGGTTGCATGAGCTGAGATCGTGCCATTGCACTCCAGCCTGGGTGACAAAGCAAGACTCCGTCTCAAAAAAAAAGGACGGGTTCTCATTCTGTCACCCAGGCTGGGGTACCGTGGCACCATCTCGGCTCACTGCAACCTCCGCCTCCTGGGCTCAAGGCCATCCTCCCACCTTAGCCTCCCAAGTATCTGAGACTACAGGCACGTGCTACTGCTCATGGCTGATTTACTTATTTATTTTTGTGCTTTTCATAGAGACAGGTTGTTGTGTTTCTTTAGTCTCCTTTAAGAGTGCAGATGAGCTATTTTGTAGAATGCCCCTCAGTTTTGGGTCATGCATTTTTAACATGAATACCAGAAAAGCACTTCATTGTATTAGAAGGCACTTCTGGAGCCAGGTATGGTGCCTCATGCCGTAATCCCAGCTCTTTGGGAGGCTGAGGCAGGAGGATCATTTGAGCCCAGGAGTTTGAAACCAGCCTGGGCAAATAGTGGGACCCCTTCTCTACAAAAAATTTAAAAATCAACCAGGTGTGGTGGTGTATGCCTGTGGCCCACCTACTGTGTGCCAGCTACTCAGTAGTGCCAGCTACTCAGGACCTGGCTGAGGTGAGAGGATCACCTGAGACAAGGAAGTTGAATTTGCAGTGAGGCATGATTACACCATTGCACTTCAGCCTGAGTGACAGAGTGATGACACCATCTCTTAATTTTAAAAGAGTCAGCTTATATTCCTTGGAGAAACATCTTTTTTGCACCATTGTTATGATTCAGACAGAATCCTTCCATGATTTTTTTTTTTTTTTTTTAATTTTTAGAGAAAGGGTCTCACTCTGTCACCCAGGCTGGAATGCATTGGCTCGGTCACAGCTCACTGCAGCCTCCAATCCCTGGGCTTAAGTGATCCTCCCACCTCAGCCTCCCGAGTAGCTGGGACTGCAGGTGTGAGCCACCATGTGTGGCAAAATAATAATAATAATGATAATAATAATAATAATTAGTTAATACCCAGTGTTGTTGAGGACATGAGGAAATGCATTTTCTTTCACATGCTGCTATTAGGAGTGTAACAGTGCAACTGCAGTCATAGTTCACTGCAGCCTCAAACTCCTGGCCTCAAGCAGTACTCCCACCTCAGCCTCCCAAAGTATCCTCCCATGACTTCTAACAGGATTCCTTTAAAAGAAAACATATTCCTGAAAAATGAATAGGAAAAGAAGATGAGAATTCTTTTATTTTATTTTATTTGTTATGTTATGTTATATGTTATGTTATGTTTTATGTTATGTTTATGTTATGTTATGTTATGTTATGTTATGTTATGTTATGTTATGTTATATGTTATGTTATGTTATTTTTGGAGATGGAGTCTCCCTGTGTTGCCCAGGCTGGAGTGCAGTGGTGCAATCTCGGCTCACTGCAACCTCTGCCTCCTAGGTTCAAGCAATTCTCCTGCCTCTGCCTCCCAAGTAGCTGGAACTATGGGTGCCCACCACCACGCCCGGCTAATTTTTGTAGTTTTAGTAGAGACAGGGTTTCACTATGTTGGCCAGGCTGATCTTGAACTTCTGACATCAGGTGATTCGCCCGTCTCGGCATCCCAAAGTGCTGGGATTACAGACGTGAGCCACCATGCCCAGCTGAGAATATTTTAGAAGAGATTGGTAAAATATGATGGAGCTAGCACACACTCCCCCAAACCCAGAAAAGGTTTTTAGACCTTTTTTCTTTTTCCAGCTCCAATTTATGACAATTCTAAATCTGTCTCTCAAATTGTTTCAAAAAAGGACGGATGTATACTTTGGAAATTCTAATTTAATAAGTTAATCAACTTTGTGGGTTTGTTGTTGTTTTGAGACAGAGTCTCGCTCTGTCACCCAGGCTGGAGTGCAGTGGCACGATCTTGGCTCACTGCAACCTCTGCCTCCTGGGTTCAAGCAATTCTCCTGCCTCAGCCTCCCACGTAGCTGGGATTACGGGCACCCACTACCATGCCCGGCTAATTTTTTTGTATTTTTAGTAGAGATGGGGTTTCACCATGTTGGCCAGGCTAGTCTCAAACTCCTGGCCTCAAGTGATCCGCCCGCCTCGGCCTCCCAAAGTGCTGGGATTACAGGCATTAGCCACTGTGCCCAGCCCAAGTTAATCAACTATGAAGAGAAAAATAAAATCACATAATCTTGGTTGTTCAGCCTCTCATAAGAAAGCCAAATTGTTTTTTGCTTTTCCATGTTGTTTACTTGTATTTCTGAATTGTAGAGTCAAAGGAGAAGTTCAGAGTCCCATCAGCAATGCACCTGTCATACAGGAAGATCTCATCATGTCCTGTAACACCAGATACCATTTTCAGTCTTTTCTCTCTTTCTCCTGCAGGGCTACACCAAGTCCATTGATATTTGGTCTGTAGGCTGCATTCTGGCAGAAATGCTTTCTAACAGGCCCATCTTTCCAGGGAAGCATTATCTTGACCAGCTGAACCACATTTTGGGTAAGGTTCCCGAGCCCTTCAGGAGCTAGATTTACTCAAGTTTGTACAGCTTACATCAAAGTCACTTCATTAAATTAAGAAGAGTTCTAATATACTCTTTAACCTGTGGTAGGTGTGAATTTTTAACCTTCTCTGATTTAAAATGTTAAGGACTTTTGTGTAAAAACATAAGAAAGGTAAACATCAGGAGTGGTGATAAGCAACGGCTCATATCAATTATCAGGGTTCATTCCGACTCAGAGTTGATGGTGTGTAGTCATTTACCTTGGTCCTGATAACTAATAGCTAATTTTTTTATCTGATAGGTATTCTTGGATCCCCATCACAAGAAGACCTGAATTGTATAATAAATTTAAAAGCTAGGAACTATTTGCTTTCTCTTCCACACAAAAATAAGGTGCCATGGAACAGGCTGTTCCCAAATGCTGACTCCAAAGGTAAATGTTATTTCGTTGATTAGTTTTTTCTTAGGCTTAGCTTCGCGTTTATTTGTTAAATTGTTAGGTCACTAGCCTGAAAAATGAGCCTATGGCTATTGGATAATGCTTTCTTTAGTGCTCACTCTGAATTGTTGTCTTCCCCCTTTTTTTTTTTGGAAACAGTGGCAGTGCAGTAAGGGAACCTGGTAATGACGGTCTAGTTCTCCACCTTTTGGTTTCTTTGCTAATTTTAATTTGCATTAAGGTCACTTTTTTTTTGTTTTTGTTTGAGACAGTGTCTCACTCTGTCGCCCAGGCTGGAGTGTAGTGGCCCGATCTCGGCTCACTGCAACCTCCTCCTCCCGGGTTCAAGCGATTCTTCTGCCTCAGCCTCCCAAGTAACTGGGACTACAGACGCGTACCACCACGCCTGGCTCATTTTTGTATTTTTAGTAGAGACAGGGTTTCACCATGCTGGCCAGGCTGGTCTCGAACTCCTGACCTTTTGATCTGCCCACCTTGGCCTCCCAAAACTGGGATTACAGGCGTGAGCCACAGCGTTCAGCCTAAGGTCACATTTTTAGGTCTCAGGAAGTCTAGGACCCTGCAAACAAATTACACCTTTTCATCTTGTCACTTGATAATTTTTAAAATCAGGTTTATTGAAGAATAATTTACACAGAATAAAATTCACACTTTTTAGTTGTGTGGGCCTCTGAGTTTTAACAAACATAAACTGTCATGTAACAACCACCGCAATTGAGATGTGGAATATTCCCATCATCCCCAAAAGTTGCCTTGTGCCGTTTGTAGTCAGTCATCCCTCTGCAACCCCAAGCTCTGGCAATCATTGATCTGATTTATATCCCTATAGTTTTGCCTTTTCCGGCATGTCATGTTAATGGAATCATGTAGTATGTAGCCTTTTTATGTCTAGATTCTCCCATTCAGCATAATGCATTTGAGATTTATAAAAATCCATGTCATTGTTTGTGTCAGTCTCTTCAGCAAATGGTGCTGGAACAATTAGACACCCATATGCAAAATTTACAAAACTCAAAATGGAGCATAAACCTAAATATAAGGCCTAAAGTTATTAACCTTCAAGAAGAAAACAGGAGAGAATCTTCATGACCTTATGTTAAGCAAAGATTTTTTAGAGTACCCATGAAAAAAAAAAGTGATACATTTGATTTTTTTATCCTTTTTTTTTTTTAGGTTAGCTTCGTTTAATAATTGTATTATTCTTTATTCCCATTTAACGTGTACCTGTTAAATATATTAGGCAGCTAGTTTTTAAAACTTCATGCTGTTATAAAACCATGATAGGCCGACTAATGACCCCCCACCCACCCCCATGGCTGTATTCTAATTTCTAGAGCCTATAACTATGTTAGGTTACCTGGCAAACAGGAATTATGGTTGCAGATACAATCAAGATTGTTTATCAGCTGACCTTATTTTTTTTTTAACTGCTCCTTACAGAGCAGGGCTAATCCACGGGCAGTGTGGTATGCCCCGAATAGGCCCATCAGCTGACTTTAAAGATAGGAAGGTTATCCTGGATTGTCTTGTCTAGGTAGGTGGATTATCTAGGTGGGCCCATTTATAAAAACAGGGTTCCTTAAAAGTTGAGGAGGGAATCTGAATAGGGTGCTTGTCCTTCCATATCTTTATCTACATACATGTGCATATTTTCTCTATAATTTATTTTTTAAAAATAATTATTATAAAGGTTAACTTTTTTAAAAATTCAGAAATTATAGAAATATTTAAGAAGGTAAAATTCTTTTATAATTATTCCCTAAATGTCATGGTTAATAGAATTGTGTCTTGAATATCTTTTCCACATCAGTGCATAGATCTAGGTTATCGTTAATGATTTTATAGCATTTTTATCCAGTGTTCTGTTAGAAATTTAGCTATTTCTAACTTCCTATTTTATCTGTATGTGTTTATCTATACATGCATATGAATATATGTGTATATGTATATTTAACAACTGTCTACTTAAATGTTGAATTGGTTTTATGTATTGACCTGAGTGAAGGTTGAGAAATACTTGGTTGTTTAGAAATGAATTTCTTTTGAAAATGGGAGAAATTTTCTTTTAATCTTTCATATAAAGGTAGAAGAATTTCATCATTGTAGACAGTTAAGAAGTATGGGAGGAATGGTAAGGGAGTAAGATATTGATCACCAGGATCCCACAGTAACCTTTCACTTTTTTTGCACTAATGTGTGCAAGCTTCTGTGTGGTTGTAATTATATAATGTATTTTGGTTTTGGGGTGTTTTGTGGTTTTTTTTTGTTTTTTTTGTTTTTTGTGGTTTTTTTTTTTGAGACAGAGTCTCGCTCTGTCGCCCAGGCTGGAGTACAGTGGCGTGATCTCGGCTCACTGCAAGCTCCGCCTCCCGGGTTCACACTGTTCTCCTGCCTCAGCCTCCCAAGTAGCTGGGACTACAGGCGCTCGCCACCACCCCTGGCTAATTTTTTGTATTTTTAGTAGAGACGGGGTTTCACCATGATAGCCAGGATGGTCTCGATCTCCTGACCTTGTGATCTGCCCACCTTGGCCTCCCAAAGTGTTGGGATTACAGGCGTGAGCCACCGTGCCTGACCGGTTTTTGGGGGTTGGGTTTTTTTTTTTTTTTTGGAGACGGGTTTGGCTCTATCACCCAGGCTGGAGCACAGTGGCACAATCTGGGCTCACTGCGGCCTCCACCTCCCAGGCTCAAGCCATCCTCCCACCTCAGCCACCTGAGTAGCTGGGACTACAGGTAGGTAGTCCCACCTCAGCCATCTGAGTAGCTGGGACTACCTGTGCCACCATGCCCAGCTAATTTTTGTATTCTTTGTAGAGACAGGGTTTCGCCGTGTTGCCCAGGATGATCCCAAAGTCTTGAGCTCAAGCTATCTGCTCACCCTGGGCTTCTGAAGAGTTAGGATTACAGGTGTGAGCAACCACACCCGGCCTGTAATGTATTTTGATGGTAGGATATTTTTAGCTAGAATGTCACATGCATAATACATGTTACTGATTAGATTTGCTTGTATATTATACCACCTAAGCATGTTATCTAAATGTTACTAAATGTTATTTCCTGAGTCACTTTTTTAAAGAGCTGCATAAGCAACAAAGCTGCATCATTAGGCCTGGTAATGTGGCTCATGCCTGTGATCCTAGCCCATTGGGAGGTCAACGCAGGAGGATCGCTTGAGGCCAGGAATTTGAGACCTGCCTGGACAACATAGTAAGACCCCATCTCTACAAGATTAAAAACTTAAAATTCAGCCGAGTGTAGTAGTACCTGCCTGTAGTCTGAACTACCTGGGGAACTGAGGAGGGAGGATTGCATGAGCCCAAGGAGGTCAAAGCTGCTGTTAGCTGTGATTGCATCATTGCACTCCACGCTGACGGTGACACTCTTATCTCTTAAAAAAAAAAAAAAACAACAAAACTGTAATAAATAGGCCTACTCCCAAACGTTCCTCTCCTGTTTGTTTCCTTACTCTTGTCTGTAATCATGAGTTGCATCAAACTATTTCTGATTCTTTTTTTATGCTTATTTTCATTTTCATTTTTTTTTCTTTCTTTTTTTTCTGAGACGGCGTCTCACTCTGGCTGGCGCCCAGGCTAGAGTGCAGTGGTGTGAACTTGGCTCACTGCAACCTCTGCCTCCCAGGTTCAAGCAATTTTCTGCCTCAGCCTCCCGAGTAGCTGGGATTACAGGCGCCCGCCACCACGCCTGGCTAATTTTTGTATTTTTAGTAGAGGCAGGGTTTCACCATCTTGGCCAGGCTGGTCTTGAACTCCTGACCTCATGATCCACCCGTCTCAGCCTGAGCCACTGTGCCTGGCTGCTTATTTTCATTTTCTTTTTTCTCCCCTCCCTTCTCCTCCTTTCTTTCTTCCTTTCTTTCTTTCAAGTTTCACTTCTATCGCCCAGCAGGCTGGAGTGCAATGGCGTGATCTGGGCTCACTGCAACCTCTGCCTCCCGAGTTCAAGTGATTCTCCTGCCTCAGCCTCCCAAGTAGCTGGGATTACAGGCATGCGCCACCACGCCCAGCTAATTTTGTATTTTTAATAGAGATGGGGTTTTACCATGTTGGTCAGGCTGGTCTCAAACTCCTGATCTCAGGTGATGCACCTGCCTCAGCCTCTCGAAGTGCTCGGATTACAGGCGTGAGCCACAGTGCCCGGCCTTCATTTTGTTTTTTGTTTTTATTTTACTTTTTTTTGAGACAGAATTTCACTCTTGTTGCCCAAGCTGGAGTGCAGTGGTGCGATCTTGTCTCACTGCAACCTCCACCTCCCAGGTTCAAGCGATTCTCCTGCCTCAACCTCCCAAGTAGCTGGGATTATAGGCATATGCCACCATGCCTGGCTAATTTTTTGTATTTTTAGTAGGGATGGGGTTTCGTCACAGTGGCCAGGCCGTTCTCAATCTCCTGACCTCAGGTGATCTGCCTCCTCGGCCTCCCAAAGTGCTGGGATTAACAGGCATGAGCCACCGCACCTGGCCTTACTTTGTTTCTTTTGAGATGGGGTCTTACTCTGTTGCCCAGGCTGGAGTACAATGGCGTGATCACGACTCACTTCAGCCTCGACCTCCCTGGGCTCAAGCGATCTGCCCACCTCAGCCTCCTGAGTAGCTGGGACCACAGGCGCATGTCACCACGCCCAGCTAATTTTTTGTATTTTTCTTAGAGACAGTATTGCATCACATTGCCAGACTGGTCTTGAATTCCTGGGCTCAAGCAATCTACCCTCCTTGGCCTCCCAAAATGTTGGAATTACAGGCTGGGCATGGTGGCTCACGCCTATAATCCCAGCACTTTCAGAGGCCGAGGCGGGCAGATCATGAGGTCAGGAGATCGAGACCATGGTGAAACCCCGTCTCTACTAAAAATACAAAATAATTAGACGGGCGTGGTGGTGGGAGCCTGTAGTCCCAGCTACTCAGGAGGCTGAGGCAGGAGAATGGCATGAACCCGGGAGGGAGAGCTTGCAGTAAGCCGAGATGGTGTCACTGCACTCCAGCCTGGCCGACAGAGCGAGACTCCGTCTCTAAATAAATAAATAAATAAAAATTTTAAAAAATTAGCTGGGTGTGGTGGCAGGTGCCTGTAATCCCAGCTACGCAGGAGGCTGAAGTGGGAGAATCGCTTGAACCCGGGAGGTGGAGGTTGCCGTGAGGCGAGATTGCACCATTGCACTCCAGCCTGGGCAACAGAGCAAGATATGGAAAGATGTTAGACCTACAAATGCCAGTGGTATGAACATTCACACAATCCTGTGACGCAGGTACTATCGACAATCGTCTATAAAAGAAAACTGACTGGGTGCAGTGGCGCATGCCTATAATCCGAGCACTTTGGGAGGCTGAGGCGGGAGGACTGCTTGAGCCTAGGAGTTCAAGACCAGCCTGGGCACCATAGTGAGAACCCATCTCTACAAAAAATACAAAAATTAGCCAGATGTGGTGGTGCATGCCTATAGTCCCAGCTACTTAGGAGGCTGAAGTGGGAGGACTGCTTGAGCCCGGGAGTTTGAGGTTGCAGTGAGCTATGATCATGCCACTGCACTCCAGCCTGGGTGACAGAGCAAGACTCCATCTCAAAACAAAACCAAACAAAAACACAATCTAAAAGTAGAGACGGGGTTTCACCATGTTAGCCAGGATGGTCTCGATCTCCTGACCTCCTGATCTGCCCGCCTCGGCCTCCCAAAGTGCTAGGATTACAGGCGTAAGCCACTGAGCCCGGCCTAATTTTTTTTTATTTTTAGTAGAGACGGGGTTTCATCATGTTGGTCAAGCTGGTCACGAACTCCTGACCTCAGTTGATCCACCTGCCTTGGCCTCCCAAAGTGCTGGGATTACAGGTGTGAGCCACTGCACCCGGCCTCTAGTTGTTAAAGAGTGACTACATGGTGTTCCCTTGTAGGGATGTGACCCATAAGTGTCCTTCAGCCAGACTCACATTGGACATTAAAGTTTACATCAGTTACCTATTGCTGCATTAAAAAAACACTCCAAAACTCAGGCTTGAAATAACAGCCATGCATTTGTTCATGAGTCCATTGGGCTGGCACAGCTGGGTAGTTCTGCTGAGCCCACCTGGGTTCAGCCATGCACTGCAGTCATCTGCTGGCTCCCTTCACCATCCCTCAATTGTGGTGGTTTAACGTCTTAACAGTTGGTCCTTCCTACAGTTGCCTCTTTATCCTAAAGTAGACTAGACTCAGTGGCTTCTCATGATGGCAGAAATATTCCAAAAGAGCAAGAGCCTATGCTGCAAGGTCTCTTGGAACCAAATCTCAGAACATCACTTCAACAGTTCTACCATGTTTTTTTGTTGTTGTTTTGAGACAAGGTCTTACTCTGCCACTCAGGCTGGAGTGCGGTGGCACAGTCTTGGCTCACTGCAACCTCCGCCACCTGGGCTCAAGCAATCCTCCGCCTCAGTCTCTTGAATAGCTGAGACCACAAGTATGTGCCGCCATGCGTGGCTAATTTTTTTTTTTTTTTTTGAGACAGCGTCTTGCTCTGTCTCCCAGGCTGGAGTGCAGTGGCACGATGTTGGCTCACTGCAACCTCTGCCTCCCAGGTTCAAGCGATTCTCCCACCTCAGCCTCCTGAATAGCTGGGATTACAGGTGCGTGCCACCACACCTGGCTAATTTTTGCTTTTTATGTATGTATGTATTTATTTATTTATTTATTTTCGAGACAGAGTCTTACTCTGTCACACAGGCTGGAGTGCAGTGGCGCGATCTCGGCTCACTGCAACCTCTGCTTCCCAGGTTCAAGCAATTCTCCTGCTTCAGCCTCCCGAGTAGCTGGGATTATAGGCACATGTCACCATGCCCAGCTAATTTTTGTATTCTTAATAGAGACGGGGTTTCACCATGTTGGCCAGGCTGGTCTCGAACTCTTGACCTCGTGATCTGCCCACCTTGGCCTCCCAAGGTGCTGGGATTACAGGCGTGAGCACCGCACCCAGCACTGTTATTTTTCTTTTCTTTTTTTTCTTTTTTTTTTTTTGAGAGGGAGTCTCACTCTGTCACCCAGGCTGGAATGCAGTGGTGCAATCTCGGCTCACTGCAGCCTCTGCCTCCCAGGTTCAAGCAATTCTCCTGCCTCAGCCTCCCTAGTAGCTGGGGCTACAGGCGCGCACCGCCACACCTGGCTAATTTTTTGTATTTTTAGCCAAGATATTGGCCATGTTGGCCAGGATGGTCTTGATCCCGTGACCTCGGGATCCACCCGCCTTGGCCTCCAAAAGTGCTGGGATTACAGGCATGAGCCACCACATCTAGCCAGTTGTTTTTATATTTTTAAGAAAACATACATAAATTCATTCATTCAGTGGATAGATTTGAGTGTCTGTTTGGTGCCATCAAGGCTTCTAAGGCCCTGGACATACATAGTACCAGCAATAAGAGGGATTAAGAACCTGTTTGGAGATGGGAAGTCTGAGGACTCATTAAAAAAAAAAGAGAGAGAGAGCTTTCTTACAGAACTGATAGTCTAGATTTGTCAGGAAATGAATGGAAGACCTCAGGGAACTCAAGAGATTAAAAAACTTACAAGCTAGAATTTTTAATGAGAGTTCACAGAAAAGGAAGATGAAACAGCTCTTAAATATATAAAAGGTACTCATGTTTACTCATTATACAAGATACAAACATTGAAAAGTCAGTAATTCTTTTTTTTTTTTAACGCCCTCCTCAACAGAGTAGCAGACATCAAAGTTTGACACCCTACTGTGTGGTCAAGGCTGTGGGGAAAAGGGTGTTTTCGGAGAGAGCTGGTGGAGTGTAAACTGGTTGAGTCTCTGTAGAGGACAGTCTGGCAATTCTGTCACATGTCTTTTGTTCCAGCAATTCTGGGTATTGAACTTTTAGGTCTGCCAACCAAATGGGGGAGTGGCATTTAATTTGTTTTTCTGTAATTAAGAGTGAGATTGAAATTTTTTCATGTTTGTTGGAAATTTTTGATTGCTGTATCCCTTAAACCGACACTATTGTAGATTTTTCTTTAAAGGAGTCTTAGCTTACGATTCTCTCAAATGACTTCAGTGAGGGAGAAGAAATTATTATTCAGCAGATGGTACTGGGCTAGTTGAATAGCTATTTGGAGGAAAATCAATTTAAATCATTACACATCAAAATGAATTCTAAAAGAATTGATACTTATTTAAAATTTATATCATGAGAAACTAACAATAGAGTATTCAGTATTTTTCTGATCTCTGCATGGAGAAAGACTTCCTATGTTTTAAAACAAACATCAAGGAAAGAGAGACATATAAAAGTTTAAAAGCTAAATAAAATTAGATTAGGTGTGGACAATAGGTCTAAAATGTTCTAAATTGAGTAACACTGGACCTTCTCCTAACTGTTCTGTAGAAGGCAGCAAAGTACAGTGGTTATACCCGGTGCTCTGGAGTCCGCCTCCTGAGTTCAAACTAGGGTTCTGCTACTTGGATTTTTGACTTTGGACAAGTTATTTAAGCTGTTTCATGATTTCCTCAACCCTAAATTGAGACAATTGTAGTTCCCACCTCATAGGATAATTAAAAGAGTTAAGGAATTATTGTTAACTTTAGATTCATTATTAATATTATTAGTATCTAAAGAGCAGAGACAAATCTAAGACCACAGTGTATAAATAAATGAGCAAAGGACAAGAACACACAGTCTACAGGAAATACTGAGATGAGGAAAACTATAGGAGGAGCAGTTTGGGTGACAGCAGTTGAGAATTTGGTTTAGTCTGTGTTTAATTTAAGGCACCTGTTAGGCATTAGAAACAACCTAAGTGCCAAATGTTAATCAAATGGCTGAGTAAATTATGAGACATCTACTTAAAGGAATATTTTAAGGCCGCTAAAAGTGATTTTTTTTACAAAGTTTTGATAGTGGGGGAAAATGCTAATGAACAGTATTTACTAAGGGAAAATAAAACAGCATTTGTCATACATAATATGATTTCAGCCTTCTACAAGAAAATGCATAGAAAAGAATTCAACAACATATGTGAAAAGATAAGCAGTGGTTACCATTGAATGATGGTGCTTGGGGAGCAAGGGAATGTGGGTGAGTCATTCACACAGACCAGAAGGCCGGGTTTGGTGGGTCAACCGTCTGAGGTCTTTTCAGTTCCACAGTTCCACATAACAAGAACTTACTGGCCCAAGAAAGAGCTTTATTGGCTCTGATAACTGAAAAGTTCAGTCACATGTGGATTGATGGGCACAGACACTGTGTCTAGAATCTGGACTTCTTTATCATCCAGTTTTGCCTTGCTCTGGGCTGTCTGTCAGTCAGCCTCTCTTTTCATGATGAGAGTAAGACACTTGACCTGATCACTGCAGCCAGGACTTAGGCTGACTCTCATCACCTCTTTGTGCTCAGCTTGGATGCCATGCCTATCCCTGAGCAGTCACTGTGGCCAAGGGGACTCAGGTGAATATGGCCCAGTGAGTGTCACCATTCCCACAGCACAGCCCAGGAGCGTGGGCAAGCCTGAGCGCTCCCCTATAGCAAACACTGTTGGATGGATTAGAGGGGCAGTGGATGCTGGTGGGCACAACCAGCAGGTGATCCCGAGAGTGAGGGAAGATAAGGAATTCTATTTTCTCCCCCCCACCCCCCCCCTTTTTTTTTTCCTGAAGAGACAGGGTTCTCCCTCTGTTGCCCAGGCTGGAAGGCTGGAGTGCAGTGGCACAATCACAGCTCACTGCAGCCTCGAACTCCTGGGCTCGGGCAAGCACCGTGCCTGGCTAATTTAAATAAATTTTGTAGAGATGGGGTCTCGCTATGTTTCCCAGTCCTGTCTTGAACTCCTGGACTCAAGGGATCCTCCTGCCACTACCACACCCGGACCCCCCCCGCCCCCCGTTTTTTTTTTTTTTGTTTTTTGTTTTTTTTTTTGAGATGGAATCTCACTCTGTCGCCCAGGCTGGAGTGCAGTGGCGAGATCTCGGCTCACTGCAAGCTCTACCTCCCAGGTTCACGCCATTCTCCTGCCTCAGCTTCTGGAGTAGCTGGGACTACAGGCACCCACCGCTATGCCCAGCTAATTTTTTGTATTTTTTAGTAGAGACGGGGTTTCACCGTGTTAGCCAGGATGGTCTTGATCTCCTGACCTCGTGATCTGCCTGCCTCAGCCTCCCAAAGTGCTGGGATTACAGGCGTGAGCCACCACTCCTGGCCCCCACTTTTTTTTTTTAAATTAAAAAACGCAATTTCTATAAGAAGTCTGTCTCCATTTCTCAGATAACCTAATGTTTGAAAACCTTGCAGACTTTATTACACATATAGATACATACATTGATTGTAAATGGAATCATAGGCTATATATTTTATTACCTACACAAACTTGGATTTATTGATCTACAGCTTGGTCACCCTCAGCTCAATATAGCTTTGGGAGGTATTTAACCTGTGGTCTTTTAAATCTTGCAAGAGATTGAAAAGATAGAAGAATGAGATTGTGGCCGGGTGCGGTCACTCATGCCTGTAATCCCAGCACTTTGGGAGGCCGAGGCAGGTGGATCACTTGAGCCCAGGAGTTCGACACCAGCCTGAGCATCATGGCAAAACCCCGTCTCTGCCAAAAATACAAAAATAAGCCTGATGTGGTGACACACACCTGTAATCCCAGCTACTCGGGAGGCTGAAGTAGGAGGATCGCTTGAACCCAGGAGGTAGAGATTGCAGTGATCTGAGATCAGGCCACTGGATTCCATCCTGGGCAACAAAGTGAGACCCTGTCTCAAAAAAAAAAAAAAGAAGAAGAAGAAGAAGAAGAGTGAGATTGTGAGAAGTTGGAGAACACAAACCTTCAGCCAGTGATGGAATAGGGACAAAGAAAAGAAACTAGTGCCATGTGATATCACAGAAGCAGAAGATGGCATTTTGAGAAAGTAGGCATGCACAACAGTGTCCATGCAGCAGAGAGGTCTAGCAAGATATAGATTGGAAAATGTGGGTTGATTTTCCAATGAGGGGCTTGTTGGTGACCATGCAAGAGGAGTTGAAACAGTGAATGGAAGTGAGAAATTTGAAATGGAAAGTGGAGACAGAAACGACTGGTCCACATGAGGGGAAGGGGTTGTGGACCAGGCCACAAGTTGGGGAGAATTGACTTTGAGTAGAGAGAGGATATCTTTCTTGGCAGTGTCAGTAAGGGTGTGTGTGAATCTGGCTAGGAGGGAATTCCGCGAAGATCACTCTTGGGTGCCTCAGTTTTCTCTGTAGCACCCTCAAGAAGATATGCTGAGAGTAATGAGGGTCAGTTAGCAAGAAGGTCATGATTCAAGCCGTGCAAGTTGGGTGAAATCTGAGAGTAGAGGAGGGGACTGACCAAAGCTTTCCAGAAGCTGTTGAGGGCCTTGATGAGGCTGAAAATCTTGAGTTTTTGTAGAACGGTAGTTACTGATAGTGTGCTCCTTAAACACCTGAGATCCCCAGGATCCTTTCAGGGTGTCCACAAGGTTAAAGCTGTTTTAATAATCTTCTTAAAGAGTTACTCACACTGCTCTCTATGTTGCCATCAGCACTTGTGGCACAGGAGCAATGATGAGCAGAGTCCCCAGCACCACAGGCAGGTCAAGGCAGTGGAACTAGAGAGGTTACTGAGCTCTGCACTGCCACACCCCCACTGCTCAAAACCAGTGCCAGTAAAAAGTACTCACCATATTAAATCCATCCTTAATACATGTCTTCACGATGTCTGTGTGACAAACACGTATAGCATTTCTGCTGCATACTGAATGCAGTGGTTTTCTCAGGGAAAAGCACTTATGTAACTATTTGAGCTATGAGCAGAATTAACTGGTTTTTAAATCGTCCCTCAGTTTTGATGAGTATAAAGAGTTCTGAGATCAGAAAGTTTGAGAAGCACTGTCGCACTGGCACACTTTGCACAGTTCAGTCTTTTCTCTGGCCCCGCACAGAAACATGAGTTGAGGATGGAAGTGACAGGTTGCAGCATTGATTCAGGGTCAGAGTTTCACGAGGCAGGCAAGATAGACATGAAGAGGCACTGTGGAGAGCCAGTCAATGGCTTTCCCCAGGTCCAGGACAGGGCAAGAAGGAAAAAAGGATGATGGATTAGAAGAAAGGGTTGGAATCAGGTTGTTACATACTATTTGAAGTTAAAGAGAAGGGCCAGGCTGGCCAGGCGCGGTGGGTCACACCTGTAATCCCAGCACTTTGGGAGGCCAAGGCGGGTGGATCACGAGGCCAGGAGTTTGAGAACACGCTGGCCAACATGGTGAAACCCCCGTCTCTACTAAAAATACAAAAAATTAGCCTGGCGTGGTGGCAGGCACCTGTAATCCCAGCTACTCGGGAGGCTGAGGCAGGAGAATCGCTTGAACCCAGGAGGTGGAGGTTGCAGTGAGCCGAGACAGCGCCACTGCACTCCAGCCTGGGCAACAGAGTGAGACTCCCGTTTCAAAAAAAAAAAGACAAGGGCCAGGCACAGTGGCTCACACCTGTAATCTCAGCACTTTGGGAGGCTTAGGCAGGAGGATCACTTGAGCCCAGGAGTTCAAGACCAGCCTGGGCAACATAGTGACTCCCCATCTCTACAGAAAAATTAATTTAAAAAAATTAGCTGGGTGTGGTAACATGTGCCTGTAGTACCAGCTACTCGAGAGGCTGAGGCAGGAGGATTGCTTGAGCCCAGGAGTTCAAGGCTGCAGTAAGCTATGATCATGCCACTGCACTCCAGCCTGGGCCATAGAACAAAATCCAAACTCTGTTTTAAAAAACACAGAAAGAGAAAATGTAGTATTCTGGAAGGCACTAGGGAAAGTCAGGATTTGTGGTCAGGAGTAATACTAGCCTCAAAGGGACTTCCAGTCTTTTAGGGGAAATAAAACCTGTATCCAAGTAAGCATCCACACAGGCAGCCATGATTCACACCATCTGAGTGTTACCAATGAATGCCCATGTGGCGTGGGAGGAGGGAGTCCGGACATTCTTGACTGTGGGATCCGCACCTGCCAGCTGCTTCCCGGTTCTCTCCTTTTCTCCTTCTGTAGCTATGAATAATGTAGAAATAGCACTTGCAGTAACAGAAGGCTGGAGATCTAGCTACTTTTCAAGTAGCAAATCTTTTTTTAAAAAGCTGTCTTCTTTGAAATTTATGCCTGGAGGTTTAAGGGCCTAGAATTTATTTAACTTTAAGGAACTAATGGATCTGTTTTAGAAATGCTTAAGCTGCAAAACATCCAGTTGGCTTGGAGTGCCTGTCTACTTAATACGAACAAGTTTGAGTAGGACCCTTCTGCCCCCAGTGGTTTAGAAGTAATACTGTTAGAATCTTATTGTGGTCCAGGCCTTCTGGACTTTTCTTAGCACAGACAGTATCTAATTGGGTGAAAAGCCAAATGACTTAATCTAGTTTCAAGAAAGTCCTTGAGAAAATGTCTGTGAGTTCTATGTGGGGAGGGCTGGTTGGGAGCAGGAAGCAAAGTGGGATTTATTACCTATATTATAGACCACAGGAATCTTTTTTTTTTTTTTTTTTTTTTTTTGAGACGGAGTCTCGCTCTGTCGCCCAGGCTGGAGTGCAGTGGCGCAATCTCGGCTCACTGCAAGCTCCGCCTCTCGGGTTCACGCCATTCTCCTGCCTCAGCCTCCGAAGTAGCTGGGACTACAGGCGCCCACCACCATGCCCGGCTAATTTTTTTTGCATTTTTAGTAGAGACGGGGTTTCACCGTTTTAGCCAGGATGGTCTCGATCTCCTGACCTTGTGATCCGCCCGCCTTGGCCTCCCAAAGTGCTGGGATTACAGGCGTGAGCCCCCGTGCCCAGCCAACCACAGGAATCTTAAGATTCGGCAAGGGTTGTGTGTCTTGCACACATATCTACAAGTGTTCCTTGGAAGTAGGATTTGAACCAGAGATTCCTGGGTTCTTGACCATCATGCGTCTTTGTCCTGACCCTTGAGAGGGCCACTTCCTAAACCTAGCCAGTTTGTGTGCCCACAGACCCAGGGTCACAGCTGCAGGCATGACCACCTCTTCTACTGCGCAGACACTCCTTCAGTCACAGCAAAACCTGTCTGGATTCTCTACTCTGAAAAGTTATCTAGGCTATAAAACAAAATATCATTATTCCGTAATTTCCTAAAGTGCACTTGTATGTATTGAAAAGATTATAGATAGAAACATACATAACTTTTAAATGTTTTCTATGCGGAATTTCTCATTATGTCCAGCATGTGGTTTACCATGTTTATCATCTCCTGTTGTCTTAAGGTCAGGGGTTGCAACAAGGGAGGTCAAAATTGGCCGGGGCTGAGCACAAATACACACCCACAGCCCTTCAGTGACCTCAGGCAGCAAGATGCCTCCCACCTCCCCCCAGCACCCAAGCAATCCCTTCGGAAGGTCTACTGATTGTTCTTAAGGGTTAGGAAACATTTTCTTAGTAAATAGTGAAAACTTACTTTTTGAAAGTAGTGGCTAGAAGTGATTCCTTAAACTGATCATGAGTATTAAATTGTACCAAATTTTACGTGATTGTTTATCATTTTAGGAATGGTGAGAAGGGACATACAATTAAATTTTAAAATGTTTTAAGAAGAAATAATGATATTTTATCATTCTACTTTGAGGGCTTAATAGTATGTGCTAATTTGCAGATGGATGAAGTTGACCTTTACCTACAAATAACCTAATAAGAAATGATCATTGCTGGCCGGGCGCGATGGCTCACGCCTGTAATCCCAGCACTTTGGGAGGCTGAGGCAGGCGGATCACGAGGTCAGGAAATCGAGACCATCCTGGCTAACACGGTGAAACCCCATCTCTACTAAAAATACAAAAAATTAGCCGGGTGTGGTGGCGGGCGCCTGTAGTCCCAGCTACTCAGGAGGCTGAGGCAGGAGAATGGCATGAACCCGGGAGGCGGAGCTTGCAGTGAGCCGAGATTGCACCACTGCACTCCAGCCTGGGCGACAGAGCGAGACTCCGTCTCAAAAAAAAAAAAAAAAAAAAAAAAAAGAAATGATCATTGTCAGAAAAGACGCTTCATTAAGTAGTGCCAGTGTTTTTGTTTGCGGTCTGCAATTGTCAGATGGTCGGTCCCTATGTTCACAGTCTCGGGAGGCTTGGAGATATAGTCAGCACCCTTTGTGCTGGCTGCTCTCTCTGTAGTCATGCTTAGCTCAGTTGTTTTGTGGGTAAGTTACTTAAACAGGAAATTGAAGTATTTCTGTGACTACTTCTGCTCTCACTACTGCAAAACCTTTCTCTTTATAGCTCTGGACTTATTGGACAAAATGTTGACATTCAACCCACACAAGAGGATTGAAGTAGAACAGGCTCTGGCCCACCCATATCTGGAGCAGTATTACGACCCGAGTGACGAGGTAAGAGCTCATGTTCCTGGCTGCTGCTTCAGGGACATAGATCAGCCAGCAGTGGACCAACCATATCTTGCTTAGATTTTCCTGAGATATACCTGCTGCCATACCCGGTTCTTCCAACAAGCCCACCTTTGCCTTGAGGACGAGTGCTGTGGGGCACAGCTTGAAATCCCTCCCCCCGTAACTCTGTCTATCTCAGAAGACTTCCTCCAGGCCACCTGCAACAGGTAGGGGCGGGGTAAACGCATGTATAAAGGGGACAGCTGCACCAGTATGGAGCACAGAGGGCATGGGTCTGAGACTGGAGGCCATTGTCATGGTGTGACAGGAAGAGACACCTGAAGTGAAGTGCTGGCCCTGAGGATGGCCGGGGTGGAGAGGAGGTGGGCAGCCTGCTGACAGGGACAGCACACAGAGTGGGGAGGGAAGTCAACTTGGACAGTTTCCACTGTGGCTTGGCGACTCCATGTCGGGTGTGCTATTCCCTAGAGACAAGGACACGAGAGCCTGTTGTAAGAAGTGATGAGGCCAGAGTGGATATGGCAGCTCTTCAGAGCAGGCAGGGCATTCAGGTAGAAGATGCTGCATGTCATGTTCTCCCCAAGACAGTCCTAGTGCCTTGGCTCTCTGGTGTCTCTGGGGTTCAATTTTAACTTTATTCTCTGGAGGATAACAAAGAAAAATGCAATATGAACCAAAAGTTTGGATTGTTGTAGTTGAGGCTCATATGCACAGAGAATAGTCTTTACCCTCCTATTTTTGAAAGAATCAGCTTTCCCTTCCACATCCATCTCTCTGCCTCCAGCAACAAGTTAGGCAGCTTGTGAAATACCTACAACATAGCCAGTAACACAGAATAGGAGAGAATACAGGTTTGGGGCTCTTACAAGCTTAGTGGGCTGGAGATTTCCCAAGCTTCCGAGTCCAAATCAGCTGGCTGGGGTGGTGGGTGATGCGTGTAGGACACCTCCTGTGATCCCAGATGCATAGCCCTCCTTCGGGCTGAGCTATTTATTCTTCTGGACATGAGTCCTTCTCCCCTTTCAGATGGCCAAAGCTTAGTGCAGAGTTTGGGGTCTGTGCTTCCTCCCCCTAAAGGCCCCATGTGAGGATTACATGGGTGAGAGGTGAGATTCTAGGCATTCACTGATTGACAGCTGGTATTATCATCAGCTTAGTTCTGTAACATTGCATTAGTTCACGGGCATTTAAAAATCAAAATGTGGCCAGGCATGGTGGCTCACACCTGTAGTCCCAGCTATTCAGAAGGCTGAGGTGGAAAGATCTCTTGAGCCCAGGAGATCGAGGTTTCAGTGAGCTGTGATCACACCACTGCACTCCAGCTTCGGTGACAGAGCAAAACTCTTTCTCTAAAAAATAATAATCAGTTTGTCACTGAGTGTGTATGGGGTTCTTTGATCTAAATAGACAGTTTATATTTTACTTAAATAGCTTTCTGGAGTATGGTTAAAAATTAAAATGGGGGCTGGGCGCAGTGGCTCACGCCTGTAATCCCAGCACTTTGGGAGGCCGAGGCAGGAGGATCACTTGAGGTCAGGAGTTCAAGCCCAGCCTGGCCAACATGGGGAAACCCCGTCTCTACTAAAAATACAAAAATAGCTGGGCGTGGTAGTACATGTTTGTAATCCCAGCTACTCTGGAGGCTGAGGCATAAGAATTGCTTGACCCCGGGAAGCAGAGGTTGCAGCGAGCCAAGATCATGCCAGTACACACCAGCCTAGGCAATAGAATGAGACTCAGTCTCAAAAAAAAAAATGGGGCCAGGTATGGTGGCTCACACTTGTAATCACAGCACTTTGGGAGGCCAAGGTTGGTGGATCACCTGAGGTTAGGAGTTCGAGACCAGCCTGGCCAACATAGTGAAACCCTGTCTCTACTAAAAATACAAAAATTAGCCAAGTGTGGTGCCAGGCGCCTATAATCCCAGGTACTCCGGAGGCTGAGGCAGGAGAATCGCTTGAACCCAGGAGGCAGAGGTTGCAGTAAGCCGGGATCGTACCACTGCACTCCAGCCTGGGCAACAAAGCGAGGTTTTGTATAGAAAAAAAAAGAGAAAAGCAAACTTGTAAGAAAATACAGGAGAGATTTTTTTCATACTACAAATATGTAGCTTTATAATCTTGTTACAGTTACTAACATTTTGGAGTATTTCCTTCTCAGTCTTGTATTTCTGTATCTAAATTTTAAAAATAAAATAGTTTTCATTCTCTTGACACAACATAGGCATTTTCCTATTAATCTTCCTTGCAGCTTAATTTTGTTTTCTTTTTTGAGATGGAGTCTTGCTCTGTCACCAGGCCAGGCTGGAGTACCGTGGTGTGATCTCGGCTCACTTCAACCTCCACCTCCCAGGTTCAAGCAATTCTCCTGCCTCAGCCTCCCGAGTAGCTGGGACTACAGGCACGCACCACCACACCCAGCTAATTTTTGTATTTTTAGTAGAGACGGAGTTTCACTGTGTTGGCCAGGATGGTCTCAATATCTTGACCTCATGATCCACCTGCCTCGGTCTCCCAAAGTGCTGGGATTACAGGTGTGAGCCACCGTGCCTGGCCAGTTTTTTTTATTTTTCTTTGAGATGGAATCTTGCTCTGTTGCCTCGGCCAGAGTGCCGTGGCGCAATCTCGGCTCACTGCAACCTCCGCCTCCTGGATTCAAGCAATTCTCCTTCCTCAGCCTCCCGAGTAGCTGGGACGACGGGGGCCTGCCACCATGCCTAGCTAATTTTTGTGTATTTTTAGTAGAGATGGAGTTTCACTATGTTGGTCAGGCTGGTCTCATGATCCTCCCACCTTGGCCTCCCAACGTGCTGGGATTACAGATGTGAGCCACTGCGCCTGGCCTTGCAGCTTAATTTTTAACAGCTCTAAGATGTTTTTTCATACAAAGATACCATGATTTATTTAATGAAATGCATGTATTTTAGTATTATGGGTGTTGATTGGATAAACGTACCACCACCCCAACAGCAGCACATTTCTCTTATTTCGACATTCACTGCCTTAAAACATTTAAAAATTATTCTGGGATTTGTGGTAAGTTCAGAAAAACACTTGAAACAGATTCAGTTGCTCCCAGGCTAAGTGTTTATGAGAACTTGAGGAGTGTGGGCACAACTCTCAGTCTCTCTCTGTCACCCAGACTGGAGTGCAGTGGCACGATCTCAGCTCACTGCAACCTCTGCCTCCTGGGTTCAAGCGATTCTCCTGCCTCAGCCTCCTGAGTAGCTGAGATTATAGGCGTGCACCACCACACTCGGCTAATTTTTTGTATTTTTGGTAGAGATGGGGTTTCACCATGTTGGGCCAGGCTGGTCTCGAACTCCTGACCTCAAGTGATCCGCCTGCCTCAGCCTCCCAAAATGCTGGGATTACAGGTGTGAGCCACCGCGCCCGGCCATCAACTCTTAAGTTTTTATGAGACATCAGTCCTGTTGTAAATTCAGAATCTGAGCAGTGGTCATTTTATGAATCAGTAAATTACTGCCTTACCCATAACAACTTTGACTGTTAAATGTTTTGTTTTCTTTTAAAGCCCATCGCCGAAGCACCATTCAAGTTCGACATGGAATTGGATGACTTGCCTAAGGAAAAGCTCAAAGAACTAATTTTTGAAGAGACTGCTAGATTCCAGCCAGGATACAGATCTTAAATTTGTCAGGTACCTGGAGTTTAATACAGTGAGCTCTAGCAAGGGAGGCGCTGCCTTTTGTTTCTAGAATATTATGTTCCTCAAGGTCCATTATTTTGTATTCTTTTCCAAGCTCCTTATTGGAAGGTATTTTTTTAAATTTAGAATTAAAAATTATTTAGAAAGTTACATATATTCTCCTAGGAATCTCTCTCTCGTTTATTAGAAACTCCAAGTACCTCCTTTACTCTCAAGGGTAGTGAATGTGATTATTTGGAAACAACTTTTTCATATTCCAGATTGTTCATCTTTGGGTTCTCATCCTTTCCTTGCTGCCTGTCCAGAGCAGTTTCACAGTTACATGAGCATCTCTCTGGAAAGGGTTCGCCTCAGGACTCCCTCCCATGGAAAGCAGAGCCACCAGTTAAATAAATTTAGTATTAGAGTCCTCTGTGCCTGCCCCTTCAGAAACTCCTAGCTGGGACCTGGTTCTACAGTTGATGTCACATGCAAGGGGCCCAGACCCTGTTACCAGTTCAGACTAGCAGTGTAGGCTGGAGAGCTGGAGAAACTTCATCCAGGAGATGGAGGCTGGGCTGGCCAGTCAGGGGGATTTACATGGGCCTGCACAGAAGCTACATGTGCTTAGATCATAAGGGAAGGTGAACAATGTGACAATATTGGTAGATTTTAAAAATTGAGCAGGCCCAACACAATGGCTCATGCCTATAATCCCAGCACTTTGAGAGGCTGAGGGGAGAGGATCGCTTGAATCTCAGAGTCCAAGGCTGCAATGAGCTATGATTGTATCACTGCACTCCATCCTGGGTGAACCCTGTGTCAGAAAAGAAAAGTATACAGGAAAAGAATGCAAATCTTGATTTTAGAGAGTATGTGACAAGAGGAGAGAGAACTGGACTTGTGTTTAGAACTCTATAGAAAGAAGCAGTGAATAAAGAATTGTGGGCCAGGTGCGGTGGCTCACACCTGTAATCCCAGCACTTTGGGAGGCCGAGGCAGGTGGATCACGAGGTCAGGAGATCGAGACCACGGTGAAACCCCGTCTCTACTAAAAATACAAAAAATTAGCTGGGCACAGTGGCAGGCGCCTGTAGTCCCAGCTACTCGGGAGGCTGAGGCAGGAGAATGGCGTGAACCCGGGAGGCGGAGCTTGCAGCAAGCCGAGATTGCGCCACTGCACTCCAGCCTGGGCGACAGAGCAAGACTCCGTCTCAAAAAAAAAAAAAAAAAAAAAGAATTGTGAGCCAAGGTAGAAGCAGTTGCTGGGGAGATGCTTTGGACAGAACCGTGTTGCAGTTAGAGGCGTCCATTCCCCGTCAGTAAGAACAAAGAACCAAGTAGACATGAGCTGAGGACTGACATGACCAACTCAGCCTCCAAGCAGATAGCCCTGAAAGCCAGGCAGGGCAACAGAACGAGGAATTGGTAGGGAATAGACACTAGTAGTTTGGGGGCCGGAAAATGGTGTTTTCAAAAGTCTGACATCAAAGCAGGAGGGGTTGAAATGAGGGAATACTGGGTAGGAGATCAGCTAAGAACAAATGCCTGGTCTTCCATACCAAAGGGGCCGTAGCCTTGGACTAGAAATGAAGTGGTGAGAAGCGGCAAATTCAAGAGGAGGAGGAAAGGCAAAGTCTTAAAGACTCCAAGTTTTCTAAACCTACCAACTTGGGGGAGGCAGGGCTGCTGGCACTGTTAAGCCCTCACTTAGCCTGCTGTTAACACCAGACGCACCCCAAAAGACGATCTCTCAAACCCAAGGGAAGTGTTGTGGAGTCACGCGAACAGGACGTGCAGTGGACTGCTAGCCATAAGCCTTGCGGAGTGACTGAGAAAGAAGCCTGTTATCAGCAGGGGCTGAGCTGGTTCATGTCTTCTGTTGCCCCATACACATGTGGCTCTCTAGTGGAGGAGGTGTTAGCCACAGTGATTTGCACAATCACTCACTGACAGAAAGCTGGGCCCCAGGATCCAACCATTTTCACACCTGCAGTCCCCACAGAACTTCCTTCCTGGCTCCTCTGTGAGGTGCTCACAGTGGAGCAATTGTCTCTGTTTCTCAAGAGTCCGTCCCTCTCCCTCCGTGAGGCTCCAGGACACACTCCCAGTGTCTGTACAAGGTCAGGTTAACTAGACCTTGGTCAGCCCGCTGCCTTTCCTCTACAGCAGCGGCGTGGGGTAGTCATAACAGACCTGGATGGCCTGTGAGGCCTGCCCTTCTGTGAAGAGCACTCTCTTGCCGTTTACAGAACCTAGAATATTGAGCTGAGCAACTTCTGTTGCTTTTCTTCCTTCACAGTTCCTTTCACAGTCATTTTCCCTCAGCCAGGTGGTGGCTTGTGAGCATCTCATCTCTGTCGCTTCAGGTCAGGCGGCAGTGCTGCCTGCTTAGTCTGCATTAGACACTAACAGCAAACGCGGCAAGCAGGACCTAAACACAGCCTCAGAGGGGCCCATGTAGTAGGGGAGAAAGACACACACACACACAACTGTGCACATTTTTAGTATAAAAGAGCTTCTGGGGTTGACGTGATAATTTGTTTTTCATCATTTAATCAGCATTGAGCACTTCCTTTCGCCAGTTAGGAAAGGAACAAAGATGAATAAAACCCAGGTTTTGCTTTCCAGCAGCCTCATAGCAGGAAATGTAAACAACAAGGAGTATACAGAGTCCCAGAGATGGACACAGGCATGGTGGGTCCCAGAGAGTAAGGCAGACATTAAAGCCTCACAGAGTGTGGCCGACTCGCGGCAGTTGTGCTGCAGCTGAAACCTGACAGTTGGGTTCTTTGCTGGTTGGGGAGGGGCACAGCTGTGTGGACCCTGGAAGGCGGGCATGCCAGACAGCTGGGCAAGAGGGGGGCTGCAGAGAAAGAGGCCAGCCCAGGCTGTGGCCCTTGCTTCCCCAGGAGGCCAGCTCTCCCTCACAGGTAGCTGCCTGACCTGAAGCAGTGGCTCAGGTGACTCTGGTGGCAGTAAGGATGCAGGAGGACCTCTGAGAGCAGGGACTTGGGGGAAAACTGGTCAGGCCACTGAAGAGACAGGCAGCACCGCAGGCACAAGGATGGCAAGACAGAGGCAGGGTTGCTCCTGAGGCCACAGGGCGCAGTTGCTGGCAGAACGCCTCCTGAAGCCAGCTTTGCAAGGCGGGGGACCAGTATCCCTCTCAGGTCCACCACCACTCTGAGAGTCCCGGCGTGGCAAGGACAGTCACCTCTGTGCGTTGTTCATTTGCTCCAGACACAGAAGACACACAGATGCTCCCTATGTGCTTATAGCATGATTTTTTTTCCCAACATTCTTTTAGTGACAGTTTTCAACTATTCTGAAAAGTTGAAGGAATTTAAAGTAGACACCCATATTCCCACCACCTAGATTATACAGTTAACATTAACATCTTACTTGTTTTCTCATAGATCTGTCCATCTGTTCCTCTATCCACCCATCAACCCATCGCATTTTATCCATTCATTGCAAAGGACGTTGCCAACGTCTAGACTGACTTACAATTTAGTCATCTAGAATATCACATGAATCCAGGGGAAGCTGGGGCTGGGTTGGCTGATTAAACTATGGGATAGGTTCTTTCATAAACATTTCATTTTGGTGATCACAACAGAATTTTGGGAAGTCAGCATGCATCCATGTTTATAATTGAGGAAACTGAAGACAGGAGCCTTTGAGCACTTCGCTCAAAATTGTACATCAAGTGGCAAAACTAGGCAGAGAATCCAGGTATTTTGGACCCAGAATGTCATTTTCTTGAAATGTTTGCCAGCATGAAACAGTGGCAGGCTGCACACTGCCTGTGATTAGCCTTGCTCCTTGGGAAAGTTCTCAGGACTCATTCACAATACTAAGGAGCATTGTCTCTGAGTTCCCAGCCCACACACTGGAGATCAGGAGCTCTGAATTGGAGAGCTCAGGAGGTAAAGGTGTAATAAAACATGGGAACACTGGGAGGGCACGGTTGACCGTTTGGCTGCAGCAAGAAAGGCTTAGAAACATACACCCCAGGACCACAGAGCACAGCTGTGGGGCCCCTTTGGTAGAGGAAGCAATGAAGTGATATTTGTAGTGGTGGCCGAAAGGTCTTAAAAAAGGGTCAAATTATATTCATTGTATTTTGCTTAAGGGGGTCAGTTTTAGAAATGTTTCCATGGGCAAGTTTAAAAGCTGATCATGCCTACTACCTGTGACAAGCCTCATTCCTACCCAGCCCATGTCCTCAGTCTCCTACCCTGTGAGGCGGGTGAAGGTAGAGGTCAGTGCTCAACTTCCTTCTTCATCTGCCTGATTGTGAATTTTCTCAGGTGGATTGATCACTAGGGGCATGAACCGCATTTCCCTTTGGTTTATTGAAGATGAAAGCATTTTAGGGCAGCTTTAATTTCCTGCCAACCCGTAGGTTTGGCTGCAGTTCACCTCTACATAAAAGAGACCACTTCTCCCTCTTAGCCCATCTCCAAGTCCACAGTTTGGCTATAGTTAGCCCATTCTTCTTGCCCCACCTCCTGAGTGGCAGATGGAAACCACAGCTCTGAAAGTGCTCTGTGAAATAGTAAGTGATACTCTGCTAGATTTTCATGCACTAGTGTTGGATATCTTACGGTAAATAAAGGACATCTTAGGAACACTGCAGTCAGCGTAGGCTGGGGGAGTGGCGTCTTTCCTATGAGTGTTGTGGAAACCACCTCAGAACTGTCTGAGAGGAGGTGCCTGTGGAGTGAGGGCTGACCCTGGCCCCTTCAGAACTGCCATGTGTTATCCTTGCCCAAATGTGTCCAAAGAAATGGCCATTTTGCAGGAGTCTTTTTTCCCTTTTCTGTTTTCATAATGCTATTGCTGCTGCTGCTGTTTTAATGTGGTTCACTGTTGTCACTTTTGTGTTTTGTGATGCTGATGATGATGCTGTTTTCACATGGCTCACTCTTAACTCAGTGGTCTGTTTGTGTTTCTATAGGACAAGGGCTCAGAGGACTGGACGTGCTCAGACATCGGTGTTCTTCTTCCCAGTTCTTGACCCCTGGTCCTGTCTCCAGCCCGTCTTGGCTTATCCACTTTGACTCCTTTGAGCCGTTTGGAGGGGCGGTTTCTGGTAGTTGTGGCTTTTATGCTTTCAAAGAATTTCTTCAGTCCAGAGAATTCCTCCTGGCAGCCCTGTGTGTGTCACCCATTGGTGACCTGCGGCAGTATGTACTTCAGTGCACCTACTGCTTACTGTTGCTTTAGTCACTAATTGCTTTCTGGTTTGAAAGATGCAGTGGTTCCTCCCTCTCCTGAATCCTTTTCTACATGATGCCCTGCTGACCATGCAGCCGCACCAGAGAGAGATTCTTCCCCAATTGGCTCTAGTCACTGGCATCTCACTTTATGATAGGGAAGGCTACTACCTAGGGCACTTTAAGTCAGTGACAGCCCCTTATTTGCACTTCACCTTTTGACCATAACTGTTTCCCCAGAGCAGGAGCTTGTGGAAATACCTTGGCTGATGTTGCAGCCTGCAGCAAGTGCTTCCGTCTCCGGAATCCTTGGGGAGCACTTGTCCACGTCTTTTCTCATATCATGGTAGTCACTAACATATATAAGGTATGTGCTATTGGCCCAGCTTTTAGAAAATGCAGTCATTTTTCTAAATAAAAAGGAAGTACTGCACCCAGCAGTGTCACTCTGTAGTTACTGTGGTCACTTGTACCATATAGAGGTGTAACACTTGTCAAGAAGCGTTATGTGCAGTACTTAATGTTTGTAAGACTTACAAAAAAAGATTTAAAGTGGCAGCTTCACTCGACATTTGGTGAGAGAAGTACAAAGGTTGCAGTGCTGAGCTGTGGGCGGTTTCTGGGGATGTCCCAGGGTGGAACTCCACATGCTGGTGCATATACGCCCTTGAGCTACTTCAAATGTGGGTGTTTCAGTAACCACGTTCCATGCCTGAGGATTTAGCAGAGAGGAACACTGCGTCTTTAAATGAGAAAGTATACAATTCTTTTTCCTTCTACAGCATGTCAGCATCTCAAGTTCATTTTTCAACCTACAGTATAACAATTTGTAATAAAGCCTCCAGGAGCTCATGACGTGAAGCACTGTTCTGTCCTCAAGTACTCAAATATTTCTGATACTGCTGAGTCAGACTGTCAGAAAAAGCTAGCACTAACTCGTGTTTGGAGCTCTATCCATATTTTACTGATCTCTTTAAGTATTTGTTCCTGCCACTGTGTACTGTGGAGTTGACTCGGTGTTCTGTCCCAGTGCGGTGCCTCCTCTTGACTTCCCCACTGCTCTCTGTGGTGAGAAATTTGCCTTGTTCAATAATTACTGTACCCTCGCATGACTGTTACAGCTTTCTGTGCAGAGATGACTGTCCAAGTGCCACATGCCTACGATTGAAATGAAAACTCTATTGTTACCTCTGAGTTGTGTTCCACGGAAAATGCTATCCAGCAGATCATTTAGGAAAAATAATTCTATTTTTAGCTTTTCATTTCTCAGCTGTCCTTTTTTCTTGTTTGATTTTTGACAGCAATGGAGAATGGGTTATATAAAGACTGCCTGCTAATATGAACAGAAATGCATTTGTAATTCATGAAAATAAATGTACATCTTCTATCTTCACATTCATGTTAAGATTCAGTGTTGCTTTCCTCTGGATCAGCGTGTCTGAATGGACAGTCAGGTTCAGGTTGTGCTGAACACAGAAATGCTCACAGGCCTCACTTTGCCGCCCAGGCACTGGCCCAGCACTTGGATTTACATAAGATGAGTTAGAAAGGTACTTCTGTAGGGTCCTTTTTACCTCTGCTCGGCAGAGAATCGATGCTGTCATGTTCCTTTATTCACAATCTTAGGTCTCAAATATTCTGTCAAACCCTAACAAAGAAGCCCCGACATCTCAGGTTGGATTCCCTGGTTCTCTCTAAAGAGGGCCTGCCCTTGTGCCCCAGAGGTGCTGCTGGGCACAGCCAAGAGTTGGGAAGGGCCGCCCCACAGTACGCAGTCCTCACCACCCAGCCCAGGGTGCTCACGCTCACCACTCCTGTGGCTGAGGAAGGATAGCTGGCTCATCCTCGGAAAACAGACCCACATCTCTATTCTTGCCCTGAAATACGCGCTTTTCACTTGCGTGCTCAGAGCTGCCGTCTGAAGGTCCACACAGCATTGACGGGACACAGAAATGTGACTGTTACCGGATAACACTGATTAGTCAGTTTTCATTTATAAAAAAGCATTGACAGTTTTATTACTCTTGTTTCTTTTTAAATGGAAAGTTACTATTATAAGGTTAATTTGGAGTCCTCTTCTAAATAGAAAACCATATCCTTGGCTACTAACATCTGGAGACTGTGAGCTCCTTCCCATTCCCCTTCCTGGTACTGTGGAGTCAGATTGGCATGAAACCACTAACTTCATTCTAGAATCATTGTAGCCATAAGTTGTGTGCTTTTTATTAATCATGCCAAACATAATGTAACTGGGCAGAGAATGGTCCTAACCAAGGTACCTATGAAAAGCGCTAGCTATCATGTGTAGTAGATGCATCATTTTGGCTCTTCTTACATTTGTAAAAATGTACAGATTAGGTCATCTTAATTCATATTAGTGACACGGAACAGCACCTCCACTATTTGTATGTTCAAATAAGCTTTCAGACTAATAGCTTTTTTGGTGTCTAAAATGTAAGCAAAAAATTCCTGCTGAAACATTCCAGTCCTTTCATTTAGTATAAAAGAAATACTGAACAAGCCAGTGGGATGGAATTGAAAGAACTAATCATGAGGACTCTGTCCTGACACAGGTCCTCAAAGCTAGCAGAGATACGCAGACATTGTGGCATCTGGGTAGAAGAATACTGTATTGTGTGTGCAGTGCACAGTGTGTGGTGTGTGCACACTCATTCCTTCTGCTCTTGGGCACAGGCAGTGGGTGTAGAGGTAACCAGTAGCTTTGAGAAGCTACATGTAGCTCACCAGTGGTTTTCTCTAAGGAATCACAAAAGTAAACTACCCAACCACATGCCACGTAATATTTCAGCCATTCAGAGGAAACTGTTTTCTCTTTATTTGCTTATATGTTAATATGGTTTTTAAATTGGTAACTTTTATATAGTATGGTAACAGTATGTTAATACACACATACATACGCACACATGCTTTGGGTCCTTCCATAATACTTTTATATTTGTAAATCAATGTTTTGGAGCAATCCCAAGTTTAAGGGAAATATTTTTGTAAATGTAATGGTTTTGAAAATCTGAGCAATCCTTTTGCTTATACATTTTTAAAGCATTTGTGCTTTAAAATTGTTATGCTGGTGTTTGAAACATGATACTCCTGTGGTGCAGATGAGAAGCTATAACAGTGAATATGTGGTTTCTCTTACGTCATCCACCTTGACATGATGGGTCAGAAACAAATGGAAATCCAGAGCAAGTCCTCCAGGGTTGCACCAGGTTTACCTAAAGCTTGTTGCCTTTTCTTGTGCTGTTTATGCGTGTAGAGCACTCAAGAAAGTTCTGAAACTGCTTTGTATCTGCTTTGTACTGTTGGTGCCTTCTTGGTATTGTACCCCAAAATTCTGCATAGATTATTTAGTATAATGGTAAGTTAAAAAATGTTAAAGGAAGATTTTATTAAGAATCTGAATGTTTATTCATTATATTGTTACAATTTAACATTAACATTTATTTGTGGTATTTGTGATTTGGTTAATCTGTATAAAAATTGTAAGTAGAAAGGTTTATATTTCATCTTAATTCTTTTGATGTTGTAAACGTACTTTTTAAAAGATGGATTATTTGAATGTTTATGGCACCTGACTTGTAAAAAAAAAAAACTACAAAAAAATCCTTAGAATCATTAAATTGTGTCCCTGTATTACCAAAATAACACAGCACCGTGCATGTATAGTTTAATTGCAGTTTCATCTGTGAAAACGTGAAATTGTCTAGTCCTTCGTTATGTTCCCCAGATGTCTTCCAGATTTGCTCTGCATGTGGTAACTTGTGTTAGGGCTGTGAGCTGTTCCTCGAGTTGAATGGGGATGTCAGTGCTCCTAGGGTTCTCCAGGTGGTTCTTCAGACCTTCACCTGTGGGGGGGGGGGTAGGCGGTGCCCACGCCCATCTCCTCATCCTCCTGAACTTCTGCAACCCCACTGCTGGGCAGACATCCTGGGCAACCCCTTTTTTCAGAGCAAGAAGTCATAAAGATAGGATTTCTTGGACATTTGGTTCTTATCAATATTGGGCATTATGTAATGACTTATTTACAAAACAAAGATACTGGAAAATGTTTTGGATGTGGTGTTATGGAAAGAGCACAGGCCTTGGACCCATCCAGCTGGGTTCAGAACTACCCCCTGCTTATAACTGCGGCTGGCTGTGGGCCAGTCATTCTGCGTCTCTGCTTTCTTCCTCTGCTTCAGACTGTCAGCTGTAAAGTGGAAGCAATATTACTTGCCTTGTATATGGTAAAGATTATAAAAATACATTTCAACTGTTCAGCATAGTACTTCAAAGCAAGTACTCAGTAAATAGCAAGTCTTTTTAAATGCTGCTTTATTTCACTAAATTTTGTTGTGAGGTGTCACTAAAATGCCTGCAAACAAACGTAACTGCTAATCTGAGAGGAAACCCTCTTACTAATCAGAGAAGAAACCCTCCTGTCAGAAACCTTCAGGGAAGTGAGCTGATCACACCTAAACTGGGAGTTTGCAATGGGGTATTTGAAGCACTGTGGGAGTATTCCACTGGCCCTCTCCCTGAGAGACTTAACAGTCTTCCCTGTTGTCCAGATTCTGTATAAGGCAATCAGAATAATCATCTTCCTTGTTCAGCAGAGGAGCCTGGTCCCATTTTCCCCACTTTGTGATGGGCTTCTCTCAGCGGTAGCTCAGCAGTTCCAGATGGCAGTTTGGACCAGCATCTAGGCTGGCCAGTTCGCTGTGTTTACTTAGAACCAACACGTTCAGAGCTGGCCTGGACCATCTGAGGGGAACAGGAAACACCCCTAGGCTGTGGAAGCAAGTGCAGACCCCCACCCCCGGCCCTGAAGCCAAGGGGGCAGGGTTTGGGAGTGGCCAAAGAGAAGCAGTGCAGGGATGGGTTTTCCTAGGGACAGGCTTAGCATTCCTGACTCTAGGAAGAAGGAGCAGTGAGGCGGAGAAACAGTGGAGGGGATGGTGGCATTGGGCCCCATGGGGCCGAGATGGACACAGGGCTCGTTCTCTTGAGTCTGGTGCCAAGGACAGCTGAAGACGACATCATTTTCAGGTGGAGAGGAGAGAGTGGAGGGAGATCATGCCCTGTGATGTGTCTTTTGCAGGTGAAGGTGGGAGACAAGGTCTCTGCTGACGATGAGGCAGAGCCACCGTGAAAGTTGTAATAGGAGGACTGCCCGCCGCTGGAAGGGCCTGCAGTGACGCTAGGACACCCTCTGCCTGCATGTCACGTTAGCTGGGCTGGGCGAAGTAGAAGACCAAGGGGAAGAGGTGCAGTGGGGAGACCAGGTGGGATGCAACCACAGGACCAGTGGAGGGGCTGTGGCACGTGGGCGGAGACTGAGTGGCTGGGCATGTGTTGTGGCTGAGCATGTGGTGTGGGCAGTGGTCCTAGACCCCGCCATGTCCGGACAATGATATAGAGCGTCTCAGCATCGCCAGTCTAGACTGTCTATGGAGAGCAGAAAGTTGTCTGGGGCTGCCTGGGGAACTGTGAGGCCAGCTATATCACCGTCGCTGATGGTGACATTACGGTGGTGGCAGGAGCAAGGAGAGAGGGAAGAAGGACCCCGTCCAGCTTTAGTCACAAAATACCCAATGGAAGATGCCAGTGCCAATCCTGTGGGTTTCCTTGGGACTTCACACTGGCTTTCTTATCTGCTCCAGATCCATTCAGTAGTCACTGAGTTCCTGCCAAATACTTTGTAGCGCCAGAAGCCAGGAGCGGGGTCTGCAGCAGGGCAGTCCCCATTTTCAGGAAATGCCTGGAGCTGCTGGTCCCTGAGAGAAAGGAAAACATCTTTCAGCCGTACGCAGGCCAAGAAGGCCAATGTCCAGTAGCTTTGTGATTTTTTTTATATTTTTTTATTTATTTATTTTTGAGATAGAGTCTTGCTCTGTCGCTCAGGCTGGAGTGCAGTGGCGTGATCTCCACTCACTGCAACTTCCGCCTCCTGGGGTCAAGCAGTTCTGCCTCAGCCTCCCGAGTAGCTGGGATTACAGGCACACGCCACCACACCCAGCTAATTTTTGTGTTTTTAGTAGAGACGGTTTCACCATGTCGGCCAGGCTGGTCTCAAACTCCTGACCTCAGATGATTCAGCCTCCCAAAGTGCTGGGATTACAGGTGTGAGCCACTGCACCCAGCCTGTGATGTTTCTGTGGGGTTCCACAAATGTGTGTGTGTGTAAAAGCTGATGATTACAGCAAGAATGTGAACAGTAGCAGTTTTCCATTTGAAGGCAAGTTTTGTCTTTATCTGGGTATCAGAAGGACCCTCTGGGCCATTGTCGCTTCCTGTACTCAGAGCCACCCTAGTACTACGGGCACACACAGAAAACAGCAGCCTGCGTACTTTCAAAGGAAAGGCATCTTTAATCACCAATGCCTGGAAAAATTATTTTGTTTCCCTCTTCCTTCCGTCTTGTTTCCTAACTTCTTACCAAAGTTTAGAGTCTGAGTTTTTCGTATAATAATGTCCCACATCCACACATCGGGCCTACAGATGCTCTCCCTTGAATCGACTGGAAACATGACACCGGTTCCATGCTCTGGAACTGTCACCTGTGATGTGCTGGGCTGTGTCCCAAGCACAGGAATCCCAGCAGTTTCAGCTCGATGCAGAACCACCATGCTCCAGACACAGGCTTGGGAAAGACACGTCAAAATTAAAATACTAGGTAAGAGAAGCACCTGATTGGGTAGAAGTTGGAGAGGAATCCTGGAATTTTGTGGCCAGAAGGAGCCACTGCCCCTTTTGTTTAGTAAGACTAGACAGTAACAGAAGCCAGTTGTCAGCTATGAAAGTGGTGGGTGAAGCAGGGGAGGCTCCTCTATGGTGGGACCCTGGACAAGGGAAGCCGAATGTGTGAAGAAGGGGTGCGGGGGTGTGCGGTGCCCTAGGACACTAGGGCAAAGGTTTCAAACCTGGAACAAGGCACTGGAGGAAGATCTGCTGCCAGTCAGCAGTGCGGGCCCTCGAGTTAGCAGTCCGTGCGCAGAGGGGCCAGTTCTGAGACCAGTTTGGAGAGTCAGGCAGTGACCCATTGGCCATGTCATAATTCCTTCAGCCTGCCTCCTCTTTAATCCCAGAGAGTGCTCTTTCTTCATACTTCCTTTAAAATACTAAATTGTTCCCATTCCATGGGGAGCTGGCTAGGCTTTACAGGCTAGGAAATGTAGGTTTTCTGAGATGGAACCATCTACACAAGGAGGAGGAAGGCACTAAGACTACAGATGAGACCCATGACAGGGCTGAGCATTTGGAAGCCAACCCTGGTTGCTTTTCAAGAATTGCTTTGTGGCTGGGTGCAGTGGTTCACACCTGTAATTGCAGCACTTTGGGAGGCTGAGGCAGGTGGATTGCTTGAACCCAGGAGTTCGAGACCAGCCTGGGCAACATATGGGACACCCCACCGCCCCCGGCTCTGCAAAAAAATTAAAAATTAGCCAGGCGTGGTGTCATGAGCCTGTGGTCTCAACTACTCAGGAGGCTGAGGCTGGAGGATCGCTTGAACCTGGGAGGTCAAGGCTCCAGTGAACCATAATTGTGCCACTGCACTGCAGCCTGGGCGACAATTTGTTTTCTAAATTGCTTTTGAAAGTCTACTGCATTACATATTCCAAAAAGCAGTGGTTTTCAAATACTTTTATCACCGATATCCTTTTATGAAATGAAATCAGTAGAACTTTCTCTGCTCTGAATAAGCAAGGGTGGGAACCTGTCTACCTCCCACAGATAGCATAATGTGCCTGCCATAGAGGAGCCAAAAAATGGTGATGGGAACTGAGAGGAGAGCAAATGTCACAAAAGACTGAGCAATTGAGAAAACAAAACAAGACCACAGATGACTGTTAACGCCTCCACAGTGGACCAAGAAAGGACAGAGAGCTGGCAGCATGGGCATCACTGTCTGGTCGGCAGCAGGAAGGCCTCGCTAGGGAATTGAGTACAGTCATCTAACTAGTTTAAAAGTACAGGAAGGATGATTAAGGCTATTGGAGAGGTCATACAAATAGGGGAGGGGCAGGCAATGGCTGATAAGACATGAATTTGTAAGGCGATGAGTATTGCAGTCAGCAAAACAAACGAGACTGCTCTCCCAACACATAACTCAGCAGGGAGGCCAGGCATTGGTTTAACCATTTAATATAAAGAAGTTAAAATTACAAATGCGCTAAGTGCCTAAAGAAGAATAAGTGCAGGAATGAGAGCAGCATGGACTGCCACAGTTTTAGAATAAGCACTGTCACTGCTAGATTGGAAACAAAAATCCATAAATTTGGCCCGGTGTGGTGGCGGACGCCTGTAGTCCCAGCTACTTGGAGGCTGAGGCGTGAGAATCGCTTGAACCCGGGAGGCGGAGGTTGCAGTGAGCCGAGATGGCGCCACTGCACTCCAGCCTGGGCGTCAGAGTGAGAACTCTGTATCAAAAAATAAAAATAAAAAAAAGTCCATAAATCTGCAATGTCTCAGTTAAGAAAGAAAGACTGGGCCAATGCAGATTTCAAACCGGAGAAAGTCATACTGTCAGTGAAGGCCGCCTGTGGCCGGAAGGCGCCAGGGGATTAGCACCCTGGACTCAGTGTTGCTGGGAAACAGGGCCCCAAGGCTGGGAGCACAGTGTTTAAAGGGCATCTACCCAAGAAGGGAGCACAGGGCAAGGAGGAGCTGCAGGGGGGCTTGGCTGCCAAAGTGAATTCTGAGGAGAGAGCTATTGCTGCCTACGATATGCAGGCTGCACAGAACACAAGTGGAATCAGCAGGCAGGAGAGGCAGCTAACGACGCAGCCCGTTTCTTATTTCTGTTTTCTCACAAGCGATGAAAGTGGAAAAGAGGGTGAGCAGGTGGCCCACACATGTGCCTCCAGTGCTGCGGCCCCTCCGGGGACCATCAGCCAGGCCCCGGGGAGGGAGCCAGCCACAGTGTGTCCGGCTCTTCTCTGAAGGGAAGAGAGCCTTGAATAGACTGAAGCGAAGACGGTTCTGCAAGGACAAGGCAGACCGAAGGCATTGGTTTTTTTTTTCAGATAAGGAGAATTAGACTCCCAAGTAGACACCAGAGTCACTGTTTGGTTGGTGGGTGATAGTGGGGTCACAGTGGCTGCCTGTGCTCCCCCAGGGTGAGCGTGACTGTGCTAACCTGGGTGGGGCAGCATGCACACCCCTCTGGCAGCCCTTTGTTGCTCGCTGATGACAAGTTTGGATGATCCCGCCAAACAGCTTGCTAAGATGTAGTCCCCAGTGTTGGAGGTGGGGCCTGATGGGAGGTGCTACCCTTGTGAGATAAGGTTGTGTAAAAGCCTGTGGCACCTCCCCACACTGACGCTCTCACCCCTGCTCTGGCCATGTGCCGCGCCTGCTCCCACTTCCCCTTCTGCCAGGAGTAAAAGCCCCCGAGACCTCCCAGAAGCCAAGCAGATGCTAGTGCCATGCTTCCTCTGCAGCCTGCAGAACTGTGAGCCAATTAAACCTCTTTTCTCTATAAATTATGCAGTCTCAGGTATTCTTTTATACCAACACAAGAACAGCCTAACACTCACATATCCGACGTTGACACGAAACCGACTCAGGGTTAAGTGTATACACAAGCTCCCCTGTTTTAAGAAGGTGCTATCATTGGCAGGGCGCGGTGGCTCACACCTGTAATCCCATCACTTTGGGAGGCCGAGGCAGGCGGATCACAAGGTCAGGAGTTTGAGACCAGCCTGGCCAATATGGTGAAACCCCACTTCTACTAAAAATACAAAAATTAGCCAGGCATGGTGGCTTGTGCCTGTGGTCCCAGCTGCTCGGGAGGCTGAGGCAGGAGAATTGCTTGAACCCAGGAGGTGGAGGTTGCAGTGAGCCGAGGTTGCGCCACTGCACTCCAGCCTGGGTGACAGAGCGAGACTCCGTCTCAAAAAAAAAAAGAACGTGCTGTCATCAAAATAGGCACCACCTGAGATCAGAGAACACAGAGTTTCCCCTGGCAAAAGGAGCTCCAAAGGGAAGACAGACACACCCAGCCACCCAGGCTGGCCATATCTGGGCACTGGAGGAAGTGTCCCGGCAGCAAGGGCTCTGGTGACTGCTCTGTGAGGATTCCTCGTGGCTGAGACGTTGGCCCGGCCCCACCTTGGCACAATCTAGTTGGAGCATCCACTAGATGCTCCCATGAGCTGTGCAGCCCAAGGTTGAGGTCAGAGATAGCAAGGCCACCTGGGTGACAGCATGGTCTGCTGCATGCCACGCCCCTCCCCTCTTTGTCTTTGCTTTGTGCTTTCTTTTCCTAGGAGGTGGCAGGTGTACATTTCTGGCTCTGAGCCCATGTCAGACCCCCAAAGGAGCCCCCACTGTCCTGATCCCCTGCACGGCACCCCACCACAAGCAGCAGGCACACGTGGTGGGAATCAGGTAACGCAGTTCCCCCGGGAAGCCCCTTCCATGGAAGACCACTCCTGCTGCTGCAGCCTGCTGGTCCTGTGCCCTTTCAGGATCAGCCCTTCGACCCCAGCCAAGGGCCCTGGCCAGGCCTCCACTGCCGGCCCCAAGGCTTAATGCACAGCATGTGCCTGCCAGATCTGACTCCAGAGGATGGAGGAAAGGCCCAAGACCACACAGCCCTGGGCCACAGCAGAGAGCAGGACACTCCTGGTGTGCAGGAGAATTTCCAAGGTGCAGCACCTCTTGACAGATACACCAGGAGGTTTAATACTTTGTATTACCTTGGTAACCAGAGAAGAGGAATCATTAAAACTCGAAAATAGTGCTGTGTGCTGTGCAGTGGCTCACACCTGTAATCCCTGTGCTTTGACAGGCCAAGGTAAGAGGATCTCTTGAAACTAGGTGTTCAGAGCCAGCCTGGACAACACAGGTTGTATTTACCTCTACAAAAAATAATGAAAAAAAAAATTAGCCAGGTATAGTGGCGCATGCCCGTGGTCCCAGCTACTGGAGAGGCTGAGGCAGGAGGATCACTTGAACCCAGTGGTTCAAGGCTGCAGTGAGCTATGATCGCACCACTGCACTCCTCCTGGGCAACAGAGCAAGACCCACTCTCTTTAAAAGAAAAAATGCCATGTCAGCCAGCAGTGGGGAGGCTACATGCAGGTGCCGAGAACTCCAGGACGTTTCTGTCCACAGAAATCTTTCATTTTACCTCCTGCCATTGATGCTTTCATCTGTTCACTCTGCACAAGTAGACCTTGCACTGCATTTACGAATGTTTGGCTCTCCAGGACTGTAATGTTAAATCTTGAAGGTTGTAATTAACATTCCATTGTCAGGATCGTCTCAGATCACTGGAAGCCCATGTCTCTCCTTGGCCATGGTTATCAAACTCCTCTTAGACAAGTCCTGACCCCTGTGAGGCCCCCGAAGCCTCTCTCTTCAGCAAACCTGGTCATTCCTCCCCTCTTGCTCATCTCTCTATTTTTAAAGTAGATTTTACTCTTTTAGTACCGCTTTTTACAGAGTAATTAAGCAGATAGTACATGGAGTCCCACACACCCACCCCTGCACCATCAGCACACCTATCCCCCGCCAACCCTTGACAGCCATGCGGCTTTTTACTGTTGCTGTGGTTTTGCCTTTCTAAAATGTCATGTAGTTAGAACAGAATGTGTCATTTTCAGACATCTTTCAGCCATATGCAGTCAATATTCCACCATGTCTGTTGGTGGCTACATAGCTCATTTCTTCTTATCACTGAATAATATTCCATTGTATGGATATACCACTGATTGTGTCTCCATTCAGCTATCAACGTCTCACTTGCTTCCCAGTTTTGGCAATTATAGATAAAGCTGCTGTAAACATCCATGTGCAGGTTTTTGTGTGGACTTAAGTTTTCAACTCATTTGACATGACTCTACCAGGCCCAGATGTTTTAAAGAGGAAATATCAGCCGGGCGCGGGGGCTCACGCCTGTAATCCCAGCACTTTGGGAGGCCCGGCGGGGGCGGATCACAAGGTCAGGAGTTCGAGACCAGCCTGGCCAAGATGGTGAAAGCCTGTCTCTACTAAAAATACAAAAATTAGCCGGGCGTGGTGGCAGGTGCCTGTCATCCCAGCTACTCAGGAGGCTGAGGCAGTAGAATCACTTGAACCCAGGAGGCAGAGGTTGAAGTGAACTGAGATGGCACCACTGCACTCCAGCCTGGGTGACAGAGTGAGACTCTGTCTCAAAAAAAAAAAAAAAAAAAATCAATTCTCTACAATCTCTTCCAGAAAATAGAAACAGAGGAATCACTCATAACTCATTCTATGATTGCCAGCATTACCTTAATCCCAAAACCAGATAAAGATGTTATATAGGCTGGGCGCAGTGACCACGCCTGTAATCCCAGCACTTTGGGAGGCCGGGGCAGGTGGATCACTTGAGGTCAGGAGTTCAAGACCAGCCTGGCCAACATGGTGAAACCCCGTTTCTACTAAAAAGTACCAAAAAATTAGCTGTGCATGGTGGCACATGCCTGTAATCCCAGCTACTTGGGAGGCTGAGGCAGGACAATCTATTGCACCCAGGAGGTGGAGGTTGCAGTGAGCCAAGATCACGCCATTGCACTCCAGCCTGGGTGACAGAGCGAGACTCTGTCTCAAAAAATAAATAAATAGGAAAACTATGGAGCAATATCTTTTCATGATCATAGATGCAAAAATGCTCAGTAAAATACGAGCAAATAGAAACCAACAATGTATAAAAAGAAGTATAGGTCTTGATCAGGTGGGATTGATTCCTGGTATGCAAATCTGGCTCAACATTCAAAAATCAGGCCAGTTTTACAGGCTCACACTTGTAATCCCAGCATGTTAGGGCTGAGGCAGTCAGATCACTTGAGCCCAGGAGTTTAAGACCAGTCTGGTCAATGTGGCAAAACCCCATCTCTACAAAAAATATACAAACAGCCAGGCATGGTGGCCAGTGCCTGTGGTCCCAGCTCCTCGGGAGGCTGAGGTGGGAGCAACACCTAGGCCCAGGAAGTCAAAGCTGCAGTGAGTGGTGACGGCAAAACTCCACTTCTGCCTGGGAGACAGAGTGAAATCCTGCCTAAAAAAAAAAATCAGGGCCGGGCACAGTGGCTTATGCCTGTAATCCCAGCACTTTGGGAAGCCAAGGCAGGTGGATCACCTGAGGTCAGGAGTTCGAGACCAGCCTGGCCAACATGGCAAAACCTCGTCTCTACTAAAAATACAAAAATTAGCTGGGCGTGGTGGCACGCGCCTGTAATCCCAGCTACTCGGGAGGCTGAGGCAAGAGAATCACTTGAACCCAGGAGGTGGAGGTTGCAGTGAGCCGAGATGGCACCATTGCACTCCAGTCTAGGCGACAAAGCGAGACTCTGCCTCAAAAAAATAAATAAATAAATAAACTATGATCATCACATCAACAGGCTAAAAAAGAAAAATCATATATGATCAGATAGATTCAGAAAGAAGCCAGGCATGGTGGCTTGCAACTGTACTCCCTGCTACTCAGAAGGCTGAGACAGGAGGATCACCTAAGCCCAGGAACTTCAGACCAGACTCAGCAACAAAATCTGACATCCATTCATGGTAAAAACTCCCAGCAAATTAGAATAGAGAGGAACTTTCTTAGCTTGATAAAGAACATCTACAAAACACCCACAGCTAACATACTTAATGGTGAAAAACAAGAAGTTCACCCTCTACAATTGGGTGTCCCCTCCCACCACTCTGATTATACATAGTATTGAAAGAGAAAAACCACCATCCTAGTATATTGTGTCCAATGAAACTGTTTTTCATAATGGAGATAAAATAGCTGGGCATAGTGGTTCACGCCTGTAATCCCAGCACTTTGGGAGGCCAAGGCAGGAGGATTTCTTGAGGCCAGCAGTTTGAGACCAGCCTGGGCAACAAAGTGAGACCTGCCTCTACCAAAAAAAAAAAGAAAAAGGAAAAAAAAATCTCAGCTTGGTTCCACAAGCCCTGTAGTCCCATCTACTTAGGAGGCTGAGGCAGGAGGATCACTTGAGTCTAGAAGTTCAAGACTGCAGTGAGCTATGATGGCACCACTGTACTCCAATTTGAGTGACAGAGGAAGAGCCTGTCTCAAAAACAAAACAAGGCCAGGTGCGGTGCCTCACACTTGTAATCCCAGCACTTTGGGAGGCCGAGGCGGATGGATCACCTGAGGTCAGGAGTTCAAGACCATCCTGGCCAACATGGTGAGACCCCGTCTCTACTAAAAATACAAAAATTAGCTAGGTGTGGTGGTGGACACCTGTAATCCCAGCTTCTTGAGAGGCTGAGGCAGGAGAATCGCTAGAACCCAGAGGCGGAGGTTGCAGTCAGCCAAGATCATGCCATTGCACTCTAGCCTGGGAGACAAAGTGAGATTCTGTCTCAGAAACAAAACAAAACAAAATGCCAGGCACAGTGGCTCACTCCTATAATCCCAGCACTTTGGGAGGCCAAGGTGGGAGGATTGCTTGAGTCTAGGAGTTCAAAGTTGCAGTGAGCTAGGATCGTACCACTGCACTCCACCCTAAGCCACAGAGCAAGCCCCTGCCTCTAAAATATAAATACTTTATTAGACAAGCAAAAACAGAGGGAAATTGTTGCCAGTAGCACTGCTTTATAAGAAATGTTAAAATAAGATCTTTACCAGCCTGGGCAACATTGTGAAACCCCATCTCTACAAAAAATACAAAAATTGGGCATGGTGGCTCACACCTGTAGTCCTAGCTACTTCGGGGCTGAGGCGGGAGGATCACTTGAGCCCTGGAGGCAGAGGTTGTAGTGAGCCGTGATTGCACCACTGCACTCCAGCCTGGGTAATAGAGTGAGGCCCTGTTTCAAAAAAAAAAAAAAAAAAAACTTCTTGAGAGGGAAGGAGAATGGTATAAGATAGAAGCTCAGATCTACATAAACATTTTAAATCCCTGCTCCTCTCTTAAGGCTTCCATTTTTCTGCTTACATCACCCATCTGTTCTTGCCTGTCCCACTTTTTCCATTAGCGCCCTTAGCATACTAATCCTAGGTATTTTAAATTCTCAGTCTGATCATTCCGAAGTCTCTGACATCTGAGTCTGGCTCTGTCAGTTGCTTTGTCTCTTCAAACTGTGTTTTTTTCTTATCTTTTAGCATGCCTTACAATTTTTTGTTGAAAGATGTGATCTTTTGGGTAATAACACTGAGGTGGATAGGCCTTTAGTGTGAAGTTTTTCTGTTTTTCTGGCTAACAGGCTGTGTTTTGCTGTAGATGTCAGAGACTAAAATGTTCTTCAGTGTCTTTGTTTCTCTTTCCCCTATTGTCTTTGTTTTTTCCCTGGAGACTTTTTCTTAAGTGGAGCCTGAGCCTTGGGTTCTTTCAGCAGTGACCCTCTGTATTTTGCGGGAGCCTTGCAGTTGGGGTGCCAAGGTGTGGACAGAGGGGAAGCGCTCTGGAATCCCATGATTAGCTGTCAGTCTTTTAGTAAGCCTGTGTCCCTGGGCTGTGACCTTCACAGGTGCATCTCAGCTTTTTTTGCCCTCTTGGGTAAGTCACAAGGGCCAGCAAGAACCAGAGGGTGTATCCCTTCCCCCGTGTTGGGTAAGGCTCTGGGAGGTCTTCTCTCCTGCTGGCTGGTCTTTGTTGTTGAGAACACTCTAGGAACAATTCAAAATGGTTGCTTTTCCCTTCTCCCTGGTCAAACACCAGGGATTTCCCTCCATTCTTCACTATGAGAACCTGGTGGGGCCCCTTGGAGGTAAAACCAACAAAAGTGTGAGAGTCCCCCTTAGACTGGATCCCCATGAGGTTGTTGGGTGTTTTTGTTTTTGTTTTGAGACGGAGTCTCTCTCCATCACAGTGCAGTGGCACAATCTCGGCTCACTGCAACCTCCGCCTCCCGGGTTCAAGCAGTTCTCCTGCCTCAGCCTCCCAAGTAACTAGGATTACAGGCACCTGCCACCACACCCGGCTAATTTTTGTATTTTCAGTAGAAACGGGGTTTCACCATGTTGGCCTGGCTGGTCTCAAACTCCTGACCTCAAGTGATCCACCCACCTCAGCTTCCCAAAATGCTGGGATTACTGGCGTGAGCCATGGCGCCTGGCCCCCGCAATGAGTTTTGTTTTTGTTTTTGTTTTGAGACAGAATCTTGCTCTGTCGCTCAGGCTGGAGTGCAGTGGTGCTATCTCGGCTCACTGCAAGCTGCACCTCCCGGGTTCACGCCATTCTCCTCTCTCAGCCTCCGGAGTGGCTGGGACTACAGGCTCCCGCCACCATGCCCAACTAATTTTTTTGTATTTTTAGTAGAGACGGGGTTTCACCATGTTAACCAGGATGGTCTGGATCTCCTGACCTCGTGATCCACCTGCCTTGGCCTCCCAAAGTGCTGGCATTACAGGCATGAGCCACCGCGCCCAGCCCCAATGAGTTTTTAACTCTCAAACTCATACAAAATCCGGCCATTCATCTAAGTTGCCATTTAAGGGGTCCTTTAAATCTTCCCCCCAGCTCCTGGCCCTGGTGGTGTCTGCTTCCAGCAAACTGTGATTTCTGGCCTTTGCCTGTCTCTCTGGCTTTTGGGGTGGTGGCTTGTCCTATGGCCTCAGTTCTCTGATGGATCTAAGAAAACCATTGACTTTTCACTTTATTCAGTTATGTTCTTGATGTAAGGGCAGGAGCGATGACTTCACATGTTGGAACTGAAACTGGAAGTCACCCCCATTCCCATACCTGTTACCCAATGCGTTTCCTAACAGATGAATCCAGAAGGTCAGGGTATTCGCTCACTAGGTGTGCTTGGAGAAACCATTAATCCAGTGTCTTGGACAAACCAGAGGACTAGAGGAATATCTTGTATCTGATTTCACATATGCCAACAATGACCACAGTACAGAGGGCCGGGGGCCTGGGGACATATCTGTTGTGAGTGGCCAATAAGAAAAGTCCATTCCAAAACATGTAAAGAATCATGAAACTACAGACACCTTGCCTCCTCCCCAACTGATGGTCAGTGAAAGAAAACTGTCTGCTTACATGAGGAAAGCATCCACTGTTGGTAAACAGGGAAACGCAAATTAAAGATGAAGTGCCATTTTGTATATACCTTACTTTGGTTTTCAGCAAAAGAGAACTTATAAAAGCCAAATGTCCAGCACTTTGGGAGGCCAAGGCAGGAGGATCACTTGAGACCAGGAGTTCAAAACCAGCCTGGGCAACATGGCAAGCCCCGTTCTACAAAAAAAAAGAAAAAAAAAATTTTGTTTTAAATTAGCCAGGCATGGTGGCACACACCTATAGTCCTAGCTACTTGGGAAGCTGAGGCAGGAGGATCACTTGACCCAGGATGTCAATGCTGCAGTGAGCCAGGATCAAGCCACTGCATTTCAGACTGGGTGACAGAGTGACACCCCATCTCTAAAAATAAAAAATAATAATAAAATAAAAATAACCGCCAAATGCCATAAAGGTATAAAGAAATCCATCCCCTTTAGCGTTGTTAACAGCACCGTAGAGGAATACAGTGGGATCTGGAAGATGGAACCGGAGCTAACAAGAAGATGAGTTTGGCTCCGTCATTCCATTCCTGAGATTTTTTTTCTCTTGACAAAAATTCAAGAGGAAACAGCCACATATACAAAGATGTTTATACCAGCATTATTTATAATAGCAAAAATAAGGTGAGTAGCCTTCAATGCCCACATGCCAGCATGAGGGAATGGTCCAGCAAACTTAGCAAGTAAATGCGGCAGTCACTGAGTGTCTCCACATTACCATCCATGCTTCCATCCTCCCTGCGCCATGCAAACGCTAGTCACACGTGTGAATGAGGTAGCCTGTCCACTCCTCTGAAGTTTCATCACCCCGTGTCTTGCCCCACTTGCCAGGAAGTTCCTGGGAAGCACAGTGTATGGCCTGTTCACTCTGGCCTGCCTGGCACCTACCTCAGCCCCTGGTACCAAGAAAGGCTCCGAAGGACAGCTGACACTTAAAATGTGAGCCACAGACCAGCACCATTGTCATCACGTGGTCGTAAATGCAGACTCTCTGTGGGGAGGGGGACATGAGGAGTTGTTATTTAATAGTTACAGTTTCCATTTTGCCATATGGAAAGTGTTTTGGAGATTGGATGTGCACAGTGTGAACACATTTAACGCTGCTGAACTGTACACTTAAAAAAGGCTTAACGTGGGCCAGGTGCAGTGGCTCATGCCTATAATCCCAGCATTTTGGGAGGCCAAGGCAGGACGATTGCTTGAGCCCAGGAGTTTGAGACCAGCCTGGGCAACATAGGGAGACCCCATCTCTACAAAAATAAAAATAAAAAATTAGCTGGGCATAGTGGCACGGACCTGTAGTCCCAGCTACCCGGGCGGCTGAGATGGGAGGATTGCTTGAGCCCGGGAGGTCAAGGCTGCAGTGAGCAGTGATTGCACCTCTGCACTCTGGCCACAGAATGAAACTTCATCCCTTAAAAAAAAAAAAAAAAAAGTCTAAGATGGTAAATTTTATGCTATGTGTATTTTACCACAATTTAAAATAATGGGCTGGATACAGTGGCTCACATCTGTAGTCCCAGCACTTTGGGCGGGTGGATCACTTGAGTCCAGGAATTTGAGAAAAGCCTGGCCAACATGGCAAAACCCCATCTCTACAAAAAATGCAAAAAAAAATAGCCAGGTGTGGTGGTGCACACCTGTGGTCCCAGCTACTCAGGAGGCTGAGGCAGGAGGATCACTTGAGCCTGGGAGGCGAAGGTTGCAGTGAGCGGTGATTGTGCCACTGCACTCCAGCCTGGGCAACAGAGTGAAACCCTGTCTCAAAAATAAATAAATAATACAATACAATACAATGCAGAATCTTTTTTTTTTTTTAAGACAGAGCCAAGATTGCACCACCCAGGCTGGCATGCAGTGGCGCAATCTCCACTTACTGCAACCTTTGCCTCCCAGGTTCAAGCAATCCTCATGTCTCAGCCTCCCGAGTAGCTGAGGAGACCACAGGTATGTGGCACCATGCCTGGCTAATTTTTTTGTACTTTAGTACAGGCGGGGCTTTGTCATATTGGCCAGGCTGGTCTCGAACTACTGACCTCAAGTGATCTGCCCACCTTGGCCTCCCAAAGTGCTGGGATTACAGGCGGGATTACCGTGCCCGGCCTAAAATGCAGAATCTCAGGCCACACCCCAGACTTACCATTTTAGCAACCACATTTTAACAAAATCCCCAGGTGATTCACGTAAGTTTTGAGAAGGCCTGCACATTGGGTGTATAGCTACTCTGTTTTTGTTTGTTTGTTTGCTTGCTTTTTGAGATGGAGTCTGGCTTTGTTGCCCAGGCTGGAGTGCAATGGCACAATCTCAGCTCACTGCAACCTCTGCCTCCTAGGTTCAAGGGACTCACCTGCCTCAGCCTCCTGAGTAGCTGGGATTACAGGCATGCACCACCAAGCCCGGCTAATTTTTGTATTTTTAGTAGAGATGGGGTTTCACCATGTTGGCCAGGCTGGTCTTGAACTCCTGACCTCGTGATCTGCTCACCTCAGCCTTCCAAAGTGCTGGGATTACAAGTGTGAGCCACTGCGCCCAGCTGCTACTCTTAAAATATTGTTTAGGTTCCCATCATGAGTCAACTCTTTCTAATGAACACATATGTTTTGTTTTTCTCCCTCACTGTGGGAGGCTGGTCCTTATCTTCTCTTGGACTCCTTCGTTTGCACGAAAAATGGAGAAATCAAGTGGCAGCTGGCAGACTCCAAGGACAGCACAATGCCATGGCAACCGCTTCCATCAATAACTTAATTTCATCTCTGCTCTTACATCTTTCTCTCCTCAGTTCTAAAGCTGGAAAATTTTTAATTTGGAAAGAACATAAGACGGCTTGTGGTTGCTATGCCAACAGCACCTGCCTGCTTCCTAATGGGCTTTCCAATCATAAAGGAAAGTCTTAGCAAGTCACAGAACTTTAGACTCCAGGGGCTCTGGAGGGCACTCCGCACAGCACGGCCTCTCACTTGGCCGAGGAGACCACTGGCACCCAGGAGGTTAAGTTCCCTGTCTGTCCACAGCAATTCTACTAGCCCGCGCTGAAGTTACACCAAGGCAAGCAGCTTAATTTTGGCCAACCCGAAGGATTTAGGCAGGATTTGGGTGGAAGGCAGGCTGGGCGACCCTTGAGGAGAGTTGCTGTAAGTATCTTTCTACCCCCAAAATCCAGTATATTAGTCAGCTTGGGCTGCTGTAACAAAGTACCACAGACTGGGCGGCTTGAACAGCAGGAATTTATTTTGTCATAGTCCTGGAGGCTGGAAGTCCAAGGTCAAGGCATCAGAAGGGTTTGTTTCTTCTGCAGCCTCTCTCCCTGGCTTGTTGATGGCGTCTTCTCCCTGTGTGCTCACATGGTCATACCTCTGTGCGTGTCTGTGTCCTAATCTGTCTCTCTCTCTCTTTTTTTTTTTTTTTAAGATGGAGTCTCACTCTGTCATTCAGGCTGGAGTGCAGTGGTGCGCTCTCGGCTCACTGCAGCCTCTGCCTCCTGGGTTCAAGCAATTCTCCTGCCTCAGCCTCCTGAGTAGCTGAAACTACAGATGCGAGCCACCACGCCCAGCTAATTTTTGTATTTTTAGTAGAGACAGGGTTTCACCATGTTGGCCAGAATGGTCTCAATCTCCTGACCTTGTGATCCACCCGCCTTGGCCTCCCAAAGTGCTGGGATTACAGGCGTGAGCCACCGCATCCGGCCAATCTCTCTTTTTCTTTTTAAGAGACAGGTCTTGCTCTGTTGCCCAGGCTGGAATGCAGTGGCACAATCATAGCTCACTACAGCCTTGAACTCCTGGGCTGAAGCCATCTTTCCAACTTAGCCTTCCAAGTAGCTGGGACTACAGGCATGTGCTACACACCCAGCTAATTAAAAAAAAAAAAAAAGCCAGGTATAGTGGCTCACACCTGTAATCCTAGTGCTTTGGGAGGCTGAAGTGGGAGGATCACTTGAGCCCAGGAGTTCAAGACCAGCTTGGGCAACATAGAAACTTTTTTTTTTTTTTTTTTTTTTTGAGACAGAGCTTCCCTCTGTCGCCCAGGCTGGAGTGCAATGGCACTATCTGGGCTCATTGCTACCTCTGCCTCCCAGGTTCAAGCAATTCTCGTGCCTCAGCCTCCTAGGTAGCTGGGATTACAGATGTGCACCACCACGCCCGGCTAATTTTTGTATTTTTAATAGAGAGAGGGTTTCACCACGTTGGCCAGGTTGGTCTCAAACTCTCTACCTCAGGTGATCTGCCCACCTTGGCCTCCCAAAGTGCTGGGATTACAGGTGTGGAGCATGGTGGTGCCTGCCTATAGTCCCAGCTACTTGGTAGGGTGAGGTGGGAGGATCGCTTGAGCCCAGGAGGCTGAAGCTGCAGTGAGCCATGATCGTGCCACTGCACACCAGCCTGAGCAACAGAGCAAGACCCTGTGTCCAAAAAAAATAATTTGTTTTAGAGATGGGGGTCTCCCGACTGGCCCTCTCAAAGAGCTGGGATTAGAGGTATAAACCACCATGTCTTGCCTAATCTCTCTCTTTTTTTTTTTTATCTGGAGTCTCGCTCTGTTGCCCAGGCTGGAGTGCAATGGCACAATCTCGGCTCACTGCAACCTCCGCCTCCTGGGTTCAAGCGATTCTCCTGCCTCAGCCTCCCAAGTAGCTGGGATTATAGGCGCCCACCACTACACCCGGCTAATTTTTGTATTTTTAGTAGAGACAGGGTTTCACCATGTTAGTCAGGCTGGTCTCGAACTCCTGACCTCAGGTGATCTGCCGGCCTTGGCCTCTCAAAGTGCTGGGATTACAGGCATGAGCCACCATGCCCAGCCACCTAATCTCTTTTTATAAGGACACTAGTCATATTGGTTAAGGTCCAACCTCATGACCTTAATGTTTTCTTTAAATACTTTCTCTCCAAATGCAGTCACATGTGAGGGACACAGTCAGCCTGTAACACCCAGTCAGACAGGATCCCCTAAGGAGTCTTCAGCCTCCACTGTGTCTCAGCCCTCAGGCGGGTCTGGTTCCACCTCATCAGTCAACACATGCTGTCATTCTGTGCAGGGCTGCAGAGCCTGTGATGGGCACCGACCCTGCAGCAATTTCATGGGCTCCATATTCCTATCCATGCCTGGAATAGGTAGCCTGGTCTGTTCACCCATGTTGGGCTTCGAGTGGATAACCACACAGCCTGCTGGCTGGCGGCTGTTTTTCGATACCGGGGAACACTGTGGGGCAACTCCCTGGTACAAATCTATTTTCTCAGCTCTGGACTTTCACTGAGCCACTGCTGCTATCCCTCAGTCCTGCCTCTTCCCAAGAAATGCTGCCCTGGAAGGAGCTGGGCACCTGGAGGAAGGCTGGCATTTCCTAAGCATGGACCGTGCCTGGCATCTTGGGTCTTAGTTAATCCTCAGCCATCCTGCCCAGTGGCTGTCAGTGACACTCTCAGCACCAGCGATCGGCCGAGAACACACCAAGGCCTCTCCCCAACCCCTGCTCGCATCCTGGGGAGGGGAGGAGAGACGACAATAACCAAGCGAAGGGGAAATATACAGACCAATGCAAGGAGAAGAGAGCATGGAGGGTGCAGTCCTGAGTGTGCAGAGAGAGGGCCCCTGGGACCAGGATGCTGACAGAAGAGGAGCCTTGCAGGGAAGGGAACAGCAAGGGCGTGGGAGCGTCCTGAGAGCAGTCCATGGGGGGACGACAGAGCAAAGGGTTTCTCCTTGCCCAGGGAGAGGGCTGGCCTGCGCACCTGCTTCTGGGAGCTGATCACCAAGTCCTGGAGGTGTCTTGCCAGAGGGAAGTGGCGCTTCGGGTCACACCGAGAGACTGGAGTCTGAGCTCCTCCTCCTGGGCCATCACCCACGCCTATGTGGAGACCCAGTACAAACTCTGGGCCCAGCGCAGTGGCTCACACCTGTAATCCCAGCACTTTGGGAGGTCGAGGTGGGAGGATCACTTGAGGTCAGGAGTTTGAGACCAGCCTCGGCGACATGGTGAAACCCCCGTTTCTACTAAAAAAAATAAAAATAAAAAAAATTAAGGGGGCGTGGTGGTGGGCGCCTGTAACCCCAGCTACTTGGGAGGCCAAGGCAGGAGAATTGTTTGAACCCAGGAGGTGGAGGTTGAAGTAAGCCGAGAGCACACCATTGCATTCTAGCCTAGGCAACAGAGCAACTCCGTCTCAAAAAACAAACAAACAAACAAACAAACAAAAACTTTGTGCTTTGTAGTTGGCTAAACTCTTGCAGGGGCAGTAATAGGAAATGGAGGAGGAGAGAGAGGAAGGAGCCAAATCGCTTCAGCCCATTAATGAACTCTAGCTTTTACCTGGGGCTTTCGAGGAGGTATACATCTGGCTTTTGTTCTCAAAGAATCAGTCAGTGAAGAATAAAGTTAAGGAGGCAAAGTTTGTAATTTGGAGGCGACTTGAGCAATAACAATAATCTAGACAAGAGATGAGAGTGGCTCAGGCCCTGGGTGCTGGTGACAGCAGTGGAAGCCTGGGAACTTGCTGAGGGATTGGACCTGGGATGTGAGGGAAAGAGAGGGGTCAAGGAGGACTCTGAGGATTTGGCCTGTGCCTGAAAAATGGCAATGCCCTTAATTGAGCTGGTGGAGACAGAGGCTTGGTTTGGTATGTGTTGAGTTTAAAGTGTAGACCTCCAAGTGAGACTGCGAGTGGGCAGCTGTAGGTGAGAGCTCGGGGGTCAGAGGAGGGTTTGTGCTGAGGAACACACTTTTTTTTTTTTGAGACAGAGCCTTGTTCTGTTGCCCAGGCTGGAGTGCTCACTGCAGCCTCAACTTCCCAGGTTTAAGCGATCCTCCCTCCTGAGCCCCCCAAGTACCTGGGACTACAGGCGTGTGGCCACCACACTTGGCTAAACACACACACACACACACACACACACACACACAGAGAGAGAGAGGAGGTTTTACCATGTTGCCCAGTCTGGTCTTGGGCTCCTGGGCTCAAGGGATCCACCTGCCTCAGCCTCCGAAAGTACTGCCATTATAGGCATGAGCCACTGTGGTTGGTGAGGAACACACTTGATCAGTAGCAGGCTCCATGTGGTCTTCCACTGCCAATGAGCTTGGTGGAGATCACCTGTCAGGCCAGTGGAGGGAAGGGAGGAGACCTAAGGGCTGAACTTTTGGGGCCTCCAACATCAGGAGGGTGAGGGCAGGTGGGGAAATGGAGGCTGGTGAGGAAGAGAGTGGAGCCCCAGAATCTAAGTGAAGAAAGTGTTTTTAAAAAGCGCCCCACTGTAGGAAATGCTAGTAGGACCATCCAGTAAGGTATAGGCTGAGCCCAGATGTGACGACATGATGTTTTGCGACATGATGTTGGAGCGGTTGGGATGGAACCCTGAGAATGGGAGGTGGGCATGGGAGGCGCCCAGGCCAGGCCCTTCTGTGTCATCTTGCCCTGAAGAGTTGCAGAGCAGGTGGGCATAGCCAAAGAGGGTACGTGGAGCTGAGAGCACGGCTCCTACCCTGATGGGGCAGCCCAGTAAGCCGTGGGGGGCAGGACTAAGGGCGAGCCACGTGTTCATGGCAGCAGGCAGGGCAGATGTTTAGGATGGGATGTTTAGCAGTGGGGGCAGGGAGGAGTCCTCTCCCATCTCTATGTTCTCTGTAAAGTTGGACACAGAGTTAGCAGAGGGGAGGAGGCATGATATCATCTTCCAGGATGGTGGAACCTGCACAGACCCGGAGGTGCAGCAGGCGGAGGGTTTTCAGGAGGACTAGGCTTCCCTAGAAACTGGTGTCCCCAAAGTAAGCAGCCAGCTGCAGTGGTGCGTTTCCCAGTTGGGGGAGGGGGCTGAATTTCTCCAGGACAGGCGAGGGTGGGGTGTGGGAAAGGGGTTAGGGAGGAAGTGGGCATGGGGGAGGGCAGCCCCCAGTGGGAGGGCATGCTGAGGCATGGAGCTGGGACGCTAAAGGGAGGGAGCCCTGGAGCTTGAAGGTGGTGTTCCTGAGTGGGCTGTGGGAAAGTGGATTATAAATGGTGCGACCACAAGGCAGGCGGGGGTGGCAGGCTGCAGGCCTGGCTGATGGTGCTGCCCAAGGCCACCCAGAAGGTCGTGCCTGGGATTTTGTTAATAAAAACAGAGGAGGATAGAAATGTTAGGGCATTGCCCAAAATAAATAAGAGTATGTATTAAATCATGAAACTTTTTGTTCATCCAAATGTGTACTAGATCACAATGTAGACTTTCTTTTACTACTTTTATTGTGGTAAAATATACATAACAAAATTCACCATTTTAACTTTTTTTTTTTTTTTGAGACAGAGTCTCACTGTGTTGCCCAGGCTGGAGTGCAGTGGTTCCATCTCGGCTCACTGCAACCTCCAACTCTTGGGTTCAAGCGATTCTCTTGCCTCAGCCTCTGAGTAGCCGGGACTACGGGCACACACCACCACGCCCAGCTAATTTTTTTTGCATTTTTTTTTTTTAGTAGAGACGGTGGTTTCACCATGTTGGCCAGACTTGTCCTGAACTCCTGACCTCAGGTGATCTGCCCACTTGGGCCTCTCAAAGTGCTGGGATTATAGGCATAGCCACCACACCCGGCCCATTGTAACAATTTTAAGGGTGCAATTCAGTGGCATTCACATTGTTGTACAGCCATTCCCACTACCAATTCCAAATTTTTTTATCACCCCAAACAGAAACGTTGTACAGATAAAATGAAATAGGTCATGTGGTCACGTGGTCATAGTTAACAACACTTGACGCCACCAAGTCCGCGGAAAGATGCTCAACACCACTAATCACGAGGCAAGTGCAAACCAAACCCATCATGCACCAGGCTGGCCACTGTCAAAAAACAGAAAATAACAGTTGGTGAAGATGTGCAGAAACTGGAAGCCTTGTACACTGTTGGAGAGAATGTGAAATGGTGCAGTTACGTTGGGAAACAGTATGTAATCGCCTTAAAAAATTCAACATAGAACTACCATATGATCCAGCAACTTCACTTCTGGGTATATACCCAAAATAATTGGAACCAGGGGTGCCAAGGGATGTTTGTACCATCAAGTTCATAGTGGCATTATTTACAATAGCTAAAGTATGGAAGCAGCAAGCCAGGTGTCCACTGACAGATGCGTGGAGAAACAAAATGTGGTATCTACATACAATGGAATATCATTCAGCCTAAAAAAAGGAAGGAAACTGTGACAGTGCTACACCATCGGTGAACCTTGCAGACATTATGCTAAGTGAAATGAGCCACAAAAGTCACAGTAAGCCACAAAAAGACAAATACTAGATGATTTCACTTATGTGAGGCACCTAGAGCAGTCAAGCTCATAGGGACAGAAAGTAGAATGGGGTGGTGCGGGGCATGGGGTAGAAGGAAACGGGAGTCATTGTTTCTTGAGTCCAGAGCTTTACTTAGGCAAGATGAGTTCTGGAGAGGGATGATGATGATGGTTGCACAACATTATGAATGTATTTAATACCAGTGAACTGTACACTTTAAAATAGTTAAATGGGGCCGGGCGCGTGGGCTCATGCCTGTAATCCCAGCACTTTGGGAGGCCGAGGCAGGCGGATCACTTGAGGTCAGGAATTCGAGACCAGCCTGGCCAATATGGTGAAACCCCGTCTCTACTAAAAATACAAAAATTAGCCGGGCCTAGTGGCGGGCAACTGTAGTCTCAGCTACTGGGGAGGCTGAGGCAGGAGAATCGCTTGAGCCCAGGAGGAGGAGGTTGCAGTGAGCCAAGCTCACACCACTGCACTCCAGCCTGGGCGACACAGCGAGACTCCTGTCTCAAGGAAAAAAAAAAAAAAAAAAAAAAAGGCAACATCCAGCCACAATCTAAGTTATGAGTCAGGTGTACATTTAGCGACTTGAAGAGATCTTTACATACACAGTGGGTTGCAGAAAACAAGAGAATACGTCCAGAGGACGCTGATAACAATGTTATATACATTGTGACCTCAATAGAGGTTTTGTTGTTTTCTTGGTTTTTTTCTTTTCTTTTTTTTTTTTTTTGTTCAAGAGGAAGGGTCTCGCTCTGTCACCCAGTCTGGAGTGCAGTAGCGCGATCATGGCTCACTGAGGCCTCGACCTCCTGGGCTCAAGTGATCCTCCCGCCTCAGCCTCACAGGTAGCTGGGACTACAGGTGTGCACCACCATGCCTAATTTCTTTCTTTTTTTTTTTTTGGTACAGTGTCTCACTATGTTGCCCAGGCTGCTCTTGAACTCCTGGGCTCAAATGATCCTCCTGCCTCGGCCTCCCAAAGTACTGGAATTACAGGCGTGAGCCACCACACCCAGCCTTCAAATATATATATTCAAATAATACATATCTATTTTCAAATAATATATATTTTTTTAAAGAAGGGATACGGAACCAAGAAAACAGTGACATTAGAGGCGTGGGGGTGGCGCAGGCTGCCGGGGCGTCGGGAGCACTACCCAGAGGAAGGGGCTTTCTGTAGGGTCTGACGCGGCAGTCCTGGAGCAGAGCGAGGGGCCAGACGCAGACCCGGGGGGTCCTCCGTGGCGAGGGGGTCCTAGGGGGTTAGGTCCTTGGGTTCAGAGAGGGTGGTGGGGACGGGACAGCACGGACGACCGCATTCTGGGGACCCGGCCGCGGAGGGGTCCGGCCAAGGCGGGCCCTGGTCAGGCGCACACAAGCTCGCCTCGGCCTCCACGTCCGTCCCCTACAACGCGGCCGACCGCGCGGACGGGCGGTACGTGCACGGCGCTGGACGAGGAGGCTGCGCGCAAGCTCGCCTCAGCCTCTGGAGCTGCGGGCCCTGCACGCCCTCGGCCCATCCCCGCGAGCCGGAGGAACGAGTGACCACCACCGCCAGCCCCGCCGGCCGAGTGTCCCTGCCCAGCCAGCCTGCGTCCGAGCGCGGCGCTCCTCGCGGAACCCGCCCCTGCTCTCGCCCCGCCCCGCGCGGCCCCGCCCCCGTGTCCCTCGGCCCTTACAGGCTGGCTCCGAGGCCGCGCCCGGCGGGTCAGCCAATGGGAGTGCGGCGCGCCCCGCGGCACGTGGGCTCCTGCCCGTCCCGGCCGGGTGCGAGCTGGCGGAGCTCCTTGGCCCGGAGCGCGCGGGGCGGGGGCGCGCGGGGCAGGCGGGACGCGGGGCGGAACGGAGGCAGGATGGGGGCGGGGCGCTGGCGACATGGCGCGCTGATTGGCCGGCGCCGCGCTCCAAGGCTGTTAACGGCGTCTGGGCCGGGCTACGGCTCCAAAACAAAGGGCAGGCGGCCCGCGGGGCGGCGGCGGGAGGATGCCTCGCGCCCTGCCTAGGCGTTAACGGCCTCAGCGCGTCCCGGGCCGCGCCGGGAACGCCTGAGAGCCGAGCCCGCGCTGACCGGGGCCCGGGCCGGATGGGCGCTGCGGGCCGGGGCGCGGACCGCGGAGCGGCCGTGAGTACGGGCGGGCCTGGCTGCAGCTGCGCGGGCGGTTACTTTGTGGCCACCCAAGGATACTGTGGCTGCGGGCGGGCCCGGGAAGCACCTGTTGGGCGTCCGGGCGGGCGGGGGCGCGAGCAGGGCGGGCCTGTGACTTTTTTGTTCCGTTTTGGATTTTGATTTGTTGATATTGGGCTCACTCCGTTTTGGCACAGACAACAACGCCTAATCTTTGATTCCCCCGCCGTTTCTTCTCTCCACCTCCCCCGCTGTCCCTCTTCTCCCGCCCCGCCGTGAAAAGATAGGGAAAATGGACAAGATCCCTGATTTTTGGATTTTCCTTCCTTAAAAAATACAGCCTCAACTGGGCAAGGAAATGAGGGCAAAAGAGGTCTCCTAGGAATGTTTATCAGAAAGGCGGAAAAGCTTTTCAAGTAGCCACATAAAGATCATGACTAAAATGGAGCGTCCTCGGTATTTACCACTTGTGGCATAGGTTTCGTTAACAGAGATTGCAAAAGCCTGAGCTTCAGAGATCTAAACAGGGTCCGCCTCCCCCATGCTTGGCTCTGATTGACATCTTTGATGTCCAAATTATGTGCTGAATTCTAAGGATGGAAAAAAGGCTGAGATTCTATTTTAGGCAGATAATGAACATGGAAGACATCAATTTCCCCGCCCCACGCTTTTTCTGTTCCGTTGCATTTCTTCTTCCTCTATCTAAAACATACCCACCTTAACCTGATGTTTCCTTTGCTAAGAATGTTATTCTTCCCACCCACCAGCCCCTGACACTCCTAATTCCCTACTCAGGTCCCAAGACTAGGTTTACCACCACTGGGGAGACTTTCCAGGCACCTCACCTGAGCAAGCTATAGATGTGACAAATGTTTGCTGAGCCCCTGCCAGGTGCCAGGAGCTGTGCTTAATCCTGATGTCATTTTGTCTTACAATCATGCACTGGTCCCCCTCAGGGCTCTTGCGAGGCAATGGTAGTGGCATGTTTGAGGAATAAGAGGATCTCCAGGACCTTCATGGTGTTTCCTCTTGGGCCCTACAGGGTAGAGTCTCATCTACTTGTGGGAACCCCTACGGGTTGGGCCCATATTGAGCATTTATATAATAACTGAGCGCTCTTAATTACCAATCTGAGCAATAGTCTTCTTTTAAAATAACTTCTTATTTTGGAAAAACTTTAAATTTACATAAAGGTTGCAAAGATAGTACAGACAATCCCAATATATCCTACACCCAGTGCTCCCTATCCTTACCCCATCCTACACTGCTGTGGTACACTTGCCAATATGAAAAACACCTGGGTGCATTCTTGTCACTAAACTGTGGGTATTAAGCCTTTTCACCTTTGAATCACTGTAATTTATAAAGCCATTTCTCTGTTTGTTTCTTTGTTTGAGACAGGGTCTCACTCTTGCTCAGGATGGAGTGCAGTGGCACAAACACGACTCACTGCAACCTCCACATCCTGAGCCCAAGTGATCCTCTTGCCTCAGCCTCCCATGTAGCTAGGACTACAGGTGCACACCACCATGACTGGTTAACTTTACATTTTTTTTTGTAGAGACTGGGGTCTCACTTAATGTTTCCCAGGCTGGTCTTGAACTCCTAGGCTCAAGTGATCCACCTGCCTCAGCCTCCTGAAGTGTTGGGATTACAGGCTTGAGCTGCTATACCTCACCATAAAGCTATTTTCTTTAGGTTGAGAGCAGTGTTCCTCTAACATCTGTTCTTGATTCTTGCCTGTCTTCACTAAGTTCCACCAGCACCTGTGTCAAGGGGCAGGGATGCAGGAAAAGGGAAAGAGGCTACCCTATAGGTTTTTTCCTTTTTTCTTTCTTTTTTTGTTGGTTTGTTTTGGTTTGTTTATTTCAACAAACAAATTGGTTTTTTGAGACAAGGTCTCATTCTGTCACCCAGGCTGGAGTATAATGGCACTGTCTCCACTCACTGCAGCCTCAACCTCCTAGGTTCAAGCCATCCACCTGCCTTCTGAGTAGCTGGAAACACAGGCACACACCACCATACCCAGCTAATTTTTTGATTTTTCTGTAGAGACAGGATCTCACTCTGTTGCTGGTCTCAAACTCCTGAGCTGAAGCGATCCTCCCCCCTTGCCTCCCAAAGTGCTGAGATTATAGGTGTGAGCCACCACCCCCAGTTAGTTTTGTTTTGTTACTTTATTTGTTTATTTTTTGAGACAGAGTCTCGCTCTGTCTCACCCAGGCTGGAGTGCAGTGGCATGATCTCGGCTCACTGCAGCCTCCACCTCCAGGGTTAAGCGATTCTCCTGTCTCAGCCTCCCGAGTAGCTGGGATTACAGGCATGTGCCACCACACCCAGCTAATTTTGTATTTTTAGTAGAGACAGGGTTTCACCATGTTGCCCAGGCTGGTCTCAAACTCTTGACCTCAGATGATCTGCCACCCCTCAGCCTCCCAAAGTGGTGGGATTACAGGTGTAAGCCACAGTGCCCAGCCTTGTTTTGTTATATTAGAGAGACAGAGTCTTGCTTTGTCACTCAAGCCTGGGGTACAGTGGCACAATCATAGCTCACTGCAGCCTCAACCTCTTGGGCTCAAGCAATCCTACAGCCTCAGCCTTCTGAGTAGCTGGGACTGTGGGTGTGCACCACCATGCCCAGCTATATAAAAAAAAAATTTTTTTTGGTAGATATGAGGTTTGGGGTTCTCACTGTGTTGCCCAGGTTGATCTCAAACTCCTGGCCTCAAGTGATCCTCCAGTCTCAGCCTCCCGATGTGTTGGGATTTACAGGTGTGAGCCCAGCCTACCTTGCAGTTTGTTTGTTTGTTTTTGTTGTTGTTGTTATTTTTGAGACAGAGTCCCACTCTGTCGCCAGGCTGGAGTGCAGTGGCGTGATCTCGGCTCAGTGCAGCCTCCGCCTCCCGGGTTCAAGCGATTCTCCTGTCTCAGCCTCCTGAGTAGCTGGGACTACAGGCACCCGCCACAACAGCCAGCTAATTTTTGTATTTTTAATAGAGACGGGGTTTCACCAGGTTGGCCAGGATGGCCTCAATCTCCTGACCTCAAGTGATCCGCCTGCCTCGGCCTCCCAAAGTGCTGGGATTACAGGCGTGAGCCACCGCGCCTGGCCAACCCTGTAGTTTTAACATATTTGTCTCCATGGAAGACTAATAAACAAAATTGTTTTGAATATGAAGAAGCAATAGAAGCCCCCCTGCTTTCAAACTGTTCTGTGATGCTTTTCATTAGAGTTAAATGAAGTTGACGTAAATGTTTTTAAGTAGTTAGATCTAATAATCAGTGAAAGCTCTAGGGAGTGGGAATTTTGACAAGAGATTTGAGCGGAGGTTGAAGAAAGTTCTCAATAGCCAAGACATAGAGGGCTAAGGGTTTTTGGAGCAAGCAGTGCGAGATAGATTCAGGAAAGAAGTCAAGAGGGTGAAATCGATTCCGCCAGCAAATGCCAGGACGTTACACCTGCTATACAGATGCTGAGTACCAAAAACCTGTTGGCAGGTGAGAGTAAAATGGAAATCCTGGAGCCAACCACTGTTGCCCACACCCCAGAAAGGGGTTAGGAGCCGTTATTCACCCCATTGCTCAGTAGGCCCTCTGGCACCTGCAGGGCCTTGGGCCGGGGCCGGGATTCCTGGTGGGGCTTGTGAGGTGCTTGCTGAGCCCCTGCCGTCCTGTAACAGTGACACATGCTCCTGCCGTAAGGCCCTGGTCAGACACCTAAACTGTGCCCAAGGATCATCCCCCTTAACATCTCATGTGACTCTGACTGCCCTGTAAATTGCACGTTACCCCACTTTACAAAGAAGGTAGCAGAACTTGGCTTCAGGTCCCAGAGCCAACAAACACGTGGCACATTTTGCATCAAAGCCTGGGAAGCCTCTCAAAGCAAGTCAGACCCTCTTTCACCTTTGTCCTGGGGGTGATGACATCCCTGTTGCCAAACCTCACCTACTCCCTCCCTCGTGGTGCCACCTGCCTTCTCAGCAGCATTGGCATATACCCCCGCCACCCAAACGCTTCCCCCTCACCTTTTCTGGTTCCTCTTTGTGTATCTGTTTTTTTTTTTTTTTTTCCCCCCTTCTCTTGCCCCAAGACAGGGCCTTTAATGTCTGATGAGACTTTATTTAGCATGAGGGTAAATAAAGTAGTTTTTAAGATTCTCAACCTCTTTTCTTCTATCTCAATCCAGTCTTCTGGGTGTGGTACCCACTCTTTCAACCTAACAAGGCTAGTGTTGCACATAGTTCCTACACCTCCCCTTTTCTTTCTTTTTTTTTTTTGACACAGGGTCTCACTCTGTCATCCAGGCTGGAGTGCAGTGGCGATCACCTCAGCCTCCCGAGTAGCTGGGACGACAGGCACGTGCCACCACACCTGGTTAATTTTTAAATTTTTTTTTAGAGACGGGTTTTCGCCATGTTGCCCAGGCTGGTCTCGAACTCCTGACCTCAGATGATCCTCCCACCTTGGCCTCTTAAAGTGCTGGGATTACAGGCATGAGTCACCATGCACAGCCCCCTCTTCTTGTTGTTAGCAAGAAAGCACCTCTACTGGGATGTGTCCCAGGGCCTTGGTTGTGGGAAACTTTGTTACTAATGGTAGAAAAAAAAATGTAGTACAGGTTCTTTGAAAAGAAGCGCTCAGTACAAGCACATTATCAGTAGTCTCAGGAGAGGTGGTAGAGGTAGTACTTGAGCACAGGTGGGAGGAGAGATGGAGGAGAGAGCCTGGAGGGCCGAGGCACCTGGGGCCACTGGGCAATGGAGGAGCCAGGCCCCTTGGGTTCCCCAGAGAGCAGGGGCTGGTGGGGAGTCTACAGAGGGCCATGGAGCTTTGTCTCAGGGCAGCCATATAGGTGGTTTGATGCTGTCAGTGAGTCCCATTGTGCACCTAGGCTGCAGTTCCTGAAATGTGGAGGGGAGCTTTTCCTCCTGTAATGCAAGTAGGGAGGAAGTGGATGTGTGTGGATGGAAGCTGGAATTGCCAAAGGCAAATTGTACCCATGCTGTTGCCCTTTGTTGTAAATTTTTCCAGACCTTTCCACACCTGTGACTTCATGTACTATGTGAGAGTTTGAATAGTCAGTGTGGGCCAGATGCTGTAGCTCACGCCTGTAATCCCAACACTTTGGGAGGCCAAGGCGGGTGGATCACTTGAGGTCAGGAGTTCAAGGCAAGCCTGGCCAACATGGTGAAACCCCATCTCTACTAAAAATACAAACTTAGCCAGGCATGGTGGGAGGTGCCTGTAGTCCCAGCTATTTGGGAGACTGAGGCACAAGAATTGCTTGAATCCAGGAGGCGGAGGCTGCAGTGAGCCAAGATCGTGCTACTGCACTCCAGCCTGGGAGACAGAGCGAGACTCTGGAAGCCCCATGATGGAAATGTCCCTGATGTGTGTTTATCAGTGCATTTGGCCAGTCTCTTTTGGTTAAACTTTGTTGTTGTTGTTGCTTTTGTTGAGAAGGAGTCTCGCTCTGTTGCCCAGGCTGGAGTACAGTGGCACAATCTTGGCTCACCACAACCTCTGCCTCCCGGGTTCAAGCAGTTCTCCCGCCTCAGCCTCCCTAGTAGCTGAGACTAAAGGTGCCCACCACCACACCGAGCTAATTTTTGTATTTTTAGTAGAGACGAGGTTTCACCATGTTGGTTGGCCAGGCTGGTCTCGATCTCCAGACCTCAGGTGATCTGCCCATCTCGGCCTCCTAAAGTGCTGGGATTACAGATGTGAGCCACCGTGCTAGCCTCTATTGGTTAAACTTGAGGTGGTTTCTAATCTTTTATTACAGGCAGTATTATTATAGGATGATATTTTGTTATTTCAGGTAATAACTGCTTTTATCCAGTTATTTTGCACATGTGCATCAGCCAAAGGTGAACTCCCCAGATGAACCCCCATCCAGGGCTGTGCTCCTAGGAATGTTGTGGGTGTTGCCAAATGGCTGGATCACAGAGCACCTTCACCAGTGGTGTTGTCAACTTCTTAAATTTTTAAATTTAATTTATTATTTGTAGAGACTGTCTCGCTCTGTCGCCCAGCCTGGAGTGCAGTGGTGTGATCATGGCTCACAGCAACCTTGACCTCCTGGCCTCAAGTGATCCTCCCATCTCAGCCTCCCAAGTAGCTGGGACTACAGGTGCACACCCAGCTCATTTTTTTTTTTTTTTTTAGAGATGGGGGTCTTGCTGTGTTGGCCAGGCTGATCTTGAACTCCTGGCCTCAAGTAATCTTCCCACCTTGGCCTCCCAAAACACTGGGATTACAGGCATGGGCCACCCCTGACCTTATCAACTTTTTTTTTGAGATAAGATCGTACTCTGTCACCAATGCTGGAGTGCAGTGGTGTGATCTCGGCTCACTGCAACCTCTCCCTCCTGGGCCTAAGTGATTCTCCTGCCTTAGCCTTCCAAGTAGCTGGCACCACAGTCATGCACCACCATGCCCGGCTAATTTTTTTTTTTTTTCTTCAGGATGGAGTTTTGCTCTTGTTGCCCAGGCTGGAGTACAATGGCGCAATCTCAGCTAACTGCAATCTCTGCCTCCTGGGTTCAAGCAATTCTCCTGCCTCAGCCTCCCAAGTAGCTGGCATTACAGGCACACACCACCATGCCCGGCTAATTTTTGTATTTTTAGTAGAGATGGGGTTTCACCATGTTGGCCAGGCTGGTCTAGAACTCCTGACTTCAGGTGATCCACCCGCCTCGGCCTCCCAAAGTGCTGGGATTACAGGCGTGAGCCAGTGTGCCTGGGCTTTTGTATTTTTTTGTAGAGACGGGGTTTCACCATGTTGCCCAAGCTGGTCTCAAACTCCTGGACTCAAGCGATGCACCCACCTTGGGTTCCCAAAGTGCTGGGATTACAGGTGTGAGCCACCACGCCTGGCCTAACTTTTAAAAAAATCATTGCCAACCTGCTAAGTGTTAGACAGTATGAGTGTGCCTTCAGAGTTGAACATCTACTTGCATGTTCCACCTTGGACACCGTGGTCCAAGGTGGGGAGACTCTGGCTTTGAATCCAGCTTCACAGGTCACTGGCTGTGCAACCTTGGGTGCTCAGGTAACCTTTTTGGACTTCGGTTTCCCCATGTGCATCGTGGGGCTAATAAGGACACGCATCTCTTAGAACTGCTGTTAATCGTGCGATTCTTGTATGGTGAGCAGTGTAGGACAGGGCTGGTGTTGGCTTGCCAAGGCTCTGGGAGCCGCTGCACGTCCTTTTCCAGGAGCTGGTGGTTTTATCCGTTGTCCATTCCCTCCGTGATGGCGGTGGCCTTTTCATCTTTCTAATCCCAAGGACGGTGCCTTGCCAGTGAGGGGTGGGAGAGGCAAAGCTAAAAGCAGGGAGGCCTCCTCCATGGAGAGGAGGGGAAGGAAGGGGTGGCCGAGTGGGAGCGGAGGTGGAGAAGCTGTGGGGACGGCTGGCCGGGCAGGTGACACCACCACCTCTCACCGCTCATCCCTCTCCTCCCTAAAGAGGTGGACCATGATATCCTGGTTCCACTTTCTTTATGAATCCTGGCTGAACATGGCGGGGCCACATGAGCACTGTTCCTTCCCCGCTCTCCCTGGCATTCTGTCCACCTGGCACACCAGCCCCTTCATCGCCACGCCCAGCAGACGCCCCAGTTCTCCTCCAGCTTTGCAGCCTCTGACCCTGACGCACTGGCTTCCGTATCTGCCTGAGGCCTCCTTTCCATCTCGGGACACCCTGGAGGGCTCCCCGGGGAAGTAATGGGGATGGGACCCACACTCACCTGCCAGGTGGTGGCAGTGCCAGGGGGTAGGTGGAGCAGCCTGGGGATTGAGGGGAACAGGCTGTCCTCTACACAGGTGCCCCAGGGATGGGGCGACGACCCAGTGGGGTGGTTGAAAAAGTGAAGGGGGCACCCCAGTCTGCACTCCATCCCATGAAGTGTCAGAAGCTGCTTGGTTTTGTTTGCTTCCTCAGTGTGTTTGTCTTTAGAAGTGTGCTACCGGCACCATATGGACATGGGCCTGATTCACATTCTCTTAAAATAATTTTACAGGCTTATTTTAGGAGAGAAATTTCTGGATTCCAGAAAATTGTTTTTGCTCTAAAAACATACCCCACATTAATGTCTATTTGGGGGGATGGATGGCAGCTGCCCTCCAAACGTGGGGACACACAGTGTCCGAGAGTGGAGATGATTTTCCTGGTGAATTGCCCAGCATTTTCCTTTCAGTTACTTACTTCAGGGTGGTTCCTTATTTGCCAATAGATCTTGTAAAAGCCCATTTACATTGGTTGTTTCCAAACTTGGCCATGGGTTCCCCAGTGCAACAGTGGATCTGTCATTTAAAGCCAAGTTAAAACTTAACATGACATGCCTCTCAGTGACCACAAATACAGCCCTGGCCACTACTGCCAGGACCCCTTTGAGGGCTAGTGACAAGGGTTGCCATCAGGACTGAGACCACATGAAGCGCACGGGAGGCATCTGTGCAGTGACCAGACTCAAGGCAGGAGACAGGGACAGGGACTTGGGGGACATTTGGGACCCAGGGCAGCAGGCTCTTCAGGTAAGATTGCCTTGGGGGCGGGGCTGTATAATGAAGGTCTCCAAATAAAGCCCATGCGAAGTGTGCTTGGGAAACAGCAAGCCTGTTTTGGTTGGAAACAAGGCTTTTTGTAATTAGCGGTGCCCTCAGTGTTTACTCTGCAGAGCCCTAGGCACTCTGGTCCAGGAAGAGTTAGTAGCGTCCTCTGCATCCCACTGGGGATGTGTGACACTCAGAGAAACCACAAGGTGGAGGCGAGAGCTGAGATCTGAGCTTGTCGCTGCATCTGTCTGCCTCACAGCTGGGAGGCTCAGCCAGTGGCACTTGCTGTGGGGACAGCCCAGGTGCAGGAAGGGGCCAGCAAGGGAGGGCAGCAGGCTGGGCTACAGCCACCAGGGGTGGTATCTCCACTGAGAGTTACAGGCTTTGAGCAAATAGAGAACAGTTACAGCATGGAGGACCCTGGGGTAACACAGGACCCTGATGGGGACGCACCGCTTCCTCCTGCCTGGAACACTGGTGGTCAGAGGGTCCCCTCCCTCCTGGGGACTGGACTGTCCTCCGCTGATGCTCCTCCCTCTCAGGCCAGGTGGGACCGAGAGCGGAGAGCACCTGTGCTCTGGATTGAGTACCCGCCTGTGGGACTGTGGTGGCCGCTAGCGGGCAGGGATGCCTATTTCTCAGGATGTTGTGAGAATTCAACGGCCTGAGAATTTGCCGACCCTAAGGTGCAGATGCATGATGTAAAGGGCAAACGCCTGTCTTTGGCAACATTCTTGTCATTCTGGGGGCCTTGCGCCTGAATAGATGAGATTCCTTCCTGGAACCTTCTGGGACCAGCTTGGGGCCACAGCAGGCTGCGGCTGGTCCTTCCTGGACAGCGCTGGCAGGGCCCTGGCTTGTGCACTGCTCTTTGGGGACCATGGTCCTAGACCCTGGGGACATGTGGGTCTGGGTGAGGTGAATCTGCAGCTGCCCGCACCCCACGGCCCCTGCCCGCAGAGACTCCTTGGTGCCCATGGGTCCATGTTTTTAACAAGCTTACCAGTGTTTAGTGGCCATTTCTCATATCAAGTACTGATGTTTCTTTTTTTGGACACGGTCTCGGTCTGTTGCCCAGGCTGGAGTGCAGGGGCACCATCACGGCTCACCATAGCCTCGACCTCCCCGGCTTAAGCAATCCTCCAGTTTCAGCCTCTGGAGTAGCTGGGACCACAGGCATGTGCCACCGTGCCCGGCTATTTTTTTTTTTTTTTCCTTTGGTAGAGACAGGGTCTCACTATCTTGCCTGGGCTGGTCTCGAACTCCTGGGCTCAAGTGATCCTCCTGCCCTGGCTTCCAAAAGTGCTGGGATGACAGGCGTGAGCTGCTGCACCCGGCCGCAGTAGTGATGTTTCAACCCCCATTTACTTTTGCTGTCTCCGTGTGAGGATTCCCCTGATACATATTCATTCCCTAGATATTTAAGTGCCTTTCAGGGGCCAGGACACTAGTCAGTGATTTTTTTTCTACCATCTAGATTTAATAAAACCACCCAAGTGACTTTAAAATTTTATCATTTTAGGCTGGGCACAGTGGCTCACACCTGTAATCCCAGCACTTTGGGAGGCCGAGGCAGGCGGATAATGAGGTCAGGAGATCGAGACCAGCCGAGGCAAGATAGTGAGACCCTGTCTCTACCAAAGAATACAAAAAATACAAAAAATTAGCCGGGTGTGGTGGCGGGTGCCTGTAGTCCCAGCTACTTGGGAGGCTGAGGCAGGAGAATGGCATGAACCCGGGAGATGGAGCTTGCATTGAGCCGAGATTGCACCACTGCACTCCAGCCTGGGCGACAGAGTGAGACTCCGTCTCAAAAAAAAAAAAAAAAATTACCATTTTAGGGCCAGGTATGGTGGCTCATGCCTGTAATCCCAACACTTTGTGAGGCTGAGGCAGGTGGGTCACTTGAGGTCAGGAGGTCGAGACCAGCCTGGACAACATGGTGAAAGCCCATCTTTACTAAAAAAATATAAAATTAGCCGGGCATGATGGCACATGCCTGTAATCCCAGCTACTTGGGAGGCTGAGGCAGGAGAATCACTTGAACCCGGGAGGCAGAGGTTGCAGTGAGCCGAGATTGCACCATTGCACTCGAGCCTGGGCGGAAAGAGCGAAAGTCCATTTCAAAAAAAAAAAAGAAAGAAAAAGTAAAATAAAATTTTATTTTCTTAGGCTGGTGCAATGGTTCATGCCTCTAATCCCAGCACTTTGGGAGGCCAAGGTGGGTGGATGGCCCGAGCCAGGAGTTTGAGACCAGTCTGGGCAACATAGTGAAACCTTGTCTCTACAAAAAATACAGAAATGAACCAAGTGTGGTGGCGCACACCTGTCATCCCAGCTACTTGGGAGGCTGAGGTACAAGAATCACTTGAACCCGGAAGGCAGAGGTTGCAGTGAGCTGAGATTATGCCACTGCACTCCAGCCTGGGCAACAGAGTGAGACCCTGTCTCAAAACAAAAACAAAAAAAAAAAAAAAGAAAAAAATTTTTTAATGAACTATTTTTTTCCCCCCAGGATGAGGTCTTGCTTTGTTACCCATGCTGGAGTGCAGTGGTGCGATCATGGCTCACAGCAACCTCCATCTCCCGAGTTCAAGCTATTCTCCTGCCTCAGCCTCCTGAGTAGCTGGGATTGCAGGTGCCCGCCACCACGCATGGCTAATTTTAGTATTTTTAGTAGAGATGGGGTTTCACCACGTTGGCCAGGCCGGTCTCAAACTCCTGACCTCATGATTTGCCTGCCTTGGCCTCCCAAAGTGCTGAGATTATAGGTGTGAGCCACCATGCCCAGCCTTAATGAACTATTTCATAATTACAAAATACTAAATTATTTAAGCAGAGTGTGATGAGGTTTGAAGGAGGTACACGGAGCCTGTGCCTGTGGAATGTTCCTGAGGTCAAGAGGAACTGCTGCTGTGCTGTCCCTGGAGTGGGACTGGGGCTCTGGGATGGGAGACTCACTTTTCACTCAATGGAAGATCCTTTTGCCATCTCAAGACATACATGGTACGTACAGATGAGAAATGAAGATTAATAAAATGGACATGTGTATACCCAACAGCAGCTTAAAAAATAAAATCCCAGGCCAGGCGTGGTGGCTCACACCTGTAATCCCAGCACTTTGGGAGGCCAAGGCGGGTGGATCACCTGAGGTCAGGAGTTGGAGACCAGCCTGGCCAACATGGTGAAACCCTGTCTCTACTAAAAATACAAAAAATCAGCTGGGCGTGATGACGTGCACCTGTAGACCCAGCTACTCAGGAGGCTTAGGCAGGAGAATCGTTTGAACCTGGGAGGCAGAGGTTGCAGTGAGTCCAGCCTGGGGAACAGAATGAGACTCCGTCTCAAAAAAAAAAAAATTAATTAAAATAAAATAAAATTCCAGCTAGGCACAGTGGCTCACACCTGTAATCCTAGCACTTTGGGAGGCTGAGGTGGTGGATCACCTGAGGTCAGGAGTTTGAGACCAACCTGGCTAACATGGCAAAACCCTGTCTCTCCTAAAAATGCAAAAATTAGCTGAATGTAATGGCCTGCACCTGTAATCCCAGCTACTCTGGAGGCTGAGGCAGGAGAATGGCTTGAACCCAGGAGGCAGAGACTGCAGTGAACCGAGATCGCGCCACTGCACTCCAGCCTGGATGACAGAGTGAGTGAGACTCTGTTTCAAAAAATATTAACTAAAATCCCCCACCAGGTGCAGTGTGCACTTCTGTAGTCCCAGCTACTTGGGAGGTTGAGGCAGGAGAATCGCTTGAACACAGGAGGCAGAGGCTGCAGTGAGCCGAGATCACGCCACTGCACTCCAGCCTGGATGACAGAGTGAGACTCTGTCTCAAAAAAACAATTAATTAAATAAAATCCCCTGCCAGGCGCACCACTCACTGCTGTAGTCCCAGCAACTCGGGAGGCTGAGGTGGGGAGATCGCTTGAACCCAGGAGTTCTGGGCTGTAATGTGCTATGCAGTTCAGTTGTCCACACTAAGTTAGGCATCAATATGGTGACCTCCCAGGAGCAGGGGACCACCAGGTTGCCTAAAGAGGGGTGAACAGGCCTAAGTTGAAAACAAAGCAGGTCAAAACTCCCATGTTGATCAGTAGTGGCATCGTGCCTGTAAATAGCCACTGCACTCCAGCCTGGGCAGCATATTTAAAAAAAAATTAATTAAAAAAAAATAATCCCCCAGAAGTCGTTGCCACCCCTTCCTGCCCAGGGTCCTCACTTCCTGTGCTCTTACTCCTAACACAGGTGTCCTTTGTGGAAGGACAAGCGATGTGCACCAGTGTTGGCCCCAGAGGTTACGGACTGTGGGGTGGGGGCTTGCGTTTTCTCCCAAAAGATGATCTGCAGTTAGGCATTCATGGCATTTAGAAATTCAAAATAAACAAAACCCTTGGCAAATGGCCACTTGTTTTGTTTTTTTTTTGCCCCCGAGACAGAGTCTCACTCTGTTGCCTAGGCTGGAATGCAGTGGCACGATGTCGGCTCACTGCAATCTCCGTCTCCCAGGTTCGAGTGATTCTCCTGGCTCAGCCCCCTGAAGTAGCTGGGATTACAGGCATGCACCACCATGCCTGGCTATTTTTTTGTATTTTTAGTAGAGACAGGTGTTTTTTGGTTTTGGGGTTTTTTTGAGAACGAGTCTCACTCTGTTGCCCAGGCTGGAGTGCAGTGGCGTGATCTCGGCTTACTGCAACCTCCATCTCCAGGGTTCAAGCATTTCTTCTGCCTCAGCCTCCCAAGTAGCTGGGACTACAGGCACGTGCCACCACATCTGGCTAATTTTGTATTTTTAGTAGAGATGGGGTTTCACCATATTGGCCAGGCTGGTCTTGAACTCCTGACCTTGTGATCTGCCTGCCTTGGCCTCCGAAAGTGCTGGGATTACAAGCATGAGCCACCGCGCTGGCCAAATGGCCACTTTTTGAAGTGCTTTCCCTGTATGTGTATACCATGTTCTCTTTATGGACTACTATTTAGCCTTAAAAAAAGACAAGGGAATTCTGTAGTAGGCAACAACATGGATGTACCTTGAAGACATTATGTGCTCAGTGAAATAAGCCAGGTATGGACAAACACTGCATGATTCTGCTTACATGAGGTATCTAGAGAAGTCAAATTCATGGAATCAAACATCAGGATGGTAGCTGCCAGGGGCTTGGTGGAGGAGGAAATGGGAATTTATTAATCCACAGGCATAAAGTTTCAGGTAAGGAAGATGAACGAGCCCTAGAGATCTGCTGTCCATTGTACCGAGAGTCTACAATGTTCTGTCCACTTAAAATGTGTTCAGGACAAACAGCAATTAAAGAAAAAAAAATGTTGGGCCGGGCACAGTGGCTCAGGCCTGTAATCCCAGCCCTTTGGAAGGCCAAAGCAGGTGGATCACTTGAGGTCAGGAGTTGGAGACCGGCCTAGCCAACATGGCGAAACCTCTTCTCTACTAAAAATATAAAAATTAGCCAGTCATGGTGATGTGCACCTGTAATCCAAACTACTCAGGAGGCTGAGGCAGGAGAATCGCTTGAACCCAGGAGGTGGAGGTTGCAGTGAGCCAAGATCACGCCACTGTACTCCAGCCTGAGTGACAGAACGAGACTCTGTCTCAAAAAAAAAAAAAAAAGAAAAAAAGGCTGGGCATGGTGGCTCACTGCTGTAATCTCAGCACTTTGGGAGGCTGCGGCGGGCAGATCACGAGGTCAGGAGATTTAGACCATCCTGGCTAACATGGTGAAACCTCATCTCTACTAAAAATACACACAAAAAAAATTAGCCGGGCGTGGTGGCACACGCCTGTAATCCCAGCTACTCAGGAGGCTGAGGCTTGAACCCAGGAGGCGGAGGTTGCACTGAGCTGAGATTGTGCCACTGCACTCCAGCCTGGGCAACAGTGCGAGACTCTGTCCTCCCCTCCCCCCCCCAAAAAACCCAAAATGTTGGCCAGGTACAGTGGCTCACACCTGTAATCCCAGCACTTTGGGAGGCTGAGGCAGACAGATCACTTGAGGCCAGGAGTTTGAGACCAGCCTGGCCAACATGGTGAAACACCATCTCTACTAAAAATACAAAAAAATTAGCTGGGTGTGGTGGTGTGCACCTGTAGTCCCAGCTACTCTGGTGGCTGAGGCAGGAGAATTGCTTGAACCCAGAAGGCAGGGTTTGCAGTAAGCTGAGATCACACCACTGCACTCCAGTCTGAGTGACAGAGCAAGACTCTCAAAAAAAAAAAAAAAAACAAAATCGGCCAGGCATGGTGGCTCATGCCTATAATCCCAGCACTTTGGGAAGCCGTGGTGGGTGGGAGGCCAAGGCGGGTGGATCATGTGAGGTCAGGAGTTTGAGACCAGCCTGGCCAACATGGTGAAGCCCCATCTCTACTAAAAATACAAAATTAGCTGGGCATGGTGGTGCATGCCTGTAGGCCCAGCTACTCAGGAGGCTGAGGCAGGAAAATTGCTTGAACCCAGGAGGTGGAGGCTGCAGTGAGTCGAAATCATGCCATTGCACTCCAGCCTGGGTGACAGAGTGAGACTGTCTCAAAAAATCGCAGTCAGGTGTGGTGGCTGATGCCTGTAATCCCAGCACTTTGGGAGGCTGGGGCGGTTAGATCACTTGAACCCAGGCGTTTGAGACCAGCTTGGGTAACAAAGTGAGACCCCATCTCTACAACAAAAAAATTAGCCAGGCGTGGTGGCATGGGCCTGTAGTGTCAGCTACTTGGGAGGCTGAGCTGGGAGGATTGCTTGAGCCCAGGAGGTCAAGGCTGCAGTGAGCTGTGTGACCATGCCACTGCACTCCGGCCTCGGCAACAGACTGAGACCTTGTCTCACACACAAAAAAGTGATACTGCTTTTTTTTTTTTTTTTTTTTTGATACAGAGTCTCGCTCTGTCACCCAGGCTAGAGTGCATTGGTGCTATGTCAGTTCACTGCAACCTCTGCCTCCCAGGTTCAAGTGATTCTCCTGCCTCAGCCTCCCAAGTAGCTGGGATTACAGGCACTCACCACCACGCCTGGCTAATTTTTTTTTTTTTTTTTGAGATGGAGTCTCGCTCTGTCACCCACGCTGGAGTGCAGTGGTGCGATCTTGGCTCCCTGCAACCTCCGCCCCCCAGGTTCAAACGATTCTCCCACCTCAGCCTCCTGAGTAGCTGGGATTACAGGTGCGCTGTAATTTTTGTATTTTTAGTAGAGACGGGTTTCACCATCTTGGCCAGGCTGGTCTTGAACTCCTGACCTCATGATCCACCCGCCTGGGCCTCCCAAAGTGCTGGGATTCCAGGCGTGAGCCACCGCGTCCGGCCGCCTGGCTAATTTTTGTATTTTCAATAGAGACGGGGTTTCGCCATGTTGTCCAGACTGGTCTCGAGCTCCTGACCTCAAGTGATCCTCCTGCCTCACCCTCCCAAAGTGTTGGGATTACAGGCATAAGTCACCGCCCCTGGCTGATACTACTTATTTTAAAATGATGAACAAAGTGAAGGGCAGTTTCTGTAGCTCTCTACTTGAGTCACTTGGAGCAGGGATTCTGAACGCTAGAGACCTGAATACCCAGTTTGTGAATAAGTTTCCTGTCTCTCTCTTAGCTGCTTCACTTCATATTCTTAGTATCTTTGTTAAAGGGAAGTCCAGGGAAAGAAGAGAGAAATGAAAGTTTATTAATTTAAGTCTCATTTTAGTAACAAGAAACTTAGTTGAAAATATCACAGAGATTGAACATGAGTTCAGTAAGAAGTGAAGTCAGAACGCTTCCTTCCATGAACTGGTGCAACATGCATGGATTTGAATGAGCTACTGACAAGTTGTCACATGACATCCTCGTGCACCGTGTGGGACATGTGGACAGGAGAGCAGAGGTGGAAGTGGTGCTGGGCTCCTGGAGGGTGGTGGCCGAGCTGATACCTGTCCCCATGACCTCCCCAGGGCATGTCAGCAAGTTTCATGGAAGAGATGCCAGATGGAAGAGATGGCAGGGTTCAGATTCATGAAGGGCCCAGTAGTTCAGGGCAATAGATAAGATCTAATAAAATGTACTGTGTTAACGCTAAATGTGAGGTCTTCTTGATTCTAAGAAACCCAAGAGAAAATTTCAGGATTGGCACAAGATGACTTAATAGCAGCTAGTAAGAAAAAGAGTTTAAGGTTTGGGGAAATCACCCATCAGGAATATCCAATATAGGCAGACTTTTTCAGAAATTCTTTAACATAATATTGGAGAAAGAAATGGACTTCATTTAGAAGATGGTGTGTGTGTGTGTGTGTGTGTATTTACACGTGTATACCTTTGTACAGAAATTTCCTCCACAAAATTCCTGCTAGATGAAGTCATCTCTGTTGATAAATGTGATGAACTGTTGATTTTGTTAATGAAATCGGATTCAGCTTGGTTTCTCTTCTCCTGCAGATGTGCTTGGTCCAGCAGTATTCCCCTGGGAACTGTTCTCCAGGCGCTGCAGAGCTCCTCTGTGCTGTCTGTATCCACCTGTGGTCTGTTTCCGGGCTCTCTTTCATGTCACATTGACCTGTTTTTGTATCTTATGCCAGTCTTTTTTCTTTTATTTATTTATTTATATTATTATTTTTTTTTGATGGAGCCTCGCTCTGTTGCCCAGGCTGGAGTGCAGTGGTGCGATCTCAGCTCACTGCAAGCTCCACCTCCTGAGTTCACGCCATTCTCCTGCCTCAGCCTCCCAAGTAGCTGGGACTACAGGTGCCCACCACCACGCCCCACTAATTTTTTTTGTATTTTTAGTAGAGATGGGGTTTCATTGTGTTAGCCAGGATGGTCTCCATCTCCTGACCTCATGATCCACCCGCCTTGGCCTCCCAAAGTGCTGGGATTACAGGCATGAGCCACTGCACCCAGACTCAGACTCTTTGTTGTTGTTGTTGTTGTTTTGTTTTTGTTTTTTTTTTTTTTTGAGACAGAGTCTCACTCATTACCTAGGCTAAGTCCAGTGGCACAATCTCTGCTCATTGCAGCCTCGACCCCTTGGGCTCAAGCAATCCTCCCACTTCAGCCTCCCTAGTAGCTGGGACCACAGACACGTGACGCCACACTTGGCTAATTGAAAAACACTTTTTTTGCGTAGAGACAGGGTCTCACTGTTGCACAGGCTGGTCTCAAACTCCTGGGCTCAAGCAATCCTCCTGCCTTGGCCTCCCAAAGTGCTGGGATGACAAGTGTGAGCCACTATGTCCAGCCTTTGCCCCACTTCTTGAAAGATATTTTCACTGAATGTAAAATCTGAGATATCAGTTATTATCTTTCAGAATCATAATTGTCCCTTTCTCTGCTGCCTTTTGGGCTCTTGTTTTACCTGGGAGCTTGTTCTGTTGAACAGGTCATTTTTCCTTCCTCTGGACACTTTTAAGACTTTTTTCCCCTTTATCTTTGGTGTTTTGCAGTTTCATTATTTGTCTAGCTGTGGCTTTATTTTTATTTATCCTGCTTTAGGACTGTTGGGCTTTTTAAGTCTGTGGATTAGTAGCTTTTCCTTAATTCTGGAGAATCCACAATCATCAATTATTCACAAAGCGCCTCTACCCCATTTTCTTCTTGCCTCAACCTTCTGAAATCCAAATAAATGTCATCTCTCCCTGCTTCACATCTCTTAGTTTAAGACTCATATTTCCACCTTCCTCACTGTTTTTTTGTTTTTTTTTTTTTTTTGAGACGGACTATTGCTCTGTTACCCAAGGCTGGAGTGCAGTGGCGCAATCTCAGCTCACTGCAACCTCCGCCTCCCGGGTTCAAGCAACTCTCCTGCCTCAGCCTCCTGAGTAGCTGAGACTACAGGCAGACACCACCACGCCCGGCTAATTTTTGTATTTTTAGTAGAGACGGGGTTTCACCGTGTTGGCCAGGCTGGTCTCGAACTCCTGACCTTGTGATCCGCCCCCCGCCCCCCCAGCCCCGGCCTCCCAAAGTGCTGGGATTACAGGCGTGAGCCAGCGCGCCCGGCCTCTCGCTCTTCTTTATTCAGCATAATTTATTCTGACGTATCTTCAGTGTAGGTATTCTCTTTTTATTCTCCTATTCCTGTTAAACCCATTGGGCTGAATGCTGTTTATTTCTAGAATGTCTACACCTGTTTTTCTGCAAGGTCATTTTTTTTCTCGTTTGCTGTTGGTTACATATACTCTCAAGCTCATCGGTTCCCTCCGTGAGTACAGGTAAGTGGAGGAGCCTCATGGTCTGCCTCAGGTCTTTGAGATGTTGAGTCTCTGGATCTGGTCCTGCTGCTGGCCTTTTCTGTCCTTGCTCATGGGGCATTGTTTCTGTGAATGTGTGGTTACTTTTGACTGCATTACTCATTGTCCTGGAAAAATGACTTTGTGGGAATTTTTCAGATCTAGGATAAAGATGCTTCCTCCAAACTAGGTTTACGCTTCCTTCTGCCAGGTACCTCAGGGCGCTGTCAGCCTAAAGCCAATTTAAACTAAATCCATCAACTGTGAGCTTTTGGAATCTTCTCACTGGTGTGAATTTGGGCCATAAGTCCTGTGAGGGCTGTCCTATGATCACTGCTCTGTGGGGTGGGGACCAGCCTTAGAGTTCTCATCGGAAGCCCGGGGTGGCTGGATGGGGGCAGATGTTTTCAGGGCAAGAGCGGCTTGGCTCGCCTCTCTGGTTTCTGGTTTCCCCAGATGGTGCCTGGCGGCTCCTCACTGTCTTGTCAGCCCCTGGATGCCTTTAAGAAAACATCCTTTTATTTTGTCAGCATTTTTGGTACTTCTCAGTGGGAGGGCTGGTCCAAGTATTTGGCTTATCATAGTTTTACAAAAAGTTGGTTTCTATGAAATCTTAAGTCACCTCTTTTTTAAAAATGTAACTTTTAGTCTGGGCGCGGTGGCTCACTCCTGTAATCCCAGCACTCTGGGAAGCCGGGGCAGGCAGATCACTTGAGGCCAGGAATTTGAGACCAGCCTGGACAACATGGTGAAACCCCATCTCTACTAAAAATACAAAAATTAGTCAGGTGTAGGGCCAGGCGCAGTGGCTCACGCCTGTAATCCCAGCACTTTGGGAGGCCAAGGCAGGTGGATCAACTCAGGTTGGGAGTTTGAGACCAGCCTGACCAACATGGAGAAACCCCGTCTTTACTAAAAATACAAAATTAGCTGGGTGTGGTGGCGCATGCCTGTAATCCCAGTGCTCGTGAGGCTGAGACAGGAGAATCACTTGAACCCGGGAGGTGGAGGTTGTGGTGAGCCAAGATCGTGCCATTGCACTCCAGCCTGGGCAATAAGAGCGAAACTCTGTCTCAAAAAAAAAAAAAAAAAAAGAAAAGAAAAAGAAAAATTAGGTGTGGTGGCACGTGCCAGTAGTCCCAGCTACTCAGGAGGCTGAGGCAGGAGAATCACTTGAACCCGGGAGGCGGAGGTTGCAGTGAGCGCAGATGGTGCCATCGCACTCCAGCCTGGGCGACAGAGATTCCATCTCAAAAAAATAAAAAAAATAAAAAATCTACCTTTTATGTTTTTTATTTGAACTATACATAGTAAGCAGCGTGGGGTTTTTTTGTTTGTTTGTTTGTTGTTGTTGTTTTTTCTTGAGATGGAGTCTCACTCTGTCTCCAGGCTGGAGTGCAGTGGTGCAATCTCGGCTCACTGCAGCCTCCGCCTCCCGGGTTCAAGTGATTCTCCTGCTTCAGCCTCCCGAGTAGCTGGTACTACAGGCGCACGCCACCACGCCCAGCTAATATTTGTATTTTTAATAGAGACGGGGTTTTCACCATGTTGGCCAGGATGGTCTCGAACTCCTGACCTGGCGATCTGCCCGCCTCAGCCTCCCAAAGTGCTGGGATTACAGATGTGAGCCACCACACCCAGCCTTAATAGTTTTTTTGTCTAGTTACACTTTTTCTTTTAGAGAACTTGAAACCCATTAATGCACATGTACATACATAATCCACACATATATGTATATGTATGTGTGTGTGTGTATATGGCATATCCATTTATCCACATACTATACATACATGCCTTACACTATAGTTTCCTGAAGCTTACATCACAGGCACAGTCATGTCCACATTCCAGTAATGCTTATCATTCCACGACCGATATGGCTTAATGTATGCTTTAGTTTTCAGAATATATCACTTACTCCTACGAATCAGTAAGGAAAGGACCAGCAGCTAATAGAAAATGTGACAAAGATTTGAAAAGGAGGAATCATAAAAGGTGCCCACCTGTATGGTCAGGTTGAAGCAAATTAAAGCCACAATGAGATGCTGCTGCCTTATACCTGCCAGGCAGCAGAAGTGTTAAAATTTGACCATATCAAGTTGGCGGGATAAAGATCAGCAGGGACTCATGTTCGCTGCTGGCAGGATGACCTTGTCACCGGCACTTGGGAGGTGCTGCTGTGTGCACGGGCATCTGCTCCTGGGATTGTTCCAACGAAACACCTGCCTGTGCGGCTCAGGAGAGGTGACAGCGACAGCAGCACCATTTAGTAGCCAGCCTGGGAGCCGATACACATCCACACCCCGTCAGTGGCTGCATGCAGTGTATCTGACGGGACACCAGGTGAAGGGGGCCCAGCTGCACATGGGGACAGAGGCAGACTTGGCTGCACGTCAGCAGAGAAGTCTCACAGCATCGTCGGTGTCAAGTTCAAAACACGGAACACGCAGCAGTGTGGCTCAGGGCCACACACGGGGCACAGCCATCAGGACAAGCAAAGACCAAGAAGCACCAAGTCCAAGTTAGGCAGCATCTCAGGCCGGGGCACCAAGGAAGGGCACAGCAGCGCCGTGGTGACCGGGTCCCAGTACCATCCTGGGTGGCCGCCACCGGCCGTTTGTGTCTTCCGTTCACACGATTACAAACGCTGCGTTCTGCCCACACACATCTTCAGTCCCAGATGTGAGAAGGTGACCCTCTAATGCAGGCGTGCCTGCGCAGGTGGGGGGCAGACGCCGTCCTGGGTGTCATCCCATGGAAGGGCACAGGACAGGCTGCTGCCGGAGCAGAGGTCACATGGGGTGGGGGGCGGTGGGGGGTGCATCTCAGGAGGAGCAGGTGTGAGGACACTGCTGGCGCTTGGCTCTTCTTCCCAGCCCCGTGCTCTCGAATTTGGGGAAACCCTTGCTCTTCTGTTTGGCCTGAAAGAAAATCCGGTGTGCCTGACTCTCTGCAGGCCCCTTGTCACAGGCCAGGCTGGGGTGGTGCCACCAGGAAAACTTGGCGCACGTCCTGTTGCTGATGATGGCAGCATCAGTCATGGACTTAACCTTCTTTTGTTAATGAGACCTTAGAAATGTAAAAATGATACACTCTTCTTTAAAATAATTGTAGTCAGTACACATAACTCTTACCATCTTAACCATTTCTAAGTGTACAGTTCAGTGACATTAAATATATTCACATTTTTGTACAGCCATCGCCACCCTCCAACCTCCAGAATTCTTCATGTTGCAAAACTGAAACACTGCACCCATGAAGCGGGGACTCCCCTGCCCCTGGCAGCTCTTTCTGTCTCTGAGTCCCACTACTCTAAGTACCTCATACAATATTTGTCCTTTGTGACTGGCTTACTTCACTGAGCATAGTGTCCTCAGGGTTCCTCCATGCTGTAGCTGTGACAGGAGCCCCCTCCTGTTAAAGGCTGGATAACATTCCACTGTATGCAGACGCCACATTTTGATCATGAGAATGCCCGTTTGTGGAGGGACACACTGTTGCTTCCCCCTCGTGGCTGTTGTGGATAATGTCGCTGTGAGCATGGGTGTGCAGACATGGCTTTGAGACCCTGTTTTCAGTTCTCGTGGATTTATACCCAGCAGTGGAATTGCTGGAGCCCATGGTAATTCTATATTTCGTTTTTTGAGGAATTACCATACTGTTTCCCATAGTGCCTCCAGCATTTTACATTTTTACCCTCAATGCACAAGGCTCCAATTCCTCCACATCCTCACCAACGCTTATTTTCCGTGTGTGCGCGTTGATAGTAGCCGTCCTAGAGGGTGTGTGGTGGTGTCTCAACGTGGTCCTTGTCTGCCTCCCTCAGGATCAGTGACATGGAGCACCTTTTCACGTGCTTGTGGGCCATCTGTATATCTTCTTCGGAGAAATGTTTATATAAGTCCTTTGTCCATTTTTAATCAGATTGGGGTTGTTTTGTTGAGTTGTAGGAGTTTCTTAAATATATTCTAATAACTATATAGAATATAGATATATAGGTCCTTTGTCCATTTTTTAATCAGATTGTGTTTCTTTTTGCTGAGTTTTTTTTAACATATTCTAACAACTAGAATATATAGAGAATATAGATACATAGGTCCTTTATCCATTTTCCTTTTTTTTTTTTTTTTGAGATGTAGTCTCACTCTGTCGCCCAGGCTGGAGTGCAGTGATATGGTCTCGGCTCACTGCAACCGCTGCCTCCTGGGTTCAAGCAATTCTGCTGCCTCGGCCTCCCAAGTAGCTGGGACTACAAGCACCCGCCACCACGCCCGGCTAATTTTTTGTATTTTTAGTAGAGACGGGGTTTCGCCATGTTGACTAGGGTGGTCTCGATCTCCTGACCTAGTGATCCACCTTCTTCGGCCTCCCATAATGCTGGGATTACAGGCGTGAGCCACCACGCCGGGCCCATACCCGGCCCTTTATCCATTTTTTAACCTGTTTGTTTGATTTGCTGAGTTGTAGTTGTTTTTTTTTTTTTTTTTTACATATTCCAATAACTAGGATATATAGAGAATATGGATATATAGAGAATATGTATAGAGAGAATATAGAATATATGTATTCTAGATATTAACACCTTATCAGGTATATGATTTAAAAATATTTTCCCTCATTCTCTGGGTTGCCTCTGTTGATAGTATCCTTTGAAGCACAAAAGTTTTTATTTATTTATTTAGAGACAGGGTTTCACTCTGTTGCTCAGGCTGGAGTGCAGTTGGACGATCTCAGCTCACTTGAGCCTCAACTTCCCAGGCTCAAGCCATCCTCCCACCTCAGCTATCCCAAGTAGCTGGGACCACAGGCACAGGGACCACACCCAGCTAATTTTGTGTATTTTTAGTTGAGATGAGGTATTGCTTTGTTGCCCAGGCTGGTTTTGAGTTCCTGGGCTCAAGTGGTCCACCCACCTCAGCCTCCCAAAGTGCTGGGACCACAGGCGTGAGCACTGCACCGAGCCAGAAGTTTTGAATTTTTACGAAGTCTAATGTGTCTGTTTTTCTTTTGCTGCCCATGCTTTTGGTATCGTATCCAAGAGATGATTGCCACATCCAATGTCATGAAGCTTTTCCCCTGTGTTTCCTTCTAAGAGTTTTATAGTCTTAGCTCTCACATTTAGGTCTTTTATTTTGAGTTAATTTGTATACGGTGTTAGGTAAGAGTCCAACTTTATATTTTTGCAGGTGGATATCCAGTTGTTGTGACACCATTTGTTGAAAGACTGTCCTTTCCCCATTGAATGGTCTTGACACCCTGTTGAAGATCATGTGACCATACATAAGGGTTTATTTCAGGACTGGAATTTCTTAAAGATTAAATAATACTGGATCCATCACTCACATTCCTCAATGTCCTGGTGCTCTGCGTGGTGAATTCCCGGATTCGGGGTGGGGTGCATCCAGCCCTGCCACCGGGCCCACTCACCGGGCGTCTTGGTTCTGCCTCTCCTTTCATGTTTCCAAAGCCAAACCTGGTATAAGAAGAATTTGAATCAATGTTTTTCTCAAATTATTTGCATGTAAAAGGAGTTCATTTTTTCACTTCCAACTAAATGTAAAGTGGTTAAGCAGTGGCATGGTGTCAGTGTTCATTTTGTCTACAATTGATACTAAAGAGTTGGATCTTGGTCAGGCGCAGTGGTGCTTGTAATCCCAGCACTTTGGGAGGCCAGGCTTGGTGGCGTGTTCCTGTAATCCCAGCTACTCAGAGGCTGAGGTAGAAGAATCGCTTGAACCCAGGAGGAGGAGGTTGCAGCGAGCTGAGATTGCGCCACTGCACTCCAGCCTGGGCAACAGAGTGAGACTCCATCTCAAAAAAAAAAAAAAATTCTAGTCCTGCCACCCCCCCACCCCGCGTGTTGCTTCACAACACATGAATCCCATATGTACCTGCTTCACACGCATGTTCTCTCTGTAACCCACCACTTTGTCTGATTGGTTGGCAGGTTACGTTTTTCTCTCGTCCCAGCTGTGTGGACAGTGCCACACGCCCTCCTGGACAACGACGGCTCTTGCGTGCATTTTCCAGTGTTGCTTTTGTCAGAGAGGCCAGCAGAGCCACGGTTCTTCCAGAACCAGCCCTGAGCTGAGTGAGGAGTGCCCAGGAGAGATGGTGAAAATGACAAAGTCCAAAACTTTCCAAGCGTATCTGCCGAACTGTCACCGAACGTACAGCTGTATCCACTGCAGAGCACACCTGGCCAATCATGACGAGCTCATCTCCAAGGCAAGTGGCTTATGCCAAAAAATTGATGGCACAATGATTATCTGTCATTGTGGTACCTACATAGTGGAAGAATATTTAAGCATCACATGACTTCCTGAGTCTGCTGTGTCCTGAACGTCTAGAGCCTTCTAGGCAGCATTGGTGAGCGTTTTGTGCATGGTTAAGTGTGGCTGTGCCACGATCTCAGATGTGATCCTGGCATGGTGGGCGGTTTTCCAGGGCCAGGCAGCTGGCACTCCCAGGGATTACGAGGGGCAAGGTGAATCACTTGTTACTCACAGCAGAAAGCCAGAGAGGACTGAATGAGCAAAAGAAGTCTAGAAAAATCTGTGGAAATGGTTTAATAATAAGGGTATTAAGACATTTTAAAAACTCAGCATGGTTAAGAAGGAAAGGGGTTGCTCAGAAAAATGCCCCAGAGGGTGTGGCTGCGTTTGTCGGTTGTGTAGGAGCCCTGGGTGAAGCTCTGGCTGGTCTCTGTGCATAGAACCCATGAGCAGCCTTGAAGATGTAAACAAGATCCCCTGGCCCCTCCTTACTGTGCTGAGCTCCTCATTAGCAGTGTGTGGCGTTGATCATCAACCAGTTGTGAACATTTAAACAGGCCAAACATCATGGAGGAGCTGATGCTCAGTCGGAATGACAGTGTTCTCCACCCATCCTCAGGTCATGACATCCCCCCAGCCTCAGGTCATGAACTCCCCGCATCCTCATACGTCATGACCACCGATCCTCAGGTCATGACCTCCCACATCCTCACAGGTCATGACCTCCCCCATGCTCAATTCATGACTTGCACCCATCCTCACGGATCATTACCTCCACTCATCCTTATAGGTCATGACCTCCCCCCATCCTCACAGGCCATGACCTCCCCCCATCCTCAGGTCATGACGTCTCCCCATCTTCACAGGTCACGACCACTTTGGGAACAAAGTTTGTCAGGAAGTTGTGCCTTTCAGAAATCTTTTCTTCTTTTTTTAAATAGGTATTTTATTTACTTTTATTTTTTCTTGTAGAGACAGGGTTTTACCATGTTGCCAAGGCTGGTCTTGTACTCCTGGCCTCAAGCGATCCTCCTGCCTTGGCCTCCCAAAGTGCTGGGATTATAGGTGTGAGTCACCACGCCCAGCCAGGAATCTCTTAGGTTTCCTGTTTAACTCAAGAGAAGAACATTTACCTGCTTGTATTTTCAGTAGGTAATAGTGAGAGGCTCCTCATTTCTGTTCATCATCTGAGATAGAAACTGTTGAACGAGGCAGAGTTTCTGCTCTCTCATTGCCTCTGGGGCTCCTGTGTGCACTGGGAAGTGTGAGGTGAGAAGTGGAAGGAGCCAGGCACCCCATTTCCTCGGTGTTTTCTGAGGTAGGCTTAGTGTGTAAAATGACATGAGGTAATGAGAGGCGGAGCTGCTCTGGGCCCCTGGGTAGGGGCAGTGAAGCTTGTGGCCTTGTGGAGCCCCGTGACACCTGTGTGTTGGCCATGACCTAAGCAGGTGACCTGAGCACTGAGAGGTGGTCAATGTCCGGCCCCATGCATGGTTTTGTTTCGGAAGCATGCCAGGTGTGTTCCTTGCTACATGGTCAAAAGGAATTTGAGATGCTTCTGTTGAACAGCCTGGAGGTCATCAATGAGCTGTTTTAAAAATTGTATCAGCTGGGCGTGGTGGCTCACCCCTGTAATCCCAGCACTTTGGGAGACCGAGGTGGGCGGATCACTTGAGGTCAGGAGTTTGAGACCAGACCAGCCTGACCAACATGGAGAAACCCCGTCTCTACTAAAAAAAATACAAAATTAGCCGGGTGTGGTGGCACATGCCTGTAATCCCAGCTACTTGGGAGGCTGAGGCAGGAGAATCGTTTGAACCTGGGAGGCGGAGGTTGCAGTGAGTCGAGATCGCGCCATTGCACTCCAGCCTGGGCAACAAGAGCGAAACTCTGTCTTAAAAAAAAAAAAAAAAAAAAAAATTGTATCAAGAATAGAAGCCTGGCTGGGCTTGGTGGCTTACACCTGTAATCCCAGAACTTTGGAAGGCCAAGATGGGTGGATCACTTGAGGTCAGGAGTTCAAGACCAGCATGGCCAACATGGTAAAACACTGTCTCTATTAATAAAGTACAAAAAAATTAGCTGGGCATGGTGGCACACACCTGTAATCCCAGCTATTTGGGAGACTGAGACATGAGAATTGCTTCAACCTGGGAGGCAGAGGTTGCAGTGAGCTGAGATCACACCACTGCACTCCAGCCTGGGTGACAGAGTAAGACTCTGTCTCAAAAAAAAAAAAAAAAAAAAAAGGCAGAAGCCTGCTCAGAAGTCATTTGGTGCCAAATGAGCATTTCAGGATGAAAAAAAGTGCTGAGAACTAAGCTCTCTGAGCACACAGGCCACCAGGAAGGATCAGACCTCGTGCCTCCATGGGTGATGGGCCGGGCGAGGTGGCAAGATGACGACTAGAGTGAGCTTTTCTCCCTTCCGTGGTGATTCTGATGAGGATTCATTGAGACCATCGAGAACACCTGCCACGCAGAACAGAATCCAGTACCTGCGAGGCGAGAGGCACTGTCTTCACAGCCTCTAAGTTTGTATTTGTCACTAACAAGGAATCCCCTGGCTCGAGGGAGCCTGTTGCTGCTGTAGGCAGCTCTGGTTACTAGAAGGCTCCATTTAGTTAGCAAACTCTGATCTGTGGTCCAAATCTGCCACACCACCTGTTTATGCAAAGTTTTAATAGATCACAGCTGTGCTCATCTGTTTACAGAGTAATTAGAACAGGGACCATATGTCCTCCAAAGCCTAAACTACTTATCTCCTGGCCCTAATTTACAGGAGGAGTTTGCTGGCGCCAACTCTGATAAGACAGCTCTGAATCTGAATCACAGAGCTGCTCTTGTCTCTGAGCCAAACCCTATTTAAAAATAAGGACTTTCAGAGTAGGTGAGAATTAGGAAATTCAGTCCAGAATATTGAAGACTGATGAGGATGTGGGAAAAGTCTATAAGATGATTATTAGTTAAACTGAACATAGAATAATATTCCTAATCCCAGAATGCCACTTAAGGGAATACTCATTTTTAAGCCTGAATGCTGAGGAAAAAGAGCCTCCCCAGATCTCAACAGCTTAAAACACAGGTTTAGTTCATGCTCAGGTGAGAAGTCTACCAGGGACAACTGGGGGCTCTTGTTTTTTGTTGTTGCTGTTGTTGTTGTTTGAGATGGAGCCTTGCTTTGTCGCCCAGGCTAGAGTGCAGTGGTGCCATCTCCACTCACTGCAACCTCTGTCTCCCGGGTTCAAGCAAGTCTTCTGTCTCAGCCTTCTGAGTAGCTGGGACTACAGGTGTGCGCCACCACACCAGGCTAATTTTTTGTATTTTTAGTAGAGGGGGTTTCACCATGTTGTCCAGGCTGGTCTCGAACTCCTGGCCTCAAGTGATCCTCCCACTTTGGCCTCCGAAAGTGCTGGGATTATAGGCATGAGGCACTGTGCCAGGTCCTTTTAATTTTTTTTAAATTATATAATATTGCACATAATCACATTAAAATAATGTGTATGTGTAAACGAGGAGACTTGCTTCTTCCTCCTGCCTTGTCCGGCTCCATTCCTTGGAGATGTCACTGTTAGTAGTTTGGCATCTGTTGTCTTTATTTTGTTTTAATAGAAACACATTTTTCACTTTAAATAAAGGGCTCAAATGACACTCACTTTACAGCTAACTTTTCCTCACTTAGTATTTTATGACTTTTATGACTATTTTTATTTTTATTTATTTATTTATTTATTTTTAGACAGGGCTTCTCCTGTCACCCAGGCTGGAGTACAATGGCATAATCTCAGCTCACTGCAACCTCCACCTCTCGTGCTCAAGCGATTCTCCTGCCTCAGCCTCCCAAGTAGCTGGGAGTACAGGCTCACAGCCACCATGCCCTGCTAATTTTTATATTTTTTGTAGGGACAGGGTTTTGCCATGTTGCCTAGCCTGGTCTTGAACTCCTGACCTCAGGTGATCCACCCACCCTGGCCTCTCAAAGTGCTGGGATTACAGCCATGGTGCCTAGCCTATGACTGTTTTTCCATATCTGCTCCTACCTTCCCATCCCCTGCATGAGGCCCATATGCGGATGCAGTTGCTTACTCACTTATGGATGAGTACCTGACTTCCAGGTTAAATTTTTTTTTCTTTTTTTTTTTTTTGTGAGACGGAGCCTGACTCGGTAGCCCAGTCTGGAGTGCAGTGGCGCGATCTCGGCTCACTGCAACCTCTGCCTCCCGGGTCCCGGTTCAAGCAATTCTCCTGCCTCAGCCTCCTGAGTAGCTGGGATTATAGGCACGCACCACCATGCCCAGCTAATTTTTGTATTTTTAGTAGGGACGGGGTTTCACCATGTTGGCCAGGCTGGTCTTGAACTCCTGAACTTGTGATCTGCCTGCCTCAGCCTTGCAAAGTACTGGGATTACAGGCATGAACCACCGCGCCCAGCCTTTCTTAAAATTTTTTTTGAGGCAGAGTTTCACTCTAGTCGCCCAAGCTGGAGTGCAATGGCGCGATCTTGGCTCACTGCAACCTCCCCCTCCCAGGTTCAAGCAATTCTCCTGCCTCAGCTTCCTGAGTAGCTGGGAATACAGGCACCCTCCACCATGCCCAGCTAATTTTTATATTTTTATCAGAGACGGGATTTCTCCATGTTGGCCAGGCTTGTCTTAAAATCCTGACCTCAGGTGATCCACCCACCTCGGCCCCCCAAAGTGCTGGGATTACATGCGTGAGCCACCGCGCCTGGCCTATTTATGTTTTTTAGAGGCAGGTTCTTGCTCTGTCCCCCAGGCTGGAGTGCAGTGGTGTAATCATGGCTCTCGAACTCCTGAGCTCAAGCAATCCTCCTGCCTCAGCCCGTTTTTGTTGTTGTTGTTGTTTGTTTTCCTAATTATGAACACTGTAACCTGTGACCATTCCTGTCACATTTCCTTATACACTCAAGCTGGTTTGTTGTTTACAGTAAATTCTTAGAAGTGGGACTGCTGGGTCCTATAGTGTGTGCTTTTTCCACTTCGATATTGTCAAATCGTGTTTCAGTCACATTCCTCATAGCCTTTTGCCTTTGTTAGGTCAAAAACCCCAAAAAAGGGCTGGGCATGGTGGTTCATGCCTGCCAATACAAAACCATCTTTGTTTTATACAGAAATGTTGCTTTCCTGTTTTCTTTCCAATGAAATTTAGATATGAAAATCTGACAGCGTACATCATGTATGACATATGCGGTTTCCTTTGTGGGAGTGGTATTGAGCGAGCATCTCTTACCAGCTCACCTAAGACATTTTTAAATGACAGCCTCCATTATAAACTGTAATGTAAGCCAGGCGCAGTGGCTCACGCCTGCAATCCCGTCACTTGGGGAGGCCGAAGCAGGCAGATTACTTCAGTCCAGGAGTTCGAAACCAGCCTGGCCAACATGGCGAAACCCTATCTCTAAAATATCCTATCTCTAAAAATACAAAAATTAGCTGGGCCTAGTGGCACGTGCCTGTAGTCCTAGCTACTGGAGAGGCTGAGGCAGGAGAATTGCTTGAACCCTGGAGGCAGAGGCTGCAGTGAGTCCAGATGGTGCCACTGCACTCCAGCCTGAGTGACAAAGTGACACTCCATCTCAAAACCCCAACTCCCCCCAAAATTTTTGATTTGGTTTGCATTTCTTTGATTATGTTTGAGGTCGATTGAGACTTGAGGCTGGCACTGGAGCAGGCGTTCCCACCTGTCCCGTGAGGGCAAAGGTCGTGGGGAGTGACCAAGTGCATCAGGGGGTGCAGATGCCCTATTCTGGCTCTTTCACGCTCAGCCATCTTAGCATACGTGAATATACCATGAGCTGTTTCTCAGCTTGTTTTATTTTCCTGGTGAGATAGATGTCACTGGAATGGCCTTTCTCCAAGTGAAAGGCCATCTTGTGCTATGACTTTTTTTTTTTTTTTTTTTTCGAGACGGGGTTTCACTCTTGTTGCCCAGGCTGGAGTGCAGTGGCGCAATCTTGGCTCACTGTAGCCTCCACCTCCCGGGTTTAAGTGATTCTCCTATTTTAGCCACCCAAGTAGCTGGGGTTACTGGTGCCCGCCACCACGCCCAGCTAACTTTTGTATTTTTAGTAGAGACAGGGTTTCACCATGTTGGCCAGGCTGGTCTCAAACTCCTGACCTCAGGTGATCTGCCCACCTCAGCCTTCCAAAGCGCTGGGATTACAGGCGTGAGCCGCCATACTCAGCCATGCTGTGACTTTTAAAACATTTCAGTGGGAAAATATGGACACCTCCCCCTACCCCCTAATATCTGGCAGCGTGAGCACATCTGAACTGCTGCAGAAGAGGCGGCGAGGAGAGCATTTTGAGGATCTGTGGGTTTTCGGGTAGAGAAAATCATTCGTGATCCCCTCTCAGAACTCCTCTAAGGTAAAGTTGTCCAGACATATGAAGCTCACCATTTAAAAACTGATCTTGCCATGATTCCCAATAATAGTCACTTGCAGAATGTTGACGCAGCAGAATCAGCCACTCCTGTCTACAATGAAAAACAGCTTGCAGCTCCGTTAAGTGGCTGTTATTAGAAGTGGAGTTCTGGAGGGGGGACGCCGGTGTCTGCTCCCGGTGACGCGTCCCGGCGCAGCTAACAGCCGCGGGGCTGGACTCCCCTGGTTCTGGGCAGCACCGCTTCGTTCCAGAAAGCACTCGCAGCCAATCTCACGGGACCTTCTTCTTTCAGTCCTTTCAGGGGAGCCAGGGACGCGCCTACCTCTTCAATTCCGTGTGAGTACCCTGGTTCAGCCCGGGGGGAGCGGCACGGGCCCTGGGACGGCCTGGATGGCACCTACACAGTGCCCTGTGTAGAATCACCTGGGTCTTTAGGGGTCCTGAAAGAACCCACCATCCCCCCGCCGGGAGTTTCTGAAACGCGCTAAGGATCTTGCCCCCTAGCCTGTCCCATCACTGATCTTTCCCATTGATGGTGGTGGCGGGCAGGGCTGGGGGAGAGGCACGGCACTGCTCTCTGGGAGTTTCCCTGTTTTGGGGGAACTCTTAGGAGGATGGGGTGGGGCCCGCTGAGGGGGCAGGGCCTGGTCAGGGGCGGGCCGGGCCTGCAGCGCAGTGGCCCCTCTGTCCCCGCAGGGTGAACGTGGGCTGCGGCCCTGCAGAGGAGAGGGTCCTTCTCACCGGGCTGCATGCGGTTGCCGACATCTACTGCGAGAACTGCAAGACCACGCTCGGGTGGAAATACGTGAGTGCCACAAGGGGATGCTCGTGCCACAAGGGGATGTGGCACTAAGTTGCCACTGAGCCACACCTCCCCGTGCAGTGTGGCCCATGGTACCAGTCACAGCACTTTCAGAAACCCCAGTTCCTCAGCCGAGGTGGGAAGTCCAGACTCCAGTGAGGCATGGTCTCACCACTGCCCTCCAGCCTGGGTGACAGTGATACCCCAACCCAAAACAAAAAACAAAAACACCATGTTTTCAAGCCCTGTTTCTTCCTAAGCCAGGCTCTCTGCACCCAGCCCGCCCTCGGCCCGCTGAGCAGAGCCTGGTGTGGGAGGAGGCCGAGGAGGCTGCAGGGGGCTGCGGGAGGCTGTGCCCACTGTCAGGGACAAGTCTAGAAGACCTCAGCGCCAGACCTGCTGGAGTCAGAGACAGAGAGCTGCCCCATGAGCTCTTTACCCCAAATCCCTCTTTCTCAGGGACCTTGAATTGAAGGTTGCAATCGCCACCTCCTCTCCAGCCTTCACCTCTAGCTCCCTTCTCTCTCCACCACATGGCTGATCTGGCCTCCTCAGGCCCTGCACCTTCCTGCCCCGCTTCCCTCCTCTACGCTGCCCTGAAGTCTCTCTTCCAGGCTCCACTCTCTCTGACCTTCGTGGCCGAGTCCTCCCCTCCCCCAGGCCACCTGAGATTCCATGGTTTTGACCCCCTGGCCATCTGCCTTCTGTTGGATGCTCCCATGCCTTCCCCAGTTGTTGTTGTTGTTGTTTTGTTTGTTTTTTGAGATGGTCTCAAACTCCTGACCTCAAGTGATCCACCCACCTCAGCCTCCCAAAGTGCTGGGATTACAGGCGTGAGCCACCGCGCCCGGCCTGCCTGCCTTTGTTGAAGGAGGCTTTCCCATTCTGGCTCTGGTGTTCTTCGGGTCCAGGCCACCTGCTCTGCCTCTTTCCTGAATTCCTGATCATCTCTGGTCTCCCAGATTCCTCATGAGTTTTGGAAGGCCACAGTTCACACCATGGAAACGGGCTCCACAAGACTAGCACGCATCCCTAGCCCTTCCCCTGGTCAGTCAGCCCCATACCCATCTGTGGGCCCCACTTCCAGAAACCCGTGCCTTCCCTGCATGGCCACCACACTGCATTCCCCTCTATGGCTGCACCCGCTTCCTGCTGGCACAGTCCTTCCTGTGTCTGCCACACCTGGGGCTGCCGCTTGGGTAGGCAGGATCCATCTTGGTCATCTGTGTCCCTAGCACCAGGCCACACACTCAGCAAAACAAAATGATGAGGATGTGTCTGTGGGAGAGATGTTAACTCCTCCCCATGAAGGACCTTCTCCAGATATCCTGTTTTTTGTTGTTGTTTTTTGAGACAGGGTCTTGGTCGATCTCAGCTCATTGCAGCTTTGACCTTCTGGGCTGAAGCAGTCCTCCCACCTCAACCTCCCAAGTACCTGGGACTACAGGCACACCACACCCAGCTAAGTTTTTGATTTTTGTAGAAGAAAATCACTGTGTTGCGTAGGCTTGTCTCAAACTCCTGGACTCAAGTCATCCTCCTTCCTTGGCCTCCCAAAGTGCTGGAATGACAGGTGTGCACCACTGCGCCCAGCCTCCAGATGTCTTTGACCTGTTTATGTCACTCTCCCTGTATTTGCCTTCACGCTAGTTATGCACGGAATTCCTGGAGTGTAGTCTTTTGCATCTCTTCAAGCCTCTTAAATTGTCCCACATGTAGTAAATGTTCAGTAAACAGATCTGCATTCACACTGTCCTACAAGTAATCCCAGCACTTTGGGAGCCTGAGGTGGAAGGATCACTTGAGTCCTGGAGGTCAAGGCTGCAGTGAGCTATGACCAGACCATTGCATTCCAGCCTGAGTGACAGAGTGAGACCTTATCTCAAAACAAACAAACAAATGAAAAACCTTTTAGTATATGCGCTGCCGAAGCGAGCACATGAAAAACCTTTAACAACAAATGCAAAGTAAACCTACACTGCCTCAATGGACTCACCTGGAACAGACCCTCCCAGCGCCGGATGAGTGCACCGCTCAGGGAACATCTGGGTATATAGTTCATAGTATAGACTTGGGGGGGGTTTTTGCCAAAAGAGTGATGAAATTGAAAAGTGAAACCTTCTGTCCTGAAACCTTTGTCTCTTCTTTTTCAAGGAGCATGCCTTTGAGAGCAGTCAGAAATATAAGGAAGGAAAATTCATCATTGAGCTTGCTCATATGATCAAAGACAATGGCTGGGAGTAATGTGCGAACTTTCCCTTCTCCTTTGAATGCTGTTTTGTGAAAGAAACTGTGAATGTAATGGAAACGTAGGAGCATCTGGTGACAGCCTTTCTTGCCCTCTGACCTCAAAGGCTAGCTGCGCATAGCTCTTGACACTCTCGGCCATCTCTGTGGGTAAGGTGTCCCTCGGATCTGTCCTCTTCGTGTACACAGTTGTTTCTGAAAATTTTCAATGAGCTTTTTCTAACTTCTCAAGTTCTAGAGAAAGAATTAACCAACTGATGACTTACCTGCCTAGTTAATATCTTCCTTTCACCTTTGTCTTCAATATAGTTGGGCTCTGCTTTTTTAAGGTTCAGTTGAAAACCAAACTGGGGCCGGGTGCGGTGGCTCACGCCTGTAATCCCAGCACTTTGGGAGGCCAAGATGGGTGGATCACCTGAGGTCAGGAGTTCTAGATCAGCCTGGCCAACATGGTGAAACCCCATCTCTACTAAAAATACGAAAATTAGCCGGGCATGGTGGCGAGTGCCTGTAATCTTAGCTACTCAGGAGGCTAAGGCAGGAGAATCACTTGAACCTGGGACACGGAGGTTGCAGTGAGCTAAGATCATGCCATCGCACTCCAGCCTGGGGGACAAAAGTGAGACATCGTCTCAAAAAAAAAAAAAAAAGCTGGGTATGGTGGCGCATGCCTTTAATCCCAGCTACTCGGGAGGCTGAGGCACGAGAATCACTTGAACCCAGGAGGCGGAGGTTGCAGTGAGCCAAGATCGCGCCACTGCACTCCAGCCTGGCAATAGGGCGAGACTCCGTCTCAATTTAAAACAAGAGAGAACCAGACTGAGTCTCTGAAGACCACAGGGACAGGGTCTCTTTAGATAGCAAGTCTCACCATTCCCTTTTTTAGAGAAAAGGTATTGTAGCCCACCCTCCACCCCGCTGTTTTTCTTAAATTTGCAGAACTTCAAATTGGCTATTCCTCTTGCAAATGAACCCTTAAAGTACAGTGTTATTTAAGAATCTTCCAGAGGCAGTCAACAGACTTATACACTAAGGGCATTTTTGGTTTTTAGCTTGTTCAAAAACAGAGGCCAGCACAGATGACATTTTAGATACACTCTAAATTGAGAATGGTGTCTAGTGGAACATGTTTATTTAAGCCAGTAGATTCCTTATCTAGAAAGCAGGTGAGCTAGCCCTTAGAGAAGGCTGTCCCGGGGCCCGCAGAGGTGCCCTTACTGAGGTGACAGCCTCACAGGGTCTGGTACCAGGGGTTGTGCCCTCAGCAGTGACAGCAGCTTAGGTGTCAGGCAGTTGCTGAGTGGCTGGTCCATGTCTATAGAGTAACACACTGGACCGAGGAAAAGTCAGATTTCATTTTCTACCCTGGATGTACTTGAAGAAAAAGAATTATTTTTGCATATGAAAGAGGCCAGAACCCACAGGAAAAACTTCAAAACTTGACATTTGCCAGAATGTTTAAAATTTGTTCAGAAAAGGTTAAAGCAACAAGTTTAGCCTTTGTGCATGAAGACGCCTGGCCTGCTAGACGCGTTGCCCGTCCCTGCGTGGTGCTGTCCCATGTCACTTGAACTGATAGAGGGGCCTGTGCAATCTCCTAAGGCCTGTGTTTCTGCCATATATTTTATTATAAATTACAATCCACTCATCCACCTGCCCTCCACCAGGAGTGGGCACCCCATAAGGGTTTAGGCCACTTTGCAGAGGATGGAGGTCAAAAACCACTCCCAGATAAGTTTGGTTTTCAACATTTAGTAACTTGTCTCAGGGCAGAGGGCAGGCAGGGGGACCGAGGGGCAGCAGATAGGAGAGCACTGAGCCCGGATAGTTCTCAGCCTGGCAAGTGGCTCTGAAGCTGCCTTCAGACAAGGCTAGTCTAGGGGCAAGAGTGCGAGCTGGCTGACAATAAGAACGTGGCCACCTGCCCAGCTTCACACCTCCCCCGACTTCAGCCCTTCCTAAACCCAGACCTGCGGTCCAGGCAGGCACTGGGCTGTGCCCACTCGAGCTCACTGCCCACACACAGCATGCCTTTGGGTGCCATCTCTTTGCCCAAGCCTGGAAGCCTTGGCAGGTGGGAAATGCCGCTGCCCTGGTGGGCATGGCACTGAGATGCATCCACTCAGCAGGAGTGACAGAGGCAGAAGTTCCTTTAAAGCACATCTTCCACTTAGGAAAGGAAGGAAATCTTTGTACTGTCTTGGAAGCCTCCACATCCGGCTATGGCCCTGCAAGCTGCTTTATCCCTGCGCTAGTCTCCCCCGAGGGTTTAGGCTGGCCCAGCACATCCTGTCCTCCTGAGCTCGCGTGCAGCCACCCAGAGCGCAGGGGTCACTGCACGCTGCAGGGCTCTTGCTGCCATGGTCTCAAGCCTGAAGAGGCTCCGCCCACAAGCTGGCCCATGAAGTTAGCAATGCCTGTGGCTTCAGTCAATTGTCTTGAGACTGTGAAGAGGCTGAAAGACACCTTCCCGGGTGGAAGAAGGAGTTCACTGAAAACTTATCTTAAACTGACCCTTCCCTTTGAGTGAGTCTTCATTCCTCTCCCATGTGGGAACCCAGCCTCCGATGCCCCGGGGACTAGGGGAAACAGTTGGAGGTTCGTGCCGTCCCCAGCCTGCCACGGGTGCGAGGACAGCCAAGTCCTGAGTGACTCAAGATGCTTCACTTACATGGAAGAAACTTCTAAAACTCTACCGAGTGGTTTTTGTATATACTAAAGTTCTATTTAGAGCTTTTCTGTTTTGGGCAAGTTCGCTGCTCCTTCTATTTGGGCACTTTGGTTTTTGTACTGTCTTTTGTGACGGCATTGATTGAACATTTTTTACTAGTAGTCTTATGACTTTTGTATTTTTTTTTTTTTTTGTAATTTATACCAACAACACTTTTATCACTTTTTTTTTGTTGGGCTTCTGCAAAATACAAGCTCATTTTTAAACCAAATGAACAGACCATGAGCTGGCTTCAGGGGAAGTGCTATTCACAGGACCATATCCACCACCCTCTTAAATTCCTAAACAATATCATCTAGGACTTCTATTTAAGTTATTTAAAATAAATCTTCCTTGAGAGCCTTGGGAGGTGATGTCAGGGTTATAAATGGCACAGTGCATTTGCTGTAGGAATGTGGTTTGGCATTGTTTTATACACACAGTATTTTTTATACCTTAATGCTTATTCTTGATGGCATCTGTCAGATATTAGAATTGAAAATAAGAATCTTCCCAAAATCCTTTAATTTACCTGATGCCCTCATCAGGTCGTTAAAAATTCAAATGGTTTTAATAGCTAAAAAACTACAAATTAAGCTCTAAAACAAACAAACTACAGAAATGTAAACCTTCATTTGCCAAAGGTCCTTGGTGGCCTGTCCCCTGCCCTGGGAGCAGATGGCCCTGAAGCCCTTCCCTCACTGTGCAGGCCACCGGGTGAGGCTGGACGGTCACCCATGGTGGCTTCACTGCAAGGAGCAGGACTGCCGAGCTCAAGCACGGGGCCTTCAGCTTCCCCTGTCCTCTGGCCACACCGCCAGCCCTTGGTCCTTATCTGTGTGAGGTTTACAAATAAAGCTTCTGATGTCAAATGTTTAAATCGTGCCCTCAGTGGACGAGGCCATGTCCTGATGCAGAAGGCTGAGCCCAGGCTCTCTGTGGCGCCGCTGAGAGCAGAGGGCTGTCTTGGGGTCTTCGAGCTCTGGAGCCAAGGATGGCCTGGTCCTACTTCTCTGCCCCCACCAATGGGGGACTTGAATGTGGCCAGAGAATACAGTCAGTCAGGGCCAGCCAGGGTGTCTGTCAGGGTGGGCACAGGGTCCTCTCCAAACCTGCTTCTCCCTCCCTGGTCAGGCCTTCATCCCCACCACCCGCACCTGTACCCTGGACGCTGGCTCAGAGGCCTACAGGTGTGTGGACACCTGGGCAGTCACTGTGTCCTACTGTGCCCCTCCTCTGCAGGCCCAGCTTGGTGTCTGAGCCTCTTACAAGCCAGTTACTGCCAGGGCTGCACCAGGCCTTGCGGAGGACAGTGCCTGGCGGGAGGGATGGAGGGCGTCAAAAGTCACTCTAGAGCCCAGGGGCCCGACCAATGGTCACAGACAGGGATGACAGGCTGCAGAGGGATGGGCTGGAGAAGAGAAGGAGCCAGCCATGGCGCAGTTCTTGTTCTTAGCATGATGAAGGGCCACAGATTGGTGTGCAGCAGGGTGACGAGGGGCAGACATACCTCTAGTGGTCATCAGGCAGCCTGTGGCAGTGGATGGGGTGAGGCAGAGATGCAGATGAGGCGCCACCCAGCATCCAGGGAGACAAAGGGCTCAGGCCTGCAGCTTCAGCATCAGTGATTGATGAGAAAAGGAAGGGCAGAGGTACAGCCTGCAAGTTGCTGACAGGTTCAAGATTTGGGGCAACAAAAATGAGAAAACCAAGAACAAGGCCTAAGTTAGGGCTTAGTGTGAAGAACTAGAAGTGGGGGGTGGCCTGAGGGCAACAGGGAGCCCAAGAGGCAAGTGTCAGGCAAGGAGAGTCCATGACATGAGAACACTGACCACTGGCCTGGGCTGAAGACGAAGAAAAAGCCAGCCAGGGGCACATTTAACAGAAAAATGGGGGTTGAGGGAGGGGTCTTTCTTTAAGGGCTGCTGATGCAGCTGGCCCAAGGCCATCAGAGTCAGTGACTGACAGGAGGAGCAGAGTCTTGGAGCCCAGTGGCCGGGCCTGAGAGCAGCAAGGCCACTTCAGCAGGAGGGCGGGGAGAGGGACATCCACTTGTTCTCACAGCAGGAGACACTGGCCTCAACCCAGTGTGGGTCCCCTCAAGATTCTCACAGGGGCACAGAGACGCCAGGCAGGCTTGAGATGAAGCCCAGGTGGTTCACAGCCAGAGCAGGTGAGCAGGGCCCTGAGAGCTCAGGCAGGGCACGGCAGGAAACTCAATGCTGCCGTCCAACACCAGCCTTCAGAAGCCCCTGAAGTTTTGTCAAAACAGACCGAGAAGCCCACCCTGCAGAGGCTTAGGCTCAGTAAGTCTGGGGTCTGAAAACTTGTCCCAGGTAATGGCGTTGGTCAGGGGACCACACTGGTTGTATAAATAGGCTGTCCCTGAGAAGATGACAGAAGTAGGGGTAAGAAAACCAGACATATACAGCTGGATGTAGTGGTGCACGGCTGTAGTCCCAGCTACTTGCGAGGCTGAGGCAGGAGGATTGCTTGAGCCCAGGAGGTCGAGGCTGCAGTGAGCCATGATCACACCACTGCACTGGAGCCTGGGCAACAGAGCAAGACCCTGTCTTAAAGAGGAAACCACAATCTGGAGACACAGTCCTTCCTCACTAACCTGGCCTGCCTACTAGAGGGGAGGCCTGAGGCACCAGCCTGGGTGTAGGGCAGGCCTTGTGCTTGAAGGTCCCAGCAGTGGGCTCTGGCTGGGCCAGGTCCTGGAAACAGGGCCAAGGCCCTTGGCAACAGGTTAAGGGATGGGAAGGCTGTGGGCTCCCAGGGGCCAGGAAAGGGGATGCAGGCAGCAGGCAAGCAATTTATTGGCTGGCAGCAGAGGGCAGGCTAGAAAGGCTGGAAATGGAGATGTGGACATGGGCCCCCAGCCCTGCAACCCCACCAAGGTCCACAGCGGCCAACCTGCTGCTACCAGGAGCTGAAGTCCCCAAAACCCCGACTGGGCTTCTTCTTGGACATGGGGACAGTGGCACTGGTTGAGGGCTCTTCCTCTGCTGCTCGCTTCCTGGGAAGAGAAGAAGCCGCTGGGAGCCCACACCCTCCCTCAGCCCCTCCTGACTTGTCTGTGTCTCCATACAGCCCTCCCGGTGTAGGCCCAACCCCTCCCACCTGCTGCTCCCACATCCCCCTGAATTTGATCTCTTCCACCCACAGAGGCCCCGGCCAGGCCTTCAGAGGCAGTCCCTCGGCTGCAGAGGCCACACAGCACAAGCCCACGGCCGGGACCAGTGCCCATAGCTTGCTTGCCCCTCTGGGTCTGACCCTCAGACCTCAGTCAGCCCTAGGAAACACCATGGGAAACAGGGAGGCCAGCCCCGCGGCACTCACGTGGCTGCTGGGTTGATGTACTTGCCCACGCCCTGGCGGAAGGTCTGGGGGCCCTGGCTCCCTGCCTGGGGCTGGCTGCTCTTCACTTTGGTCTCCGGGGCTACCTTGAGCTGTGTCTTCCGCTCCTGCGCAATCTGTGGCACAACAGGGCGCTGGCTAACCGGCAGCACCTCGGGCAGGACAGATGCTAGGCTTGGGGTGGAAAAGTGCACTAGCCCAGACCCTCCTAGGTGGTGGCATCGTGCCCCCTCACCTGGGCATCGGCCTCCTCATAGGGGTCCACGAACACTGTAGTGGCATCAATGCGGATCTCCTCCTAGCAGCAAAGGGGGCTCAGTGCACGGCAGGTCCTCCCCCTGCCTGCCTGGCCCCCAGCCGCCACGCCCCACCTCCCTGGGCACAGACCTTAGGGCGGTCAGTTTTGGGGTCACTCTCCACATTCTCCATGGCTGTCAGTACGTCAAAGCCCCCAACAACCCTGCAGCAGGGAGACAGAGGTGGGTCTGCGTGTGCTCAAGGAGGGCACCCCCACGGCTGAGCCCCAAGGCACGTGGGAAGAGGGGTTGAGAGCCCCGAGGCTGGCCTGGTGGTCCTTGGGCAGCAGCCAGGAAGGCGATGAGAGGGAGTGGCAAGGGCGGGGTCGGCTGACCATGGCCCTGGGCATATCCAGCTGGGTTTTTTTCTGTTTTTGTTTTTTTTTTGGTTTCCCCCACCCACAGGAAAAATAGGAGTCACAAAACGTGGCTTGTGCTCTCCCCGCTGGTTTGGTAAACAGAGTTCCACTTGGCCAGAACCACATCACCTGCGTCCACCCTGTTTCGTGCTGCTTCCACACAGCTGGGTGGGCGTCAGAGACCACGTGGCCCACAACGCTGGAAAGACCCCTGGACTAGAGGGTGAAGGGAGCTGGGTGTGGCCAGGCTTGCGAGTGGCGCGCCACTGGGTCTGAGACAGGGCAGTGTCCAGGCCACATGGGCGAGTTTCCTCCTCTCCTGAGCCCGGTGGGTCTAGAGAGCCAGACTTCCCTGGCACATGGAGCACCCTCCATCGCAGCTCTGCATAGCCTCAACCCCCAGCAGTGATGGCCAGCATGGCACATGACTCAGGTCCACGAAAAAGGCAGTGAGGAGGCCTCAGGTGGGGAAGGAACCCACCTAGCCCACTGACCCCCCAGGCTTCACACAGCCGCTTCCCTTACCGTCCAAAGATGGTATGCTTCTTGTCCAGGTAGGCACAGGAGCGAAACGTGATGAAGCTGGGGAGGAGGGCTGGATGGTTAGGGAGAGCATGGCACCTTCTGCACCTGGCCTGCCTAAGAGCACACCAGGAGCTGCCCACCCTCTACAGCCAGCTCTGGGAACCTGCAGCTTCCACGGACGCATGTGTGCACGTGGTTCCCTGCGCTGCCCACCAGGGCAGGTCATTAGCCCCCAAGGCTGCCCAGGGGACCCCGGAACTCCAGCTGTCCCCAGGTCTTCCTGCTGCCCCGGCTGCTGCCCACTGCCTGTCAGGTGGTCCCTGTGCCCAGAACCAGGTTGGCCATGCAGCTCTGTGGGAGGTGGCTGGGACGAGGGGACACCTGGAAAACCAGAGCCAGCCCCATGTCATCAAGGGACCTGTTGAAGGACTGAGGAGAAAGGAGGCAACAAAGCCAGAACAGGAGTCAAGGGATTAAGAAACGTGGGTAACATAAATAAACATGGACTAAGAAAATGCTCAGGTCGTCCAGGCACAGTGGCTCACGCCTGTAATCCCAGCACTTTGGGAGGCCAAGGCAGGTAGATCACTTGAGGCCAGGAGTTGGAGACCAGCCTGGCCAACATGGTAAAACCCTGTCCCTATTAAAAATACAAAAATTAGCTGGGCGTGGTGGCGTGTGCCTGTAGTCCCAACTACTTAGGAGGCCAAGGCAGGAGAATCGCTTTAACCTGGGAGGCAGAGGTTGCAGTAAGCTGAGATCACACCACTGCACTCCAGCCTGGGCGACAGAGTCTGTCTCAAGAAAAAAGAAAAAGAAAAAAGGAAATGGGGTGGAATTAAAACAGCCAACAGCACTGCCATGAGACGAGGAGAGAGTTTCTGCCAGCCTGGTCTGGGAGGAAGGCAGAGACTACCTCATAACTTTGGACTTTTTTTTTTTTTTTTGAGATGGAATCTTGCTCTGTCCCCCAGGCTGGAGTGCAGTGGCGCGATGTCGGTTCACTGCAAGCTCCGCCTCCCAGGTTCATGTCATAGTCCTGCCTCAGCCTCCTGAGTAGCTGGGACTACAGGCGCCCGCCATCACGCCCAGCTAATTTTTTTGCATTTTTAGTAGAGACGGGGTTTCACTGTGTTAGCCAGGATGGTCTCAATCTCTTGACCTTGTGATCCACCTGCCTTGGCCTCCCAAAGTGCTGGGATTACAGGCGTGAGCCACTGCACCTGGCCAACTTTGGACTTTAAATAGATGTCCTTCTTAACCTTAGACCAGAAGTAAAACATCTAATTTCCAAACCAGCAGAAAGAGAAGAGAAGCAAATGAAAATAAATATAAAAAATGGTAACTAGAAAGCAACAAGATCATAGAACGCAACAGACCACCTGAAGAATTAAGTCCACATTTAAGATTGTCAGGATTGGCCAGGCACAGTGGCTCACGCCTGTAATCCCAGCACTTTGGGAGGCCAAGGTGGGCGGATCACAAGGTCAGGAGATCGAGACCATCCTCGCTAACACGGTGAAACCCCATCTCTACTAAAAATACAAAAAATTAGCCAGGCGTGTGGCGGGCGCCTGTAGTCCCAGCTACTAGGGAGGCTGAGGCAGGAGAATGGCATGAACCTGGGAGGCGGAGCTTGCAGTGAGCCGAGATCGCGCCGCTGCACTCCAGCCTGGGGGACGGAGCGAGACTCCGTCTCAAAGAAAAAAAAAAAAAAGACTGTCAGGATGAAGGAGAACACGACAGACCCCAGCTGTGAGCCTTCAAAAAGCCCTCAGAGGGCAGAGCCAGAGAGGCTGAAAAGAAAACGATGGAAGACATGGGGTGGGTCCCGGCGCTGGCGGCACGGAGCACTCCCCAGGGTGGTGCAGGCAGGCACAGCCCACAACCCGGCTGGTGAGACACAGGACTTAACCTCCACTGCATCAAACATGCACCCCCCAGCCACGCAGGGACACGCTCCTGAGCCCACCAAGTCTGACCACACCCGAGGCCACCAGACAAGTGTCCGCAGATGTGACATCTGCAACGGTGCAGACCTGAGCTCTGACCTGCAAGCAGTTCCCTCTCTTGCTGATTTCTAACACAGTGAAGGAAACTAGAAGCAGAATTAAACTCAGATAAGAGGAAAGTAAAAGAACCATCCTGAGGCAAGCTCCTCCTAGAAAATCTTTTTTTTTTTTTGGAGACGGAGTCTCGCTCTGTCACCCAGGCTGGAGGGCTGGAGTGCAGTGGCGCGATCTCGGCTCAATGCAAGCTCTGCCTCCTGGGTTCACGCCATTCTCCTGCCTCAGCCTCCTGAGTAGCTGGGACTACAGGCGCCTGCCACCATGCCCGGCTAGTTTTCTGTATTTTTAGTAGAGATGGGGTTTCACCGTGTTAGCGAGGATGGTCTCGATCTCCTGACCTCGTGATCCGCCTGCCTCGGCCTCCCAAAGTGCTGGGATTATAGGCATGAGCCACCGCGCCTGGCCTCCTCCTGGAAAATCTTTAATTACAAGAATCACAAAAGGGAAAACAAAGCTGTAACAAATTAAAGTCTAATGATCTTTGAATACGGTAAAATAGGCAAACCTTTGGCAACAGTTGTCCAAGAAAGCACAAAATACTACTAGAAATAAGAAAAGAAGGCCGAGTGTGGTGGCTCATGCCTGTAATCTCGGCACTTTGGGAGGCTGAGGTGGGTGGATCACCTGAGGTCAGGAGTTGGAGACCAGCCTGGCCAACATGGTGAAACCCTGTCTCTACTAAAGTACAAAAAATTATCCTGGTGTGGTGGTGGGCGTCTGTAATCCCAGGAGAACCGCTTGAACCCAGGAGGCAGAGGTTGCAGTGAGCCGAGATCCCGCCATTGCACTCCGGCCTGGGTGACAAGAGTGAAACTCCATCTCAAAAAAAAAAAAAAAAAAAAAAAAGAGAAGGTGGCAACTGATCTGTCAGCAGTTTCACAGGCTGGTTAAGCCAAAGAGAAATAAAAAATAATAAAATGATTCCCTGCCCTGGCCCCTGCCAAACAACAAAAACAAACCACGCACCCAACCTACTTGAAAATAACCAACAGTCCTAGGCAATCCTTGGCTGAGAAGAAATTGAAAGGGAAGCTACCAACAACCAGCAAGCAGTGAAGAGGGAACATGCACCCTCAAAATGACAGACGTGGCTATCAGAAACACACATGGATTAAAGTGAGGAAGGAGGAAAAGCACCATGAAGAAGCAAAGACAGAAACTGAAAACAATTACAAACCCTTCAAAGTGAAGTGAAAACAGACAAACCCTTCAAAGACCACTAAGGGACTGAGGAATGGAAAGTGTGATTAGGCATGAGAAAAAAAGGTCAGCACAGCGAGGCCAAGAGAATACCAGCCTTCATGGAAACAAGTGCCCGTTAACCCTGAAATGAAAGCCCCAAGGAAGTGGCACGAATAGCTGCCAGCTGCCTTTGCCCAGCTGTTAAGCACAGCTGACTCGTTTGATTTTTTTTTTTTTTTCCAGACAGGGTCTCACTGCTGCCCAGGATAGAGTGCAGTGGCGCGATCCTAGCTCACTGCAGCTTTGACTTCCCAGGCTCAGATTATCCCCCCACCTCACCCTCCCAAGCAGCTGGGACTACAGGCGCACGCCACCATGCCCCGCTAATTTTTTTTATTTTTTGTAGAGATCGGGTTTTGCCATGTTGCCCAGGCTGCTCTCGAATTCCTGGGCTCAGGCAATCCACCTACCTCAGCCTCCCAAAGTGCTGGGATTACAGGTGTGAGCCACCACGCCTGGCCATCCCTGTGATTTTAACCATTCCAGGCCACAAAGCCACAGCCAGCCCTGCTCGTAACATGCAGGGGCCACACCTGTCACAGCAAAACCTGCTGGAGCCAGTCCACACAACCGAGACCACGTGTGACAGTGAGCTGGCAGAAGGCCACGGCGAAGCCACGACAGGCCAGGGTTCACCCCAGAATGCCACGGAGACACCCATCCACTCTGGCCTTGTAGTGGCCACATCCACAAATCCCGGGAGGACCAGAAAAAGGACAGAATCATCATAGTAGATGCTAACAAAGAAACCTCTAAAAAGTCAGCCACCCTCCTAAAAACAGCCCAACAACAAATGTTCTGAGAAGGCAAAACAGCGATTTCTGTGGAGCACAGCAAGATGCCCACATCCTCCTCCCCCATCAGGCCCACGGTGACGTGACGGTGACGTGACTGATGTGCACACCAGGGAAGCAGAGAGCAGACCAGCTTTTGGTGATAAGCGTGACTATCTAGAAAACCCAAAAAAATCTTAAAAACTTTTGAATTATAAGATAATTTGTTAAAGTGGCTAGATATAAAATGAACGGTAGTTTTTCTCTACATGAGCAATGATCCCCAAAAGTTGGGAAAAAAAAAGTCCATTTACAAAAGTATCATAAACTATAAAAAATCCTTAAGAGGTTGCTTTATCCCGGAAGTCACAGGACCCATGTGAAGAAAACGATTGAAAGACTGAAACATAACATCAGGCCACTGTCTGGGGATGGAAAGGGCACCTCTGTTCTTCCACAATACAGGCATCCGGCCCCTGTGTGCATGGCCCTGCTGGCCCCCCATCCCCTGCCTCCTGCCACCAGACTGCACACTGCTCCCCACATGCACCAGGGCCAGACCTCCTGTGTCTCTCCAGGCGCCTCTCCCTGTGCAGCCTGTGCCCTGCACAACCCCTCCCACACGCTGACCTCCCCCAGCACTGCCTGGCCACAGGCACCCACACGAATGCCTGGTCCCTGTCAAGAAGCCCTTCTGGACCTCCAGTAATTCCCGACTTCTGGTCTCTCGAGGACACACCCGGTGCGGGCAGCTCTCCCTGCTGACTCACTCTGGGGACCCCCTTTTGAACGCAGGTGCACATGCTTGGCCTAGGTGTGCCGTACACCGTCTGGGTATGATTCAGAACCAGCACACCCTTCAGAGAGGGCCAAGAGGAAGAACCCGCAGAGAGTGCCGGCTCACCTCCCAGGCCACCCCAGCAAGCCCAGCTGACTCACAATTGAGACCTGTTGCTGTTGGGCCCGGAGTTGGCCATGCTGAGGATGCCGCGGCCCGTGTGCGAGAGGTTGGGCCGGAACTCGTCTTTGAAGGGCTTCCCCCAGTATGACTCCCCACCTGGAAGAGAAAGGCCCATGGGAGCAGGAAAGCCTGGGCCCCAGCCGAGGCAGAACTAGAAACCTCAGAGTCCCGAGGGGCATCAGGGCCTTGCTGAGCCCAGCCTGGGGCAGGGGCACTTGATAGGGAGGCTCCCAGCCCCACGCCACCAACTCCTGGGTCCCTTGGAGCCCCCACGCCTCCAAACAGGCAGGCTGCTGCCCACTCACCCCAGCCCCGCCTGGGGCCTGCCCCGGGACAGGGATTAAAGAGTCAAGGCCACCATCATCATCACTCAAGCTATGGGAATACAGAGGTTGGGGGATCTGGACCCAAGCAGCTGCCAGGCTGAGGGGCTTGGAGAGGCTGCAGGAGGGAGGGCTGGCCTCAGTCTGAGGCAGACCCCAGGGGCCCAGGGAAGAGACCACACACTCTTGCCTCCTCTACCATGCAGGCCTCACAGCCACCTGGAAATGAGAAAACTGAGGGCCAGGCCTGAGGGGGCACAGCACTGATGGCTGCCAGTCGTTCCACCCTGGTCTAGCAGATTCCATGTCTGAGCTGTGCACAACCCCTGCCCAGCTACCCCCTCATGCCCCACGGAGCAGCCAAAGTGCCCAGAGAGGGGCCCAGCACCAGTACCTACCCGTGCCTGTGCCTGTGGGGTCGCCCCCTTGGATCTGTGAAAACAAAAGCCAGTGAGCAAGTCACACTCTGAGACCCGAGGCCCACCGCCTGCCTGACTGAAGGACACCCCTCCTGCCAGATGGCTCCACACAGGGGCTGGGCTCTTGGTGATAATGAGGGGCCCTCCCAGCCACCTCCCTTTGTGAACCCAGTTCTGGATGGGCTGGGGCCTCAAGGGTCAGTCTATGGGTTCCCCAACAGAGGATCACCAACTGGACTCATCCTGGCCACCGTGGGATGGGCCAGGGCCCTGGGATGGGGCAGGGACAAGCCCACCCAGCCCCCGATGTCCCACCAAGCTCATCTGTGCAGCCAGTGACTCTCGTCACTCACCACAAAGTTCCGGATGGATCTGTGGAAGATGGTGCCATCGTAATAATGCTTCTTGCAAAGCCTGATGAAGTTTTCGCAGGTTTTTGGTGTCTGCAACATAGCCCCAATACTTGTATGAAGCAGAGAGCTGCCAAAGGCAGCTCACCACAGCCACAGGAGGCTTTTTTTTTTTTTTTTTTTTTGAGGTGGAGTCTTGCTGTTGCCCAGGCTGGAGTGCTGTGGCGCGATCTTGGCTCACTGCAACCTCCGCCTCCTAGGTTCAAGACATTCTCCTGCCTCAGCCTCCCGAGTAGCCAGGACTACAGGCATGCGCCACCATGCCTGGCTAATTTTTGTAGTTTTAGTAGAGACGGGTTTCCCCATGTTGGCCAGGCTGGTCTTTAACATGTAGCAGAGTCAGCTGCCCAGCCACACTGGGCACGGATGGACCCACAACATTAAGCAACAGGACCCGTGCAGCCGCACGGCCCAGAGTACAGCGCATGGGAGAAGTGTGGGCAGAGCAGCAGGTGCGGCTTGGCCCCTTCTCTGAGACACTGGCACCTGTGCGCAGGCCATGCTGCCAACGCGGCCCCCTAGGAAGGACACAGGGCACTGCTGCGGGTCCCGCCTAGTGACAGGCTGAATTTCCTACAACAAGCACATACCAGTGGCAGCCCTATATTTAAGACATGGCTGTCAGATGACCCAGAGATGACCTTGGGGCATGGGGAGTGGCTGGCCTCCACACCCACCAGGTCGCAGTGCAGCTCCAGGTTGAGGTCGCCCTTGTTGGTGTGCAGCCGCACGTAGCCCTTCTTCTTCACAAACTGGTAGCGCAGCACATCCTCGTCGATGGCAGCTACAAGCCAAGGTCCCAGCTCAGCCCCTGCCCTCACCCTGGGGCAGCCCCACCATGCCAGGCAGCACCGACCTCAGACACACAGGCGGGGACTAGGCTCCAGCTCTGGGGAGAGCAGGGGAGCTGGAGGCCGAGGGTCTGCTTAGGCCACGCACAGGCTCACCCCAGCCTCATGGGGCTGGCAGGGGTTCAGCAGCTAAGAGGGGGAGGACTAGGGGCTCAGGTGACAGTGGGAGCCCCTGACAGACCAATAAAGTGGGAGTCGGGGAGCACACCCACCCCCTGCCACTTTTGGGTCACATGGCAGGTGGCTACAGAGGCCAAGGTGGCTACCTGCTTCATGTGTGGTCTCCGGGACCATCGCGGTGGAGGTGAAGGAAGCGCTGACCTTCCCTGTGGAATAGTGGGCCTGCCAAGGAAACCAGGGTGGCACCTCAGCAGTGCCATGGGAGGCAGTTGGGTGGGGACGTGTCGCTTGCCTAGAAGCCAACCACACGCCACCCCTGCCCCCCAGGCCCTGCTTGGTGCCTCTCCTCCAGGAGGGCCTCCCCAACCAGCAGGAGGAAGAAGCCAAGGCTAGGCCAAGCCAGGGTCCCCTGGCCTCCACTGGATCCCGACTCTTATGATATCAGGTGAAACCCTGGAGATAAAATACCACACAGGACTGGCCACCTCAGGGTTAGGAGTGTATGGCTGACTTCTCATTTATTTTTATTTTAATTTTTTTATGAGACAAGGTCTTGCTCTGTACCCAGGCTGGAGTGCAGTGGTGTGTGATCCTGGTGCACTGCAGCCTCCAACTCCTGGGCTCAAGTGACCCTCCGACCTCAGCCTCCTGAGTAGCTGGGACGACAGGCGCATGCCACCACGCCTGGCTGATTTTTTGTAGAGATAAGGTCTCACTATGTTGTCTAACCTAGTCTTGATCTCCTGGCCTCAAGCAATCCTCCTGCCTCAGCCTCCCAAAATGCTGGGATTACAGGTGTGAGCCACCACGCCTGGCCTCATTTCTTTTTAAAAGTTTCAAACTTTCTACACTAAACACATTACATATTTAATCAGGGGTCGGGGAAAAGCCCCAATAAATGTTATTTTTTATCATAGAGGAAGAAAAAGGGGTTTCTCCCATCAGAAGAAAATACAAGCCAGGCACAGTGGCTCACACCTGTAATTCCAGCACTTTCGGAGGCCAAGGCAGGAGGCTCTCACTTGAAGCCAGGAATTCAAGACCAGCTTAGACAACATAGCAAGATCCTGTTTCCAAAAGAAAAAAAAAAGTAATATATCAAAGTGCTAAGGGCAGTGTGTTAGACGGAGTGACACACTGGACAACAAGCTTTCTTTTTCAAATTTTCCAGAATTTGAATAATTCTTTAAGAAGGAGAACTTCAGAGCTACCTGCCCATGTCTCTGCCCTCCCCCTAGCTCCAGATCCCCATGCTCTGCCTGACAGGAGGAAGAAGCAAACACGACAGCCCCAGACAGGTGGCACCGTGCAGTCCCAGGCATGCCATCCACGTCAGCACCGCAGCAGACCATGAAACGCCCCAACTCTCCCTGGCATGGCTTTGGGCCCCAGTGCACATCGGGCCCTGCCCTCCCAGCCACCACAGAACCACATGTGCCCGCTCAACGTGCCTGCCCTGGCTACTGAGCTCAGGCTGGGACCACAGCACAAGGCAGACCTTCTGTGGCAGGGATCTCCCCTACATGCCCCCACACACCCCTTGGTTCTTCAACGACCAGTGTGGACATCAGCCCCTCCCCTTCTGCCTTCTCAGATTCTATCTGCCTCAGGGCAGCCCCAGGGCTGTGCACTCAGAGCCATCAGGGGCACCACAGCTCTGGGGGATCCTGGCTGCCTCCCTGCCGTGTATCCCAGGCCCCCATGAGCCCCTTTCCCAGGACCACTCCAAGAGGCCATGAGATGGGCAGGAAGACGGGGCTTGGGCTTGGCCGAGTGCCCTCCGCCACTCACAGCGTTCAGCTTGTCCACTTTCTTCTTCTCCGGGGCCTTCATGGTGGCTGCCAGAATCTCGTCCCCTTTGAACTCCTTGTAGAGCTCCTGCAGGGTCTCTCGGGTCTCGGCATTTGTATTTTTCAGATAATAAGACGGGTCCTGTTTGGCCTTCTCTTCATCTACAAAACAGTAGCATGGCCCTGAGCCGCCGAGCCCCCAGTAGCCTCCCCACACACGTGCTGGGGACACAGATCTAGAATAGCCCAGGGCCGTCCAGCCATGGCGCAGGCACCGTGCCACTGCCAGCCACAGAATGCCACAGTGCCCCGCTACAGGCCTGAAGGTCTCCCCAGGCAGTTCACAAGGGTCTCAGGATGGACTTCAGGTTGATTTGTATATTTTATATTTATCTGTATATTCTAATCTTTTTAGAGTATACGCTTTGCTTTTTTTTTCTTTTTTTTTTTTTTTTTTTTTGTGGAGATGGAGTCTCGCTCTATCGTCCAGGCTGGAGTGCAGTGGTGCAATCTCGGCTCACTGCAAGTTCTGCCTCCCAGGTTCACGCCATTCTCCTGCCTCAGCCTCCTGAGTAGCTGGGACTACAGGCGCCCGCCACCACGCCCGGCTAATTTTTTTGTGTTACAATCTTGTAACCTCGTGATCCGCCTGCCTCAGCCTCCCAAAGTGCTGGGATTACAGGCGTGACCCACCGCGCCCAGCCTTTTGAGACAGGGTCTAGCTCTGTCGCCCCAGCTAGAAAGCGGTTGCAAGATCTCAGCTCACTGTAGCCTCCACCTCCTGGGCTCAATCGATTCTCCTGCCTCAGCCCCCCAAGTAGCTGGGGCTACAGGCGCACCAACTACACCCAGCTAATTTTTCTATTTTTTGTAGAGACAGGGTGTCCCCATGTTGCCCAGGCTGGTCTCGAACTCTTGAGCTCAAGCAATCCGCCTGCCTTGGCCTCCCAAAGTGCTGGGGTTACAGGCATAAGCCACCACACCCAGTTGCTTTGCTTCTGTAATTTTAAAGGTTATTTTTATTTAAAATAATAGAAGTGTTTGGGGGTCTTTCCAGATGTGAAATCACCCATTCTTGCCGACTCAGGAGGGTGCCTGCTGCCTACTGGGCCTTGGACAGCAGCCCACCCTGTGGAGAGGGGCCGGCATCCCTGTGCAGAGAGCACAGACACGGCCCAGCCCCAACCCTGACCTCAGGCTCTCCTGACTCAAATCTTCCCCAGTTCACGTGCTCAGCCTACCTAAAACCCGTTCAAACAATGCTCACAAAGTGCCCAGGCCACTGCTCTGCAGCACAAGGCCGAGTGACCTCTGAACATGAGTCCTGCTGGCTCCTCCAAGGCTGCAGGACAGCCACCAGAGGCCAGGGAAACAGGAGGACCCCATCACCCCACCACCTGCCCACTGACAGCACCGGCCAGTCTGCAGGGAGCAGGGGAACCTGAGCAGGTGTGCTGGCAGGGCAGCAAGTCTATCCCGCCCATTGTTTCTGAGGCTGCAGTTGGCTCAGATTCTCTGAACACTAGTTCAGAAAATGCAGGGCCTGTCTGGGCTGGGACCCCCTGACCTCCAGGAAAGCGGGGGCTTTACCCAGGGAGCACTGTCCCAATTTCATCCAAAAGCCCCCTCGCCTAGCCCAGCCCCTAGGTGTACATACCTGGGTCTATTATTTTCATGTTATTCTTCACATGATAGAAGTTAGAGACATTGAACTTGTCCAAATTGGTGGGGTCCTGTGGCAAAAAGAGAATGCCCAGCAGAGTGAACCCAGCCTACGGCCAAATGGCAGCCACATGCAGCAAAGGACGGCCAGCTGTCAGAGGTGTGGAAGAGGCCAGGGCTACACTGAGGTTGGGGGAGTCAAGCAGGGCATGAGGGAGGAGGTGGTCTGCCCCAGGCAGGGCAGCAAACAGGGGCAGGGGCAGGGACGGGGACGCAGCCTCGCTAGCTGCTGGCTGAGCTGTGACCTTCCTCCAGGCACATGGCTAACGAGCATTCATTGCTGTTAGGGAGCTATCGGACCGGAACGTGGGCAGCCGTGGGCCGACCTCTGGTTAGAATGGGACAAGCCACAGAGGTGATTGACTCAGCAGGCCACGCTCCAGCCAGCACCTGCTTTTCTAAGTCAGTGTTTTTCATTAATTCACTTGGGGTTCTCTGACACCTGCAGGGACCCTGTGCCAGATACAGGGTCTTTGCAGAGCTCATGCCAGCTCCTGCCCTCGAGGCGCTGAAGCAGAGCCAGGCCTGCAGAGTGGCTATTCAGATGCCTCAGGTGGCTTTGAGGACAGATATGAGGGGCCCTGACGTGGGGGTAGGGCCCTGTAGAGGCCTGGGCTGGCTGCAGGTGCTGAAGGCAGCTGGGGCAGGCAGGCAGGGGACACTCACCTGGAGGGTGATGATGTCCTGCCGGGAGAAGGGCTCGTCGGTCAGCAGGTCCCGGAAGTTCTTGGCCTTGATATTTAGCTGTTCCACTGCCTATAGCCAGGAGGAAGTGGTTTTACGATGCCTGCCCCAAGCCTTGGCACAGGGGACTGCAAGCAGGGAGGCCTGGAGCTGGCCCCGACCATGGCACGATTTGAGAGGCATGAGGAATGAGAGAGACAGCAGTGTACACCCCACTGGCTGAAAGCAGTGGCTCCCACAGAGGCGGAGCTGGCTGGGCCTCAGACGATGAGCCAGTTCACCCTCGCAGCAACCTTCCTGCAGGAAGCTCTTGTCTGCACATTGATCAGCAAAAAGACTCAGCGAGTCACCCACCCACTCGCTGCAGGCTTTGCCAAGCTCCTCCCATGCACAGGTATGGTGCCAGGCCCCCGTGGGCAGGGGCTGTGCACACAAGATGCCTGCACTCCTGCGGTGCGGTCTAGCAGAGCCCTCACTCCACTAACGAGGACTGACCATGCCAGTTTGTGCAGGCTTCTGGCAAGAAGTGGCTCCCAAGGCCCCTGGAGCAGCGCTGGCCACCTACACCCCACAAACGTCCAGGTGCAGGATTGACAACGGCGCAAAGGTCGGCTTTCCCGCCATGTGGGGCCTGCCCCGCCTCACCCAAGAGGAGGACCCATGTGTGAACACGGCTGTCTCCCCTCTCCCTACACCCACTCCCTGCCAGAACTCCTCCAGGGGACAGCTCCCTCCTGGGGGCAAGTGACTCCATCCAGATCCGGGGCGAGCACTCCCCTCACAGCCCTAGAGGCCTGTCCTCAAAACATGGGTGCCTTCCCAGCACCTGGGCTTTGCTGAAGACGCGGAAGGACCTCTTGGGGTTTAAGGGTCCCTGCTGGGCAGCCAGGACTGCCTGGATTCCGAAGGATGCACCTCCCCCAACCCTTTTTTTGACCTGCCTGAAAATGGGGAGGCTGCACTGCCAGAGCTTTGCTAGATGACCATGCCTGTGGCTGTGACTGTAAACCCCACGAGGACAGGCCGTACACGTAGCACACAGCCCAGCCAGTGTATACTAGGAACACACAGCAGAGATCTCCCCACCGCTGTCTCCACGCCCCGGAGCGAGGACACACCTCATAGGCGTAGACGTTGCCGGTCGTCCTCACAGCCACGATGTGGGTGTTGTTGGTGAACACGGTAAACAGCACTGGGCAGTGGTACTTCCCTAGAGAGAAGGCACACACAGGGAGGCCAGTCACCTCTGTGGGCTGTGAACATCCCAGTGAGGACCGCAGAGGGCCAGGGCAGGACAGAACTCCAAAGTCAGCGATGGGAGGAGGTGGAACCCCATGTCAGCTGCCAGAGCAGGGAACCATGGGGACAGCTGCTCACCCCCTCAAGCCCTTCCACACCGTTAGGAAACTCCTATTCATCCTGCAAGACCCAATCCCGGCATCGTCTTCCTCAGATCCTCCAGCCCACCCCTGGGTGATCACCATGCTAGCCTCCTCCTCCTACTGAAGTTGGCCCTCGGCAGGAAACAACCCATGTTCCAGCCCTGACAGCTCTACCTCCTCTCACCCACATCCTCCGCCAGCCCCCTGGTCAGCTCTTCCTTCAGAACCGCCCATCCCCTTGCCTGCCTACTGTCTTTTTTTTGTTTTGCTCTGTTTTTTTTTTTTTTTTTTTTTTTTGAGATGGAGTCTCGCTCTGTCACCCAGGCTGGAGTGCAGTGGCACAATCTCGGCTCACTGCAAGCTCCGCCTCCCAGGTTCACGCCATTCTCCTGCCTCAGCCTCCCGAGTAGCTGGGACTACAGGTGCCTGCCATCATGCCCGGCTAATTTTTCTGTATTTTTAGTAGAGATGGGGTTTCACCATGTTAGCCAGGATGGTCTCGATCTCCTGACCTAATGATCTGCCCACCTCGGCCTCCCAAAGTGCTGGGATTACAGGTGTGAGCCACTGCACCCGGCCTTGTTTTACTCTGTTTTGAGATGGAGTCTTGCTCTGTCACCCAGGCTGAGGTGCAGTAGCGTGATCTCGGCTCACTGCAACCTCCATCTCCTGGGTTCCAGCGATTCTGCTGCCTCCGCCTCCGGAGTAGCTGAGACTACAGGCATGCATGCGTCACCATGTACGACTAATTTTTGTATTTTTAGTAGAGACAGTGTTTCACCACCTTGGCCAGACTGGTCCCGAACTCCTGACCTCAAGTCATCTGCCTGCCTCAGCCTCTCAAAGTGCTGGCATTACAGGCATGAGCCACTGCACCTGGCCTTGGTTACTGTCTCTCTGCCTGTAAGTCCCCACCCAGTGGCCAGGGGCCCTGTCAAAGTGCCCACTTCTGGGGATAAAAAAGTAAGTGCAGTAGGGGGACTCAGAAACATCAACCACATGTATTTGTGGGGACTTTTTCTTTTTTTTTTTTTTTGAGACAGAGTCTTGCCGTTGCCCAGGCTGCAGTGCAGTGGCATGATCTCCTCGGCTCACTGCAAGCTCCGCCTCCCGGGTTCACGCCATTCTCCTGCCTCAGCCTCCTGAGTAGCTGGGACCTACAGGCGCCCGCCACCATGCCCGGCTAATTTTTTGTATTTTTTTAGTAGAGACGGGGTTTCACCGTGTTAGCCAGGATGGTCTCGATCTCCTGATCTCGTGATCTGCCCACCTTGGCCTCCCAAAGTGCTGGGATTACAGGCGTGAGCCACCGCACCTGGCCTTGTGGGGACTTTTTCTTAAAAAAAATCCTGATTTGAGGCCAAGTTAGAGCCTCAAATTAGTTAGAGCCTCAAGTTAGAGGTGGCTCACACCTCTAGTCCCAGTGCTTTGGGAGGCCAAGGTGGGAGGATTGCTTGAGGTCAGGAGTTTGAGACCAGCCTAGGCGATAGGCTGAGACCCCGTTTTTTTGTTTTGTTTTGTTTTTTGAGACAGGGTCTAGCTCTATCACCCAGGCTGGAATGCAGTGGCGCAATCACAGCTCACGCAGTCTCAACTTCCCAAGCTCCAATAATCCTCCCACCTCAGCCTCCCAAGTAGCTGGGACTACAGGTGTGCTCAACCACACTGGCTAATTTTTAGGTTTCATTTTGTAGAGACAAGGTTTCATTATGTTGCCCAGGCTGGTCTTGAACTCCTGGGCTCAAGCAATCCTCCCACCTTGGCCTCCCAAAGTGCTGAGATTGCAGGCGTAAACCATGGTGCCCAGCTGTTTTTTTTTGGTGGGGGGATGCTGACGCGGGAGGATCACTTGAGCCCAGGACTTCAAGACCAGCCTGGGTGACATAGGGAAACCTCATCTCTACAAAAATAAAAATTAAAAAAGTAGCTGGGGCTGGGCGCGGTGGCTCACACCTGTAATCCCAGCACTTTCGGAGGCAGAGGCGGGAGGATCACCTGAGGTCGGGAGTTTGAGACCAGCCTGACCAACATGGAGAAACCCCGTCTCTACTAAAAATACAAAATTAGCCAGGTGTGGTGGCACATGCCTGTAATCCCAGCCACTCGGGAGGCTGAGCCAGGAGAATCGCTTGAACCCAAGAGGCGGAGGTTGCAGTGAGCCGAGATCACGCCATTGCACTCCAGCCTGGGGAACAAGAGCGAAACTCCATCTCAAAAAAAAAAAAAAAAAAAATTGGCTGGGCATGGTAGTACATGCCTGTGGTCCCATCTACTTGGGAGACTGAGGTGGAAGGAGCACTTGGTCCTGGAAGGTCGAAGCAACAGTGCGCTCTGATCATGCCACTACACTCCAGCCTGGGCAACAGGGCAAGACCATGTCTCAAAAACAAACAAACAAACAAAAATCCTTCTGATGTGAAAACTGTTTTTTAAATTGGGGCTTCAGCATCATGCAAGGGGGTACTGGTGGGAGCAAAGACAGAACTGCACAGATGGGAGACAGCAGGGGCTGGAGTTGATGATGGGCACAGGGGAGGCGTATCACACCTCCTCACTCCACTTTCACGCACGGGGAATTCCAATTAACAAAGAAACAGGTGGGGCGCAGTGGCTCACGCCTGTAATCCCAGCACTTTGGGAGGCTGAGGCAGGTGGATCACTTGAGCCCAGGAGTTCGAGACCAGCCTGGCCAACATGGTGAAACCCCGTCTCTACAAAAAACACAAAAACTAGCTGGGTGCAGTGGTGGTGCCTGTAGTCCCAGCTACTTGGGAGGCTGAGGTGGGAGGATCTCTTGAGCCCAGGAGGCAGAGGTTGCAGTGAGCTGAGACTGTGCCACTGCATTCCAGCCTGGGTGACAGAGACCTCATTTCAAAAGAAAAAAGGAAACACAACAAAAGAAGCTGACTGCCAGGTCAAAGTTTTAAAAGAAAAAAAAAGGCTGGACCTCATTCCTCCCTCAGTGGCTCTCATCTTGGAGCGGAAGCCCAAGTCCTCCTGTGGCTCCCAGGCCCCACAGGACTGCTCTGCACACCATCCCCACCCCTGACCTCTGTCACCACATCCCCTGCTTCCACCGCTAGCACACGCTGTTCCAGCCACATTGGACTCCCAGCTGGGCACAGACACCCTTGAGCGTGCGCCCACCTCAGGGTCTTTGCACTGGCTGTGCCATCAGCCTGGCCCTGCACTCCCCCGATGCCCACACGGCTCTCCCTCCCTGCAGCGGGTCAGGGCGGCCCTCTCCCCTCCCCCTGCTGTGCTCTACACACACAAGCAGCCTCTGGCACACCCTGCTGAGCTGCTCTCTGGTGTTCTCCCCCACCAGAATGCATGCTCCTCTCATTCAGGAGAGACACAGCCTGTTGTGCTCTCTGCACATGGCAGGCACTCAATAAATATTTGCTGTCCCTCCCTCTCCCTCTCCCGCTCCCGCTCCCCAGGGTCTCCCTCTGATGCCGAGCCAAAGCTGGACTGTACTGCTGCCATCTCGGCTCACTGCAACCTCCCTGCGTGATTCTCCTGCCTCAGCCTGCCGAGTGCCTGGGATTGCAGGCGCGCGCCGCCACGCCTGACTGGTTTTCGTATTTTTTGGGTGGAGACGGGGTTTCGCTGTGTTGGCCAGGCTGGTCTCCAGCTCCTAACCGCGAGTGACCTGCCAGCCTCGGCCTCCCGAGGTGCCGGGATTGCAGACGGAGTCTCGTTCACTCAGTGCTCAATGTTGCCCAGGCTGGAGTGCAGTGGCGTGATCTCGGCTAGCTACAACCTCCACCTCCCAGCCGCCTGCCTTGGCCTCCCAAAGTGCCGAGATTGCAGCCTCTGCCCGGCCGCCACCCTGTCTGGGATGTGAGGAGCGTCTCTGCCCAGCCACCCATCGTCTGGGATGTGAGGAGCGCCTCTGCCTGGCTGCAACCCCATCTGGGAGGTGAGGAGTGTCTCTGCCTGGCCGCCCCGTCTGAGAAGTGAGGAGCCCCTCCGCCCGGCAGCCGCCCCGTCTGAGAAGCGAGGAGCCCCTCTGCCCGGCAGCCGCCCTGTCTAGGAAGTGAGGAGCGTCTCCGCCCGGCAGCCGCCCCGTCCGGGAGGGAGGTGGGGGGCAGCCCCCGCCCGGCCAGCCGCCCCGTCCAAGAGGGAGGTGGGGGGCAGCCCCCGCCTGGCCGCCGCCCCGTCCGGGAGGTAGGGGCGCCTCTGCCCGGCCGCCCCTTCTGGGAAGTGAGGAGCCCCTCTGCCCGGCTGCCACCCCATCTGGGAGGTGTACCCAACAGCTCATTGAGAACAGGCCATGATGACGATGGTGGTTTTGTCGAATAGAAAAGGGGGAAATGTGGGGAAAAGATACAGAAATCAGATTGTTGCTGTGTCTGTGTAGAAACAAGTAGACATAGGAGACTCCATTTTGTTCTGTACTAAGAAAAATTCTGCCTTGGGATGCTGTTGATCTATGACCTTACCCCCAACCCTGTGCTCTCTGAAACATGTGCGGTGTTCACTCAGGGTTAAATGGATTAAGGGCGGTGCAAGATGTGCTTTGTTAAACAGATGCTTGAAGGCAGCATGCTAGTTAAGAGTCATCACCACTCCCTAATCTCAAGTACCCAGGGACACAAACACTGCAGAAGGCCGCAGGGTCCTCTGCCTAGGAAAACCAGAGACCTCTGTTCACTTGTTTATCTGCTGATCTTCCCTCCACTATTGTCCTATGACCCTGCCAAATCCCCCTCTGTGAGAAACACCCAAGAATGATCAATAAAAAAAAAAAGAGGTTTGGAGAAATAAAAAATAAACAATAACACACACACACACACACACACACACACACAAAATAAATAAATAAATATTTGCTGAATGAGACACACACACACACACACACACACACACACACACACTGCTGATCACAGGAGGGGAGGCAGCCCACCCTCGGCCACCAGGGTGGAGCGCCGTGTCCTCCACCGACGTCAATGACGTGCTGAGGTTCACCCATTCATTCACCTGCGAATGCTGCACCGACTGGGGACCGGGCTCTGGGCTCAGACAAGCGGGGCAAAAGGGCCTTGGCCTCAGGTGCTACAGCATCTCCCTGGAATGCATGCACCCAGTAAGCAAGGACAACCCCTAAGCCATAGCATCTCCACAGGCAAAAGACCTGGACTAGAACCTAGCACAAGATCACCACCTGGGCAGGGGTGGGCTGCACAACTCATCCGGGCCTCTGGCCACAAGAACAGCGGAAGGTGTGTAATGGGCATGAAGCAGGAGCCGCAGCACTGGGCTGGGCTCTATGAGCTGTGGCAAAGAAAAGCCTAGCCCAAGAGCTACTGGACAAATCCCTCCAGACCACCCACATCCCCTACTCAGCTGCCGCCTTGGTTCCCAGCATGAGCAACTTCTGCCTCCAACAACAAACAGACCACAGCCTCAGCCAGAGGGGGCCCATGCCCTGCAGATCCAACTGTGCCCACAAAGGCCACTAGCAGCTTACAATGGCCTGATCGCCTTTGTGGGAAGTTCCCAACACCACAGGTTCTGCCCCCAACCTCCCCCACCTTAAAACTACCCAGACCTTTGAGAAGAAATCTTGTGACACCTTTTTTTTTTGAGACAGAGTCTCGCTCTGTTGCCAGGCTGGAGTGCAGTGGCACCATCTTGGCTCACTGCAACCTCTGCCTCCTGGGTTCAAGTGATTCTCCTGCCTCAGCCTCCCGAGTAGCTGGGACTACAGGCGCCCGCCACCATGCCCGGCTAATTTTTGTATTTTTAGTAGAAACGGGGTTTTACCATGTTGGCCAGGATGGTCTCAATCTCTTGACCTCGTGAACCATCCGCCTCGGCCTCCCAAACTGCTGGGTTTACAGGTGTGAGCCACCGTGCCCAGCCCTGTGACACTTTTTGCGGAATTAAAAGCAGGTGTCTAGCTTGGTCAGAAAGCAATGACTGATTCCGTATGAAAACTGGTGAGAGCTGGGCCCTTGGGTCTGCAGGTCAAGCCCAGAATTGGCTGTGATAGTTCCACTCACCCTCACTGTTCTTGGAAAAGTTCAGCTTGATCAGGGACCTCCCGTCCAGCTTCTGGAAGAAGCACAGTTAATAATTAATGATAATGAATAAGTAACTGATGCACAGAGATGCTAGGGTCAGAGACAGGCAGGAAAAGTCTCTGACTAGGCCAACCCTGTGCAGCTCTGGACAAAAGGGAAGGCCCCAAGACCCTGCAAGGACCTCACGGGGGCTGCAGGATGGCGTCGGGCAGTTGTGTTTATGTGGCACCCCCACCACGCTCTGAGAAGAGCCGTCACGGGTGACCCCGAGCAGGAGGACCAGGCCACAGGGTGGTGTGTGTTATACTTCTGCAGGGTTTGGACGTCTTTATGGTGAGCACAGATTACTTCTAAAATTAAAAAGTGAACATATTTCTTCAGCTAGAGTGGTGGGACACACAGAGTCCCTCTCTGTCACCAGGCTGGAGTACAGCGGCAACATCTCAGCTCACTGCAACCTCCCACTCCCTAGTTCAAGTGATTCTCCTGCCTCAGCCTCCCGAGTAGCTAGGACTACAGACACACGCCACCACACCAGGCTAATCTCCTGACCTCATGATCTGCCCACCTGAGCCTCCCAAAGTGCTCTGTCATATGAATATTTAAGAAAAACAAAACATTAAAAGTGGGGAGAAAGTAAGAAATACACTCCAATGCTAAGAATGGTTGTGTTGGGAAGATGGGACTCTATTTTTCTGTTTCTGGATGTTTTTTCTTTTTTCTTATTTCCCCTACCCCAGGTGGCAGGTAATGTTTTCAGTTTCTGTGGTGTGTCTGCAGTACAGCTCTTCCACAGCAAACTTTCCCATAAAACAAAGTCTGGACAACCGGAGGTGGGAACTGCTGGGGGCGGGGCTGTGGGGAGACCCTGGAAGGGAGGCAGAGCTATGTGCTGCTGGGGAGCACCTCACTCAGGGCCACAATCCAGCAGCTGCTGCCACCTGGTGTGGGCTGGGCCCAGCTATGCCTACCCAGGCCCAGGGGAGACACAGCGGGAGCCTCCTGGGGCTGGGCCCTAAGCTGGCAGCAGGTCCTTAAGCTGCCCTCCCCGCCCTCCGTGGGCCCTGCCTGCTGCTGGCCAACCCAACTGACCGCATCTGCTCCTCTAACCACCTTCGTTCCTTCCTTTGTCATTCAACTACCCCCACCTCCCTACATCACTACAGGTGTGGAGGAGACCACCAGAGGGCCAGCAGGGTCCCTATTCAGACACAGGACCTGAGCAGAGAGACTCCCCAACACAACAGGCTCCTCCTGAGCCCCCAAAAGTCACATGGGCCAGCCAGCCCTTGGCCCAGGAACTCTCCTCAGAGGTTTGGCTAGCAAGGCTCTGCTGACACCCATAGGTCTGGCCAAGCAAGCACACAGCAAGGTCCCTTCCAGAGCAGGCCAAGGGAGAGGCGCAGGCACAGGATAAAGACGTGTAGGGCGCTCCTGCAGACTCACCCCAACATGATGCCTGGAACAAAGAAATGGCCACACCTCCCTGATGTAAGCCCTAACAGCGTGGCTAACTGCCAGATCAGACTTTGTGGGTGTGGGGGCCAGCACAATCGACAAGTTTGGGAACCCCAAAGAGTACCTGTGAAGCAAAACACCCAAAGTAGCAAAATGCATCCCAGCTGCAACCAAATGACAGAATCCACTGGGACAGCAGGGGCCATGAGGGCAGCTGTGGACAGGAAAACCCCACCTACCCCCACCTTGCCACCAGGCTGCTCCCTGAGGCCGACACCCAGCCACACAGGGCACAGGCAGGCAGCAGGGACCTCTGCTGAGAAGAGCAACAGAGAATGACTTCCCAGACTGGGGCACGGACCTTGGGGGAAGCCCCTGGGATCCAATGTGGCTCCCAGCAGCAGACATCACAGAAACAGTCTTCAAGTGACAAAGACCAAGGAAGAAGAGTGCCCTCCCTAAGGAGGTGAGGCCACAAGCCCCCTACCCAAGCATTTGAAAGAGAAAAGCCACGGGCTTTAGTCGCTGGTCCAAGAACACTCAAAAACCAGCCCCCTGGCCAAGTTCCCCTTGTACTGGAGAGCAGGGAAGCCTTGGAGGAGCACCAACTCCATCTACAAAGAGTCCCCAGAACCCTGCAGCCCCCAGAACACCACAAGGGCCAGAAGAGCTGAGACAGATGGGCTGCCAGCTTCTCCTGCTGGCCCGGTAGGGAGGGTCATATTGTCCAGGGAGCTCCCTCCCAGCGGCTCCAGCACAGGGAGCCCACCGGAGTCCCGACCCTCCGTCTCGCACAGTTTGAGCTCTTGCCCCAGGCCATAGGAAAGAGGTGGAGGAATACATGCAAGTAATTCCAACAGGAAGGGCAAGGTCACTGGTAAAATACACTAGATCTCCCTCGGAACCAGGCTGCATAATGTCCCCACAAAACTGATGCTCACTGGGAACCTGTGAATGTGGCCTGACTTGGATATAATCAAAGGTTTATATAGGGTCTTTGCAGATAGAATCAAGTTAAGACGAGGTCACAGCTATGGCCCAAGAAAAGACATGCACATATATACACGTGCACAGGCCGGAAGCATTTCTGGAAAAGAATGGGTGTGGGGAGAGGAGGGGAAGACTGTCCCTCCTCACTGGGCCCCATGAACGGTTCTCTCCCATGTTCCTGTGTTCATGAAAACCACCAGAACAAAAGGAGAAGTGAGAGGATAGCATTCACTAGCATCACTGAAACTCCTGCACAGCCACCTACCTCTCCATTGCTGGGGTTGGTCCCGTACTTCTTAAGCCATGGAACAATGTTCCTGAAGGGAAGACAGAACAGAAAGCATCACCAGGGTGCTTAGGCGCCACCTGGTAACAACACTGTGGTCTTGCAGGGCTGCTTCCAGGTTAGAGGCCTGTGAAGGGGTCTTGCTTCACTTTAGGAGAGGAAGAGCTCCTCATCTTGTCTCAGGAAGTTGGGGGATATTTGTGGATACATAGGTTTCAAAATATGTTCAGAGTTATTACTGTAGTTATGTATAAACAACAAAAACTACAGGTGAAAATGAGTAAGTAAATGGTTTGGGTTTTTTTTCTTTGAGACAAGGTTTCGCCTTGTCACTCAGGCTGGAGTGCAGTGTTTCAGTCATGGCTCACTGCAGCCTCCAACCCCTGGGCTCAAGCGATCCTCCCACCTCAGCTTCCAAGTAGCTGGGACTACAGGTGCACACCACCATGGCTGGCTAATTTTTGCACTTTTTTGTAGACACAGGTTCTCACCATGTTGCCCAGGCTGGTCTCAAACTCCTGGGTTCAAGAGATCCTCCTGCCTCAGCCTCCCAAAGTGCTGGGACTACAGACATAAGCCACCACTCCGTCATAAATGTTGATACATCTGTATAATTAAATACTAAGCTAGCATCAAAAACTATACTTTCAAGCCAGGCATGGTGATGGTGTGTGCCTGAAATCTCAGCTACTCAGGAGGCTGAGGTGGAAGGACTGCTTCAGCGCAGGAGTTCAAGACCAGCCTGGGCAACATAGTGAGACCCTGTCTCAAATAAAAAAAAAAGAAAAGAACAAAGAAAAACTATACTTTCAGAGAATTCTGAATCACACGGGGAAAAAAGCTCTCATCACAACCAAGTGAATAAATAGATCCACAGAGTGTTACCTGTCAACACTTCACAGTGTTCACAGTGTTATCTCAATCATGTTACTACAAATAAGTTCACAAAAAATTAGCATATTTACAGTGGTTATCTTGGATAGTGGGACTGTGGTAAAATTTTCTTTTTCTAAAATAAGGCTGAAATTTCCTAAAAATTCATTTTCAGGCCAGGTGCAGTGGCTCATGCCTGCACTTGGAGGGGTAGGGGGTGGTCTACCCCATTCCAGGCAGTGACAGCAGTACCTGACAACTAGAGCTGCCTGCCCAAGGGTCACAGCAGCATTGCTGCCATGTCCCCAAGGCCCTAGCTGTTACTTCTGTGTGCCCAAGAGCCCTACCCAAGGGTACCAAGGGTCCCCTTCCTTAATGGGTGTTGAGAATCTCACATTTGTTAGATCAAAATTCAAGGAAAAACTCACAGTAAGTCAAAGACGATGCCATCGGGAGTGCAGACTGGGTAGACAAAGGGCTGCAGAGAGAGACTGAAAAAGGACAGTCATTCCTGGTGAGTTGCCACGCACCCTGGTCAGGATGTGGGCTGGCTGAGACTGGCATGGTGACCTCCTGAAATGCTGTCCCAGGGAGCCCTCTCTGGGCAGCCTGGCCACCTCCCTCTCTCACCAACCTTCTCCTCCAACTACAATAGTGTTTGTGCCACCCCTGGTGAAGGTCTAGAGCAGGATCCAACACCAAGGCAAGCTCCTAACATCATGACGAGGACTCTGCATCTTCTCCCAACATGAACTGAAGGGCCACATCTTCAAGGCACACTTTTACGCATAACCCCACATCCACAAGGGGCAGATTCACTATCAGACAGGATCAGAGAACAATTACAAGGGAAAGGTAAACTCGCAAAACTCTTACCTGCAGTGGTCAAAAGGTAAACGACGAAAATTTGTTTGTGGGAGATCTGTTTAAAAATGAAATAAAAAACAGAAATCTTACTCTGTAAAGTATTTCATCTATGTGCACCTGCTAGCAATTCAGTTACAGCTTATGAAAAAGTTCATGCAAATTTTTAAGTACAGCAATTGCTGTGGATTAAAAACCTTTTAACAGATAAACCAAAACACTTGGGGTACATCAAAAAAGAACTTACTGGGAAAAGTGCATACTTTTTACTTCCATTAAAATTATGACAGTGCTCTTGTTATTGTAGTCTTGATAGTTTTGACAGCTGAAAATATTATCATTCTTTTTATTCCTTATAAACTTGATAGAGAAAAAACATTTAAATGTACATGTAATTTTGTATTTCATTTACTTATTTATTTTTTACTTAGCTCCCAGCATCGGGGAATATTTTAAATTACATTTTACAAAAATCACCACTAAGATGAAGCAGGTTCTTCTATCTTGAGTATATTTCTCTTTCATGAACTGTGTCCTCAGCCCATTCGTCTACCATAGTTTCCGTGTTCTTGTTGTCTATTTTTACAGCTCACTGTATCCTGAAGACACAGTTCCTTAATACCACTCCCCCAACGGGGAACAGAAAGACTGCATGCCTTACCTGGCTTCTTGCCACCATAAAAGTGAGTGTATTCAGCACAGGTAATGTACCTGAAGAAGAGAGGAAGATAATGCTACCACCACCACCTTTATAAAGAGGACGAAGTCTTTGGAAGTGAGTAATCTTTGCTTACTCAGCAAATGCTTACTAAATACCTACTATGGGGCGGGCACGGTGGCTAACGCCTGTAATCCCAACACTTTGGGAGCCCGAGGCAGGCGAATCACTAGAGGTCAGAAGTTTAAGACAAGCCTGGCCAACATGGTGAAACCACGTCTCTACTAAAAATACAAAAATTAGCTGGGCATGGTGGTGGGTGCCTGTAATCCCAGCTACTCGGGAGGCTGAAGCAGAGAATTGCTTGATCCCGGGAGGCGGAGGTTGCAGTCAGCCAAGATCACACCACTGTACTCCAGCCTGGGTGACAGAGTGAGACTCTGTCTCAAAAAAACAAACAAACAAAAAAACACCTACTATATGTCAGCCACACAGTGATAAACACAACAGACATGGAGACCAGGCACAGTGGCTCACACCTATAATCCCAACAGTTTGGGAGGCCAAGGCAGGAAGATTGCTTGAGTCCAGGCGTTGGAGAACAGCTGGGGCAACAAAGCGAGAATCTGTCTCTACAAGAAAATTTAAAACTTAGCCAGGTGTGACAGCTCACACCTGTGGTCCCAGCTACTCCAAAGACTAAGGCAGGAAGGCAGGTTGAGGCTGCAGTGAGCTGTGACAGCACCACTACACTCCAGCCTGGGGGACGGGGGAGACTCTGTCTCAAAAACAAACAAAACAAAAAACAAAAAAAACCGGCCGGGCAAGGTGGCTCACGCCTATAATCCCAGCACTTTGGGAGGCCAAGGCGGGCAGATCACGAGGTCAGGAGATGGAGACCATTCTGGCTAACACGGTGAAACCAGTCTCTACTAAAAAAAAAAAAAAAATAGAGGGCCAGGCACGGTGGCTCACACCTGTAATCCCAGCATTTTGGGAGGCCGAGGCGGGCGGATCACCAGGTCAGGAGATGGAGACCATCCTGGCTAACACAGTGAAACCCCGTCTCTACTGAAAATACAAAAAATTAGCCGGGCGTGGTGGCAGGCGCCTGTAGTCCCAGCTACTCGGGAGGCTGAGGCAGGAGAATGGCATGAACCCGGGAGGCGGAGCTTGCAGTGAGCGGAGACCATGCCACCGCACTCCAGCCTGGGCGACAGAGCGAGACTCCGTCTCAAAAAAAAAAAAAAATGGTATCTTATTGCCACAAAGAGTCTGTTTTGTCAATCTTATGATTTCTATTTCTTTATTTTTATTTATTTTATTTATTTTTTTTTTGAGACGGAGTCTTGCTCGCTGCCCAGGCTGGAGTGCAGTTGTGCAATGTCGGCTCACTGCAAGCTCCACCTCGTGAGTTCACGCCATTCTCCTGCCTCAGCCTCCCGAGTAGCTGGTACTACAGGCGCCTGCCACCACGCCCAGCTGATTTTTTTGTGTATTTTTAGTAGAGATGGGGTTTCACCGTGTTAGCCAGGATGGTCTCGATCTCCTGACCTGGTGATCCACCCGCCTCAGCCTCCCAAAGTGCTGGGATTACAGGTGTGAGCCACCGTGCCTGGCCCCTTATGATCTCTATTTCAACATTAATGCTGGTCAGTTGTTGTGTCTAAGCCACAAAAGGGAGGGGGATATAACAAGGCACAGCTGATCTCTATCCCATCATGGCCAGGAACTCAGTTTTAAGGTTTTCCTGGGGTTCTCTTGGCCACAAGGGTGTCTGCTTAGCCAGTGGGGGGACTTAGGGTTTTATTTTTAGTTTACAGGGAGGAGCAGGCTCAAGAGCTGAAAATCAAGAGTTCTGTTTAAGGCATATTAAATTCGAGATGTCTGGCCCGGCACGGTGGCTCACGCCTGTAATCCCAGCACTTTGGGAGGCAGAGGTAGGTCGATCACTCGACGTCAGGAGTTCGAGACCGGCCTGACCAACATAGTGAAAACCTGTCTCTACTAAAAATACAAAAATTAGCATGGGCATGGTGGCAGGCACCTATAATCCCAGCTACTGGGGAGGCTGAGGTGGGAGAATTGCTTGAATGTGGGAAGTAGAGGTTGCAGTGAGCCAAGACGGCACCATTGCACTCCAGCCTGGGCGACAGAGCAAGACTCCATCTCAAAAAAAAAAAAAAAAAAAAAAAAAAAATTTGAGATGTCTTTCAGTCCTCCAGTGGAGATATTAAGTAAGCCACTAACTACACAAGACTGGGGAAAGCAGCTTATAGATGACTGGGAAATTATATCACCCACAGAGAATGTTTATGGAAAAGAAACGTATGAGATCTGAGAGAAGGGAGGAGGGTCCAGAAAGGAGACTGGGAAAAGAAAGACCGCTGAAGTCGATGGAAAACAAAGAGCATGTGAAATCCCAGATACCAAAGAAGGGCTTCAGAAGGAGGGAGTGGTCAACAGTGGGACATACTGTTGAGAAGCCCAACAAAATGAGGACTGAGGCTGCCCAGACGCGGTGGCTCACGCCTGTAATCCCAGGACTTTGGGAGGCCGAGGCAGGTGGATCACCTGAGGTCAGGAGTTCGAGACCAGCCTGACCAACATGGAGAAACCCCTTCTCTACTAAAAATACAAAATTAGCTGGGCATGGTGGCGTATGCCTGTAATCCCAGCTACTCGGGAGGCTGAGGCAGGAAAATCTCTTGAAGCCGGGAAGCGGAGGTTGCGGTGAGCCAAGATCTCACCATTGCACTCTAGCTTGGGCAACAAGAGCGAAACTGCGTCTCAAAAAAAAAAAAAAAAAAAAATGAGGACTGAGGATTGAATACTATATTTAGCAACAAGAAGTCGCTGGGAACCTGAAAAGAGAGGCCGCTGAAGTCGAGAGAAAACAAAGAGCAGGTGAAATCCCAGATACCAAAGGAGGGCTTCAGAAAGAGGGAGTGGTCAACGGTGTGACATACTGTTGAGAAGCCCAACAGTTCTGGGGTCGAAATTCTGACTTGAGTGGTTTCAAGAGACTCAGAAAACAGCATGAAGCCACTAGTCTCTCACTTGTTCTTAAGAGAAACAACACGGCGGCAGCGGGAGGGGAACGTGGGACGTGGGGCACGGGGCACGGGTGGATTTTTAAATTTTATTTATTATTTTTGAGACAGCGTCTCGCTCTGTCGCCCAGGCTGGAGTGCAGTGACACGATCTCGGCTCACCGCAACCTCCGCCTCCCGGGTTCAAGCGATTCCCCTGCCTCAGCCTCCCAAATAGCTAGGATTACAGGCGCCCGTCACCACGCCCCGCTAATTTTTGTATTTTTAGTAGAGACGGGGTTTCACCGTATTAGCCAGGCTGGTCTTGAACTCCTGACCTCAGGTGATCCGCCCGCCTCGGCCTCCCAAAGTGCTGTGATTACAGGTGAGCCACTGCGCCCGACCTGGTTTGCTTTAAATTAGAAGGCTCTGCAGCACGTTTGCAGGCTGATAGGCATGAACCAGAACACAGCGAGACGTGAAGTACGGAAGAGGTAGAGACTACTCATTCAAGGGCGAAACTCGCGAACAGACGGGGGACGGTCCGGGCAGAACCAGAGTAAGGAAAACCGGGCTGCGCTCGAGCCCGCAGCTGACGTCATCGGAGCCGCGGCCCCGGGAGAGCGCGGCGGCCCGAGGGTCATTACCCTGACTGGAGACAGGGCGGCAGCTTCCGGGAGGAAGTGACCTTTGGGCTGTGCTCTGGGGAGTAGCTGAGAGGGAAGGCGAGCGGCGCGCAGTGCGGGACAGGCGGTTCACTGAGGCAGAGTGGAGCGCCGCTCCCGACTGCGGCTCAACTTACATTTTGTCCTTTTGGTGCTGTCGCTTCCCCATGGCGGAGCGGCGGCGGCGACTAGCGAGCACGAAAAAACAACGGCTGACAACTCAGACCATGGAGCCGCAGCCGAGTTCCGTGACCACTTCCGGGTTCCGCGGCGCGCCCCGGAAACGGGCGCCTGGCGTGCTGGGAATTGTGGTTCGCTAGCGCCAGGTGCTCATGCTCGGAAGGATCGCCTGCCCAGTATGGGGTCCTAGCTAGGTGTGCCATCTCCCGCAGGCGTCTTTTCGGGGCCGAGCTCCCTCAGCCTCGAAGCCCCATCTTCTTGAGGGGTCTGTCTGGACCGCCTTGTCTACCCCCCTAGCCACGGCTCAGGGCCATTCCCATACTGGGTTCTCAGGTCTTATTTATTTATTTTCGAGACAGGGTCTCGCTCTGTCGCCCAGGTTGGAGTGCAGTGGCACAATCACAGCTCACTACTGCCTCGACCTCCCAGGCTCAAGCGATTCTCCCACCTCAGCCTCCCGAGTAGCTACGGGCACGCACCACCACACCCGGCTAATTTGTTAATTTTTTGTAGAGACAGGCTCTTACAATGTTGCCCAGGCTGGTCTGGAGCTCTTGAGCTCAAGCAGTCCTCCCGCCTTGGCCTCCCAAAGTGCTGGGATTACAGGCCTGAGGCTTCGCGCCCGGCCAGCGCTCAGGTCTTTTTCAACGTCCTCCTAGAGCTTCAAGTCTCATGAGCCTCCACCCCATCCCTTCCCGCCTCCGTGGCAGATGCCTTCAAAGCCATGTACCACTCTCGTTCTACTCGCTCACTTCTCATTCTCTCTGCATATTCGGTCCCCACCGCCTCCAGGCCCCTCGGAGGCCCAGCAGCAGGTGGCCATCAAGCCTAGAGGTCCAAAGCCCTACCTGATCCCTTCCGTCTCTTCTGCCAGACCCTTCCCTTGGGTCAGATCAGTACCTTGGGCCCCTAGCTACACTCAGGCCCAGGGTAATCTTGCCTAGGCTCCTAATTTTAAATGCCATTTGTATCCCATGACTCCCAGTACTAAGTCACCAGCACTCCAGGTTCCTGATCTCCACTTGGGTAACCACTGATCTGAAATGTAACATGTCTGGATGGGCGTGGTGGCTCACGCCTGTAATCCCAGCACTTTGTGTGTGTGTGTGTGTGTGTGTGTGTGTGTGTGTTTAGTAGAGACGGGGTTTCACCATGTTAGCCAGGATGGTCTCGATCTCCTGACCTCCTGATTCGCCTGCCTTGGCCTTCCAAAGTTCCGGGATTACAGGCGTGAGCCACCACGCCCGGCCAATCCCAGCACTTTGAGAGGCTGAGGCAGGCGGATCACTTGAGGTCAGGAGTTCAAGACTAACCTGGCCAACATGGCAAAACCCCATCTCTACTAAAAATACAAAAAATTAGCCTGGTGTGGTGGCACACACCTGTAATTCCAGCTACTTGGGAGGCCGAGACAGTAGCTTGAACTGGGGAGGCAGAGGTTGCCGTGAGCCAAGATTAGGCCACTGCATCCCAGCCTGGGTGACAGAGTGACTCTGCCTAAAAAAATTAAATTAACATGTCTGGTCAAAGTAGAATTTTCTTTTTTTTTTTCTTTTTTTTTTTGACATGGAGTTTTGCTCTTGTTGCCCAGGCTGGAGTGCAATGGTGTGATCTTGGCTCACTGCAACCTCCGCCTCCCAGGTTCAAGCGATTCTCCTGCCTCAGTCTCCCAGGTAGCTGGGATTATTACAGGCATGCGCCACCACGCCTGGCTAATTTTGTATTTTTAGTAGAGAAGGGGTTTCTCCATGTTGGTCAGGCTGGTCTCGAACTCCCGACCTCAGGTGATCCTCCCGCCTCAGCCCTCCCAAAGTCCTGGGATTACATGCATGAGTCACCGCACCCGGCCATAAAGCAGAATTTTCAATCCTCCCTCTTCTCCCAGTCCCCACTCTGCTGAGCAGTACCACCATCCACCCAGTCACCGAAAGCCAGCTATCTTTGCCTTATTTCATGGCTGGCTTCTTATTCTCTAGGTTTTAACATAAGTGTCACCTCCCCAGAGAGACCTTCCCTAACCACCCACTTCCATGCATCTCCCATAAAGTCTGTCACAATTCCTCACAATTTGTAATCCTGTGTAATTCAGTCTGTGTCCCGGTTTACTGAGCACCCTCCCTGACACAACCACTGCCTCCATGACACACATACAGTGGATGGGATGTAGCTCCTTAAGGGCTGGAATCTTAGGCCCAGCATGGTGGCAGCACCTGTGATTCCAGCTACTTGGGAGGCTGTAGTGGAAGGATCACTTGAGGCCCAGGAGTTTGAGGCTGCAGTAAACTATGATCAAGCCACTGCACTCTAGCCTGGGCAACAGAGTGAGATCCTGTCTCTTTAAAAAAGGGCCGGGGTGTGGGGAGGGGACAGTCGGTGCGGTGGCTCACGCCTGTAATTCCAGCACTTTGGGAGGCTAAGGCGGTTGGATCACCTGAGGTCAGGAGTTCGAGACCAGCCTGGCTAACATGGTGAAGCCCTGTCTCTACTAAAAATACAAAAATTAGCTGGGCGTGGTGGCATGTGCCTGTGATCCCAGCTCCTCAGGAGGCCTGAGGCATGGTGATCGCTTGAACCTGGGAGGCAGAGGTTGCAGTAAGCTGAGATCGCGCCACTGCACTACAGCCTGGGCAACAGAGCACAACTCTGTCTCTAAATAAGCAAGCAAACAAATAAATACAAACCAATTAAAAATAACCCATTTGTGGTGATGCACCATGATGACTCAGTCAGAAAGCAAAATGCACCAATAACCTAAAAATTGACCCCATTGGAGAAATATTTCAAAAAGCAAGAACAGTTGAGTAAATGATGTTCCACCCGTTTGATGGAATATTTTGTATCTATTGTTATTGGTGAACTTAAAGATTTATTATTATTATTATTATTATTATTATTATTACTTTTTATTTTTTGAGATGGAGTCTCGTACTGTTGCCCAGGCTGGAGTACAGTGGCGTGATCTCGGCTCACTGCAAGCTCCACCTCCCGGGTTCAAGCAATTCTCCTGCCTCAGCCTCCCGAGTAGCTGGGACTACAGGTGCCTGCCTCCACCCTCTGGGCTCAAGAGATTCTCCCACTCACGCCTCCCAAGTAGCTGGGACTACAGGTGCGCACCAACATGCCTGGCTAATTTGAATACCTGAGCTCAAGTGATCCCCCACCTCACTCCTCCCAAATTGCTGGGATTACAGTAGTGCACCACCACGCTCGGCCAGAATTCTGAATTGTCTTTTTATAAAACAGTGTGAGTTCCTTACACAAAAAGTCCTCTGAATTCTTTTTTTTTTTTTTAAAGACAGAGTCTCACTTTGTCGCCAGGCTGGAGTTCAGTGGCACGATCTTGGCTCACTGCAACCTCTGCCTCCTGGGTTCAAGCGATTCTTCTGCCTCAGCCTCCCAAGTAGCTGGGACTGCAGGCATGAGCCACCACGCCCTGCTGATTTTTGTATTTTTAGTAGAGACAGGGTTTCACCATGTTGGCCAGGATGGTCTCCATCTCTTGACCTCGTGATCCGCCCGCCTCAGCCTCCTAAAGTGCTGGGATTATAGGTATGAGCCATTGTGCCCAGCCAAGGCCTTTGAATTCTTATTCATTGCTGGATGCAAAATGGTACAGTCTTTTTGGAAGACAGTTTGGCTATCGTACCCTATGATTCAGCAAGCATGCTCCTTGGTATTTACCCAAATGAGTTGAAAAGTTATGTATACTCTAAAACCTCCACACAGATGTTTATACTGCTTTATTCATAATTGCAAAACTTGGAGGCAACCAGGATATCCTTCATTGGGCGAATGATAAAATGTGGCATATCCAGGCAATGGAATATTATTCAATGCTGAAAAAGATGAGCGGCCAGGTGTGGTGGCCTAACTGCCTGCACCTCTTGACTCCCCACTTAGCCTGTGTGACTCATTCAGGTCTGGCCTCCACCTCCAGGCAGTCCTCCATCCCCCAGGCTGGGTTCAGACCTCCTTAGTTCCCAGCGTGCCCGACCCCATCTCCTGTACCCCTAACCAAGCTCAAGGTGGGCACAAGAGATGGTCCCAATGTATCTGCTGAGTGAATGAAAGCCACGTCATTCTTATGGCTCTTCTATAAGGTACTTTTCTTCAAATGAGGCCAACAAACTTATCCTGAGATTTCCTTTCTATCCTCCAGGTGAAGAATTTGGACATTTCAAGATCTGAAGTGAAATTAAACTGGAATGGCCTGTCACGAAACCCAAGGAGGTCGAAGGGGTTTACTCTGGGCTTGAGGGAAATGAAAAAGGAGCATCTTGGGGAGTGTCCCATGTGCCAGCCTAGGTCACCATTTCTTCTCAGTCTGTTAGTGAATCCTCACAACCATCCTGAGTGCTTATTCTCATTTTACAGTGGAGGGGTCTGGGCTCAGAGGTTGGCTCTGTGTAGGCAGTGCCTGTGCCCGTGCTGTAGAACTGCACATGAGGTGTGGAGGGGCCTGGGGCTGACGTCCCCTCTCTGCCCTGTCTTGCAGCCACATGGTTGATCTGACTGGTTGATCTGACTCCCTTGGTTCTCAACCCTGGAGGCTTCCATTTCTCATATGTGGCTGGAAACAGCCTGCCCAAGCTCCATTGCCCTGGCTCCCCCTGGTAAGCATGCCTCCGCACCTCCCTGGGGCCAGACACCATCCTGGCTCTAACCCAGTGCACTGCAGGCAGAGGGTAGCATGGGGAGCCATGCCCACAGGGAGAGGCAGGAGTGGGGCTGGAGATGTGGGAGGGGCCCCCTGGTTTTCCACCTGTCCTTTGGGAGCCCCAGGATCCTGTCTGGTCTACACTATGCCTACGGTCTTTGGTCCCTTCCCTCCACTGCCCTGCAAGTCGGTCAGTGGGAGCCTCCCCCACTCCAGGCAGTCCTGGGTGCCCCCTGCTCAGAACAATCCCAGGGGCTCTCCTGGGCCTGTAGCCGTGGATCTCAGCCCTCTGCTTTTAAGCAGCAGACCCCTCTTTGCAGACAGGGTCTTGATGCACAAAGCAGATAAACGGGGTTTGCTCTGGTTAAGGCGTTGGGTGGGGGTTGAAGGCACCAAGGGGCTCCACCTACTTGGCTTTAGGCAAGCAAGGCAGCCCCAGGTGCCAGGGGGTGATGAGGTCACCACGGAGACCATGGTGGTGGTAGCGGCAGAGGTGGCAGCAGGGTTGGTGGCAGGCATGGGGAGGTCAACCGGTCCCACAAGAGGTTGGGTTCTGGTTTCTTCTGTCTTGGCTTCTTTCTCGTCTTCTTGGTGTCTGCAACAAAAGGTGCCAGTGAGTGCCTACCTTGCAGCTGGAGCAGGTAGAGTGGGAGCCAGACACAGTGGTATGGGGTCTTCACGCAGTCCCTCCAACAGGAAAGTGAGGGGGCCCCAAAGAACACCATGAACAATACCTAGAGCCACTGCTGACAGGGGCCAACATGCCCCATCTCACCAACCTCACCTTGGGGGGCTACAGGTGCTGTTGGTCCAACAATCAGTGGAGGGCTCACTCTCAATGCTCCAGAAAGTGGGACCCCCAGGCAAGCTGGGCCTCTCCATGTGACACAGAAGTGAGTAGCCCCACACTAGTGTAGGCACCCACGAACACAAATATACTGAAGGAACTGAGCCTGAATCCAATCGAGCTTTAGAGCAACTGTCCAAGAAATACAGGCAGAGGAGGAAGCAACCCACCAGCAGACCGTAACAGACGCAAACCCGGGAAGTGGGACTTGCCAGAGGACGACACCAGACAGGCTATCCCTCCTCAAAGGGGACTTCAACAGAAGTGGCCAAGGACCCAGGGCCATCCCAGTGTACATTTGCTGCCCCTGTGTGGCCACATATATGGCCCCCTTTCATTTCATTCTCACAAGGTTCCCAATTTAGACACTAATTATACAATCACCCTAGTTAAAAGGAACCTAAGAGGCCTAACAGCCAAACATAATGAATGTGTGAGTCTCACTGGGTCCTGAGGTGACAAACCAAGTCTAGAAAGACTTCTGTGGCCCATCTAGGAGAGGTGACTATGACCAGCTGATGTCAGAGAACTGTTGTCAATTATGTAAAGTGTAACAATGACATTGTGATTATGTCAGCAAATGTTTGTTTTTGTAGTTGTCACTTTATAGAGACAGGGTCTCACTCTGTATCACCCACGCTGGAGCACACTGGTGTGATCATAGCTCACCATAACCTCAAACTCCTGGGCTCAAGCTATCCTCCTGCCTCAGCCTCCCAAGTAGCCAGGACTACAGGCATGTGCCACCACACCTGGCTATTTTAAAAATTTTTTTGTAGAGATGGGGTCTTGCTATGTTGCCAGGCTGGTCTCCAACTCCTAGGCTCAAGAGATTCTTTTACCTCAGCTTCCCAAAGTGCTGGGATTACAGGCATGAGCTACTGTGCCCAGCCAAATGCCTTTTTTTTTTTTTTTGAGATGGAGCTTCTCTCTTGTCACCCAGGCTGGAGTGCAGTAGTGCGATCTTGGCTCACTGCAACCTCTACCTCCCAGGTGCAAGCGATTCTTCTGCCTCAGCCTTCCGAAGTAGCTGGAATTACAGGCAAGCCCAGCTAATTTTTCTGTATTTTTAGTTGAGACGGGGTTTCACCATGTTGGCCAGGCTGGTCTTGAACTCCTGACCTCAGGTGATCCACCTGCCTCGGCCTCCCAAAGTGCTAGGATTACAGGCGTGAACCACCATGCTTGGCCTTTTTTTTTTTTTTTTTTTTTTTAATTAAGATGCATTCTAAAGTAGTCAGAGGTACAATGATGTCTGAGATTTCCCTTCAAATACTTCAGAAAAAGGCCTAGGGTTATGGAGAGTGAAACACATTTGGCAAGATGGGGACAGTTGCTGAGGCTGACGACAGGTTCTTGGGGGTGTTCGCTGTCATCTCCAGTTTTGTACATGTTTACTTTAATAAAAAGTGCCTCTTTTTTTTTAAGTGCCAAACACAGGGCCAGAGACAAGCCACAGGGCCACACCAAGGACATGGTTGGTCGGTGCCAGGACTCTCTCAACTTTTTTTTTTTTTTTTCGAGACGGAGTCTCACTCTGTTGCCCAGGCTGGAGTGCAGTGGCGCTGTCTCAGCTCACTGCAACCTCCGCCTCCTGCGTTCAAGCAATTCTCCTGCCTCAGGCTCCTAAGTAGCTGGGATTACAGGCACGCACCACCACGCCTGGCTAATTTTTGTATTTTTAGTAGAGACGGTGGTTTCACCATGTTGGTCAGGCTGGTCTCGAACTCCTAATCTTGTGATCCGCCCGCCTCGGCCTTGTCCCAAAGTGCTGGGATTACAGGCGTGAGCCACCGCACCCGGCCTTTTTTTTTTTTTTTTTTAATTGATTCAGGTTTGCTTGGTTGCTTGAGCCAGCCCTACCTACAGGCCTTCATCCACCACTCCAAAACACTCACCAAGGTGAGCAGTGAGGGCTCTCTCTCTCGGAAAGGTGGCCCAACTTGCTCAGGATCACACAGCCAGGAAGGAAGTAGCAGAGCTGAAGTCAGTCTCCTAACTAAAGAATCTAGCTAGGGGCAGCGCCTCTCCTCCCAGGTCCAGACTGCCCAGGCCCCTTCCTGCTCTGGATAAAACCTGATCCAAGGAGGGCAAATCCAACCGGAAGAATGGAGGTGGTCACCTAGCCCTCGGCCTGGCTGCACTGGGCTCAGACCCCCGCCCAGGGCCCAGCACGGGGAGAGGTTGATCCTCGCCCCGGGAGTAGAGGTGCACGCGGTGGATGCTCTGCTTCAGCTGCTCCACCTGCTCGTGCATCTCCAGGGCGCCCATGCTGTTGCAATGGTTCAGCTCCGCCTGCACAACACAGAAGAACTTCGCCTGCAACAAGAGTAGGAGAGGCAGGGCAGGGGGAGGTCCGGGGCGTGAGACGCCTGCCCGCTCCACTCCCCAGGCTGTGCAGCCTCGGCTTTCTGATAGATCCTACCCTGCAGCCCCAGCTAGGCCGACGGCGACCTCTCCACCCCACCCCCATCCCCGGCCCCCAAAGCTCCAATCGTCGGAGCTCTTTCCTAGGGGACGGCGGACCCGGGTAGTGACAGTTCCCGCCCAGCCGGTCCCATGCCCCGCGGCCGCATCCGGAAAAAAGAGAGCCCGCGCTGTTCCAATTGTACCACCCTCTCCGCCAGCGACGGGTTGCGGACGGGGCTGCGGAAGAGGAGGCGCAGCGCGCGCCCAGTGTAGGTGTCCGCCTGCCTCTCCAAGTCCTCCTCGGAGATCTGCTGGCAGGTCTTGCTCTGCGGGACCTCGCTGTCGAACTTGTCTAGGATCTCTACGAGCGAGCGCGGCTGGAGAGCCCGGGTGGCCTGGAAGCGGAGCAGGCGTCTGGGCGGGGCTCCCGAGGGTCTCGGCGCGCCGACCGCCACTCCCCCCGAGGCCGGAGCGTGGGGTCACCAGGGGAGGCGGGGCCCGTCGTGCGGGACTGCCGGGACGCACCCTCTCTCCCCACGGCCGCGGCGCAGGTGCGGACTCTCTAGCCTACTGCAGCCGCGCCGCCCCGCCCCAGCCAATCCGCGCGGAAGCCGGGGGCGGGGCCAATCCCCAGTCGCCTGCCTCAGGCGACAATGCCCGTTGCTCTGGGCACGCGCGCTCACGACCTCGAGGGGGCGAACGCGGCTGCGCGGGTCCTGGCCCAGTTCCGCAGGGGCCATCGGGCCTTTGACCCGGGTCGGGCTCTTGGCTGCGCCGAGGACGTGGTTGGTCAGCAACTTCTTTAAGGTCCCCACCTCTCGGCAGGCCCCTAGTCCCCTCCGACGGGCGCCCCTCCTCGCTGTCTGTAGCCTCCCGGGCCTCATCCAGGCAACGCCCCGAGAACTTCACTCTGCCCCTAACCCCTCTAGTTCGGACTTTTCACCCTCCTCCCTCTCCTTCACTCTCCATTGGCCTCCCCAGATTCTGCGCTCTCCTCCCCTTTACAGCCACTTGTTTGCTCTGTACTCGCTGCATCTCCGGCCCCTCCTCAGTGTCCTGTTCCTCCTGCTCCACCTCGCTGTCCTTTTCCTCTTGCCCCTCGAATGCGTTTCTGAAGGTCCTGGCTTCACCGTCTCATCTGGGACGATCTTACACACTTCTTGTTCCTGATTAGAACCCATAACTGACTGAAAAACACACCCACTGTGTCTCACCCTTCAGCTCCAGACCCACATCCAAATGACCACTGGGGACGATTCTTGGGCATCTCATGCTGAACATGTCCACATTCACGCACAGCTTCTTCTCCCTGAAAGCTACTTTTCTTACCCCTCTCCCCTCCTACTTGGTCAGCCACTGACCCCAGCCACTAACAAGGGGGTGCACCCTGGACTGCGTCCTCCCTTGTCCCCTCCTTGTCCTCCATCAGCCCTGAGATCCATAGTGTGCCTGAGACGTTTAATCAGATTTTTCATCTCTTACTGCTAAACCACCACCCCTCAGCTCTTCCAACATAGGAAGTGACATTTATTTCCTCCTGCCTGGGGACAACCAAAGAAGAATGAGGTCTGTCCTGATCATCTTGTCTAGGAGTGCAGGCAGAGAGACTTGTCAGGTACACTTGGGCTCAAATCTCTATTCTACTTCCTGCCCTGGTGTGACTTACAAAATGAAACTTTAAAATCTATAGTATGTGCCTTTTTTTCTTTCTTTTTTTCTTTCTTTCTCTCTCTCTCTCTCTCTCTCTCTCTCTCTCTCTCTCTCTCTCCCTCCCTCCCTCCCTCTCTCTCTCTCTCTTTCTTGTCGGAGTCTCACTTTGTCGCCAGGCTGGAGTGCAATAGCGCGATCTCAGCTCACTGCAACCTCCGCCTCCCAGGTTCAAGAGACTCTCCTGCGTCAGCCTCCGTACTAGCTGGGACTACAGGCATACACCATCATACCCAGCTAATTTTTGTATTTTTAGTAGAGGCAGGGTTTCTCCATATTGGCCAGGCTGGTCTTGAACTCCAGACCTCAGGTGATCCCCCCGCCCTCGGCCTCCCAAAGAGCTGGGATTACAGGCGTGAGCCACCGTGCCTGGCCAGGATGTGCCTTTTTTCATACAGGACAAGCACCCCCTTGAGGGTGGAGCAGATCCCTAATCACCCTCCCATCATGTCATTCCAGTAACCCATGCTTCACACTTTATACCTGTATTTGTATTTTTAAAAAGTGTAGGCCGGGCACAGTGGCTTACAGCTCCCAGCACTTTGGGAGGCCGAGGCGGGTGGATCACCTGAGGTCAGGAATTCGAGACCAGCCTAGCAAACATGGCGAAACCCTGTCTCTACTAAAAATACAAAAATTAGCCGGGCGTAGTGGCACATTCCTGTAATCCCAGCTACGCGGAAGGCTGAGGCAGGAGAATTGCTTGAACCCAGGAGGCAGAGGTTGCGGTGAGGCGAGATTGCACCATTGCACTCCAGCCTGGGCAACAAGAGCGAAACTCCGTCTCAAAAAAAGGGTGGGGGGTTATTGGGCCCCTCCTCTTTGTCAGACACTGCCAAGAGATTTTTTTTTTTTTTTTTGAGACGGAGTTTCCCTCTTGTTGCCTAGGCTGGAGTGCAATGGCGCAATCTCAGCTCACCGCAACCTCTCCCTCCTGGATTCAAGTGATTCTCCTGCCTCAGCCTCCTGAGTAGCTGGGATTACAGGCATGCGCCACCATACCTGGCTAATTTTGTATATTTATTTTTTATATTTTCAAGAGGGAGTCTTGCCCTGTTGTCCAGGTTGGAGTGCAGTGGCGCGATCTTGGCTCACTGCAACCTCTGCCTTCCGGGTTCAAGCAGTTCTCTGCCTCAGCCTCCCTAGTAGCTGGGATTACAGGTGCCCACCACCACACCCGGCTAATTTTTGTGTGTGTGTGTGTGTGTTTTTAGTAGAGATGGGGTTTCACCATCTTGGCCAGGCTGGTCTTGAACTCCTGACCTTGGACCCACCTGTCTCAGCCTCCCAAAGTGATGGGATTACAGGCGTGAGCCACTGCGCCCAGCCTAATTTTGTATATTTAGTAGAGATGGGGTTTCTCCATGTTGGTCAGGCTGGTCTCAAACTCCCGAACTTAGGTGATCCACCTGCCTCGGCCTCCCAAAGTGCTGGGATTACAGGCATGAGCCACTGCGCCTGGCCAGAGATTTTTTAAATGACAGTTGTCTCTGCCTCAGGGGCTCCCAGTCTAATGGACACTTCTGCCACAGGGAGAACATTTTGATTTAGGCCGGGTGCGGTGGCTCATGCCTGTAATCCCAGCACTTTGGGAGGCCCAGAAGGGCAGATCATGAGGTCAGGAGTTCGAGACTAGCCTGGCCAACATAGTGAATCCCCGTTTCTACTAAAAATACAAAAATTACTGGGTGTGGTAGCACCTGTAGTCCCAGCTATTCGGGAGGCCGAGGCAGGAGAATCGCTTAAACCCGGGAGGCGGAGTTTGCAGTGAGCCAAGATCGTGCCACTGCACTCCAGCCTGGGCGACAGAGCAAGACTCCATCTAAAAAAAAAAAAATTTGATTTAACAAGCTGTTCTGGAGGAATATTCAATGCTGTGAAGCCCAGAGAAGGCTTCCATTGGGAGGGAGCCAGTGAGCAGAGCCCTGAGTTCAGTCTCCCCGCAGCAAGAGCAGGAGACAGCTGCATGGGGGTCTCCAGCCAGTGGGTACAGAATCTGTACAGGACTGAGGGGTGGCCACCTCCAGCCATGGCCCCTGGTGCCTAGAGGAAGGGAGGATGGATCTAAGTCAGATGACCCTAGGATCAAGGAACCCCAAGGGATCAGGACTAGGAAGCCAAGGAGCATGTGTCATTGCCCCTGTTCCTCCCACGGGTGCCAGGGCTTCTCTCCCCAGGGTAGGGGTAAAGCAGTTTCCCAATGCGCCCAGCTAGGGATGAGGGGAACTCCCAAAAGCCCATCTGGAAACCTAGTCCTCCTCTAAAGAAGATTTGAATGACTGTGACTGGGCACGTAGAAACCTTTTGCACCGTGTCAGGTCTTGATGGTAGAGGTGGTCATCCAAGCATGCCTGGGGTCAGGCTCCTTGGAAGTTCAGCTCCAACCCTGTATTCCAGCTGGGACGGTTGGAATGTTAGACACCTCAGTCCCTCCTGCAGGTTCAGGGCACACCTCTCTGTAAGAGAACAAACTGGCATGGTTGGTAGACATCATTTGCAGGCTTTGTATCCCAAGTCCACCCATCCATCTCACATAGTACCACTCCAGCTGAGTCCACTCAACTGATCAGTCAACTGGTCAGTCCATAGTACCACTCCAGCTGACGTCCTGGGGTGAAGGCTGCCTCCTGAAAGGCCTGCCTTACCCCCTTACCCAACTGCCACCCAGAAGAACATTCTCTCCAGAGCCTGGCCCTGTTCAAGCTTCCAGCAAGGACTGGGCCCAAGCCAGGCCTAGAATGATCTTCCATGCAAAAGACTGGGCGTGTATTTCCCCTAAGACCCTGACCAGGCCTGGAGTTCCAGTCTTACCCCAGGGACCCAATGTGGAAAGACCTTCAAACAAGAGCTTTTCAGAAGCTGGGGAGGTCTGCTCCTGCACCTGTCCAGCCATGACAGGATGGAGAGTTTAGGGATGATTCTCCAGCTCTGCACCCACCTGATCCTCTGATGGAGGGTCCAGTCCAGCTTCACATCTGTGCCTAATCAGTGGAAACACTTACCCTCTGGGCACCTCAACCTTCTCAACTGGAAAGTGGAGTGAGGCAGCAAGCTCCCTTTCCCCCTCCCAGGGTAGCAGGCTGGACCTGACCGATGCCCTTTCATCATTGCACTGCTTCCCAGCGGCCTATAGTAGTGCAACAGGGAAAGAGTGTCGGGCAGGCCTGCCAGTGCCTCCCCCAGGGTGGTCTGCAGGGATCTGAGACCTGGAATGCAGGCTGGCTGGGGCGGGGCCTCTGCCCGGGGGGAAAGGGTGCCCTCTGACCCCAGAGGCCCAGGCCTGTCTAGAATCTCAAGTTTCCATGGAGAAGGGAGCGAATTGGGTAGGGGGGAGGGGAGGGCCTGCAAGCCCAAGGGGCCCTGCCTGGGGAGTGGGAGGTGAGGGTTATAGGGAGGGAGATCCCCAAGGCTGGTCCCAGATGCTTTGACAATATCATTGCACTGCTTCTCAGAGCACAGTAGTGCAACCTCGTCAGAGCACCTGCGGCCAGCAGGGGGGACCCCACCACCCCCAATACACGCAGGGCGGGAAGCTCAACCATGGATGGGTGGGTGGGGCAGAGCCCCCGTCCAGTCCATCCGGGCAGGGAAGGAGACCGCAGCGGGGTGCGTCCCTGGGGTCTTCAGAACCCAGGACACCCAGGCCTTTCCCAGAACGCTCCGGATTGAGGTGGAGGAGAAACCCCAGACTAGGGGGTTGTTCCAATCCCGGAGCAGGAGCTGACGGGCCACGCAGGGGAGGGGGCGCACACACAAAGACGAACCCGCACTCAGCCGCAGTCCAAAGCCGGCTAGCGCCCGGAGCGGGGTGGGTACAGCCCGACGACCCTGCGCCCTGACTCGGCCCGCGGCTCCAGGAGAAAAAGGGCGGCCCCACCCCGGGACGACGCGCCCCTTCTAGCTGACGACTCCATCCCTGGCCCCTTGCCCTGCACTAGATACACTCTGGATTCTTTTCTAACATATTCTTCTGCCTGGAGGCCCAGAGTGGAGCAGAGGATGGGGGCTCCCCGCCCTTCTAGAGTTCCCTGCTCCAAAGAGGGCCCCCGGGATCCCGGCCGCGCCCCTCCGCCTGACCCGCCGAGTAGGGCCGCCCAGCCCAGCCCAGGATCCCCTCCTCAGACACAGCTGACTCACGCAGACATCCCTTCCGCCCAGGGCCCGGTCAGGACGCGGAGGGTTAGACGGAAGAGGATCCCGGCCATCGTCTGCCCCCGGGTCCCCGTCCAGACGACCCTGCACCTCGTGGCGGCCCCTCGCCTGCCGGCTCCATCTTTAACCCGCTGACAGTCGGAGGGGCCGGGCCCCCGACTCCTTAGCATAGCGCTGCGCTCATTGGCCGGCGCTGGCGCGGGGATTCGCCTCCTGCATGCCTGTTGGCTGAGACGGGAGAGATTTCAAAATAGCCTCCGGGTTCCGATTGGCCCGGCGCCGGCCGAGTCTCGGGCTCCGTGGTTTTAACAATGAGTTCTACAAACACTTTTTCCCCATTCATAACTTATCAAAAGGAACTTTGCCCGCCTTTTCTCAGCTCCAATCTCTGCGAGTTTTCTAGCGACACCGACAAGAGCGCTTGGAAGCCCGGTGAGGGGCGCCAGGCGCGAGCCCACAGTGGGGGAGGCCGAGACCCTGTGGAAATTCCCGAACCCCCGCCAAGCCTGCTGTGAACGCGGCCGCGGGCTGCTTTGTTATGCATGCTGAGGTTGCTCTCTGCGCCTCCTGGATGGGATATTTGGACGTGGTGGGCTTACAAACTGGGGTAGCCCCCCTCCCAACTCAACCACCCCGGATCGCCCGGCAGGACGCGAGTGAGGCTTTCCTGAAAACCCCCGGGTATGGCTGGGCTATGGAGACCGGGTCCTGGGCCCCGTGGTCTTTTGGATCTGTGGGAGATATGGGGAACGGAAGTGTAAGCTTTGGTTTCTTCGTGATTGTGATCCACTTTGCGGAGAAGCATTCATTAAGCGCCTACCCTTCGCTGATGACTAGGAAGTATATTGATCACCGGGCTGTTGAACGGCTCCTAGAGGGAAGGGAGGAGCTGTGCTTAGACAACTGTGCCCCTGCAACCCCTCCTGCTTTATTATCGGTCCAATGGCTGAGAGCAAATGTTTTTGAGGCAGGCAGAGGTGGTTTTGAATCTTTATGAACCCCTGTTGCCTTCTTGCAAAATTGAGATGGCAATCAAACCTGCCCCATAGGGCTGGCTGTTGCCAGCAGCAAATGAGATGCTGTGTAAATTGTTGGCCCAGCACCTGGCATTTAGTAAGTGTTCACTGAAAGTGAGTTCTGCTGCCACTACAGTTTTTATTTTTGGCCTTGTCCTGCATTCTGCCTGGAACAATCTTATCTGCTCCCACAGCATGGGCTTTGGTTGCCCAGGGATTCCCACTTGTGCACTGTTGGGTTCCTCTTGGTCAACACTCCTCACCTCACTGCTTACCTATGTGTGGTAACGGAGGTGGGGGAATAGACAGAGAGGGAGGAGTGGGCTTTGACAGCCCATAGGAGCTGGGGCTGGACCAGAGGAGTGCCCCCTTGGATTTGCAGGGTGATATGGTTTGGCTCTGTGTCCCCAGCCTAATCTCATCTAGAATTGTAATCCCCAAGTGTCAAGGGAGGGACCTGGTGGGAGGTGATTGGATCATGGGGGCACTTTCCCCCATGCTGTTCTCGTAATAGTGAAGGAGTTCTCACAAGATCTGATGGTTTTAAAAGTGGCAGTTTCCCAGCCTGGCCAACATGGTGAAACGCTGTCTCTACTAAAAATACAAAAATTAGCCAGGTGTGGTGGTGTACGCCTGTAGTCCCAGCTACTCAGGAGACTGAGGCAGGAGAATCACTTGAACCTGGGAGGTGGACGTTGCAGTAAGCCGATATCACACCACTGCACTCCAGCCCGGGCGACAAAGCAGGACTCCATCTCAAAAATAAATAAAAGTGGCAGTTTCCCCTGAGCACTCTCTCTCTCCTGTCACTGTGTAAGACATGGCTTGCTTCCCCTTTGCCTTCCACCAGGACTATAAGTTTCCTGAGGCCTCTCCAGCCATGCAGAACTGTGAGTCAATTAAATCTCTTGTTTATAAGTTACCCAGTCCCAAGAAGTATCATTTTTTTTTTTTTAACTGAGACAGAGTTTCGCTCTCATCACCTAGGCTGGAGTGCAATGGCACGATCTTGGCTCACTGCAACCTCTGCCTCCCAGGTTTCAAGCAATTCTCCTGCCTCAGCCTCCTAAGCAGCTGGGATTACAGGTGCCCACCACTACTCCCAGCTAATTTTTGTTTTTGTTTTCAGACGGAGTTTCTCTCCTGTCACCCAGGCTGGAATGCAATGGTGCGATCTCGGCTCACTGTGACTTCCGCCTCCCAGGTTCAAGTGATTCTCCTGCCTCACTCTCCAGAGTAGCTGGGATTACAGGCGCCCGCCAGCAAGCCCAGCTAATTTTTTGTGTTTTTAGTAGAGACGGGGTTTTACCATGTTGGCCAGGCTGGTCTCAAATGCCTGACCTCAGGTGATCCACCCGCCTCGGCCTCCCAAAGTGGTGGGATTACAGGCGTGAGCCACCGTGCCTGGCCACTCCCAGCGAATTTTTGTATTTTTAGTAGAGACAAGGTTTCACCACGTTGGCCAGGCTGGTCTCGAACTCCTGCCCTCAGGTGATCCACCTGCCTCTGCCTCCCAAAGGCATGAGCCACCATGCCCAGCCTCAGGTAGTATCTTTATAGCAGTGTGAGAACGGATGAATACATAGGATGTAGTCTACCCTGTTGGTGCCCCACCCATATCCCCTTGGCACTTACCTCTACAGAAAGGATGCTCATGGCCAGCACCTGAGGCTCAGCCTGGGGGCCTTATTCTGGCTTCAGGAGTCCCTTACCCAGTGTACAAGGCCAGTGCAAAGTGCTACAGAGTGGCTCCCCCCACCCACTCAGCAGACCCAGCCTGTGAGGGAAACTACTTTGGGAGGTAAGTACCTCACTTCCTTGCCCCTTGAGTGGAATAGCTTTTATTTATTTATTTATTTATTTATTTATTTATTTATTTATTGAGACACTCTCACTCTGTCGCCCAGGCTGGAGTGCCTCAGCCACCCAAGTAGCTGGGATTATGGGCATGCATCACCATGCCCAGTTAATTTTTGTATTTTTTTTTAGTAGAGCTGGGGTTTCGCCTTCTTGGCCAGACCGGTCTTGAACTCCTAGCTTCAAGTGATCCGCCCGCCTTGGTCTCCCAATGTACTGGGATTACACATGAGAGCCACTGCACCCAGCTGGGTGGGATAACTTTGATGCACGTTCTGCACTGGGTCCCAGAGATCCCCAGTGGGATTGAGCTCCAGTTGCCCAAAGGGGTAACTTGCTCAATAATGCACCTTTCACTAGCTTCTTTCCCTTCCCCTCTCACAGCCCCATTCCTCTGTGCCAGCATTTTCTGGAATCACCTCCCAACAATATACTTCCATTCAAATCCTCTCAGGTCAGATGAGTAATGGGAGAGATGGATAGACTTGTAGATGATCCTCAAGAAGTTTAACGATGAAGCCAGGTGCAGTGGCTCATGGCTGTAATTCCAGCACTTTCAGAAGCCAAGGCGAGGGCCAGGCACAGTGGCTCATGCCTGCAATCCCAGCACTTTGGGAGGCCGAGGCAGGCACATCACCTGAGGTCAGGAGTTCGAGACCAGCCTGGCCAACATGGCAAAAGCCCGTCTCTACAATACAAAAATTAGCCAGGTGTGGTGGCACTTGCCTGTAATCCCAGCTATTCGGGAGGCTAGGAAGGAGAATTACTTGAACCTGGGAGGCGGAGGTTGCATAGAGCCACGGCACTGCCTGGGCGACAGAGTGAGACTCCACCTCAAAAAAAAAAAAAAAAAAAGGAAAGAAAAAAAGGAAACCAAAGTGGGAGGATCACTCAAGCCCAGGAGTTTGAGACCAGCCTGGGCAACATAGCAAAACCCTATCTCTACATAAAATTTAACAATTAGCCAGGTGTGGTATGGCATGCCTGTGGTCCCAGCTACTCAGGAGGCTGAGGTGGGACAACCTCTTAAGCCCAGGAGATAGAGGCTGCAGTGAGCTGTGATTGCGCCACTATACTCCAGCCTGGGTGACAGACCAAGATCCTATCTCCCCAAAAAAATAAAAAAGAAAAAGCCAGGTGCTGTGGCTTACACCTACAATCCCAACACTTTGGGAGGCTGAGATGGGAGAATTGCTTAAGCCCAGGAGTCCAAATTCACAATTGGCTAGAGCTTTTCTCCCACCCCCTCACCCCACCCCAAGGCTTTTTTTTTTTTTGAGATGGGATCTTGCTATGTTGCCCAGGCTGGAGTGCAGTGGCACGATCTTGGCTCACTGCAAGCTCCACCTCCCGGGTTCACGCCATTCTCCTGCCTCAGCCTCCCGAGTAGCTGGGACTACAGGCACCGCCACCACATCCAGCTAATTTTTTTGTGTTTTTAGCAGAGACGGGGTTTCACCATGTTAGCCAGGATGGTCTCAATCTCCTGACCTCGTGATTCACCCACCTCAGCCTCCCAAAGTGCTGCGATTACAGGTGTAAGCCACCATGCCCGGCCTTTTTTTTTTTTTTGAGATGGAGTCTCACTCTGTCACCCAGGCTGGAGTGCAGTGGTGCAATCTCGGCTCACTGCAACCTCCGCCTCCCGGGTTCATGCCATTCTCCTGCCTCAGCCTCCCAAGTAGCTGGGACTACAGACGCCCGCCAGCACGCCTGGCTAATTTTTGTATTTTTAGTAGAGATGGGGTTTCACCGTGTTAGCCAGGATGGTCTCGATCTCCTGACCTTGTGATCCGCCGGCCTTGGCCTCCCAAAGTGCTGGGATTACAGGCGTGAGCCACCATGCCTGGCCCCCCCCCCCCTTTTTTTTCTTTTTTAAAGAGACAGAGTCTGTTGCCCAGCTGGAATGCAGTAGCACCATCATAGCTCACTGCAGTCTCCAACTCTTGGGCTCAAGCAATCCTTCCACTTCAGCTTCCCAAAGCACTGAGATTACAGGCGTGTGCCACCATGTCCAGCTGCTCCATCCTTTAATAAGGTCAACTGAGGCCAGGCGTGGTGGTGCAAGCCTGTAATCCCAGCACTTTGGCAGGCTGAGGTGAGCAGATCACTTGAGTCCAGGAGTTCGAGACAAGTGTGAGCAACATGGCAAAACCCTGTCTCTAGAAAAAATACAACAATTAGCTGGGTGTGGTGGTGCATGCCTGTAGTCCCAGCTACTCCAGAGGCTGAGGTGGGAAGATCATTTAAACCTGCGAGGTGGAGGTTGCAGTGAACCGAGATTGCACCACTTCACTCCAGCCTGGGCAACAGAGGCATTGACAACAACAAAAAACCACGAAAGGTCAATTGATTTCTCCAGTGCAAGGTGCTCTGTCCACACTATTCCGAGCCTCTTTCAGCCAGCTGCCACCCCTAGCCTCTCCTTGGGCTCTTTTGTTCTGCTTCAGGGAAGCAAACCGTTATACTCAGTAGCTCCCATGGCCGACCCACAGCAGCCCAGCTAAGTTATCAAGTCCAGGAAGCCTGTAATCTCTGCCATAACCGCTAGAGGCCACCAACACACCAGCAAAGCTAACAGTTCTCTTCCTTTATTAGGGCTCTCCTATTTCGTCTGCTCCTGCCTTAAAGGTACGATACTCTGGCCTGCCCAAATTGTGCCTACTCTTCCAGGCAGCCTTCTCAGATCTCTGCAGGTAGCAGTTTTATGTGGCTGCCTTCCCTTGCAATATCTTCTGTAGTTCTGTTATTTCATTGAGACTTTCAAAGGTCGTGGTGGGGGCCTGAGATGCCATGTGCCTATGGTGGGGTGCCATTTGCACCCGGTGAGTGAAACTGCAATGCTACTTTCCAGCAGATGGGCAGAATCCTCACCTGTCCCTTGGTCATATACAGGTGTCAAGACTGCCACAACTGACAGGAGAGTGAGCTCCTCACATCTAGGGATGAGGGAGCTGGAGAGCTTGTGCCCCATCCCAGCTGACAGGGAGTGGGGCTCCCACCCATCCTGCTCTGAGGTCTGGCCTTGGCCCTTAACAGGAAGGTTCATAAAGCTAAGGGGCTGGGGACCTGGGGTCACTTGCCATCAGACCGCCTCAGGGTGGACAGGGGGATGCCCAGGGCAGCACTGGAGTACATGGAAGACCACTGAAAAGGTTAAGATTGCACAGTGGCGGCTGGGCGCGGTGGCTCATGCCTGTAATCCTAGCACTTCGGGAGGCCAAGGCGGGCAGATCACGAGGTTGGCAGATCATGAGGTCAGGAGATCCAGACCATCCTGGCTAACACGGTGAAACCCCGTCTCTACTAAAAATACAAAAAAATTAGCCAGGCGTGGTGGCAGGTGCTTGTAGTCCCAGCTACTTGGGAGGCTGAGGCAGGAGAATGGTGTGAACCTGGGAGGCAGAGCTTGCAGTGAGCCGAGATCGCGCCACTGCACTCCAGCCTGGGTGACAGAGCGAGACTCCGTCTCAAAAAAAAAAAAAAAAAAAAAAAAAGATTGCACAGTGGCATCCACCTGTAATCCCAGCCACTTGAGAGACTGAGGCAGGAGGAGGCTTGAGCCATGCAGTTCGAGTCCAGCCAGGACAAAACAGTAAGACCCTGTCTCAAAATAAAAGTAATACAACTGTAATCCCAGCACTTTATGGGGGCAGAGGTGGAAGGATCATTTGAGCTCAGGAATTTGAGACCCACCAGGGCAGCACAGTGAGACCTTGTCTCTACTAAAACAATTTTAAAAATTAGCCAGAGAGGGCAGACACGGTGGCTCATGCCTATAATCCCAGCACTTTGGGAGGGCGAGGTGGGCAGATCACCTGAGGCTGGGAGTTCGAGACCAGCCTGGCCAACATCATGAAACCCCATCTCTACTAAAAATGCAAACATTAGCTGGGCGTGGTGGCACGTGCCTGTAATCCCAGCTACTCAGGAGGCTGAGGCAGGAGAATGGCTTGAACCTGGGAGGCGGAATCTGCAGTGAGCGGAGATTGTGTCACTGCACTCCAGCCTGGCAACAGAGCAAGACGCCATCTCAAAAAAAAAAAAATTAGCCAGGCATGGTGGCACATGCCTGTAGTCCCAGCTACTTGGGAGGCTGAGGTGGGAAAATCACTTGAGCCCAGAATGCGGTGAGCTATGATCACTGCCAGTACACCAGCCTGGATGACAGAGCAAGATCCTGTCTCATCAGAAATAATAATTAGATGGGCATGGTGGTGTGTGCCTGTAGTCCCAGCTAGTCAGGAGGCTGAAGTGGAAAGATCACTTGAGCCCAGGAGTTCAAGTTTACAGTGAGCTATGATCATGCCACTGCACTCCAGACTGGGCAACGGAGTGAGACCATCTCTAAAAAAGCAAAACCGGCCTGGCGCGGTGGCTCACGCCTGTAATCCCAGCACTTTGGGAGGCCGAGGCGGGCAGATCACGAGGTCAGGAGATTGAAACCATCCTGGCTAACACAGTGAAACCCCGTCTCTACTAAAAATACAAAACAAATTAGCCGGGCACAGTGGCGGGTGCCTGTAGTCCCAGCTACTTGGGAGGCTGAGGCAGGAGAATGGCGTGAACCCAGGAGGCGGAGCTTGCAGTGAGCCGAGATAGTGCCATTGCACTCCAGCCTGGGTGACAGAGCAAGACTCCGCCTCAAAAAAAAAAAAAAAAAAAAAAAGCAAAACCCAGGCCGGGCATGGTGGCTCACACCTTTAATCCCAGCACTTTGGGAGGCTGAGGTAGGCAGATCACCTGAGGTCAGGGGTTCGAGACCAGCCTGGCCAACATGGTGAAACCCCATCTCTACTTAAAATATATATATAAAAATTAACCGGGTGTGGTAGCAGGTGCCTATAATCCCAGCTCCTCGGGAGGCTGAGGCAGGAGAATCACTTGAACCCGGGAGACGGAGATGGCAGTGAGCTGAGATTACGCCATTGCACTCCAGCCTGGGGGACAAGAGCGAGAGTTCGTCTCAAAAAAAAAAAAAAAAGCAAACCTCCCCCCCGCCCCCCGAAAAAAAAATAATAAAGGGTTTGGACAGATTCAGCAGTCAGGCTGGGCTGGAGACAGGTTTTGCACTGAGGAAGAAATGATCAACTGGGCCTGGGCTGGCACCTCCTGGTCATCCTCAGGCTCACAGTGAAACGCAATCATAGACCAACATTCTTTAATCACAAAGGCACTTGAGGACCCCTACAAACCCAAAGTCTCTGCCAAGAGTGGCCCTGCAGACGCCCCACCTGCCACCCTCCATCCACCCATCCATCCACACACTCAGAGTTCATCGTGACCTGCAGAGGGCTCCACACTAGGCTTGATGAAGATGCCTTCCATGGCCTTCCACGTATTGTGCGTGTTGGCACTGGGCATGCCGTGGACCTCATGCTGCCCACGGATGGGGCTTCCATACTGCTCACCCGTGACTGACAGGAACACAGAGGTGCCCACATGCTGGAAGCGCACAGCAGCCTCACGCTCCCAGTGCTGTCCAGAGCAGCGCACTGTCCATAGGTCCAGGTCGTCGCCCTCGCCGTCTTCCCCAAAGGCACTCACCTCCTATAGGTGCAAAGGATGAGAAGACAGTGGTCACCACAGAAGGCGGCATTCGCACCTAGTACACCGAGCCTCGGGTTCTTCCCTACCCTTCCTGGAGCCTCAGCTCCCACAGCTGCAAAAGGTGACACCATGACCCGCCCCCGCAACCTCTAGCACTCCCTCCCCAGCATGGGCTCTTCAGACACATGCACACACCATTGCATCTGTCTGTGCAGAGACCACTGGTCCCCACGGAGCTAAGGCCTCCTCCTCCACATTTTCCCAGTCCTAACCCCTCTGACCTACCTTCAGCCTAAAATTCAGCCCCTCAGGCTAACAGTCAAGCTGTCTATCTATCTCAAACATTTTCTTCCACCAGCTCCCCAAGGGCACCCACTGTTCCATTCCAATCCCCTGAATTCCAATGACCTCCATGCATTGGCACAATCTCTTCTGCTGGCCTGGGAAGTCTCTCTTTCCCCTTTGTGGCTTGTAGGACTCCTAATCATCCTTTCAGATCTAGCCTGAGTTCCTCCTCCCCAGTGGAGTTTCCTATTCCCCACCCTCAAGGCTGTGTGGATTCCCCTCCTGGGTCCCACTTGCCACCAGAGGAAGAGCTATCCAGGCGTATCTCTCCGGATCTCTCTCCCGTCGTTCTCCCTGCCGGGCCGGGAGCACCTGAGGGCAGGATCCTGGCGGAGTTACTCTGTGTCCCCCGAGGGGGCGCTCAGTAACCATCTCTGAAGTGAAATTTCCATTTCACGAAGAAGCTGAGGCTCGGATTGGAACCCAGGGCTCTGTCTCTGGCCCCTCACACAGGCCAGGAGTCTCTCTGGGGGCTCCGGGAGGGGCTCACCTGGTTGTTGGACAGCGGCGACGGGAAGTGGTGCGTGTGCAGGTTCTTGCCCGTAAGCACATGCGTGAGCCTCACCGCCTGCCCGCAGCGCACCGGGGACCCGCGCGGGCACCCGCCCTCCGAGCCGCCGCGGATCCGCCAGTAGCTATTGGCGTCGTCCGACGCCTCTACGCCGGTCACCGATTGCTGGCCGCTGCCTGAGGAGTGACACCCCACACACCCAGGGTCTCCGTCAATCGCGGAACCCCGGACCCTCGCCCTGGGACCAGAACATGTCCCAGGGGACCCCAAGGGCTCACCCCCAGCCCCCGCCTGACACCCCCTCAGTCTTTGGGCCCGCAGTTCCCCGACGACCGTCCCCACCCTCAATATCCTCGACACCCTCAAAGCTTTGGCCCCTCGACCTCCCAACGACTCTAGAGCCCCCGCCGCCCGGCTTCCAGACGGCCCACAGACCCCCATGACCACCCTGTCTCCACACTCCCAACCCCGAGCCCCGGTTCCCCGCGCTCTCCCAGTCGCTGGCCCCACGCACCGGATCCGTATTTGATGTCGTGCGAGTGCAGCCGCACGCGGTGGTGCGTATTGAGCAGCTTCAGCACCGACCCGCAGGTCACGAGCTCCGCACCGGTCTTGGCGGCACCACCGCCCGGCACTAACAGCGCCAGCAGCAGCCCCAACAGCACCGGCCAGGCAGCCCCGCCGCGGCCCGCGCTCCACATCGCCCCGGCCCGGCTCCAGCCCCTCGGGCCCAGGGGCCGCTTCCGTCCCCGCCGCGGCCCAATCCGGTTCTGACAGCGCCCGCTTGCGGCAGCCAATAGTCGGCCCGCGCGGCACTCCGCTTGCACTGCCACTGGGTCAGCGCGGGGAGGGCCCGCCCCCGGTTCGCGAGAGCCGTAGCTGGGCGGGGACTGGAGACACGAGGAGGGTTTTGATTGGTCCACGCTTCCGAGGACTTACCAATGAGTGCCCAGGGAAGGGCGGCTGAGTCTCCGAGCCGCGGAGAGTGAGCGTGAACAGTTGGTGAAGACGCGGCTCCTCGCAGCCGGTGAGTCCCTGGACACCGGCTCAGGATCCTAGGACCCTGCAGGCACGTTTTCACGACGCCCCTTGATCCTGGACTCCTGGGCACTCAGTAATGAGTCTCTCCCCTCAGAACCTGGGCCCGCAGCTGCAGGGTCTTGAGGTTGTTGGATCGCTAGATTTTGTGGTCACAAAGTCGACAGATCCCGGGGTCACTGAATCGGGATCAGTCCTTAAGTCCCTGGACCCCGGGATTAATGAAACCTCCAGTCATTCGGCCCTAGGCCCTCTCTGATACTGGGTCACCACAGTCCCTAGACCCTGGGGTTTCTGAATTCCCCTGGCCACTTATACATTTGACTCCTTTCGTGGCTAAATCTCGTGGTCACTGGGTCATCGGGCAGGAGAGGGCAGCAGGGAGCTGTAGCGTTGAGAATAATGGCAGCTTCTCACCAGAAAGTCCCAAAGCTGTCTTAGGAAACCAGAGTCAAAGGAGACCAAGGGGCTGTGGGAACCATGCCTGGGCGACCGTGTCCCAGGTCTCCTGGCCATGAGTAGGTCTCCTTCTTGCCGCCTTCTCAGAGTGTTGTCAGCTCAACCTTCAAGGGAGGAAAACTTACACCTCTGTTTATTTATTCATTCATGGGACATTGTTACAGCAGCTTCACTCCAGATCCTGTGGGGTCACAGAGCAAATAGCTCTGGGCTCAAGAGTCTGACTAGGGTGTAGTTGAAGCACAGGCAAAGCAGAGAGAAAAGTTCATATTTAATTAAATCATCCAGAATTTTGCGTTCAGAAAATCCAGAGTAAAGCCATTTTCATTACAGCAACATGTTATTTTGGGGGTTTCGTGTTTAATACTGTTTTGATTTTGAGTTACATGTAGTATAAGACACCTTGATCTTTTCAGCATTTAGGTGTCCAAACGGTTAAAAGTCAGTCTGCCCTGGATTTGGTAGTCCCTGCACTTGAGGGGTCTCCAGTCTAGGGTGGAAGAGCTGAAGTACTATCTGAGAGGCGATGGATATATACTCTTGGACATGTCAGCCATCATCTCAAAATCAGCACATCCAAAGCAGAATTCCTGGTCTCCGCCCTCAAACTACCCCTCCCCCAGGCTTATGAGTCTCAGTAAATGGCACCTCCATTCTGCAGATGCTCAGGCCCAAAACTTGGGATTCTTCTTTCATTCGTCTCTTTACCTTGCTCCTCACATCTCATTCAACAATTTTTTTTTCTTTAATACGGAGTTTCGCTCTTGTTACCCAGGCTGGAGTGTAATGGCGCGATCTCGGCTCACTGCAACCTCCACCTCCTGGGTTCAAGTGATTCTCCTGCCTCAGCCTCCTGAGTATCTGGGATTACAGGCATGCATCATCACGCCCGGCTACTTTTTTAAATATATTTAGTAGAGACAGGGTTTCACCATGTTGACCAGGCTGGTCTCAAACTTCTGACCTCAGGTGATCCACCTGCCTCAGCCTCCCAAAGTGCTGGGATTACAGGCATGAGCCACCACGGCACCCAGCCTTTTTTTTTTTTTTTTTCAAACTTTTGAGTCTCCCATGTGCATCATTCAAGAAGTCTTTTTTTTTTTTTTTTTTTTTTTTTTTTTGAGACGGAGTCTTACTCTGTCACTCAGGCTGGAGTGCAGTGGCACGATCTCGGCTCACTGCTGCAACCTCTGCCTCCCGGGTTCAGGCAATTCTCCTGCCTCAGCCCCCTGAGTAGCTGGGATTACAGGCATGTATCACCACACCCAGCTAATTTTTGTATTTTTAGTAGAGACGGGTTTTCACCATGTTGGCCTGGCTAATTTGTGTACTTTTAGTTGAGACGGGGTTTCACCATGTTGGCCTGGCTGGTCTTGAACTCCTGACCTCAGGTGATCCACCCGCCTTGGCCTTCCAAAGTGTTAAGATTACAGGTATAGGCCGGGCCCGGTGGCCCACACCTGTAATCCCAGCACTTTGGGAGGCGAAGGCAGGAGGATCACCTGAGGTCAGGAATTCCAGACCAGACATGGTGAAACCCCGTCTCTACTAAAAATGCAAAAATTAGCCAGGCATGGTCTCATGTGCCTGTAATCCCAGCTGCTCGGAGGGCGGAGGTGGGAGAATCACTTGAACCCAGGAGGCAGAGGTTGCAGTGAGCCAAGATCGCGCCACTGTCCTCCATCCTGGGCAATAAAGTAAGACTTCGTCTCAAAAGAAAAGTGGTAAAAGCATAGATCAAAAGATCATGCCAGTTCCCTGCTAGAACCTGCCAGCCATTTCCCAATTGCATTTAGGACCGTAGGAGGCTGAGGACACAGCAGGCAATCTTCCTGACAAGCAAGATAGGATTCTAAGTAGGCTGAGATACCAGACCCAGAGTTGGGGAAGCCAACGTAGCACTCCCTTGACTCTCAGGGGCAGCCTGGTCGCCTCTCTTTGCTGTTCCCTTCTCCGGCCTCCTGCTGCAGACCACCTTCCCCTGCTCACCCTATGGGCAGCTCCTCAGGGCTGATTATGGCATCTCCAGTGCCCTCCACCTACCAACTATAATTTGTCTTAAGGTTCAGGTTCTCAAGAGAGAATCTGATTGGCTCAACAAGGGCTGCTCAAGGTACAATCAGCTGTGGAGAGGAGGAAGGGTGGTAGCTAGTCTCCAAATATGACCACTAACAATTCCTCCCATCCCCATAAGCCAAAGAAAAGACATGGAGTCCATTTCGCCTTTCCTTGAATCTGAGTAGGTAGCGCAACTTGTTTTGTTTTGTTTTGTTTTGTTTTGTTTTTTTGAGACGGAGTCTCGCTCTGTCGCCCAGGCTGGAGTACAGTGGCGCGATCTCGGCTCACTGCAAGCTCCGCCTCCCGGGTTCACGCCATTCTCCTGCCTCAGCCTCCCGAGTAGCTGGGCCTACAGGCGCCCGCCACCGAGCCCGGCTAATTTTTTGTATTTTTAGTAGAGACGGGGTTTCACCGTGGTCTCGATCTCCTGACCTCGTGATCCGCCCGCCTCGGCCTCCCAAAGTGCTGGGATTACAGGCTGGAGCCACCGAGCCCCGCTACGCAACTTGTTTTGACCAATCGAATGCCGAAGAAGTGCTGTTTGGGGACTTCTGAGCACCGGCCATAAGAACGCTGGCAGGTCTGGCTTTATCCTTCTAGGAAGCTAGAGAATGCACCTTACTGTAATGAAGTGCCAGATTACTACGTGGTAAGAGGCCACATAGAGAGGGACCCTGGAATGCTCCAGCCTCAGTTCAATGAGCAGCTGAAAGCAGTCACATGAGCAACTCCAATGTACACCACTACTCCACTGAGCCGGTCAAACTCCAGTGTTGGGCGGGGCACAGTTGCTCATGCCGTTAATCCCAGTGCTTTGGCAGGCCGAGGTGGGCGGATCGCTTGAGCCCAGGAGTTCGAGACCAGCCTGGCCAATACAGTGAAACCCTGTCTCTATCAAAAATACAAAATTGGCAGGGCGCAGTGGCTCACGCCTGTAATCCCAGCACTTTGGGAGGCCGAGGCAGATGGATCACGAGGTCAGGAGATCGAGACCACCCTGGCTAACACGGTGAAACCCCGTCTCTACTAAAAATACAAAAAAATTAGCCGGGCATGGTGGTGGGTGCCTGTAGTCCCAGCTACTCAGGAGGCTGAGGCAGGAGAATGGCATGAACCCAGGAGGCGGAGCTTGCAGTGAGCAGAGATCACGCCACTGCACTCCACCCTGGGCGACAGAGCAAGACTCCGTCTCCAAAAAAACAACAAAAAAAATTTAGCCCGACATGGTGGCGCACGCCTGTAGTCCCAGCTACTCAAGAGGCTGAGGCAGGAGAATCCCTTGAACCCGGGAGGTAGAGGTTGTGGTGAGCCGGGATCGCACCAAGGCACTCCAGCCTGGGCAACAGAGCAAGAATCCATCTCAAAAAATAAAAATAAAAATAAAAGCCAGGTGTGGTAGTTCATGCGTGTAATCCCAGCACTTTGGGAGGCTGAAGCGGGCAAATCAACTGAGGTCAGGAGTTCGAGACCAGCCTGTCCAACATAGTGAAACGCCATCTCTACTAAAAATACAAAAAAAATTAGTGGCCAGGTGTGGTGGTTCATGCCTGTAATCCCTGCACTTTGGGATGCAGAGGTTGGCGGATTACTTGAGGTCAGGAATTCGAGACCACCCTGGCCAACACGGTGAAACCCCGTCTCTACTAAAAATAAAAAAATTAACTGGGCATGGTGGTGGGTGCCTGTAGTCCCAGCAACTCAGGAGGCTGAGGAGGCAGAATTGTCTGAAGCCAGGAAGTGGAGGTTGCAGTGAGCTGAGATCATGTCACTGCACTTCAGCCTGGGAGATAGAGCAAGACTTTTTTTTTTCTTTTTTTTTTTTAGACACAGTCTCACTCTGTCACCCAGGCTGGAGTGCAGTGATGCAATCTCGGCTCACTGCAACCTCTGCTTCCCCAGGTTAAAGCCATTCTCCTGCCTCAACCTCCCAAGTAGCTGGGATTACAGGCACCTGCCACCACACCTGGCTAATTTTTGTATTTAGTAGAGACAGGGTTTCACCATGTTGGCTAGGCTGGTCTCCAACTCCTGGCCTCAAGTGATCTGCCCACATCAGCCTTTCAAAGTGTTGGGATTACAGGCATGAGCCCGGCCAAGACTTCATCTTAAATATAAATAAACAAATAAGTAAATAAATAAAATGGCGGCTGAAATCTCAGGACAGCAAACCTGTGTCCCAGCAACACAGGCTTTATTTCTATTTCTTTCACTGGCTCCCTTGAGAGTCTCAGCAGAGCTCCTCGTGGGCATTCAGCCTGTGGTGACTCCTGCTCTTGGCAGGGGCTGGTGTGATGTGCAGCAACTCTGACAGAGCAGGGAATCGAGTGGCTAGTGGGGACTTCATGGTGGGTCACCGTGGCCCACGTCCACGGAGTGGCTGACCGAGGCCTCCTCTCCAGGCTCTGGGAGGCTCTAGACTCCATCCTCATCCTTGTCCTCATCCTGGTCTTCATCCTTGAACTCATCCTCATCTTCATCTTCAATCTCGGCTTTATCACGGCCCTCATTGTCCATGTCCTTGGACTTGGGGGGACTGGAACCCATGCCGGTGCAGGCAGACATGTAGAGCTTGGGCTCCAAAGGGCTGAGCTGCCGGCTGGCTGGCAAGTTGGTGTAGAGGGAGCGGCAGGGCTCTGTGGCCTGGTCCTGGGCAGTGTGGGTGGCTGGTTCCTGCTGCACAGAGGGTGTCTCTGTGCTGCAGTGGGAGGTGCTGAGCCGGGAGGCCTGCCGGGCCCTTTTGGACTCCTCCAGTTTACGCAGCAGGCAGCTCCGGTGGGTCTCCGAGGACAGGTGGATGCGGGAGCCTTTTACCTTCTTTAAGCCCAGGGAAAGGTCCCTGAGCACGTGGGTGATGGGGAAGGAGAAGAAGCCCAGCTGCTTACTGAGGTCCTTTTCGAACTCGTACTTGCGGATGACCAAGGAGGCTGCCTGCTGGGTCAGGAAGTCGGCGAGCTCCTCATAAAGGCGGTTGGAGAAGTGAGACATGCTGGACTTCGACGAGATGGAGGGCAGCGGCTTCTTCTTCGTGAACCTGCTGCTGCTGCAGGGGCTCTGCATAGCAGCCGGGGAGGGAAAGGGACACATGTCACACCTGCCAGCCCCATCCCTCTGTGACACCCCTTCCAGCCACTGTGCCCTCCTCAGAGCCCTGCCAGCCCTGCCCATCACAAACATGAATGGGTACCCTTAGTGTGACAAACACATTTGCCACACGAAGGGTACAGCCTTACCACACCTGCTATGCTGTTGCACTCAACTGCCCACTCTCATGCTCACCTCGCCATCACACCTCCTACAACTGTTGGGCCTGGGGCAAGGGCAGGGACCTGTCACAGGGTAAGGCTAATCTGAGCCTTGACAACTGGGTTTGGGCAGGCTCCTGCCCAGGCCTGTGCCCAGAGACAGCTGCAGGGGCCTTGATGGCTGAGGAAAGGGTCGAGGGACCGTGCTGGAGACCCACCAGTGTGAGGCCACCTACGTCTTGTACACATCCTCCCTGGGCAACTTCCCCTCAGCAAAGTCCAGGGACTGGAGAGTCCTGCTCGAGGCAGCTGGATTCAAGGGAGCTAGACCTAGGAGGCAAGGCCCCGGCTGGGCTTGGGCTGCTGTCCACAAGGGACGGGACTTTCCACCCCCATGTAGGAGCGTCTCTAGATTCACATACAAACGTTAGAAAAAATACCCAGCATAAAAAATAGCCTTTATTTATCTGTGACAACACCTGGTAATAGCTAGGCCAGGATTCATGGGCCCCCATCAGCTTGACCCCTGCCCAGGAGGTTTCCACAGTGCAGGGCAAGAGACCTTGACCTTGAGCACCTGTTAGTGACAGTGGCTGCTAGGAGTGGTGGGTCAAGGAGCCCTTCTCCTGCAAACTCATGCCCGGTCCTACTTTTGAGGAGGTCACCTCTGGACACAGTGAGGCGGGAGATGAAGAGGCAACTGGAGAGAGCTCAGGGAGAAGGTAGCAGGAAGAGCGGGGGTAGGGGGAGGAAAGTGGAGGTGTGACAGGGCCCCTGAGGTGGCCCTGGCTGCAGGCCACCTCCACCACAATCCCTGGCGTGGGCAGGGTGAGGTGCAGGCCCTGCCAGGGCTGGGCCCTCTGGCTGGAGCTCAGGGAAACAGGTGGGTTTTGTAATTTGGGATCTGAGTCAGGTGCCTCCTCCCTGGAGTGGAGTGAGGGGCTGGGGACATTGGGCTTCTCCGTGGGTGTCACCTTGAGTTTGAATCTGGTGGCCACCTGGGCACTAGACATGGAGGGGGAGCCTCCTCTGTCCTTGCGTTTTCTCTGAAGCATCTTGGGGCTGGAGACTGTGGGGCGGGGGGAAGCATAGGGCTGCCCGCCATTGGTGGGTTTAGCTGGCTCAGAGCCCAGAGGCGGCAGATCTGAGGTGGGCTCCAAGCTGGTGGGGAACAGAGGACGGCCGTCGCGGCAGTGGGCGCCACGGAGCTTATCCACAGCCTGGCTGACCACGCTTTGCAGGGCAGGGAAGAGGCGGTGGTCAGCCAGGAAGTTCAGCGTGCGATGGGGCTCACGGAGCGGACAGTAGCCAGGCAGGTCGAGGGACTCCAGCTGGCTCAGTAATGACTTGATCTCCTTATTGAACTCTCGCTTGCGGAAGATTGGCTCCTGTTCTCCAGGCCTCGGCTCTGATGCTTCAGGCACGCCAGAGCTTGAGCCCAGCAGCCCTGAGAACCAGGACAAGGGCTGCTCCTGTGTCCACTGAAAGCTGGTCTGGCTACCCAGCGAATCCCACAGCAGGGAGTCCCTCTGGGAGCAGGACTGACTGAGGCCTTTCTGCAGAAAGAGGGTGACTCTGTGAAGTGTTCAGGAGCAGCCAAGCCAGGGCTGACCCTAGCCCTGGGCTCTCCATGGGAGTCCACCCCACCCAGCCATGGCCCTGGCTCTCACCCCTTCCCTCTCCAGCTGTAGCAGCCGCTTGAGGTTCTTCTCCAGCAGGAGTTTGTCCCTCACAGGTGGCAATGAGCCTTGGGCACCTAGGTCACTGTCCCGGCTGTGGGAGCCCAGACAGCCGGCCATGAGGCTGCTATGGCAGTTGGACATGGAGCTGGAGCTGGATGGGTAGTTGTTGGGGTGTCCAGTGCAGAGGGTCGGCCGTACACGGTGCCGGTGTACGGTGCTGAGGCTGGGCCGGGCATGTGCCCGCCGTCCACCACTTGGCACCTCCACTGGGTCCTGCACCTCCACAAGCGGCACCCCAGCCTCCGTCTTCATGGCAGCCATGCGCTCAGTCGCCTTCTCCACCACTGTCTCCAGGCTGTCCAGGACCTGGCTCTCAGTTAGGAAATCCAGAAAGTGGCCAAAGGGCTGAGGGTGCCTCTTGTTTCGGCGTTGGCCCTGGAGTGCTGAGCTGCCACATGTGGATGGTGGGTGTGGCACACGGCCCGGCTTGCAGGCTGGCCGCATTTCTGGGACCAGTGGCTTCTTGGGCAGCTGCACCTGAGCAGACAGGTATGTCACAGGGGGCAGGGGTGCCCTACAGGTGAAGGGTTCCCTGGGGTAACACTAGGACCTGGGTGGGAGTGAGTAGTGGAAGGAGCTGCATTTTGGAGTCTGGAAGCCCTGGGTTTGGACCCTGGCTCTGCCACCTACAGCCTGATGCCAGTGTGCAAGATGGCCCCTCTTGAGGTCCAATGTCCTCATCTGCAAAGTGGAGGTCTATTCAGGGTCACCCCGAAGCTTTCCTAACACCTACATTTCACACACACAAGTCCTGGCTAAGGAGTCTGCAAGCCTGCTTCTGCCCTGACACGTGGCAGGATGAGCAATCATGAATCTCTCGGAGTCTCCCTCCAGCTCCTCATCTGTCCATGCAGCAGGCCATCCCTGTATCCATGGCAGGGCTGCAAACAACATCTGAGGTCTTGAGTGCAGACAACACCTGAGGTCTTGAGCCCTGTGCTACCCGGGCCTGTTTCTCCAACTTGAGCCATAGGCACCTAGTCAACTCCATGCTCCCACTCTAGGGTCCCAGTCCACCCAAGCACCTTCTGGGTCGCTGGAAGTCAGGAGGAAACAAGGAATGAAATTGAGTGTGACAGGGGCAAGCAGTGGGGGACATAGGAGAAGTCAAGGCAATAAGGACTTCACTAAGAGGCCCAGAGAAGTCAATAGACAATGAGAAATGGGGGTTGTGGTCTTGGGTGCCAGGGTTGGTGGGGAACATGTTGTGGCCTCAAGGGTCGGCGCCCTGCTGGGCACACTTACCCGTGCACTGCACATGGAGTGGCTGGCCTCGTCATCGGCCAGGTAACCCGAGTGGTGGCGGCACCTGGCCATGTGGTCACCTGGCAGGTGACCGGGCCTGCTGCCCACCTCTCTCTTCAGCTGCGCATTCCTCTCTGCGTGGGGTGGGGAGACAACCTGAGGGTCTCCAATAGGTCCACGCATCTGTGGCCCTGGAGTCTGCGGGTCCCTCGCTCCCCGCACCCCGCCTCCTTCATGCATCCAGCCCTTCCTCTGCTCCATGGCCCCCATGCGTCTGCAGGCAGGCAGTTTCCAGAGTCATCGGGGTGGAATCGCTGAGGACAATCCTGTCTCCGATCATCTTTGGATCTGCGTGTGCTCGACCCGCCCTCCTCCCAAACCCTGGGCAACCTGGCTTTCACCCCAGCCCAGAATCAACAGACTCACCAGAAACACCGCCTTGCTCCGCACAGGCCAGTACAGTCTGCGCCCTCACTGGAGCAGCTGCACAGTGCGAGGAAGTCGGCTGGCGGCCTCCACTTGCTTATTTGCATACCACATCCTCATTGGTTCTTACCGAGGAGCTCGTCCACTTCCCTCTCCGACACAATGGTTGGGGGCGGGGCCCACATTGGCCCCACCTCCAATTCTCTGGGCTCTGCCCTCCCACACTCGCCTGGGAGCCGCAGGCTGAGGATGCTGGTGCCCACGCTCCCCGCTGCCGGGAGGACCCCCCACCCACCACCGAAGCTGGGGCTAGGCTCTTTGATCTGCTCCTGCCCCGAGGGGAGCCTAAAAGCCAAAGCCACGTCTTCCACCGGTGGCACAAGCACCTTCCTCGTGTCCTCCTTGGTTGCTGCGCAGCCCTGGGCCTCCTGCTCCTGTTCGTTTCCAGGGGCCTCTGCCCTTCCCGCGGTGTGCACAGCCCCAGGTTCTGCCTTGAGACCTCTCCCCTCTGCAGTGGAAAGAGTGCCGGCTCTAAGTCACAGACCTAGCTTCAGTTCCTGGCTCTGCTCTTTCCTGCCAATGTGACTCAACCTCTCAGCATTAGTCCCACACTGTAAATGGGCTTGAGTGTTCTTCCAATATGGGAGTATGGGATTCAATAAAATCTCCCTACAGCACACCCAGTAACCCAGTGGAGCCTTGTGTATTCTTTAATTAATTAATTTATTTATTTGGAGACGGGAGTCTCGCTCAGTCGCCCAGGCTGGAGTGCAGTGGCGCAATCTCGGCTGACTGCAAGCTCCGCCTCCCGTGTTCACGCCATTCTCCTGCCTCAGCCTCCCGAGCAGCTGGGATTACAGGGGCCCGCCACCACGCCCGGCTAATTTTTTTGTAGTTTTAGTAGAGATGGGGTTTCACCGTGTTAGCTAGGATGGTCTCGATTCCCTGATCTTGTGATCCGCCTGCCTTGGCCTCCCAAAGTGCTGGGATTACAGACCTGAGCCACCGCGCCCAGCGGAGCCTTGTATATTCTTACCTCCTCTCCCTCCCTCCTTTTCCCCTTTGCTCAGTAATACCCCACCATGGTGTCACTTCTTCCAAAAACCTTTTACTGTGAATTCTGCCACGCCCTACGCAATTCACAGTAAACCCCATTCCAGACTCTACCATACCATGTTGCTACTTATTTTTCTATCAGATGGTGCTTCTTTGGGGCCAGAACAGAGGCAAGTCACCCTTAATCTCTAATACTTTCAGTGTCTGGCACCAAGTAGGTGCTCAATAAATGTCAGTCTCCTCCTTCCCACCTGCAGACCCTCGGGACCTCTGACCTTTCCAAGATCAGCTTCCAGTGGAGAACGGTGGTTGGTTGAGGTCTGACAATTCACCAGTCACTATAAACACATCAGTCCTTATGCCAAGAGCATGGCTGAAGGACTCTATGAGGCTTTCAATCCTCACATGCCTCACGAAATATTGTTCCTCTCAAGCTCTGCTCTGTCCTCTCAGCTCTGGCTACCCACTAGGTCAGGGACAGAGAGGACATAGCAGGCCTGGGTGCTGGCCCCGAGGTGTGAGGTTCAGTCTTAGCTCCACTACTCCTGGCAGGACCACACTTTCGCTCTCTGAACCCCAGTTTCCTCATCTGTGAAACAGGAATGACATTACCAATTTCATAGCCCGGACACAAATACCACACTTTCCATGGGAAAAATCAAGACTGTCACATTGCAATGGAAACTGTGGCTGCCAACCATAATGACTATTTATACAGTCATGGGTAAGGAAAGCTTTTCTGGACCAAAGAGAAAACAGTGAAGTTATGAATGTAAAAGCTGTAGCCTGGCAGAGAGCTCAAGATGGAAACTGGAGATAATGTTTTCTCAAATGAAGCCTTAGTGTATATGCTTTCTTTCATTTTCTTAGTGTCTAGAGCTCAAGAAAAAAAAAAAATCAACAAATCAAGAAAATGCCTGCTCTTAGAAAAATCTGCAAAAGATCAATAGGCAATTTGAAAAAGAATAAAAATAGCTAATAATATGAAAATTTTCATTCGCACTGCTAAGAAACTACTAGAATGTGATAACATTGATATAATCATCTTTATGTTCTCAAAACAACACACAAAAAAGTTGGGTTGGGGAGAAAGGGAGTTGGGTGTGTTTATTTGCTTAGAGAAAACACTGGAAGGACACAACCCAGAAAGTTTACAATGGCAATCTCTGGGAAGGGTAGGAGATTCTTTTTTTTTTTTTTTTTTTTTTTTGAGACGGAGTCTCGCTCTATCGCCCAGGCTAGAGTGCAGTGGTGCGATCTCGGCTCACCACAACCTCCGCCTCCCGGGTTCAAGCCACGCTCCTGCCTCAGCCTCCCGAGTAGCTGGGATTACAGGCGCGTGCCACCACTCCCGGCTAATTTTTGTATTTTTAATAGAGACGGGGTTTCCCCATGTTGGCCAGGCTGGCCTTGAACTCCTGACCTCGTGATCCACCCGCCTCGGCCTCCCAAAGTGTTGGGATTACAGGCGTGAGCCACTGCGCCCGGCTTCCTTTTGATATTTTACATATTAAATATCACTTTTGCAGTCAAGGAAAGTTCCGCATTGCAATGAATCCATCACTGGTCTGGTTAGCGCGGGAGCAGTTGCCGGGTCCTTGCAGGGGCACGCCGGACCGCTAGGTGGCGAGAACAAAGGCGAAGTGCAGCCGCACCTGGGCGTGTGCGTCGGGGCGGGGCCCGGGCAGCGTCCGGGGGCGGGGCCTGGGCTGTCCGGCCCACTCCCCTGGGAGCGCGAGCGGTGGACCCAGGCGGCCATGTCCCGCCCTCGCATGCGCCTGGTGGTCACCGCGGACGACTTTGGTTACTGCCCGCGACGCGATGAGGGTATCGTGGAGGCCTTTCTGGCCGGGGCTGTGACCAGCGTGTCCCTGCTGGTCAACGGTGCGGCCACGGAGAGCGCGGCGGAGCTGGCCCGCAGGTGAGGGGAGGGCCTCTAGCAGGGCGGCGATCGGCTTGGGGCGCGCGGCTCCGCGGCCGCTAGTGCTCCAGCTCGCGCTCCGCCCTCAGGCACAGCATCCCCACGGGCCTCCACGCCAACCTGTCCGAGGGCCGCCCCGTGGGTCCGGCCCGCCGTGGCGCCTCATCGCTGCTCGGCCCGGAAGGCTTCTTCCTTGGCAAGATGGGATTCCGGGAGGCGGTGGCGGCCGGAGACGTGGATTTGCCTCAGGTGCGGAGCCGCAGCTACAGGAGGATGCTCGCGAGGACCCCCAGAGCTCCGCCCGGAGGGTACTGTGAGGCCGTTAGGAGCTGGCGGTGGATGACTTCCGCATTCAAACACTGGAGCCATCACACGGAAGCACGAGGAGGGTATCCTCGGCAGCTACTCCCGGTCGCTCAAGGTGTCTCTCGCTCGCCCTCTAGGTGCGGGAGGAGCTCGAGGCCCAACTAAGCTGCTTCCGGGAGCTGCTGGGCAGGGCCCCCACGCACGCGGACGGGCACCAGCACGTGCACGTGCTCCCAGGTGCGTGGTTAGTGATCCCAGTTTGGAGGGCGTTACTCCCAGGCGGGGCTGGGGGAGTAGGGGAAGTTCGATGCCCCCAGGTGAAAGGACGTGCTCCTCCCTGACCCGCTCCGCCCGCAGGCGTGTGCCAGGTGTTCGCCGAGGCGCTGCAGGCCTATGGGGTGCGCTTTACGCGACTGCCGCTGGAGCGCGGTGTGGGTGGCTGCACTTGGCTGGAGGCCCCCGCGCGTGCCTTCGCCTGCGCCGTGGAGCGCGACGCCCGGGCCGCCGTGGGCCCCTTCTCCCGCCACGGCCTGCGGTGAGGCTCCCCGCCCCGTCTCCTACCATAGCTGCCTCTGTCCCTCCGCACTGGCTGTTCACCTGGCTAGCTGTGTCCGTTTCTCAACCCGGAAGCGAGTCTGGCGTCGACCGCTGCCGCCACCCCAGTTACCCCCTCCCACCCCGCCGTCCCTTCCCTAGCCTACCTAGCCCTTGGCCATGGCCCGGCCTGGTCCCACCTCTGATGTCCCGCCCCCCACAGGTGGACAGACGCCTTCGTGGGCCTGAGCACTTGCGGCCGGCACATGTCCGCTCACCGCGTGTCCGGGGCCCTGGCGCGGGTCCTGGAAGGTACCCTAGCGGGCCACACCCTGACAGCCGAGCTGATGGCGCACCCCGGCTACCCCAGTGTGCCTCCCACCGGCGGCTGCGGTGAAGGCCCCGACGCTTTCTCTTGCTCTTGGGAGCGGCTGCATGAGCTGCGCGTCCTCACCGCGCCCACGCTGCGGGCCCAGCTTGCCCAGGATGGCGTGCAGCTTTGCGCCCTCGACGACCTGGACTCCAAGAGGCCAGGGGAGGAGGTCCCCTGTGAGCCCACTCTGGAACCCTTCCTGGAACCCTCCCTACTCTGACCCCCTACAGACAACCAAGCACTAATCCCCTTAGTACCAAGAAAGGGGAGCCAGGATTTAGTCCTGGCCCAGCCCAGAGCTGGGACCTGGAGCACGATCTGTTGACTTCCCTGGGTAGGACACTGCCACCTCTGGGCTCAGGTCCTCATGCCTCCAAATGGCATCTAGAGTTTGAGCAGCCTTCTTGGCTGCAGGCAGGCCTAGCCTGTGGCAGCGGGCTAGGGCCCGCAGAGCATTTGGTGCCCCTCCATGTTGCAATGCAAACACCTTCACCACTGGGGCAGTGGGGAGAGATGGCTATATTAATAAAATAACGTGTGTCTTTCAAACTTGGGTGGTTTATCAGCTGTGCCCAGGAGACCCTCAGAGAAACAAGCACGGACAAAGAGCAGCTCCCTCTTGGCTCAAACCACTCCAGGAAATGGCCCATTCTCCATTCTGGTTTTGTTCATGCTGCAATTTTCTTTATTCCTTTTTAGGGTGGGAGTGGGAGATTGTCCTCACCAGGCTGCTTTGGAAGAGGCATAATACTATAATCTCAGTATTGATTTAAGAAGTCACCTGTAGGCTGAGTGTGGTGGCTCACACCTGTAATCCCAGCACTTTGGGAGGCCGAGGCGGGCAGATCACCTGAGGTCAGGAGTGCGAGACCAGTCTGACCAACATGGAGAAACCCCATCTCTACTAAAAATACAAAATTAGCTGGGCATTGGTGGTGCATGTCTGTAATCCCAGCTACTGGAGAGGCTGAGGCAGGAGAATCGCTTGAACCCGGGAGGCGGAGGTTGTGGTGAGCCGAGGTCGCGCCCCTGCACTCCAGCCTGGGTAACGAGCGAAATTCCATCTCAAAAACAAAAGTCATCTGTTTAGATGTAAGCCATTCTACGGGATAGGCGTGAGGAGACCCTGCAACCCTGTGGGAATACATTTAAATTTTTCTAGGAGGAGCAGTCTTCCCGGGAAATGGGATACCATGGTTCCTAACTTCTGGCAATGTAGGGATGCCCTGTGGACTGGGGCCGCATGTGGCTTAGCTGAAAGCTCCTGAGGTGCAGGAGCAGATGGGGAAGGCAGTGCGAGTCCTCTAGAGCACAGAGTCCTTCTGCACCACTCCGCAGGATGGAAAGGCAGATGGAATACCATGTGGTCCTTGTCTCATTTCATGAAATAGCATCTATGAGGCAGGCACCGATGTCCCCATTTTACAGGGGTAGAGGCAGGAGTGGCAGAGCAGGGCTTTGAAACTACTCATTCATTTATTTAATGTGCACTGGGCCCTAGCCTGGGCCAAACATGGAATCAGGGGCCAAGAGAGCTCTCATCCAGCCTAGGCAGCTTGGAGAGACGTGTGGCTTTCTGAAGGGTGAGTGTGGGATGTCGCTCCTCCTTCCTGCTTCTACCCACTCATGGCCCCATCCCCTTGACTGTGGCTTCAGTCCCTTTTTCTGGCTCCACACTCGTCTTCCATCTTGACCTTCACTAGACTTGGACTCTCCCATCTGCAGCACTTTTCCTGCTTTCTTGCACCCATGCTTGTGAGCTGGAATCACTGTACAGTTGCTCCTCCTGCTGCCTAGCCTCCACCTCCTCGCCTCAGCCTGCTGAGATCTGGCCACACTCCTGCAGGCTGCTGGCTAAGGCTGGGAGAGGGGTGGCCTGAAGTTAGCCGGGGATACAGACGTAGCTCCCTTGAGGGGCTTCTGTTATGGAAGTGTTCTGAGAGGAGGAGGCAGCTGGTTGTGCAGCTTTAGGCTCAGGAGAGGTGTGGGTGGGCAGGAGAGACCTGGGGGTCTGCACAGATGCTATATGAGTGGCTACTGTCACTCAGGGAGGGAAGGAGGGATGAGCAGAGTCGACAGCAGCCCTGGGGACCGTGAGACTTTTTTTTTCTTTTTAAAGACAGGATTTCATCCTGTCACCCAGGCTGGAGTACAGTGGCACAATCACGTCTCTGCAGTTCTCCACCTCCCCAGGCTCAGGTGATCATCCCACCATGGCCTCCTGAGGAGCTGGGAGCACAGGCATGCCTGGTTCATTTTTGTATTTTTTGTAGAGATGGGGTTTTGGCATGTTGCCCATGCTGGTCTCAAACTGCTGGGCTCAAGAGATCTGGTCACCTTGGCCTTTCCTAAAGTGTTGGAATTAACAGGCATCAGCCACAGCAGCCGGCTGACCATGAGCATTTGAGTGAAGTGAAGCCAGGCACAGTGGCTCACACCTATCATCCCAGCACTTTGGGAGGCTGAAGTGGGAGGATCACTTGAGCTCTGGAGTTCCAGACCAGCCTAGACAACATACTAAGACCTTATTTCTGTTATTTAAAAAAGAAAAAATAATGGCTGGGCATAGTGGCTCACGCCTGTAATTCCAGCACTTTGGGAGGCTGAGTCGGGAGGAAGGCTTGAGGCTAGCAGATTGAGACCAGACTGTGTAACATGCCAAAACCCTGTCTCTATAAAAAATACAAAAATTAGCCGGGTGTAGTGACACAAGCCTGTAGTTCCATCTACTCAGGAGGCAGAGATAGGAGGATCGACTCAGCCTGGGAGGTAGAGGCTGCAGGGAGCAGTGATCATGCCACTGCACTCTAGCCTGGGTGACAGAGTGAGCCTGACTCAAAAAAAAAAAAAAAAAAAAAAACTGAAGTGAGGGGGCATAGACTGGTAGGATAATCAGGCCCACCTGATTATAATGAGGCCCATCTCACGAGGAGGTGAAAGTGATAAGGACCTGTTGGGGTGGTGACTGGTGGGCCACAGGGGCTGTGGGGGCAGCAACAGTGTCTTAGCCAAGCGGTTCACTGTTATCCGCCCACTCGGCATTCGTGTCTGGAGGGTCCACTCTGTGCTAGGCCAGGGCTGGAGCTGACATGGCCTGGTCTGCAAGGAGCTCCCAGTCTGGTACATACAGGGACAGTCATCCAGTGTCATCCAGTGACACACAGAGGAAGATGTAGGAGAAACCCACGGCAACATGTGGAGCCACAGGGGGGTTTCTGAACCTGGCCAGCACCGGGTGGGGAATGCTCTCTGGAAGTGACTTCCTTCCCAAGGCCTCAGTTATCGCCTCTGCACGGTGGTCCTTTCTACTCTGATCCTCTGAGGCCTCCAGGGTTCCCTAGGGGCCCTCTATGAACAAGAACACGTTCCAATAATCTGGGAAATGGCCACTTACCAGGCATGGACCAGGCTAGGCACTGCACTGCACTGGGAGCAATGGTACCCTCAGCTCCCCTCTGTTCTGGGTTGGTGCCCGGTTCCCCCATGCCATATCCAGGAAGCAGAGAGAGAAGGAAGAGCCAGGCAGGACAGGGTGGGAAATGCTGAGAGCAGCTCTGGCTTCTTTCAGGGCTGGGTTAGATGGCACCAAATGAAAGGAGAAGCAGCAAGGGGCAGCAGGTGACAGAAGTCAGGCTGCAGCGGGTACAGGAGTGATGAAATGGATGCTTATTTCATGCTGAACAATTAATAGTGAACAAGGCCAAAAATGGTGGCTGGTGGCTGTAGGGAAGAGGAAGTTGACAGAGGGGCTTAAAGGTCTCTGGCTCTGGGGAGGGTGGTAACTGGCTGTTTCTGGGCTCAGAGGGACCCTGTGGGAAGAAATATGCCAAATGGTGGAATGCAACAGGCTCTGCAGTCAGAATGTGAACAAAAACAGGCCAGGGGTCTTGGTTGTCTTTAAAAGCAGGGATAAGGATGCCACAGGGCTCTCCTGAGACTCAGAGGGTAAAGTGCTAGGTATGTTAAAGGCTAGTAAAATGACACCCCAAGAAGTTTCCTTCCCCAAGACCTGCAGATCCAGCTGAACAGTGCAGGCCTAGTCTCAGCTGGTGTCAAATTCCAGGCAGGGAAGGCCTAGCCAAAAAAGTCCTGGGTCTGGCTGAGCCCTTGCTGAGTTAGCACCACTGCCGCAGCACCCTGGCAGTGGGCTGTACTGGGGACTCAGAGTGTTTCTGGCTGGCACCATTCATGGACATGGCCCAGCTCCACCCACAGGCACACCCTTATCAATTCTGTGACCTCTTGGGACCGCAGGTTTGCCTCTTCTAAACATGGATTGTTAACACTCCCAGGAGGCTCCAGGATGACCCACGCATGTAAGTGATGCACCCACACTTTAGTCCCTGTCCCCTCAACGAGACGCCCAAGAGCGCCCTCTGCAGGCCCCGACTGTCTGAAGTCTCCGGCTTTCTTGCTGATTATACCTCATCTCCTTCCCTCTAGGGAGGCAGGAACACTTCTATGTACCTCTTTTGGAGAGGCTGGGAATGGGGAGAGAGATCAGAAGCCCCAGGACCTGGGCCCCAGCCAGCCCTCCCATCTCCAAGAGCATAGGCCCCTGGCACTGCCCGCTCCCAGGAAGGAAGAAACCCACACGACTAACCAGTGTCTGAGAGCATTTTTATTACGGGCAGCAGAACGGGATCGCAGCATCTTAGAAAGCCTATTCTCTGCCGTGGTGGGGAGTAGGGAGCAGAGGGAAGGACCCAGCACACTTCAAGAAACCAGGCGGGTGTGAATTCCTGAGTGAGCTTGGGGCAGCAGTGGGTGGCTGCTCCACAGCTCGCCCCTCCTCCAGAGGACCCAGCTTTTTGGTTTTGGAGCAGCCAGGGCTGTTCGCCAGCTTGCTCAGAGCCTACCCTGAAGGCATGGCTGGCAGGAGCAAGCCGCCCAGGCCCAAAGGAGAGACACCCACTGGCTCGAAAGCCAAGCCTCTGCTGACGGGGCCAACCCTGGGGTGCCAGTGCCAGGGCTGAGAGTCCCTGAGGGGCTGCCGGCACACAGGTATCCTCCCGTGATGAGCAGAGTGCAGTGAGGGGTTGACAGGCAGGCAGAGCTACGTTGGCAGAAATACGAAGCAATGGGACAGTTTCCAAGAATGGCAACATTTCTGGATCCAGAGAAGCAACAAGAACAAATGGTGGCTTGTTTGGATAGCTGACAGAATTTGGCATTTTATTACAAACTGGAGTGTGAGTGAAATAAAATCCATCATCACTTTTCTGCTAATGAAGACAGATGTGGAAACGCCAGCCCGGTGCCCTTGCCATCCCGGGCACAAGGGAGTCTCCAGAAACCTGCCCTTGGCGTACCTAGGACAAAAGAAGCCGAGTTCGTGTACACACCGCAGGGGCCATGCGCCTGAACAATGTTAGGCTGCCGAACCTGCCCATCACTCCCCACTTCTGCACAGACCAGACCAAGCTGTCTTACACGCCTGTAGGCCCCGGAAAGATCTCAAGTTATAGAATTAAAATTAAAACAAAAAGCAAAGTTTAAGTCATCTTCTCCACAGGATCTAGTCCCCCCCAAGAGCCAAGAAGGGAAGCCGCCAGTGGCAGAAGCGGGGTTGGTGACACACGGCATTTGGATCGTCGGCTTCCTTGGGGTGTCAGAGCGACATGGATTCTCTACTAGTGCGGGGACAATCCCATTTGCCTTGAAAAGACATTAATATTCAAATCTTTACAAGTTTATCTGACGATAAATTCTAAGGTCAATTTTTATTTCTACAAAAAAAGGCAGTCAAAACAATATAAAACACATTGAAAGGATATTACTGAGTGAGCTTCAAGTGGAGCTTGACTCTGCAAAGGCTGTGAGTCCGAAGGGAGAGGAAGTCCGTCTTGTTCCCGGGCTGGGCTGGCTGCTCTGGAGGAGGGGGTCAGCAGGGGCCCAGGCGACCCCAGACTGGTGCTTTAAATAGCCGAGTCCTGCTAATTCCAATCCTACAAAGGGTCAAAGTGTGCCGAGGGAGGGCTGTGGCAGGGCCACTGCACGGAGGAAGTGGAGAGCAAGCTCCGTGGCACATTCGGATGAAGCTCGGTGACAGATGAGCTAGGAGTTTCAAACGGACATTCTGGCTGTAGCTTTGCCTGCAAGGACCAGCAGATCTTCTACAATGGCTGCAGGGAGAAGTGCCAACCTGGGACCTCAGGAGCCTTTCTGGCGAGATTCATCACACACAGTGTGCACAGCATCCTCCTGACTAGCAGGCCCCCCATTTCGGGGCCACCACAGACCTGTGATTATAGGGCTTCTCTGTGCAGGCCAGGCCAGAGGTCAGTTACACACACTGACATCAGGGCTTGCCCAATTAACTGATGTTACTGTGGTAACATCAGCTGGAGTTTCACACAAGAACTGAGGAGAAGGACTGGAGGAGGGGTGTGGCTGTTTGTTTTTAAATTTTTTAAAAGGATGTTATAAACTGGAGTCAGGAGAATTTAAACCAACTCCCACACTGGGCAACAGTGCCACACATGCTAAGAAAAGCCACCAGGACCGCCAGGGCAGTCTCTTCTCCTTTGTGGAGGCGAGCCCGGGGTCTGGGGAAGTAAGTAAGTGAAAAATAAACTCGGTGCCAGAAAGTGGGAGTGGCAAGGGTAGGGAAGAAAGGGAACCACAACCGTTTTTTTTCCTTTTTTTTAAACCTTATGGGTTAAATGTAACTTGAAGATTTTGGATAAAATTGGACAAGAAAAGAAACACCATTCTTTTGAAGTAGATTGAAGCAGTGATTTTTAAAACAAAGAGAGCAGAACTAGAACATCTTAAATTTTTAATCCTTTCTTTACAGGTTACCTAGACCACTTTTGATTAAGAAAACTGTAGAAAGTTAGTAACTGCCACAAGCGAACGCCAGGCGGTGGCACGTGTCAATTTCCACAGAGTCCTGCTTTGCGGGGTGTCTGAATGCACTGCACGGGGTCTCTGCTCACACTTGCTGGAACCAATCGTGGCAGATTTTAGTCCACAGGTCGCTTTTCCCCATATTTCTTTGTAAACTCTTCAGCATTCTTACAGAATTTTTTACGGTCCTTAGAGTATTCTTCAGCTAGGTCAGCCCGAAGCGGGTGCTCAGGCTGGGGGTCATTCACCAGTGCTATGAGGGACTGGATTACTGCCAAGAGAAGGACAAGGCATGGGGGGTTAACACAGTCTCAGAAATGGCACAGGCAAGAGGCAGCTAATCCGGGAACAAAACTCTGGCTTTACAACTGATTTACAGCTAATGTGCTTTTAAGCCAAAGCTGCCTCCTATTTATCCAAAATTCTGACTGCCAGAAAACTCATCTTTCCTCTGTGATTAGAAGACACTGATGGACAACAAATAGCTAACACTACAGTGGATAATTGTTCACAGTGATGTGCTTCCGCCTCCAGGAAGCCTTCCTGACCTAACACCTGGGGAGGTCTTAGCCCTCAGTCACTCCCAGCCCTTTTTTCTTGGCGGGGGGTTGGGGAGGAGGGACAGGGTCTCACTCTGTCACCTAGGCTGCAGTGCAGTGGCACCATCTTGGCTCACTGCAGCCTCAACCTCCTGGGTTGACCTCAAGCAATCCTCCAGCCTCAGTCCCCCAAGTAGCCAGGACTACAGTCGTGCACCACCATGCCCGGCTAATCCAGTCCTCTTGTGTACTCTGGAGATAGGAGGCCTAGTATTGAACTGACTGCTCACTCTCATGCATGCACACAGGGTCACTTTCTTCAGGGCAGGACCGGGTAGAACTTCCCTGCATCAGCCCAGCACCCAGCACCATGCTCGGCTCAGGGAAGTTTCGGTTAAGGTGACTGAGTGGGCACTAGAGAGAAGGGTATGTGATGGCGCTGCACTTGTCAATGCGCAATGACCCAACTCTGGAAGACCCTTAGGAGTTTCTGAACCCTCTAGAAAGGGTCACTGGGGCCAGCCAATGGGAAGCTGACAACCGCCATCGCATCACATTGTCAAGACCACAGGCAGATGTCACGCTGATGGCTCTGATGGGTGCCACAGTACTCCCCCTAGGTGCCGTAGCCCAGACGTGCCCCAGGGTGGAAGGATAGTGGGGAATCAGAAGCAGCTGCTACCCACACCTCCTCACATACTTTGCCACAGTTGCCCCCTGACCCTGTCAGGACCAGCACCCTCAGAATGTTCCTTCCCACTGTAAAACAGTGCCCCTCTTCTCCGAACTGCTGATGCCACAAATTCCTTCTTATTTTTTTTAGACAGTCTTGCTGTCACTCAGACTGGAGTGCAGTGGCTCAATCATACTTTACTGCACGGTACCCTCAAACTCCTGGGTGTAAATGATCCTCCTGCCTCAGCTTCCTGAGTAGCTGAGACTACAAGCACATGCCATCACGTCCAGCTAATTTTTTTTTTTAACCTAGGCTAGAGTACAGTGGTGCAATCACAGCTCACTGCAGTCTTATCTCCTGGGCTCAAACAATCCTCCCACCTTGGCCTTGAGAGTAGTTGGGATTACGGGTGTTAGCCACTGCTCCTGGCCTAGTTTTTTGTAGAGATGGGGTCTCACTATGTTGCCCAGGCTGGTCTCAAACTCCTGGGCTTGAGTGATCCTACCGCCTCATCCTCCCAAAAGTGCTAGGATGACAGGCATGAAGCCACTGCACCTGGTCAATTCCTTTATTAAGGGCTCATATTGTTCATTCAGCATTACAAGAAATGGATTAAAATGCAAATGCTAGCCAGGCAGATCACCTGAGGTCAGGAGCTCAAGACCAGCCTGGGCAACATGGTGAAACCCCGTCTCTACTAAAAATACAAAAATTAGCCAGGCATGGTGGCCCATGCCTAGAGTCCCAGCTACTCAGGAGGCTGAGGCAGGAGAATCGCTTGAACCCGGGAGACGGCAGTTGCAGTGAGCCGAGATCGTGCCACTGCACTCTAGCTTGGGCAACAGAGCGAGACTCTGTCTCAAAAGTAAATAAATAAAACAAAATGCTGATGCTGGCTGAGTCATATGCAAAGGCATAATCATTCAACAGCACACATTAAGTGAGGGCCACAGCACAAAGTACTCCTGGCCTGGTGTCCAAAACCCACCTGCCTAACCTCTGCTTTTTACTGTGCCTGGTGAGAATGGGAAAGAGAGGGCTCCTGTGACCACAGTGGGTAGAGGTGAAGCAGTGGGGCAGAGGCGAGGAGGGCATTGCGCATGCAATGCTGACAGGTTCCACGTTTGTTGGGGGTGGATGGGCAAGGAGGGTGGACTGTGAACAGCAAGCAGGGGCAAGGGGCCTGGAAAGCTCTCTGCAGGCCAGGGTGGCCTCTAATTCAGTCTCTAAGCCTCTTCAGGGGTAGGTGGTATCACCTCCCTGTACAAGCCACCTGTACCTCTAGAGGCAGCAGGCCCTGGAGGTATATTTTTATTTAATAAACATTTATTTATTTATTTAATAAACGAAGCCCACCCTTGGCTGACTGGCCACAGTGTATTTCAGTGCACACCACCCTCGGTGTGAGACTGCTCCCTTTTCCTGGCTGTTCTTGACTTCAGGGCTGGAAATTGAGCCACAGTCGCCTAAGAGCACAAATAGGTGGCTCCCCTTCCTTTCCCATGATTAGAAATGGCCCTGTAACAGGAGAATTACTACCGCATTAGCATTTTAGAAACCTCACTGGGCTAAGGACAGGCTGAGTACTTCGTTAGGGGCACGCTCAGGAGTTTTCACCTCACTCTCTGATATGAATACTTAGGCTCTCTACTTCTCACTATCATCACCTTGGTAACTAATGCAGAGGTTGGTGGCTCACACCTGTATTCCCAGCACTTTGGGAGGCCAAGGAGGAAGGATCACTTGAGGCCAGGAGTCTGAGACTGGCCTGGGCAACATAGCAAGACCTGGCCTCTACAAAAAATAAAAAATAAAATTAGCCGGTTGTGGTGGCACATGCCTGTAGTCCCAGCTCCTTGGGAGGCTGAGGTGGGATGATTGCTTGAGCCCACAATATTGAGGCTGTAGTGAGCTGTGATTGTGCCACTATACTCAGCCTGAGTGACACAGCAAGACCCTATCGCAAAAAAAAAATAATATATATATATATTTTTTGAGATGGAGTCTCGCTCTGTCGCCCAGGCTGAGTTAGTGGCACAATCACAGCTCACAATCTCGGCTCACTGCAAGCTCCGCCTCCCAGGCTCATGCCATTCTCCTGCCTCAGCCTCCCGGGTAGTGGGATTACAGGCACCTGCCACCATGCCCGGCTAATTTTCTGTAATTTTTTAGTAGAGACGGGGTTTCACCGTGTTAGCCAGGATGGTCTCGATCTCCTGACCTCGTGATCCACCTGCCTCCGCCTCCCAAAGTGCTGGATTACAGGCGTGAGCCACTGCACCTGGCAAAATAAAAATTTAAAGACCTATTTCTCAAAAGATGCCATTTGTCTATTTCGTTATTTTTTATAGTTTCACTAATTTGATCAAGTCTGAATTTTTTTTTTAATTGAGATGGCGTCTCACTCTGTCGCCCAGGCTGGAGTGCAGTGGCACAATCTCAGCTCACTGAAACCTCCACCTCCTGGGTTCAAGGGATTCTCCTGCCTCAACTTCCCCAGTAGCTGGGACTACAGGCATCCGCCACCACGCCTTGCTAATTCTTTGTAATTTTAGTAAAGATGGGGTTTCACCATGTTACCCAGGATGGTCTTGATCTCCTGACCTCATGATCCACCCATCTCATCCTCCCAAAGTGCTGGGATTACAGGCATGAGCCACCATGCCCGGCCTCAAGTCTGAGTATTTTTAAATTTACTTAGTAGTTCTGATAAGTATTTCATTCTTTCGCTGTTCCCCTGGGTGCATTTCTGGCTCCTTAGCTAAACTATAATAAACTTCAGCTGAGCTGAACTTATTTTGCTAGTAAGAACACCTGACAGATTGTCTGCTTTACAAATTACAACTGTGGCCCTCTATCAACATTTTTCATATATAGGACAGCATATTAAAATTATATTTTATAAAACATCCAGCCCTGGGTTCTTGGTCTCTTCCATGACCCAAATGCTCCTCAGAAGTACTTTTTTTTTCTGCAAAATGTAGGGGCTTAAAAACATACAACAGGCCGGGCGCAGCAGCTCACACTTGTAACCCTAGCACTTTGGGAAGCCGAAGTGGGCAGACTGTCTGAGCTCAGGAGTTCAAGACCAGCCTGGGCAATATGGTGAAACCTTGTCTCTACTAAAATACAAAAAACTAGCCAGGTGTGGTGGCATGCGCCTGTAGTCCCAGCTACTCGGGAGGCTGAGGGAGGAGAAATGCTTGAATCCAGGAGGCGGAGGTTGCAATGAGCCAAGATTATGCCACTGCACTCCAGCCTGGGTGACAAAGTGAGACTCTGTCCCCCCAACAAAAAACAAAAAACAAAAAACCCACACAACAAATTAGCCAATTTTACCTTTTACTCTCACTATATTCTCATCAGAGAATAAAGCCTATAATATTTCCTTCCTTTTGTTCCTTTTCTTTTTTTTTTTTTTTTTTTAAGACAGAGTTTCGCTCTGTTGCCCAGGCTGGAGTGCAGTGGCAGCAGCTGGGACTACAGGTGCCCGCAACCACGCCCGGCTAATTTTTGGTGTTTTTAGTAGAGACGGGGTTTCACCGTGTTAGCCAGGATGGTCTCGATCTCCTGACCTCGTGATCTGCCCGCCTCGGCCTCCCAAAGTGCTGGGATTACAGACATGAGCCACCGTGCCTGGCCCTTTTGTTCTTAATGACAGTTTCTCTGCAATAGCGGATGTAAACAATATTTGTGATTTCCCCTCCTTTTCATAAAAATCCAGGGAGCTTCATTGTCAAAGAATAAAATGTCAATGTACCTTCAACCCAAAAAGATATGCAATGTTGTAGCCTTCCATGGAATGTGCTTTAAAAAAAGGGGGGGGGTGTTTTGTTTTGTTTTTTTGCCCCCCAAGTAGCTGGGATTACAGGTGCCTGTCACCACGCCTGGCTAATTTTTTTTTTTTTTTTTGGAGATGGAGTCTCGCTCTCACTCTGTCACCCAGGCTGGAGTGCAGTAGCGTGATCTCAGCTCACTGCAACCTCCGCCTCTCGGGTTCAAGTGATTCTCCTGCCTCAGCTTCCTGAGTAGCTGGGACTACAGGTGCACGCCACCGTGCCCAGCTAATTTTTTTTGTATTTTTAGTAGGGACGGGGTTTCACCACGTTGGCCAGGATGGTCTGGATCTCTTGACCTTGTGATCCGCCCACCTCGGCCTCCCAAAGTGCTGGGATTACAGGCGTGACCCACCACGCCCAGCCTGGAACATTTTCATCCCCCAAAAAGAAAACCCACTCTCAGTAGTCACTTCCTATTCTCCTCCTCCTAGACCCTGACAATCACTAATCTACTTTGTCTCAATGGATCCACCCTAGTCTGAGCATCCCATATACAGCTGAATTTTATCTGTAGTGCTTATGTTCTATAAACTTGCCATGAACATTGAATTAATGATACTGAATCATTGCTCCTAAGGGAAACAGAGGTTTAGGTTCAAACAAGCCTCTGCTCACATTTTTGCCAGCTGATTAATATATAACTTTGTTTTATGTGTGTTTAAAGACACCTTATTTAATAGGTAATATTGACTCAGCAGCACTATAACTCATGCCCAAATAAAGCTTATCTCACACATGTATTTTCTCCAAAAGGCATATCATGACCTTCTGTGCTCAGGAATACTAGACAGCACTTCAGCACCACGTTTGGGGCCAAAGCAAAATCACCAACAAAAAGCACAAAATCCAAGAAGTTTGGCATTAGACAGCCCACTTGCTTCAGTTGAGAGCTGAAACAAGAAGGCAGGGCATCGCACTGTTCAACCACACAACCTCAGCTGGAACACGTGCATGGGGTACTTCAAATTTTTTGCTGCTCTGCACACGCACACATCTGTGATAGACGAGTGCCGAGAGTATTGATTTTGGGGCTACAAAAAACTTTAGTGAGTAGGCAAATTCGCAAACGCAGACTCTATGAACAATGAGGCTCAACTACAAATGGAATCATACAATATGTGGCCTTCCATGGATGGTTCTTTCATTTAGCATATTTTCTTTCTTTTTTTTTTTTTTTGAGACGGAGTCTTGCTCTGTCGCCCAGGCTGGAGTGCAGTGGCGTGATCTCGGCTCACTGCAATCTCCGCCTCCCAGGTTCACGCCATTCTCCTGCCTCAGCCTCCCGAGTAGCTGGGACTACAGGCGCCTGCCACCAAGCTCGGCTAATTTTTTTTATTTTTAGTAAAGACAGGGTTTCACCATGTTAGCCAGGATGGTCTCAATCTCCTGACCTTGTGATCTGCCCGCCTTGGCCTCCCAAAGTGCTGGGACTACAGGCGTGAGCCACCGCGCCCGGCCCATTTAGCATATTTTCAAGGTTTATGTACCATAAGACAGTACTTCATTGCTTTTTATGGCTAAATAATATTTCATTGTAGAGATACACCATTTTTTGTTGTTTGTTTTGTTTTGTTTTGAGACGGAGTTTGGCTCTTGTTGCCCAGGCTGGAGTGCAATGGCACAATCTTGGCTCACTGCAACCTCTGCCTCCCAGGTTCAAGTGATTCTCCAGCTTCAGCCTCCCATGTAGCTGGGATTACAGGCGCCCGCCACCACACCCAGCTAATTTTTTGTATTTTTAGTAGAGACAGGGTTTCACCATGTTGGCCAGGCTGGTCTTGAACTCCGGACCTCAGGTGATCCACCCGCCTCAGCCTCCCAAAGTGCTGGGATTACAGGCGTGAGCCACCACGCCTGGCTCACATTTTGTTTATTCACTCACCAATTGATGGACATTTGGGCTCTTTTCACTTCTTATCCATTGTGAATAATGGTGCTATGAACATCTGTGTACAAGTTTTTATTGGGCATATGTTTTCATTTCTCTTGGGTAGATATAGCTAAGAGTGGAATTGCTGGGTCATATGAGCATCTTTTCATATTACTATTTCTTCCATTATGCTTACTTTTCTGTACTTGTGGGTGGCTAAAGTCAGCTACAGGTTGTGAATTGAGGAGGTCAAAGAACTTCAAGGCTGGATCTGAGAGAAGCCATAATTGGGAACGCTGAAGTTTCTAAGGACAAGGGCAGGAGACAAAAATCATGAGCAGGTGCTCTGGAGACAAAGGAAGAGCGCTGGAAGATTACAGCAGGAGGGTGGCACAAGTGGCTTTTTCCCTTTCTTTCTTTCTTTTTTTTTTTTTGGTACAGACGGGGTTTCACCATGTTCCTCAGGCTGGTCTCAAACTCCTTGGCTCAAGCAATCTGCCTGCCCCAGCCTCCCAAAATGCTGGGATTACAGGCGTGAGCCACTGTGCCCGGCCTCAGGTGGCACTTTCACTTCCCATATTTAAGAAACAAATGAAGGAATGGTGAGGCATTTAAAAAGGCAGGCTTTGCAGGACAGTGGCAGCTGAACAGCAGTCAGGAAATAGCACCAGAAAAACAGGGACACCCAACATATGAAGAATCAGGCAGGTGGGAGAAGGAATGGCATGTCCAGAGGAGCTGCCATTTGGGAAAAGCAGGCCCAAGTGGGCCTGAGGAGGCAGCAAGGGGACTCAGCAACCTTGCCTGCCTGTCCCACCTCTGCCATCATGTCTCCCATCCTGCATACTCCTCCCATCAAGAGCTGAAGTCTATTTTCCCTCTCATTAAATCTGGACTTGCCTGACCAAAAGAATCCACAGAAGTGACACCGTACCAGTTCTATGCCTTCACCCTGGAACCCTGAGACCACCATGCTATGAAGGGGTCCAATGTAGCCTTGTGGAAAATAAGAGAACACAAAGAGAACCGAAGTGCCTTAGCTAATACCATTTCCGCACATGTGCACTATGCCTACCAGCTCTTCCCAGCCAAGTTGAGTTCCCACCTCAATACAGCTGCATGAGTGACCCCAGGAATGAACAGTCAGCTGTAGAACCATGTAGCTAAGCCCAGCCAACCTCCAGAGTAAAAACTAATAAACTGGTATTACTTTAAGCCACAAAGTTTTGATAGGGGTTATAATGCAGTAATAGATAACAAACATGGGAATGTGGCCGTCAAGTGCAAGGAACAACATTCTTGATGTATGTGAGGATGGGGATCAAGGCCATGCCACAAACAATCTACATAATAATGTTCTAGGAAGGAATCCTCAACTGTCCCAAATCACAAAATAGCAATTCCAGTTCTGTCCATCATGGCACACAGAATAGCTCCTGTACCAAAATTTTTACCTTAAAAATCCCAAGTCAACAGTACTTTTTACAAAAAAAAATTAAAAGCTGCCCCTAAGTTATTTGGCTCTTGGGGGTGGGGGAGAAGCAGCCACAGTCTGAAAAAGCAGAGCATTTTGGCAGTGCACCTGGATAGGAAGGTAAAAAGTGAATAACCCTGCCACGGCCTTCTATGCAGCAGCCCCATGAGAGGTGGCAAAGCACGTGCATCCATCTCCTGAGAGCCTCCCTGGCCCTAGCCCCACCCTCTCAGTCTACAGGTAAGGGAGGAGCCTCAGAACTCTTTGTGGCCAGAACCTGAGGTGCAGGGCTTTCCTGGGCAACCTGGCCTGGAAGGACTGCCACTCCCCAGGCACGATGGGTTAACAGACATGACTCGGCAAGGACTCCAGGAATTACTGAACACTCTTGATCAAATGCAGCTATAGGTTTTCGACAGTGCTAGGAATCTGTACAGAAAAAAACCAGGCTCGCCGGGCATGATGGCTCATGCCTGTAATCCCAGCACTTTGGGAGGCTGAGGCAGGTGGATCACCTAATGTCAGGAGTTCGAGACCAGCCTGGTCAACGTGGTGAAACCCCGTCTCTACTACAAATACAAAAATTAGCCGAGCGTGGTGGCTGTAATCCCAGCTACTCAGGAGGCTGAGGCAGGAGAATTGCTTGAACCCGGGAGGCGGAGGTTACAGTGATCTGGGATGGCATCACTGCACTCCAGCCTGGGTGACTCCGTCTCAAAAAAAAAAAAAAAAAAAAAAAAAAAAGAAAAGAAAAGAAAAAATCGGCTGGGTGCGGTGGCTTACGCCTGTAATCCCAGCACTTTGGGAGGCCGAGGCGGGCGGATCACGAGGTCAGGAGATCGAGACCATCCTGGCTAACATGGTGAAACCCCGTCTCTACTAAAAATACAAAAAATTAGCCGGGCGTGGTGGCGGGTGCCTGTAGTCCCAGCTACTCGGAAGGCTGAGGCAGGAGAATGGCGCGAACTCGGGAGGCGGAGGTTGCAGTGAGCAGAGATCGCGCCACTGCACTCCAGCCTGGTGACAGAGCGAGACTCCGTTTCCAAAAAAGAAAAGAAAAGAAAAGAAAAAACCAGGCACTGAGAAGAACTGTGTCAAGCTTTTATAAACATCAGCTTGTACACAAACAAGGACCAAGCCCACTAGAGACTGTTCTGCCCTGACTGAATGTTTAGCACCCACTCCTTTCTTCTACTCAGTGTGGGAGTCTAATGGGCACCTTTCATGGTGATTACTTCCAACAAGTGAGGCTTGATTTTTCTTGCGCAAGGCTTTGAACTCCACCTTCCAAGGCTTTTTTCAATCACTAAAACAAGGGACCTCCTCAATCCCTGTGCAGGTCAAAAGTTCAGCTGAGTTATTCCCACAGGGACTGGTGGCACCTCAGCCATACTTTGCGTGCACCTGGTAAGGTAGGAGTTCTCTGGACTCCGTCTGATCTGGCATCAGGAAGGACCCATGAGCCCCTACCCTAGAGCAGCACCCCTAAAAGAAACCCTCCACTTGCAGCCTCTCAAGTGCCAGCTTCATCCACTCTAATCTAAACAGACTTTATACTGGTTTAGGTACTTAAAAGGAAGCCATCAAAATATGAGATTAGGACTTCAAAAGAAAGTCTAGAATTAAATGAAAACCAGACACAGTCCATAACAAACTAGTCACTTCTAGGGGACAAAAGGGAGGACAACCACAATACTGACTCAAATATTCTTCCCAGAAGAATGAGCATGTTTATGTTCACACAGCCACACACAGACATGTGCACCACGCACAGCCACATCCAACTCCAGGGAATCCCAGGCCCACTAAAGCCAACTACGTGCCTTCATCTGGGAATACTGCCCTTACATCTGCCTCTGTCCCTCCCCTCACATCACCCGAGCAACTAGGCTCTAGCCCATGCCCTTCCTATAGCCTGGAAGGCCCTCTCCAACCTCCTTTCCTCCTTCAAGTCTGAGTTCAGGCACTAACTACTGCATGAGGCCACCTTAAATCCCACTCTCCCTTCCCCTTGTAGGCAGCCCCACAGTCCTTCATCCCTTCCAGGGACCAGTGCCTGCACCTCTCTGCACCAGCAGCAAGCCACTGGGCTTGTCTGTCCATGTGTGTTCCCACTGTGGATGGCAGCCCAGGGCTGAGCACTGGAAAGGCCTCCTCAAACCCTATACAGGTCAAAAGTTCAGCTGAGATGAGCCATTCCCACAAGGTCTGACAGGACCTCAGCTACATTTTTCGTGTACCTGAAAGATTCTCTGGATTCTGTCTGATCTGGTACCAGAAGCCCCCACCCCAGAGCAGCACCCCCAAAGACCCCCTCCGAGGAAGACACAGGCACATGTCTTACCTTGGTCGGTTTTGGTTGCTGGCTTCCAGTTTTCGGCACTAATTACTGGCAGACAGACCTGCCCCTTTTCGTCGATGTTTGGGTGATAGATCTTTGTTTTAAATGTGATCTTCGGTGGTTTGAATGGGTACTCTGCTGGAAAGTTGATTTCGATTCTGAAGGCTCCCTTATCATATGGAGGGTTGTCCTGGAAGGAAAGAGAGATCAAAATGAACACACCATGGTTCATAAACCTATGGCCAAGACAGGAATGTTTTAATTGTTTATCTGAAAAATCAATTTATTTCAAGGGATTCAAGTATCAACTGAAGCCCTGCCACCTTCAGGACAACCCAGCCACCCAAAAGTATTTCTAGAGCAAGCTATCTGCTAAACTGAGAAGGGGCTTGAGATTGATGTCCTGGTCTCTTCATACTTTTTTAAAAAATAGACTTTACTTTTTAGAACACCTTTAGGTATACAGCAAAACTGAGAGGAAAGGACAGAGAATTCCTAAATACCCCCTGCCCCTGAACACACACAGCTTTTCCCACTATCAGCATCCCTCACCAGAGGGGCAAATTTGTTACCACCAATGAACCTTTTACCTTAACACATCATTACCACTCAGCTTCCCTAGTTTATGTTAGGGCTCATACTTGGTGTTGCACATTCTATAGGTTTTGTGTGGTTATCAGACATGATAGCTGGAATCATGCAATATGTAGCTGCTATGTCTGAATGTATCTCCCCAAAAATCTTATGTTGAAACCTAATCACCAATGTGATGGTATTAGGAGTTGGGACCATTGGGAAGTGATTAGGTCATGATGGGATTGGTGTCCTTATCAAAGAGGCCCCTGAGAACTGCCTTGCCCTTTCCATCATATAAAGACACAGTGAAAAGGCACCATCTATAAACCATGAAGCCGGCCCTCAGTTGCCACTGAATCTGTTGGCACCTTGATCTTCAGACTTCCCAGCCTCAATAAGTGAGAAATAAATTTGTCGTTAGAAGCTATTTGTTCTTTTTATTATTATTATTTTTTCAGAGTCTGTTGCCCAGGCTAGAATGCAATGGCACGATCTTGGCTCACCGCAACCTCCGCCTCCTGGGTTCAAGCAATTCTCCTGCTTCAGCCTCCCAAGTAGCTGGGATTACAGGCACCCGCCTCAATGCCCAGCTAATTTTTGTATCTTTAGTAGACATGCGGTTTCACCATGTTGGCCAGGCTGGTCTTGAACTCCTGACCTCAAGTGATCTGCCTGCCTCGGCCTCCCAAAATGCAGGGTTTATAAGCGTGAGCCACTGTGCCCAGCCGTTACTTGTTTTTCCCCCACTTCATACTTACTTATTTATTTTTGACAGGGTCTTGCTCTGTTGCCCACTGGATGGTGGCGTGATCTTGGCTCATTGCAACCTTGACTTCACAGGCTCAAGCAATCCTCCCACCTCAGCCTCCCAAGTAGCTGAGACTACAGATAGGCACCACCACCCCCAGCTAATTTTTTTGTATTTTTATAGAGACTGGGTTTTGCTATGTTGTCCAGGTTGGTCTCAAACTCCTGGGCTCAAGAGATCTGCCTGTCTCGGCCTCCCAAAGTACTAGGATTACAGGTGTGAGCCACTGCACCCAGACTCATTTCTTCTTAGTGTTGAATGTCATTTGTCTAGATATACCACAATTTATTTATCCATTAACCCACTGAAGGACATCTTGGTTGCTTTCAAACCTTAGCAATTAATGAATAAAGCTGTTATAAGCATCTGTGTGGATACAAGTTTTCAATTCATTTGGCTAAATACCAAGGAATGTAATTGCTGGATCCAATGGTAAGACATATGTTTAGTTTTGTAAGAAACTGCCGGCCGGGCGCGGTGGCTCACGCCTGTAATCCCAGCACTTTGGGAGGCCAAGGCAGGTGGATCACGAGGTCAGGAGATCGAGACCATCCTGGCTAACACAGTGAAACCCCGTCTCTACTAAAAATACAAAAAAAAATTAGCTGGACGTGGTGGTGGGCGCCTGTAGTCCCAGCTACTCAGGAGGCTGAGGCAGGAGAATGGTGTGAACCTGGGAAGCGGAGCTTGCAGTGAGTGGAGATTGCGCCACTGCAGTCTGGCCTGGACGAAAGAGCGAGACTGAGTCTCAAAAAAAAAACAAAACAAAACTGCCAAACTGGGCCAGGAGCAGTGACTCATGTCTGTAATCTGAGCACTGTGGGAGGCCAGGGAGGGAGGATCACTTGAGGCCGGGAGTTCAAGACCAGTTTGTGAAACATAACAAGACCCCATCTCTACAAAAAAAAAAAAAAAAAAAAATTAAATATATTAGCCTGGGCCAGGCTCAGTGGCTCACACCTGTAATCCCAGCACTTTGGGAGGCTAAGCTGGGTAGATCACTTGAGGTCAGGAGTTCAAGACCAGCCTGGCCAACGTGGTAAAACCCTGTCTCTACTAAAAATACAAAAAAATTAGCAGAGCGTAGTGGTGCACGCCTGTAGTCCAGCTACTTGGGAGGCTGAGGTAGGAGAATTGCTTAAACCCGGGAGGCAGAGATTGCAGTGAACTGAGGTTGCGCCACTACACTCCAGCCTGGGTGACAGAGCAAGATTCCATCTCAAAAAATAATAACAAAATAAATATATTGGCCTGGCATGGTGGCATGTGCCTGTAGTCTCAGCTACTTCAGAGGCTAAGAAGGGTGGACTTCTTAGGCCCAGGAGTTTGAGAATGCAATGAGCTGTGATCACGCTTCTGCACTCCATTTTGGGCAAGAGAGAGACTCAATTTCTTTGTTAAAAAGATTTTATGAATAAATAAATGAAAGAAACCGCCTAACTTGTCTTCCAAGGTGGCTGCACCATTTTGCATTCCCACCAGGAAAGAGCGAGAGTTCCTGTTGCTCTACGTCCTCAGCAGCATTTGGCAGTGTTCTGGATTTTGGTCATTCTAAGAGATGCACGGTGTTATTTATTGTTGTTTTCTTATTATAGAGTTTTAAGTGTTCTTTGTCCTTTAGACAGTCCTTTATCATATTATGTTTTTGCAAATATCTCTTGATCTTTTCTGAAGATACAAGTAGAGTTGTACCAGAGGTAAGTTACAACCCAACCAGAATACACTGTGAGTACTAGAAGTCCAAATAACTGCCTTGATGCCAAGTCCTGGCCAGCTCAATCTTCCCAGGGTAGAAACAGTAGTCAGCTCAATGGCTGGACCCTGGGGACCTGAGCTGGTCACTCAACAGGTGATCACCAGGCAGGGCCAGCACCATGCCCTAGCCCCTTGCCCCTAGAACCACCCGAAAACCACCTTTGGGGCCTGGACACTCTGATGGCCCCAGGAGCCTGAGAGATGACTCAGCAAAGAGTCTTTTGGCCTCTCCCCAACCCTACCTATCTCCAGAGCTGGGGAAGCCCTTCCCATTGTACTCCCTTTTCCCTCACCCAGGTCTGCCATGGCACTTGCCATGGCACACCCAACCCAAAGAAATCCAAGCTTCACAGAGAGCCCAAGAACAATCTTTTTTTTTTTTTTTTTTTTTTTAAGACGGAGTCTCGCTCTGTCGCCCAGGCTGGAGTGCAGTGGCGCGATCTCAGCTCACTGCAACCTCTGCCTCCCTGGTTCATGCAATTCTCCCACCTCAGCCTCCTAAGTAGCTGGGATTACAGGTACCCGCTACCCTGCCCGACTAATTTTTTTTTTTTTGTATTTTTAGTAGAGATGGGGTTTCACCATGTTGGCCAGCCTGGTCTTGAACTCCTGACCTCAGGTGAACTGCCGGCCTCGGCCTCCCAAAGTGTTGGGATTACAGGAGTGAACTACTGCACCTGGCCCCAGGAACAATCTTGACAGCCCTACACCCCAGCCCCATATCTTCAAGCCGTGGCCTAAGTACGCACTCCAGTAAACAGAGCTCCTCTGCTGGGGAGCAAGGCTGGCGTGCGCCAGTTCTCCACATTCTCCTACATCCAAGCCCTGCCCTGGGAGGGGAGGCATGGAGCAAGGGCCTTAAAGGATGGATAAGATGACATAAGGCTGAGGAGTGGAAGAGGCCTCCCAGGCAGAGAGGACTAAAGACTAGATGGCAGGGACTTGGAAGGAATAGCATAGAGCAAGACAGGAGGCTGCGGGCAGGCAGTGTGGCCCCAGGGCTACTGAAGCCACGCGTCCAGGTCTGAATCACCACCGAGCAGCTGAAACCACTGTCAGCATATTCATCTGTGGGGAGTCACCCAGGCTGGAGTGCAGAGGTGCAATCACGGTTCACTGCAGCCTTGACTTCCCGGGCTCTAGCAATCCTCCCACCTCAGCCTCCCAAGTAGCTGGGACTACAGGCATATGCCACCACACTCAGCTATTTTTTTATTTCTTATAGTGATGGCGTCTCACTATGTTGTCCAGGCTGGCCTCAAACTCCTGAGTTCAAGTGATCCTCCCAAAGTGCTGGAGTGCTGGGATTATAGGAGTGATGCACCATACCCAGCCAGCTTTTAGTTTTCAAGAGGAGAATTAAATGGTGGTGGTGGTGGGGGGAAGTAAGTAAACATCATTGTCATTTACACTGCTTGAGCCATGTAAAAATAGCTTTCCCTCACTGGGTGTGGTGGCACACTGGGAGGCTGAGCCAGGAGAATCACTTGAACCTGGGAGGCAGAGGTTGCAGTGAGCCAAGATTGTGCCACTGCACTCCAGCCTGGGCAACAGAGTAAGACACACACACACACACCACACACACACACACATACCACACACACGCGCGCGCGCACACTTTCCTGCATGACTTTTGGTTGGTGAAATCTGCTAAAGGTCTTCACTGATTGTCCAGGACTGACCAACCTCCCCTGTTCCCCACTGTGGGCCAGGTCCTGTCCGAGGAGCTGGGGTGAAGCATGAATGAGGCCATCTGGCCCCAAGTTAGCAGGTCTAGCCTCAGACTTTGCCTCTTCCTAGCTTAAAGAGTCTGAGAATGTTCCTGTACATCTGTAAAATGGGAGTAGCAACAGCCTGTACCCAGAGTTTATGATGAGAGATAAGGACTATAAAGTCCTACATGCCTGACACATGGGCAAAGCTCAAGAGAAGCAGATTTGGCTGGGTGCAGTGGCTCATGCCCGTAATCCCAACACTTTGGGAGGCTAAGGCAGGAGGATCACAAGAGCCCAGGAGGCTGAGGCTGCAGTGAGCCATGATCACACCTCTACACTCTAGCCTGGGTGACAGAATGAGAACCTGTCTCAAAAAAGCCAAAAACAGACTGGGCGCAGTGGCTCATGCCTGTAATCCCAACACTTTGGGAGGCTGAAATGTGCAGATCACTTGAGGCCAGGAGTTTGAGACAAGCCTGGCCAACATGGTGAAACCCCGTTTCTACTAAAAATACAAAAATTAGCCAGGCGTGGTGGCACATGCCTGTAATCCCAGCTACTTGGGAGGCTGAGGCAGGAGAATCACTTGAACCTGGGAGACAGAGGTTGTGGTGAGCTGAGATTGTGCCATTGCACTCCAGCCTGGGCAACAAAAGTGAAAATCCATCTCAAAAAGAAAAAGAAAAAGAAAAAAAAGAAACCCTATCTATACTAAAAAAAGGCCGAGGCAGGTGGATCACGAGATCAGGAGATCGAGACCATCCTGGCTAACACGGTGAAACTCTGTCTCTACTAAAAATACAAAAAATTAGCTGGGCGTGGTGGCACGCACCTGTAATCACATCTACTCAGGAGGCTGAGGCATGAGAACTGGTTGAACCCAGGAGGCACCGGCTGCAGTGAGCCAAGATCACACCGCTGCAGTGAGCCAAGACTGCACCACTGCACTCCTGCCTAGGCGATAGAGCAAGGTGTTCTCTCAAAAAAACAAAACAAAACAAAAACAAGTCCTTTTGTAAAGACAGGATCTCACTTTGTTGCTAACAATTTTTTTAAATTAGCTGTGCGTGCTGCTGGTGCACACCTGTAGTCCCAGCCACTCAGGAGGCTGAGGTAGGAGGACTGCTTGAGGCTATAGTTTTAAGTTGTTAGTTGTTAAGGCTGTAGTGAGCCATGATCACGCCACTGCCTTCCAGCCTGGACAAGACAGTGAGATCCTGCCTCTTTTTTCTTCCAAAAAGAGGAAGGAAAAAAAAGAAGCAGTTCTGTTACTACATGAGGCAGGCCAGGCCTCTCACCACCCAGGGAACTTGGCCAAACTCATCTGAACTTCTCTGGGCCTCTTTCCTAGTCTGGGGATCTGTGGATGGTCAAAGGAGTGGCTCAGGTGTGCATAAGTCACACAAACTATGTGCCTGTCCCAGAGATTTTTGGTGAAAGAGGCATGCAAAAATTAAAACATAAGATATACCTTCCGGGTAAAGGCCTACAGCTCTACAAGTGAATTTCAACATTAGAGCTAAACTTGCCCTTTGGGAAGGCCACTCAGAAATAACAAGGGATGTTAATGAAAAAACATGGTTTTGTTGTAAAAAATATATATATTATAAAACATTGCAGAAAATTTGCCTCCAACTTAAGCTGCAACATTTCAATGTCAAATAAACCAAAGATTTTAGCATTATCTATTTATTTAGAGATAGAGTCTCACGCTTGCCCAGGCTGGAGTGTAATGGTGGGATCTCAGCACTGCAACCTCCGCCTCCCGGGTTCAAACGATTGTCCTGTCTCTCAGCCTCCCAAGTAGCTGGGATTACAGGCGCAGGCTGCCACGTCCGGCTAATTTTTTGTATTTTAGTAGAGACGGGGTTTCACCGTGTTGCCCAGGATGGTCTTGAACTCCTGAGCTCAAAAATCCACCCAAGTCAGCCTCCCAAAGTGCTAGGATTACAGGCGTGAGCCACTACGCCCAGCTGATTTCAGCATTATCTTCACATGAACACGACTAGTGTTTTTCTGTTATGCCTGCCTTTGACTGTCTTGTGCTCCCTAAGCTCATACTGCTGTATTGAGGAAGTCATTTGAGATGTAAATTAATTCCTTATGATAATTTTACACACTCTAAACTAGTTCAAAAACTTAAACTCCAGCACTTTGGAAGGCCGAGGTGGGAGGATTGCTTAAGCCCAGGAGTTTGAGGCTGCAGTGAGCTATGATTACACCACTGCATTCCAGCCTCGGCAAGAGTGAGACCCTGTCTCAGAAAAAAAAAAAAAAAAAAAAAATCAAAAAACACCTTTTCAATCCATGTCTAAATTCTAGGACAGACTTTTTATCCACTTGTCTTTTTTTTTTTGAGACAGAGTCTGGCTCTGTCGCCCAGGCTGGAGTGCAGTGGCGCAATCTCGGCTCACTGCAAGCTCTGCCTCTCATATCATTCTCCTGCCTCAGCCTCCCGAGTAGCTAGGACTACAGGCACCCACCACCACACCCGGCTAATTTTTTGTGTTTTTAGTAGAGACGGGGTTTCACCGTGTTAACCAGGATGGTTTCGATCTCCTGACCTCATGATCCGCCCGCCTCAGCCTCCCAAAGTGCTGGGATTACAGGCGTGAGCCACGGCGACCAGCCCACTTGTCTTTTTTTTTTTTTTTTTTTTTTTTAAGACAGAGTCTCGCTCTGTCACCCAGGCAGGAGTGCAATGGCACGATCTCGGTTCACTGCAGCCTCCACCTCCTGAGTTCAAGCGATTCTCCTGCCTCACCCTCCCAAGTAGCTGGGACTACAGGCATGCACCACAACTCTCAGCTAATTTTTTTGTATTTTTACTAGAGACAAGGTTTCACCATGTTGGCCAGGCTGGTCTCGAACTCCTGACCTCAGGTGATCCGCCTGCCTCGGCCTTCCAAAGTGCTGGGATTACAGGTGTGAGCCACCGCACCCGGCCCACTTGCTATTTATAAAGAAAGAAAGATACCGGTTTTAAAGTGGATTTTCTTTTATATATAGTATGGCTAACATTTTCCTGTATTTGCTTCTAGTCATTATAATGCATGCATGTAAATAAGAGTTGATCATTTCAACCTGGGAAAGCCAATTTAAAAAAATTTGACCAAAGTTTCTCAAGTACTTAGATGCCAGGTGCTTTTCCGTGCCATCTCCAGCCCATATTCCGCCCCTCCTGGTCCCCTAACACCAACCCTGGGAAGCCAGTGCTGCCATCACTTGCATTTGGAAATGGAGCAAGTGAAGTACGATTGAGTGACTGGCCTGAGACCTCCCCTAAACTCAGCCTTCCTGTCCCGGAACACAACCCCCCACATCTGCAGGTATCCATCTGGGCCCATCCTCATCACCTTTGTGGGATGCGGGGACGAGGGGAACTGGCCCTTTTCTCGAGTCTTCCACCAACATCCAATAAATTGGCAGGACACCTTTTCAGGCTGCAAGTAGGGTAAAAATCTCAGATCCTTCACAGCTCTTGATATCAACCTCCCATGGCACAAAGCCATTTTGTGGCAGCTAAGACTAAGAGGAAGCTCTTTGCCATATGGCACCGAACTATCTGGGGTCTTTCACCCACTTGTCCTAGCTCTAACCCTGTGGTCAAATCTAATCTTCCTTTCCCATGGCAACCTTTCAAGAATCCTAAAACCCCATTCCACTTCATGTTTTCCCTTCCCAAGTAAAGACCCAGAGTCCTTCATCCCACAGAAGTCACCGTTTCATGTCACTGCTGTGAAGCAGGGAAGACCACCATACAGCTCTCTGGCAGCCACAGAGGAAGTCAAGGTGTCTTCTGGTTGTCTGACTTGGACTGCTGCTACATGGCACGTCCTTGTGGTGTGTTCCTAGCTGGCTGTAGGACACCACAGACAGGACTCATGGCTGACCTGAAGAGCTGGATCCTAGTTTGGATCTAACTAGCATGCTGCTCCTTCTTCATGCCAGGCTTCAGATGGACTGAAGGGTCCTGTGCACTGTTGTCACTTCTGCCTAGCTTGGTGGCGACTCCACAGCAGCATCCTTTCCCTGTGGCTAACCTTTTTCACCCAGTGAACTAACAAAGCTGAAGCTTTCCCTGCCACAGGGATGTCTACTGAGACCAGCCCTGTGGGCTGCCTATCCCTACACAGTCCAGTCCCCTGTTAAGAGAGAACAAGGGGACGCGGCTTGCCCTGCTCGGAGTGCCCCAGGCTGGTTTGTCTTTTTTTTTTTTTTTTTTGAGATGGAGTCTCTGTCGCTGAGGCTGGAGTTCAGTGGCGCAATCTCGGCTCACTGCAAGCTCCGCCTCCCGGGTTCACGCCATTCTCCTGCCTCAACCTCCAGAGTAGCTGGGACTACAGGCGCCCACCACCACGCCCGGCTAATTTTTTTGTATTTTTAGTAGAGACAGGGTTTCACCGTGTTAGCCAGGATGGTCTCGATCTCCTGACCTCGTGACCCGCCTGCCTCAGCCTCCCAAAGTGCTGGGATTACAGGCGTGAGTGAGCCACCGTGCCTGGCCCTGCCCCAGGCTGGTTTCTATGCTCTCAAGCCTTCGTGATCCACTCTGGAACCTTGTCAAGAGCTGAGTTAGGCCAGGCACAGTGGCTCATACCTATAATCCCAGCACTTTGGGATGCTGAGGTGAGTGGATCACTTGAAGTCAGGAGTTCAAGACCAGCCTGACCAACATGGTGAAATCCCATCTCTACTAAAAATACAAAAAAATTAGCCAGGCGTAGTGGTACACGCCTGTAATCCCAGCTACTTAGGAGGCTGAGGCAGGAGAATCACTTGAACCCATGAAACAGAGGTTGCAGTGAGCTGAGATCACACCACTGCACTCCAGCCTGGGGGACGAGAGAGACTCTGTCTCAAAAACAAAAAAACAAAAAAACCCAAAAGAGTTAAGTTTAGGAGGTTAAGTTCTTGTGACTTCTGAACATGGAATATGTCCTTACTCCATGTTCGAAAGTCACAAGAACTTAACTTTGTAAATTGCCTTTAAGTATGATTGATTGATTGATTGATTTTTCTTTGAAAGAGTCTCGCTCTGTCACCGAGGCTGGAGTGCAATGACGCGATCTCAGCTCACTGCAACCTCCACCTCCTGGGTTCAAGCAATTCTCCTGCCTCTGCCTCCCAAGTAGCTGGGACTACAGGCACCTGCCGCCACACCCAGCTAATTTTTTGTATTTTTAGTAGAGATAGGGTTTCATCATGTTGGCCAGGCTGGTCGCAAAATCCTGGCCTCAGGTGATCCACCCTCCTCAGCCCCACAAAGTGCTGGGATTACAGGTGTCAGCCACCACGTCCCTCCTTGCCTTTAAGTATTTATTGTCTCTTCTGAAAACAGGCTTTTTGGTTATTTGAATCAAAAAATCTGCCACATGAGATTCATCTTGTTCTAATATTGGTTTCTGAAGATGACTTCTTTGTACTGTTTTCAACAACTTGGTTTTGGGGATTTTTCATAATACAGTTCTTTGGCAACAAATATTTCCTTTTTTTTGAGATGGAGTCTCACTCTGTCGCCCAGGCTGGAGTGCAGTGGCGCGATCTTGGCTCACTGCGGCCTCCGCCTCCTGGGTTCAAGTAATTCTCCTGCCTCAGCCTCTCTAGTATCTGAGATTACAGATGCCTGCCACCACGCCCGGCTAATTTTTATATTTTTAGTAGAGATGGGGTTTTGCCATGTTGGCCAGGCTGGTCTTGAACTCCCGACCTCAAGTGATCCGCCTCCCCTGGCCTCCCAAAGTGCTGGGATTACAGGCATGAGCCACTGCACCCGGCCGGCAACAAATACTTCAACACTAAAGAGTTCAATCGTATTCCCTTTGGAAGTAAATAGTAGGAATAAGTTTTTTTGTTTGTTTTGTTTTGTTTTGTTTTTTTAGATGGAGTTTTGCTCTTGTTGCCCAGGCTGGAACACAATGGCACGATCTCAGCTCACCGCAACCTCCACCTCCCCGGTTCAAGCGATTCTCCTGGCTGAGCCTCCCAAATTGCTGGGATTACAGGCGCCCACCACCAGGCCCGGCTAATTTTTTGTATTTTTAGTAGAGACGGGGTTTTGCCACATTGGACAGGCTGGTCTCAAACTCCTGACCTCAGGTGATCCACTTGCCTCGGCCTCCCAAAGTGCTGGGATTACTGGCATGAGCCACCGCGCCCGGCCAGGAATAAGTATTTTAGAACTGGTTTTCCAATCTTTCATTTCATAATGTTCATAAACTACCTTCTGAATTGTATCTACAATTAAAATCACAATCTCCATTAACCGAATTTGACAAAGACCATTCCTTCCTTTTGGGCTCAAATAGCCATGAGTACTTCTCATACATAATTCACTTTTCTCCCAAGAATGGAAAAAATACAGCACTCACACCAAAAATAGAAGTGAAAAAAACAAAACAAACAAAAAATCCCACCAGACACCCCATTCCCCAGGATGCCGTCAGGCCTCTGCTGCACAGCCCAAGAACGTTCTCTGTGCATACATGGTGCTCTCAAAGGCCTTAATTTCTGTACATCTATGCAAACTACACATATGTCCTCACACTGCCTATATTTTTTCATAGTTTCTGCTCACACTGCCTTCCACTATGCAGTCCAGATATTGTCACCCTCCCACCCACCGCTGCCCTGCTTCTGTTTGGTCTTAAGTGCCTTGCAGGTGGAGCCACACTCAGTGCTTAAGAGACCATGGATTCCAGGAGGGTGGCTTCTCTGTGGCCTCTGTCCATAGAACCTTGTGTCTGGCTGTGATAGGAGCTCAACAGCCCCATCAATGTAGGGGGATACTCTTTCTCCCCAAAACAACTCCAGTGTGCCCTCAGAAAACAGGGCTGCCCTCATTGGTCTCAACCATTACAGCTACAGGAGACGGAAGTAGGGGAGAGAGAAGGCAGAGTGGCACAATTAGCAGGAAGCAGAAAAGAACTGACAATTACAGGCAAGTGCTGAGCCCAGGGAGGCAGGATGCAGCTCCCATCAAAGGCCAGAGGGGCAATGCAGAAAGGAGGAATGAGGCATCCGGAGGGCGTGGATTTTAGGAGCAACTGCTGTGCAAATAAGCTTGCAGAAAGAAGGTGAGAGGTCTAACTACAAATGTAACTGCAAAAAGGTGAAAGAGGCCAGGAGTTCAAGACCAGCCTGGCCAACATGGCGAAACCCTGTGTCTACTAAAAATACAAAAGAATTAGCCGAGCGTGGTGGTGTATGCCTGTAGCCCCAGCTGCCAGGGAGGCTGAGGCAAAAGATTGCTTGAACCCAGGAGGTAGAGGCTGTAGTGAGCTGAGATCACACCACTGCACTCCAGCCTGGGAGACAGAGTGACTCTGTCTCAAAAAAAAAAGAAATGGAACTAGGCGGGTGGGGGCATGGTGGCTCATGCTTGTAATTCCAGCACTTTGGGAGGCTGAGGCAGGAGGATCGCTTGAGCCCAGGAGTTTGAGACCAGCCTGGGCAACACAGGGAGAACCCATTTATTATTATTATTATTTTAATAAAATAGAGACGGGGTCCTGCTATATTGCCCAAGCTGGTTTTGAACTCCTAGGCTCAATCGATCCTTCCACCCCAGCCTCCCAACATGCTGGGAATATAGGTGTGAGCCACTGCACCCAGCCCCCATCTCTATTTATTTAAAAAAAAAAAAAAAAAAGGAAAGGGAAAGGGAGAAGGAAAGGGAACTAGAAATCAATAACAGAACTAGAAAACTCACAATTATGGGGAAATTAAACGTACTCTCTAACAAGCAATGGGTCAAAGAAGAAATCACAAGGGAAATTAGAAAATATCCTCAGAAAAAAAAATGACATACCAAAACTTAAGTTATGCAGCAAAAGTAGTGCTCAAAGGGAATCTACAGCTTTAAATACCTACATTGAAAAAGCAAGTCTGAAATCAATAATCTAACTGGATATTTTAAGGAACAAAGAAAGTAATAACACAAGAAAGAAGTAAATAGTAAGCACAGAGGAGATAAATGAAAAACACACACACACACATTAATGAAACCTTCCTTGAAGAGATCAACAAAATTGAAAAAACTTTAGCTAGACTGATAAAAGGAAAAAGAGAAAAGACTCATATTATTAAAATAAGAAATGAGGCAGGGCATAGTGGTGTAATCCCAGCACTTTGGGAGGCTAAGGCAGGCGGATCACTTGAGTCTAGGAGTTCAAGACCAGCCTGTGCAATATGGCAAAACCCCATCTCTACAAAAAAAAAAAAAAAAATACAAAAATTAGCTGGGCGTGGTGGCTCATGCCTTCAGTACCAGCTACTCTGGAGGCTGAGGTGGGAGGATCGCTTGAGCCTGGGAGGTTGAGGCTGTGGTGAGCCATGATCATGCCACTGTACTCCAGCCTGGGCAACAGAACGAGAGCCTGTCTCAAAAAAAAAAAAAAAAAAAAAAAAAAAAAAAATCTACATATAAATGGATCAAAGATCCAAATTTAAGAGCTAAAACTATAAAACTCTTAGAAGAAAACTCAGGAAAATTTGCATGACCTTGGATTTGGCAACAGTGTCTTAAAAATCAAACCAAAGTATAGGCAACAAAATTAAAAATAGATAAATTGGACTTCTTTATTAAAAATTTAAGGCCAGGTGTGATGGCTCACATCTGTAAATCCCAGAGCTTTCAGAGGCTAAGCCAGGAGGACCACTTGAGCCTGGGAGTTCAAGACTAGCCTGGGCAACACAGCAAGACTCCATCTCTACAGAAAAAATAATTAAAATTAGCTGGGGGTTGCAGCATGTGCCTATAGTGCCAGCTACTTGGGAAGACTGCTTGAGCCCAGGAGTCTGGGGCTGCAGAGAGCCATTATTGAGCCACTGCACTCCAGCCTGGATGACAGAGCAAGACCCCTTCTCTAAAAATAAAAATTAAATTAAAAAATTTAAAACTTTAGTGCATCAGGCCAGGCACGGTGGCTCAAGCCTGTAATCCCAGCACTTTGGTAGGCTGAGGCGGACAGATCACTTGAGGTCAGGAGTTCGAGACCAGCCTGGCCAACATGGTAAAACCCTGTCTCTACCAAAAAATACAAAAATTAGCCAGGTGTGGTGGTGCACGCCTATAGTCCCAGCTACTCGGGAGGCTGAGGTGGGAGAATCACTTGAACCCGGGAGGCAGAGGTTGCAGTGAGACGAGACTGTGCTTCTGCATTCTGGCCTGGGCAACAGAGTGAGACCCTGTCTCAAAAAGAAACAAAAAAACAAAAAACACACCATGCAAAAACATGTTCTACATCCTTAGTATGAAGAAAACAGAAATCAAAACCACAATGAGACAGCACTACATACCAACTAGAATGGCTGTAACGTAAAAACAAAAAAAAAGTAAAATAACAAATGTTAGCAAGGATGTGGATGAACTGGAACCTTTGTAGTGGAAATTTAAGACGTTACAGGATGGGCGCAATGGCTTATGCCTATAATCCCAGCACTTTGAGAGGCTGAGATGGGTGGATCACCTGAGGTCGGGAGTTCGAGACCAGCCTGACCAACATGGAGAAACCCAGTCTCTACTAAAAGTACAAAAATTAGCCAAAATTGCTTGAACCCGGGAGATGGAGGTTGCAGAGAGCCGAGATCGCATAACTGCACTCCCCAGCCTGGGCAACAGAGCAAGGCTCTGTCTCAAAAACAAGAACAAAAATTAGCTGGGCATGGTGGTGCACACCTGCAATCCCAGCTACTCGGGAGGCTGATGTATAAGCATCACTTGAACCCAGGAGGCTGAGGTTGCAGTGAACCAAAATCACACCATTGCACTCCAGCCTGGGTGACAGAGTAAGACTGTCTCAAAAAATAAAATAAAATGGAATAAAATAAAAAGAAATTGGCTGGGTGTGGTGGCACACACCTGTAGTCCTGGCTACTCAGGAGGATTGCTTGAGCCCAGAAATTCAAGGCTGCAATGGGCCATGATCACACCACTGCACCCTAGCCTGGGTGACAGCACAAAACCCTGCCTCAAAAAACCAAAACATTATTATGAAGTTATGAAATGGTTTATTAAAAACTGCATGAAGGCCAGCGTGGTGGCTCACGCTTGTAATCCCAGCACTTTGGGAGACTGAGGAGGGTGGATCACAAGGTCAAGAGACTGAGACCATCCTGGCCAACATGGTGAAACCCCGTCTTTACTAAAAATACAAAAATTAGCGGGGTGTGGTGGTGCGCACCTGTAGTCCCAGCTACTTGGGAGGCTGAGGCAGGAGAATCGCTTGAACCCGGGAGGCGGAGGTTGCAGTGAGCCGAGATCGTGCCACTGCATAGCGACAGAGCGAGACTCCAACTCAATTAAAAAGAAAAAAAAGAAACTGCATGAAAAAAGGCTGAGAGGAAGTATGCTGAAGGTTAAGAGTAAACACATTCACTGGGCTAGAAGCTTCAAGAAGGGTGACTACCACACCTCTAGTTCCTAAAGGGCAGTACACAAAATGTAACTGAATTTCTTGATGATGTGATTATGGGTAATATTTTCTTCCTTAGACGTTACCTTAGCATCTTAGATGAAAAAAAATTACAGAAAAACAAATGTTTAAAGGGAATAGACCAGAGTTGCGTTGGCAACAATGAAGTCTCTAGGAAGTACCTCCCCAGCCTTCCCTCCCACCTGCCCTCCTCTGTGCACTACGACCAGGGCAATCGCTAGGTGGCTACCCAAGGACAGCACCACTCTCCACTAAGGACCAGGGCTGGGCTGCCATGCCTTCATCGGCCTGGCTCTACTTTTACCCCAACTGGGCAGACCTCAGGTGAGTTTGTATAGTAGATTCCCATGCTGGCCCAGCCCGTCCAATGCAGGAAGACCTAAAGCCCAGGTTGGGGTACAAGTGTGGACCCTGGGGATGTCAGATGTCAACAATGCCTTAACTGCTCTGGAGAAGGAAGAAGACTTCATTGAAACATTCCTCATACAAACCCAGGGGCCCTGGAAGAAAGCAAGGGAGAGGACCGAGAAGAAGTGGTATACACAGGGACAAGAGCAGCCCTGGCTGTTGCTTACCGTCTCCAAGGTGAAACTTTGGCCTGGATAGCTCCCCAGAGCCTCAGCCCAAGCACACTTGGATTCTACCAGCCAGCCTCCACCTTTGCCCTAGTAAGATCTTAGCCCACTGCTCCATAGCCCCTGCCAGCGTGAAACCAGAGGGAGGCCTTTGCATGAGTTGGGGCAGAGCATGCCCAGCAGCAATCTACCCGTGGAGCTGGCTAGCAGGCTCTCAGGCCACTAAATTCTCAGGGCCAGACTGCCCAAGCCTTACCACTTAAAACCATTCCATTCATTTTTATCATTTTCCAAAGAGCCACAGATTAACTGTTCATTTCTTTGCTCAGTAGACTACACAATCTCAATTAGAAAAGGGACAAGAGGTCAGATGGTCCCGGCCATCTTCAGGTCCCTAGAGTAGGCAAGGGCTGCACTCACAGGCCAACCCCTCCCATGCAGAGGTGTCTCTGCCACCCACACCCTTTGCCCTGAGCCCTAACACCATCAAGCCTAAAGAAATCTAAAGGACTCATCTTCAAAATCAGACTGGAAGCTCCCAGATTTAAACATTCTGAGCATACTAAATCATTACAAAGCATATCTTTCCTTAGTTATCCAAATGATTATGGAAATAAACTACAAATCCAATAACTGCTGATCAAATTCAGGGACTTAAAAAAAAAAAAGCATGACCTTATAACCAGCATCAAGAAGAAAGCATCTACAGGAGGGAGCATGCTCCATGCTCACCTTATAACCAGCATCAAGAAGAAAGCATCTACAGGAGGAAGCATGCTCCATGCTCACCTTATAACCAGCATCAGGAAGAAAGCATCTACAGGGAGAAATCATCTACAGGAGGAAGCATCTACAGGAGGAAGCATGCTCCATGCTCATGACCTTATAACCAGCATCAGGAAGAAGCATCTACAGGAGGAAGCATGCTCCATGCTCTGCTTTGGCAAAGCAGCCAATCCATCCATGAGAACAAATTATATACAGGACAGCGGCAGGCACAGGGCAAGGGCCAGAGGCTCAGATGTGCAAAGTGGGAATGAAAAGGAACAGAGAAGGTGAGTGGATGAGGAAGAACAGGAAAGGAGGGCACTCACGCAGGACAAGGGTGTGAGCTGAGGTAGCTGAAGGCTACACAATGACCAAGTGAGGCCGCCTGGTGGACAGATGGTGCAGCTTCCGGGGAGAAGGCAGGAATGGAGACAGGTGTGGGAATCCTTCATGTCTGGCATAATCATCTATGATGCCGAAAGTAGTAGGGTCCCGAGACAAAACAGAACAGGAGAACAGCAGGAGACCAACAAGAGTCATGTTTAAGAGTGAGGAGGAAGGAGTGGCAGAACAGGAGCGAGTGGCAGGCTGGTCACAGGACTGGGGGCTGGAATGCTGCCCGTGCTCCAAAAGCTCAGGAGGCAAGCAAGGGCCATGATGCCAGCACTGCCGAGCTAGAGGTGTGACAACAGTGGGGGCAGCCTGTGGGCTGGGTGTGACGTGGTTTCAGGAGAGTGAGAGGAAGGGGGATTGCAAACTGGAGTTAATTATAAGACAAGCCTCTTGAAGGGGAGGGGATCAAAGGATGCAGAAAAGAGTAGGCACTAAGAGGGTGCTAAGGAAAGCCATCGTTAGGAGGGCCTTGAGCCCATCAGAAGGCAGAAGACTGTGAGATGGGGGAGCTGGGCTGTGGGGGCAGACACTGGAGGCATAAGCCCCAGAAAAGACATGGGGTGAGGGGAACATGTGGGCAATTAGGAAAAGGGACTTGAGACAAATGGAAGGCACAGGTTGGAGGGGACCAGGAATAAAGCCCGAAATACAGGTATCCAAAGGGTTAGAGACATGAATGCAAAACCAAGAGAGAAAGCAAAATATCTAGAGGGGAATGCTTGTCCCCTCCTGAGGAGCTCAGAGAAGAAGGTCCTGCTGATCCATCAGGCCAGGCGCAGGGAAGTCAGGAAAGAGCAGGAGCACAGACACACTCCTTTTCTCTGTGTCTACAGATCTGCAAAGCTCAGGACTCCCTGAATTTGACAAAACGAGTGCCAAGATGTGACTCTACTCAGGACCCAAGGCTACACTCCCTACCTTATCACCCTAGAGCGACAGCCACTTCTGTGCATCTGCTGGCTGCCTAGACTAAGAGCCTACTAAGGAGCAGAAAAACAAGCCCAACAGCACACACATCACCTTAAAGAATAATCTGGTAGGAAGTGGAAGTGTTCAATACTCACAGGAACAATAAGCCCTTGCCAAGTCAATAAATTAGCTTCATCAACCTGGATGTTACGGAAGTTTTTCATCCCACATTTGCGGATTTCTTCAAGCTCCTGTTGATTGACAAAGCATAAAGGGGTGTCAAATAGGGGAAAGCACCACATATTAAGATCCCTCCTGATGCCCTCAAATTAAACCAAGTGCCAAAAATGCTAATGACAAAATTGGACAGTGAGGACTAAACTGTGCTTGGAGTGGTTAAGGAGGCATGGAGCTGCCATGGCGGTCCCCTCTGCAAGGTTGTTGCCTCTCCCCATGCCCCAGACCAAGACAAGCCCCCACCTCAGTGAACCCCCCTGAATAGGACAGGGGGAACCATGCTTCTGCAGACGTACCACCTCCTCTTTGGGTTGGTCACCATGGCTGTTTAAATCCCTCAGCACCCTGCATAGGGCAGACATGTGGCAGGAGCTATCCTGAGGTGCTCTACACCTGATACCTTCCAATCAAGATTCATTAAGCACTGATTATGCACCGGATGCTGAGAAGCTAAAGATGAATAAAACTGGGGACTGGGAACAAACCAGACACAAACGCATATCCAGTTTTCTACCCAGTGCTATAAGTGTGATTTCAGAAGGACTCCACCTCAACATGGGCACACAGCAAAGAGAACCATCCAGTCTGGGACTGGGGTGGGAGTGGGGGGGTGGGGACGGGAAACCTTCACTGAGCCTGTTTCCTCAGCTGCAAAACAGACCCAGAGTGCAGAAAAGGAAAGGGAAGCCATGTTGTGGGCAACAGGACCCCTTGCAAATATGTGGGGTTATTGTTGTATAAACAGTCAATGCAGCAAGTGCCATTTCACCCAGAAAGCACAACTTTACGACTTCAGGGTCCTGCCTGAGATGTCTTCAGAACTGTCTGTCACCTGTTTTTCAACTGTGCACCAGCCTGACATTTCCCATTGCCTCCAACATCTCAGTGAATGCCTGGCAGGCGCTATAACCCAAACCACCCAGCAATGCCCTCCTGCCAGAACACCAGCCTCGCCAACATTCCTCCACTCTGACACATGAAGTGCCACTCTACCCGCCTCAGCCCGGCCTCCCATCCAGTGGCACAAAAGCCGCCTCCACACCTGTCAGGCACCTTCTCTTCTGCAGCCCGAGCACCATCCAGCTGAGCCCTGCCTCCTTCGCCAGGCTGCTTCCTCTGGCCCAGCTCCAGCACCCTCCAGAACCTCCTTACGTGGTACTTCAACTCACAGTGGCTTGGGGGCTCCCTATCAGCCCCCACATCAAGCCCAAAAGATCCTTGCACCTCATACTTCCATCACACAGTGGTAGTTTAAAAGGCACCCTGAGGCTACACAGGCAGGGAAGGAAACAATTGGCAAGGAAGGGGGAACCGGAGCCCAGGTTACTGGTTCTGAGTAGGAAGATGTGCTGGGCGCCCGGCCCAGAGCAGCAGAGAGGGAGAGTGCAGTGAATGAATACACGGAAGAGGTGGAACACACTGGTGCTTCATAGCAGGCAACAGGCACAAGTTTCCCCCCACAGGGTGCTCCTGCCTGTCACCCTCATCTGCCCACCACAATCACCTGGACTTGGGCCCAGCCCCAGAAATTCTGGTCCAGCAAGTGTGGGTGGAGCCTGAACATAGGGATTTCTCACAGGCTATAGCTGTGGTGAGAGAAGAGGCACTGCTGGGAGCGATGATGGATCCATTTCTCCCTGAGGAGGCGTTAGCGGCATGGGCTGCAACCTCCTGCAGTGAGGAATGGGGTGGCCTGGCCCCTCTCCACCTGCATGAGGCCCCTCTTTCCCTGCATAAGGAGGTACGGAACCTGAGGGACCACTCCAACCTGCCAACTGCCACCTGGTCCTCCTGCTCACAAGACTCATAAGAAATGCTCCCCTGGGGATTATGAAGCCTGGGCAGACTCAGAAAGGGGAAGAGATCTCACACCCACACTGCCACCTCCTTCCACTCTCCAAATAGAATGTAAGCTCAACAAGGGCAGGGATCAGGAAGCCCTGGTCCTGCCAGCGCCTGGCTCACAGTGGTGCTCAAACATGTGCTTAATGACCAGGTTGGTGGGTGGATGGGAAGCTGGGGCTTTGGGAGGAAAAAGGAATCTGGGGTGGGAAGGATTTTCTATAAATACAGTTCCAATGCTGTGTTTGGCTTTTTTGACCTTGGCTCAAGATACTAGAGTAAGATTCTTGGCTAAGGACAGGGTATACCATGCACGTCCCTTAAGGCTGGAGTCCTAGCAAACAAAATGTTTTAAACCAAATACAGATAGGAAAAAAATATGCCACACAGAACTTTGAAACTAGACAACTAAAAAAAGAAGAAACAACAGTGAAGATATCTAACATTTATGGGACAAAACAAATTTTAAAATCATCTGTAAATATACTTTATGGTTTCAGAAATCCACACTCCAACAGTATAAAGTATGGGTGATGGCTGAGTGCGTTGGCTCACGCCTGTAATCCCAACACTTTGGGAAGCCAAGGTGGGTGGATCACCTGAGGTCAGGAGTTCGAGACAAGCCTGGCCAACATGGCGAAACCCCATCTCTACTAAAAACACAAAAATCAGCCGGGTGTGGTGGTGGGCGCTTGTAATCCCAGCTACTCGGGAGGCTGAGGCAGGAGAATCGCTCGAACCCGGGAGGCAGAGGTTGCAGTGAACTAAGATCGCACCACTGCACTCCAGCTTGGGCGAAAAGAGCGAAACTCTGTCTCGAAAAAATAAAAAAATAAAAAAATAAAGTAGGGATGATAAACACAAGGTAAATTTCACAAGAATTATAAAAATATGGCAAGATGGAACTCAACTGTAACATGAGAGTGAAAAACTGTATCTTGCTCAAGAAAAAGGAGAGGAAGCAGTCAGTGAGGAGCACTAAGGGCAGGGGTGCAGAAAGGACACTTACTGGTGCTTTGGTATCAAGGAGATCCAGGGGATCCACAGACAAAGATAAAAGAAATACTGCCATGGGAGTGAGCCACACACCTGGCCAGAAAGAAGAATGGGCAACCCTGAGGATGCTAATGACAGCAGGGTTGGGAAGCTCAGAGAATCCTAAGTAGGGTTATCACATAAACTCCCAACTTACCTTGCCGTCAAGTTAAGCTCTCCAAAGACAGAAAAGGCAACCTCCTTTACATGATTCTAACCAACAAGGAAGAACTGATTATAAGGCAAAAGTGAGAGAAACAGGCAAACAAACAAACAGGCCCTGACATCTTCAGAGAATGATGAGCATACCATAGTAGAAAGTTTCTCAACAGGGTGTTGCTGGCATCCAGATACGACTCTGCACTTGAGCCTCCCAAGCCCTTACCCTGAGACAGATGCCAGGCACTGTGACCAACCCACCCCAATTTCCCAACATCCTCTACAGCTTCTACTGAGAACCACGGGCACTATGAGTGGCCAGGATGCTAAAAGACCTGCACTGCACAAGACGGTCCTGTGGACAGAAACTATTTAGCCCAAAATGCCAATCATGCCGGGCGCAGTGGTTCACGCCTGTAATCCCAGCATTTCGGGAGGCCGAGGTGGGCGGATCACGAGGTCAGGAGATCAAGACCATCCTGGCTAACATGGTGAAACCCCGTCTCTATTAAAAATACAAAAAAAATTAGCCGGGCATGGTGGCGGGCGCCTGTAGTCCCAGCTACTCGGGAGGCTGAGGCAGGAGAAAGGCGTGAACCCAGGAGGCAGAGCTTGCAGTCAGCCAAGATTGCGCCACTGCACTCCAGCCTGGGTGACAGAGCGAGACTCCGTCTCAAAAAAAAAAAAAAAAAAAAATTCCAATCATGCCTCCACTGAGGAAAACAACTTCAAGAAGATAAATTCAGGCCAGGCGCAGTGGTTCACACCTGTAATCCCAGCATTTTGGGAGGCCAAGGCAGGCAGACTGCTTGAGCCCAGGAATTCAAGACCAGCCTGGCCAACATGGCAAAACACTGTCTCCACTAAAAAAAATACAGCCCGGGTGCAGTGGCTCACGCCTGTAATCCCAACACTTTAAGAGGCCAAGGCAGGTAGATCACGAGGTCAGGAGTTCAAGACCAGCCTGGCCAAGATGGTGAAACCCCGTCTCTACTAAAAATACAAAAAATTAGCCGGGCGTGGTGGCAGGCACCTATAATCCCAGCTACTTGGGAGGCTGAGGCAGAGAACTGCTTGAACCCAGGAGGCGGAGGTTGTAGTGAGCCAAGATTGCGCCACTGCACTCCAGCCTGAGTGACAGAGCAAGACTCTGTCTCAAAAATAAATAAATAAAAATAAAAAATAAAAAAAAGTAGCCAGGCATGGTGGTACATGCCTGTGGTCCCAGCTACTTGGGAGGCTGAGAGGTGAAAGCGGAAGAATCACCTGAGCCCTGGCAGTCAAGGCTGTGCAGTGAGTCAAGATTACAACCACTGCACTCCAGCCAGGGCAACTAGAGTGAGACCCTATCTCAAAAAAAAAAAAAAAAAAAAAAGAAAGAAGAAAAATTGGAATCATTCAGAGATCAGTTCCATCTGAATATCTGAGACTCAAAAGGCCAGATGACTCAAACCCTCAAGATGGTTGTAAACCCTCAAGCAAAACTGTGCCCCGATAACTGAGAATGGTCCTGACAGTGAAGAATTAGGGAAGGAATTGAAGGAAACCAATGTAAATTCCAAGAAGTGGAATTCAAAAGGATGTTACAAATGACAGAAGAAAGGACCTGATAAAAACCGCAAGAGCAGCCCAGCTCTAGAACAGAGTTAGGAAGACCAAAGCCAAGAATGACAGATGCTTACAAATAACACTCCCACAAAGGTTTGTTTCAGTTCTGCTCAGAGCAAGAAGCAACCCAAGTCAGCTGCTCAGGGCTGATGGTGCAGTGCTGACAAAGAGAGAGTTCAAGGGAAAGCACCAGGCAGCTCACACATTCCTTCTCTTGATGGGGACAGCAGGCTTCCCAACCAGGGCAGGTGGTGCAGGAGAAAGAGAGCAATGCTTCTCAGAATGAGGTCCACTTCGGAGCCCAAGTAGACTTCAGTGTATAGAGGGGAACTGAAAAAGCCCAGGGGTGCCACCCAGCTCCTGAAAATGGAAAACACCCATGCCCCAAACTCAACCCCAGAGAGCTTGATGCCCACTCCAGGGCAAAGTGTGAAGCATGGCAGAGAGGGATGGTTACTTAACAGCTTTGCAAGCACTAACAGGAGAGATGGGCCCTGGGCCCCAGCAGAAGGCCACGGACTCAAGTCCTGAGAGGAGATGGGAGAACAGGACACTGCTGTATATAGCCAGTGCTCAGTCACACAGCTCAGATGTACACACCTGCGTCTTGGCAAAGCAGTTAACAAAGTTCCTCTTTTGCTTCTTTTTGGGGTCTACAATGAGGCCTAGAAAACTGTTCAAAATCTCCCCAGGTAACCCTCACACAAGGCCAGGTTTCAGAACCCCTCAGGAGCCACTAATCAAGAAATCTAGGCGAGGCGCGGTGGCTCACACCTGTAATCCCAGCACTTTGGGAGGCCAAGGCGGGTGGATCACGAGGTCAGGAGATCGAGACCACATGGTGAAACCCCGTCTCTACTAAAAATACAAAAATTAGGTGGACATGGTGGCGCCTGCCTGTAGTCCCGGCTACTCGGGAGGCTGAGGCAGGAGAATAGCTTGAACCAGGGAGTCGGAGGTTGCAGTGAGCCGAGATCGCGCCACTGCACTCCAGCCTGGTGACAGAGCAAGACTTCGTCTCAAAAAAAAAAGGAATCTATGCCAGCGCCAGGCGTGGTGGTTCATGCCTGTAATCCCAGCATTTTGGGAGGCCAAAGCAGGTGGATCACTTGAGGCCAGGAGTTTGAGACCAGCCTGGCTGACATGGTGAAACCCCATCTCTACTAAAAATACAAAAATTAGCCAGGCATAGGGGTGCATGCCTGTAGTTCCAGCTACTCGGGAGGCTGAGGCATGAGAATTGCTTGAACAAGTGAGACAGAGGTTGCCGTGAGCCAAGATCACACCATTGTACTCCAACTCCAGCCTGGGCGACAGAGCGAGAACCTATCTTAAAAAAAAAAAAAAAAAAAAAAGGCCGGGCACAGTGGCTCACACCTGTAATTCCAACGCTTCAACACTCTGGGAGGCTGAGGCGGGTGGATCACTTGAGGACAGGAGTTTGAGAGCAGCCTGGCCGACATGGTAAAACACTGTCTCTACTAAAAATACAAAAATTAGCCGGGCATGGTGGTTGACTCCTGTATTCCCAGCTACTTGGGAGGGTGAGGTTGGAGAATCACTGGAATCCGGGAGGTGGAGGTTGTGGTAAGCTGCAATCACACCACTGCACTTGAGCCTGGGTGACAGAGCAAGACTCCGTTTAAAAAAAAAAAAAAAAGGCTGGGTGCAGTGGCTCAAGCCTGTAATCCCAGCACTTTGGGAGGCCGAGGTGGGCGGATCACTTGAGGTCAGGAGTTTGAGAACCAGCCCGGCCAACAAGGTGAAACCTCATCTCTACTAAAAATACAAAAATTAGCTGGGCATGGTGGCGTGCACCTATATATAGTCTCAGCTACTCGGGAGGCTGAGGCAGGAGAATCGCTTGAACCTGGGAAGTGGAGGTTGCAGTGAGCTGAGATCACGCCAGTGCACTCCAGCCTGGGTGCAGACTCCCAGAGTGAGACTCCGTCTCAACAAAATAAAATAAATAAAATAAATCTAGGCCAGGAGCCAGGGGCGGTGGCTCACACCCGTAATCCCAACACTGGGTGGTCAAGGCAGGAGGATCACTTAAGCACAGGAACTCAAGACCAGCCTGGGCAATACAGCAAGACCCTATCTCTACAAAAATAAAAAAATTAAAAAATTAGCCAGGTGTGTTGATGTATGCCTGTGGTCCCAGCTACTCAGGAGGCTGACTTGGGATGACCAGTTGAGTCCAAAAGGTTGAGGCTGCAGTGAGCCATGATGGTGCCACTACACTCCAGCCTGGTCAACAGAGCAAGACCCTGTCTCAAAAAAAGAAAAACTAGAAAAGAAATCCAACAGCACTAGACGACCCTTCCCCCAACAAAATATGTAGGAATCCTCCCATCCAATATTTCCAGCTAAAACTCTTTGGTGCAACCCAGTAATTCCAACTAAAGCTCTTGGTGCAACCCAAATGAGCAGTGTGCAGAATCCTACCAAGTCAGCCTGGTGACTTCCCCCCTCTATGTCTTTCCCCAGGATGTCTTCTGGAAGGATGTCCCTAACTGTCCTGCCTATCACCAGCCCCACATCCCCAACATGCTCATCATTGAAAGCCTCTCTCAAATGCCTGTTCCTCTAAGGAGCTCCCCAAGCCCTGGCTAAAAGGGATGCTCCTTTCTCTCAACAGCCACTACAATGTTTCTGTACAAAATGGATAAACAGAGGCTGGATCAAGAAGAGCTGAGGAGAATCGAATGGCTTTAGAACTGGTGGCCTGAAGTCACCCTGGTGGGAAGTGGGCTGAGAGAGATGTAGTTAGGTACCACATATCAGGGAAGGAACGAATACAGGCTTAAAGACCAAACCTCTAAGGATCCTGGATAGCAAAACCACACCCCAAGTCACAGAATGAAATATTTTAGAGATCCAGTAAAGACCTGGACTTGGTTCCAAACACTTAATTTTTCACCAAGCACAAGGCATGAACCTTAGCAGCAGCATGAAAAACTGACTGGTTTAGCTGACCAATCGTTTGTGCCATGTTTAGCGTCCAGGCCACCCTGAACTATTCAGAGCCAAATGCTGTGTCCAGTTCTGGACACCATACTTTAGAAGACCACATCAAATAAGGGCTGCTCAGGACAAGAACAGCAAGGACCATGTCCTACCAGGAACAATCAAAAGGTCCAGGAACCTATGGCCTAAAGAAATGTGAAGATGACATACATCTGTCTTCAAACGTTAAAAAGTTCACCTGCTGGTTGGACGAAGTGGCTTATGCCAGTAATTCCACATTTTGTTGTTTTTTGTTTGTTTGTTTTGAGACGGAGTCTCGCTCTCCAGGCTGGAGTGTGGAGGCGTGATCTCAGCTCACTCCAACCTCCGCCTCCCAGGCTCAAGTGCTTCTTATGCCTCAGCCTCCTGAGTAGCTGGGGCTACAGGCACGCACCACCATGCCCAGCTCATTTTTGTATTTTTAGTAGAGATGGGGTTTTGCCATGTTGGCCAGGCTGGTCTCCAACTCCTAACCTCAAGGGATCCACCCGCCTCGGCCTCCCAAAGTGCTCCTGTAATCCCAGCACTTTGGGTTGCCGAAGCGGGAAAATCACTTGAGGCCAGGAGTTGGAGACCAGCCTGGGCCACACAGTAAGACCTCATCTCTACAAAAAAATTAAAAAATGAAGCGGAAGGATTGCCTGAGCCCATGATCATGCCACTGCACTCCAGTCTGGGTGACAGAGTGAGACCTTGTCTCAAAAAAATAAAAATAAAATAAAACTTAAAATTTAAAATTTAGGCCGAGGCCGGGTGTGGTGGCTCACGCCTGTAATTCCAGCACTTTGGGAGGCCAAGGCAGGCAGAACACAAGGTCAGGAGTTCAACACCAGCCTGGCCAATATGGTGAAACCCCATCTCTACTAAAAATACAAAAATTAGCCAGGCGTGGTGGTGACACCTGTAGTCCCAGCTACTCGGGAGGCTAAGGCAGAAGAATCGCTTGAACCCGGGAGGTGGAGGTTGCAGTGAGCTGAGATCACCCCACTGCACTCCAGCCTGGGTGACAGAGCGAGACTCTGTCTCAAAAAAAAAAAAAAAAATTTAGGCCAGACACGGTGGCTCATGCCTGTAATCCCAGCACTTTGGGAGGCCAAGGCGGGCGGATCACCTGAGGTCGGGAGTTCGAGACCAGCCTGACCAACATGGAGAAACCCCGTCTCTACTAAAAATACAAAATTAGCCCAGCATGGTGGCACACGCCTGTAATCCCAGCTACTCAGGAGGCTGAGGCAGGAGAATCGCTTGAACCCAGGAGGCAGGAGGTTGCAGTGAGCCAAGATCGCTCCATTGAACTCCGGCCTGGGCAACGAGTGAAACTCCACCTCAGAAGAAAAAAAAAATTAAAATTTAAAAAGTTCACCTGCAAAGGATTCAACCTTCTATATGAGTAAAGAAGAAAGAATTGGGGCCAGTAAGTGTTCACTATCCCAGGCAGCTTTTGACTCAGTGCCAAACTCTTTAATGCTACCTTCACGTGGTCTAAGCCCCCCTGACTCGGGGCAGCAGTCGTCATGTCATTATAGATACTCAAATGGGTGGGGCAGACAGGGCTGCCAGTGGCCAGGGCTGTCAGAAAGAAGCCACCTGCACTGGGCAAGACTGTACTATACACCCTCTTGAGTCTCCTCTGAAGTCAGTGCCAGGAGCAGGTGAACAGACGTGCAGAAGAATAACCAGTGGGGCCAGTCAGGGATGCTTCAGATGTCACAGCAGTACTATGGGCAGCAAGTCTCAATGCAAGGACACTGGTACAATGTAAACAAGCATATTCCATACCACTGTGTCATTTTATATCTGTTAAATGGCAAAAGGCCTGTAGTATCCCTAAAGGAAAGTAAAGCTTAAGGCCACTTTTCTTGGCTGTTGAGGGTGGGTTAAAAGAACTGAGAAACGCTGCTCTAGGAACCTTTAGGTCACAGTGAGGAAAGTCTAGCAGACACCAGTGGAGGGAACAGCTTTGTGGAAGACAGGCTCTGAGATGGGCCTTGAAAGACGGGGGAAGACAGAACTGCTAGAGAACAGGTGTCCATGTGTGGGAAATGTGTATGCAGAGACATGGAGGGCAGAAATCAGTGGGGGCGTTAGGGAAGCAGAAAGGAAACCAGTTTAGCTGCAGTGTTTACCAACTCAGGGCACTCATGATCAGGGCCAGAACTTTCAGCCAGGGTGCATGGCCAAGCCCCTGGGGGCTGTTTAATACCCCTATGCAGAGAGGCAGGGGAAGGGCTTAGATGGGTACAGGGGAGAAGGAAGGAGAGCTGACTGTGCCTAGGCGCCATCTAGGACCTGCTTATTGCATCAGCCTCCAGTACAAGATGGGTACCTTTCTGAGGGGAGTGCTCCCAGATGACTGTGATGTGCAACCCCTGCTCTGCTTAAGAATCACCATATTGAGGGCCGGGCACGGTGGCTCACGCCTGTAATCCCAGCACTTTGGGAGGCTGAGGCAGGTGGAACCTGAGGTCAGGAGTTCAACAGCAGCCTGGCCAACATGGTGAAACCTCGTCTCTACTAAAAATACAAAAATTAACTGGGCGTGGTGGCAAGCGCCTGTAATCCCAGCTACTCGGGTGGCTGAGGCAGGAGAATTACTTGAACCCATGAGGCAGAGGTTGCAGTGAGCCGAGATCGCGCCATTGCACTCCAGGCTGGGCAACAATAGTGAAACTCCGGCTCAAAAAACAAAAAACTACAAAAATTAGCCAGGAGTCATGATGCATGCCTGTAATCCCAGCTACTTGGGAGGCTGAGGTAGGAGAACAGCCTGAACCTGGGAGGCAGAGGTTGCAGTAGACCGAGATTGCACCACTGCACTCCAGCCTGGGTGACAGAGCGAGACTCCATCGCAAAAAAAAAAAACAACAACAAAAAAAAACCCACCACATTCATACCACCCAGTTTCTTGGCAAGGAAAAAACTGGAGCCTTGATGAATGCAGTGTCATTTCTACAGCTAGAAACAAGCTCCTAAAAGGACTAAAACCTCCCACTGAGCTAAGCACATGGAAAAAATCCCTCTGACTACAAGTCTATAAGCACCGAAACCCAGACGTTGTTCTGAACTGTTTTTTTTTTTGTTTGTTTTTTTGTTTTTTTTTTTGAGATGAAGTCTCACTCTGTCACCCAGACTGGAGTGCAGTGGTGCGATCTTGGCTCGCTGCAACCTCCGCCTCCCAGGTTCAAGCGATTCTCCTGCCTCAGCCTCCTGAGTAGCTGGGACTACAGGCAGGTGCCACCATGCCTGGCTAATTATTTTTGTTTTTTTTTTTCAGTAGACATGGGGTTTTGCCATGTTGGCCAGGCTGGTCTGGAACTCCTGACCTCAGGTGATCCACCTGCCTCAGCCTCCCAAAGTGGTGGGATTATAGGCATGAGCTACTGGGCACAGCTTGTTCTGAATTTTTTTTTCTTTTTTTTTTGAGACAGTTACACTATTGTTGCCCAGGTTGGAGTGCAATGTTGTGATCTTGGCTCACCACAACCCCCGCCTCCCAGGTTCAAGTGATTCTCCTGCCTCAGACTCCCGAGCAGCTGGGATTACAGGCGCCCGCCACCATGCCCGGCTAATTTTGTATTTTCAGTAGAGTCAGGGGTTTATTCATGTTGGTCAGGCTGGTCTCGAACTCCCGACCTCAGGTGATCTGCCCATCTAGGCCTCCCAAAGTGCTGGGATTACAAGTGTGAGCCACCGTGCCCAGCCTGAAGGTTTTTTTTTCCTTTAAGTGAACACCGGCCAGCACAGTGGCTCACACCTATAATCCCAGCATTTTGGGAAGTCAAGGTAGGAGGATCGCTTGAGGCCAGGAGTTCAAGACCAGCCTAGGCAACATAGCAAGATCCCATCTCTACAAATAATAAGGATAACAAAATGGCCAGGCATGGTGGCTCAAATCCCAGCACTTTGGGAAGCCAAGGCAGGTGGACTGCTTGAGCCCAGGGGTTTCAGACTAGCCTGGAAAACATGGCAAAACCCCATCTCTACCAAAAAATGCAAAAATTAGCTGTGCATGGTAGTGTTCACCTATAGTCTTCAGCTACTTGGGGGGCTGAGGTGGGAGAATTGTTTGAACCTGGGAGGCAGAGGTTGCAATAAGCCAAGATTGCACCACTGCACTCCAGCCTGGGCAACAGGGTGAGACTCCATCTCAAAAAAAAAAAAAAAAATTAGCCGGGCATGGTGGCACACACCTGTAGTCCCAGCTACCCAAGAGGCTGAGGCAGGACGATCCTTTGAGCCCAGGAATTCGAGGTTATAATGAGTTATAATGAGTTATGATCATGCCACTGCACTCCAGCCTGGGCAACGGAGCAAGACCTTGTCTCTTGAAGAAAAGAGGCCAGGCATGGTGGCTCATGTCTGTAATCCCGGCACTTTGGGAGGCTGAGGCCGGCAGATCATATGAGGTCAGGAGTTCGAGGCCAGCCTGGCCAACATGGTGAAACTCCATCTCTACTAAAAATACAAAAATTAAGTCCGGTACAATGGCTCACACCTGTAATCCCGCATTTTGGGAGGCTGAGGTGGGGGGATCACAAGGTCAGGAGTTCGAGACCAGCCTGAACAACATGGTGAAACCCTGTCTCTACTAAAAATACAAAAAACTTAGCCAGGCATGGTGGCACATGCCTGTAGTCCCAACTACTCGGGAGGCTAAGGCAGGAGAACTGCTTTAACTCAGGAGGCAGAGGCTGCAGTAAGCCGAGATCGCGCCACTGCACTCCAGCCTGGGCAACAGAGTGAGAGTCTATCTCAAAGAAAATAAAAAGAAGAAAGAAAAGAAAAGAGTAATTCCAACAAGAACAGAAAACAAAGAGATGCTGGGAAAGGGGTAGCCATGGCTTGAGAGGAAGTGGTCAATTATAAGGCCATTCTGCACTGTTTACAATTCATAGTCCTGAGATGGGCAAGTGGGGCATATTAGCCCCATTTCACAGATGGTAAAGCCAAGGCTCAGAGATGTCCAAGTCAAAGAACTTGTATAGAGCATGCCCAGGACTAGAACCTGCACTGAAATTGCTCTTTTTTGACTATCTCAGCCACCCAAAGCAGTGAGTTAATGCTCCCATTAGAAACGGACAGAGCAGGTTTTCCTGTTTACTCTGTGGGATCCCAGGAGGGCTTAGCTTGCTCTGGAATAGTATTGACCAATATTTACATCAACAAAAACATGAACATATTCAGTATTTTCCCTAGTCCTGCACAGCTAGTCATTATGTGCCTGTGTTGTGCAAGGAATATTTCTAGGCTCCTACTGCTCAGGCAAAACAAAACCTGGCAGATGGAGCTGGACATCTGAGGAAAGTTACATAAACCTGCCTTAAATCTACCAAATTCCAGTATAACTGGTCTATCAAAGTAAATAATTGTAACAGAAATGCAAACTTTCCAAGCTTGCATAAGACAACCGTTAGCAATGACACTAAAATCATGACTTTTTTTTTTCCCCCTGAGACAGGGTCTTGCTTTGTTGCCGACGCTGGAGTGCAGTGGCATGATCACGGCTCACTGCAGTCTCAACCTCCAGAGCTCAAGTGATCCTCCCACCTCAGCCTTCTGAGAAGCTGCGACTACAGGCATGTGCCAATATGCCCAGTTAATCATTTTATTTTTTGCAGAGACAGGGTCTCACTATGTTGGGCAGACTGGTCTCAAATTCCTAGGCTCAAGTGATCCTCCTGCCTCAGCCTTCCTAAGTGCTGGGATTATAGGCATGAGCCACCGTGCCTGGCCACTAAATCATGACTTAAATGTAATTCAATATACTGAAAATCTAAACATAAGCCTCATGGCCTTCTAATGCAATTCTCTCATTTCAACTAACATTTAGCTAAGGGGGCAGGACCCATGCCAAGACATCATCCCTTCCATAGGTCAGCAGTATGGTAGCTATCTTACATTTAGTTATCATCATAACTAATTACACCTGGGGCTGGGCATGGTGGCTCACGCCTGTAATCCCAGCACTTTGGGAGGCCGAGGCAGGTGGATAACCTGAGGTCAGAAGTTCGAGACCATCCTGGCCAACATGGTGAAACCCCCGTCTCTACTAAAAATACAAAAATTAGCCAGGCGTGGTGGCGGGCACCTGTAGTCCCAGCTACTCGGGAGGCTGAGGCAGGAGAATTGCGTGAACCTGGTAGGCAGAGGTTGCAGTGAGCCGAGATCACACCATTGCACTCCAGCCTGGGTGACAAGAGTGAAACTCCATCTCAAAAAATAAATAAATAAATAAATAAATAAATAAATAAATAAATAATACACTTAGCTATGATCATAACTTTATGAAGTCATCTCATCATCTGCTGGACAAATCAGGGCACTGAGGCTCAAAGGCACAACACTAAGGAGTCAAAGGCAGAAATCTACATCTGAACTCTTACTCTATCACAGCACAGTGCTTCTCAGAGGTTACAGCACACTCCTTCTCAGGTGGTCATTCTAAGAGGACATGACAAAGAAAACACTCAACAGAGGCTTAGAGGAACGCACTGCCCACAACCTCCACAGTAAGCATGGGGGAAGCATGGCCAAAGCTCCAACTCAGCAGGCCTTGACACCAGCTTCTGGCTGCCGGGCCTCATTCCTGGAAGGTGTTTCCGTGTCCATCTGTACATGGGTGTGCCTGGCATTCCTGACCTCCATTACAAACTCCAGAGTCCAGCACCCCCCTACCAGACTGACAGCTCCTTGAGGGCTGGGACACCGACCTCTTCAAGTCTGTCCACAACAGACTCAACCACACAAAGCCTGACACAGGACAAATGGGCACGACGGGAACTGCCTGTGTAAAACTCGTGGAGAATCCTTCAGGAAGCTTAGGTTTTCTTATGCTGACTGTTCTTTTTTTTTTTTTTCTTTCGAGACAGAGTCTTGCTCTGTCACCCAGGCTGGAGTGCAGTGGCGCAATCCCGGCTCACTACAAGCTCCGACTCCCGGGTTCACACCATTCTCCTGCCTCAGCCTCCCGAGTAGCTGGGACTACAGGCGCCCACCACCACGCCCGGCTAATTTTTTTTTGTATTTTTAGTAGAGACAGGGTTTCACTGTGTTAGCCAGGATGGTCTCGATCTCTTGACCTCATGATCCTCCCACCTCAGCCTCCCAAAGTGCTGAGATTACAGGCCTGAGCCACCGTGCCCGGCCGCTGACTGTTCTTAATGAGAGGCGTGCTGGTGTGAAACACTTTTTTATAAGCCATCTCAGACGGGTTCAGAGGCTATTCAACCTCTGAGTTACACCCTCTTCCTCACCGTGAGTCAGGTGGTCTCCTCTCAGAAAGATGGAGCATCACATGAGCCCTGACATTAGCCCATGAGCCCTTTGACATTAGCACCTGCTTTGGTTGCAGATGTGCCTGCTGGGATAAGGGCTGTCAAAAGAGAATGTTCCCCGCTCTGCCTACCTATGCTAGGAAAGTAGGGACAAAATCTGACAAGAAAGTGAAATACAGAAAACTATAATCAACACAGCCCTGGAAGTGTTAAAAACCAAAACAAACAAAACCCAAACAGCCACCGAATCTGAAATGAACCCTCTTCTTCTCCATCTTGTCCCTTCCTCAAGACCAAAAGCAACCATCTAAAAAGCAGGAGCAAGGCCCAGAGAGCAGGGGACCTTGATGTTGGGCCTGGCTCCACCACTGACTTCAGCCTCCTCATCTGTAAACAGAGGCCACTGGTGTCTGCTTTCCAAGATCCCTCACACAGCTCTGGAATTCTAGAGTATGTGTGCAGCAAGGGTCAGAAGGAGAAACTACACAGCCACCAGAAGCAACTTTCTTAACTTTCTGCTTCAAGGTTGAAAGAGAAGACAAGGGCTGGGTGCGGTAGCTCACGCCTGTAATCCCAGCTATTTGGGAGGCTGAGGCAGGCGGATCACCTGAGGTTAGGAGTTCACGACCAGCCTGGCCAACACCATGAAACCCCGTCTCTACTAAAAAATGCAAAAATCAGGCCAGGCACGGTGGCTCACGCCTGTAATACCAGCACTTCGGGAGGCCAAGGTGGGTGGATCATGAAGTCAGGAGATCGAGACCATCCTGGCTAACATGGTGAAACCCCGTTTCTACTAAAAATACAAAAGATTAGCTGGGTGTAGTGGCGAGCGCCTGTAGTCCCAGCTACTCGAGAGGGTGAAGCAGGAGAATGGCGTGAACCCAGGAGGCGGAGCTTTCAGTGAGCCAAGACTGTACCACTGCACTCCAGCCTGGGCAACACAGCGAGACTCCATCTCAAAAAAAAAAAAAAAATTAGCCAGGCATGGTGGCACACGCCTGTAATTCCAGCTACTCAGGAGGCTGAGGCAGGGAGAATTGCTTGAACCCAGAGGTGAAGGTTGCAGTGAGCCAAGATCGTGCCACTGCACTCCAGCTTGGGCGACAGAGCGAGACTGCGTCTCAAAAAAAAAAAAAAAAAAAAGGAAAGAGAAGACAAGAAGCAAGAATATTACATCTGAGACCTCAACTTCTCAATCAAGAGTTGCTTTCGGCCAGGCGCAGTGGCTCACATCTGTAATCCTAGAATTTTGGGAGGCCGAGGTGGGCGGATCACAAGGTCAGGAGTTTGAGACCAGCCTAACCAACATGGTGAAACCCCAGCTCTACTAAAAATACAAAAATTGGGGGCCGGGCATGGTGGCTCACGCCTGTAATCCCAGCACTTTGGGAGACCGAGGCAGGAGGATCATAAGGTCAGGAGATCGAGACCATCCTGACTAACATGGTGAAACCCCGTCTCTACTAAAAATACAAAAAAATTAGCTGGGCATGGTGGCGGGCACTTGTAGTCCTGGCTACTCGGGAGGCTGAGGCAGAAGAATGGCGTGAACCTGGGAGGTGGAGCTTGCAGTGAGCCGAGATCGCACCACTGCACTCCAGCATGGGCGCCAGAGCAAGATTCCATCTCAAAAAAAAAACAAAAAAAAACAAAAATGCAAAAATTAGCCAGGCGTGGTGGCGTGCGCCTGTAATCCCAGCTACTCAGGAGGCTGAGGCAGAAGAATTGCTTGAACCCGGGAGGCGGAGGTTGCAGTGAACCAAGATCACACCATTGTACTCCAGCCTGGGTGAAAGAGCGAGACTCCGCCTCAAAAAAAAAAAAAAAAAAAAGTTGCTTTCAAACCTCCACCCCTGCCCCAGTTCAGCACCTGTGGGAGCCTTCCATAGCACCTATGCTCATCTTTGGACACAGTGACTGTCACACTACACTGGATGTTTACAATATGCAAGGTAAATTTCTGAGATATTAGAAAGACAAATTTTGAGTTCAAGAGCTATTCAATTTTAAGCTGGGCACAGTGGCTCACGCCTGTAATCCTTTGGGAGGCTAAGGTGGGTGGATCGCCTGAGGGCAGGAGTTCGAGACCAGCCTGGGAAATGGAGAAACCCCGTCTCTACTAAAAATACAAAAATCAGCCGGGTATGGTGGCGCATATCTGTAGTTCCAGCTACTCGGGAGGCTGAGGCAGGAGGAATGGCTTGAACATGGGAGGCAGAGGTTGCAGTGAGCTGAGATGGTGCCACTGCACTCCAGCCTGGGTGACAGAGTGAGACTCCGTCTCCAAAAAAAAAAAAAAAAAAAAAAAAAAAAGCTATTCAACTTTGTTGGGAAAAGTAAACTTTTCTCTTTTTTCTTTCGAGAGTCTCGCTCTATCACCCAGGCTGGAGCGCAGTGGCACCATCTCAGCTCACTGCAACCTCCGCCTCCCGGATTCAAGCGATTCTCCTGCCTCAGCCTCCAGAGTAGCTGGGATTACAGGCATGCACCACCACACTCGGCTGATTTTTGTATTTTTTTTTTTTTTTTTTTAGTAGAGATGGGGTTTCGTCATGTTTCCCATGCTGGTCTCCTCAAGTGATCCACCCGCCTTGACCTCTCAAAGTGCTGGGATTCGGATATGAGCCACCACGCCCAGCCAAGTAAACATTTTTCTTTTTCCTTTTCTTTTTTTTTTTTTTTTTTTGAGATGGAGTCTTACTCTGTTGCCCAGGCCAGAGTGCAGTGGCATGATCTTGGCTCACTGCAACCTCTGCCTCCTGGGTTCAAGCAATTCTCCTGCCTCAGCCTCCCGAGTAGCTGGGATTACAGGCACATGCCACCACACCCAGCTAATTTTTTTGTGATTCTAGTAGAGACGGGGTTTCACCATGTTGACCAGGCTGGTCTCGAACTCCTGACCTCAAGTGATCCACCTGCCTTAGCCTCCCAAAGTGCTGGGATTACAGGTGTGAGCTACTGCGCCAAGCCAACATTTTTTGAGACAGAGTCTCACTCTGTCACCCAGGCTGGAGTGCAGTGGCACGATCTCAGCTCGCTGCAACCTCTGCCTCTCAGGTTCAAGCAATTCTTCTGCCTCCCCCTCCCTAGTAGCTGGGATTACAGGCACGCACCACCAGGCCTGGTTAATTTTTGTATTTTTGGTAGAGATGGGTTTTCACCATGTTGGCCAGGATTGTCTCAATCTCCTGACCTCATGATCCGCCCACCTCGGCCTCCCAAGGTGCTAGGATTACAGGCATGAGCCACCGCGCCTGGCCCCCAGCCAACATTTTTAAACAAACATTCACACAGCTGTCTCAGTAACTCTTTCTCCAACCTACAGAATAAGAGAGTACCACAGGTAAGAGAATGGGCTCTCAGTGATGAGGGTATGTCCAGGCAGACTGGCCCCAACCTGTCCCGAAAACACCTTTGCAATACCATCTCCTATCACTCCTCCAAATCCTCCCCTCCTGTCAGGCTGGTCACCTCCCTGCCCTGGAACATGTCTTGGTTATTCCCAATAATATCTACAAGTAGCTCACACTTACTATATGCCAGGCACTCTTCTAAGCAGTTGGTATATATTAACTCATTTAACCTTCACACACGGACGAAGTAACTAAGGCACAGAGAGGTAAAGTAACTTGCCCAGGGTCACTCAGCTAAGACATGGCAGGCCCAGGATTGAAACTCCAGAACCTGAGCTTTTAACTGCTATGCTGTAGTCTTCCTCTAAACAGCTTTGCTCTGAGCAAAAGCCCCTTCCTCCCTTTCTTATAGGGGTGGGGGGCTTGGGGAGGTTAGGCTTATTTATGTCCCCCAAGAACAGGCATGATGAAGCTGGCCACAGGAGATACATGCAAAGCCCTTTCTGAGTGAGTGGCATGCCACTTCTCCTGGATAGCTGTAGCATCCAGGAGATATGTAGATCTGGCCCCTCAACCTAAAGGCTATGGCATCTCTGCCACCTGTCCTTAAATCCATCAGCACTGCCCTCAGTGACCCCTCTATAGAGAGGTAGCTCACCCTCCAAGGCTGGCCTGGCAGAGGGAGGTCTCCTAGCTCTGGAGGAACCAGGTGCACTGGACATGCCAATCTGGGGTAAAATCAAGCCAATGCCTCAACACTTCTGGAAAGCATCTCAGGGGCTGGCCTAACTAAAACCCAAAGCGGGACGGCACAAGGTCAGACGCAAGCAGCACTGGGGAGTAGGCAGATGGTCTCTGGGGCTCCTCAAAGCATTTCCCATAGGCACTGCCCACAGCCCTCCTGAGGGATGAGAGAGACTCAACCTCACTGGCCACCCAGTCCGTCTTCTTCAACTGCTGAAACCCTACTCGTGCTTAAAGGGCCAGGCCAAGTTCGACCTCCTCCTCAGTGTCAGAGGGGGTCTTTCCCTCTCCTGCAAGCCATTATTCAGGTGGCAGACATCTAGCACACAGTGGCCAGCCCAGGATTTCTTTGTTCCAGGTACGTGCCATTTTTCTCCTTTGTTGAGCTCCTCAAGGGCAGAGGAATTGCCCCTTGAGCTGAGTCTCAAAGGTCAAAAAGTTACCCTGGTACAGAGAAGAGACAGGGATGCCAATCACGAGATCCAGAGTGTGTGTGCAAAGCATGCTGTTTTTAGGGGACTCAACGGGCAAGTGGGGAGAGACAAGGCTGGTGAGACAAGACCTTGAAGGAAAAAGCTAAGGAATGTGCACTTGTAATCCAGAGTCCCAGCCTCATCCTCACCCTACTAAATTCTGCTCCAATCTCTGAGAGCAGGGCCTGCTCATGTGCACTTCTCTACTGCACACCACACCATACACTACTCTGATGCACTGCTGGTTAGGAGTAGTGTGGGACAGAGAGTGCGCTGACCAGTAAGGAGTTTAGATGAACCATTAAGGAGCTCGATGCAGGTGTCTACCACAAACAGGGATGGCCTGAACTGAGGCAGTGGGAGTGGCAGTGGCATTGGGAGTGGGAGTGGGGATGGAGAGAAGACAGGCAGAGAAGAGAGACTGAAGGCATAGTTCAGCAGAATCCGCCAGGTGACTAGACAAGGGAGGAAGAGCCGAGAAGGGCTCCGCTGGCGTTTTTTCCTTGAGCAACTGAGTAGACAAGTGAACCATTAACTAAGGTGGGACAGGAGGAGATGCATGGGGCCAGAGGGAGAGAGTCACAGGAGGAGCTAAGACTCAGATGCCTACAGATCTATGTGCCGTTCCCAAGAAAACTCTGGAAGTGGTTGGAGTCTGGCTCAGGAGGAACGTCTCTGTGGCTCTCTAATGTGCACAGTGTGTGCAGTGTGTGTGCAGTGTGAAGCTGCAAAGAAATGTGGCTCTCACATTTACTGCTGTAGCAAAGAATATAGAAATATCTTAAACGTAATAAATGTTCCAATAAAATGAGAATACTTTCAAGTGTCCTCTTATAATAAAATTTTAAAGCAACAGTCTCCTAATTTAGAGTTTTAACAAGATCAGAAAAGGCCCCAGTACCCTGAGACAAGAGTTTTTGTCTCAGGGTTTTCTTTTTTTTTTTTTTTTTTTGAGACGGAGTCTCGCACTGGAATGCAATGACACAATCTTGGCTCACCGCAACCTCTGCCTCCCGGGTTCAAGCAATTCTCCTGCCTCAGCCTCCCGAGTAGCTGGGATTACAGGCACCCACCACCACGCCCAGCTAATTTTTTGGATTTTTAGTAGAGACGGGGGTTTCACTATGTTGGCCAGGCTGGTCTCGAACTCCTGACCTCATGATCCGCCCACCTCGGCCTCCCAAAGAGCTGGGATTACAGGTGTGAGTCACCACGCCTGGCCTGCCTCAGAGTTTTCTAGTAAATACCTTAAAAGGTCCCAAATGTTGCAATAATTGAGTATACTCCTTCCCATCACCTGTCCCAAACATTTACAAAGAATACCATTAAGGGAGGCTGAAACAGTCCCAACTTACTGGAATGCATGAATTTAGAAAAAAAGACGCAACGTTTTTCTCAATTCACAAAGCCTCAGTGGATTCAGGACATTTACACTGGCATAACATCACATATAAAACTCCCCTCACCTCCTGAAACATGTGACATACTCATTGCTCTATCTCCTTAATCACCCAACCTCAGAATCTAAACCTATACTCAAAAGCAAACTACCTCACTGCTTAATACAACGAAACCCAAGGAATGAACTTTTAGAGGTTCCTCCTACTATGACTATGAACTGGGAGAAAATATAACAATATGAAGTTCTGAGTGAACATTTTTAAATAGCATTAGGCTGGGCGCAGTGGCTCACACCTGTAATCCCAGCACTTCGGGAGGCCTCGGCGGGCAGATCACCTGAGGTTAGGAGTTAGAGACCAGCATGGCAAACATGGTGAAACCTCCTTTCTAATACAAAATTAGCAGGGAGTGGTGGTGCACACCTATAGTATCAGCTACTTGGGAGGCTGAGGCAGGAGAATCGCTTGAACCTGGGAGGCAGAGGTTGTAGTGCACAGAGATCGTGCCATCGCGCTGAAGCCTGGGCAACAAGAGTGAAACTCCTTAACTCAACAGTTATGTCATGATAAGTAATAAGACATTACACACACACCCCTCTAAATCCACAGATTTCCCCTCTGAGAAAAGCCCTTCTGGGAAGCTACTCAACAGGAGGGCCCTTAGGGGAAATGTGTGCAGTGTGAAGCTGCAAAGAAATGATCAGATGGCAATCAGTTGCCTAAGCCACACATAAAGGTTTCACTTTTGGCTTTTGCAGCAATTTCCCCATCCTGATTGAAGCAATGGTTACAATCTGGTTGTAGCCAACAATGCTAAATTAGCTGCTTGCAAATTAAAATGTACTTAATGTTTTATTAACACTGTAATTCCTAAAAAGGCTTCTAAAAGAGGTTAAGCCTCCTGGCAAGTGCTTTTGAAATAAAAGACTTTATCATACTCACTTTGCCTAAAATAACTTCTCAGTGTAGTATATGTAAATCACTCTACTTTTAATAATGTGTTTTACACTATCTGCAGACAGTCCATTGTTACAAAGAAATCTTTGCTGTGGAATGTCCTAGAAAACATTTTTAACAGAAATCTAAAGTTCTTTAAGATGTAATTAATTTGATCATTCAACATTTGCTAGATTGCTATGCCTAAGGCACTGTTCCATGCACTAAGCCCCAACTTTTCACCAACGAAAATCACTTTATTACCACCCTATGTACTGAAAAGACTGTTTATCAACTTGTATCAATAATTTTTCTTCCTTTAAAAGAAAAAAAAAACAGTCTTAAACATTGATTCTCACAGCCAATGATCAGCATTACATAACTGGTGTTCCCCTAGTGAACTGAAAGCCTTTCCATCCTCAACTTAAGAAACAACACACCGCTCCATGCAGCCTTTGAGTAAGAAAGACAGCCTGACAAGAGGCATGGAATTTGGATCCTGGAGCCAGGAAGAGTCAGCGTCTTCTCTCTCCCCACCACGTTCCACAATTCTACCTTAGGTAACTCCCTTAACCTACTTAACCTCACAATGTCCTCATTTATAAAAAATACAAATGACAATACACTAACTTTGAGTGTTGAAAAGATGACTTACGTAAATAACCTAATACTTAATAAATACTCAGTTAATGTTACAATTTTTTTCCAAGGTCTGTTTTTTTTTAGAAACAGAGTAATAATTTTAAAACCATAATAAGTCCCCTCTTAGACCCCTGAGAGCCTGGAGATTCCAAACTGGGTCAACTGGGATAGGCTAGGGGGCTACCAGGATGAATTAGGTCAAGATCCCTGCCCTTCGGGATCTCAGAACCCAGTACAGGAAAGACAAGTCTGTAACACAAAGAGATTGTGACAAGTGCTCAAAGAGAAATATAAAGAAAGCGCTGTGGTCACACAAAGGAGGAAACAACACATTCTGAAGGGGGATGTGGGAGCACGGGCTCACAGAGTAGTTGGCACTGGAGTTGAACCTGGGACTTCTCTGGAAGGGAGAAGTGAGGAGAAGGCAGCTTTTCTTGGGTAGAGCAAACAACACGTGCAAAGGGACATCAGACAGCAAGTAAGAGCAGGAGACTTTGCTTTGGAGAAAGAACCGAATTCGATCACAACTCACTCTCCCTAGCTAGGTAACCCTGGGCAAGCCAAAGAATCTTTTCTCATCGACAAAATGGAAATCACAATGTCTACTTCACAGGAAGGATTAAACATGATCATGCATATAAAGCACGAAGTAAAAGCTGGAAAAATAGTAGCTACTGTGATTAGGTGCAAGAACTGTGGGAAACCAAAGGGCAGGAGGTGAGGCTCAAGGGATTGCTTTCAGCCAGTCTCAGAAAGGTCCTGCATGCCAAGTAAGAGGTTAGGATTAACTGCTGAGGACAATAACACCATAGAGGTTTTTAACAGGAGTGAAAGAATTGAGTTATCTGCTTTAAAAGAACTCTGGTGTCCGTCAGGGGTAGTCTGGGGAGGAGAGCACTTGGGAGGGCACCTGAGAGATGAGGATATAGATTCAGAGTAATTTCAGTAACATTAGAAAGCAAGGCATGCACTCCAGAAATCTTTTTTTTTTTTTTTTTTTTGACATGGAGTCTCACTCTGTCGCCCTGGCTGGAGTGCAGTGGTGCAAACTTGGCTCACTGCAACCTCCACCTGCCGGGTTCAAGCGACTCTTCCACCTCAGCCTCCCGGGTAGCTGAGATTACAGGCAAATGCAACCACGCCCAGCTAATTTTTATATTTTTAGTAGAGACAGGGTTTCACCATGTTGGCCAGGCTGGTCTTGAACTCCTGACCTCAAGTGATCCGCCCGCCTCGGCCTCCCAGGAGTGCTGGGATTACAGGCGTGAGCCATCGCGCCCGGCCTGCACTCCAGAAATCTTTCTAAATTTAAATCCACAAGGGTTAATGGACGACTGCACCTGGGAGTAGGGTAGGAAAGAAAGCCATTAACCGACCCCTTATCTGGTGAATGGTGGTGTCACTAGCTTAAGAGATGAGGAGAGGTCTGAAGTCCTCTGACTGTTCTTTTGTGCCCACTTCCACTCCAGTTTTATAAAGTTAATGTCCTCTCTAGCCCTTAGGGAACAAAAGAAAGGAAACGTTCCCAGGGACGGAGGGAATGCTCAGAGACTGTGGCTCCAAGTTCAATGTCTAGCTCTACCAAGCACTGCTCCGCCTAGAACGAACCCCAGCTCTTTATCTCCCCTCAGGAAACTGGCTCCTGGGCCTTTTTTTAATTTCCGGCCCGTTGCAGGCCGGCAGCACTACCCAGCCGCCGACTCACAGATGCTGGCGGGGTGGGCTACAGAGGACCTTGGCAAATCCACTGGCAAAAGTACTAAGCCAATTTAGCATGTGTTCCTCACCAAAAGGTGCCAATTAGCGAGAAAGCACCCTGCTGCATTCAAGATCCAAAGTACCAAATTATTATTATAAACTTTGGCCCGTTTTGATTCGAACGACTGAAATCAACCGTTATCCCCCCAAAAATGGCACTTTATCAGGGAGGGGAGATCGGGATGACTGAGTGGAGGAGAGGGAAGCAGAACCGCGCCGCGATCGGGGCCGACCTCAGGCCTTCCTGGAGTTGGAACTTACCCGCTGTGTGACTCTGCAGTCACAAGGCGACAGTTTGCTAGGACCCAGCGCAATTCCAAACGACCCACCAACAAACTGACCTAACTTTGGCCGCCTGGCCTCCTTCTCTCTTTCCTAGCCCGAACCTCCCAGACTCCCGAGCTGCGGCCGGGCCAAGCGGAGCTGCAAGCCCGGCGCGCTGCGGCCCAGGGCGGGGCGGTTCCGCGGCGCGGGCTCCGGGCAGGGGCTCCGGCGCTCGGGCCTTCCCCGAAGGCGCCCGGTTTGGAGCCTCCCAACCGGGCTCTCACATTAACGACGCCCTCAGATCGGACCGCGGCCTCCGCGACAGGGGGACGCGGCCAAGCTCCGGGCGGAGAGTGGCGTGAACGCCCCGGGCCGGGCTGAGGGGCCGACAGCGGCTCCCAGCGCGGCCTTGCGCTCCCGCCCAGGCTGCGGCCTAGGCCAGCCCCGTTAGCACCTTGAGCCTGCGCGCGGCCCAGGGAACCGACGAGGCCGTGTAGGGCAGGAAGCCAGACGGCAGCGCCCTGAGAAGCCGCCGCCTGCCTCGGGGATCCGGAGCCTAGGACGCCGCCCCACGCCCGGCCGCTGCCAGAGAATGGCTTTTACCTTCATCAGCCTCCTGCTGGCCGCCATCTTGGATTTGGTGCTGCTCCTTCCCCAGAATGCATCGCGGCCGGCCGGGCGGCTGGAGCCCCCGCACTTCCTGGAGCGGGGGAGGGGCCGCGGGGCGGGGCACAGGAGCAGAGCGGAGCACCTACTGTGTGCTTCCCACTGTGCTGGGGGGCGCGTGGAGGAACGCAAGTGAACCGCACAGACTGGGCCTCAGCGTTTACGGATCGTCCAATCAGATGGCAGTTACAACCAGTGCCTGGCACATAGTAGGAGCATAATAAATACTGATTGCATAAAATAGTTGACCAGGCGCGGGGGCTCACGCCTGTAATCCCAGCACTTTGGGAGACCGAGGCGGGTGGATCACGCGGTCACGAGTTCGAGACCAGCCTGGCCAACGTGGTGAAACTCGGTCTCTACTAAAAATACAAAAAATTAGCCAGGCGTGGTGGCGGGCGCCTGTAATCTCTGCTACTCAGGAGGCTGAGGCAGGAGAATCGCTTGAACCCGGGAGGCAGAGGTTGCAGTGAGCCGAGATCTTGCCACTACACTCCAGCCTGGGTGACAGAGGAAGACTCCGTCTTGGGGGAAAAAAAAAAAGTTGAATAACCAAGGTTACTTCACACTGCCAAGCTCTGTGAAGAAAACTGGGTGATAGGAAAGTGACTGTGGGGACATACTTTGAGAGGTCAAGGAAGCCAAATTGAGGAAATGGCCCTACTAAGTGCCAGACCTCTCTCTAGTGCTTTATTTTCTTTAACCCTTGAAACCATCCTCTGGGATACGTTAGCATTAACATCCTCATTTCACAATAAACAGAAGCACAGAAGAAGCCAGTGACTTGCCCAAGGTCACACGGCCAGCTAGGAGCAGAGCCAGGCTCCTGTCACAGGTGGGCTGCTGGCTCCAAAGCCAATGCTGGGACCTGGAAAATGGGAAGGAACAGCTGGGAGGACTGGAGGAGAATGTTTCAAGCAGAGGAAGCAGCACTGGCGAAGACCATGAGGCTGTCTCAGTGTCCAGAATGGAGTAAAAGGATTATAGGGTGGGAGGGAGGCAGGGGACAGACCATGGAGGGTCTTGTAGAAAGGGGAGGAGTTGGTTTCTATTCCATGTGCTGTGAGAGGTCTTTGATAGATATGAGTATTGACTCCATGGTCAGATGATTTTTTTTTTTTTTGAGACAGAGTCTTGATCTGTCACCCAGGCTGGAGTACAGTGGCACGATAACAGCTCACTGCCGCCTCGACCTCCTAGGCTCAAGGGATCCTCCTGCTTCGCCTCCCAATTAACTGGGACTACAGGCACGTTCCACCACACCCTCCTAAGTTTTTTTTTATTTTTTGTAGAAATGAAGTCTCACTGTCTTGCCCAGGCTGGTCTCAAACTCCTGAGCTCAAGCAGTCCTCCCGCCGCAACCTCCCAAAGTGGTGGGATTACAGGCATGAGCCACCACACCTGGGCTGAGACGCATGTTTTAAAGAGTACTTTGGGGCTTGGCACAGTGGCTGATGCCTGTAATCCCAGCACTTTGGGAGGCTGAGGGGGGTGGATCACTTGAGGTCAGGAGTTTGAGACCACCCTGACCAACATGGTGAAACTCCGTCTCTACTAAAAATACAAAAATTAGCCAGGTGTGGTGGTGGGCGAACGTAATCCCAGCTACTCTGGATGCTGAGGCAGGAGAATCGCTTGAACCTGGGAGGCAGAGGTTGCAGTGAGCCAAGTCCGCGCCACTGCACTCCAGCCTGGGCGACAGAGTGAGACTCCATCTTAAAAAAAAAAAAAAAAAAAGGAGTACTCTGATTGGAAAATGGGGAATGGAGGTGGGTAAGAGGATAAGAAGGGGAGCAGGGGCCACTTGGAAACCGGTTGCAATCATTCAGGCAAAGAGGTGACAGTGGTTTGGACCTCAGGTAGCAATGCAGAGAGAAGAACATAGCTTCAGAATATACTCAGACCTTCTTAAGGAGTTTTTCTCTTTTTTTTTTTTTTTTTTTTTTTTTTTTTTGAGACACAGTTTCACTCTGTCACCCAGGGTGGAGTGCAAAATGGCATGATCTCAGCTCACTGTAACCTCTGCCTCCCGGGTTCAAGTGATTCTCCTGCCTCAGCCTCCTGAGTAGCATAGATTACAGGCACCTGCCACCATGCCCAGCTAATTTTTGTATTTTTAGTAGAGACAGGGTTTTAGCATTTTTGGCCAGGATGGTCTTGAACTCCTGACCTCAAGTGATCCACCCACCTTGGCCTCCCAAAGTGCTGGGATTATAGGTGTGAGTCACTGGGCCTGGACATTTTTCTCCATTTCTAAGAACAGTGGGTTTCTCCTGAAAGGAGAGAAGGAAAGGGAACTGGAAATAATATATCCTGGGGCCGGGTGTGGTGGTTCACACCTGTAATCCCAGCACTTTGGGAAGCCGAGGTGGGTGGATCACGAGGTCAGGAGATTGAGACCATCCTGGCTAACACGGTGAAACCCCATCTCTACTAAAAATACAAAAAATTAGCCGGGCGTGGTGGCGGGCGCCTGTATTCCCAGCTACTCGGGAGGCTGAGGCAGGAGAATGGCGTGAACCCGGGAGGCGGAGCTTGCCGTGAGTGGAGATAGCTCCACAGCACTCCAGCCTGGGTAACACAGCAAGACTCAGTCTCAAAAATATATATATATAGATATATATATCCTGGAATAAGGCTGGCCTCACACTCATCTTGGGAGCCCAGGCTTGACACGGTAAAGGAGGGAGAAACTAGATGACAAGCCTCATGTGATCAGCGATTCTGCCTGCCTTTTACCTCCCCCAAGGCCAGTACACTGAGTGTTCAATACACATTCAGCGTATGCATGAGGGACCCCATCAGATCTCTAGGGTCATGGTGGGACTTAGAAGTCTGGGACTGACTCTGGGGTCTACTGTGAGCACAGAACCTGCCCTTACTGGGCCCAGGACAAATAAAAAACATAGCTGTATTGGGAACTGCTTTCCTCTGTGGAGAATTACGGAGGAAGGGGACGCTTACGCTGAGAAATTCCAAGCCAGTTGAGGAAGCACAGTTCATACCTTTGACCCGGATGTGCTAAGCTGAGAATACAGAGTGGGATCATCAGAGGCTCAATGTCAAGGACTAGCCTTTGCCATGGCATCTTCTTACATCCTCACCGCTGCCTGCAAGATGACTCCCTTGCACTTTGCAGGTGGGGAGTCAAGCCGCTGAGCTACAAAGTGCTTTTACTAAACAAGCACTCAGGAAATGTACCCAGTCCCAGTGGAAGGGCTGCCTGGCCTTTGGGGTCCCTCTCCTGCTCTAAAACCTTCATTGCTCCCTCTAGCAGGCCTGGCTTCTAGTCATACCCGATCCCCTCCACTCAGCCAAACCTTGTTCATACAGACCTATCCTTTCTGTGCCATCTGCCCAAGCCTCCCATCAGAAGTAACCTTGTGGTGACTCATGCCTGTAATCCTAGCACTTGGGGAGGCCAAGGCAGGAGGATTGCTTGAGCCAAAGAGTTTGAGACCATCCTGGGCAACATAGGGAGACCCCGTCTCAACAAAAAATAAAAAAAGAATTAGCCAGGTGTGATGGCCAAGTAATTCTAGCTACTTGGGAGGCTGAAGTGAGAGGATCACTTGGGCCCGGGAGAGTGACACTACAGTGAGCCGTGATCGTGCCACTGCACTCAAGCCTGTGTGAAAGAGTGAGACCATGTCTCAAAAAAAAAAAAAAAAGAAAGAAAGAAAAGAAAAAGAAGTAGACTTTTTTGGCTGCGTACAGTCTCACACCTATAATCCCAGCACTTTAGGAGGCTGAAGCGGGAGAATTACTTGAGGCCCGGAGTTCAAGACCGGCCTGGGCAACATAGAAAGACTACCATATCTACAAAAATAAATAGTCCAGGTGCAGTGGCTCACACCTGTAATCCCAGCACTTTGGGAAGCTGAGGCAGGCGGATCACAAGGTCAGGAGTTCGAGACCAGCCTGGCCAACATAGTGAAATGCCGTCTCTACTAAAAATACAAAAATTAGCTGGGTGTGGTGGAGGGTGCCTATAGTCCCAGCTACTTGGGAGGCTGAGGCGGGAGAATCGCTCGAACCCGGGAGGGGGAGGTTGCAGTGAGCCGAGATCACACCATTGCACTCCAACCTGGGTGACAGAGTGAGAGTCCGTCTCAAAAAAAAAAAAAAAGTATTAATTTTTTTTTTTTGAGACGGAGTCTCGCTCTTCGCCCAGGCTGGAGTGCTGTGGCGCGATCTCGGCTCACTGCAACCTCCGCCTCCCGGGTTCACGCCATTCTCCCGCCTCAGCCTCCTGAGTGGCTGGGACTACGGGAGCCCGCCACCACGCCTGGCTAATTTTTTTTTTTTTTTTGGTATTTTCAGTAGAGATGGGGTTTCACTGTGTTAGGCAGGATGCTCTCGATCTCCTGAGCTCGTGATCTGCCCGACTTGGCCTCCCAAAGTGCTGGGATTATAGGCGTGAGCCACCACACCCGGCCAGTAATAAATTTTTTTTTTTTTTTTTTTGAGACGGAGTCTTGCCCTGTCGCCCAGGCTGGAGTGCAGTGGCGCAATCTCGGCTCACTGCAACCTCCGCCTCCTGGGTTCGAGCGATTTTCCTGCCCCAGCCTCCCGAGTAGCTGGGATTACATGTGCACACCTCTATGCCCAGCTAATTTTTGCATTTTTAGTAGAGACGGGGTTTCACCATGTTGGTCAGGCTGATCTCGAACTTCCGACCTCCTGATCCGCCCATTTCGGCCTCCCAAAGTGCTGGGATTACAGGCGTGAGCCGCCATGCCTGGCAATAAATTTTTTGAAAAGAAGTGGCTTCTTCCTTCTCCTGGACTACCAGGCCCTTCTGCTCCCATTGACCACATGCTATTCCTTCCTCCAGTCAGCATGGAGTCCTGGGCACTCACCTATTAGGCCTTGGGCCCAGGTCCAGAAAAACAGATACACAGGGCCAGGCGCGGTGGCTCACGCCTGTAATCCCAGCACCTTGGGAGGCCGAGGCAGGTGGATCACGAGGTCAGGAGATTGAGAACACGGGGAAAGCCCATCTCTACTAAAAATACAAAAAAAAAAAAAAAAAAAAGCCCAGGCGTGGTGGCTCACGCCTGTAATCCTAGCACTTTGGGAGGCCGAGGCAGGCAGATCATGAGGTCAGGAGATCGAGACCATCCTGGCTAACATGGTGAAACCCCGTCTCTACTAAAAACACAAAAAATTATCTGGGCGTGGTGGCGGGTGCTTGTGGTCCCAGCTACTCGGGAGGTTGAGGCAGGAGAATGGCATGAACCCGGGAGGCGGAGTTTGCAGTGAGCGGAGATTGTGCCACTGCACTCCAGCCTGGGAGACAGAGCGAGACTCCGTCTCAAAAAAAAAAAAAGAAAAAAAGAAAAAATTAGCCGGGTGCAGTGGCGGGCCCCTGTAGTACCAGCTACTCAGGAGACTGAGGCAGGAGAATGGCATGAACCCGGGAGGTGGAGCTTGCAGTGAGCCGAGATCACGCCACTGCATTCCAGCCTGGGTGACAGAGCGAGACTCCGTCTCAAAAAAAAAAAAAAGAAAAAAAAAAGAGGTACACAGGCACCACCTGCCCCCAAGGAGCTCACAGCATCTTGAAGAGGCACCAAGGAAAACACCAGACGGTGTTGAGGGTTTGATGAGGTGTGGGGGCTCAGAGGAGGGGCCTCGCAGAAGCTGGGGGAGGAACCAGGGATGGAAGGAGTTCCCCAGTAGGCAAGAGGACAAGGAAAAGAAAGTGCCTCTGCTGGGGCAGGAAATGGGCACTGGACACTTATACCCTTCATTGGCACCATAGAGCAGTACTAACATGTTCTATTTGATAGGAGAGAAAACTGTGGCCCTGGGAGAAGTGGCCCATCACTGGGCTAGGAAGCTGGGTACCAGGAATTGGACCTCATCTAGAGCATGCAGGTGAGGCTTTGCCTCAACCTCCCTCTGACTACCTGAAGCCTCATCTCCCACATCCCTCGCTTCCCACAATCAGTGCTGTGCCACATCACACCCCCCACTGTGCCCAGGCTGTTCCCTCTGCCTGTGGTGCCTTTGCCATTCCCTCCCACTACACTCCCCATGTCCATCGTGGCAGGGACTCAATTTATCATGCTCCCTTAGGTAAGCTGACAGGAAGATGCATGCTGGACCCCCTTTTTTTTTTGAGATAGGGTCTGGCTCTGTCACCCAGGCTGGAGTATAGTGGTGTGATCATGGCTCAGTGCAGCCTCAACCTCCTGTACTCAAGTTATCCTCCCACTTCAGACTCTCAAGCAGCTAGAACTACAGGTGCACACCTCCATGCCTGGCTAATTTTTGGGAAAAGAAAATTTATAGAGACAGTTTGTCTCTATATTACCCAGGCTGGTCTGTAACTCATGGACTCAAGAGATTCTCCCACCTCAGCCTCCCAAAGTACTGGGATTACAGGTGTTAGCCACCACACCTAGCCTGGACCCTTTTGAGTGCAAAGGCAGCACCCAGCATCTCTGTGACTCCCCCAAAAGCCCTCTGGGTCAGAACTGCTATCAACCCCATTTACAGAGGAAAAAACTGAGGCTCAAGCTGTTCCTCAGCTTCTCAGTCATCTGGCTGGTCAGAGGCTCAAGCCCAAGTCTGTTCTTGGACTGTGAGGGCCAGACCAAGTCCTGAGGGGGCTTAGATAACCTAAAGGACTCCCTCTTTCTTTCCTTTCTCCCTCCCACCTTCCTTCCTTTCTATCCTCCTTCTTCTCTCTTTTCCTTCCTTCTCCTTTCCACCTTCCTTCTACTCCATTCTCTGTGCTTAGTGAATGAAGAAATTAACACATTACTTGGCCCTTGTCATCCCCTGGCTAGATTGCATGCTTAACAAACATTTGATGAAGGACTGTCCTCTGACCTAGAGCTATGGCCAAATGACAGAACAAATGGTCATTGCTACTCGTGCCTTTGGGAAGTGGGCAAAGCCTCAAGTTTCAGGCTGCAGAGGAAGGAGGGTGATTGAAATAGATCCAGCCCGGGAGCGGTGGCTCATGCCTGTAATCTCAGCACTTTGGGAGGCTGAGGTGGGCAGATCACCTGAGGTCAGGAGTTTGAGACCAGCCTGGCCAACGTGGTGAAACCTCGTCTCTGCTAAAAATACAAAAACTAGCCAGGCGTGGTGGCATGCGCCTGTAATCCCAGCTACTTGGGAGGCTGAGGCAGAAGAATCGCTTGAATCCAGGAGACAGAAGTTACAGTGAGCCAAGATTGCGCCACTGCACTCCAGCCTGGATGATAGAACGAGACTCCATCTCAAAAAAAAAAAAAAAAAAAAAATAGATCTAAAGGGAAGAGAAATGGAGATGCTACAAGACAGAAGATACGTCTGTCCTGGCAGCAGTGTGGAGCTGGGAAACAGAGACGCTGATAGCAGCAATGGGGATCTCAGGAAGCAGTGCCTGCTTGTTCAAAGGCTCAGGGATTACAGTAACACTCAGGCTGCCAGAGCCAGAGGGCAAGACCCTGCAAGCACCAGTTCAGAGCCCAGACTCAGGTCACACAGACCTGCCCATAAGTCCCTGTGTGACCCTGGACAGTTTCCTTCTCTGGAGAGGAGAGTGCCAGGCTCTCTGGCTATGGGGAGGATTCAGCGATGAGGCTTGTAAAGTGCAGATGGGAAGGGGCTGACCACTCGCTGCAGAGGCACATGAGCTGGGGAGCTGGGCCAGGGCCACCAGGGCAGGAAGCCAGCCCAGTAGGCCAGGGGGCCCCAGCCAGAGAGCTAGAAGCTCGCACCATACTACCCTCCTGGCCCAGGAAGATGTGGACCAGCCAGGCAGGCTGCAGGGCCCAGGAAGAGCAGCACGGTCCCTCTCCAGGTATCCAGCCCCATCCAGTGCTGGGGGATGAAAGGAACTCCACTGGAACTCAGCGGGTTAGGGTCTGGCCAGGTGACCCTCCCTCTCTGAGCTCCAGTCCTCCCTGCACCCTCAAACGAGGGTCATGATAGGACGGGAAAATATCAGTGCAAGAAGGGATGTGAGTGCCCTGAGGGTGGTGGGCATGGGTGAGGGCTGGTACAGATAGCCAGACTGCAGGAGGCTGGGGGTTTGCAGCTCCAGTTCCCACTGCCTGAAATCGCCTCCCAGCTCCTCTGGCAGCCCTCACTCCCTCTCCTTCAGCTCTCAGCTCTTGTGTTTCCTCCTTGCCTCATGCAGGAAGCCTGCTCTGATGCGGCTCTTCTCCCCATGAGCACCACATTCCTCACCCAGAGCACTCGCCCAAGCGCCAATGTTACTACATTCCATTGTTATTTGTATTTAACCTTTGCATTCTCCCCCAAACTGAGCCCTGAGGAACCCAGTTTGAAAACCATTCATGTAATCCATCACTTTCATTTATTGTTTGTTTGTTTATTTATTTATTTATTTATTTTGAGACAGAGTCTTGCTCTGTCACCCAGGCTGGAGTGCAGTGGCACAACCTCAGCTCACTGTAACCTCCACTTCCTAGGTTAAAGCAATTCTCCTGCCTCAGCCTCCCGAGTAGCTGGGATTACAGGCACCTGCCACCACGTCCGGCTAATTTTTGTGTTTTTTAGTAGAGATGGGGTTTCACCATGTTAGCCAGGCTGGTCTCAATCTCCTGATCTCAAGTGATCCACCCACCTTGGCCTCCCAAACTGCTGAGATTAGAGGCGTGGGCCACCATGTCCAGCTTCACTTTTATTTCATAGGTGAGAAAGCTGGACCGGGAGAGGGTAGGAGCTTGGTGAGCCCATGCTGGGACACCTGCCTCCCAGTCTGCAGCTCATTCTCATAGATCATGGACTGTCAATTCCCTAAGGACAGCAGCCACATCTGGCCTGTCTGCCTCTGTCTTCTTCAGTCCTGTATTTACTGAGCACCTATCATGTGCCAGGCACTGTTCTAGACATGGAGGAGACAGCAAAGAACAGACAGAAAACACATAGAAACAAAAATAAAAAATATGCGGCTGGGTGTGGTGGCTCATGCCTGTAATCCCAGCCCTCTGGGAGGCTGAGGTGGGAGGATCACTCGAGATTAAGAGTTTGAGACCAGCCCAGGCAACATAGGGAGACCCTGTCTCTACAAAAAAAAAAAAAATTAAGTGTTTTTTTTTTTTTTTTTTTTGAGACAGAGTCTCACTTTGTCGCCAGGCTGGAGTGCAGTGGTGCTATCTTGGCTCACTGCAAGCTCTGCCTCCCGGGTTCACGCCATTCTCCTCCCTCAGCCTCCCAAGTAGCTGGGACTACAGGCGCCCGCCACCACACCTGGCTATTTTTTGTATTTTTAGTAGAGACGGGGTTTCACCGTGTTAGCCAGGATGGTCTCGATCTCCTGACCTCGTGATCCGCCTGCCTCGGCCTCCCAAAGTGCTGGGATTACAGGCGTAAGCCACTGCGCCCGGCCAAAAATTAAGTTTTTAATAAATAAAAATAAAGGATATGGAATGAAAAGCTGGGGGAGCTACTGTAGCAATGGGGGATGGGAAGCTTAAACCCTCCTGCAGGCTCTCAGGATGGAGCCCATTCCCCTCCTCAAGGCCAGGCAGGCTCCACAAAGCTTGGGGCTTTGGTAGCCGAACAGAAATGGAGCCAGGCCATGCCGGCAGGAGAAGGATGTGAACCAGGTTGCCCAGGAACCCAGACTCCGTGGCCCAAAAGTCATAGACTGGGGTTGTAGAGAGAGGGAAAGTGGAATACAGAGCTGGCGATGTGGAGCCAACTGAGACGTAAGGGGGACATATTGCCTTCTCTCCGGGTCAGGGAAGTCATTATGTACTGGGATGGTGTATGTGTGTGTTGTGTGTGTGTGAGCACACAATGGGCAAGAGGTCCTCTAACCCAGGGGTTCTCAAACTTGTTTCAAGGAGCATAATGCTTTATTAAACCAAAACACTTCTTCGAATCTGATAAATGACACTTAAGAGTAGATCTGCCGGCCGGGTGCTATGGCTCACACCTGTAATCCCAGCACTTTGGAAGGCCAAAGAGGGTGGATCACGAGGTCAGGAGATCGAGATCATCTTGGCTGGCACGGTGAAACCCCATCTCTACTAAAAATACAAAAATTAGCCGGGCTCGGTGGCGGGCACCTGTATTCCCAGCTACTCGGGAGGCTGAGGCAGGAGAATGGCATAAACCCGTGAGGCGGAGGTTGCAGTGAGCCAAGATTGCACCACTGCACTCCAGCCTGGGTGACAGAGCGAGACTCTGTCTCAAAAAAAAAAAAGAGTAGATCTGCCCATTGAAGCAAGTATGGGCACTGTCTCTCCCCATCCGCTTCCTGCATACCTCCTCCCAACAGGCCTATGGTATTTCTGTTTAATTTATTTTTATTTATTATTATTGTTTTTATTTTGGGGGGTTGGGTTTTTCGTTTTTTTGGTTGTTTGAAACAGAGTCTGGCTCTTTCGTCCAGGTGGAAGTGGAGTGGCACAATCTCAGTCCACTGTAACCTCTGCCTCCCAGGCTCAAGGTATCCTTCCATCTCAGCCTCCCAAATAGCTGGGACTACAGGCGTGCACCACCATGCCAGGCTAAATTTTGTAATTTTTTTATAGAGATGCAGCCTTGCCATGTTGTCTAGGCTGGTCTTGAACTCCTGAGCTCAAGTGATCTGCCCGTCTCAGCCTCCCATAGTGGTGGAATTACAGGCATGAGCCGTCACATCTGGCCTGTTGTTAATTTTTTTTTCTTTTTTTTTTGACTCAGACTCTCACTCTGTTGCCCAGGCTGGAGTGCAATGGCGTGATCTCAGCTCACTGCAACCTCCACCTCCTGAGTTCAAGCAATTCTCCTGCCTCAGCCTCCCGAGTAGCTGGGATTACAGGCACCTGCCACCATGCCCAGCTAATTTTTGTATTTTTAGTAGAGACAGGGTTTCACCATATTGGCCAGGCTGGGCTCGAACTCCTGACCTCGTGATCTGCCCACCTCGGCCTCCTTACTGGGATTATAGGCATGGGCCACTGCGCCCAGCCTATTAATTTTTTTATTGGCCAGGTGTGGTGGCTCATGCCTGTAATCTCAGTACTTTGGGAGGCCGAGGCAGGTGGATTGCTCGAGGTCAGGAGTTTAAGACCAGCCTGGGCAACATGGTAAGACCCTATCTCTACAAAAAAAAAAAAATACAAAAAAAAAAAAGAAAAAAGAAAAGAAAAATTAGCCGGGCATGGTGGTGCTAGCCTGTAGTCACAGCTACTCGGGAGGCTGAAGTGAGAGGATTGCTTAAGTCCAGGAGGCGAACGTTGCAGTATGCCGAGATCACGCCACTGCACTCCAGCCTGGATGACAGAGCAAGACCCTGTCTCCAAAAAATAAATGATAAAACAATTTTAAAATTTATTTTATTTTACTTTTTTTTTAGAGATGGAGTCTCTTTGTAGCCCAGGCTGGAGTGCAGTGGCATGATCATTGCTCACTGCAGCTTTGAATTCTTGGGCTCAAACTATTCTCCCACTTCAGCCTCCTAAGTAGCTGGGGCTACAGGCACACGCCACTATGCCTGGCCTTTTTTTGTTTGTTTTAGAAACAGGGTGTCACTATGTCTCCCAGGCAGGAGTGCGGTGACTCACTCATGGCTCATTTCAGTCTTGACGTCCCAGGCTCAAGCAATCTTCCCACCTCAGCCTCCCAAGTCTCTAGGAGTACAGGCATGCACCACCATGCCCAGTTAATTTTTGTGTTTTTTGTAGAGGTGGGTGTCATGTTGCCCAGGCTGGTCTCAAACTTCAGAGCTCAAGTACTCCACCCATCCCCGCCTCCCAAAGGGCTGGGTATACAGGCTTAAGACACCATTCTGGGCCACAATTATTTTATTTCTCTTTGAGATGGAGTCTCTCTCTGTTGCCCAGGCTGGAGTGCAATGGCACGATCTCAGCCCACTGTAACCTCCACCTCCTGGGTTCAAGTGATTCTCCTGCCTCAGCCTCCCGAGTAGCTGGGATTACAGGCGTGTGCCACCATGCCTGGCTAATTTTTGTATTTTTAATAGAGACAGGGTTTCACCATGTTGGCCAGGCTGGTCTTGAACTCCTGATCTCAAGTGATCCACCCACCTTGGCCTCCTAAAGTGCTGGGATTACAGGCATGAGTCACAGCGCCCAGCCTACAAAAAAAAAATTTTTTTTTTTTGAGATGGAGTCTTGCACTGTCACCCAGGCTAGAGTGCAATGGCATGATCTCGGCTCACTGCAACCTCTGCCTCGCGGGTTCAAGCGATTCTCCTGCCTCAGCCTCCCGAGTAGCTGGGATTAGGCGTGCATGCGCCACAATGCTTAGCTAATTTTTGCATTTTTAGTAGAGACGGGTTTTCACCATGTTAGCCAGGCGGGTCCCGAACTCCTGACCTCAGGTGACCTGCCCGCCTTGGCCCCCCAAAGTGCTGGGATTACAGACATGAGCCACCGAGCCCGGCCAACCTGCTCCTTTTCTAACCTGGGCCAGTTCACCTCTCCTTAGACAAGCTGGTGGTTTCCTGCTCCCAGGAAGTCACCAATTTATGCCAAATTTAGTGCAGACACCCCATCAGTATAGTACATTACAATCCAGAAGTCCTGGATCCAAGCAAGCCTCCTGCCTCAGCCTCCCAAGTAGCTGGGAGTATAGGTGTGTGCCCAGCAGTTCTATATTTCCAAGGAACCCTGGAGCCCTAAAGAACCCAGTTTGAAACCACCACTTTCAGGCTGGGCATGGTGGCTCATGCCTGTAATCCCAGCACTTTGGGAGGCTGAGGCCTGTGGATCACTTGAGGTCAGGAGTTCAAGACCAGCCTGGCCAACATGGCGAAACCTCGTCTCTACTAAAACTATGAAAATCAGCTAGGCATGGTGGCAGGTGTTTGTAATCCCAGCTATTTGAGAGGCTGAGGCAGGAGAATCACGTGAACCCAGGAGGTGAAGATTGCAGTGAACCGAGATCATGCCACTGCACTCCAGCGTGGGTGACAGAGTGAGACTCCATCTCAAAGAAAAAAAAAAGAAACCATCTCTTTCATTTAATAGGTGAGAAAGTTGAACCTGGAGAAGGCAGCAGCATGGTGAGCTCATGCAGGGACTCCTGCCTCCCTGCAACTCATTCTCATATGTCCTGGGCACCAGTGATGTGCTAAGTCACATGCAGGGATGCAATAGGGACAAGGGAAAACATGGCTTCTGCTCTCCCCAAGATCAGAGTTGATGGGGGTGACAGGCAGGTCACTGGACAATCACTGCACAACATGATGAGAACAGGGATGGCAGAAACCCAGCCCTGGGGAAGCCTGGCTTTGCTCATCCACTCAACCAACATTCCCGAATGCTTTTGACATACTTTGGGGCAGCTGCTGGATGGTAACCGTGGGGTTCCCAGAGACCCATCCACCCCAGTGTCCTTTTTCTTGGTGACAGCCTACTCTCTTTTTTTAATTTTAATTTTAATTTTTATTTTTGAGATGGAGTCTTGCTCTGTCGCCCAGGCTGGAGTGCAGTGGCGGGATCTCGGCCCACTGCAAGCTCCACCTCCTGAGTTCATGTCATTCTCCTGCCTCGGCCTCCCAAATAAGTGAGACTACAGGTGCCCGCCACCACGCCTGGCTAATGGCTAATTTTTTGTATTTTTAGTAGAGACGGGGTTTCACCATGTTAGCCAGGATGGACTCTATCTCCTGACCTCGTGATACGCCTGCCTTGGCCTCCCAAAGTGCTGGGATTACAGGAGTGAGCCACCGCACCAGGCTTTTTTTTTTTTTTTTTTTGAGACAGTCTTGCTTTGTTGCCCAGGCTGGAGTGCAGTGGTGCCATCACAGCTCATTGCGACTTTGACCTCACCTTGCAGGCTCAAGCAATCATTTCATCTCAGCTGGAAATGCAGACTGGGTCTCGCTCACTCTGTTGCCCAGGCTAGTCTCAAACTCCCGGGCTTAAGTGACCCTCCCATCTCAGCCTCCTGGGTAGCTGGCACTACAGGCATGCACCAGCACGCCCAGCTAAAATTTTTTTTGTAGAGACAGGGTCTCTCTATGATGCTCAGGCAGGTCTTGAGTTCCTGGGCTCAAGTGATCCTCCCACCCTGGTCACCCAAAGGGCTGGGATTACAGGTCTGTGCCACCATGCCCGGCCCAGCCTGCCCTCCTGACCTGACAGTTGAGGCCCTACTGGAGACTGCAGCAGGGCATCCAGGCTGTGAAACCCCACCCACCAGCTCTGCCTCAGTTGCCCATGTGCCCTGGCAAGCCAGTGGCTCTCACTGAGCCTCAGGTTCTCTTCCGTAAAACAGGGCTGTGATGAAGATTCTCTCAAGATAGTCCTCCCTGTGGCTACCATGTCCAGGAGCCCAGCACCAGTTCAAGGCTAAGGCCATCCCTGCATCTCACCTCCCCTTCCTCTCACATACACACTACATCTGCCTCACCTCTCATAAAGAACATCTGGGCTGGGCACGGTGGCTCACGCCTGTAATCCCACCATTTTGGGAGGCCAAAGTGGGCGGATCACAAGGTCAGGAGATCGAAATCATCCTGGCCAACATGATGAAACCCTGTCTCTATTAAAAATACAAAAATTAGCTGGGCGTGGTGGCGCATGCCTGTAATCCCAGCTACTCAGGAGGCTGAGGCAGGAGAATCACTTGAACGAGGGAGTCGGAGGTTGCAGTGAGCCGAAATCGTGCCACTGCATGCCAGCCTGGTGACAGAGCAAAACTCTGTCTCAAAAATAAAATAAAATAAAATAAAATAAAATAAAATAAAATAAAGGGCCATGCGCGGTGGCTCACGCCTGTAATCCCAGCACTTTGTGAGGCCGAGGCGGGCAGATCAACAGGGTCAGGAGATCAAGACCATCCTGGTTAACATGGTGAAACCCCATCTCTACTGAAAATACAAAAAAAATTAGCCAGGCGTGGTGGCGGGCACCTGTAGTCCCAGCTACTTGAGAGGCTGAGGCAGGAGAATGGCGTGAACTCAGGAGGCGGAGCTTGCAGTGAGCAGAGATTGCGCCACTGCATTCCAGCCTGGGCGACAGAGCGAGACTCCATCTCAAAAAAAAAAAAAAAAAAAAAGAACATCTGGAGCCATAATTCCCGATGTTCTTGTTACTTGACACTGCCTAAAGGCATGTTCTGTGGGTTCCGGGGAAACTGATTTGAAAAACTTGAGTGTTGTAAAGGAGGGCCATAAGCTGAGTGAACACAGCAGTTGTGAGAGGTCCCAGGTGCTTCCTGGGGACAGGGAGACACGACAGACCAAGAAGCAAAGGGGCCTCTGATGTGACTTCAATATCAAGGTCTTGTCGGGCACAGTGGCTCATGCCTGTAATCGCAGCACTTTAAGAGGCCGAGGCGGGTGGATCACTTGAGGTCAGAAGTTCAAGACCATCCTGGCCAACATACTGAAACCCTGTCTCTACTAAAAAGTACAAAAAATTAGCTGGGCATGGTGGCTCAAGCCTGTAATCCCAGCTACTTGGGAGGCTGAGGCAGGAGAATCTCTTGAACGTGGAAGGTAGAGGTTGCAATGAGCCAAGATTGCGCCACTGCACTCCAGCCTGGCGACAGAGTGAGGCCCCATCTCAAAAAACAAAATCAATGTCTCGATGCAGACTGCCAGGTATCAGGTGTCCATCCATGTCTCCAAAAAGCCACTTGGCACCAGGAGCAGACAGGAAGGGCAAAGAGGAGCCAGACTGAAGCAGGGCTTCTTAGCTCCCAAGCCACACAGGTGGCCACCAGTCAGAGAGGCAGTGTGTGTGTGTGTGTGTGTGTGTGTGTGTGTGTGTGTGTGTGTGTGTATTTCTTCAGTTCAGTGTGTGTATGTATGTTTCTTCTGCAGCTCAGTGTATGTGTGTATTCCTTCAGCTCAGTATGTGTGTGTGTGTATGTTTCTTCTGCAGCTGTGTGTGTGTGTGTGTGTGTGTTTCTTCTGCAGCTCAGGATGCCTCCAACATTTCTGCTGAAGCCTCACCCTCACTCCTGGCCCATCCTGAGGCCTCTACCTAAGATGCCAATGAGTAGCCCAGACACTGGGGCTCCAGTGTTTGTCACCAGGTGGTACCTGGATGTGGGAGGTAGACAGGCCAGATGGCCAGTTTGGGCAGTGCCCCCATGCCTATCTGGCCCTGGGTCCCTATGCCACCTTGCTGGGGAGGGTCTTTTCGCTTACACCTCCTCTGAGCCGACTCTGCGCAGTAACACAAATGTGTATCAGGCACATCCTTTCCTCAAAAGGTGGATGACCAGTTGGGTGATCAGGGCTGTTAGGGGGCTGAAGGGTCCTGGGGAGTCCAGGTCTAGCCAAGTTGAGGCCTATCCTGCTGCATTTTCCAGCCACCTGACCCAAATACACCACCTGAACCCACGACCAGGTATGCCCACACCCCATGGGTGGCCTTAACACACACACCCTGCCCCTTTCTCCAAGTACAGGAGCAGCAGCCCAGACTTCCCTCGGGGCACCGCGGCCTGCTTGGGACTGCACAGTGCCTGGGAGGGTGCCTGGGGAGGGTCACAAGGGACTTGGTGCTAGAAGCAGGAAAAGTGTAGGGACCGGAAAAGCCCCCGTGCATCCTGGAAGGGACATGGGCCAGTTTGAGCAGGGGTGTGGGAGTCCAGCCCTGGCCTTGCCAGGTGGAGAGGCGCCTGGGCCAGACATCCGCGGCAGGAGGCGGGGGAACATGCCAAGAGGCGGAAGGGGCACGCGGAGACCCCCAGGGGGCGCCGGAAGGGGCGCGCCGGGCGGTCGGCGGCGGCCGTTGGCGAGCTGAGGCCTGCCAGGCGAAGTCTGGAGACCAGCCGGGCCGCGGCCGCAATGGCCAAGGACTCGCCCAGCCCCTTGGGCGCGTCGCCCAAGAAGCCGGGCTGCTCCAGCCCGGCGGCGGCAGTGCTGGAGAACCAGAGGCGGGAGCTGGAGAAGCTACGGGCGGAGCTGGAGGCGGAGCGGGCAGGCTGGCGGGCGGAACGGCGGCGCTTCGCTGCCCGGGAGCGCCAGCTGCGTGAGGAGGCCGAGCGGGAGCGGCGGCAGCTGGCTGACCGTCTGCGCTCCAAGTGGGAGGCACAGCGCAGCCGGGAGTTGCGGCAGCTGCAAGAGGAGATGCAGCGGGAACGCGAGGCCGAGATCCGGCAGCTGCTGCGCTGGAAGGAGGCCGAGCAGCGGCAGCTGCAGCAGCTGCTGCACCGGGAGCGCGATGGCGTGGTGCGCCAAGCCCGGGAGCTGCAGCGCCAGCTGGCCGAGGAGCTGGTGAACCGCGGCCACTGTAGCCGCCCGGGGGCGTCCGAGGTTTCCGCGGCGCAGTGCCGCTGTCGCCTGCAGGAAGTGTTGGCGCAGCTTCGCTGGCAGACTGACGGCGAGCAGGCGGCGCGCATCCGCTATCTGCAGGCGGCGCTGGAGGTGGAGCGCCAGCTCTTCCTCAAGTACATCCTGGCGCACTTCCGCGGGCACCCGGCTTTGTCGGGATCACCGGACCCCCAAGCTGTGCATTCCTTGGAAGAACCGCTGCCCCAGACCTCCAGCGGCTCTTGCCACGCCCCCAAACCCGCCTGCCAACTCGGATCTCTAGACAGCCTGAGTGCTGAAGTCGGTGTGCGCTCCCGCTCGCTAGGCCTGGTGTCCTCTGCGTGCTCCAGCTCCCCAGACGGCCTGCTCTCCACGCACGCCAGCTCCCTTGATTGCTTCGCACCTGCGTGTTCCCGCTCGCTTGACAGCACCCGGAGCCTCCCCAAGGCCTCCAAATCCGAGGAGCGGCCCTCCTCACCAGACACCTCCACCCCTGGCTCCCGGAGGCTCTCGCCGCCACCATCGCCACTCCCGCCGCCACCACCACCGTCAGCCCACAGGAAACTCAGCAACCCGCGGGGAGGAGAAGGCTCTGAGAGCCAGCCCTGCGAAGTCCTGACTCCCTCACCCCCGGGCCTGGGCCACCACGAGCTGATAAAGCTGAACTGGCTGCTGGCCAAGGCGTTGTGGGTGCTGGCGCGCCGCTGTTATACCCTGCAAGAGGAGAACAAGCAGCTGCGGCGTGCAGGCTGCCCCTACCAGGCAGACGAGAAGGTGAAGCGGCTCAAGGTAAAGCGCGCGGAGCTGACCGGGCTCGCGCGGCGCCTAGCTGACCGCGCCCGCGAGCTGCAGGAGACCAACCTCCGGGCCGTGAGCGCGCCTATACCCGGCGAGAGTTGCGCCGGCCTGGAGCTGTGCCAAGTCTTTGCCCGCCAGCGCGCTCGGGACCTGTCGGAGCAGGCGAGCGCGCCGCTGGCCAAGGACAAGCAGATCGAAGAGCTGCGGCAGGAGTGCCACCTCCTGCAGGCGCGTGTCGCCTCGGGTCCCTGCAGCGACCTGCATACTGGAAGGGGCGGCCCCTGCACCCAGTGGCTCAACGTCAGAGACTTAGACCGCCTGCAGCGCGAGTCCCAGCGGGAAGTGCTGCGCCTGCAGAGGCAGTTGATGCTTCAGCAGGGCAACGGTGGCGCTTGGCCCGAGGCGGGCGGCCAGAGCGCAACCTGCGAGGAGGTGCGACGGCAGATGCTGGCGCTGGAGCGCGAGCTGGACCAGCGGCGGCGCGAGTGCCAGGAGCTGGGCACGCAGGCGGCCCCGGCGCGGCGACGTGGCGAGGAGGCCGAGACACAGCTGCAGGCGGCGCTGCTCAAAAACGCCTGGCTGGCGGAGGAGAATGGGCGGCTGCAGGCCAAGACCGACTGGGTGCGGAAGGTGGAGGCTGAGAATAGCGAAGTGCGCGGCCACCTGGGCCGCGCGTGTCAAGAGCGCGATGCCTCCGGCTTGATCGCCGAACAGCTGCTGCAGCAGGCGGCGCGCGGGCAGGACAGGCAGCAGCAGCTGCAACGCGACCCGCAGAAGGCCCTGTGTGACCTCCATCCTTCCTGGAAGGAGATACAGGCGCTCCAGTGTCGGCCTGGTCACCCTCCTGAACAGCCCTGGGAGACCAGTCAAATGCCGGAGTCCCAAGTTAAAGGTAGCAGAAGGCCCAAGTTCCACGCACGGCCTGAAGACTACGCAGTGTCACAGCCCAACAGAGACATACAGGAGAAAAGGGAAGCCTCCCTCGAGGAGAGCCCAGTTGCCCTTGGGGAGTCAGCCAGTGTCCCCCAAGTTTCAGAGACAGTCCCTGCCAGCCAACCTCTGTCCAAGAAAACCAGCTCCCAGTCAAACTCCTCCTCTGAGGGGTCGATGTGGGCCACCGTGCCGTCCTCCCCTACTCTGGACAGGGACACAGCCAGTGAGGTGGATGACCTGGAGCCTGACAGCGTGTCCCTGGCCCTGGAAATGGGGGGCTCGGCGGCTCCTGCTGCCCCCAAGCTCAAGATCTTCATGGCTCAGTATAACTACAACCCATTTGAGGGGCCCAATGATCACCCTGAGGGTGAGCTGCCCCTCACAGCTGGGGACTACATATATATCTTCGGGGACATGGATGAGGATGGCTTCTATGAGGGGGAGCTTGACGATGGCCGGCGGGGGCTGGTGCCCTCCAACTTCGTGGAGCAGATTCCGGACAGCTACATCCCAGGCTGCCTGCCTGCCAAATCCCCTGATCTTGGCCCCAGTCAACTCCCAGCGGGGCAGGATGAAGCTCTGGAGGAAGACAGCTTATTATCTGGGAAAGCCCAGGGAATGGTGGACAGAGGGCTGTGCCAGATGGTCAGGGTGGGCTCCAAGACAGAAGTAGCAACAGAGATCCTGGATACCAAGACGGAAGCCTGCCAGCTGGGCTTGCTGCAGAGCATGGGGAAGCAGGGCCTCTCCAGACCCCTTCTGGGGACCAAAGGGGTGCTCCGTATGGCTCCCATGCAGCTACACCTGCAGAATGTCACAGCCACATCAGCCAACATCACCTGGGTCTACAGCAGCCACCGCCACCCCCATGTGGTATATCTTGATGACCGAGAGCATGCCCTGACCCCAGCGGGCGTGAGCTGCTACACCTTCCAGGGCCTGTGCCCCGGCACGCACTACCGGGTGCGGGTGGAGGTGCGGCTGCCATGGGACTTGCTGCAGGTGTATTGGGGAACTATGTCCTCCACCGTCACCTTCGACACACTCTTGGCAGGACCTCCCTACCCACCGCTGGATGTGCTGGTGGAGCGCCATGCCTCGCCAGGTGTCCTGGTGGTCAGCTGGCTCCCTGTGACCATTGACTCAGCTGGGTCCTCCAATGGAGTCCAGGTCACCGGTTATGCTGTGTATGCAGATGGGCTTAAGGTTTGTGAGGTCGCCGATGCCACTGCTGGGAGCACCGTATTGGAATTCTCCCAGCTACAGGTGCCCCTCACGTGGCAGAAGGTCTCAGTGAGAACCATGTCACTCTGTGGTGAGTCCCTGGATTCAGTGCCTGCTCAGATCCCCGAGGACTTCTTCATGTGTCACCGATGGCCAGAGACTCCACCCTTTAGCTACACTTGTGGCGACCCATCCACCTACAGAGTCACCTTCCCCGTCTGCCCCCAGAAGCTGTCACTGGCTCCTCCGAGTGCCAAGGCCAGCCCCCACAACCCTGGAAGCTGCGGGGAGCCCCAGGCCAAGTTCCTAGAAGCATTCTTTGAAGAACCCCCAAGGAGGCAATCCCCAGTGTCCAACCTGGGCTCAGAAGGAGAATGTCCGAGTTCAGGGGCTGGCAGCCAAGCCCAGGAGCTTGCAGAGGCCTGGGAGGGCTGTAGAAAGGACCTGCTCTTTCAGAAGAGTCCCCAGAACCACAGGCCACCTTCAGTCAGTGACCAGCCTGGGGAGAAGGAAAATTGCTACCAGCACATGGGCACCAGCAAAAGCCCTGCTCCAGGATTCATCCATCTACGCACCGAGTGTGGGCCCAGGAAAGAACCGTGTCAGGAAAAGGCTGCCCTTGAGAGGGTACTTCGGCAAAAGCAAGATGCCCAAGGGTTCACACCTCCCCAGCTGGGCGCCAGCCAACAGTATGCATCTGACTTCCATAACGTTTTGAAGGAGGAGCAGGAGGCACTGTGCTTGGATCTGCGGGGCACAGAGAGGCGAGAGGAGAGGAGGGAGCCTGAGCCCCACAGCAGGCAAGGACAAGCTCTGGGGGTGAAGAGAGGGTGCCAGCTCCATGAGCCCAGCTCGGCACTGTGTCCAGCTCCATCCGCCAAAGTCATCAAGATGCCCAGGGGTGGCCCCCAACAGCTGGGGACGGGGGCCAACACTCCAGCCAGGGTCTTTGTGGCCCTCTCTGATTACAACCCCCTGGTGATGTCTGCCAACCTCAAGGCTGCAGAGGAGGAGCTGGTCTTCCAGAAAAGGCAGTTGCTAAGAGTGTGGGGCTCTCAGGACACCCATGATTTCTACCTCAGCGAGTGCAACAGGCAAGTGGGCAATATCCCCGGGCGCCTAGTGGCTGAGATGGAGGTGGGGACAGAGCAGACTGATAGGAGGTGGCGTTCTCCGGCCCAAGGGCACCTGCCTTCTGTGGCCCACCTCGAGGACTTTCAGGGGCTCATCATCCCCCAGGGTTCCTCCCTGGTGCTCCAGGGGAACTCCAAGAGACTCCCACTGTGGACTCCAAAGATCATGATAGCAGCTCTGGACTATGATCCTGGGGATGGGCAAATGGGGGGCCAGGGGAAGGGCAGGCTGGCGCTGAGGGCAGGAGACGTGGTCATGGTTTACGGGCCCATGGATGACCAAGGATTCTATTATGGAGAGTTGGGCGGCCACAGGGGCCTGGTTCCTGCCCACCTGCTGGATCACATGTCCCTCCATGGACACTGAGCAAGCATCCTTGCCCAGGTAGTGGCCTCTGGCTGCTCACACCCTGCCAGAGGAGAAGCAAGCGTTCAGACCCTCACACCAGCACCCCTCCTCACCACCATAAGTAGCATGTGCTCCAAGTGCCACTGTGTTAAACTGATGGTAGTCCTTAAGTGTCCCCTAGGCTCTGAAAGTAGCAGGACTTAAGCCTGAGTTATTTGCAAAAGCAAACACAACAAGCCAACCCCTGAGAGTCTGAGAAGCCATTTCAAAGTTGCTGATAACTATGGCAGGTATACGGAGAAGCGCCTTTTTCTGTGGCCAATGTGTGTTTTCTCTGGGAGGTTAAGGTTATCTGTCCATTGCCTTGTACGAAAGTCTCAAGAAAAGTCTACATCTTAAAAAAGAAAAAGCAATCTGAGTGTTATTTTTGGGATGTGAGGGTGATCTGGCTGCGACATGTGTCACCCCATTGATCATCAGGGTTGATTCGGCTGATCTGGCTGACTAGGCGGGTATCCCCTTCCTCCCGCACCACTCCATGTGCGTCCCTCCAGAAGCTGTGCGCTCAATGGAAGAGGATGACCATCCCCGATAGAGGACGATCGGTCTTCAGTCAAGAGTATAAGAGTAGCTGCGCTCCCCTGCTAGAACCTCCAAACGAGCTCTCAGAATGTTATTTTTCTGTCTTATGTCCAACCCCTCATTAAAATGTTCATAGAAAAAACATATTTTAGAAGTTGAAGCACAACCAAGGAAACATGAGCCTGGCTTTCCTCCCTCTCACTTCTGCGCACTGGGTCCGCAAGGGCTACAGAAATGTTTTCCTGGCTGAGGAAGGGAGGGTGCACCCTTCTGCTTTTTTTTTCCTGGCTGCAGTCTATTCCCAGAACACATTCCATCACATGGTTCCCAGAACTCAGATTGTGCGGTGGCCACGTCATCATTGGCTGGGGCTCACAGTCACAGCAGCAGAGGCCTCCCTAAACCTCCCTCTCCTCTAGCCCCACCCGCTGTCCCCTGCTCCTCATGCCCCCATGCTGTGTCCCCTGGCCTCACTTCCGTTGCCATGTTTTCATAATCCTCTCAGGCTCTGGGCAGCAGCGCTGCCCACAGTAGGACCAGATCATGTAAGGAAAATACTGCAGGCTCATCTTGGGGCTGCACTGGGGACCTGAGAACACCTTATCCTACTGTACCTGCGGCACCTCATCTGACACCAGCTTCTCTGCTTTGCCCAAGGTCCCTAGGCCCTGAATGCTTACTTTTTAAGGTCAGCCTGGCTCAGGATATGCTAGTTTGGCTGCAGAGGGTCCTACTAAGAGCCAGGACTGAGGAGCAAGGCCCAAAAAACTCCTCTGGGCCACATCTTCCCCGAGGGCATCCCCGCAGGGAGGCCGTGTGCTGCTGAGCCCTTTGCTAGGAGTGGGTAGTCAGTGTCTCCCACATGACGATCTTGCTTCATTCAGATAGCTTTCGTAGCTCACTGCTTTTCTGAGTCACTTCCTGTGAGGGATCACCTTGGGATGGCATTTCTTTTCCTTTTTTTTTTTTCTTTGGAGACAGAGTCTCGCACTGTCACCCAGGCTGGAGTGCAATGGCACAATCTCGGCTCACCACAACCTCCGTCTCCCGGGTTCACACAATTATCCTGCCTTAGCCTCCCGAGTAGCTGGGATTACAGGTGCACACCACTACACCTGGCTAATTTTTTGTATTTTTAGTAGAGACAGTGTTTCACTATGTTGGCCAGACTAGTCTCAAACTCCTGACCTCGTGATCCGCCCGCCTCAGCCTCCCAAAGTGCTGGGATTACAGGCGTGAGCCACTGCGTCCGGCCTTCTTTTCCGTTTTTTTTTTTTTTTTTTTTTTTGAGATGGAGTCTTGCTCTGTTGCCCAGGCTGGAGTGCAGTGGTGCAATCTCAGTTCACTGCAAGCTCTGCCTCCCGGGTTCACGCCATTCTCCTGCCTCAGCCTCCTGAGTAGCTGGGACTACAGGCGCCCGCCACCACGCCTGGCTAATTTTTTGTATTTTTACTAGAGACGGGGTTTCACTGTGTTAGCTAGGATGGTCTCAATCTCCTGACCTCATGATCTGCCCACCTCAGCCTCCCAAAGTGCTGGGATTACAAGCATGAGCCACCACGCCCGGACCTTTCCTTTTTTTGAGACAGAGTCTTGGTCTGTTGCCCAGGCTGGAGGGCAGTGGCACAATCACAGCTCACTGTAGTCTTGAGCTTCAGGGCTCAAATGATTCTCTCACCTCAGCCTCCCAAGTAGCTGGGACTACAGATGTGCACCACCACACCTGGCTAATTTGGTGTGTGTGTAGAAGCAGGGGTCTCACTGTGTTGCCCAGGCTGGTCTCAAACTCCTGGGCTCAAGCAATCTGCCTGCCTCAACCTCCCAAAGTGCTGGGATTACAGGCCTGAGCCACCACACCTGATGCCTGGCTAATTTTTAAATTTTTTGGTAGAGATGGGGTCCCACTATGTTGCCCAGGCTGGTCTGGAACTCCTGCGCTCAAGTGATTCTCCTGCCTTGGCCTCCCGAAGTGCTGGGATTACAGGCCTGAGCCACTGCACACAGAGGGCATTTCTTTATTTGCCCCATTTTGCAGAAGAGCTTCCTGAGGCTCAGAGAGGCCCCTCATCTAAGGTCACATCATGGCTCAAAGTCACCTCCTCCATAGACTCCCCAGGCTGCCCCTCTGGGAGGGCGGGAATGAGGGGTGGTCTTTATCCTTCTCTCCCTCTCTTTGATACCCTTTTGTTTCCCCACGTCCAACAACACTGTCAGAGGAAAGACACTTCCAGAATACCCAGGTAAAAAAAAAAAAGAGACAATAAGGAAAGGACACTGCCTTCTCCGGTGTCATCAGAAATGATTGAAAGAGGCCGGGCGCGGTGGCTCACGCCTGTAATCCCAGCACTTTGGGAGGCCAAGGTGGGCAGATCACGAGGTCAGGAGATCGAGACCATCCTGGCTAACACGGTGAAACCCCGTCTCTACTAAAAATACAAAAAAATTAGCTGGGCGTGGTGGCGGGCGCCTGTAGTCCCAGCTACTCAGGAGGCTGAGGCAGGAGAATGGCATGAACCCGGGAGGTGGAGCTTGCAGTGAGCCGAGACTGCACCACTGCACTCCAGCCTGGGTGACAGAGCGAGACTCCGTCTCAAAAAAAAATTAAAAAATAAATAAATAAATAGGCCGGGTGCCATGGCTCACACCTGTAATCCCAGCACTTTGGGAGGCTGAGGCAGGCGGATCACAAGGTCAGGAGTTCAAGACCAGCCTGACCAATACAGTGAAACACTGTCTCTACTAAAAATACAAAAAAATTAGCTGGACGTGGTGACATGCACCTGTAGCCCCAGCTACTTGGGAGGCTAAGCAGAAGAATCACTTGAACCCGGGAGGCAGAGGTTGCAGTGAGCCAAGATAGCGCCACTGCACCCCAGCCTGGGCGACAGAGAAAGACTCCATCTAAAAAATAAATAAATAAATCACATTAAAAATAAACTTAATTTTTTTTAAAATTTAAGTTTAAAAAAGTAGGCCAGGTGCGGTGGCTCACGCCTGTAATCCCAGAACTTTGGGAGGCCGAGGTTGGTGGATCACGAGGTCAGGAGTTCAAGACCAGCCTGACCAACATGGTGAAACCCCATCCCTACTAAAAATACAAAAATTAGCTGGGTGTGGTTGTGGGTGCCTGTAATCCCAGCTACTCGGAAGGCTGAAACAGAGAATTGCTTGAACCCTGGAGGTAGAGGTTGCAGTGAGCCAAGAATGCGCCACTGCACTCCAGGCTGGTGACAGAGCGAGACTCCGTCTCAAAAAAAATAAAAATAAAAAATCACTGGGCATGGTGGCCCGCGCCTATAGTCCCAGCTACTCCGGAGGCTGAGGCAGGAGAAATGCTTGAACCCAGGAGGTGGAGCTTGCAGTGAGCCGAGATCGTGCCACTGCACTCCAGCCTGGGCGACAGAGCGAGACTCCATCTCAAAAAAAGAAAAGGAAGGAAGGAAGGAAGGAAGGAAAGAAGGAAGGAAGGAAGATTAAATGTCAATGGCTCATACTTGTAATCTCAGCACTTTGGGAGGCGAGGCAAGTGGATCGCTTGAGCACAGGAATTCAAGACCAGCCTGGGCAACATGTTGAAACCCCGTATCTACTAAAAATACAAAAATTGGCCTGATATGGTGGTTCACACCTATGGTCCCAACTACTCGAGAAGGTGAGGTGGGAGAATCGCTTGAGCCTGGGAAGCAGTGGTTTCAGTGAGCCAAGATTGAGCTACTGCACTCCAGCCTGGGTGACAGAGTGAGACCCTGTCTCAAAAGAAAAATAAAATAAAATAAATGACAATGTAAAGGCAAATTTTGTCTATAACAACATCATAATAGGACATTGAATTATTACAGTGCAGTTGTTATAATTAAGTTTACAATAGAATATTCATGGCTGAAACCCAGACAAACTAAAATCACCAACTGCTTACAAACCAACTGCTTACTAGTGAAAACCCAAATAGGTAAGGCTTTTTTTTAGCAGTGAGTCTCTGCTCAGTGAGGACCTGGGCACCCTCGTTTTTTTGAGTCTTGGTATTTCTTTCCATCTGAAAGGATGGAGCGGATGTGTGGATCCCCAACGTTTTCAGTTCTTCCACCTGGTCCTCATTCTGTCATGGCGTGATCATGGCTCACTGCAGCCTCAACCTCCAGGGCTCAAACCATCCTTCCCGCTCAGCCTCCTGAGTATCTGGAGGCATGCGCCACCACACCCAGCTAATTAATGTGTGTGTGTGTGTGTGTGTGTGTGTGTGTGTGTGTGTGTGTGTGTGTGTGTGTGTAGAGATGAGGAATTCTCGCTATGTTGCCTAGCTTGGCTCCAACTCCTGGCCTGAAGCCATCCTCCTGCCTCTGCCTCCCATGGAATAGTTGATTTTTGTTGTTGTTGTTGTTTTGAGATGGAGTCTCACTCTGTCACTCAGGCTGTGGTGCAGTGGTTCGATCTTGGCTCACTGCAGCCTCCTGGGTTCAAGCGATTCTCCTGCCTCAGCCTCCTGAGTAGCTGGGCCTGCAGGTGCATGCCACCATGCCCAGCTAATTTTTTTTTTCTTTTTTTTTGAGACAGAGTCTCACTCTGTCACCCAAGCTGGAGTACAGTAGTGTGATCTCGGCTCATTGCAACCTCCGCCTCCTGGTGCAAGTGATTCTCATGTCTCAGCCTCCCAAGTAGCTGGGATTACAGGCATGCACCACCATACCCAGCTAATTTTTTGTATTTTAGAAGAGACGGTGTTTCGCTATGTTGGCCAGACTGGTCTCGAACTCCTGACCTCAGATGATCTACCCGCCTTGCTCCAAAACTGCTGGGATTTCAGGTAGGAGCCACTGCACCCGGCCTATGGAATAGTTTTCAATGCCTTGTCTAGCTAGGGATCATTGAACATGTTGTATGCGGGGTAGACTGCAGCTGCAGGATCTGTACCAGGGTGTTGGTGAAGACGCAATGGGGTTGCCCCAGCGTCCTTGAGAAAGACTACCACCTTGTGGCCGGGCGCGGTGGCTCATGCCTGTAATCCCAGCACTTTGGGAGGCTGAAGCAGGTGGATCACGAGGTCAGGAGTTCGAGACCAGCCTGGCCAAGATGGTAAAACCCCGTCTCTTCCAAAAATATTTTAAAAATTATCTGGGTGTGGTGGCTCGCGCCTGTAATCCCAGCTACTCAGGAGGCTGAGGCAGAGAATTGCTTGAACCCGGGAGGCAGAGGTTGCAATGAGTCGAGATCATGCCACTGCACTCCAGCCTAGGAGACAGAGTGAGACTCTGTCTCAGAAAAAAAAAAAAAAGCAAAAACCTACCACCTTGCACTTCGTTCAACAGAGTGTCCAGTTGCTCCACAGAGCCTGCACTCCACAGTCTGCCGCCACCCGTGCCACACTCACAGCAAAGCAGAGTTCCCACTGCTCAGCCCAGGGACCTGCTCAATCCTGCTCGCTCACTGGAGCCCTTGACGGACTGGGACCTCGGCTGGCAGGTCTTTGGCTTCCTTCCCTTAGCATAATGTCCTTGAGCTTCATCCATGTTGCAGCATGTGTCAGAATTTCCTTCCTTTCATGAATAATTGTTTAAGGCCAGGGTGGTGGCACAAGCCTGTAGTTCCAGCACTTTGGAAGGCCAAGGTGGATGGATCGCTTGAGCCAAGGAGTTGGAGACCAGCATGGGTAACATGGCAAAACCTCATCTCTATTATTATTATTTTTATTTTTATTTTATTTTATTTTATTATTATTTTTTGAGGTGGAGTTTCGCTCTGTCGCCCAGGCTGGAGTGCAATGGCACGATCTTGGCTCACTGCAAGCTCCGCCTACCGGGTTCACGCCATTGTCCTGCCTCAGCCTCCCAAGTAGCTGGGACTACAGGCGCCCACCAGCACACCCGGCTAATTTTTTGTATTTTTAGTAGAGACAGGGTTTCACCATGTTAGCCAGTATGGTCTCGATCTCCTGACCTTGTGATCTGCCCGCCTCGGCCTCCCAAAGTGCTGGGATTACAGGTGTGAGCCACCGTGCCCGGCCTATTATTATTATTTTGAGACAGAGTCTTGCTCTGTCACCCAGGCTGGAGTGCAGTAGTATCATCTTGGCTCACTGCAACCTCCGCCTCCCAGGTTCAAGTGATTCTCCTGCCTCAGCCTCCCAAGTAGCCAGGATTATTGGCCGCCCGCCGCAATGCCTGGCTAATTTTTTTGTATTTTTAGTACAGACAGGGTTTCACCATGTTGGCCAGGATGCTCTCTAACTCCTGAACTCAGGTGATCTGCCTGCCTTGGCCTCCCAAAGTGTTGGGATTACAGGCGTGAGCCACTGCACCTGGCCTTCATCTATTTTATTTATTTTATTTTATTTTATTTTTTATTTTATTTTATTTTATTTTATTTTATTTTATTTTATTTATTTTATTTTATTTTATTTTTTGAGACAGGGTCTTGCTCTGTCTCCCAGGCTGGAGTGCAGTGGCGCTATCTTGGCTCACTGCAGTCTCCGCCTCCCGGGTTCAAGCGATTCTCTTGCTTCAGCCTCTCGAGTAGCTGGAACTAGAGGCATGCGTCACCATGCCCAGCTCAGGTTTGTATTTTTAGTAGAGGCAGGGTTTCACCATGTTGCCCAGACTGGTCTCGAACTCCTCACCTCAAGTGATCCACCCACCTTGGCCTCCCAAAGTGCTGAGATTACAGGTGTGAGCCACCACACCCGGCCTCATCTCTATTATTTTAAAAAACATATTTTTTGGCCGGGTGCAGCGGCTCACACCTATAGTTCCAGCACTTTGGGAGGCCGAGGCGGGTGGATCACAAGGTTAGGAGTTCCAGACCAGCTTGGCCAATACGGTGAAACCCTGTCTCTACTAAAAATACAAAAATTAGCTGGGCGTGGTGGCGCGTGCCTGTAGTCCCAGCTACTTGGGAGGCTGAGGCAGAAGAATCACTTGAACCCAGGAGGCGGAGGTTGCAGTGAGCTGACATCATGCCACTGCACTCCAGCCTGGGCGACAGAGTGAGACTCTGTCTCAAAAAAAATCCCATATTTTTTAATTGTTTAAAATTATTATTAATATTTATTTATTTTATTTATTTTTTTTTTTGATGGAGTCTCGCACTGTCACCCGGGCTGGAGTGCAATGGCGTAATCTCGGCTCACTGCAACCTCCGCCTCATGGGTTCAAGTGATTCTCCTGCCTCAGCCTCCCAAGTAGCTGGGATTACAGGTGCCCGCCACCACGCCTGGCTAATTTTTTTCTATTTTTAGTAGCGACGAGGTCTCACTATGTTGGCCAGGCTGGTCTTGAACTCCTGACATCATGATCCGCCCACCTCGGCCTCTCAAAGTGCTGGGATTACAGGCATGAGCCACTGCACCTGGCCTATTATTTTTTTCTTGTTTTTTTATTTCCATATTTTTTTTTCTTCTTCTTCTTACTTTTTAAAAGTTTTATTTATTTATTTATTTATTTTTTGAGACAGTTTCACTCTGTCACCCAGGCTGGAGTACAGTGGGGTGATCTTGGCTCACTGCAACCTCCGCCTCCCAGGTTCAAGCCATTCTCCTGCCTCAGCCTCTCGAGTAGCTGGGATTACAGGTGCCCACCACCATGCTCGGCTAATTTTTTGTGTTTTTAGTGGAGATTGGGTTTCACCATGTTGGCCAGGCTGGTCTCGAACTTCTGACCTCAAGTGATCCACCCCGCCCCCACCTTGGCCTCCCAAAGTGCTAGGATTACAGGCGTGAGCCACTGCACCCGGCCTATTTCTTTTTTATTTTTATTTTTATTTTTATTTTTATTTTTATTTTTTGGAGATGGAGTTTCACTCTTGTTGCCTGGGCTGGAGTGCAACGGCACAATCTCAGCTTACTGCAACCTCACCTTGCGGGTTCAAGCGATTCTCCTGCCTTAGCCTCCCGAGTAGCTGGGATTACAGGCACACACCACCGCGCCCAGCTAATTTTGTATTTTTAGCAGACATGGGGTTTCTCCATGTTGGCCAGACTGGTATCGAACTCCCGACCTCAGGTGATCCGCCCGCCTTGGCCTCCCAAAGTGCTGGGATTATAGGCGTGAGCCATCGCGCCTAGCCAATTATTATTTTTTAAGAGACTGGGGTCTCACTATATTTACCAGGATGGTCTCAAACTCCTGGCCTCAAGAGATCCTTCCGCCTCAGCCTCCCAAAGTGCTGGGATTACAAGCATGAGCCATTACGCCAGGTCTTTATCTAGGTTTTTCTATTGTCTGTATTTCATCATCCAACCATCCCCTACCAGAGTGTGCCTGGCCAATTTTCTTCCCTTCTTCCACCACACGTTTCTTTTTGTTTGTTTGTTTGTTTGTTTGAGACAGTGTCTCACTCTGTCACCCGGGCTGGAGTGCAGTGGCATGATCTTGGCTCACTGCAACCTCCACCTCCTAGGTTCAAGCGATTCTCATGCCTTGGCCTCCAGAGTAGCTGGGATTATAGGCATGTGCCACCACACCTGGCTAACTTTTGTATTTTCAGTAGAGAGGGGGTTTCCCCATGCTGTCTGTGCTGGTTTCCAACTCCTGGCTTCAAGTGATTCGCCTGCCTCAGTCTCCCAAAGCGCTGGGATTATAGGTGTGAGCCACCACACCTGGCCTCCTTCCTTTTTAAGGCTGAATAATAGTCCATTGTGTGTATGTAATGCATTTTGTTTATCCATTCATCTGTCAATGGATACTTTGGTCGTTTCTACCTTTTAGCTATTGTGAATAATACTGCTGCTCTCCTTTACACTTTTTCAAAGCACTAGATCCCTGATGAGCCCACAGCCTAGAAATGGAGTCTGAGCACAGTAAGCCACAAGACAGCTGCTTCTGCCGAGAGGACAGCCTGGGACCTTTTGGGTCAGGGGCAAGAGACTTGGAGGTTGGCAGGCTGCTCTCTGACTGAGAAGTGGGGACAAGTATGGTTCCCACACACTAGGGAAGCAATGACAGACTAGCAAGAGAATAGAAACTTTAATTCATGCACTCTCAGGCCAGGCATGGTGGTGCAGACCTGTAATCCCAGCACTTTGGAAGGCCAAAGTGAGCCACTGTGCCCTGTTGTGTTTTGATTTTTGAGACAGAATCTGGCTGTCACCCAGGCTGGAATGCAGTAGCACGATCATAGCCTCAACTTCCTGGGCTCAAGTGATCCTCTCACCTCAGCCTCCTGAGTAACTGGGACTACAGGTGCATGTCACCACACCTAGCTAATTTTTCTTTTTTTTGAAACATAGTCTTGCTCTGTCACACAGGCTGGAGTGCAGTAGCACGATCTAGGCTCACTGCAACCTCTGTCTCCCAGGCTCAAGCAATTCTCTTGCTTCAGCCTCCCGAGTAGCTGGGATTACAGGCATGCGCCACCACGCCCAGCTAATTTTTGTATTTTTAGTAGAGACGAGGTTTCACCATGTTGGCCAGGGTGGTCTCAAACTCCTGACCTCGGGTAATCTGCCCACTTTGGCCTCCCTAAGTGTTAGGATTACAGGCATGAGCCACCATGCCTGGCAATTTTTTTGTACAGATGGAATTTTGCCATGTTGCCCAAGCTGGTCTCAAATTCCTAGGCTCAAGCAATTCACCTACCTTGGCCTCCCTACAGGCATGAGCCACTGAGCCTAGCCTCCAGCTAATTTTTACATTTTTTGTAAAGACAGGGTCTTGCTATGTTGCCCAGGCTGATCTCAAACACCTGGCCTCAAGAGATCCTCCTGCTTGGCCTTTCAAAGCACTTGGATTATTGGTGTGAGCCACCACTTCCCACCTAGCCTGTTCCATCACTTTTTACTTAATTTCACAACTTTCCCTGACCGTTGCCTCAAATCAGCTTTTTTTCTGACAGCTGCGTTGTAGTCTTTGTCAGAGTTATGAGGGGCACCCCCACTCTTCACTCCAGCCCCCACCTGTTTTATTTTCCTCCATAACCCTCATCACCCCCCAGCATGTTACCTAGGTTTTTATCTTTTTTTTTTTTTTTTTTAATTAAGACAAGGTCTCGGCCAGGCTCAGTGGCTCACGCCTGTAATCCTAGCACTTTGGGAAGCCGAGGCGGGTGGATCACGAGGTCAGCAGATCGAGACCATCCTGGCTAACACAGTGAAACCCCGTCTCTACTAAAAATACAAAAAAATTAGCCAGGCGTGGTAGCGGGCGCCTGTAGTCCCAGCTACTCAGGAGGCTGAGGGGCGCCTATAGTCCCAGCTACTCGGGAGGCTGAGGCAGGAGAATAGCATGAATCCGGGAGGCGGAGCTTGCAGTGAGCCGATCGCGCCACTGCACTCCAGCCTGGATGACACAGTGAGACTCCGTCTCAAAAAAAAAAAAAAAAAAAAAAGACAAGGTCTCACTCTGTCACCCAGGCTACAGTATGGAGTACAGTGGCGCAACCACAGCTCACTGCTCACTGCGGCCTTGACTTCCTGGGCTGTCGATCCTCCCACCTAAACCTCCCAAGTAGCTGGGACTGTAGGCATGAGCCAACATGCCTGGCTAATTTTTGTATTTTCCGTAGAGACAGGGTTTCGTTCAAGCCACTGCACCTGATCGTGTGTTTTGGGCAACTCTGGGAGCAGTGGCACAGGAAAGAAGAAAGGGACTGGGGACAGGTGCCAACCCATCAGCTGGTGTGGACCTCCTCCCCCTGGGAGGGTTACAAGTCCAGGGAGGAGGACCTCATGCTGCCGCCAGGGGGCAGCCTAGGTGCACTTAAGGGTCATTCTCCAGGGGCTGCACACCTGGCAGAGCTGCCTGGGCCACACCTGCCTGCCCAGTGTAAGGGGGAATAGGAAATACTGTATCTTTTTGACCAAGCAGGCCTGGAATCCACACCCCACCCGACCAGCCCCATTCTCTCCCTCCCTTCTCCCCAGAGCACCCTAGGCAGCCCACCCCCCACATAACCGAGAGGGGCTGTCCTTCCAGGGGAGCAGGGACCAGTGTCAGGCCCGGTCATTCTGACACCCACCCACAGAAAGATCTCCTTCTTCACCCCTCTGGCAGCCCTGCTCCCCTAAATCCTCAACTTCAGAGGCCATGGGCAGTTTTAAAGAAGCATAAGGCTGGAGAGGCAGGGCCACAGAGCCACTGGGCTCCAGAACCCAGTCACTGGATCCAAATGCCAGCCTGCTCACAGACAGCTGCAAGGCCTCTCTGAGCCTCATGTTCCCAGACTGTGGCAGAACTGGTTTTGTTTTGAGCAGGTCAGGTGTGCAGAACACTTGGCCTGGTGTCAGGACCCCGAGAAAGACCCAGACAGCTGATGAGAAGGGGGGCGTCATGGCTTGTGCCTGCAATCCCAGCTACGGCGGAGGCAGAGAGGGGAGGATCACTTGCGACCAGGAGTTCGAGACAAGCCTAGGCAACATGGTGAGACTCTGTCTCTACAAAAAAAATTTAAAACAGGCCGGGCACGGTGGCTCACGCCTGTAATCCCGGCACTTTGGGAGGCCGAGGCGGGTGGATCACCAAGTCAGGAGATGGAGACCATCCTGGCCAACACGGTGAAACCCCGTCTCTACTAAAAATACAAAAAATTAGCGGGGTGTGGTGGCACGCACCTATACTCCCAGCTACTCAGGAGGCTGAGGCAGGAGAATTGCTTGAACCCGGGAAGCAGAGGTTGCAGTGAGCTGAGATCGCACCACTGCACTCCAGCCTGGGCGACAGAGCGAGACTGTGTCTCAAAAAAAAAAAGAAAAAAGAAAAAAAAAGAAAGCTGATGAGGGCACAGGTCGGGGGTGGGGGCAAGGGAGCACAGTTCTAAGCCCCAGCTTGGCTCCCCGTGCAGAGCCCTGAGAATCTGGAGACTTTCAGCAGAAGGGAAGGCCGCACAGGTCTAGCAAGTTGGCAGGCTGCTGGGGGGTAGGGGTGGGCTGGGAAGGAGGTGGATGCCTGGCTGTGGCCTGCACCAGGCCCCTTCCCTGACTGACTGCACGACCTGGAGGCCCAAAACCTGTCCAGTCCAGACCTGCCCAGGAGGGGAACGAGCGGGGATGGGCAGCCCAGCCGGCCCGAAGGCAGAGGAGCCTAACGAGTGGGCGAAGGGGCGGTGTCCGGAGAGTTCTGGTGCAAGGGTCACTAAGCCTGTCCAGGCCCCATCCACCCCTGCCCAGGCGCCTCTGGCCCATCTGCCCCCTCCACCTCTAGCTGACCTGCCCCCTCTCGCTCACTGCGGCTATGGATTTTGAAAGCATGAGGCTAACTGATCAATTTCAGAGTCATTGTAAAAAATCTGGAGAAGATTTCACAAGAACACGATATGAAAGATACGACTTTTTAAAAGCTCAGAGATATCTCTGCAGCCTATTTTAAGCTCATTCCACCTTCTGGTCACACCCTACTCTCCCTGTCTCACTACTGGGGTGGTTGAATTTGGAGGCTGGGTGGGGTGTGCAGGAGGTCAGGTGTTCCATCTGAGGCGGAACAAGATGGGCCAACTCTAGTCTTGTGAAACAAAGCACATTGCCAGGTGGAGCTGGCTCCAGGAACCTAGGCACAGAGGGTTCCACACACGGTGGCATTGCTGACACCGCAGCCGGCCGCACAGGTCCTGCCAGCCTCCAGGCTCAGCCCCACCTGTCCCTGTCTTCGGTGCTGGGTGGGGTCTATAATGGGTTGTTCCCCCAGGCTGGAATGCTCTGTTTGGAAGATCTCCTAAACATCCCCCGCCCACAGGGCCCATCCACCCTCCCCATAAAGCCCTAGCCCTCACTATCTATATCTGATATCCACAGGCTTCTGTGCCGTCTTTTTGCCCTTTCACGGGGTCCCTAGAAGCCCCAGTAAATCCTCCTGTCACTGACGGCCTGGCTGGTTGTACCTACCTTGGTGGAACTCCAGGACCTGGGCCTCAGTCTTAGGGTTGCCACGGTGCACAGCCTCTTGGTCAGGGTGCTTTGGGTCGAAGGTGCCCTCCTGAGGGCAAAGTACCTTCCTGCCCAGCCTGAGAATGGAGTGGGGGCTGAATGTGAACCCTGGCCCACTCACTTCTCAGTTGAGAGACCTCAGGCAGTTCCTTTGTTTTTTGACTTTCAGCCTCAATTTCCTCTTCCCTAAAATTGGCCTTCCAGCTGCCCTGTGCCTACAGCCAGCTCACTCCCAGGTATCCTTTGAAAGCACCCTCCACCACCTCTTGCAGGCAGCCTTCCCCATTCTCCCCTCCCTTACAGGATTTAGCTACCCCTCCCACGTGCTCGGACAGCCCTTAGGCATAATCCCAAAACGCACCCAGGAATTACTCATTCATCCTGCTACCTCTCCCTTCAGACTGTCTTACTCCACCCTGCACCCTGAATGCAGGTACCTGGACCTGGCATGGACCAGGCAACGGGATCTGTGGACTAACCCATTTCCAACTTAGGAAAGGCACCAACCAGCTCGTGAATGAGAAGCACTAGACTGAGGCTCTCAGCGGCCATACTTCCCCTGGAAAACTGACCTTTCCTGAGCTCACATATTGCTCAGCACAGCATACCCAGCTAGTTTAATTATTTCCCCCTTTTACATAGGGAATAACTCAGATTTGGAGAGGGGTGTGGTCATTTAGCAGGTTGGGGGCAGAGCTGGGGGCCCGAACCCAGGTGTGTCCCTTTGACCAATGCCCTTATCTGTAGGATTCCTTCCCCCACCCTGGGGCAGGACCTGGGTCTAGGGAGGAGGCCAGAGGGAGAGATAGGAATTCAAATTGGTGGTGCTGGTGGTGGGGGAAGGCGAGGCCCTGGGAGTGGCCAGCACTCAGGGCTTGGGCAACAGGGTGCTCTGCAGAGCCACTGGGTGGGGGGAACAGCAGGGGCAGGCACAGACCTGCTGAGTCAGAGACGCCGCAGGGACTCCAGGGGGAGGTGTTTGGCAGATGGCTGTGGGCTGGGGCCCGGCAAAAGCACCACAGGGTGGTGGGTCAAGGAGTAGAATTGGGTGCTGAGGCCCTAGCCAGGACCAGGGGATGTAAGAAGGAGGAGGCCTTGGAGAGGGCAGGGGGCAACGTTTTCCAGAAGGAGGGAGTGGTCAGTCTCCACAAGGTCAGGCGAGATAAGCGCTACTGCACCCAGCCTCCCTCATGACTGTGACCAGAGGCTGTTGCCCCAGCTCAGGGGCTTCCTAGCATCTTGGCCATGAGGGATATGTGTAGCCCCCGCCCCACCCCCCGCCATCTGAGGCCCTGCTGGGCCCTGGTGATGGAGGAAGGCTCCCCAGAGAAAACTAGGAAGATAAAGTTTGCAAATTCCATGCCATTAGGCCTTGGTCCACTCCCACCCTCTTTTTTATTATTATTATTATTATTTTATTATTTGTTTGTTTTTTTTTTTGAGATGGAGTTTCGCTCTTGTTGCCCAGGCTGCAGTGCAATGGTGTGATCTCAGCTCACTGCAACCTCTGCCTCCCAGGTTCGAGAGATTCTCCCAGGTTAGCCTCCCAAGCAGCTGGGATTACAGGCGCCTGCCACCACGCCCGACTAATTTTTGTACTTCTGTAGAGACAGAGTTTCACCATGTTGGCCAGGCTGGTCTCGAACTCCTGACCTCGAGTGATCTGCCTGCCTCGGCCTCCTAGAGTGCTGGGATTACAGGCGTGAGCCACCACGCCAGGCCCTCTTTTTATTTTAGACACAGGGTTTCACTCTGTTGCCCAGGTTGGAGTACAGTGGTGCTATCATAGCTCACTTCAGCCTCAACCTCTCCAGGCTCAAGCAATCCTCCCACCTCAGCCTCCCAAGTAGCTGGGACTACAGGTGCCACCACCACGCCTGGCTAATTTTTTAAAAAGTTTTTTGTAGAAACAGGGTCTTGCTATGTTGCCTAGGCTGTTCTGGACCTCCTGACTCTGTCTCCCAAAGTGTTGGGATTACAGGTATGAGTTCATTGCACACAGCCCATCCCTTTCACTACAGGAGGCAAGCCAGAGCCCCAAAGAGGTTCTTGGTGCCTCAAGAACCCTGTTCCTCAGCCCAGATTGAGGAGGGGATGTGTTTTCTCCACTCCTGCCCCACCTCCAAACTGCTAGAGAGGAACCTCAGCAGGGAAATGAAGCATTGCTTCACCTTGCCTCTACCTCTGGCCCTGGGGTACCCTCTCTGTCCACTTGACCCCCACTCCTCCAACCACTGAGGCTGTGCTGACCTTCTGCCTGCTCCATCCTGTAACTACCTCACATTCACACAACCCAATGAAGTAGATATGGCTCTGAGTTCCATTTCACAGGTATGAAAACTGAGGTCCATAGAAGTCAGTTCTAGGGCGTCTGGCCTAGTGGCACAGCCAGGACTTTTTTTTTTTTTTGAGACCAAGTCTCGCTCTGTCACCACACTGGAGTGTAGTGGCACGATCTCAGCGCACTGCAACCTCTGCCTCCCGGGTTCAAGTGATTCTTCTGCCTCAGCCTCCGGAGTAGCTGGGATTACAGGTACGCGCCACCGTGCCCGCCTCGGCCTCTGAAAGTGGTAGGGTCATAGGCGTGAGCCACTGAGTTCGGCATTTTTTTTTTTTTTTATTTTTGGACTTTTTTTTTTGGAGACTGAGTCTCTGTCACCCAGGCTGGAGTGCAATGGTGCGATCTTGGCTCACCGCAACCTCTGCCTCCCAGTTTCAAGTGATTCTCTTGCCTCAGCCTCCCGAGTAGCTGGGATTACAGGCATGTGCCACCACGCCAGGCTAATTTTGTATATATATGTATATTTTTTTTTTAGTAGAGATGGGGTTTCACCATATTGGTCAGGCTGGTCTCCAACTCCCGAACTCAGGTGATCCGCCCACCTCGGCCTCCTAAAGTGCTGGGATTACAGGCGTGAGCCACCGCGCCCGGCCGGATTTGGTTCCTGGTTCGACTATCTCCCCATGGGTTTCACCGAGAAACAGCCCTGCTGGCCCTTGTCTCCACCTATCACAGAAGAACAACTGGGTCCCCTCCTTTACCCATCCTGGGGCCACTGTATCCTACACACAGACCCCAGAAGACAGACCCTGCCAGTCTAATGGTGGAGACAACTCTGAGATCAAATGGCACGTGGCAGATTGATCAGGAGCAGGAGACCCAGGACCTGGGAGAGACAGAGCACTGAATTCACAAACTACCCCAAGCAGAGGGCAAGCAAAGCTCCCTAAGAAAGTGGAGCCAGGCCAGACACGGTGGCTCACGTCTATAACCCCAACACTTTGGGAGGCCGAGGCCGGTGGATCATGAGGTCAAGAGTTCAGGACCGGCCTGGCCAAGATGGTGAAACCGTGTCTCTACTGAAAATACAAAAATTAGGCCGAGCACGGTGGCTCACGCCTGTAATCTCAGCACTTTGGGAGGCCGAGGCCAGCGGATCACGAGGTCAGGAGATTGAGACCATCCTGGCTAACACGGTGAAACCCCGTCTCTACTAAAAATACAAAAAATTAGCCGGGCATGGTGGCGGACACCTGTAGTCCCAGCTACTCGGGAGGCTGAGGCAGGAGAATGGCGTGAACCTGAGAGGTGGAGCTTGCAGTGAGCCGAGATTGCGCCACTGCACTCCAGCCTGGGTGACAGAGCAAGACTCCATCTCAAAAAAAAAAAAAAATACAAAAATTAGCTTGGCATGGTGGTAGGTACCTGTAATCCAGCTACTGAGGAGGTTGAGGCAGAGAATCACTTGAACCCAGGAGGCAGAGGTTGCAGTGAGCCGAGATGGCACCACTGCACTCCAGCCTGGGCGACAGAGCGAGACTCTGTCTCAAAAAAAAAAAAAAATAGCTGGGCATAGTGGTGCACACCTGTAGTCCCAGCTGCTTGGGAGACTGAGGCAGGAGGATCCCTTGAGCCCATGAGTTTGAGGCTGCAGTGAGTTATGATTACACCACTGCACTCCAGCCTGGATGACAGAGTGAGACCCTGTCTCTAAGAAACAGATAAAAATACAAATAAAAAAGAAAGAGCATGGCCAGGTGCGGTGGCTCAAGCCTGTAATCCCAGCGCTTTGGGAGGCCGAGGCTGGTAGATCACGAAGTCAGGAGTTTAAGACCAGTCTGGCCAAGATGGTGAAACCCTGTCTCTACTAAAAACACAAAAATGAGCCGGGTGTGGTGGTGGGCGCCTGTAATCTCAGCTACTCGGGAGGCTTGAGGCAGAGAATTGCTTGAACCCAGGAGGCCAAGGTTGCAATGAGCCAAGATTGCGCCATTGCACTCCAGCCTGGGGGCGACAGAGTGAGAATCTGTCTCAACAAAAAAGAAAAAGAGGCCAGGCGTGGTGGCTCAAGCCTGTAATCCCAGCACTTTGGAAGGCCGAGGCGGGCGGATCACAAGGTCAGGAGATCAAGACCATCCTGGCTAACAGGGTGAAACCCCGTCTCTACTAAAAATACAAAAAATTAGCCAGGCGTGGTGGCGGGCGCCTGTAGTCCCAGCTACTCGGGAGGCTGAGGTGGGAGAATGGCGTGAACCCGGGAGGCGGAGCTGGCAGTGAGCCGAAATCGCGCCACTGCACTCCAGCCTGGGGGACAGAGCGAGACTCCAAAAAAAAAGTGGCCGGGCGTGGTGGCTCACGCCTGTAATCCCAGCACTTTGGGAGGCCAAGGGGAGTTGATCCGGAGGTCAAGAGATTGAGACCATCCTGGCCAACAAATATGGTGAAACCCCGTCTCTACTAAAAATACACAAATTAGCTGGGCGTAGTGGTGCACACCTGTAGTCCCAGCTACTCAGGAGGCTGAGACAGGAGAATTACTTGAACTCAGGAGGCGGAGGTTGCTGTGAGCCAAGATGGTGCCACTGCACTCCAGCCTGGGTGACAAAGCGAGACTCTGTCTCAAAAAAAAAAAGAGCAGCCAGAGAAAACCACACTAGGAGTGACCTTAGAGCAGGCACTGAAGAACAGCAAGGCATGGCAGGCAGAGGGCATGGCAAGGGCACGGCCCCTTCCTTGGCTCCTCAGACCAGGGAAGTCAGTTCCCCTCTTATGACCAGACAAAGCAGCCTGCACCTTTTTGCCCAGCCCCAGCACCCTTGTGAGTATTCTGTCGTCTTCTCCTTAGTCTGTGGGCTTCTGAGGCCAGGGAACACATCTGTGCTGTTCACTAGCCCAGTGCCCACCTCATCATTGCTGTCAGCATCTGTTGGTTGAATGACAGTTCCATGAGTGGCCTCCCTTGGGCTCAAGGTGCCTGGCTCTGCTAGGGGTGAAGGAGTGGTGACTTGACAGGGAGGTGTGTGGTGAGGAGCGGGGCACCCATCACAGGCCTGGCCTTTGCTATAGGGAATAGGCTTGCTGGGGATGCATTCTTCAGATGGTGTTCCTAAGAGGGTGAACTGAGCTCATGTCAGTCTGAGGGGCTGGAGTCTGAGGTTAGCTACGGACCTTGGGCAGGTGACTTAACCTCTCTAACCTTGGTTTTCTACTGGGTCTTGCCCTGTCATCATGGCTAGGCTGCAGTGATGCAATCTCAGCTCACTGCAGCCTTGACCTCCTGAGCTCAAGCTATTCTCCCACCTCACCCTCCTGAGTAGCTGGGACTTCAAGCACTCACCACCATGGGCCTGGCTTTTTTCTTTTTTGTATTTGTAGAGACAGGGTTTCGCCATGTTGCCCAGGCTGGTCTGTAACTCCAGGGCTCAGCTGACCCACCCACCTCAGCCTTCCAAAGTGCTAGGATTACAGGCATGAGCCACCACCCCTGGCCTCATTCATTTGACTTTCATTTTCGTTTTTATTATTATTTGTTTTAGACTCAGGGTCTCACTCAGTCTCCCAGGCGGGAGTGCAGTGGTGTGACCTTGGCTTACTGCAGCGTCAAATTCCTGGGCTCAAATGATTCTCCTGTCTTAGCTTCTGAGTAGCTGGGACTATAGGTACATGCCACCAAGCCCGGCTAATTTTTTTTTTTTTTGAGGCCGCGTCTGGCTGTTGCCCAGCTATAGTACAATGGCGCAAGTATAGCTCACTGCAACCTCGAATTCTTGGGCTCAAGCAATCCTCCCACCTCAGCCTCCCAAGTAGCTAGTACTATAGACGAGTGCCACCATGCCCGGCTAATTTTAAAAATTTTTTGTAGAGATGAGATGTCACTGTTTTGCCCAGGCTGGTATCAAACTCCTGGACTCAAGCAATCCTCCCGCCTTGGCTTCCCAGAGTGCTGGGATTATAGGCGCCAGCTACCATGAGTGGTCTCATTTGACTTTTTTTTTTTTTTTTTTGAGACAGAGTCTTGCTCTGTAGCCCAGGCTGGAGTGCAGTTGCATGATCTCACCTCACTGTTACCTCTGTGTCCCGGGTTCAAGCAATTCTCCTGCCTCGGCTTCCCAAATAGCTGGGATTACAGGCGTGCATTACCACACCCAGCTATTTTTTTTTTTTTTTTTTTTTTGTATTTTTAGTGGAGACAGGATTTCATATGCTGGCCAGGCTGGTCTCGAACTCCTGACCTCAGGTGATCCTCCTGCCTCAGTCTCCCAAAGTGCTGAGATTACAGGCGCGAACCACTGTGCCCGACTTCATTTGACTTTTTTTTTTTTTTGAGATGGAGTCTTGCTCTGTTGCCCAGGCTGGAGTGCAATGGCGCAATCTTGGCTCACTGCAACCTCTCCCTCCCGGGTTCAAGTGATTCTCCTGCCTCAGCTTCCCGAGTAGCTGGAATTACAGGTGCCTGCCACCACGTCTGGCTAATTTTTGTAGTTTTAGTAGAGATGGGGTTTCACCATGCTGGCCAGGCTGGTCTCGAACTCCCAACCTCAGGTGATCTACCCGCCTTGGCCTCCTAAAGTGCTGGGATTACAGGCGTGAGCCACTGCACCTGGCCCCTCATTTGACTTTTAATTGAGAACCTACTTTGTGCCATGTATAAGCTGGATACAAGAGTGAACAAGACCAAGCCTTCCTGCCCTCATGCCAACTGCTCAGCAGTATTTCAGGACTGTATCAGGGTGATTAGCCTGGGATCACAGGAGACTTCCTACAAGAGATGATGTCTGAACTGAGTTGTTCACCAGGCACAGGTGGGAGAAGGGAGAAGGCTGGCCTGGACAGGAGGAGCCCTGGTGTGAATGCCCAGAGATGGCAGGAGAAATCATGGCGTATATAAGGTGTCTTGAGCTTGGGATATGGGAAGGTGAGAAGTGATATTGTATGGGACATACTTTTTTTTTTTTTTTTGAGACGGAGTCTCGCTGTCACCCAGGCTGGAGTGCAGTGGCACGATCTCAGCTCACTGCAGGCTCCGCCTCCTGGGGTTCACGCCATTCTCCTGCCTCAGCCTCCCGAGTAGCTGGGACTACAGGCGCCCGCCACCGCGCCCGGCTAATTTTTTGTATTTTTAGTAGAGACGGGGTTTCACCGTGTTAGCCAGGATGGTCTTGATCTCCTGACCTCGTGATCCGCCCGCCTCGGCCTCCCAAAGGGCTGGGATTACAGGCGTGAGCCACCGCGCCCGGCCGGGACATACTTATATTAAGCATTATTGGTTGTTTATCCGAAATTCAAATTTGGGCATACTGTTAAATGCTAAATCTAGCTGTCATAGTAAGAAGCTGAAATTTACTGTTTGGGGGTATTTTGTATATTTGTTTTCTTTCTGTTTTTTATTGAAAACAGATAATGGTAAAATAACAGACCCTTCCTACATGACACAACAATCATAGTCACTGTACCAGGGCTCACCAGAGCCTGAGTTCCGTGCTCTGCCTGCTCAACCTCCTGTCATTCAAGCCTCCCAAGGGGGTGGTGCCCTGATTCCCAAATGGATGAGGAAAGCAGATCATAGTGGTTAGATCTTGGACTAGACACACAGAGAATCCGGAGGGAGTGAGGACACAAAATGAACCCATTTCTGGCGGGTCTTCCCATCCCTGCTAATCTGTAGTTTTTATATTTCCATATTACCTTCCGCCCAGATCTAGCTTTACTGGGTTGCTGCCAGGGAGAACAAATTTTTGAAATCTGCTATTTTATTTATATTAATTAATTAATTAATTAATTACTTTAAGACGAGGTCTCGCTCTGTTGTCCAGCCTGGGGTGCAGTGGCATGATCTCAACTCACTGCAACGTCTGCCTCCCTAGTTCAAGTGATTCTCCCACCTCAGACTCCCGAGTAGCTGGGATTATCCGTATGTGACACCATGCCTGGCTAATATTTTAGTAGAGACAGGGTTTCTTCATGATCACCAGGCTGGTCTCAAACTCCTGGCCTCAAGTGATCCACCTGCCTCGGCCTCCCAAAGTGCTGGGATTAGAGGTGTGAGCCACTGTGCCCAGCCTAAAAATATTTTTTAATAGCACCACAGTGTAGGCTGGGTGCGGTGGCTCACACCTGTAATCCCAGCATTTAGGGAGGCTGAGGCGGGTGGATCACTTGAGGTCAGGAGTTCAAGACCAGCCTGGCCAACATGGTGAAACCCCGTCTCTACGAAAAATACAAAAATTAGCCAGGCATGGTGGCAGATACCTGTAATCCCAGCTACTTAGGAGGCCGAGGCAGGAGAATTGCTTGAACCCGGGAGGTGGAGGTTGCAGTGAGCAAAGATTGTGCCATTGCACTCTAGCCTGGGTGACAGGAGCAAGACTCCATCTCAAAAAAAAAAAAAAAAAAAAAAAAAAAAAACAAAGAAAAAAGAAAACAAAAAGCACCACACTGTAAATAAACTGAACAACCATGGTTAACGAAGTGTGAATAAATTACAGAAGCTCCATACTCTGGAACATTTGTCAGCTCTTAAAGAATGAATTATGATCCTTTTGTAGTTCATAAGCATGATGATTATGTGTTCACACACGTTCCCATGTAAGATGTGCCACCTTCAAATATTTTTTTTTTTTTTTTTAAGAGGGAGTCTTGCTCCGTCACCCAGGCTGGAGTGCAGTGGCGCGATCTTGGCTCACTGCAAGCTCCGCCTCCCGGGTTCATGCCATTCTCCTGCCTCAGCCTCCTGAGTAGCTGGGACTACAGGCACCCGCCACCACGCCCGGCTAATTTTTTTGTATTTTCAGTAGAGATGGGGTTTCACTGTGTTAGCCAGGATGGTCTCAATCTCCTGAACTCGTGATCCGCCCGCCTTGGCCTCCCAAAGTGCTGCGATTACAGGCGTGAGCCACCGCGCCCGGCCGCCACCTTCAAATCTTGTTACGACATAGGCACATTACCCGTCTGACATGAAAAAAAAAAAAAAGAATGAATTATGGAAATGAACTAGAAAAATGTCTATGATTTCAAAATAGTAGGATCTTTTTTGTAAGGTGAGTAGATACATATTGATGTCAGAGAAGAGAGTTAAACTGTTAATGTTACTTCAGAAAGGACTGATTAGGGTGGAGGAGGAGGGAGAATTTAACTTTAAAAAATTGCTGGGCATGGGCTGGGCACGGTGGCCCACGCCGGTAATCCCAGCACTTTGGGAGGCCGAGGTGGGCAGATCACGAGGTCAATAGATCGAGACAACCCTGGCAACATGGTGAAACCCCATCTCTACTAAAACTACAAAAATTAGCTTGGTGTGGCGGTGCTCACTTGTAATCCCAGCTACTTGGGAGGCCGAGGCAGGAGAATCGCTTGAACCCGGGAGCCGGAGGTTGCAATGAACGGAGATTGCGCCTCTGCACTCCAGCCTGGGTGACAGCGCGAGACTCCATCTGCACAAAAAAAAAAAAAAAAAATTACCGGGCATGGTGTCTCATGCTTGTAATCCCAGCACTTTGGGAGGCTGAGGTGGGAGAATTGCTTGAGTCTGGGAGTTTGAGATCAGCCTGGGAAGCATAGTGAGACCCTGTCTCTACAGAAAATAAAAAATTAGCCGGGTGTGGTGGTGCATGCCTGTAGTCCCAGCTGGGAGAATCACTTGAGCCTAGGAAGTGGAGGCTGCAGTGGGCCATAATCACGCCACTGTGCTCCAGCCTGGGCAACAGAGCTAGACTCTGTCTCAAAAATAAATAATAAAATAAAAATAAAATGTGCTTCAGCATCTCTAGAATTGTTCCGATTAGAAATGTTACTTTCATAAAATAAAAATAACACACACGCTAAAGTATACATGTGTAGAAAAAAAAATTCCCAACTTCCAGAGAGAACCTCCGTAAATATTTTTGATTTATTTTCTTCAGTTGCTTTTCCATATATCAATATTTTTGCATGCATTTAAAAAATGCAATTAAAAAAAAAATTTTTTTTTGAGGCGGAATCTCGCTCTGTCGCCCAGGCTGGAGTGCAGTGGCGTGATCTTGGCTCACTGCAAGCTCCGCCTCCCAGGTTTTCACGCCATTCTCCTGCCTCAGCCTCCTGAGTAGCTGGGACTACAGGCATCTGCCACCAGGCCCGGCTAATTTTTTTGTACAAAAAATACAATTTTTTTTAAGACAGGGTCTAGCTCTGTTGACCAGGCTGGAGTGTGCAGTGGTGTGATTTTGGTTCACTGAAACGTCCACCTCCTGGGTTCAAGTGATCCTCCTGCCTCAGTCCCCCGAGTAGCTGGGACTACAGGGGTGTGCCACCATGCCTGGCTAATATTTTTGTGTGTATTTTTAGTAGAGATGGGGTTTCACCATGTTGGCCAGGCTGGTATCGAACTCCTGACCTCAAGTGATCCTCCTGCCTCAGTCTTCCAAAGTGCTGGGATTACAGGCGTGAGCCACTGCACCTGGCCTCTTCTTTTTTTTTTTTTTTTAATTATTTTTGGCTGGGCGCAGTGGCTCACGCCTGTAATCCCAGCACTTTGGGAGGCCGACGCGGGTAGATCATGAGGTCAAGAGGTCCAGACCAGCCTCTTGTAAAAATACAAAAATTAGCTGGGTGTGGTGGTGGGTGCCTATAATCCCAGCTACTCAGGAGGCTGAGGCAGAGAATTGCTTGAACCTGGGAGGCAGAGGTTGCAGCAAGCTGAGATGATGCCACTGCACTCCAGCCTGGATGACAGAGTGAGACTCTGTCTCAAAAAATAAATAAATAAATAAATAAAAATTTTATTTTTTAATTAAAAATTTACTTATTTATTATTATTATTATTATTATTATTATTAGAGACGGAGTTTCACTCTTGTCACCCAGGCTGGAGTGCAATGGCAGGATCTCAGCTCACTGCAACCTCCGCCTCTGGAGTTCAAGCAATTCTCCTGCCTCAGCCTCCCAAGTAGCTGGGATTACAGGCATACGTCACCATGCCTGGCTAATCTTGTATTTTTAGTAGAGACGGGGTTTTACCATGTTGGCCAGGCTGGTCTCAAACTTCTGACCTTGGGTGATCCACCCGCCTCGGCCTCCCAAAGTGCTGGGATTACAGGAGTGAGCCACCGTGCCCATCCTATTAATTTAATTAATTAATTTATTTATTTATTTTCTGAGACCGAGTCTCACTCTGTCGCCCAGACTGGAGTGCAGTGGTGTGATCTGGGCTCACTGCAACCTCCGCCTCCTGAGTTCAAGCGATTCTCTGCCTCAGCCCCCCGAATAGCTGGGATTACAGGTGCCCGTCACCATGCCTGGCTAATTTTTGTATTTTTAGTAGAGACGGGGTTTCACCATCTTGGCCAGGCTGGTGTTGAACTCCTCACCTCGTGATCCACCTGCCTGGGCCTCCCAAAGTGCTGGGATTACAGGCGTGAGCCACCGCGCCTGGCCTATTTATTTTTTTAAAATGGAGTCCCACTCTGTCGCCCAGGCTGGAGTGCAGCGGCACCACCTCGGCTCACTGCAACCTCTGCCTCCCAGGTTCAAGCAACTCTCGTGCTGCGCCTCAGCCTGCTGAGTGGCTGGGACTACAGGCATGTGACACCATGCTTGGCTAATTTTTTTTTTGAGACGGAGTTTCACTTTTGTTGCCCAGGCTGGAGTGCAATGGTGCGATCTCAGCTCACCGCAATCTCCGCCTCCCGGGTTCAAGCAAGTCTCCTACCTCAGCCTCCCGAGTAGCTGGGATTACAGGCATGCGCAATCACGCCCAGCTAACTTTTCGTATTTTTAGTAGGGACGGGGTTTCACCATAATGGTCAGGCTGGTCTCGAACTCCCGACCTCAGGTGATCTGCCCGCCTCGGCCTCCCAAAGTGTTGGGATTACAGGCATGAGCCACTACTCCTGGCCTAATCTACATTCCATTATGTGGACTATTTAACCCCATTGTGAGAAATTTGTATATGCTTTTTTCTTTTTTTTTTTTTTGATACGGAGTCTTGCTCTGTTGCCCAGGCTGGAGTGCAATGGCAGGATCTCAGCTCACTGCAACCTCCGCCTCTGGAGTTCAAGCAATTCTCCTGCCTCAGCCTCCCAAGTAGCTGGGATTACAGGCATACGCCACCATGCCCAGCTAATTTTGTATTTTCAGTAGAGACGGGGTTTTACCATGTTGGCCAGGCTGGTCTCAAACTCCTGACCTCAGGTGATCCTCCCGCCTCAGCCTCCCAAAGTGCTGGGATTACAGGCGTGAGCCACCGCCTGTATATGCTTTCTTTCACTATTATACATGACACTTAAAAAATATTATCATATATTAGTTATCTTTTTTGTTGTTTTTTGAGACCGAGTCTCCCTCTGTTGCCCAGGCTGGAGTGTCATGGCATGATCTCAGCTCACTGCAACCTCAGCCTCCCAGATTCAAGCAATTCTCCTGTCTCAGCCTCCCGAGTAATTGGGACTACAGGCATGCACCTCGATATCCGGCTAATTTTTGTATTTTTAGTAGAGACGGGGTTTCACCATGTTGGCCAGGGTGGTCTCAAAGTCCTGACCTCAGGCGATCTGCCGGCCTTGGCCTCCCAAAGTGTTGGGATTACAGGCATGAGCCAGCCACATTAGTTTTCAAATGCAGATGAAACAAGGGACCGTGGAATGCCTGTTGTCTCAGGTGTGCTCCTAGGCATGGGTTCCAAACTTACAGGTACAAACTTACTTATGGGTAGAGAGACAGATAATAAGTACGTGGTCTGCAAACGTGGCTAATTTCCCCAGAACAGAATCCTGGAATACTGGTCTGAGAGGGTATAATTATTTTAAAATATTTTTGGGGCCAGGTGCGTTGGCTTATGCCTGTAATCCCAGCACTTTGGAAGGCAGGAGGATCACTTGATCCCAGGAGTTTGAGGCTACACTCCAGCCTGGGCAACAGAGTGAGACTCCGAGTCTCCAAAAAACAAAAAAAGACAAAAGAACCCCAAAAAAACAACTTTTGGCTCATACCGCCAAACTCATGTCCAGGAATTTTGAGGTGATTTATGTGCTTCCAAAAGTATATGAGAGTGATTACCTATCAGACCTTGTGTTTGAAGGTTATCACTTGAAACTGATTTTTAATTTGTTTAGGAGAAAACCCAGCTTCTTATAGTTTTATTTTATTTATTTATTTATTTTTTTGAGACGGAGTCTCGCTGTCGCCCAGGTTGGAGTGCAGTGGCACGATCTCGGCTCACTGCAGGCTCCGCCCCCCGGGGTTCACGCCATTCTCCTGCCTCAGCCTCCCGAGTAGCTGGGACTACAAGCGCCCGCCACCTCGCCTGGCTAATTTTTTGTATTTTTAGTACAGACGGGGTGTCACCGTGTTAGCCAGGATGGTCTCGATCTCCTGACCTCGTGATCCGCCCGCCTTGGCCTCCCAAAGTGCTGGGATTACAGGCGTGAGCCACCGCGCCCGGCCTATAGTTTTAATTTATATGTCTTGGGTTAGTAGAATGGTTGACTTTTTTTTTCAGTCGTTCCTTCAAATAGTGAGTCCTCTGCTAGGCTCTATTTGTGGAATATTCTTGTTCTTCTTCAGGGATGTTTGATAGCTCTTTTTTTTCCACAGATGTTTGATATTTCCTTTTTCATCTATTGTGTTCTTACCATTTCTAGGATGTTTCTAGGCTTTCTATTCTATTTCCTGTTCTGTACCACACTGAAATGCCTGCGGTAGCTTTACAATTTGTTTTGATATCTGTTAGGGCAAGTCTACCCTCATGCCTGCTTTTGTTCCCAAGGGGGGAAAACCATAGCTGTTTTCGGCTATTTATTTTTCCAGGTGAACTTAGAATTTTGTGAAGTCTAAGAAATGTTGTTAGGATGACATTAAACCTATACATCCATTAGGAAAGAAAGGTTGCATCATCAGCTTGGCGAAGGGTTATTGAAACTGGTTTTTGATCTTGACTGGAGCTGGGGCACAACTTCCCTGTAAGGCAGACCTGGGCTCCTCTTGGACTTGGGCGACCTCGATAGTGGTGTGTTCCTTTGTTTGGTGTTCAAAGTAGAGAGAGGTCCATTAACTAGCTCCCTAGAGAAGCAGTGGCGGCTCAGGCCAGCCCAGCCCCTGGGAAGGCTATCTGCATGGCGGCCGGGAGCCCGGGTCCTGGTGGGCCGGCTCGGGCAGGCGCTTGACCCCTGGGGCCTGCGAGGGGCTGCGGCCACCGGAAGGGGCTGGCTGAGCGCAGCGTGCTGGGTCCTCCGCGCCCTCGGAGCAGGTAGGGTTCGCGGGGGTGCGCCCGCGGGGGCCCGAGGGGCGCTGGGGTCACGGGAGGGGCGCCCCTTCTCTTTTGCACCCAACCAGCCCGGGCTTCCCCAGGAGCCCAGACCCCCGAGCTTGCAGTCACTGCTGGCTGCGCCTTTGAGCCTCGGGCAACCGCAGGGAGCGTCGAGCAGGGGTCGCAAAGGGGTCGGGGAGGGGGCGCGTAGGCCGATAGAGGTCCCTAATTCGGGGCTCCTAGGGGTCAGGGTAGGGCTAAAAGGGGGTAAGTCCACCAGAGTTTGAGGGGGTGGGCGTCAGCCTGTCGGGGGGGGCCAGGGTCCCTGTCCCGGGGGCCGGTATGCGGTCCGGGTATTTCAGGGGCGAGGTCGCGGTCCTGCCCTGGCGCTTGAGGTCGGAGTCCGGTTAGATGTCCGGGGTCTGGGTCCCCGGCTCCTCCCGCGCACCCCTCCCCCACGGCGCCGGACCCCGGCAGCCCGCCCCGCCTAGTGCTGGGACCGCTGTCCGGCCCGGCCCCGCCCCCGCAGGCCCCGCCCCTGTTCACAGGCCACGCCCCCAGCTGCTGCCCCCTGTCCCCGCCCCGCCGCTCGCCCATTCAGATGTGGGTCAGGGGTGAGCGGGCGGCGCCGACGTCACAAGCTTCCAAGATGGCGCTGGGCGGGCGGCTGTGAGCGGCGCTCGGGGCGCGCTAGGCGGGGAGCCGAGCCGGGCTGGCGGCAGGCGGACGGGGCGGGCGCGTGCGGCGCGAGCCGGGCGCTGAGGACAAGGGCCGCTGGTAGGGCCGGCCGGCCGGCGGGCGGAGCGCCGCCGCCGACGCACACGAGGTGAGGGGCGGCCTTGTGGGGCGGGGGTCGCGGGGAGCGGGCGGGGGCCGGGGCCGCGGGCTGGGCGCGTCCCCGGGGAGAGGGGCGTGGACGCGCGCGCGCCCGGGCGACGTGGGACTGCGCGCGTGGGGGACGCGCTAGCGTCTGGCGGGCCTGGGCTGGGGCGCACGCGGGACCCCTGGCAGGCCCGGGCTTTGTGGGCCAGATGCCCGGAGGGGCGCGGGCGGTGGGGCACCCGGGGCACAAAGCCCACCGGGCCGCGCCAGGCCCAGGCGGCGCGGGTCTGCGGAGCGGGGGTCGGCGGGCGAGCGGGCGCCGGCTCTTTGTGCCTTTTCATTAGCAATCTAATCCGAACAGCGTCGGGCGAGCTGCGCTGCCTGACAGGCGGGAGGGCTCCCATTATGCAAACGGCCCTGCGCCCGCGGCCGCCCCCTCGCTAGAGGATTTTGCGATTTCCAGGACTGCGGTCCTGCACCGTCTGCGGTCTCCTCTCTTGCCTCCTCCCCGCGGGAAGACTGGCCACGGCAGGGGCAGGGGCGGGCCTGGAGGGGCCGCTCCCAGAGGGCCGGGCTCTGCGGCTGGTGGGCTCGCTGCCCTGCCCCCAGACCTCTCCTGTAGGCAGCCGCTTGGCAGGAAGAGAGATGGGCTTGGGGGAGGGGGTCGGCTTTCAGGGGGAAGGGACCGGCTGGCTGAGGGAGGGGGCTGAGGGGCCCCAGCTTGTCACTCTCTGTTTATCTTCCAAGATGGTTCATATTCACACAGGCCTGGGTGTGTGCGTGGTTGGGGGGGGGGGGGAATGCCTCTCCCTGGGGGGCAGTGACTTGCTGAGAGGAGGGAATGAGGCCAGATAATGCTCCCAACGGCCCCACCCAGAACTGCCTGGGACTGCCTGTGTAAGGGAGCCCAGTGCTGAGCCGGATGGGTTGGAGCGGTGTTAAAGTTATTTATCCATGTCTTCTCCTGTCCCCCGCACCCCTAGTCTTTTCTAGTAGGAGTTGCCAAGCACATCTGGAAAGCTGTGTTCCCCGACCCCCCACTCCCCCAACAGCAGGAGGGGTGTAACCCAGGGAAGCCACCCCTCTGACATATGTGCTGGGGGGAGGGGCAGAGCCTTGCCCCTAGGAATCCTGTGGCGGTGGGTTGTTGACTGATGTGGGATTGCTGTGTCTCTTGTGCTGTCGGAGAGCTGGCAGGTAGTGGAGGGGCCTTGGGAGCTCCTAGGCTGAACTTGGGGCTGTCCTCCAAGGATCCAGGATGGAGGGATGGAGCTGGGTCACTCAAACCTAAGGCCTTTCTGGGTCTAGCATTTATTGCTTCCTGGCTTCTGGCTTGGCTTCTTTTCGTCCATTCTCATCTGCCAGTGTCTGGACTCCCTGGGCCTTCAGGCAGGCATTTTCAGGAGCACAGGCCATGTGGTTGGTCTGGAGCCCTGTGTCAAGGAGAGTGTGCGTGCTTGGTGGAGCAGGGTTGCTGGAGTAGTGTGAAAAAAAGCAGATGAGCTGGCCTCTGGAGACAAAGCTGTGTGGCAAGACTGCTGGTTTAGTGGGCTCTGAACACCAAGAACAGGGCCGGGAGTCTGATACTTGGGGGCTGAACTGAGTCCTGTGGCCCAGGATTGTTGCCTGGAAGTGAACGTTCCGTCTTGTGCCATTGAGACTGTGAAGATCTCTGGGTCCCACAGGACGAGCAGTAGACTTGGAAGGCTGGGAAGAGGCTCCCCAGCTGCCTGCCTTGGGAGGTCAGAGCTCTCAGGTGGGTCGGCAGGCCAGTGTCGGGCTGGGGGAGGGAGGTTGTAGTAGAGTGCCTGTGGCCCAGCTTCTCTGGTCAGTTGGCTCTGAGTGCTGCTGTGTGCCCAGCAACCTCTCCCTGCGGTGTTTTTCTGCCAGTTGTTGGAACTTGTAGATTAGTCACTGAGTTTTTACGACCGATTCCTGAAAAGAAAAATCTCCCTCTGGTTGCTGCCTCTGTGTAGAGGAAGAAGCAGCCCGAGGGAGTCAGGCCTTTAATTAAAGCAAAACCGAAATGATTGTCGAAGTTGCTGGAAGGAGAAGAGAAGGCGCAGGTGGGGCAGGGGTGATGAGTCCTGTTGTGCTGCATGATACCTGCTCTGGGGACAGGTAGGCACGATCCCATCCTCGATCCTTGGTCTTGGCCAGCAGCCCAGCCTTCTCCACAAGCTGCAGTCGCGGATTAATCCTCACGTAGTGTTTTCTTTCCGTAGATCAGATTTCTCATTTTGTTAATAAGCGCAGCCTCCCATCCACTTGAAGTCAGCTGTTGTGGACGAGGAGCAACAGGGTTTTGCATTATTGAGCTGATAGCCTGCCGCCTCCCCTCAAGTCCTTATTGTTTGCGGGGTCAGATCTGAGGGGTGGGGAAGTGCCATTTAATCAGCAGCCAGCCCCTGGAGAAGAGCTGGCGGGGCAGTTCTGGAGAGTGAGAGCCGTGAGGAAGGAATAAAGTTCAGTTTACCCAGGGGACTTGTGGTTCCAACCTTATTGCTTGGTCTGTTGGCCTGGAGCAGTCAGCCCCACCCCATACCTTGTCCTGCCCGCTGCCCCCAGTACCTGATCCCTGGGAGAGTGGGGCACTTCTTCTGGGCTGCTCTTGCTGGCCTGGGAGGCAGCTTTCACCGCGGGAAGAAAGAACACATTGGGTTCCTCCCTTCTTGTCTCCTCCGAGCCTGGCCTAGGACGGACCCCTGTGGGGCAGTGAGAGGGGAACTGGACTTGGTCGGTCGCAAAGTCTGTAGTGCATTGCTGGCTCTGCCATTTACTCCCGTCATGACCTTGAGCAGTGATTGACTCTCCTGCCTGGTTTCTACAATGGGAACAGAACTGGAGTTTACATTCATGTATCGCTGTTTTCTGGAGCTCAGCCTAGGGAAGGCAGACACTCAACAAATGATTATAAGATGGGGTGATAAGGGCTGGCATCTAGCGGAGCGCAGAGGGCATAGCGGTGGCGTGGGAGGAGCCGGCCGTGGGCTGGCTGAGAACCCTGGATGCCATGTGGGTTGGGGTTGGCCTGGAGGGGAGGGGTTTTAACCAGGAAGTGACTGCTACTGGGTTTTAAAAGGCAGTGGTAGGGTAGAGGGTGGCAGTGGAGACAGCTGGAGAGCACTGAGGACGCGGACCCACGGGTACTGTGTGAGCTGTGAAGCCCGCTTGGGAGACCCCACTGCCAGCCAGGCATGTATGCGGCTCTTTTTCAAGCTTTTTATTCATTCCGCCACATTTTCTGAGCGCAAAGTCAGTGCCTGGCCCCCTTGGTTTAGACCAAGTCATGTTGGCCCCTGCTTTCTGGTGCTCACAGACTTGCCTGGGCGGGGTGATAGAGGCGCTTGCAGTTCAGCACGCGGCCCGTTCTCCTCTGGAGGAGGGAAGGAGCTGCTTTTGGAAGTTAAGTAGCTTGCTGGGGGCTGGAGGGTAAATGCCTTTGACTCCACCGCCTGTGGAGGCCCATATAGTGTGGTGTCTGGAGAGATCTGAGATCGCACTAGGGAGGAGTGGGGCTGAAAGCCCCCTCCCTAAGAGAGGTCCTGGCTCCCATTTAGGGGCTTCTGAACCAGCCCTTCCAGTTTGACTCTGCCTGGCACCGCCAGGGTTCGCTTCCTGCTGGGAGGGGCCTTGCCCTAAGGGTTAGGGACCTGGGCTGGGGGAGGGCTCTGAGGAGGGGCTGGGCCCCGAGGGACTGAGGGACTGCAGGCTTGCTTGCCTTGAGCCCAGTTTTAGCTGGGAGTGGCAAAGCGAGAAAAGCTGGTGGGGATGGGAGCTCTGTGTGGGCCCCCAGTGAGCTTGATAAGGGAGGCGAGGCTGGGAGCTGGTTCCAGCCCGCCAAAGTTCAGGAGGGAAGGGCCAGACTGCCTGAGAGGGGTATGGCGGGACTGAGTGGGGAGAGGGACTCCAAGAAACTGCTTGGGACCCTCGGGAAGGTGGCCAGGCTTTGGGGAGCCCCTCCTTCTAACTATTCAATTTATTTTTTATGGTAATGTTAGTGGGTGGAGAGTGGGAGTGCAGCCTCGGTGTTAGAACAGGGGGACTTGGGGGTCCTTCTAATGGTGAGAGGGCACAGGGATGGGTCAGCTAGGTGTCTCTTACCTAGAGGCACCGGTTTTTTGTGAGGTGGGCAGCGCATCGTAGGATCTTAGGTGCATGTTTTCTGTTTAAGGGTGATCACACATGGGTTGTGGTGAGGAGGGAGTATGTGGAGTCCCCAGCCTTCTTGTGGCAGTTCCCAGTGTGACTAAAAGAAGGCAGGGATTGGGTTTGGTTAGGTGGGTGCTTCCAGGTGAGAGTTGGCCTGCTGTGGAAATGGAAGAGCTCCTGGCTCTGGCAGGGGTGTGGCTGCTGTACAGACTTGTCCCCTGCCGTCCCGGGCTGTTGCCCTGCGGCTTGGGCTTCGGCTTCATTCCACCGGGTGGGTGGGTTCTCTGACAAGTGTGGGAAGGGGCCGCTCCCATTACCACACTGAGGCCTGAGCCCCTTTGAGGGGGAGGATCTGTTGCATGGCCTTTGCAAGCCCTCACCCCTGCTGCGGGTCGGGCGGTGAGGCCGCAGCACTCGGAAGACGGTAAACTGTTGGTGAGCTCTCATTCACAAAGTAAATGAGAAGGGAGAGTGGGGACTGGGACTTCGGTGGCCTGTCCTTGTGTGGACACAGTGGGGCTCTTCTGGGTGATGAGTGCAGGCCGCACATTCACCCAGCACACGTTGCCCATGCTGCCTGGCAGAGGCCTGCCTGCTGGTGCTCTGGTTCTCACCTTGAGCTATACCTGTCTCTGGGGTGGGCCCAAGGCACTAGCTTTTCCTGAAGCTTTTGAAGTGAACCTGATGTGCAGCCAAGTTTGAGAACCGCTCTTCTAGCAGGTGATGCATCTTTGTTGATAATAGAATCCACAGGCGGAGGGATGAGTAGCCCGCGCTTTTACCTGCGGTTCTCACTAACTGCTTTACTCCGAGGGCCTGGTGGGGTCAGCGGTTACCCAGTGAATGAGTTGGCAGAATCAGTCATGCCTGTTCCTGGGTAGTTACTGGGCACAGAGGGTGAACAGCAGGAGGAACCTAGCCCATGTGCACTGTTGGCTTCTCCTGGGAGGTCCTCTGGAGAGCTGCCTATAGCCCTCAGCTGTAGGCGGGTCCTACTGACCCCGTAGCACGGGCTTTTGGAGTCTGCCTGGCCTGGTTTCCTGGCTGCATTCTTGGGCTCTCGTTGGCCTGTATGTAGTCTGGCGGGACCTCACATAGTGCAGTTTGGGTTGAGCGGAGGTGGCCAGTAATGGGGGCCCCTGGGACTCCTGGGACCTCTGTCTTCTTCTCCCTGGAAGAGAAGAGATTTGTCCCTGAGGTTGGTTTCTTGGGCTGTGTTATCTGGGCAAGGTATATGAGGCCACTAATAGGGGCAGAGAAGGAAGAGTGGGAGGGGACTGAAGGGGGACGGGAGACAGAGAGCTTCAGGTAGGGCCTGGCTGGGCCTGGCCCCCTTTGCTGGAACAGAACAATAGGTTGTTCTGGGGTTTTGTTTGTATTTGAGGGAGAGAGGCTATAAGACGGCTCCTGCCAGCTAGGAGCAGCCTATCATGTGAGGGGACGGGTAGGCCCCTGGGTGTGGTTTTGGTCAGCATCCTGGGTAGGAAATCTTGCCTCTTAGAGATGGGACAGCAACCTGGCCAGGGGCAGTAGAGGAGATGGGAAAAGGGGCTCAGAAGGAAGGGGGTGGTGCACATCTTGGTAGCTGGGTCCAGGTGGTCCTGTCCTGAGTGAGTGATCTGGGGGTGGATTCCTGCCCTAGGTCTTGCGCCCCTTCACCCCAGCCCTGTCCGGGACCCCATGGCCCTTCCCCTTTATGGAAGCAGCTGCTATTATAGTTTCTGTCTGGCTTGTACCAGGGTACTTGGCTTAGAAGATGGGAAGAGGATGGTCCCCACGGAGTTCTGACAGAAGGCTAGGAAGGTAGTGGTGAAGAGGGTAAGCACTCATCCTGGGCTCGTTCCTGGGCTCAGCCTGGCAGTGGGCATTCTATGCCCGGTTCAGTTGTCAGAACACACCGGTGTGGTCCTCATCATTTTGTCAGTCCTCGTTGTACAAGTGGCTCAGAGAAGTTAGAGTCGTACATCTAAGAAGTGAGTGGCGAAGCTCCAGGTGAAGTGTGTGAAAGCCTCGGACACATTTGTGAGTGAGGACTCCTTACTCTGCGCAGTGCTTGGGCTGGAGGGCAGCTGAGGTGTTCATTTTGAGTGGGGTAGTGGGTTGGCTGCTCTGGACAAAGCCAGGGAATCTGGCTCCCAGAGTGGGAAGGTGGTCCCCTGCAGGTCCCCCATTCCTCCCCAAGGACCAGGGGCCAGAGAGCGTTCTCTGGGTCGTCCTCATCCTTCCAGTCACACGCAGCTCCTTACTGTCTGGTATGTGGGAATCTTCTGCCCCACGGCAGCCTGTGCCTTTGCCGAACACCTCCAGGAGAGCCATGTGGGGGATGGTCTGGACGTTGCAGGGACCAGAGCCGAGCTCTTGAGATTCTCTGAGTGTGGACAAACGAGGTGCTCAGACATGGCCCTTGGTGGTGTGGGGACACAGGCAGGATAGCTCCTCTCGGTGACTCTTGGTAGATTGTCTTCTGGTAGATGGGCTGGGGGTGCGGGTTCTGGTGCTTCAAGGTGGTTGTCCTCTGACTGTGAACCAGAGCCCAGGGACCAGGCGTCAGCCCCGTGCTGGCCGAAGGGAGAGGGTTGTTGCCAAAGTCCCACATTCCAGGCATGTGTTGATGCTGATAAGGCAGCCTAGGGCTGGCCTAGCCACTTTGGGCAGGAGGGGACTTTGACTTCATGCCCCCAGCAGGCAGCATGCACATCTTGCTTCCTGGTAGCACCCCTCCCCCACCGACCCCCTCTGCTTCCAGGTGCAGGGCCCCCGCCGGGTCCTGGTCACACAGCCTGCAGAGGCAGTGCCGCTTTCAGCAGCGTTGCTGGCTCTTAGTAGCAGGCCTCTGGAGGCCTGTTGATGGATTCTGCCAGCCCCACCTCTTAGAGTATTCGAGGATGCCATTGGAAATGGCACTTCCTTTTATTTGCTGAAATTTGTTACTCTTAGGTTTGGCAGTGGGCTCCTTGTCCAAGAGTTCAGCTTTTGGGGAAGTGTAGTTTTGTGGAAAGATGACTCCTGCTTCCTCCGTGGGCCAGTCTCTTAAGCTCTCCAGGCCTCATTCTCCTTGCCTGTAAACGAGTTGTTAGAAATATTTGAGGCAGTGCTTGTCAGCTATTCTCAAAGTTGTTTGCAGACCCTGAGGGTCCCCGATACCTTTTTCAGTATATTTAGAAGTTACAAGGTCAGATGCGGTGGCCCACGCCTGTAATCCCAGCACTTTAGGAGGCCAAGGCGGGCGGATCACCTGAGGTTGGGAGTTCCAGATCAGCCTGGCCAACATGGTGAAACCCCGCCTCTCCTAAAAATACAAAAATTAGCTGGGTGTGGTGGCGCACGCCTGTAGTCCCAGCTACTCAGGAGGCTGAGGCAGGAGAATGGCTTGAACCTGGGAGGCGGAGGTTGCAGTGAGCCAAGATTTTGCCACTGCACTCCAGCCTGGGTGACAGAGCGAGACTCCATCTAAAAAAAAAAAAAAAAAAAAATCACTGGCCTCTGCCCTGGGTGGACACTTGCACTGCCAGAGTTGTGTTCCCCACTGTTAGCCAGCACTGGGGGCTGAGACCCACCAGTTCTACACATGTCCAGGGGAGGCAGTACAGATGACTGAGTATTAAATCTAGACCTTTAATTACACATATTTTTACTTTTCTGTGTGATGAAATAGGAAGGATGCATGAGGCTTTTTTTTTTTGAGATGGAGTCTCGCTGTTGCCTAGGCTGGAGTGCAGTGGCGCAATCTCAGTTCACTGCAACCTCCGCCTCCTGGGTTCAAGTCATTCTCGTGCCTCAGCCTCCCGAGTAACTGGGATTACAGGCACCCGCCACCACGCCTGGTTAATTTTTTCTTTTTTTTTTTTTTTTTTGAGACGGAGTCTTGCCCTGTCGCCCAGGCTGGAGTGCAGTGGTGCGATCTCGCTGACTGCAACCTCCGCCTCCTGGGTTCAAGCGATTCTCCTACCCCAGCCTCCCGAGTAGCTGGGATTACAGGCGCCTGCCACCACGCCTGGTTAATTTTTTCTTTTTTTTTTTTTTTGAGACGGAGTCTTTCCCTGTCGCCCAGGCTGGAGTGCAGTGGTGGGATCTCGCTCACTGCAACCTCCGCCTCCTGGGTTCAAGCGATTCTCCTGCCTCAGCCTCCCGAGTAGCTGGGATTACAGGCATGCGCCTCCATGCCCAGCTAATTTTTGCATTTTTAGTAGAGATGGGGTTTCACCATGTTGGTCAGGCTGGTCTCGAACTTCTGACCTCGTGATCCGCCCGCCTCAGCCTCCCGAAGTGCTGGGATTACAGGCATTAGCCACCACGCCTGGTGTAATTTTGTCTAGTTTTAATAAAGTCTGGGTTTCGCCATGTTGGCCAGGCTGGTCTTGAACTCCTGACCTCAGGTGATCCACCCGCCCTGGCCTCCGGAAGTGCTGGGATTACAGGTATTAGCCACCATGCCCGGCATGAGGCTTTACAATTTTTTTTTTATTTTTAATTTTTTTTTGGCGATGTGGTCTCCCTCAGTTGCCTAGGCTGGAGTGCAGTGATGATGTAATCACGGCTCAGTGCAGCCTCACCTTCTGGGCTCAAATGATCCTCCTGCATAAGCCTCCCGAGTAGTTAGGACCACAGTCATGCGCCACCACAGCCAGCTATTTTTTTTTTTTTTTTTTTCCAGAGATGGGATCTTCCTGGTCTTGAACTCCTAGGCTCAGGCAGTCCTCCTACCACGACCTCCTAAAGTGTTGGGATTACAGGTGTTGAGCCACTGTGCCCAGCCTACATAGCAACTTTGTTTTTTTTTTTTTTGAGATGGAGTCTCTGTTGCCCAGGCTGGAGTACAGTGGCACGATCTTGGGTCACTGCAACCTCTGCTTCCCGGGTTCAAGCAATTCTATTGCCTCAGCCTCCCAAGTAGCTGAGATTATAGGCACGTGCCACCACACCCGGCTAATTTTTGTATTTTTAGTAGAGACTGGGTATCTCCATGTTGGTCAGGCTGGTCTCAAACTCCTGACCTTGTGATCGCCCACCTCAGCCTCCCAAAGTGCTGGGATTACAGATGTGAGCCACCGTACCTGGCCTACATAGCAACTTTTATTTATGTTTTTCCTTGAAGCGGAGTCTTGCTCTGTTGCTAGTCTGGAGTGCAGTTGCGCAATTCTCCTGCTTCAGCCTCCTGAGTAGCTGGGATTACAGGCGCTTGCCACCACACCTGGCTAATTTTTGTATTTTTAGTAGAGACGGGATTTCACCACGTTAGCGAGACTGGTCTTGAACTCCTGACCTCAAGTGATCCACCTGCCTCAGCCTCCCGAAGTGCTGGGATTGCAGGCGTGAGCCACCGCGCCTGGCCCATAGCAACTTTTAAGAAACTCATTTGTCGAGCTTTAGTGTAATATCAATGAAGAATAGACAGTTTTCTGAAAAAGTTATTAAAATACTCCTTCCTTCTTTCTGTGTAAGGCCAAATTTCTTTAAAGACTTTAATCAAAACCGCATATCCTAACAGACTGAATGCAGGAGATATGAGAATCCAGCTTCTTCTATTAGGCTAGACATTAAAGAGATTTATAAAAGTGTAAAGCAATGCTATCCTTCTTTTTTTCTTTTCTTTTCTTTTTTTTTTTTTTTTTGAGACAGTCTCGCTCTGTCGCCAGGCTAGAGTGCAGTGGCGCGATCTCTGCTCACTGCAACCCCCACCTCCCGGGTTCAAGTGATTTGCCTGCCTCGGCCTTCTAGCTAGCTGGGACTACAGGTGCGCGCCACCACACCTAGCTAATTTTTGTATGTATATATATATTTTTTAGTAGAGATGGGGTTTCACCTGTTGGCCAGGATGGTGTGGATCTCTTGACCTCGTGATCCGCCCGCCTCGGCCTCCCAGAGTGCTGGGATTGCAAGTGTGAACTACCGTGCCCAGCCCTTTTTTTGTTTTGTTTTTCGGATAGAGTCTCACTCTTATCACCCAGGCTGGAGTGCAGTGGCACAATCTCTCCTTACTGCAACCTCCGTCTCCTGGGTTCAAGGGATTCTGCTGCCTCAGCCTCCTGAGTAGCTGGGATTACAGGCACCTGTCACCACGCCCAGCTAATTTTTGTATTTTTTTAAATGTTGTTGTTTTTTTTTTTTGAGAGGGAGTTTTGCTCTTGTCCAGGCTGGAGTGCAATGGCGTGATCTTGGCTCACTGCAACCTCTGCTTCCCCCAGGTTCAAGTGATTCTCCTGCCTCAGCCTCCCCAGTAGCTGGGATTACAGGCATGCACCAACACATTTGGCTAATTTTTGTATTTCACCCTGTTGGGCAGGCTGGTCTCAAACTCCTGACCTCAGGTGATCCACCCGCGTCGGCCTCCCAAAGTGCTAGGATTACAGGCATGAGCCACTGCGTCCAGCCTATTTTTTTTTTTAAGACAGAGTTTCGCTCTTGTTGCCCAGGCTGGAATGCAATGGCACAATCTTGGCTCACTGCAACCTCCACCCCACACCCTCCCCTGGGGTAAAGCCATTCTCCTGCTTCAGCCTCCCAAGTAGTTGGGATTACAGGCACCTGCCACCACGCTTGGCTAATTTTTTGTATTTTTAGTAGAGATGGGGTTTCACCATGTTGGCCAGGCTGGTCTCGAACTCCAGACCTCAAGTGATCCACCTACCTCAGCCTCCCAAAGTGCTGGGACTACAGGCGTGAGCCACTGTGCTCAGCCTTTAAAAAAAATTTTTTTGGCCGGGCACGGTGGCTCACGCCTGTAATCTCAGCACTTTGGGAGGCTGAGGCGGCAGATCACGAGGTCAGGAGATCGAGACCATCCTGGCTAACACGGTGAAACCCCGTCTCTACTAAAAATACAAAAAGAAATTAGCCAGGCGCGGTGGCGGGCGCTTGTAGTCCCAGATACTCGGGAGGCCGAGGCAGGAGAATGGCGTGAACCCGGGAGGCGGAGCTTGCAGTGAGCCGAGATCACGCCACTGCACTCCAGCCTGGGCCACAGAGCGAGACTCCGTCTCAGAAAAAAAAAAAAAAAAACTGAATAAGAGGGCACTGTTGTAGTACATGGTAACATCAAATACAGCAACAGCCCAGATGCAGTGGCTCACACCTGTAATCCCAGCACTTTGGGAGGCTGAGGCTGCAGGATGGCTTGAAGCCAGGAGTTCGAGGTTGCAGTGAGCTATGATTGTACCACCGCACTTCAGCTTGGGTGACAGAGCAGGACCCTGTCTCAGAAAAAACCCCACAAAACAGTAATAGAGAAGCCACATAAGCAGATGCTCGTTAGGAGCCCTGACTATTTAAGAATGTAAACAACACAATTTTAGAACCAGTGGCAAGGAGGGTACTGGACATTTCCATCTTCCCCACGTGCCTCCTTATCTTTCACATGTTGTTTCACTCTGTCTCTTCTCAGCATTGGGTCTGACCAGCATTTGCTCACCTAATGAATGTTTATGAGTGCCTGCTGCATGCCTGCTGCTGTGGCTGCTTGGGACACAGGGTCTAACTTTGGGTACTGGTCTATGGGGTGGTGGGGGTAGGCAGGAGGGAAGCAGCTTGGCAGCTGGTGCTGACGTTGGAAGCGGGGGGACAACAGAGGCAGTTCTGGCTTCACAGAGGAGGGAGTCGTGAGGGGGCAGGCTCCTCCCAGAGTAGGGCACGGCCTGCAGGAGCTCTCAGGTGTGTCTGTGGAAGGGATGAGGTGGGCTTGATGCCCCTGTGGGAAGTGCTTTGCATGCCAGGCCTGAGCATGGACTTTATGCTAGGCATCAGGAATTTATTGAAAGCTTTATTTATTTTTTTAATTTTTTTTTTTTGTATTTTGAGATAGAGTTTCACTCTTGTTGCCCAGGCTGGAGTGCAATGGCGCGATCTTGGCTCACTGCAACTTCCTCCTCCCGGGTTCAAGTGATTCTCCTGCCTCAGCCTCCTGAGTAGCTGGGATTACAGGCATGCGCCACCATGCCCAGCTAATTTTGTATTTTTAATAGAGATGGGGTTTCTCCATGTTGGTCAGGCTGGTCTCAAACTCCAGACATCAGATGATCTGCCCGCCTGGGCCTCCCAAAGTGCTGGGATTAAAGGTGTGAGCCACCATGCCCGGCCCATTGAAAGCTTTAAGCAGGGGAGTGGCTTGATGAGATGGGTGTTGAGAAAGATAACTCAGGGTTATTGGACTCTGAATTGGAGGGTACAGGGACTAGGCGAGGGTTGGCTGGAGGGGTTGCAGGGGGGTGACTGTGTTCTAAACGCTGATATTTTCACTTAGAGTGGCTCTGATTCTGCCCTTCTTTCTCCTGTAGACCTTGGGAGGTTGCCTGGGATTTCTCCCTCCTGGACAACTTCTGTTGAGTGAAGCATACCTGCTACCCCAGGTGTGGAGGCCCCAGGTTCTTTTGCTTTGTATGATTAGGACAGGGTGATATTTTCTGGGTTATCTCTTGTGGGAACTGAGCCCTCCAAAGCCCTCATTTGTGCATTGTTGTCATAGCTGCCCAAGTGTGTGGCCTTGCTGAGTTTGACGGCTGTGGACCAGGTGATCTCTCGGGTGGTGAAAGGGAGGTGCTCTGTGAGTGCACCTCAGCTTTAGCCTCTTGGCTTCTCCCTGGATTGGGATTTCCAGGGAGGTCTCTTTCCTCTTTCTTTTTTCTCTTTCTTTTCTCTCTTTCTCTCTCTCTGTTTTTTTGTTTGTTTGTTTGTTTGTTTTTTAAATGAGACAGGGTCTTGCCGTGTTGCCCAGGCTGGTCTTGAACTCCTGGGCTCAAGCGATCCTCCTGCCTCAATCTCCCAAAGTGCTCAGATTAAAGGCATGAACCACCACACCCGACTTTCCTTTCTTTTGAGACTTCTGCACAGAGCAGGCTCAGCTTCCTTAGTAGACTTAGCCATTGAACTCTAAGAAGTTATTTACAAAGGTGTAAATAGGCCGGGCATGGTGGCTCACGCCTGTAATCCCAGCACTTTGGGAGGCCGAGGCAGGCGGATCACTTGAGGTCAGGAGTTTGAGACCAGCCTGGCCAAGATGGTGAAACCCTGTCTCTACCACAAAAATTAGCTGGGTGTGGTGATGGGTGCCTGTAATCCCCAGCTACTCGGGAGGCTGAGGCAGGACAGTCGCTTGAACCCGGGCAGCAGAGGTCGCAGTGAGCCGAGATTGTGTCACTGCACTCCAGCCTGGGCGACAGAGGAAGACTCAAAAAAAAAAAAAAAAAAAACAAAGGTAAATTACATGTATATATGTGTGTGCACAAATCTTAAAGAATAGAGAGATAAGTAGTGGTAAACCTACTATTGGTTGAATCGTGGGTGTCCCACTAAGCGTGACACCGTTGTTCCCTCATGGCCACATAAGAAATAGCCTCCCAAGTTCCTGGGACACCTCATGCACTTCTCCCTGGCTTATTCCCACTTCCCTCTAGAAGCCAACAGTCTTCTGAATTGCGGGTCAGCCATTCGCTGGCTTTTGTCGGTTTCCCACCTTTGTCTGGATCCTGAAACTGCGAATGATTTTGGCTCAGTTCGCTGGGAGCCGGGTGTCCTGCACTCTTGGGACACCAGGAGCAGCAGTTCCTGTGTTCCCATTCTCCATTTCAGTGTCCAAGGTGGCGCCATCCACACATAATCACCTGTCCTGCTGGCAGTGAGCATTTGGGTGGGTTTCTGGGTTTTGTTTTTGCTGCCTTCTAAGTAGCTGACTTTTCACCCCCAAGCTATGCTTCTTGAGGCAGAGAAGTGCCAGTTTATTTTGTTTTCTGTCTCTAAATCCAGTTCCTTAATGCACCACTGAGACTCAGTTTAGAAGTACAGTGAAACTTTGTGAGCATTTTTCTCCCTGAGTTTGAATGGATCCCTCTCTCATTCTTTGAGTTCTTGGGCACTTGTCTCTTAGACACTTTCAAGTTACCTACTGGACAGGAGAGACCTCTTCTCTATAAAGTATCACACTTGGAGGCTTTTCAGGCACAGGACCATAGATTGTAATATTTTCCATAGCAGTTGCCCAATTTTATCTGTAAAAATTGCTTTTTAAGGCCTGGCACAGTGGCTCACACCTGTAATCCCAACATTTTGGAAGGCTGAGGCAGGAGGATCACTTGAGCCCAGGAGTTTGAGGCCAGTCTGGAAAACATAGTGAGACCTCATCTCTACAAAAAATTTTAAAAATTGGTTGGGCATCGTGGCATGCACCTTTAGTTCCAGCTACTCAAAAGGCTGAGACGGGAGGATCCCTTGAGCCCAGAAATTAGAGCTATGATCGCGCCACTGCACTCCAGCCTGGGCCACAGAGCAAGACCCTGTCTCCAAACAATCACAAAACTTCCAATGGATGCCGAACGTATAACTTTTTTTTTTTTTTTCTTTCTTGGAGTAAAATAACTTGATCCTTGATCTTTGGCTGTAGCTCCTGAGCCATTTGAGGCACTGGGGGGTTTGTGTGTTGATTACCTATGAAGGAGCAAGTGGGCTGTTTCCTTCTCCCAGCGGCTTCCTTTGACCCCAAATCCCTGAGAGTCTCGCCCATTTTCTTCTTGGCTTCCTCCCTTTGATATGCCCAGCCGGCTCCTGCCCTACCTGGCTGCCACCAGGACCTGCTGGAGGCGGTTGCTGGGAATTATTTGGTGTCCTGTTTGAACCTCGCTTGCCGTGCTCCCAGATTTCCTGTTTCTCCTGGGCTTGCCTTTCAGGATTTGCAGAACCCCTTCTCCTTTAGAAGTGTCAACTGGGGCTGGGTGTGGTGGCTCACGCCTATAATCCCAGCACTTTTGGGAGGCCGAGGCGGGCGGATCACCTGAGGTCGGGAGTTCCAGGCCAGCCTGACCAACATGGAGAAACCCCGTCTCTACTAAAAATACAAAATTAGCCAGGTATGGTGGTGCACACTTGGAATCCCAGCTACTCGGGAGGCTGAGGCAGGACAGTCGCTTGAACCCGGGAGGCGGAGGTTGCGGTGAGCCGAGATTGCACCATGGCACTCTAGCCTGGGCAACAAGAGGAAAACTCTGTCTGAAAAAAAAAAAAAAAAAAGTCAATTGGACCTTAGGACAACTTAAAAACATTATCAGGTTTTTATCTTTTAGATAGCAGAGATGAGTCTGCTCTTAATAAGGATTTACAGTAGTCTCTCTGTTTCCTGTGGGCTCCTGGCTGGCTTGTGTGAGCTCCCTCCTCTAGGATGGGCACTCCATCCTGGACATTGCCGCGTTGCCAGCTGTCCTGCCAATATTTTGCTTCCTGTGTTGTTGTTATTGGTTGGGGGTCCAGGAGAGGTTGCTGCCTGGACTGAGTCTACTTGCTGATCAGGATGAAGTTGATCTCTGCTTCCCTTCTGAAGGTTTCTGTGCACGTATTGAATTCAAGGACAGCCTACGTAAGAAGTGTGCACAGCTCCAAGAGTTCTTCACAAATGATTATGCCCTTGTAACTAGCATCCAGAGTGCGAAACACAACCCTGGAAGCCCCTCACGTATCCTGAAGCTTGTAGTCACTCTCAACCCCCACCCATAAGATTAGTGCTGCCTGCTTTTGAATGTATGCAAATGGAACTGTAATAGTCTTTTTGGCTCTGGCATCTTTGCTCAAAAGTATATTTGAGAGATTCATCTGCGTTGTTTGTAAGTCAAACCATGTGAAATTATCAGCAGCCAGCTGTTTTTTTACCCCTAAAAGGTAAATTCATACAGTTCAACCTAAACGTTCTGTCCTGTTCACTGCTGGCTCATAGTCTTTTATACCTGCAGCTGTCCCTTCTCAGGGTGGGCATAGTTGTTTTCCATTGTTGGGCCTTCATGAGTGTGCCTGCCTGTTTGGTGTGCATTACGTGTGCATTCTTGTTGGCGTATACCTTGGGTGAGTTTTTGGGCCCACAGCTAGCTAGCTAGCTAGCTAGCTAGCTAGCTTGTTGGCTTTATTTATTTAGAGACGAAGTTGGCTCTTGTCGCCCAGGCTGGAGTGCAGTGGCGCAGTCTCAGCTCACTGCAAGCTCTGCCTCCTGGGTTCAAGTGATTCTCCTGCGTCAGCCTCCCAAATAGCTGGGATTACAGGAGCCTGCCACCACGCCCGACTAATTTTTGTATTTTTAGTAGAGACGGGGTTTCACCATGTTTGCCAGGCTGGTCTCAAACTCCTGACCTCAGGCGATCCACCCACCTTGGCCTCACAAAGTGCTGAGATCACAGGCGTGAGCCACCACCCACGGCCTTGGGCCCACAGTTTTAGATTGTGCCATCCAAGGGTTTTCTAAACCATGTGAGTTTTCTGGCCAGGTGCGGTGGCTTATGCCTGTAATCTCAGTACTTTGGGAGGCTGAGATGGGCAGATCACTTGAGGCCAGGAGTTGGAGACCAGCCTGGCCAACATGGTGAAACCCCATCTCTACGAAAAATACAAAAATTATCTGCGGGTGGTGGCGCACTGCACTTCTGTAATCCCAGCTACTCGGGAGGCTGAGGCAGGAGAATTGCTTGAACCTGGGAGGCGAAGGTTGCAGTGAGCCATCTCGCCACTGCACTCCAGCTTGGGTGACAGAGCAAGACTCTCTCTCAAAAAAATAAAAAATTATAAAGTATGTGAGACTTCTGGTTGCCTTACTGCCTGGCCAACATTTGGTGTTACCTTTTTCCTGATGGGCTTTGACGTTCTTATTGTTTCTGGAACAGTCCTGGTCTTGTTTAAAAACATCCCCATTTTCCTTTCATCCCTGGGAGATACTCTTTTAGTCTTTGTTTGGCTAGTCAAAATCCCGTCTTTAGTATCTGTTGTTGAATTTTTGTGTTTTTGTTTTTTCTGATTCCCTTTCAGCATGTCATCTCAGTCTTGTCCCAGCCCGGGGGTCAGGCGGTGTTGCGTACAGACGGTGCAGTGGCTCCTTCATGCTGGTTGCCTCAGAGCCTTTGCCAGGCCTGGAGAACTGCATAGGTGCAGGACTGCCAGTAGTTCTTCCTGCTCTTTGATCATTGAAATGTTTTCTTTTGTGAAGTAATGATGGTAGAAGATGATAGGGTTTCTGTTTGTTTCTAATTCTAGTCTTTACTTGGCATTAAGAAATTGTTAGCTGCTAGGGTTGATTTTGAAATTGTGAAGTTGGAGAGTCCCTCCTGGAGCTGTGGGTTGGATGGCTGCAGCTCTGTGACTCAGCTGTGCTGGGTGCCTCCCTTTGGGGCTCAGTTACCTCCTTTTAAGGTGTCCCTAGGGTGAGAGAGATGATCACGATAGTCCCTTCCACCTGGGCGGCCCAGGCTTTCCTCGCCCATTTAGTGCCTTTCATGTAGAATTTCCACCTGTTGTCTGCTGTGCTGCCACTGCTTGTCCTCCCTCCCTGCCACACAGAGCTGTGTTCTCTGCCTGCCACTCACGCCTACTTCTCTGATCAGGGTTTGTGGAACCCTCCAGCGTGGTCACCATTCTGGTACCTGTGGTAACACGCTCAGCCTTGGTGTGGCACATTCTAGGTCTACCGTTTGTATTCACCAGCCTGTGAGCTTGTGTACATGGGACATGTATCTTCGTTTTGGGGGCTTTCTCCTTCCACTTGATGCCCATCCCTTGAGCGTTTACTACTTGTGGAGCGCTTGGCTTTCAGGCCGTAGAGAGCTTTCCAATCAGTGGTGTCCAGGTAAAAACAAAAGAAGGAAAAAAAGCTTCTAACCTAACCCTTCTCAGACTTGACTGTGTGTTTGAGCCCCCAGGGTTCTGGTGGTTAGGGCTGGATGGAGTCTGAGCCTCTGCGTGTCTAACAAGATCCCTGGTGGTGCTGCTGCTGTTTCTTGGGTCATGGCCAGTGAGCAAGAAGAGCAGGGAAGTGGGCTGGAGAGGACTGCAGAAACCAGCACAGGGCCTGTTTTGCCTCCTGACATGTGTGGATGCCAGATTCCTGCTTTTTCCTCACCTACTAGGAACAGCGGCTGCACATCCTCTGGTGGTCTTGCGTGGGCTCCTGCTCTGTGGCTGTCAGCGAGCCTTTTACCCCATGCTCAGGCCCCTCTTAGGGGGCAGGGTAGTGTTGGGATGGAGTTTGGAGGTGAGCACAGCATTCGTAGTCACTATCACAACCTTAAATTGTTATTCTGCTTCTTTTTTTTGAGACAGAGTCTCACTCTGTCACCCAGGCTGGAGTGCAGTGGCGCGATCTCGGCTCACTGCAAGCTCCGCCTCCCAGGGTCAAGCAATTCTGCCTCAGCCTCCGGAGTAGCGGAACTACAGGCGCGTGCCACCACACCCAGCTAATTTTTTGTATTTTTAGTAGAGATGGGGTTTCACAGTGTTAGCCAGGATGGTCTTGATCTCCTGACCTCATGATCCACCCATGTCAGCCTCCCGGAGTGCTGGGATTACAGACCGCACCTGGCCGTTATTCTGCTTCTTAAAGCAATGTTCCCCTGCCTGTCTCCAATATCCTGTCTCAGAACTGTCAGCCAGACTGTGCCAGGCCTGGGGCCCTCCTTGGTGCCAGCACTAGCAGGGGAAATCAGCTGCAGGTCTCCAAGGTCTTCCTGGCCTCATTCCTTGCTGGCTCCAAACCCGGAAGTGATGAGGAGAGGGAGGGGACTGAGGCTGTACCTTCTGGGGGAAGCACAGTTTGGAGGCACTTTCGGTCCAGCTCTCCTCTCAGCAGCCCATTCCAGCCTTTTCCTTGTGCTGGGGTGTTAGCCCGGGCTTCCTCACCTCAGAAGGGACAGTACCCATGGGCGGGTGGCTCGGACCATGCAGGGCTTGGCCCTGCTGTGGGCAGTACGAGGTCATCAGTAGGTCCCATGGGCATTTCAGGATGGGCTTGGGAAAGTCACTGGGCTGGGGTGGATGCTACCTCCCTCACTTTAGGCCACAGGGCTGGCCTGAGGAGCAGAGGAGGAGGAGGCCAGCCTCAGGTCCCAATCGCTGCATCACCAATGTGTTGAGTGGAACCCGAGTGTTTATTTTGTAGAAGCTGCGTTGGAGAGAGCTGGGCTCCTGGCATTTGTGGAGCCTGTTGCTTTCCAGGAGGATGGTCTGGGAGGAGAGCCAGGAGCTGCTGGCCGGCATCCAGGTCTGGGCTGGATTACATGGCTGGGCTTGCCCAGAGCAGTGAGCCCCACCCACCACCAGCCCATTCCTGAAGGGACAGGGAAGGAGGTCATGGAGGGTGGGGGTGTTCCCAGAGGAGCAGCAAGCACAACCTGGGCCTCCAAAGCAGGCTGCATGGGGGCTCCACCTTGTCACTTCTGGTGGAGGAGCTGGGCAGACCCCATGCCCTCACAGTGAGTTTGGGAGAATACACCCAGGTGGGGCCCTGCTGTGGATAGGCAGGTGGTGCTGGGGGGTGGGGGAGTGAGGGTGGAGGTGCAGACTGGAGTCCCTGCTCCTGGCACACCAGTGCATGGAGGGCGGTGCCTCCTCTAGCTCCCCCAAGCAGCTTGGCAGTTGGAAGCCATGTGTGAGTGGCATCCCTGGCCCTGCCTGCGTTGGGCGGGGGGGTCATCAGACTACAACTCTGGAGTCAGGCTTTAGGTCCTCACTCTGCTACCTACATGCTCTTGTGACCCTGGGCAAGTTGCTTAACCCCCAAGAACCTTTAATTTCTTATCTGAAACTGCAGAGATAACGCCCCGCTCACTGGGCCTGTGGGAAGATTGAGGAGATCAGACCTGCCCACATGTAGGCTGCCATCTCATACAGGGCTGTGGCGGTGGGCGAGGTGCAGCCTTCGCCCCTTGGAGCTATCTCTTGTCTACCAAGGCTTCCTCAGGGAGGACTCCAGGCCATGGGGATAGGATGAACAAAGTCCTGGGCTTGTGACTGTGCAGGGCTGGTTGGTGTGTCCAGGGGCTGGGCCTTGGGGCACTTCTGGATACTGGCTGCCTCCTGCCTGGCTGCCTTGTGCCTTCCAGGCAGTCTCTCCCATGGCTTAGGGGCTCCTGGGAAGAGGCTGAGCTCACACAGGGCCACCCGTTGCAGCTGCATCTGTCCCGGCCACACCTGAAGTATGAGGTGACTATAGTTGGGGGTTGGTCTGGAACCAGGGCCGATGCTGACCTTAGACTGAAGTTTGGGAGCAGTGGCAGCAAGTCTGGGGCTCTCTCTGACCCTGGTCAGATGTACTTAGACCTCTGGGTTGTGGAAGTTGCCTGGTGGCCCTGCCCTGCCTAGCATGGCTTCTCAGCCTGGCATGCTTGTCCCTCCCACCTGACAGTGGAGCTCGGGCGGGCCGTGGGCGGCCCTGCTCACTCTCAGCTGTCTTGGCGTCAGCTGGAGGGTTCTCATTTCACTGTTACTTTTGTTTAGGCTGGGAGGTGGTTAAGGTGCTGCTCCTTGGGAGTGGGCTGGGGGGAGCTTCTCCTCAGTCCTCCAGCATAGCTCCAGGCCTCCTGCAGGAAGCCCCTTTCTTGGTAGTAAAGGATAGCTTCCAGGGAGGAAGGTGGATGAGAAGGATCCTAGGAGGGCTAGGCGGGATGGCCTGCTTGGGGTGGCGCCCTTTCCTGGTCTTCACCCTTCTCCCCAGGCCTCCCTCCTGGCTGGGCGTGAGCCAGAAGTTTCAGTCTGAAGGCAGGGGTATCATGTGGCTGAGATGAGTTTGACCCTGAGTTTGACCCCCGCCTGTGGGCCTGGACGTGGGCGTGAGATGTGTTCCTGTCTCCCAGAGTCATGGCCTCCAGAAGGAGCCATGTGGAGGCCCAGCACCTGGAGCAGTTCTGAATGCCTGGCTTCTTGGAGGCCAAGGTTCTAGGCAAGGTGGGTATCCAGGCTGGGTTGGGGCAGTGCCTCTCAGAATTGGGGCTGGAGTTTTCTGCTTTCTGCCTCAGCAGGGATCACTTTGATCTGAAAACCTCCTCTCTCCTGGCCTTTGAAAGATGCTGACTAGAGCACACTCTCCTGCCCTTTGCTGGGTGCTTAGAAGAAAGGCCTTGAGGTAACCCTGTTCCAGCCTCCCCACAGGCCCCTGCAGCCACGTGGACTGACCAGAGGCTCCACACACGGGCAGGTGTGGCCTGACCTCGCTCGCGTAGGATCATGGGCTAGTGGGTCCCCCAATGGGGGGCTGCTTCGAGTGTCAGGAGGCAGCGAGGGGTGCACAGTGCCCTGGCCTCTGCCATCCCCGTTGGTTATTTGGCTGGTCTGTGTTTGGTGAGCGAGTAGAGGGATCCAGAGTGCAGGGTGGTCTTGGCCTGGGGCTTTTGACTGCCCTCTGGAGATGCACTGAGGGCCACCCAGCTGGGGAGCAGCCGGGAGGGATAGGAACCTGTTCCCACCGTGGCGTCTTTGCCCTTCCAATCTGCTTCACCGTCGCCCTTGATCTCTGTGCCAGTTGGAAAATTGAGGCAGAACCAATACCCCTGGGTGATCTGGAAATCATCAGTGGGAAGGGTTGCCTTTGCCCAAGGCTAAAGATGACATGTCCCTGCACACTTTCAGCCCCAGGTTTTCCTACCTTGTGGGGAGGTGAGAGGTCAGGGTGAGTGCTGGGTTTGAGGCTCAGCTGTGCTGTGTGAAGATTGAGAGGAGCCCACCTGATCACATGGACAGAACGCACAGGCTCCTGGGTGGCCCTGCGGCTCCAGTGACATAGCACATGGTCGGGCATACAACAGTGCCCAGGAAAGGTTAGCTGGTGGTGTTTCCAGGGTATCGTGCTGAGCTTCTGAGATGAGAATGTCCTGTGAAAGCCTCTGTCTGGAGGTTTCATTGGAAGTAAAGTTTACATACAATTAAGGGCCTAAAATTGTATTTTCATTTACCTTAACCCAGATTCCCAGCAAGCTAGAGAGCTGCCCTCACCCCAAAGAGTTCCTCATGCCCCGTCCTGGATAGGCCTGTCAGGGCCAGGCAGTGGGCGCTTGTCCCTCGCCCCATCCTGGACAGTCCTCACCTGTCGCTCACAGCCTGTTCTGCTCTGGTTTTTACCCTCAGTCCGTTTTGCCTATTCTAGAACTTGATGTAAATGGAGTCATGCAGTCTGTACTCTCGCAAAAGTCTTCTTCCACTCAGTGCCACGACTGTGAGGTTCATCCATGTCTCTGCATCATTTCTGCCCTTTGTATTTTTAGGGTTTTAAAAGTAATACTTTTGGCTGGGCACGGTGGCTCACACCTGTAATCCCAGCACTTTGGGAGGCTGAGGCAGGCGGATCACAAGGTCAGGAGGTCGAGACCATCCTGGCTAACACGGTGAAACCCCGTCTCTACTAAAAATACAAAAAATTAGCCGGGCGTGGTGGCAGGCGGCTGTAGTCCCAGCTACTCGGGAGACTGAGGCAGGAGAATGGCATGAACCTGGGAGGCAGAGTTTGCAGTGAGCCCAGATCGCCATGGCACTCCAGCCTGGGGGACAGAATGAGATTCCATCAAAAAAAAAAAAAAGGTAATACTTTTTAAAATGTTGAGTATTACAGAAATGAACATAATATACAGATACTATGGTTTTTCTGTAATCCCGCTCCCCAGAGATAATCTTACTTAGCAGTTGGGTATGTGTGTCCCCAAGGTTTTTCTTGCCACAGAATGGACTTGCTGGGCCGGGTAGGCTCTGACTGGGCCTTGCAGAGCAGCTGCCTTACTGTAAGTTCTTTGAGGGCGAACAGAGCGGGGGTGGGGCTGCTGTGGCTGGCCCAGTTCTACAGAGCTTGGGCATGTGCCACCAGTGGCTTGAGAGGCTGGAGTATCTGAGTGCTGTTCCAGCCCGCTAGCACCTGCCTGGGCCCTGGGCCTGCCCTCAGTGTCTGGGGACATGGCTTTCTGGCTTTTTTGTGGCGGGGACTGGGAGGGGAAGGAAAGGAGAGCAGTTGGCATGTTGGCTGTTCCGTAAACAGGGCCGTGTGTCTGCTCTAACAGATGGCCTGGGAAGGTAACCCCGAGGCTTTGTGTTCCTTCCTGCAGACCTTCAGGATTCCGCAGAGAGAGCTGGCCCTCCCTCCAGCTGCTGGGGCTCTTGTCCTTCCCAGCTGGGGCCAGTCCACCTACAGGGGGAATCCTGGAGCTGAGGGATCCTAACTTGGGAGATAGTTTCTGTGCTACCCTTCTTGCCTCTCCCCTGGACCCCTGAAGGCTCTGTCCTAGGGAGGGGATGGGTCACAGCCTTAGGCGAATGCCCAGCTGGCCCCGATAGCCCAGGCCTGCTGCCCTACTGCCTCAGATCCTGGGCGTCCTGGGAGCCAGCGTTTCTGGATGGGCAGTAGGCCAGGGCTGGGCGTGCTAGCCTCGGGGCTGATAGGCGTGCTGCCCGGGCCTGCTGCCAGGGGCTGCTGGGTGCTAGGTGGCATTCTCATCGCAGCCTGCAGTCAGCTGCTTCCAGGGCTGAGCACCAGCATCCGGGCCAGCACCCAGAGCCGTGTTTCTAGTTACCTGGCACTCCCCAGGCGGAGCCCTCCAGGATAGGCACTTGCTGTTTCATGTCCAGCGGTGAGCGGGTAGGGCAGAGCTCTGTGGCTGAGAAGGAAGGAGCAGTGCTTAGTAGGCGTTTCGCAGCAGGATGGCGTGTGCCACCCCCCTGCCCCGCCATGGGGTGAGGCTGCATTGCTGCTCGCAGACACAGTGGCGGCCTAGATGTGGCCCAGACTTGGCCCAGCTGGTGTGGATGGCACGCATGGTGGCATTGTGCTTGCTGTGAACTTTCTGCAGGTGGCTCTGACACCCCCTAACTCAAGTGGAGGGTTCAGGGAGGAGCCCTGCCCTGTTCTACATCACAGCTGACCCAGCCTGGGGCCATCCTTCCTTGGTGGGGAGACCTAGTGCTAGCCTTGGGCTTGTAAAGTGCCCGACAGGGCCAGGCAGTGGGCACTGACGGAGGGTGTTCCCACCCCCATGGCACTCAGGTGCCCCCCAGTCCTATTCTGCCACCCACTCCCTGCGCGGCATCCAGTAGCTGGCCTGGCCTCTGGCAAGGTCAGGTGACCCCTGGCTGCAGAGTTTGGCATGCGCTCTACCCATGGTTGACTGGGTCCTGAGGGGCAGTGGTTGGGGAGCAGATGAAGTGGCACAGGGCTGGATGGTGGTATCTGATTGCCTCCAGTGTGCCACCGAGACCCTCTACCCAGTTTTTCGACTGCTCCCGCCAGTGTTTCAGTGGCCCCTGCCCTACTGGCCTCATCCCAGCATTAGCCCACTGGGCCCAACCCTTGCTAACTGTGGACGCCCTTGGGCTTCCTACCAACAGAGCTGATTCTGCTGCCCTCTGGGCCTTTGGTGGGGTCCTGGACCAGCCATGCACCCCCTCCCCTCACACCCCCCACCCAGAGGGGAGCTGCACTAGGGGCTGGAGAGACAGCTGGCCAGCTGCAGCCTAGGCCTCCCAGCTCTGGGCCGGCACCCCGGGTCTGGTCACATTCCTGAGGGACCTGCTGAGCCTCCCTGGCCCTGGGGGTGGAGTGGGGGAAGGGGAAACGGGGACGGGCCGCTGCACGCCCCTTCCCCGACCCCGGCTCTATTCCGTGGGGGCCCAGGCTGGCAGGTGTGGGGTGCAAGGACCCACCACCTCAGGATCCCCCCTCCTGCAGGACCCAGAGCTCTGGGGGTGGGAGGGAACCCCTCGTTTCCTGGCGGCAGCTGCCCAAGGCTTTGGTGGGCCGGTATTGAAAGCCCAGGCCTGCAGCTTGGGTGAGCCCTTAGGCAGTGAAACCTCTGGAGAGGGAAGGCCATGTGGTCAGGCCAAGCGGGCTAGGGGGCTGGGCCCTCTGGGCAGGGAGGCGGTGAGAGCAGATCAGGAAGGGAAGGAACGGGGGAGCCAAAAGCGGTTGAGACTGGTTCTTATAAATAGCCCTTGCACAAGTGGCTCCAATTTTGACCTTTTGTTATGTAAATGTGGCCAGCTTGGGAAGGGCCCTGCCCAGGCCTCCTGCTACCACACCCGCAGGCCAAGAATTGTGTGTCTGCCACCAGCGCCCCCTGGCCTAGGTGGCCCCTGGGTGTCCTTAATCTCCTGTGTGTGTTAGAGGGGCAGGCATTGCACCCACCGAACTCCCTAGACCTGTTCGCTGGTCCTTACTCTTCCTGGCTGTCAGATCCAACTACCAGGCTCTGTGGCCACAGTCTCCTGCTGGGCTGCCCCTGGTGCCCCAGCCAGAGACCCCCAGGTGCGTCCCTTCATCGCCCTTCCCTCCCTTCTTCGCTGATGGCTGTCTGGGTGACTGTGTTCGTCTTCTCTTCCCCAGGTGACCAGGCATTGATGCACCCCCAGGAAGGCCACGCGCTCAGGAGGCCCCCCCGCCCCGCTGGCTGCTGCTCACATGGTGTCTGGGCCCTTGGCACTCTGGTGAGGCGCAGGGGAGGGGGGACCGCCACTGGCCCCTTTCCCCGGAGTTTCTGGGTGGCACACAGCCCCACAGCTCGGCCTCTATCTGTCTGACCCGTGGTCCTTTGTGTGCACACAGCACTGGGCAGTGTGGAGGGAGCCTGGAGGCCACTGCCCTCTTCCAGTCCCCTTGCCAGTCTCAGGGTACCAGGTGTCTGGGTGCTGGCAGAGCCGGCACTGATGTTTTCTGGGGTCACCAGAAAGCCCTGGTTTCACCACAAATTGTGACTGTCAGGACACAGTGCTGCTATGGTCAGGATTCCTTTCCATATGCTGCTTCAGCCTCAGACCTCGGTGGGCCTTAAGAGTAGGGGCTGCTCAGCCAGGCGCAGTGGCTCACGCCTGTAATCCCAGCACTTTGGGAGGCAGAGGCGGGTGGGTCACCTGAGGTCGGGAGATCGAGACCAGCCTGACCAATATGGAGAAACCCTGTCTCTACTAAATATACAAAATTAGCCGGGTGTGGTGGCATGTGCCTGTAATCCCAGCTACTTAGGAGGCTGAGGCAGGAGAATCGCTTGAACCCAGGAGGCGGAGGTTGCGGTGAGCCAAGATCGCACCATTGCACTCCAGCCTGGGCAACAAGAGCGAAACTCCGTCTCAAAAAAAAAAGAAAAAGAGTAGGGGCTGTAGCTGTTCCCATTTCACAGGGCACTGGGGGTGCTCCTGACCACGTGTCAGCCCTCACATTGTACCTGGGGCTCTGGAGCCCAGATCTGTCTCTCTCCTCTCCACTTCCTTAGTTCAGGTGCCCTTGAACCTCTGGCCTCTCTGTCTGGTCCTCAGATAGGAGTGGGTCCTCAGATAGGAGTGGGTTGGTTGACCCCTGGGGGCAGGGCAGTTGGAGTACAGATATCACTAGCAGGTCCCAGATGGTAGGAAGACAGATCAGCTCAGGGAAAGCTGCTCACAGCCTCCTTCAGAGTTCTGGGTCTTGAAAGCAGCTGTTTTGGGAGCCTAACTGCTTTTCCCAGGGACTTAAGGCCTTTGTAATTTTTGTAGCCCTTTCATCCTCCAGAATAAAGGGACCTTCTTGAGCTCAGGGCCTTCTCAGTACTGGCATGCCCCAGGGCTCCTCCTCCCTGCCTGGCTACTCTGGCCAGCTCCACTGCTTACCCAGCCCAGTCACTCCTAGTCCAGGTGGATCCCTTCAGTGGCTTGGCCCATGGCCTGCATGGTGAACTGATTAGCAGCCCCAACTAATGGGTCCAACCTCAGCTCCAGACACCGCTGCGCTGGTCGCCCATCCGCCATCACTGTTGATGCCAGGGTGGTTCTTCCCTTCACTGTTGATGCCAGTGGGGCCCCTCCCTTTACTGTAGATGCCAGTGTGGCCCCTCCCTTTACTGTAGATGTGAGCGAGGTCCCTCCCGTCACTAGATGCCAGCTAGGTCCCTCCCTTTACTGTAGATGCCAGCGTGACCCTTCCCTTCACTATAGATGCCAGCGAGGTCCCTCCCTTCACTGTAGATGCCAGCGAGGTCCTTCTCTCTGCTCAGACATCTTTGACTCCCTCTTATGCACATCCCACTGATGACTCTCAGCACATCCCATCACCTTCACCTTTGAGGTTTATCCAGGATCTGACAAGTCCCAGCATCCCAGCTGCTGCCCCCTGGCCTGGCCTCCTGCTCCCCAACCCCAGGCATCTTCCCCTTCTCCACATGCGGTTGGCGCAAGCCAGGGGGGAATCAGAGCCCCCCTACAGACTCGAAGGTGGGCTTGTTTCTGTGACCTGCAAGCCCCCTTCCCACCTGACTTCCATCCTCTCTCTTCCCCTCGCTTGCTGTGCTGTGGCCATGCTGGGGTCCTGCTTGCACTTCCCACGGATGATTCTCAGCACATCCCATCAGTTTCACTTTTGAAGCTGCCCTCCTGGGCTGCTCCCACCATAGGCTGCGTCATGCATTCCCTCTTCTCAGATGGCCATGCCTTGCGCCTCACTCCTGCGTCTCCTCCAGGGCTCATCTCAGATGTCCCCTCCTTGCCAGGGCTCTCCCTGGCCACCTGGCCACACGCTCACTCGCACTGCTGTTTCTTAGTGTTTCTCAGTGTGTGTAGCTTATTTCTTGTTGTCTGTGGTCCCCACCATAGACTGTGTGGTCATGTTTGTCTTCATTCAGAGCACCATGCCCAGAGTCCACGAGGCCCTGGCACAGAGGCAGCCACCAGGATGTGGTTGTTTAACAAATAGATGGGAGTGTGTTTCTTCGATGGCTTCTTGTCCGTGGCAGTTCTGGGGTCCCCCCCACCGCCATTTTTTTGCTCCCTTGTCTGCTTCCATAAGACTAATCAGTCTGCAGGAAACAGAAAGCAGGCTGTAGTGCCTCGTCCCCCAGGAGTCCTCACCCCATGGGCAGATTAGAGGGAAGCAGCAGACAGAGCCCCGCCCCGGGCTCCCGTCGGCTCCTGGCCATCCTGGGCTTATGTGGCCTTTGTCTCCACCCTCACAGCCTCCAGATGGCTTCTGTGCCTCCCAGCAGGAAGGAAGACAAGGACAGAGTGCAAAGGGCAGAGGCCAGCTGCCTTGACCTTATGAAGCTCACCCTGGCATGTGTTCCCAGGGCCTTGCCCAGTTCACTCTCCCTGGCTCATTAGAGTGGCCGGGGAGAACAGTGGCTGCCTCAGCCAGCAGGGACCCTGGCTGAGAGCCCTGTGACTGGCCACGTGGCCACCCTGATCCACCTCATGAGGAAGAAGGGAGGGGATGGTACTGGGGAGGGAGCCGCGGTGTGTGTTCTACTCATTAGGCCTCGTTGCCACCTCTGCACAGGCGCTTGGAGCCCTTGTAGAAGCTGGTGCTGCTGGGACAACAGAGGGATAGAATCCTCTTTGGCCAGATGCCAAATGCTGTTTGTTGGTCTCCTTGTAAAAACACCCAGAAATCATGGGGGCTTTCCATGTGTGAGCTGCACCTCTTACTCTCTGCAGCACCCAGGTGTCTCCCGGGCACCATGCTGCTCCCTCTGGGCACCCCTCATGCCCCCCCACGGAATGGGGACCTGGCTGAGCATGACTGGGCCATGGGAGCAGCCTGACCCTGGGCTCCCAGGCCTGGCCATGGTGGCTGCAGGCTCGCCTCGGCTCCATGGGCCTTCCTAATCTGGTTAGCGGGATGAAGGTATCGGGTAGGGTCTGTGTGGGGTGGAGAGGAGGAGCCAGGCCCTGGATCCAGAACCCTCTTCTGCCCTTGCCAGCTCAGCAGCCCACAGAGGGGTCTTCCCGCTCACAGCCACAGAGGGTTATCAGGGTTATAGAGAAGAGTCACCTACCCAGTGCCTGTCAGGGCATCAGGTACATCCCGGGTGCTGCCACCTCACACCTGCAATGTCCACACGGTGAACCGGGTTGAACAGAATGCAGCCTCGAGAGGCTGGAGAAAATACACCAAGCACTGACACAGATGACCCTGGGATGTGGGACTATAGGCGATCTTCAATTTTTTCTTCATACTTTTCTTGGTTTCTAAATCTTATTCAGTGAGCACGTGTTCCTTTTTTTAATTAGAGAAAACTTGACAGTAGCCCCTTTTTGTGTTTCACAGAGGAGCTAACATTCCTTCTGTACCTGTAGTTCATGCGGGAGATGGCAGGGGCTGGCACATGACAGTGGAGCAGAAATTTGGCCTGTTTTCTGCTGAGATAAAGGAAGCAGACCCCCTGGCTGCCTCGGAAGCAAGTCAACCCAAACCCTGTCCCCCCGAAGTGACCCCCCACTACATCTGGATCGACGTACGTGCCTGTTCCCCCACGAAGGCTGTGGGGTGCTCCACCTGGGGGGCCAGGACTGTTCCTGGGGTGGGGGTAGCCGAGCCCAAGGCCTTCGGCAAGCTCGGCCAGTCAGCCCAGAACCCCTCCTCAGCTGTCTCTGCCGGCCCCAGGGTTAGCCCGGCTCAGCCCCACCACCACAGCGTCTTCCTCTTTTCGCTCAGTTCCTGGTGCAGCGGTTTGAGATCGCCAAGTACTGCAGCTCTGACCAAGTGGAGATCTTCTCCAGCCTGCTGCAGCGCTCCATGTCCCTGAACATCGGCAGGGCCAAGGGGAGCATGAACCGGCACGTGGCGGCCATCGGGCCCCGCTTCAAGTGAGGGCCCTCTTCCTGGGGAGCACAGGGCCCCTGGTGTGTACAGTGTGTCATGGGGCGTCTGTGTATCACGGTACTTCTGTAGACGGGGAACACATTTCAGTGAGCTGCTCCTGGAAGGGCAGGGAAGAGAGTCCATAAGGTGAACTTGGCCCCAGGCCAGGCTCCTGCTCTGACCGGGTCCGGGGCTCCCTCACAGGCTGCTGACCCTGGGGCTGTCCCTCCTGCATGCCGATGTGGTTCCAAATGCAACCATCCGCAATGTGCTTCGCGAGAAGATCTACTCCACTGCCTTTGACTACTTCAGGTACTCCCCCAAGATGTGCTGTGCAGCATCCAGGGACGGCCCAGCCCCTCCAAGTGCTCCATCGCCCCAGACCCCCAGGAAGTCACTCACAGGAATACACAGTTGCCCAGTTGTGCTCACCAACCTCCTCCTTCAGTATCCCTGGCCCTGTGGATTTAAATACCTTTCAGCCCTGTGCATGTGTCCCGTGTACTTAGAGCTAGCCTCCCAGCGAGATGTAGGCAAATTTTCCCTCAGTTCAACTGATTTAGGAGATTAAGTGCGTCCATTTAATTTCCCTGTTAATGTGAAGGCTTATTGCACGAAGAATTGCAAACACCCACTGCCTGGGGCTCTGCACCCATAGGCTGTGCTGTTGTGTGAGTGCAGCTTCCTTGCCCTGATCTGCCACAAGTGCAGCTTCAGTGGAAAGCTGTAGGGGCTGCTGTGGGCAGTGAGGGAGGAGGGCATAAGAGGGCTCCCGAGCCACCACACCTTCCCATGGGAATGGGCCAGATCATCCTTGCTAATGACTGGCTTTGGGCTGACCTTTTGTCATTAAGAAATTGTCTGCATCACCTTCTCACTGCTTTGTGTGACTGGCCTCTAGTCCCTGACTCCAGACACTCAGCCGTTGTCCTCTTATGGTTGTTTGAAGCTGTCCCCCAAAGTTTCCTACTCAAGGAGAGAAGCGGCTGCGTGAAGACATAAGCATCATGATTAAATTTTGGACCGCCATGTTCTCAGATAAGAAGTACCTGACCGCCAGCCAGCTTGTTCCCCCAGGTAACCCTCAACAGTGCAGCTGCTCATGGTGGAGGCAGGCAGGACAGGGGTGCAACGTGGGCAGCCCTGAGGGTGCCAGAGGTAGGGACGGAAAAGCAGTTAGACCCCCCTGAGCCCTGGCCTTGACTGTGTTGCACGGTCATTGGAGGCCGGTGCATGCCTGGCTCTGCTTCTCCTCTGGCCTGAGCTGAGAAGCATAAACACGCACCCGAGGCAGCTGAGCAGACTCCACTCACCGCACTTTCCCTGCACTGGCACCAGCTGCGTTCACACACCCCTCTGAGCAGCTGACGGCCCAGGATTGGGCTGAGGCTGGTGCACACCTACATGACTGGGGTATGGTCTGTTGTTGTCTTGTAGGAGGCAGTCAAATGGACAGGTGATTTCAATTTGAGGGAACTGTGGGAGCACTCCTCCGGTACAGACACTTGGCCCATCCAGAGTTGGGGAATCAGAGATGGTTTTCTGGAAAAGAGACAGTTGAGCTGAGTCTGAAAGGCTGCACCGGCATGCAGGGCGGACAGGGCAAAGCATTCCAGGGAAGGGAATGCCAAATGAAAACATGCCACGCAAAGAAGCAGCAAACCTCTGTAAGGAGGCCATGCCCTGTTCTCTCAGCGCCTAGCTGATTACTAAGCACAGACTGAGAGACGAGAGAGGGCTTTCTTTTTTTTTTTGAGAGACAGTCTCACTCTGTCGCCCAGGCTGGAGTGCAGTAGCGCAATCTTGGCTCACTGCAACCTCTGCCTCCTGGGTTCAAGCAATTCTCCTGCCTCAGCCTCCTGAGTAGCTGGAATTACAGGTGCTCGCCACCATGCCTGGCTAATTTTTTTATTTTATTTATTTATTTATTTTTTAATTTAATTTTTTTTTTTTTGAGACAGAGTCTTGATCTGTCGCCCAGGCTGGAGTGCAGTGGCACAATCTCGGCTCACTGCAAGCTCTGCCTCCCGGGTACATGCCATTCTCCTGCCTCAGCCTCCCAAGTAGCTGGGACTACAGGCGCCCGCCACCACGCCCGCCTAATTTTTTGTATTTTTTTAGTAGAGACGGGGTTTCACCGTGTTAGCCAGGATGGTCTCGACCTCCTGACCTCGTGATCCGCCCGCCTTGGCCTCCCAAAGTGCTGGTATTACAGGCGTGAGCCACCGCACCCGGACTTTTTTTTAAATTTTTTTTTTTTTGAGACGGAGTCTCGCTCTGTCGCCCAGGCTGGAATGCAGTGGTGCAGTCTCCGCTCACTGCAAGCTCCGCCTCCCGGGTTCACACCATTCTCCTGCTTCAGCCTCCCGAGTAGCTGAGACTACAGGCGCTCGCTACCACACCCGGCTAATTTTTTGTATTTTTAGTAGAGATGGGGTTTCACTGTGTTAGCCAGGATGGTCTCAATCTCCTGACCTCGTGATCCGCCCACCTCAGCCTCCCAAATTGCCAGGATTACAGGCATGAGCCACCGTGCCCGGCCAATTTTTTTATTTTTTAGTAGAGACGGGGCTTCACCATGTTGGCCAGGCTGGTCTCAAACTCCTGACCTTCTGATCCGCCCGCCTCAGCCTCCTAAAGTGCTGGGATTACAGGTGTGGGCCACATTGCCTGGCTGAGACCTTCTGATCCGCCCGCCTCGGCCTCCTAAAGTGCTGGGATTACAGGTGTGGGCCACATTGCCTGGCTGAGACCTTCTGATCCGCCCGCCTCAGCCTCCTGAAGTGCTGAGATTACAGGCATGAGCCACCGCGCCCGGCCCAGAAAGAGTTTTTAAGGGAAGCTATTGAGCTCACAGCAGCAGATCCAAGTTTTCCAAAAAAATGTTTCAGTTCCTTTGAGTGGAAGATTTATTTTTTGTTCATTTTCAGGAAAACATCTGCCACATCCCTAAGTCTGAATAGCTATATGTTGTCTGTCAGTCATTTCTTCAAGTAAAAACAAAGGTCTGTGAAAAAGGTTAGTCCAGGCTCCAAAATCAGACAAGCTCCAGGTGCTTCTTAGGACAGCGCCTGCCTTAGATGCGGCAAGAGTGCTTCGTGCACATCCCGTTTCATCACAAAGGATACTTTAAAAGCCAGATGTGGTGATGCGCACCTGTAGTCCCACCTACTAGCTGTAGTCCCAGCAACTCAGGTGACTGAGACAGGAGGATCTCTTGAGCCCAGGAATTTAAATTCAGCCTGGGATTTGAATAGTGAGAGGCACTATTTAATATAGAGCCCCGCCCACTGTGTGCCTCTATTAAAAAAAAAAAAAAGACATGTATTCAGGGTAGAGTTTAATAAGAATTAGTTTTCATTGCTTCACCTGTGACATTCATAAATGACACGGGCTCTTTTCTCCCTGCGTGTGCAGCAGTGAGGATTCTATGCCCTGTGACATTCATAAATGACACGGGCTTTTTTCTTCCTGCGTGTGTAGCGTGTGCAGCAGTGAGGATTCCACGTCCACTTGTGCGCTTGGCCCCTACCTTGAGCTCCGCTTAGGCACCAGCTTAGCTTCCCAGCAGTGTCGGCTGTGTCAACACAGCAAAAGGGGCACACGGCAGCTGTTATGGTCTCACCAAGCCTGCAGAGCATACTCTGGGCACCGCCAGTCTGGGGCCTGGGAAACAGGGCTGGTATTCCTGAGGGGCCTCTGCCACAGCCACAGAGACTCAGCCTCTTTGTTTCCTTGGCAGCTGACATCGGCGACCTCCTGGAGCAGTTAGTAGAGGAGAACACAGGCTCCTTGTCGGGCCCAGCGAAGGACTTTTACCAGCGGGGGTTTGATTTCTTTAACAAGATCACCAACGTGTCGGCTGTCATCAAGTAAGTGCAGTGCTTCGGAAACCACCTTCTGGAATCTTGTTCCAGTCCCTGCAGCTTAACAGAATTGCCTGGGAAGCTTTAAAAATACCCGTGCGTGGCCCCAACCAGATGAATGAGAGTCTCTAGCAGCGGGGCTGCTGGTGGTTCTGATGGACAGCCAGGGTGGGTGGGGAAGCACTGCTTGGGGTGAGTCAGGGCTCTTGAAGGTATGGCAGAATGCACGGCCACGCCAGTTTCAGGAAACACAGCTTAGTTTCATTCCTGAGATTTGTGGAATTTAGCACATGGCTCCACAATTTGAGGTCACCCTGCCCTCTCCACACTCTGAAGGATCGATCCTCTTGGTGTCAGGAAAACCAGACTGCCTTTGCAGCTCCTGTCATCGTTTTCCTAGACCTTCCATTCATGTGGACCTGACACCATCCTTGGATGTTGGTGGCTTTGTGCATTCATAAGGGATGAAACCCTGGAGTCATCAATGCTGGGCACGCTGGCTGGGCTGTCTCCATTGCTTACACTGCTCTGACCTTGGTCACTTTGAGGCCCTTTTCTGGGCTGGGTGCTGAGAATAGCAGTGCTGGCAGCTTCTAACCCAAGAGATGAAGGACGGGAGCTAGCGTTTCCTGGGTGGCAGCAGGTGGCAGGCATTATTACCCCCACCACCCCCAGCCACACACCCCCGCCCACAGCAGGGGCAGAGCCTGCCAGAAAACAGCCCTTCCGGGGCTGTCGGGGTTTCTCCATGAGGAATGCAGGGCAAGAATCGCTGCCAGTGGTGCCTGGCTGCGCTAGGAGCAGCTAGAGCCGGGAAGAGAGGGACAGAGAGGGCAATCCAGGCAGGAGGGGCCCTGGGCTGTCCCCCAGCAGCCAGTTCCTCCAGGAGACAAAGCAAGAATTTCTTTCCTGTTTCTCAGGCCCTACCCTAAAGGCGACGAGAGAAAGAAGGCTTGTCTGTCGGCCCTGTCTGAAGTGACGGTGCAGCCAGGTGAGCAGGTGGCTTCTGGAGGCTCAGACCAACCTCTTCCTGCAGGCGGGCGGCGGGGCGTGAAGGCTGCTGCCCTCTCCAGGCACTACAGGATGTGGACACAGTGGCTTGGCCAGCCCCACACCTGCTTGGGCCCACGGTGCCTGGTGCCCCAGGACCCCAGCCCCTCCCCAAAATCTGCCGCTAGTGAGCGGGAGCTGCTCGTCAGTGGGTGCCCTTCATCTTCCTTGCTGCCTGCTGTTTTTCTGGAGGCTCACACTGACCTCAGTAGCTGTTACTCTAGAAGAGGGTTCCTAGGCTCCAGCATTACAGGAGCAGGTCACACAGACGAGGGGATGGCGGGCCCAGTGTGGGAGGGCTCAGGTGTGCTGGGACCCATCAGCACCACCCCCTCACCGCCTCCATGGGAAGTCGCTCCTGGGTGCCTGTGGCTGTGGCCACATGGGAATTCAAGCCGAGCTTTTCAAGAGAAGATGGAAATCCAGACTTCACTGGGCAGCTCTCTCTCCATTTCTTTTTTTTTTTTTTGCGATGGAGTCTTGCTCTGTCGCCTCAGCCTCCCGAGTAGCTGGGACTACAGGCGCCCGCCACCACACCCGGCTAATTTTTTTGTATTTTTAGTAGAGTCAGGGTTTCACCGTGTTAGCCAGGATGGCCTCAATCTCCTGACCTTGTGATCCTCTCGCCTCGGCCTCCCAAAGTGCTAGGATTACAGGCATGAGCCACTGTGCCCGGCCTCTCTCTGCATTTCTAACTATTGGCACAAACTTGTCTTCCAAACTCTGTCTGTCCCGTGCAGATGTTCACAGCGGCTGGTCCTTGAGTGCCCTGCAGGACCCCGGTTTAACCATTTCTTCCCAACACGTTGTGTTGAGCTCATACAACAGCACGGCTTCCCAGAGAGGGCAGGACATGTATGCAGGGCCTTTGTTCCCGCATCGGGAAGGCCACAACTGCTGGGGAGGGGCAAAAAGAGCTGGAAGCATTGTACTGCAGGGGGCATGCACAGAAGTCCCCAGCCCCTGGCTCTAGATTGTGTTGGCTGAGTCTTGCCCCAGAGGTCAGGGAAGCCAGCAGGGCTCTAGCAGGAGAGCACAGAGGGGCCTGAGTGTGAGCCACAGCCTGGAGCAGGCAGAAGGGCAGGTGAGGAAGAGGAGGAGATGGCATGCCCCCCTCTCCCTGTACCCCACAGCAAGGCCAAGCTTGGCTCCCCTCAAAGCCCACCTCTCAGGGCTCAAGGAGCACACATCCCCCTTGGGGACTGGCAGTTCCTTGGCCAGAAACAGGCTTTCCCTTGTCCTCTTATTTCACACATTTACTGAGCACTCACTGAGAAAGGGGAGCCTGGGCCGGGCGCGGTGGCTCATGCCTGTAATCCCAGCACTTTGGGAGGTCAAGGCAGGTGGATCACCTGAGGTCAGGAGATCAAGACCATCCTGGCTAACACGGTGAAGCCCCGTCTCTACCAAAAATACAAAAAATCAGCCAGGTGTGGTGGCGGGCGCCTGTAGTCCCAGCTACTCGAGAGGCTGAGGCAGGAGAATGGCGTGAACCCGGGAGGCAGAGCTTGCAGTGAGCCAAGATTGCGCCACTGCGCTCCAGCCTGGATGACAGTGCGACACTCGGTCTCAAAAAAAAAAATTAACCAGGCATGGTGACGCGTGCCTGTAATCCCAGCTACTTGGGAGGCTGAGAACAAGAATCACTTGAACCCAGGAGGTGGAGGTTGCAGTGAGCCGAGATTGCACCACTGAACTCCAGCCTGGGTGACAGAGTGAGACTCTGTCTCAAAAAAGCAAAAACAAGAAAAGAAAAGGCATGACATTGGGTATTGTGGCTGTTAAAAAGATGAGTAAGACATGGTCCCTGAGCTGAAGAAGCTTGAACTCACAGAGATATAAAATAAGCATAAAGAAACAATGTTGGCCTGGCACGGTGGCTCATGCCTTAATCCCAGCACTTTGGGAGGCCAAGGCGGGTGGATCACCTGAGGTAAGGAGTTCCAGACCAGCCTGGCCAACTTGGTGAAACCCCATCTCAACTAAAAGTACACAAATTAGCCAGGCGCGGTGGCGGGCGCCTGTAATTCCAGCTACTCGGGAGGCTGAGGCAGGAGAATCGCTTGAACCTGGGAGGCGTAGGTTGCAGTGAGCTGAGACCGAGCCACTGCACTCCAGCCTGGGCGACAGAGTAGGACTCCGTCTCAAAAAGAAAAAGAAAAAAAGAAACGTGTTAGACAAAAGTCCTAAAGGCTGGGAGAACCAAGGACAGTTCATGGACATAGTGACATTTAAGTAAGGCTTTTGAGAGAGTAGTGTTCAAATGGGTAAGGAAGGCCGGGCGTGGTGGCTCACACCTGTAATCCCAGCACTTGGGAGACCAAGACGGGTGGATCGCTTGAGGTCAGGAGTTTGAGACCAGCCTGGCCAACATGGCGAAACTCCATCTCTACTAAAAATATAAAAATTAGCCAGGCATGGTGGCAGGCACCTATAATCCCAGCTACTCAGGAGGCTGAGGCAGAAGAATTGCTTGAACCTGGGAGGCGGAGGTTGCAGTGAGCCAAGATCGCACCACTGCACTCCAGCCTGGGTGATAGAGTGAGACTCTATCCAAAAAAAAAAAAAAAAAAAAAAAAACAGGGACTCCAAGAATGGAGGGCTGTTCAGAGGGTTGCTCAGGCAGGTGGAGGCAGGACAGGCCTCACACACACCCCCAGAAGCAGTAGGGCTGTATCCGTGAGGATGGGGCTCAGTGCTCCTCTAGGAAGAGCATTTCCCAGAAGGTGCAGACTCATTTGGTCGATGGCTGGAAGAGTCGAAGAGTCAAGGAGGACGGACCCTTAGCGGCCACAGAATAATAAGTTAGTGGTGCCCTGGACAAGGACCAGAGGCCCCTCCACAGGGGTGGGGTGTGCCTGCAGGGTGGACACGCACGTAACATCCGTGTTGGAAACTGACTCTGGCTCACCTGTGGTGACACATGCACTCCCTGTGACTGCCTCTGTCCCTGCACAGGCTGCTCCCTGCCCAGCAACCCCGAAGCCATTGTGCTGGACGTCGACTACAAGTCTGGGACCCCGATGCAGAGGTGAGCGCCTCACCCTACCCATCCCCCGCTTCCACAGCGTCCGCGTGTGAAGTTTTTCTCGGCTGCATCATGGGTGCCACATTCTTTTTGTTGTTTTCAGTGCTGCAAAAGCCCCATATCTGGCCAAGTTCAAGGTGAAGCGATGTGGAGTTAGTGAACTTGAAAAAGAAGGTCAGTAAAGAACCCTGATTTTGTTTGGGAGCTCAGTGCTTTTCCTTGCTAATGCCAGTTTCTTCTGGCATGTGTTAAATTTAGTACAGCTCTCCATAAAAGATGATGTCTGTCCATCTGTCTGCCCTCAGTCAGACCCCTCACTAGGGGATGGCAGGGAGCTCAAATGCACTGACAGATGTGCCACCCCAGAGGTCTGTCTGCCGTGAGTCAGCTGGCATGCTCCAGCAGGCTCCTTCCTGAGGCTGAGGGGCCCGGGGCTGTTGGGGGGTGTTAGTTTCCCAGGGCTACCGTACGGACGATCTCAGTTCTGGAGGCTGGAGTCCATCATCAGGGTCGTGCCCCCTCTGAAGGCTCTGGGCAGGTCACACCTTGCCTCCTCAGCTTCTGGTGGTGTTGCCAGCAGTCCTGGGCTCACCTTGGCCTGCAGATGCTCCACTCCCATCTCCGCCTCCCTCTTCACATGATGATCTCCCTTGAAGGACATCAGTCATTGGATTAGGGACTGTCCTAATCCACTGTGACCTTGTCTTAACCTAATTACATCTGCAAAGACCCTGTTTCCAAATAAGGACACATTCTAAGGTTTGGGGTGAACATGAATTTTAGGGAGACACTCTTCAACCCAGTACAGACGGTGTGGCCAGCTGTGGAGAGGGGGCTGCCACCCCTTGCAGGGACCTGCCTCCCATGGCCATGTCTGCACACTGGCCCCGAGCCCTCCCAGGACCCCAGTGTACAGACACATTCCTCCTGCCCCCCAGCTCACAGCACCCAACACTGACTCAGGCACACCTGGGTCTTCACTGCAGATGAAATGGGGCTCTGTTTTTAGTTCCATTTAAGCCTAAATGTTCTTAGACTCCAACCCTGGATTCCACCTGCTGTTCCAAGGCTTTCCTTGGGCCCTGCTGGGCTCCTCCTTGGCCTCCTTGGGGTTTTGAAGAAGTGATCCCCAAGATTGCTGGGGTTCCTTTCAGGCATGTGAGAGGACTCATCCCTGGCCCCCTCAGAGGGCTTCTCACTGCCTACAGGCTAACAGTGGCCTCTCTCCCTGCGGGCAGGTCTGCGGTGCCGCTCAGACTCTGAGGATGAGTGCAGCACGCAGGAGGCCGACGGCCAGAAGATCTCCTGGCAGGCAGCCATCTTCAAACTGGGAGACGACTGCCGGCAGGTAAGCAGGGTCAGGCCTCAAGTAGGCTTGGGGACTGGGCTTGCTGCTCCCCAAGGCTCCAGGCCCACCAGAGTCCAATCTCATATGCAGAAATGTGAATCTTTTCCTTCTCTTACATGGTTCAGGTGCCACGGGGTAAATTAGGGCTTCTGCAAAACCCAGAGGCCTCTCCTTCCAGCCCCTTTCCCACTGTCCCTGCCATGCCAGTGCCCACCTGAGGGAACTGTCCAGGGGTTGGGTGCCTTATCTCACACACCCCACCAGACAGCTCAGCCTCATGCTCAGCCCAGGGCCTGGTGGTCCCAGCAGCCTGAGTCCAGCCCCCGGTGGTCAGAAAGGAAGGCCTTCCAGACTCTTGCTCGGCTGTGGTCTCCCCACCTCACTCCATCTCTGGGTGCTCGGCTTTTGCCCTGCATGAGCCAGAAGAGCTACTGGGGTGCAAGGATGCCAACTGACCGCATCCTGCGCCTCCCGGCTTCCCAGGACATGCTGGCCCTGCAGATCATCGACCTCTTCAAGAACATCTTCCAGCTGGTCGGCCTGGACCTCTTTGTTTTTCCCTACCGCGTGGTGGCCACTGCCCCTGGGGTAAGTTCCCTGAGTGGAGCCAGTAGGGCAGCCCTGGGCACCTCGCACCCGGCGGGCCTCAGAACTGGCCTTTCCTCCTAGTGCGGGGTGATCGAGTGCATCCCCGACTGCACCTCCCGGGACCAGCTGGGCCGCCAGACAGACTTCGGCATGTACGACTACTTCACACGCCAGTACGGGGATGAGTCCACTCTGGCCTTCCAGCAGGTAGCCAGGGTGGCCACAGGCCGGGGAAAGTCGTGTGCGCTCCACCCTACCCCAGCCACCCATACCCAGCCTCTACCCACACCCTGCTCTCCTCAGTCATCCTTTGTTAAGGGTTAAAACCAGGGCACCTGGGCTGGGCACGGTGGCTCACGCCTGTAATCCTAGCACTTTGGGAGGCCGAGGCGGGCAGATCACGAGGTCAAGAGATCAAAACCATCCTGGCCAAAATGGTGAACCCTGTCTCTACTAAAAATACAAAAATTAGCTGGGCATAGTGGCACGCGCCTGCAGTCCCAGCTACTCAGGAAGCTGAGGCAGGAGAATCGCTTGAACCCAGGAGGCAGAGGTTGCTGTGAGCCGAGATTGCACCACTGCACTCCAGCCTGGGCAACAGAGTGAGACTCCATCTGAAAAAAAAAAAAAAAAAAAAAAAAAAACCAGGGCACCTGGCCGGGCGCAGTGCTCACGCCTGTAATGCCAGCACTTTGGGAGGCCAAGGCGGGCAGATCATGAGGTCAAGAGATCGAGACCATCCTGACCAACATGGTGAAACCCCATCTCTACTAAAAGTAAAAAAATTAACTGGGCATGGTGGTGGGCACCTGTAGTCCCAGCTACTCGGGAGGCTGAGGCAGGAGAATCTCTTGAACCCAGGAGGCAGAGGTTGCAGTGAGCCAAGATCGTGCCACTGCACTCCAGCCTGGCGACAGAGCGAGACTCCATTTAAAAAAAAAAACACCAGGGCATCTGTAAGCCACTTTGGGAGTCAAAAGAATGTAGAGCTGGGCTGGACTCCTTAGAAGAAAGTTAAGTTCTGAGTGTGGGAGGAAGTGCCTGCACCCCCACATCCAGACAGCCCGTCACTCCTGCTGCCGAAGACTGACTTGCTGATTCGGGCTCTGCCTCCATAGTGGGGGCACAGAGCCAGGGAGAGTGCCCACAGGCCCAGGGATCCTGGGTGTGGGACCAGGGAGAATGCCCACAGGCCCCAGGGCCTTTTTGAGCCCAGGGCGCTCTCTGCACAGGCCCGCTACAACTTCATCCGAAGCATGGCCGCCTACAGCCTCCTGCTGTTCCTGCTGCAGATCAAGGACAGACACAACGGCAACATTATGCTGGACAAGAAGGGCCATATCATCCACATCGGTCAGCCAGCCACAGCGCCACCCTCCTCTCCCTTCACCCCGGCACCCAGGGGTGGATAGGGATCCCCACCCCACAGAGAGGAGAATGCCCAGGACCACCCTGCCAGGAGTGTCAGGGTCCAGCTCTGAGGTCCGAACTGTCGGCCACCAAGCTGTTCTGCTGTAGAGGGTGCCTGGCCCCGGCCCCAGGGAGCTGGGGCGAGAGCCGCCATTGCTCTGAGTCAGAAGCTGGAGCTGGGCGGAGTGGGGCTGGTCCAGGTTCAGTGCCCCAGCTTGGCTCCTTCCTCCACTTCCTCCCTTCTCTTTCTCTGCCTGCTGCCCCACCACCCACCCCATCACTGTCTCCAAGAAAACACAACCTGCCTTTTGGGGGTGGAGGGGGTGCTCCTGTTGAAGAGTCCTTTTCCACTCCTCAAAACAGACCACTCGTCCTTGCCCGCCCTGGCTCCTACCCAGTCACAGGCAGCTCTTTGGGGTTTTGCAGACTTTGGCTTCATGTTTGAAAGCTCGCCGGGCGGCAATCTCGGCTGGGAACCCGACATCAAGCTGACGGATGAGATGGTGATGATCATGGGGGGCAAGATGGAGGCCACACCCTTCAAGTGGTTCATGGAGATGTGTGTCCAGGCTACCTGGCTGTGCGGTGAGCCTGGGTGAGGGCCAGGGTGGAGGCGGAGGGGGTGTGTGGAACGTTCTGAGATCCCCTTTAGGATGAAGGGAATCGGGTTCCAGAGAGTGAGGTAGGTGCTAGCAGCCACCTGCTGACCTACACCTGTCCTTTGGTCACCTCTGTCTGCCCACCTGTGCCAATAAATTCTTGCTCTGGGCATCTAATTCCAACCACCTTCCCCACAATCCTGCCCACGCCTTCAGCCATGGGCTCTCCCTTTCTGGGCATCCCATCCACCTTGTCACCAAAGCCTGAGCACCTGCCACCCCACAGGCTACGTGCCAAAGATGGGCTTTGTCCCAGTTTCATATACAGGTCACTTGGCCAAGGCCACAGTCCAACCTGGGTTCATCCCCACTGCCCCGCAGAGAAAGGCAGGTCAGCGTGTCTGCATCCCACCCAGGTGCAGAAGCCATGGCCGGCAGCCTTATGTGGGGGACAGGGCAGGACACTCAGCCTGTCCAGAGTGCGTATGGGCAGCCCTTGCCTGGGCAGTACGGGTGACCGAGTGCAGCAGATCGAAAGTTGCCTCGGGGATGTGCAAGATGTGGCAGGCGAGGTGGGTGGCAGGAGCCCACACCTGAGGCTGTTGGCATCAGCCAGTCCACAGGACTACAGGCAGGGCCACCACCTAGGCTGGCCTCAGCCCACCGCTCCCTCCTGTCTCTCCCCAGGCCCTACATGGATGTGGTCGTCTCCCTGGTCACTATCATGTTGGACACGGGCCTGCCCTGTTTTCGCGGCCAGACAATCAAGCTCTTGAAGTAGGTTCCTTGGTGGACACGCAGGCCATCTGGGGGACAGTTGTCCATTAGCTGAGGCTCCATCCAAGATAGGTATCTTTCGTGTAATTGTCACTGTGGTTGTCATCTCCTTGGAACCTCAGAGCAGACAGGGTTCCTAGGTGAGGCTCTACCCCTAGACCACAACTGTGAGGGGCCCCTGCTTGTGCCGGCCACACCAGAGACCCACCCAGGGGCCTCTATTTATGTCAAGGATGCTACGCCCAACCCACCTCCACCCTAAGGTCTGGGGCTGCAGTAGCTTAGCTCCCCAATGCTTAGTCCCCTAATACCATGGGACCACTCAGGTGATGCTGGGAAGGGGACAGGGCCCATGATAGGCCAGGCGTGGCCTTCACAGCACCCCATCTTCCAACATGTGGACCCCAAAGGTACATTTCCAGGGCATGGCTCTCAGCTGAAGTCCGTCCCCATGGAAGACCCTCCTCCCACTGGGCCAGGGAGCCAGCACGGCCCTGCCCATGGCAGCCCTGACACAGCCTCTCCTCCAGGCACAGGTTTAGCCCCAACATGACTGAGCGCGAGGCTGCAAATTTCATCATGAAGGTCATCCAGAGCTGCTTCCTCAGCAACAGGTGAGTGCCCCGCCCCCCTGCCTTCTCCCACTGCCTCGGTGGCCACTGGGCACCTGCAGGGCCTTGCCTGCACCAGGCGATGAGGATTCTGCTGTCCCCAAGCCGCCCCTCTCATGAAGACCCAAGTCTTGACAGGAACTCTTGAGGAGCAGTGGGGTGCTGGTTTAGGGGGCTGTGGTGTGCCGAGGGGAACACTTGGCAGAGGCCGGGCCCACCTGGGCAGGGCTCGTGAGGCCGAAGGAGCAATAGGGACACAAGGCCAGGAGTATTAGAACTGAGTGTGGTGTCAGGCCTCCCTCCTCCCAGGAGGGCTGAGGAGTCAGAGCCCACTCCTTCCCTGCGCCTGCCTCGGGCTGCTTCGTGGGCAGTGACTGGAGGTGCAGGCCGGGCTGCTGGTCACTACTGTGGTGGGAGGAGATGGGTGCAGGGGGCCCTGGGGAGGGCTGGCTCAGGGTCTGAAGGCAGAGCACCGGGCTGACAGGCTCCCTGCTGTGGGAGTCAGAGGTGGCTTTGAGGGGTCCGGCCTGAACAAAGGGAGGATGGCGATCCCAGCAAGTGAGCCATCCCCGAAGGGGGCAGCACTTAAACATGTGGGGTTGGTAAGGCCCTGAGGGGCATGTGGGAACCCAAGGCTGTGCCATGGGACAGACCACATCCAGACTAGGAGGAGGGGCCCAGGTGTGGCCATCTGCATGGGGAACTGCCGGAGGAGCGTGAGAGGAAGCTGAGACCTGCCCCCAGGTGGCGCCCGGGTCCGGCACCCTAACAAGGGCACTGTGGAGGCTGGGCACGGAAGGAGCTCTTGCTGATAGGAAGCAGAGAAGCCAGGCGGCCAGGACCTCAAGAGGGGCTGGGGCAGGGCGAGAAGGGGCTCTCCAGAGGTGCGAGGAGAGCGTACAGACCCCTTGGAGGCATCTGGCCAGGACGAGCCAAGGGGCCCGAGGCCCATGGGGCAGAGCAGTGGCTCCCACGGATGGAAGCGGTTTGGCTGAGGAGCATGAGGTGGCCTCAGAGTCCCCCGGGTTGGAGCAGATGTGGTCACTGGGTGGGGGAGGGCACGCCTGGGACATTTGTACCTTCAGGTGCTGGGCAGCCATAAGGGGCTGATTGGACAGGTAGGGCTCCCTGTGGGGAGGGACCCCAGACCCTGCTGGCTCCTCGAATCTCCCTTCACTCTTCTTGGCCTTTCAGGAGCCGGACCTACAACATGATCCAGTACTATCAGAATGACATCCCCTACTGAGGAGGGGACCTTCGAGGGCCTCTGCCCCATGTGCCCTTGAAGCTGCCCCACAATCATGGAGCCCTGCGACCTACCCGCCCTGCCGCCACATGCAGTGGAGGAGAGGCCTGTGGCCCGAAGAGCCTGGTAGCGCCTCCTGGGGCAGCACGTGGGTGGCGCAGGCTTAGTAACGCCGTGGACTGCAGCGACAATCAGTGGATGGTGCTGTCTATGCACAGGTGTGAGTCCTCTGTTTGCACTGGACATATTCCCTACCTGTTTTATTTCATAGGTACATGAAGTATTGTGTATAAAAAAAGAGATAAGATTTAACCAACATCAACAAAATAAAAACCCAAAATAGTGCTGTGTTGGAATCTGTGAGGTTTTGTGTCAAGTCCTAAGTCCACCTTCAGCCAAAGGGCAGTTCCTGGATTTGCCCCTAGAGAGGGGGGCCCAGTGTTGGCTGCACTCATAGGCTGGGGCCCAGGAGCACGGGTTGTGGCTTAACAAACATGAGATTCCCATAATCTCACCACGGCATAGGTGCACCAAAACACACATTGTGTTTGTCCTGACTGCTGTCTGCCCGCTCCAAAACTGTCTCCCTCAGGGCTGCCGTGGGGGCCTGTCTGTGGCTCTCCGCAGCATCTTCCCACTGCTCTAGTCTTTCCCTCTTGCTTGTTTTCAAGTGCTGTGCTCTGGAACTCCAAAATCTTTGTGTGACTAGACCCAGCAAGCATCTACTCCCACCCACCGAGGCCCTGCATCTGAAGCAGATAGGAATAAAGACCTGAAACAAAAGAGAAACTCCAAAAGATCAGCTAAACAGCAGCAGGTAAGAAGAGAAAATCAGTGATCAGAATAGTGAAATGACCAAACATGCAGTGTGAAGGAAAGGAAAGCCAAGCGGGGTGGCTCCTAATCCCAGCACTTCAGCAGGCCAAAGCAGGAGGATTGCTTGAGTCCAGGAGTTCAACACCAGCATAAGCAACACGGGAAGACCCTGTCTCTACAAAAAAATTTAAAATTAGCCACATGGTGGTGCATGCCTGTAGTCCCAGCTACTCAGGAGGGTAAGAAAGATAGGATCACTGGAGCCGAAGAGCAAGACTCCAGTGAGCTATGATGGTACCACTGCACTCCAGCCTGGGTAACAGGGTCAAAAAAAAAAAAAAAGTTGAATGAAAAGCTCCAGTCAACTTTTTCTTTTTTTTTTAGTCGGAGTCTCACTCTGTCGCCCAGGCTGGAGTGCAGTGGCGTGATCTCTGCTCACTGCAACCTGTCTCCCAGGTTCAAGCAAATCTCCTACCTCAGCCTCCTAAGTAGCTGGGATTTCAGCTGCACGCCACCACACCCAGCTAATTAATTTTTGTACTTTTAGAAGAGAAGGGGTTTCGTCATGTTGGCCAGGCTGATCTTGAACTCCTGGCTTCAGGTGATCTGCTCGCCTCGGCCTCCCAAAGTGCTGAGATTGGAGCCACCGTGCCCGGCCCCAATCAACTTCTAATGGGATTTCCAGAGTTGAAAAACACAAATATTCAGCTTTAGGAAGCACAGTTGAGTCCTGAGCAGTACAAATAAAAATATAGGCTGGGCACAGTGGCTCACATGTGTAATCCCAGCACTTTCGGAGGCTGAGGTGGGTGGATTGCTGGAGTCCAGCAGTTTGAAAACAGCCTGAGCAACATGGCAAGACCCCATCTCTACAAAAAATACAACAATTATCCGGGCATGGTGGCACAAGCCCGTAGTCCCAGCTACTCAGGAAGCTGAGGTGGATCGCTTGAGCCCGGGAGGTGGAGGTTGCAGTGAGCCAAGATCACACCATTGCACTCCACACTGGATGACAGAGTGAGACTGTCTTAATAAAAAATATGAGTCAGCGTATAAGTTAAAAGGAGTTTTAAAAGATACTAATCCAAAAGAAGGCAGAAAAGGAGAAACATAATAGACTTACCAGCCCAATTTAAAAGTCAGGGATTACAAACATGAATTGAAGAAGTGAGACCCAGTTATGTGCTGATTATAACCAAAGCACTTTACATATGAAGACAGATGTAAGATGAAAATAACAGATAGAAAAAAGACTGGCCATCCATAATCAAAATGTGTATGGGTGTTTATGAAGGGGCATTTCACAATAAGCAATTGACGGCGCTACCAACAAGAAAGTAAACACAGGAGCCCTGAACAAGCCTGTCACTCACCTGGACCTGCTGGGTATTTAGAACACACTCTGTTGGCCTGGCACGGTGGCTCATGCCTGTAATCCCAGCGCTTTGGGAGGCCAAGCCAGGCGGATCACAATGTCAAGAGATCAAGACCATCCTGGCCAACACGGTGAAACCCTGTCTCTGCTAAAAATACAAAAATTAGCTGGGCATGGTGGAATGCATCTGTAGTCCCAGCTACTCAGGAGGCTGAGGCAGGACAATCACTTGAACCTAGTAGGTGGAGGTTGGAGTGAGCCGAGATTGCACACCACTGTACTCCAGCCTGGCGACAGAGCGAGACTCCGTCTCAAAAAAAAAAATCACTCTGTCAACAGCAACAATACACTTCTCAGTGTTCATTACAAGCTTTGTGCTGGGCCACAAAACAAGTCTCAGTAAATGAGATAGAATTAAAATCATGCAGAGTGTATTCTCTGGCCACAGTGGAAATTAGGACTCAGTAAGATATCTGGAGAAAATGTTGGCCAGGCACGGTGGCTCATGCCTGTAATCCCAGCACTTTGGGGAGGCCAAGGTGGGCGGATCACGAGGTCAGGAGATCGAGACCATCCTGGCTAACACAGTGAAACTCTGTCTCTACAAAAAATACAAAAAATTAAACGGGCATGATGGCGGGCGTCTGAAGTCCCAGCTACTTGGGAGGCTGAGGCAGGAGAATCGCTGGAACCCGGGAGGCAGAGCTTGCAGTGAGCCGAGATCATGCCACTGCACTCCATCCTGGGCGCAGAGCAAGACTCCGTCTCCAAAGAAAAGAAAAAAAAAAGTAGCACATGTGATCAGAGGGAAAAGACCTAAGATGCTTTAAGGCGGTTTAGGGGAAGATGACAGCGATGAGCTGAGCTCAAGTAGTAAGAATACCAGAATACAGAGTGTGACTTCCCAAATAAACAGAAGGAAAGGGGAGCATTGAAAAATCAGGATCAACATGTTACAAATGGTAGAAATAAATTCAAATATAGTAGAAATAATTTCAAATCACAATACTTGAAAAGGCAGCTTGTCAGATTGGCAAAGTGTCAAATGCTATGTACAAGTTTCTGGCAATACGGCAAATTATGTATCCTGAAAAACTAAAAATGCTGTTTACAATACTGGGGAGTGGCTCTAAATCCATGAGCTGTAAGGAAGGAAGGAATCTTTGGAGGCTGAAAAGCCAGTCAAGCTCCTACATGACATGGGAGACAGACGACGAACCCACGAGCTTCATCCCTTGAGTTTATTAGGCAACCTTGGTCTACACTCTCAGGAGAGGAGTGCACCAGAAATAAAGCCAGGTGCCCTGGAGTCCACCTGGAGCCAGGCGCGGGGCGCTGCACTTAGGTTGGCAGAAGCCCGTTAGCGCGCAGCTCCAGCAGCGGGGACAGCGTGTAGCGCAGGCGGCGCAGCGTCGTCTCCGAGGTGAGGCTCCAGAGCCACGCGGAGACGGCGCCGGGGTCCAACAGCACCGTCCAGAGCAGCGACAGCCCCAGGAAGAGGAGCGGCAGCGTCAGCAGCACCTGCAGCGCGCCCAGCACGCACCGCCTGCGGGGCGAAAGGCGGGCAGGTGGGCGGCAACTCGGGCGGGCACCTGGGGGACCGCGGCCGCGCCCACCGCCCGGCTCACCTGATGGCCAGCGCGCGAGGGCCGCCGAACAGCCGCGTCTCCTGCGGGGAGAGAGGGCCGCATCCAGCTACCTCCGCGCCCGCGGCGCCGGCCCGGTTTCCAGGAGGAGGGGGAGGCGGTACCGCGGGGGGGACGGGGAGGGTTGTCCCGCTCCAGCCCACCCCGCCCGGACCCGCGCAGGCGCTCACTCGGTCCGCCCTGGCCATCTCCTCCATGAGCGATTCGGTGCTGTACTGCACTCCGCGAAGCTGCCCGTCACACCTGCGGGGACAGGCATGCAGGTGGGAGCCCATCCCGGCCCCACAGTGCCCCGCCGCGCCCGCAGGCCCAACTCCCTTACAGTTCCCGGCCACTCTGCCAGGCGTCCAGCTCCTCCGCAGCCTCCATCACCTTCACCTGCACCTCCTGGAGCGGGTGAGAGTGCGGACTGAGGCCTCGGGGAGGCGTCCTGGCGGTGGGTTGGGAGACTTACCGCCCCAGGTCTGGGGGAGGAGAGGCGGGAGGCACCTTGGCGTCTGAGTGGGGCCGCACCTGCAGGACTACGGTCTGCTCCTGGAATATGGCCCAGGCCTCCGCTGTCTGCAGCGCGTCCTGGGTGTGGACACCCGGGTTAGACTCGGCGGCGTCGGGGCGACAGGCCCTTCCCCATCCACACTCGAAAGCCTACCCTCCTCCAACAGAACCCGCTTCTGCCCTCACCTGCTGCAGCTTCTCCTCCTGCAAGGCGCATTTGGTCTCCGCCAGCTCCAGTTCATTCTTGAGAAGGACCCAGGGAATGTCAGGAGGTCCGCAGGCCGGCAACCCGCTGCGCCTCCGGGCCCCGCCCCCGGCCCTCAGTGCCCGCCCCCAGGCGATCATGACCCCGCCCGCGTCCTCAGGACCAGTCGTAAGCAACGCCCCAGCTGGTCATGGCCACGCCCCCTCCGCGCTCCGCCCCTATTCTAGCCCTCAGAGCCCCGCCCCCATGCGATTGTGCTCCGCCCACATTCCCCGCCCCGCCCACGCCTTCAGGGCCTGCCTTAAGCCACACCCCCAGGTGGTCACGGCCCAGCTCATGCTGCTGCTCCGCCCCTACTAAACACCTCAGGGTCCCGCTCAAGCACCTGCAGCGTCACCAATTGGGCTGCGAGTTGCTGCTCCGTGCTCTTCTGGCTCTGCAGTTCCCCTCCGTAGTAGAAGAGCTAGGGGCGGGGCTTGTAAGGGCGGGGTTTACCGGGCTTCTGGAGGAACGGGTGTCAGGGGAGACAGGGACGGGGAGGCAACAAGGGCGAGGACAAGGGCAGGACTTCCGAGAGGAACCAAGAGACAGGCCCTCCCATCTCCTGCACGTACCTGACTCGACAGCTCCTCCCACTGCTCCTGCAGCTGCCTGCTGTGCTGCTCCTGCGGACGGGGTCCTGGGGCGGTGCCGACCTCTCCGCCGGTCCTACCTCACCCCACCCCCGGATCCTGCCCCCTTCCGCCCGCCCTGCCCCACCCCACCCTGGGTCCAGCCCCATTCCAGGACTCTTCCTCACCAAGTACTCCTTGTGGCGCTCCGCCTCCTCCAGTCTTCTGCGCACCCGCTCCGCGCGCTCCCGCGCCGCCTCGCGCGCCTCCCCTTGCAGAGGCTGCGCTGCCTGGCTTCGCCTCCGCAGCAGGCTGCAGAGGGAAACTGAGGTTGGCGCTACAAGGCGGACTGGGTCGCTCAGGATCCCGCAGTCGCCAGGAAGGACCAGCCGCAGGCTCATGATTGAGGACTGGGAAGTCCTGGCCGAGTCCCCCACCTGGGTCCGCTGGGTGGATCACCCGTTCCCAAGGGCCTAGAGCAGAGATGCGGGCCTGGGCGGATCAGCCTGGTACTCTGCGAAGCACCTCGCGGCGCTGCCTGCGGGACCGACCCTCGCGCGCCCGCCAGGTAGAGGGGCGTTCCCCGCGCACCTCCGCTCCCGCTCGCTCAGGTCCTGCAGGCGCTGGTTGAGGCTCTCGCTCTCGGCCTCGAGCCCGCGCATCAGCTTCTCTAGCTCCTGCTTCCGCTGGCGACCATCTCGGTTATCCTTCTGCAACTGCAGCAGCAGCTCCTGCGTCGCGGCCATGGCTGTGGAGACCGAGCCTAAATGCCGCCCGCCTCGGGGACCCAGCCTGCGGCTGGCAGGCGTCACAATGGGCGGCAGGGAGCGCCTAGCGGGCTGGATCACAATGGGCGGCAGGGGAAGCCCGAGCGTAGCCCGACACATGCCCCTTCTCACGCCGGCCGGAGGCGGGTCAGGCCGGATCACACTTAGTCCATCACTGATGAAAATTGTGTCAAAGAGCCGTAATTGGATCAATGAAAGGTTAATAAAATACTAATACCAAATGCAGGCAAGTTGAAGATTGGTTCCCCCACACTGCAGATGGCACTTGCAAACTGATCGATCTCTTGTGGAAAAGAACCCATAAATATGTTCGTAGCTTTTGACCCAATTATCCTTCTCCTGGGAAATTTATCCCAGAAAGGAGAAAAAATAATTTAAACCCACTACACACTAAATGGTTCGCTGAAGTGGTTACAGTAGCCACAAAAAAAGGAAACAATTTTAATGATTAAAATGTGCTTGGGTATTATGTGGTATGCCTAGAGCTATGATGATGTCTAGTGAAAAAGAATTTGATTTAGCATTTATGCTAAAGTAACTAAGATAAAATACATGAGCAAGATCCGTAAAGGAAACAGGAGGAAGATAAGCTCTTTCATTGCTTGGTGAGACTGTAGGTAAACTCGTCCTTTTAAGTATTATTATTTTAGAGGCAGGTCCTGCTGTCACCAGGCTGGAGTACAGTGGAACAATCGAAGCTAGCTGCAGCTTCAATCTCCCAGGCTCAAGTGATCCTTCCGCCTTAGCCTCCCAACTTGTCCTTTTAAAATCTGCCTTTATTTGTCCAGTTACAATTATGAACTTGGATGCAAAAATCCAAAATACATTACTAACAAAATCTAAAGGGAAACAGAAATCCATGGAAACCAAACAGAGTTTATTCCAGAGATTGTTCAACATCAGAAAATCAGTGTTGTTCACCATATGGACAAACAGGGAAGAACTCCACGATCTCAATGGCGCACTTCAATAGATGCAGAAAACATGAAGATGAGGGTCACCATCTATTAATAATTTTTTTTTTTTCTGAGACAGAGTCTCATTCTGTTGCCCAGGCTGGAGTGCAGTGGCACAATCTTGGCTCACTGCAACCTCCGCCTACTGGGTTCAAGCAATTCTCTGCCCCAGCCTCCAGAGTAGCTGGCATTACAGGCACTCGCCACCACGCCCAGCTAATTTTTTTGTATTTTTAGTAGAGACAGGGTTTCACCATCTTGGCCAAGCTGGTCTTCAACTCCTGACCTCGTGATCCACCCACCTCGGCCTCCCAAAGTGCTGGGATTACAGGCCTGAGCCACCTCACCTGACCATCTATTGATAATTCTAAAAGCTCTAACAAAAGGGAGAGATAAAAGCACTCTCTAGTCTGATAAAGGCCACAGTAAACATTATAGTAAGGAGGAAGTATTAATAGTATATGCTTTTTTTTGCTTTTTTTTTTTTTTTTAGAGTCAGGGTCCTGCTGTCACCCTGGCTGGAGTGCAGTGGTACGATCAAAGCTAACTGCAGCCGCACACTTCAGGGCTCAAGTGATCCTCCCGCCTCTCACCCTTTAAGAAGTAGTAGACGGCCGGGCACGGTGGCTCACGCCTGTAATCCCAGCACTTTGGGAGGCCGAGGAGGGTGGATCATGAGATCAGGAGTTCAAGACCAGCTTGGCCAAGATGGTGAAATCTTGTCTTTACTAAAAATACAAAAAAAAAAGTTAGCCGGGTATGGTGGTGCTTGCCTGTAGTCCCACCTACTCGGGAGGCTGAGGCAGGGGAATCGAACCCGAGAGGCAGAGGTTACAGTGAGCCGAGATTGCACCACTGCACTCCAGCCTGGTGACAGAGGGAGGCTCCATCTCAAAAAAAAAAAAAATGTAGTAGTAAAGGCCAAGCACAGTGGTTCACACCTGTAATCCCAGCACTTTGGGAGGCCAAGGTGGGTGGATCACCTGAGGTCTGGAGTTTGAGACCAGCCTGGCCAACATGGTAAAACCCCACCTCTACTAAAAATACAAAAAATTAGCTGGGCATGGTGGCCTATAATCCCAGCTACTCAGGAGGCTGAGGCAGGAGAATCGCATAAAACCAGGAGGCGGAGGTTGCAGTGAGCCGAGATCGTGCCACCGCACTCCAGCCTGGGCAACAGTGTGAGCCTCCATCTTAAAAAAAAAAAAAAAAATAGTAAGAGGCTGGCCACGGTGGCTCATGCCTGTAATCCCAGCACTTTGGGAGGCAAAGGAGGGCAGATCACGAGGTCAGGAGATCAAGACCATCCTGGCCAACATGGTGAAACCCCATTTCTACTAAAAATACAAAATTAGCTGGGCATGGTCGCGAGTGCCTGTAATCCCAGCTACCCGGGAGGCTGAGGCAGGAGAATGGCGTGAACCCGGGAGGCGGAGGTTGCAGTGAGCCAAGATCACGCCACTGCACTCTAGCCTGGGCGACAGAGCGAGAGTCTGTCTCAAAAAAAAAAAAAAAAAAAATTTTTTTTGTAGGGACAGAGTCTCACTTTGTTGCCCTGGATGGTCTCAAAATTCTAGCTACAAGTGATCCTCCTGCACTGGCCTCTTAAAGTTCGTAATGCTTTGCTCTTTTAAGTTTGTCTCTTTGTGAACATGTAAGAAACTACGGGGCCGGGCGCGGTGGCTCACGCCTGCAATCCCGGCACTTTGGAAGGCCAAGATGGACGATCTCCTGATCGAGGCCATCCTGGCTAACACGGTGAAACCCCGTCTCTACTAAAAATACAAAAAATTAGCCGGGCGTGGTGGCGGGTGCCTATAGTCCCAGCTACTCGGGAGGCTGAGGCTGGATAATGGCATAAACCCGGGAGGCGGAGCTTGCAGTGAGCGGAGCTTGCGCCACTGCACTCCAGCCTGGGTGACAGAGCAAGATCCATCTCAAAAAAAAAGAAAAAATTTAAAATGAGCTGGGTGTGCTGGTGTGCACCTGTAGTCCCGGTTACTCAGAAGGCTGAGCTGGGAGGATCTCTTGGGCTTGGGAGTTTAAGGCTGCAGTGAGCTATAATCATGCCACCACACTCCAGCCTGGGCAACAGTGAGACCCCCAACTCAATCAACCAATCAAAAATGTCTTCAGATCGGGCGCGGTGGCTCACACCTGTAATCCCAGCACTTTGGGAGGCTGAGGCAGGTGGATCACTTGAGGTCAGGAGTTCAAGATGAGCCTGGCCAACATGGTGAAACCCTGCCTCTACTAACAACAACAACAAAAAAAAAAATTAGGTTGGGCGTGGTGGTTCAAGTGATTCTCCTGCCTCAGCCTCTCAAGTAGCTGGACTACAGACGCCCACCACCACGTCTGGCTAATCCTTGTATTTTCAGTAGAGATAGGGTTTCATTATGTTGGTCAGGCTGGTCTCGAACTCCTGACCTCGAATGATCCACCTGCCTCAGCCTCCCAAAGTTACTGGGATTACAGGCGTGAGCCACCACACCTGGCCAATATTTTTTAATTTTAATTTTTTGTTAGAGAGAAAGGATCTTGCTCTGTCACCCAGGCTGAACTTCAGTGGCTTGATCCTAGCTCACTGCGGTCTTGAAATCCTGGGCTCAAGGAATCCTCCCACCTCAGCACCCCCAGTAGCTGGGACTACAGCATGGCTGATTATTTTTTTGTAGAAATGAAGTCTCACTATGTTGACCAGGCTGGTCTCAAACTCCTGGGCTCAAGTGATCCACTCACCTTGGCCTCCCAAAATGCTGGGATTACAGGCATGAACCACCCCCGCTGGTCTTTTTTTTTTTTTTTTTTTTTGAGATCGAGTCTCACTCTGTTGCCCGGGCTGGGGAGCAGTAGCGCCATCCCAGCTCACTGCAGCCTCGACCTCCTGTGCTAAAGTGATCCTCCTGCCTTGACCTCCCAAAGCACTGGGACTACAGGTGTTAACATTTATTTTTAATTTTTTTATTTTTGAGACAGAGTTTCACTCTTGTGGCCCAAGCTGGAGTGCAATGGTATGATCTCAGCTCACCGCAACCTCCGCCTCCAGGGTTCAAGCAATTCTCCTGCCTCAGTCTCCCGAGTAGTTGGGATTACAGGCACTCGCCACCATGCCCAGCTAATTTTTTGTATTTTTAGTAGAAACGGGGTTTCACCATGTTGGCCAGGCTGGTCTCGAACTTCTGACCTCAGGTGATCCGCCCGCCTCAGCCTCCCAGAGTGCTGGGATTACAGGCGTGAGCCACCACGGCTGGCCAGGCATTAACATTTATATAAACTAAATACACAGGGTGAGTACAGACGGTTGGTAGGACAAGGAGGAGGATGGGATCAGAAAGGAGGCGGCGAGAGCACCCACCAGGGATGAGGACAAGGGACATGAATGCTGTGCACCAGGAGGGGACATTCTGCAGATGAAAACTCTGCAGGTCAGAAGGAGAGTTTAGGACGCCTGCTACAACCAAGCACTGGGTCCCCTTTCACTAATGTTGAGAAATGCAAGCAAGACTGAAGGTATTTTGGTTACTTATAGTGGACTCAAAACGACCACAGATTGTCTACAGTTCTCACCACCAGTAGGTGGAGCCTGTTTCCCCAGCTCAGGAATCTAGGCTCACCCTTGGGTCTTGCTCTGACAAACAAGATGATGCAGAAAAGACTTTGTGGGCCTCCAGAGCGTGGACCTCAGAGCCTTTATAGCCCCTCTCACCCCCTTATTTTTTTTTTTTTTCTGAGACAGAGTCTTGCTTGGTTGCCCAGGCCAGAGTGCAATAGCACGATCATGGCTCACTGCGGCCTTAACCTCCTGAGACCAAGCCGTCCCCGTACCTCGGCCTCCCGAGTAGCTGGGACTGGCAGCAGCACCAACCAGCAGGCATGCCGGCAAACCCCCAGCCCCCAGCCAGCCCTGGGATGACTGCAGCTTGGCCAGAGCACCCAGGCAAGGTCTGCAGAACCTTTTGAGCACAAGGCCTGTTATGCAGCAAAGAATTACTGGACGTTTGTATTATTCGCAAAGGATTACTAGTGACTAAATTGTACTCCTATGAATGTGACACTATGCAGCAACCAGGTGACTGGGGTGGGGTGGCTTTACATGAGCTATTCTTGCCATCTCATGTTATAATTGGTCCCCTAGTGGTCAAAGTTGAGGTGGGGGAGAGGTGGGGCGGGGACAGAACACAGGGAGAGGAGCTGCTGCATTTCAGCCCCCACCTCACTGTGCACACGACTTCTGTGAGCGTGTTCAGTCCTTACAACCTAAAGGAGCTGGCACTGAAGGCTTCCATTTACATAGAGGAGGGACACGAGGGTGCATGTGTCCTGAAGCTCCACCACCACCCTTGGATTCACACCCGAAGGTTAGAAAGGTGCTATCTGCCAGTGCTGGGCCTGGGGAAAGCCATTTAGGATCTGCTGCTTCTCTTTCAGATAAACTTTAGAACTGTCTTGTCAAATTCTCCCAAATACATTGTTGGGATTTGATAGGAGTTGCAAAAACAAAGCCTGTATGTGAAGCGTATATATTAAAAGGGAAGAATGGGCTGGGCACAGTGGCTCACACCTGTAATCCCAGCACTTTGGGAGGCCAAGGTGGGAGGACCACTTGATCCTAGGACTTCCAGACCAGCCAGGGCAACATAGCAAGACCCCTTTTTAAAAATAAAATATTAAAATAAAAATTTTAAAGGGAAGAATGGACACTCTCCATCATCAGGTATTGGTCCCAGGAACAGAGCATTCCCGTCCAATCCCACAAGTCTTGCCTCAGGCCTCCTACAAATGTGCTATTTCCAAATGGGCTTTTGGCACATTTATCAAGGCTATGCCTATGTCACTTGTTTCCCGTTACTATTATGAAAAGGCCTTTCTGAAAATTTCATTTGGAGGCCAGGCATGCTGGCTCATACCTGTAATCCCAGCACTTTGGGAGGTTGAGGTGAGTGCATCTCTTGAGCTCAGGAGTTCAAGACCAGTCTGGGCAACATGGCATAACCTCATCTCTATCAAAAATACAAAAATTAGCTGGGTGTGGTGGTGTGCGCCTGTGGTCCCAGCTACTCAGGAGGCTGAGGTGGAGGATTGCGGGAGCCCGGGAAGCAGAGGCAGTGAGCCAAGAGCTACACTCCAGCCTGGGTGACAGAGCAACTGTCTAAAAGAAAAAAGGAGAAAATTGCATTTGGGATATACATATTACAGGTTAAATTGGGTCCCCCCGAATTCATATTGGAGTCCTAATTTTCAATACCTCAGAATGTGGCCTTAACTTGAAAACAGGGTCACTGCAGGTGTGATTAAGATGGGGTCTCAGCCGGGCGCGGTGGCTCATGCCTGTAATCCCAGCACTTTGGGAGGCCGAGGAGGGTGGATCACAAGGTCAGGAGATCAAGACCATCCTGGCTAACACAGTGAAACCCCGTCTCCACTAACAATACAAAAAATTAGCCGGGTGCAGTGGCGAGCGCCTGTAGTCCCAGCTCCTTGGGAGGTTGAGGCAGGGGAATGGCGTGAACCCAGGAGGCGGAGCTTGCAGTGAGCCAAGATCGTGCCACTGCACTCCCTCCTGGGCCACAGAGCAAGACTCTGTCTCAAAAAAAAAAAAAAAAAAAAAGATGGGGTCTCATTGGAGCAGGGTGGGACCCCATCCAATATGACTGATGTCCTTATGAAGTAGGAACTTGGCCACAGACGACACGCACACAGGCCCTCGAGGAAAGCGCCATGTGAAGGATGGAGTTCCGCTCCAGAAGCCAAGGAGTCACCAGGGGCTACGCAAGGGGCCAGACTCAGAGCCTCGCCGAGAGCCTGCAGGCGAGCATGGTGTCCACTGCCTCCACTGTGAGATGTGAACACCTGTGCTGCAGTGGCCGCAGGGAGCCAGTCCCGAGGGTCACACCGTGATGTCTGTCTGCAAGGGCCCAGCTGCTCTTACTGAGGCCTTTCCAGCGCAGCCGCCTCTCCACATTAGAGAGGATCAGCCTGGGCACATGGCTTGTGGTAGAAGGCCCTGATCACACCACAAACGCAGAGAGCGGCTTGTGATGCTCAGGTTTTCATGGCCACGTGGCTTCAGCCTCAGCAAGGAGGGCACCGGGCCCACGTCCGAGGGTTTACCTGGGGATGATCACAGTGAGGTGGGTGGCTCAACAGGACCTCACGGCGCTGGCCTGGGAGTGGTGGGCTCTGCAGGCCAGAGCTGTCTAGACGGGCAGTTTGCCTCTGGAGTCTTACATGTTCACTTCTTCCATAGCTCCGGCTCGTATCCTCTTCTCCCATGGTCTTGGAGCGTCCCCACCATATCCTGTTGGGGAAGCATCATGACCCTTTTCTTTTTGAGACAGGGTCTGGCTCTGTCACCCAGGCTGGAGTGCGGTCACACAATCATAGCTCACTGCAGCCTCCACCACCTGGACTCAAGCGATCCTCCTACTTCAGCCTCCCACATAGCTGGGACTACAGGTGTAGCCACACCCGCTAATTTTTTTTTTTTCTTTTTGGATAATCTTACTCTGTTGCCCAGGCTGGAGTGCAGTGGCACGATCTTGGCTCACTGCAACTTCTGCCTTCCGGTTCAAGCAATTCTCATGCCTCAGCCCCCAAAGCAGCTGGGATTACAGGCACATGCCACCATACCCAGCTAATTTTTTTTGAGACGGAGTTTCGCTCTTGTTGCCCAGGCTGGAGTGCAATGGCGTGATCTCGGTTCACTGCAACCTCTACCTCCTGGGTTCAAGCAATTCTCCTGTCTCAGCCTCCCGAGTACCCAGTATTACAGGCACCCGCCACCACCCAGCTAATTTTTGTATTTTTTAGTAGAGATAGGGTTTCACCATGTTGGCCAGGCTGGTCTTGAACTCTTGACCTCAGGTAATCCACCCGCCTTGGCCTCCCAAAGTGCTGGGATTACAGGCGTGAGCCACTGCACCTGGCCAATTTTTTTTTTTTTTTTTTTTGTATTTTTAGTAGAGACGAGGATTCGCCATGTTGCCCAGGCTGGCCTTGAACTCCTGAGCTCAGGCAATCCACCTGCCTCCCAGAGTGCTAGGATTACAGGCGTGAGCCACAGTGCCCAGCCTCAATCACACCCAGCTAATTAAAAAAAAATATTTAGGCCGGCGCGGTGGCTCACGCCTGTAATCCCAGCACTTTGAAAGGCCAAGGCGGGCGGATCACGGGGTCAGTAGATCGAGACCAAAACTTTTAGTAGAGACATGGTTGCACTGTGTTGCCTAGGCTGGTCTCAGACTCCAGGGCTCAAGCAATTCACCTGTCTCAGCCTCCCAGAGTGCTGGGATTACAGGTGTGAGCCACTGTGCCTGGCTGTAAGAAACTATCTGATGAAAAGGACCAGGTGGCTTTAAGCAATGGTAACAAAATATTAACTTAAATAATAAAATCTGGGCCAGGTGTGGTGACTCACCCCTGAAATCCCCACATTTTGGGAGGCTGAGGCAGGCAGATCGCTTGAGCCCAGGAGTTTCAGACCAGCCTGAGCAACATGGCAAAACTTCATCTCTACAAAAAATCAAAAAATAAAAAAATAAAAAGCTGGGCATGGTGTGTGTGCCTGTAGTCCCAGCTACTAGGGAGGCTAAAGTGGGAGGATTACTTAGCCCAGGAAGTCAAGGCTGCAGTGAGCCGTGAACATACCACTGTACTCTAGCCTGGGTGATAGAGTGAGACCCTGTCTCAAAAATAAAAATAAAAATAAAATCTGGTTGGGCATGGTTGTTCACAACTGTAATCCCAACACTTTGGGAGTCTGAGGTGGGAGGACTGCTTGAACCCAAGAGTTCAAGACCAGCCTAGGCAATATAGTGAGACCTCTACAAAAAAAAAAAAAAAAAAATTAAATTAGCCAGGTGTGGTGCGGCATTCCTGTAGTCCCAGCTACTCAAGAGGTTGAGGCAGGAAGACTGCTTGAGCCCAGGAGTGTGAGGCTGAAGTGAGCCGTGATCGTGCCACTGCACTCCAGCCTGGGCAATGAATCATGACCGTGTCTTAAAAAGAAATAGGGGCTGGATGCGGTGGCTCACTCCTGTAATCCCAGCACTTTGGGAGGCCGAGGTGGGTGGATCCCGAGGTCAGGAGTTCAAGACCAGCCTGGCCAACACAGTGAAACCCTGTCTCTATTAAAAATACAAAAATTAGCCAGGCGTGGTGGTGGGCGCCTATAGTCCCAGCTACTTGGGAGGCCGAGGCAGGAGAATCGCTTGAACCCAGGAGGCAGAGGTTGTAGTGAGCCGGGATCGTGCCACTGCACTCCAGCCTGGGTGATAGAGGGAGACTCCGTCTCAAAAAAAACAAACAAACAAACAAAAAAAAAACACCAGGTGCGGTGGCTCACGCCTGTAATCCCAACACTTTGGGAGGCTGAGGCAGGTGGATCACGAGGTCAGGAGATCGAGACCATCCTGGCTAACACGGTGAAACCCCGTCTCTACTAAAACTACAAAAAAAAGTAGCCGGGCGTGGTGGTGGGCGCCTGTAGTCCCAGCTACTCGGGAGGCTGAGGCAGGAGAATGGCGTGAACGCGGGGGGTGGAGCTTGCAGTGAGCCGAGATCGCACCACTGCACTCCAGCCTGGGAGACAGAGCAAGACTCCATCTCAAAAAAAAAAGAAACAGTAAAAAAAAATAATAATAAAATCCAAAATCCTTGCCTAGGGCAGTCAAAGTCCTCCAGCCTTCGGGCCCTGCCAGCCTCACGGACCTCAGCCATTTTTCCACTACAGCCAGAATGAACTGTGTTTTATTTACGCACTTATTGATTTTTGTTTTAGCATTATTGGGGGTCAGCTGTCCCTGACTTGCCCACTTGCCACACTCAGCCAAGTGACCCTTGCGCTCCTGGACACTGTCCCCTCTGGCCTCGCAGCCATTCCTCTTCAACGCGGCACCCCCACGGCTCCCTGGGTGAGTCCTGCTCTTCTCCCACTCTTCCGTGTAGGCGTAGAAACCCTGATGCTCTCCTTACCTCCCCTCCGCCTCACACCCTTCCTCCAGCCTGTCCCCAAGCCCTCGAGCTCTTCCATTGCAAACTGCTGGCCCATCTGCACCTTACTTCCTCAGGAGATGCTGTCCACCTCAGCCTGATTGCCACACAGAGTAAACGAGCTGATGTTTACAAAGTGTCAGTGACTCACAAGTGCTCACTAAACAGCTTTAAATAAAATGTGAACCTCCAAGTTCTGACCCCTGCTTACCACCTTCAACACTATGGCTCTGGACTGCACCATTCCGAGAGCTCCTAAGGAGCCTGGCTGCCCCCACCTTGTCTTCCTCCAGCAGCCAGTAGGGCCTCTCAGACCTTCAGAGAGCACAAGTCCAAACCCCAACATGGCTCCTAGGCCCGGCGCCGCCAGGACCGCTCCTGCCGCTGTGCAGTCTGCTGCTACAGGCCTCTGTGCCTGCTCATTCCTCTGCCTAGCCCCTCCCTCACTTCCTATGGCCTCACCCTAATGCCATTTCTTGGGAAGCCTTCCCAGGCCACTCATCCCCAATTGCAACAGTGTCCCCACAGCACTCAGCACTACCAAGGATGCTTTCCTTTATTTATTTATTTTTTTGAGATAGGGTCTCACTCTGTCATCCAGGTTGGAGTGCAGTAGCATAATCCTAGCTTACTGCAGCCTCCACCTCCCAGGCTCAAGCAATCCTCCCACTTCAGCCTCCCCAGGTAGCTGGGACCACAGGCTGAGCCTCCGAGGCTGGCCTGTCTTCCCCAAGCATTCTAGGATCCAAGAGCTCACGGACCACATCTTGTGCACCTTTCCCTCCATTGACAAACCCAGGGCTTGGAAAACCACACACACTCAAATGCTCTGACACCTGAATGGAGAGCCAGCCCGTCTGCACCTCAGAGACATGGCATCTGTCCAAGGCAAAGGCCGCTGCCAGTTGGGGCTGGGATTCAAATGCTCTGGGCTCCTTTCAGCTGACCTGGAGGTGCGGCCTGCTGATCGAGAAGCACGGGATGGCCTGATTTCACAGCAGGGACCCTGCAGGAGGCAACTCATTGTTACCTTGGCCAGAAAGAGGAGCTGAACATGAATAGGCAAAAATTCCAAATCCCAAAATCGCTGGGGACTGAGTTTTTTTGTTTTTTTGTTTTTTTTTTTGACATGGAGTCTTGCCATGTCGCCCAGGGCGGAGTGCAGTGGCGCAATCTCAGCTCACTGCAACTTCTGCCACCTGGGTTCAAGCAATTCTCCTGCCTCAGCCTCCCAAGTAGCTGGGATTACAGGTGCCTGACACCATGCCTGGCTAATTTTTTGTATTTTAAGTAGAGATGGGGTTTCGCCATGTTGGCCAGGCTGGTCTTGAACTCCTGACCTCAAGTGATCTGCCCAACTCGGCCTCCCAAAGTGCTGGGATTACAGATATGAGCCACTGCACCTGGCCATGGGGGCCGACATTTTCTTAAATCCACTGGTCAGCGGCATTAGGGGAGGCCACCTGGCTCAGAAAGTGTCTGGGCACAGGGACAGGTGAGCGCTCCTCAGCCATCTGCCCAGGGCACGGTTCTTGGTAGCACCAGGCGCACTGAGAAAGACACCTGGGCCCTGCTGGTGGCCCAGCCTCTTACACTGCCACCAAGGCCCTCCAGCCTCCCGTCTGGTCTCCACAGCACAGAGGCTAGCCTTTGCGTGGGAAAGGACGCAGCCTGGCACTGCAGGGAGAGGCCTCGGCTGCTGCACCCCTGGCCAGTTCTGGCCTCCTAGGGAGCCTGCAGCCCTGCCTGCCTTTCCCAACCCTGGTCCCCATGTGGCCCCTTGATGACTTCTTCCTTCAGCATGGGGTCTGTGCAGCTTCCTGCTCTGTGGGGGGCTTCCTGCCACCTCCCCGTTGGCTCTTTCCGCCCCAGCCTGGAGCAGTGGAAAGGGTAAGTCCGGCCTGTGCCGCGTGGGTGGACAGATGAATGCGGCCCAGGCCAGGGGGCTGCAAGACCAAGTCCCAGCCACCCAAGCCTAGGGCTTACACGTGTCCACACACTCTTACGCGATTGTGGAAAGGTGATCAGTATGGATGCTGCACACTACCTTACAGCACGGTGGAGGCAGGGGCAGCATCCTGCCACTGGCAAAAGTAACATTTTACAGCACAACACCAGGGACCTTTAATGACACAGTCTGATTTTACCCAGGTCATTTCGAGAAAAAGCCTTTCACAAGCTTCCTTCTACATTTGCTGTGCAACTTAGTGAATGTCCTTTACAAAGTCCTATTGGAGGCTGGGCACGGTGGCTCACGCCTGTAATCTCAGCACTTTCAGAAGCTGAGGTCGGCAAATCCTGAAGTCAGGAGTTCGAGACCAGCCTGGCCAATGTGGTGAAACCCCGTCTCCACTAAAAATACAAAAATTAGCTGGGCATGGTGGCACGCACCTGTAGTCCCAGGTAGTCGGGAGGCTGAGGCAGGAGAATTGCTTGAACCTGGGAGGCGGAGGTTGCAGTGAGCCAAGATTGCGCCACTGCACTCCAGCCTGGGCAACAGAGTGATAGTCAGTCTCGGAAAAAAAGAAAAAAAAGTAAGTCCTGTGGGAAACATTTCTTGGAATATTTAGCATGGGGACACTTCCTTTTGTACTAAGATGAAAACCACCTCCAATTCCCACTTCCCGACCTTTGCTTTTTCACATCCCTCCTCTTTTTGGGAGCAGGGCAGAGGGACACCTTGGGCACGCAGAGCCAAATAGGATGCTCAGCCACACATTTTAGCCCCCTGGAAAGCATGGCAGCTTTCTCCTATTCCTGTTCTTTTACTGTGTCAAACATTCTCCACTCCATAGAAGACTTTTACTGCAATCCACCTCAAATGGCTTTTGGAAAACGACTTATTTTTTTTTCTTTTAAAGATAGAGTCTTGGCTGGGAGCAGTGGCTCATGCCTGTTATCCCAGCACTTCGGGAGGCCGAGGTGGGTGGATCACGAGGTCAGGAGATCGAGACCATGCTGGCAAACACGGTGAAACTCCGTCTCTACTAAAAATACAAAAAAATTAGCCGGGCGTGGTGGCAGGCGCCTGTAGTCCCAGCTACTTGGGAGGCTGAGGCAGAAGAATGGCATGAACCTGGGGGGCAGAGCTTGCAGTGAGCTGAGATCGTGCCACTGCACTCCAGCCTGGGTGACAGAGCGAGATTCTGTCTCAAAAAAAAAAAAAAAAAAAAAAAGAGAGTCTCACTCTGTTGCCCGGGCTGGAGTGCAGTAATGCAGTCATGGCTCACTGCAGCCTCAAACTCCTGGGGCTCAAGGGAGCTTTCTGCCTCTGCCTCCTGAGTAGCTGGGACTATAGATGCATTCACCTCACCTGGCTGAAAAGCTGGTTTTTGTTTTTGTTTTGAGACAGGTGTCTCACTCTGTTGCCCAGGCTGGAGTGCAGTGGCACGATCTTGGCTCACTGCAACCTCTGCCTCCCGGGTTCAAGTAATTCTCCTGCCTCAGCCTCCCGAGTAGCTGGGATTACAGGTGCCCACCACAATGTCTGGCTGCTTTCTGTATTTTTAATAGAGATAGGGTTTCGCCACGTTGACCAGGCTAGTCTTGAACTCCTGACCTCAGGTGATCAGCCCACCTCGGGCCTCCCATAGTGCTGTGATTACAGGTGTGAGCCATCACGCTTGGCAAAGAAGCAAGGTTTTTTTTTTGAGACGGAGGCTCGCTCCGTCGCCCAGGCTGGAGTGCAGTGGCACAATCTCGGCCCACTGCAACCTCTGCCTCCCGGGTTCAAGCGATTCCCCTGCCTCAGCCTCCTAAGGAGCTGGGACTACAGAGGCGTGCCACCACCCCCAGCTAATTTTTTGTATTTTAGTAGAGACGGGGTTTCACCATGTTAGCCAGGATGGCCTCGATCTCCTGACCTCGTGATCCAGCCGCCTAAGCCTCCCAAAGTGCTGGGATTACAGGTGTGAGCCAACGCACCCGGCAGCCCAGCTAATTTTTTGTATTTTTTTTGTAAAGACGGGGTTTCACCATCTTGCCAGGCTGGTCTCGAACTCCTGACCTCTGGTGATCCACCCGCCTCAGCCTCCCAAAGTGCTGGGATTGTAGACATGAGCCACCGTGCCTGGCCATAAATGAAGTTTTACTGGAATATATCCATGCTCATCTGCTTACATATCATTGGTGGCTACTTTTTTTTTTTTTTAAGAGTTTTGCTGGTCGCCCAGGCTGGAATGCAATGGCGTGATCTCGGCTCACTGCAACCTCCGCCTCCTGGGTTCAAGCAATTCTCCTGCCTAGATGGAATTCAGGCACCCACAACCATGCCCAGCTAATTTTTGTCTTGTTTTTGAGACAGAGTTTCACTCTTGTCATCCAGGCTACAGTGTAATGGCACAATCTCAGGTCACTGCAATCTCTGCCTCCTGGATTTAAGAGATTCCCCTGTCTCAGCCTCCCGAGTAGCTGGGATTACAGGCACCCACCACCACACCTGGCTAGTTTTTTGTTGTTGTTGTTGTTTGTATTTTTAGTAGAAAAGGGGTTTCACCATGTTGGCCAGGCTGGTCTGGAACTCCTGACCTCTGGTGATCCACCCACCTTGGCCTCCCAAAGTGCTGGGATTATAGGCGTGAGCCATTGCGCCTGGCCCCACTGATGGCTACTTTTGCACTATGACAGAAGGCTGAGTAGTCACAACAGAGATGGTGTTACCTGTAGAGCCTGAAATATTTACTATCTGGCAGCCAGAGGCAGTGGCTCACACCTGTAATCCCAGCATGCTGGGAGGCCAAGAGGCTCACTTAAAGCCAGAAGTTCAACACTAGCCTGACAAGATGGCAAGACCGTCTCTACAAAAACAAAAAAAAATTAGCTGGATGTGGTGGCTCACACCTGCAGTCCCAGCTACATGGGAGGCGGCAGTAGGAGGATCAGTTGAGCCTAGGAGTTTGAGGTTACAGTAAGCTATGATCCACTGCACTCCAGCCTAGACAAAAGCTGGAGTAAATATATATATATGTAAATCTATATGTAAATATAGATTTTATATATCTAATATAAATATATATATTTTTACAATCTACTTAATAGAAAGTTTGCCAACCTCTAGATCAAACTACACATTTTACAAGTATTTGGTGGATATAAATTAGGGAGAAGAGAGTATAAATGAACTAAAATCCTTATTGATAATAAGTCCAGACTCCAAAATGGAATAAGACAGCAGTGTAAGAATACTACTTAGACACATAGAGATAAATGCAGAAGAAAGTGCTAAAATAATTCAAAGTGATTGGCTGTATAGTATGGGATGGAGTTGGGGAGATAAACTATTTTTGTTTTAAGCCTTTTTGAGAACCATTTAATTACTTAAATTCTATTCAGGAATTACTTTGATAAAGCCAAAAAATCATTTTAAAGCAACTGAACAGAACTCACCAAGACTTAGAGTAGCTGCGCTCAAGTTCTTCTGGAGTCTGGGGTCACTGGGTTCATCTCCGGCTGCCAGGAGCCACCAGATGTCTGCAGTCCATGCCAGAGGTCTAAAGTGGCAATCACCCTCCACCCCTGCTCCTCCTCCTAGGTCTTCACACGAGGATCCCCATTCCGGGTGGTCCCTGGGGATTAACATTACCCCTTTTCCTTCCTCCCTCCCCTCCCCTCAGGCCAAGCACCAGGAAGCAGCAGTGGGCAGAAGGGAGCAGCCCTCGCCTTGCCCCAGCCCTTCCTCAGTCCCAACTGAGCCACTCCAATGAGGGGTCCCAGGCACTGGGCAGCCATCCTCCTCTCCCCAGTCACCAGGTCCATGCTGCTGTAACTGCACACACATCGCTGCTTCCCAGACAGCCTCAGCTAACTCAGGCCAACACTGCCCAAGAGGATGCTGACCCCAAAGTGCTAGTTCCCTGGCACGGTGCACACCCCCAGGACCCACCAAGCACCACTGAACAGTGGCAGGCAGATGCCCATCCCAGACCCCACCCTTCTAAGACTTAGAAGCCGTGTCACTTTGCTAGAGAGAACAGCCAAAGCAGAATATGGAGGTCCCACACCAGAGTTTTCAATCAAGCTTTTAATGAAAAGATCATAAAATAACAGTTTCTTATCGCTGTACATTTAAGACTGCACACTTCTGAATGGAGAGATCAGTCGTTGGTGAATTGCTTTTCTATGACACTGGGCAGCTGTGTAGCTGCAGCTCTGACCTGAATTTATACAAACTCTCAAGGGACATGAACTCAATGTGACAAGTGACAGCGGCGGTGGCCAGTACAGGAGTGCGATCCCGGTGTCCCTCCCCCCTTCTGGGAAGGGCATAAAACAAAACATGATCCCTCTTCCAGTTCCAATTAAACAAAACAGCTATAACCCCATCCCTCCCCCCTCCCCTTCGAGGTATTTGCGAGAAATGAGCCAGTGCCCAACCTGGGTCCCCCCCGGGGTGGGAGAGGGCAGAGGGAAGCTAGTGATGGGTGGGGTAGAGAGGCTCCCCTCAGCACCTGGCCCCACGGGGCCCGCCAAGTGGAGGGTGGGAGCCCTGGGGATCCTCCCTGCCCCAGTGAGGTCTGTTATGCAGCATTTTTGAGGTCAATAAATTACAGCAATAAATAGCAAGGTGAGGTAGGGGGAGGGGGTCCTGGTAGAAAGTTAAAGTGGGGTGACTGAAGCCGGGGCATCCTAGGAAGGGGGTCCTGGGCAGCCTCAGTTCCCACCGCTCATGCCCACCCCCACCCCGGCGTGGAATGTCAGACTGAGGCTCCAGTTAGGTCCCTCCCCAGCCCTCACTCCTGGCGTCTGATTCACAGGTTCAGTAACATCTGCCCCAACGGGGTTCTGGGAAATAGGAGGACCTTGGTCCCTTTAGGGGGCATGCCAGGGCTGAGAGCCCTTGTCTGCTCTAAGGCCTGGCACCTTTGGCTTTTGTCCCCCACGCCTGGGGGTGGACGGATGCAGCCTCCTGCTCCCTGAGCCCTGCCCTCCGGCTGCCCAGGCCTCACCCCAACTCAGGATGGCCGCAGGAGGGCAGGGGGTCAGCCTGCCCAGCGGCCCAGCCCGGATCGCACTCCTGCACAGGGCCTGAGGTCCAGTGAATACTGACGGATTTTGGGAGTGGGTGGGCGGCCCGGTGCCCCCGAGTGGTGATGAACGGTAAACACACAGGGCTGCCTGAGGTGGGGAAAGTTGGTGAGGGTCCGGATCGTTCATTTCACAGGCTGAGGTGTATGGCTATGCTGCGAGTCTCTGAGATTCTTATTTGCTTAAAGGTTCATCTTTTCTCTTCCTTTTTTTTTTGCAATCCTGGAGGAGCCCTTGCTGGGGCTCGGTCCGGCGGGAGCATGCAGTGGCGGAGCCCGGCCTGCCACCCGCTCACTCGCCCCAAGTCTGAGAAATAAATACATTCATCACTGCACAAACATATTGATACAAAAACAACACTGTTAAGAGTGTTTGCACCGTCTATGTTGGTAAGGACCAGACCCAGTCAGCCCCTTCCGCTGCCTGGGGTGGGGTTAGGGGGCCCCAGGAGTGGGGACCCACCAGAGTCGACAGAGCTGCGCAAAGGTCCCGGCTTTTTGGCTTGAGTGGGACCCTCGCATCAACCCATCCCCAAGGGTCACGGGCAGAGCAGCAGGGGGACCCAAGCCCAGACTCGGGTCCTGTGGCCAGAACTGACGGCCATCCCCGCGTAGGCTAGCTGGTCAGGACCAGCATGGTCCGGCCAGAGGGCCTTGGGGGCTGGTCAGCACGGGCCCAAGCTCTTTGGTGCCAGCTGGGCTTGGAGGGGCCCTGGGAATGGGGACGAGGGCTCAGGTGACTCCAGGGAGGCTTCCAATCCCTCCCCCAGCCCCAGGGCTACCCTTCTCTGCCCGTGAGCCACTCCAGGGCCAACTCAGAAGGGTTTCCAGCAGCAGGGGAGGGTTCCCTGGACTGGCCTTACAGCTGCTGAGGTCTGAAACTGTAAAAGCTTATGTAAACAATGAGATAAATATATTAGCATCTTTTTTCTGAGCCCATGGAGGTTCCATACTCATTCAAAATGTGCTTTGGTTTAAAAAATAGGCTTTGTGAATTTGGGTATGAGCTTATTTTTTTTTCTTTTTTCTTTGTTTATCCTCTCTTTCCTACATGATATCTGCTATTTTCTGATTCCTGTTTCTCTGAAACATTCAGGAATTAAGTGACGAACGCAGAGAACTGTAAGCCGCCTTGGCCTCCAATAACCCAGTTTCCTTGTGAGGCTCTTAACATCTCCACACACACACACTCGCACACACCTGATGTGGAAATCAAAGGAAAAAGAAAACAAAGCCAAATGTTGTGTTAATCCCGCCCCGCCCCACAAACCCTTAAAGTCTTAAATAGGAAACTAGTGTTCTGCTTTCTCATTAAAACACAGAAAAGGCTCGATACAATACTAAGGTGGATACAATACTATGTCGCACAAACGTCGTTGAGTGAGGGGCCTCTGCTCCCAGTCCCTGAAGTTCTGCAAAGGAATCACCTACTTTCACGAGTCACCTCACAGATGCGGCTGCCCACAGCCCGGGAGGCCATGCACACGGCCAGGCGCGTGAACATTTCCCGTGCGGTACAGACTTTGTGTCATGTGGCTTAAGTGCTGATGGGGCGGGGTGGCGTCAGGACGGCAGGAGCCCCCTCACTGAGTATGGGTGAAGTCCATGGGTCTCCTCCCCCCAGGTCCCTAGCCTGACTTGCTGGAACCTGAGACCCAGGGTCCAGTCCTCTGTCTCCCACCAGGAGGGAAGAGGGGCCATCTTAGGCTGGGATCACCACAGGGAGGGCTCAGCCAGGAGCCTCATCTACCCAAGCTCCCTCACCCCCAAAAGACGCCGCTCACCACTTGGGTCCCTGAACTCAGGCTCTGTTTTTAGCTGGAGGGTCTCTAGAGGGGTGGGGGTAGGGGATGACTCTGTATTTTTTTGGTCTAAACTTAAAATAGAATGAAAAGAGAGAGAAAAAAAAATGGTGAAGCAAGATGACAATAAAGGCTGCCAGCCCAGCCCCACAGCTTCAGCTGGCTGAAGACAGTGGGACTGAGATCAGCAACCTTGGTCTGACCTTGAGAGCCCACTTCAGGGCCCACAGAAGTATCTGAGGCTGGCTAATTACCAAGATGAGGGGCGAGAGGTGGGCCCCGAGACAGTGGCCGGGGGCCAGGACTGCTCAGGGAAGTGCCATCCCTGTTCCCCGGGGGGCCCTGTGGTCAGCTCTCTCAAGCTTAAAACTCTTGCAGGAATGGAGGATAGGAGTGGCAGGATGAGGGCTCACTTCCGCCTCACCCTGGCCGGGAGCTGCAAAGACCTGCCACCCTCCTCATGGTTCCCCTGTCAGCACCCAGTGCCTGGCTCCAGGCTGGGGCCTCACACCCCTCACCTATACCACAGAGGTTTGTGTGCCCGGGGTGCCAGGGTCCCCTCGAGGTGGATGTGGCCAAAGGCTCAAAGGGAAAACCCACAGGTGAGCTGCAGGCACTGGGCCACTTGGCGCCCTGCTGGCTCCTGCACACGACTTCCTAGGTGCTAAGCGAAGGAAAACAAGAGTGTCAAGGGCTTCCACTGCCAGTCACCAACATATCGTTGTCATGAATTCAAGAGGTAGCAAAAGGTCAGAAGTCTCCACCTTGTTCAGCGAGGAAGGAGGGAAAGCGAAACATCTGCCCATGCATACGGCACACACCACACATAGACACACACATACGCACATACACACACACACACGCACGCACACACAAATGAAAACAAGAGTACCGACGGCCCCGGCATTGAGTCTAGCCTCCCCCCACCCCCCGGAACCCCAGACCTTCCAGTTCAAACAGTCACATAAACGTTACACTGGTTTTTCTCTTAATAAAAAACAAGTACCTCTAAACAAAGAATATTCCTTGGAAACTACAGGAAAAGCACTCTCCCCTGAGGCAGCCGAGGCAGGGCTCAGGGACCAGGGAAGCCTTTGGGCAAGAAGGGCTTCTGGGGCCTGGAGAGGTGGCGCGCCGACACCCCTGCAGCGCCAGAGCCGGGGGACGCGCAGGAGTGCCAGCGGCCCCTGTTACATTCAGTCTTCAGACCCAGGCTCAGCCCCGGAGGGGGCGGAAAGAAAATAAGCTATTGTCTGTTTTGGTTTAAAAAACAAAAATCAAAAAGAAAAACAGAGGAACAGATCAGTAGGAATAACAGCAACACAGGCCCAGAGGGCTCTTTAGATGTAGAGAGGTAGGCGGTGGGGTCACCCTGACTGTCCCAGCGCCAGTGAACAGTGCCACCCTGGCTCAAGGAGGGAGGGATCTGCACCCCCAGCACCTGTTCCCTGCAGAACCAGGGCTGCACGCGCCCGCACAGACACAAGCACACGTGCACACACACAGACACGGCCAGCGGGGTGAGGCCTGCTCCCGACACCACCCTGGCCGTGGCCAGCGTCCCACTGCCCTTTCTCCAAGCCGCCTGCAACAAAGGGACCAGGTCCCAGCGAGACCCACGTGACCCAGCCCACAGGCCCTGCGGTGGCCCCCGCGGGGAGCTGGGGGCCTGGGTGGGATGGGGAGGTAGACGGGCTGGGACCCCTGGCTTCCCTCCTCTCGGCTCTGCTTGGTACGGACTGTCCATTAAAGCTCTGGGTGTGGGCAGTGGGGGCCAGAGGGGCCACCCGGAGCCTCCACTGGACCCAGGGTCTTGCCCCTGCTGCTGCATCACCTCGCTTCTCCTTCCATGGGTTCCCGGGGAGCAAGGTGGCAGAGGGCGCCCGCGGGTCTTTGGCTTCTAGGAGGGGGAGGTGTGCATGCGCAGGTGGCTGATGAGGTTGCGCTGCTGGGTGAACTTGCCCCCGCACAGCTGGCACTCGTAAGGTTTCTCGCCCGAGTGCACACGCATGTGCTCCGTGAGGCGGTACTGACGGGTGAAGCGCATGCCACACTCATCGCAGGCGAAGGGCTTCAGGCCCAGGTGGCTCCGCATGTGACGCGTCATGGTGCCGCGCTGCGTGAACATTTTGCCACAGATGTTGCAGGGGAAGGGCCGTGTCAGCCAGTGCGTCTTCTCGTGCTGCCGCAGCGTGGCTGGGTCCTTGTAGGTCTTCTCGCAGACCGAACACTTGAAGGGCCGGGGCTCAGCCGTGTAGGCCGCACTGGGTGCTGACAGGTCCTCGGCCTCCTCCTCGGCACCCCCACTGCCTGTCTCGTAGGCCCCCTCTTCCTTGATGAACAGCTCTTCCTCCGTGTGAGTCTCCACGTGCGCATTGAGCTGCTCAGAGCTGGGGAAGCCCTTGGCGCAGGGAATGCACACATACAAGTTGTCCCCGTAGGACACCGTCTCGTAGCCCTCCTGCCGGTACATGTAGTGGGCGCTGGCATGGCCGCTGCCCCCCTCGCTCCCGCTCTGCGCACTGTCTTCACTTGCATCCTTGCCGTTCTCCTCCTCCTCCTTGCAGGGGTAGGGGGGCTCCCCATAGGGCCCGCTAGGGCCAGCCCCACTAGCCAGGATGCCATTGGGAACCCTGTCCCCGACCCCCTCACCCTCCTCTCCCGGGCAGGGACCCTTGGGCCCTGCTTCTCTCCGCTCAAAGGGGGAGCCAGCCACAGGCTCCTTCTTGCCCCACTCCTTCTTCCGAGTGGAGTGCCGGAGGCTCTTCCGAGGCTGCCCACCAGGCGCCTCCAGCAGGCTCAGGTGGTTGTCCTCGGCCCCCTCCAGATCCATGGGCTCATCAGGGGTGCCCCCCAGCTCAGAATAAGAGGCACTGTTGGCAACGGGAGGAGCAGAGGCCGCAGGGGGCGAGCCATGTTGGCTGTCGCTCAGCTGGGCTGCGTCATCGGGAGTGAGGTGGGGACCTGGGGTGGCAGGGGGCAAGGGTGGGCTTTTCTTGGACAGGTCCAAGCCCAGCTCCTGCTCGCAGCCCCCGCTGCTCCCGTTGGTGCTGCTGCTGCAGCCCCCCAGACCCGCCTCCCCGCCAGCTGGGCAGACAGCCCGGCCCAGACCTTGCACGCTATCCTGGTTAGAGCCACCAAGAAAGAGTTCATCGTCTGAGCCTTTGGCTTGGGGGAGCTCCTGGGGGGCGTGGGCCCCCTTGCGCCCATCCACGAGCCCCTGATACCGAGCTTGGATGACAGAGGCCGTGGACAGCCGCTGGCTGCGGGGGGGCCGCCCCATGCCAGTGGACCCCGCCCTCCCAGAGCCAAAGGGCTTGCCGGCTCGCTTGAGTTTGCGGCGGCAGAGGGCTGCCAACTCGGGCAGCTGGAGGTAGCTGGCGGCAGTGAGGAGGGTGCTGAAGTTGGGCTCGGCTGGCTGGTCGCTGGGCAGCAGCTTGCCTGTGTAGATGAAGTCCAAGATCTGCTGGAACACTGTGGAGCTGACCATGTCTGTGTCCAGGTTGATGAGGTTGTCGTGCAGGACCAGGGACTTGAAATAGATGCTGCTGGCGGCTAGGACGTTCTTGTGGGCCCGGAAGATGGAGTTCTCCACCATGATGATGACGTCACACAGGAAGCCCTTGGTCCTCTGCTGGTTCAGCTGCAGCAGGAGCTGCTTCGAGTGGCTGGGCAGCTCCATGTCGGGCCCCATGTCCCCGCGCCCTGCCCACGCGCACCACCTGTGGGCAAGAACAGGCACGCATGCGTCAGATGACTGGCACACTCGGACCAGGGCTCTGGGGCAGGGTGGGGCTCGACGAGGCAAAGGGCCTCAGAACTGACCCCACATAGGGCAGGAGCCCCTGCGGCACAGTACACGGCACATAAGCCCACAATGCCCACCACATGCAGGCGCAGTACACGTGTCACCTCACTGAGGACTCAAACTGAGAAGGGACAGAGGCCCCTGCCCCATTTGCACTAATGAGAAAATGGAGGTGGAGGGTGATGAGGGGACAAATAGAGAAACTGGGATTTGCATTTGGTTTCACAGCCCGGGCTACTGTCTCTACACTAAATGAAGTCAACCCTCAGGGACCAGAAGGGGACCCAAAAATGACCAGATGGCTTTAAACTTCGGGAAGCAGAGGACTCCGTGAGAGGAGCTTGTCTTGAAAGCTGGCAAAAATCCCCCAAAACTAAATGGTGGTTCCTTTTGAAATACGGCAGGGCCCAAATCAAACTGCCAGCAGTCATGTTGCTGCCTCCCAGATGCTGCAGTCAGCCTGCAGCCAGCCCTGCCTCTCCCCAAGGCCCTGGGCTGCCTCGCACTCTGGGCGGGCGCCAAGTGCTGCCCCAGCCTGGGCTTCCAGCTGCCAAGGAGGAAAGGTAGCTTAGGCCAAGCACCTGGCACCACCTGAACCCTCCGTCCTCTCTAGGAAGGGCAGCACCATCTGGGCCTAGGAAAGGTGGACAGCTGGCCTCCATCACACAGAATGGCACAGGCACTAACTGAGATCAGTAAGCAAGAAGCACACTGACGCCGCTGGTCTCTGCAGGAACTCTGACGGCCCAGGTGTGTTCCTGCTTATGCAGCAGCAAGACATGGGGTTCTGAGCGGGTGCTCCTCGCCACGCTTCCCATCCCCACTGAGCAGCCTCCTCTGCCATGGACCAGGCACCCCACAGTGGGAGTACAAGGGCAGGGCAAATGGGTGCACAGTGGGCACCAGATAGACGCCGGGGGGAGGAGGGAAATGTCCCTCCAAGGGCGGAGGCAAGGACTGTGGCCGGCGGTATAAAGAATGACTCTGGAAGGCTTTGAATGACTCAAAGCCATCCTCAGCCCTAAGCCCAACTCCCCAGTACAAAACGCAGTACTCCCAGCTCCATCCTCTCACCCCTACCAGAGTCCCTCAGAGAATGGCTCAGCAGGAGGGTGCTGGGGAAGGCATGCCAGTGTCCAGGTGGCCACCTGTGCCCCGGATAGGCTCACAGGCTTCCACAGGGCAGGGGGCCAGTGAAAACATGAACTTTCCTCATGGCTGACGGACAACCGAGCAGCGGGGCCCACAGGCAGCTCTGAGCCTCGCAGTTCAGGGTCCAGTCTCTCAGCAGCTGAACTACTCTGAGCCCACCGCCCTCTGGGATCTACTGCCCCTCCCAGAGTGTCCAGCCCTGCCTCCCAGAGCAGAGGCCTGGAAAGGGTCCCACCCTACCCAACCTTCTCATGACAGAAACTCTCCCCAGCCTCATGCCTACCCTTGTTTGCAAAGACAAAGAAAAACCCTAACATTCACAGGCCCCTGAAGGTGCCAGAGCTCAATGTGAACACGCAAGGGTGCAACACAGCCTGGAACACCGCTGGCACTCAGAGCCTAACAGCAAGAGGCAGCAAGCACCCGCCAGCGGCTCTCTGCCTAGCAGCCCAGCCCACAGCAGTTCAGGAGGGTGCTCATGGGCTGGAGACTTCGTGAACCAATCCTCCTCCACTCCCTGCCCGCCTCAACCCACCAGGCAGGGACAAAGAGCCCCCAAGGTGTGGCTTCCACACTTGGCCCCAGTAACCTAGCCCCCAGAAAACATCAGTGCCGGCTCTGCCAGCACCCAGACACCTGGTACCCCGAGACTGGCAAGGGGACTGGAAGAGGGCAGTGGCCTCCAGGCTCCCTCCACACTGCCCAGTGCTGTGTGCACACAAAGGACCACGGGTCAGACAGATAGAGGCCGAGCTGTGGGGCTGTGTGCCACCCAGAAACTCCGGGGAAAGGGGCCAGTGGCGGTCCCCCCTCCCCTGCGCCTCACCGGAGTGCCAAGGGCCCAGACACCATGTGAGCAGCAGCCAGCGGCGGGGGGGGCTCCTGAGCGCGTGGCCTTCCTGGGGGTGCATCAATGCCTGGTCACCTGGGGAAGAGAAGACGAACACAGTCACCCAGACAGCCATCAGCGAAGAAGGGAGGGAAGGGCGATGAAGGGACGCACCTGGGGGTCTCTGGCTGGGGCACCAGGGGCAGCCCAGCAGGAGACTGTGGCCACAGAGCCTGGTAGTTGGATCTGACAGCCAGGAAGAGTAAGGACCAGCGAACAGGTCTAGGGAGTTCGGTGGGTGCAATGCCTGCCCCTCTAACACACACAGGAGATTAAGGACACCCAGGGGCCACCTAGGCCAGGGGGCGCTGGTGGCAGACACACAATTCTTGGCCTGCGGGTGTGGTAGCAGGAGGCCTGGGCAGGGCCCTTCCCAAGCTGGCCACATTTACATAACAAAAGGTCAAAATTGGAGCCACTTGTGCAAGGGCTATTTATAAGAACCAGTCTCAACCGCTTTTGGCTCCCCCGTTCCTTCCCTTCCTGATCTGCTCTCACCGCCTCCCTGCCCAGAGGGCCCAGCCCCCTAGCCCGCCTGGCCTGACCACATGGCCTTCCCTCTCCAGAGGTTTCACTGCCTAAGGGCTCACCCAAGCTGCAGGCCTGGGCTTTCAATACCGGCCCACCAAAGCCTTGGGCAGCTGCCGCCAGGAAACGAGGGGTTCCCTCCCACCCCCAGAGCTCTGGGTCCTGCAGGAGGGGGGATCCTGAGGTGGTGGGTCCTTGCACCCCACACCTGCCAGCCTGGGCCCCCACGGAATAGAGCCGGGGTCGGGGAAGGGGCGTGCAGCGGCCCGTCCCCGTTTCCCCTTCCCCCACTCCACCCCCAGGGCCAGGGAGGCTCAGCAGGTCCCTCAGGAATGTGACCAGACCCGGGGTGCCGGCCCAGAGCTGGGAGGCCTAGGCTGCAGCTGGCCAGCTGTCTCTCCAGCCCCTAGTGCAGCTCCCCTCTGGGTGGGGGGTGTGAGGGGAGGGGGTGCATGGCTGGTCCAGGACCCCACCAAAGGCCCAGAGGGCAGCAGAACCAGCTCTGTTGGTAGGAAGCCCAAGGGCGTCCACAGTTAGCAAGGGTTGGGCCCAGTGGGCTAATGCTGGGATGAGGCCAGTAGGGCAGGGGCCACTGAAACACTGGCGGGAGCAGTCGAAAAACTGGGTAGAGGGTCTCGGTGGCACACTGGAGGCAATCAGATACCACCATCCAGCCCTGTGCCACTTCATCTGCTCCCCAACCACTGCCCCTCAGGACCCAGTCAACCATGGGTAGAGCGCATGCCAAACTCTGCAGCCAGGGGTCACCTGACCTTGCCAGAGGCCAGGCCAGCTACTGGATGCCGCGCAGGGAGTGGGTGGCAGAATAGGACTGGGGGGCACCTGAGTGCCATGGGGGTGGGAACACCCTCCGTCAGTGCCCACTGCCTGGCCCTGACGGGCACTTTACAAGCCCAAGGCTAGCACTAGGTCTCCCCACCAAGGAAGGATGGCCCCAGGCTGGGTCAGCTGTGATGTAGAACAGGGCAGGGCTCCTCCCTGAACCCTCCACTTGAGTTAGGGGGTGTCAGAGCCACCTGCAGAAAGTTCACAGCAAGCACAATGCCACCATGCGTGCCATCCACACCAGCTGGGCCAAGTCTGGGCCACATCTAGGCCGCCACTGTGTCTGCGAGCAGCAATGCAGCCTCACCCCATGGCGGGGCAGGGGGGTGGCACACGCCATCCTGCTGCGAAACGCCTACTAAGCACTGCTCCTTCCTTCTCAGCCACAGAGCTCTGCCCTACCCGCTCACCGCTGGACATGAAACAGCAAGTGCCTATCCTGGAGGGCTCCGCCTGGGGAGTGCCAGGTAACTAGAAACACGGCTCTGGGTGCTGGCCCGGATGCTGGTGCTCAGCCCTGGAAGCAGCTGACTGCAGGCTGCGATGAGAATGCCACCTAGCACCCAGCAGCCCCTGGCAGCAGGCCCGGGCAGCACGCCTATCAGCCCCGAGGCTAGCACGCCCAGCCCTGGCCTACTGCCCATCCAGAAACGCTGGCTCCCAGGACGCCCAGGATCTGAGGCAGTAGGGCAGCAGGCCTGGGCTATCGGGGCCAGCTGGGCATTCGCCTAAGGCTGTGACCCATCCCCTCCCTAGGACAGAGCCTTCAGGGGTCCAGGGGAGAGGCAAGAAGGGTAGCACAGAAACTATCTCCCAAGTTAGGATCCCTCAGCTCCAGGATTCCCCCTGTAGGTGGACTGGCCCCAGCTGGGAAGGACAAGAGCCCCAGCAGCTGGAGGGAGGGCCAGCTCTCTCTGCGGAATCCTGAAGGTCTGCAGGAAGGAACACAAAGCCTCGGGGTTACCTTCCCAGGCCATCTGTTAGAGCAGACACACGGCCCTGTTTACGGAACAGCCAACATGCCAACTGCTCTCCTTTCCTTCCCCTCCCAGTCCCCGCCACAAAAAAGCCAGAAAGCCAGGTCCCCAGACACTGAGGGCAGGCCCAGGGCCCAGGCAGGTGCTAGCGGGCTGGAACAGCACTCAGATACTCCAGCCTCTCAAGCCACTGGTGGCACATGCCCAAGCTCTGTAGAACTGGGCCAGCCACAGCAGCCCCACCCCCGCTCTGTTCGCCCTCAAAGAACTTACAGTAAGGCAGCTGCTCTGCAAGGCCCAGTCAGAGCCTACCCGGCCCAGCAAGTCCATTCTGTGGCAAGAAAAACCTTGGGGACACACATACCCAACTGCTAAGTAAGATTATCTCTGGGGAGCGGGATTACAGAAAAACCATAGTATCTGTATATTATGTTCATTTCTGTAATACTCAACATTTTAAAAAGTATTACCTTTTTTTTTTTTTTGATGGAATCTCATTCTGTCCCCCAGGCTGGAGTGCCATGGCGATCTGGGCTCACTGCAAACTCTGCCTCCCAGGTTCATGCCATTCTCCTGCCTCAGTCTCCCGAGTAGCTGGGACTACAGCCGCCTGCCACCACGCCCGGCTAATTTTTTGTATTTTTAGTAGAGACGGGGTTTCACCGTGTTAGCCAGGATGGTCTCGACCTCCTGACCTTGTGATCCGCCTGCCTCAGCCTCCCAAAGTGCTGGGATTACAGGTGTGAGCCACCGTGCCCAGCCAAAAGTATTACTTTTAAAACCCTAAAAATACAAAGGGCAGAAATGATGCAGAGACATGGATGAACCTCACAGTCGTGGCACTGAGTGGAAGAAGACTTTTGCGAGAGTACAGACTGCATGACTCCATTTACATCAAGTTCTAGAATAGGCAAAACGGACTGAGGGTAAAAACCAGAGCAGAACAGGCTGTGAGCGACAGGTGAGGACTGTCCAGGATGGGGCGAGGGACAAGCGCCCACTGCCTGGCCCTGACAGGCCTATCCAGGACGGGGCATGAGGAACTCTTTGGGGTGAGGGCAGCTCTCTAGCTTGCTGGGAATCTGGGTTAAGGTAAATGAAAATACAATTTTAGGCCCTTAATTGTATGTAAACTTTACTTCCAATGAAACCTCCAGACAGAGGCTTTCACAGGACATTCTCATCTCAGAAGCTCAGCACGATACCCTGGAAACACCACCAGCTAACCTTTCCTGGGCACTGTTGTATGCCCGACCATGTGCTATGTCACTGGAGCCGCAGGGCCACCCAGGAGCCTGTGCGTTCTGTCCATGTGATCAGGTGGGCTCCTCTCAATCTTCACACAGCACAGCTGAGCCTCAAACCCAGCACTCACCCTGACCTCTCACCTCCCCACAAGGTAGGAAAACCTGGGGCTGAAAGTGTGCAGGGACATGTCATCTTTAGCCTTGGGCAAAGGCAACCCTTCCCACTGATGATTTCCAGATCACCCAGGGGTATTGGTTCTGCCTCAATTTTCCAACTGGCACAGAGATCAAGGGCGACGGTGAAGCAGATTGGAAGGGCAAAGATGCCACAGTGGGAACAGGTTCCTATCCCTCCCGGCTGCTCCCCAGCTGGGTGGCCCTCAGTGCATCTCCAGAGGGCAGTCAAAAGCCCCAGGCCAAGACCACCCTGCACTCTGGATCCCTCTACTCGCTCACCAAACACAGACCAGCCAAATAACCAACGGGGATGGCAGAGGCCAGGGCACTGTGCACCCCTCGCTGCCTCCTGACACTCGAAGCAGCCCCCCATTGGGGGACCCACTAGCCCATGATCCTACGCGAGCGAGGTCAGGCCACACCTGCCCGTGTGTGGAGCCTCTGGTCAGTCCACGTGGCTGCAGGGGCCTGTGGGGAGGCTGGAACAGGGTTACCTCAAGGCCTTTCTTCTAAGCACCCAGCAAAGGGCAGGAGAGTGTGCTCTAGTCAGCATCTTTCAAAGGCCAGGAGAGAGGAGGTTTTCAGATCAAAGTGATCCCTGCTGAGGCAGAAAGCAGGAAACTCCAGCCCCAATTCTGAGAGGCACTGCCCCAACCCAGCCTGGATACCCACCTTGCCTAGAACCTTGGCCTCCAAGAAGCCAGGCATTCAGAACTGCTCCAGGTGCTGGGCCTCCACATGGCTCCTTCTGGAGGCCATGACTCTGGGAGACAGGAACACATCTCACGCCCACGTCCAGGCCCACAGGCGGGGGTCAAACTCATCTCAGCCACATGATAACCCTGCCTTCAGACTGAAACTTCTGGCTCACGCCCAGCCAGGAGGGAGGCCTGGGGAGAAGGGTGAAGACCAGGAAAGGGCGCCACCCCAAGCAGGCCATCCCGCCTAGCCCTCCTAGGATCCTTCTCATCCACCTTCCTCCCTGGAAGCTATCCTTTACTACCAAGAAAGGGGCTTCCTGCAGGAGGCCTGGAGCTATGCTGGAGGACTGAGGAGAAGCTCCCCCCAGCCCACTCCCAAGGAGCAGCACCTTAACCACCTCCCAGCCTAAACAAAAGTAACAGTGAAATGAGAACCCTCCAGCTGACGCCAAGACAGCTGAGAGTGAGCAGGGCCGCCCACGGCCCGCCCGAGCTCCACTGTCAGGTGGGAGGGACAAGCATGCCAGGCTGAGAAGCCATGCTAGGCAGGGCAGGGCCACCAGGCAACTTCCACAACCCAGAGGTCTAAGTACATCTGACCAGGGTCAGAGAGAGCCCCAGACTTGCTGCCACTGCTCCCAAACTTCAGTCTAAGGTCAGCATCGGCCCTGGTTCCAGACCAACCCCCAACTATAGTCACCTCATACTTCAGGTGTGGCCGGGACAGATGCAGCTGCAACGGGTGGCCCTGTGTGAGCTCAGCCTCTTCCCAGGAGCCCCTAAGCCATGGGAGAGACTGCCTGGAAGGCACAAGGCAGCCAGGCAGGAGGCAGCCAGTATCCAGAAGTGCCCCAAGGCCCAGCCCCTGGACACACCAACCAGCCCTGCACAGTCACAAGCCCAGGACTTTGTTCATCCTATCCCCATGGCCTGGAGTCCTCCCTGAGGAAGCCTTGGTAGACAAGAGATAGCTCCAAGGGGCGAAGGCTGCACCTCGCCCACCGCCACAGCCCTGTATGAGATGGCAGCCTACATGTGGGCAGGTCTGATCTCCTCAATCTTCCCACAGGCCCAGTGAGCGGGGCGTTATCTCTGCAGTTTCAGATAAGAAATTAAAGGTTCTTGGGGGTTAAGCAACTTGCCCAGGGTCACAAGAGCATGTAGGTAGCAGAGTGAGGACCTAAAGCCTGACTCCAGAGTTGTAGTCTGATGACCCCCCCGCCCAACGCAGGCAGGGCCAGGGATGCCACTCACACATGGCTTCCAACTGCCAAGCTGCTTGGGGGAGCTAGAGGAGGCACCGCCCTCCATGCACTGGTGTGCCAGGAGCAGGGACTCCAGTCTGCACCTCCACCCTCACTCCCCCACCCCCCAGCACCACCTGCCTATCCACAGCAGGGCCCCACCTGGGTGTATTCTCCCAAACTCACTGTGAGGGCATGGGGTCTGCCCAGCTCCTCCACCAGAAGTGACAAGGTGGAGCCCCCATGCAGCCTGCTTTGGAGGCCCAGGTTGTGCTTGCTGCTCCTCTGGGAACACCCCCACCCTCCATGACCTCCTTCCCTGTCCCTTCAGGAATGGGCTGGTGGTGGGTGGGGCTCACTGCTCTGGGCAAGCCCAGCCATGTAATCCAGCCCAGACCTGGATGCCGGCCAGCAGCTCCTGGCTCTCCTCCCAGACCATCCTCCTGGAAAGCAACAGGCTCCACAAATGCCAGGAGCCCAGCTCTCTCCAACGCAGCTTCTACAAAATAAACACTCGGGTTCCACTCAACACATTGGTGATGCAGCGATTGGGACCTGAGGCTGGCCTCCTCCTCCTCTGCTCCTCAGGCCAGCCCTGTGGCCTAAAGTGAGGGAGGTAGCATCCACCCCAGCCCAGTGACTTTCCCAAGCCCGTCCTGAAATGCCCATGGGACCTACTGATGACCTCGTACTGCCCACAGCAGGGCCAAGCCCTGCATGGTCCGAGCCACCCGCCCATGGGTACTGTCCCTTCTGAGGTGAGGAAGCCCGGGCTAACACCCCAGCACAAGGAAAAGGCTGGAATGGGCTGCTGAGAGGAGAGCTGGACCGAAAGTGCCTCCAAACTGTGCTTCCCCCAGAAGGTACAGCCTCAGTCCCCTCCCTCTCCTCATCACTTCCGGGTTTGGAGCCAGCAAGGAATGAGGCCAGGAAGACCTTGGAGACCTGCAGCTGATTTCCCCTGCTAGTGCTGGCACCAAGGAGGGCCCCAGGCCTGGCACAGTCTGGCTGACAGTTCTGAGACAGGATATTGGAGACAGGCAGGGGAACATTGCTTTAAGAAGCAGAATAACGGCCAGGTGCGGTCTGTAATCCCAGCACTCCGGGAGGCTGACATGGGTGGATCATGAGGTCAGGAGATCAAGACCATCCTGGCTAACACTGTGAAACCCCATCTCTACTAAAAATACAAAAAATTAGCTGGGTGTGGTGGCACGCGCCTGTAGTTCCGCTACTCCGGAGGCTGAGGCAGAATTGCTTGACCCTGGGAGGCGGAGCTTGCAGTGAGCCGAGATCGCGCCACTGCACTCCAGCCTGGGTGACAGAGTGAGACTCTGTCTCAAAAAAAAGAAGCAGAATAACAATTTAAGGTTGTGATAGTGACTACGAATGCTGTGCTCACCTCCAAACTCCATCCCAACACTACCCTGCCCCCTAAGAGGGGCCTGAGCATGGGGTAAAAGGCTCGCTGACAGCCACAGAGCAGGAGCCCACGCAAGACCACCAGAGGATGTGCAGCCGCTGTTCCTAGTAGGTGAGGAAAAAGCAGGAATCTGGCATCCACACATGTCAGGAGGCAAAACAGGCCCTGTGCTGGTTTCTGCAGTCCTCTCCAGCCCACTTCCCTGCTCTTCTTGCTCACTGGCCATGACCCAAGAAACAGCAGCAGCACCACCAGGGATCTTGTTAGACACGCAGAGGCTCAGACTCCATCCAGCCCTAACCACCAGAACCCTGGGGGCTCAAACACACAGTCAAGTCTGAGAAGGGCTAGGTTAGAAGCTTTTTTTCCTTCTTTTGTTTTTACCTGGACACCACTGATTGGAAAGCTCTCTACGGCCTGAAAGCCAAGCGCTCCACAAGTAGTAAACGCTCAAGGGATGGGCATCAAGTGGAAGGAGAAAGCCCCCAAAACGAAGATACATGTCCCATGTACACAAGCTCACAGGCTGGTGAATACAAACGGTAGACCTAGAATGTGCCACACCAAGGCTGAGCGTGTTACCACAGGTACCAGAATGGTGACCACGCTGGAGGGTTCCACAAACCCTGATCAGAGAAGTAGGCGTGAGTGGCAGGCAGAGAACACAGCTCTGTGTGGCAGGGAGGGAGGACAAGCAGTGGCAGCACAGCAGACAACAGGTGGAAATTCTACATGAAAGGCACTAAATGGGCGAGGAAAGCCTGGGCCGCCCAGGTGGAAGGGACTATCGTGATCATCTCTCTCACCCTAGGGACACCTTAAAAGGAGGTAACTGAGCCCCAAAGGGAGGCACCCAGCACAGCTGAGTCACAGAGCTGCAGCCATCCAACCCACAGCTCCAGGAGGGACTCTCCAACTTCACAATTTCAAAATCAACCCTAGCAGCTAACAATTTCTTAATGCCAAGTAAAGACTAGAATTAGAAACAAACAGAAACCCTATCATCTTCTACCATCATTACTTCACAAAAGAAAACATTTCAATGATCAAAGAGCAGGAAGAACTACTGGCAGTCCTGCACCTATGCAGTTCTCCAGGCCTGGCAAAGGCTCTGAGGCAACCAGCATGAAGGAGCCACTGCACCGTCTGTACGCAACACCGTCTGACCCCCGGGCTGGGACAAGACTGAGATGACATGCTGAAAGGGAATCAGAAAAAACAAAAACACAAAAATTCAACAACAGATACTAAAGACGGGATTTTGACTAGCCAAACAAAGACTAAAAGAGTATCTCCCAGGGATGAAAGGAAAATGGGGATGTTTTTAAACAAGACCAGGACTGTTCCAGAAACAATAAGAACGTCAAAGCCCATCAGGAAAAAGGTAACACCAAATGTTGGCCAGGCAGTAAGGCAACCAGAAGTCTCACATACTTTATAATTTTTTATTTTTTTGAGAGAGAGTCTTGCTCTGTCACCCAAGCTGGAGTGCAGTGGCGAGATGGCTCACTGCAACCTTCGCCTCCCAGGTTCAAGCAATTCTCCTGCCTCAGCCTCCCGAGTAGCTGGGATTACAGAAGTGCAGTGCGCCACCACCCGCAGATAATTTTTGTATTTTTCGTAGAGATGGGGTTTCACCATGTTGGCCAGGCTGGTCTCCAACTCCTGGCCTCAAGTGATCTGCCCATCTCAGCCTCCCAAAGTACTGAGATTACAGGCATAAGCCACCGCACCTGGCCAGAAAACTCACATGGTTTAGAAAACCCTTGGATGGCACAATCTAAAACTGTGGGCCCAAGGCCGTGGGTGGTGGCTCACGCCTGTGATCTCAGCACTTTGTGAGGCCAAGGTGGGTGGATCGCCTGAGGTCAGGAGTTTGAGACCAGCCTGGCAAACATGGTGAAACCCCGTCTCTACTAAAAATACAAAAATTAGTCGGGCGTGGTGGCAGGCTCCTGTAATCCCAGCTATTTGGGAGGCTGACGCAGGAGAATCACTTGAACCCAGGAGGCAGAGCTTGCAGTGAGCTGAGACTGCGCCACTGCACTCCAGCCTGGGCGACAAGAGCCAACTTCGTCTCTAAATAAATAAAGCCAACAAGCTAGCTAGCTAGCTGTGGGCCCAAAAACTCACCCAAGGTATACGCCAACAAGAATGCACACGTAATGCACACCAAACAGGCAGGCACACTCATGAAGGCCCAACAATGGAAAACAACTATGCCCACCCTGAGAAGGGACAGCTGCAGGTATAAAAGACTATGAGCCAGCAGTGAACAGGACAGAACGTTTAGGTTGAACTGTATGAATTTACCTTTTAGGGGTAAAAAAACAGCTGGCTGCTGATAATTTCACATGGTTTGACTTACAAACAACGCAGATGAATCTCTCAAATATACTTTTGAGCAAAGATGCCAGAGCCAAAAAGACTATTACAGTTCCATTTGCATACATTCAAAAGCAGGCAGCACTAATCTTATGGGTGGGGGTTGAGAGTGACTACAAGCTTCAGGATACGTGAGGGGCTTCCAGGGTTGTGTTTCGCACTCTGGATGCTAGTTACAAGGGCATAATCATTTGTGAAGAACTCTTGGAGCTGTGCACACTTCTTACGTAGGCTGTCCTTGAATTCAATACGTGCACAGAAACCTTCAGAAGGGAAGCAGAGATCAACTTCATCCTGATCAGCAAGTAGACTCAGTCCAGGCAGCAACCTCTCCTGGACCCCCAACCAATAACAAAAACACAGGAAGCAAAATATTGGCAGGACAGCTGGCAACGCGGCAATGTCCAGGATGGAGTGCCCATCCTAGAGGAGGGAGCTCACACAAGCCAGCCAGGAGCCCACAGGAAACAGAGAGACTACTGTAAATCCTTATTAAGAGCAGACTCATCTCTGCTATCTAAAAGATAAAAACCTGATAATGTTTTTAAGTTGTCCTAAGGTCCAATTGACTTTTTTTTTTTTTTTTTTTTGAGACAGAGTTTTCCTCTTGTTGCCCAGGCTAGAGTGCCATGGTGCAATCTCGGCTCACCGCAACCTCCGCCTCCCGGGTTCAAGCGACTGTCCTGCCTCAGCCTCCCGAGTAGCTGGGATTCCAAGTGTGCACCACCATACCTGGCTAATTTTGTATTTTTAGTAGAGACGGGGTTTCTCCATGTTGGTCAGGCTGGCCTGGAACTCCCGACCTCAGGTGATCCGCCCGCCTCGGCCTCCCAAAAGTGCTGGGATTATAGGCGTGAGCCACCACACCCAGCCCCAGTTGACACTTCTAAAGGAGAAGGGGTTCTGCAAATCCTGAAAGGCAAGCCCAGGAGAAACAGGAAATCTGGGAGCACGGCAAGCGAGGTTCAAACAGGACACCAAATAATTCCCAGCAACCGCCTCCAGCAGGTCCTGGTGGCAGCCAGGTAGGGCAGGAGCCGGCTGGGCATATCAAAGGGAGGAAGCCAAGAAGAAAATGGGCGAGACTCTCAGGGATTTGGGGTCAAAGGAAGCCGCTGGGAGAAGGAAACAGCCCACTTGCTCCTTCATAGGTAATCAACACACAAACCCCCCAGTGCCTCAAATGGCTCAGGAGCTACAGCCAAAGATCAAGGATCAAGTTATTTTACTCCAAGAAAGAAAAAAAAAAAAAAAAGTTATACGTTCGGCATCCATTGGAAGTTTTGTGATTGTTTGGAGACAGGGTCTTGCTCTGTGGCCCAGGCTGGAGTGCAGTGGCGCGATCATAGCTCTAATTTCTGGGCTCAAGGGATCCTCCCGTCTCAGCCTTTTGAGTAGCTGGAACTAAAGGTGCATGCCACGATGCCCAACCAATTTTTAAAATTTTTTGTAGAGATGAGGTCTCACTATGTTTTCCAGACTGGCCTCAAACTCCTGGGCTCAAGTGATCCTCCTGCCTCAGCCTTCCAAAATGTTGGGATTACAGGTGTGAGCCACTGTGCCAGGCCTTAAAAAGCAATTTTTACAGATAAAATTGGGCAACTGCTATGGAAAATATTACAATCTATGGTCCTGTGCCTGAAAAGCCTCCAAGTGTGATACTTTATAGAGAAGAGGTCTCTCCTGTCCAGTAGGTAACTTGAAAGTGTCTAAGAGACAAGTGCCCAAGAACTCAAAGAATGAGAGAGGGATCCATTCAAACTCAGGGAGAAAAATGCTCACAAAGTTTCACTGTACTTCTAAACTGAGTCTCAGTGGTGCATTAAGGAACTGGATTTAGAGACAGAAAACAAAATAAACTGGCACTTCTCTGCCTCAAGAAGCATAGCTTGGGGGTGAAAAGTCAGCTACTTAGAAGGCAGCAAAAACAAAACCCAGAAACCCACCCAAATGCTCACTGCCAGCAGGACAGGTGATTATGTGTGGATGGCGCCACCTTGGACACTGAAATGGAGAATGGGAACACAGGAACTGCTGCTCCTGGTGTCCCAAGAGTGCAGGACACCCGGCTCCCAGCGAACTGAGCCAAAATCATTCGCAGTTTCAGGATCCAGACAAAGGTGGGAAACCGACAAAAGCCAGCGAATGGCTGACCCGCAATTCAGAAGACTGTTGGCTTCTAGAGGGAAGTGGGAATAAGCCAGGGAGAAGTGCATGAGGTGTCCCAGGAACTTGGGAGGCTATTTCTTATGTGGCCATGAGGGAACAACGGTGTCACGCTTAGTGGGACACCCACGATTCAACCAATAGTAGGTTTACCACTACTTATCTCTCTATTCTTTAAGATTTGTGCACACACATATATACATGTAATTTACCTTTGTTTTTTTTTTTTTTTTTTTGAGTCTTCCTCTGTCGCCCAGGCTGGAGTGCAGTGACACAATCTCGGCTCACTGCGACCTCTGCTGCCCGGGTTCAAGCGACTGTCCTGCCTCAGCCTCCCGAGTAGCTGGGGATTACAGGCACCCATCACCACACCCAGCTAATTTTTGTGGTAGAGACAGGGTTTCACCATCTTGGCCAGGCTGGTCTCAAACTCCTGACCTCAAGTGATCCGCCTGCCTCGGCCTCCCAAAGTGCTGGGATTACAGGCGTGAGCCACCATGCCCGGCCTATTTACACCTTTGTAAATAACTTCTTAGAGTTCAATGGCTAAGTCTACTAAGGAAGCTGAGCCTGCTCTGTGCAGAAGTCTCAAAAGAAAGGAAAGTCGGGTGTGGTGGTTCATGCCTTTAATCTGAGCACTTTGGGAGATTGAGGCAGGAGGATCGCTTGAGCCCAGGAGTTCAAGACCAGCCTGGGCAACACGGCAAGACCCTGTCTCATTTAAAAAACAAACAAACAAACAAACAAAAAAACAGAGAGAGAGAAAGAGAGAAAAGAAAGAGAAAAAAGAAAGAGGAAAGAGACCTCCCTGGAAATCCCAATCCAGGGAGAAGCCAAGAGGCTAAAGCTGAGGTGCACTCACAGAGCACCTCCCTTTCACCACCCGAGAGATCACCTGGTCCACAGCCGTCAAACTCAGCAAGGCCACACACTTGGGCAGCTATGACAACAATGCACAAATGAGGGCTTTGGAGGGCTCAGTTCCCACAAGAGATAACCCAGAAAATATCACCCTGTCCTAATCATACAAAGCAAAAGAACCTGGGGCCTCCACACCTGGGGTAGCAGGTATGCTTCACTCAACAGAAGTTGTCCAGGAGGGAGAAATCCCAGGCAACCTCCCAAGGTCTACAGGAGAAAGAAGGGCAGAATCAGAGCCACTCTAAGTGAAAATATCAGCGTTTAGAACACAATCACCCCCCTGCAACCCCTCCAGCCAACCCTCGCCTAGTCCCTGTACCCTCCAATTCAGAGTCCAATAACCCTGAGTTATCTTTCTCAACACCCATCTCATCAAGCCACTCCCCTGCTTAAAGCTTTCAATGGGCCGGGCATGGTGGCTCACACCTTTAATCCCAGCACTTTGGGAGGCCCAGGCGGGCAGATCATCTGATGTCTGGAGTTTGAGACCAGCCTGACCAACATGGAGAAACCCCATCTCTATTAAAAATACAAAATTAGCTGGGCATGGTGGCGCATGCCTGTAATCCCAGCTACTCAGGAGGCTGAGGCAGGAGAATCACTTGAACCCGGGAGGAGGAAGTTGCAGTGAGCCAAGATCGCGCCATTGCACTCCAGCCTGGGCAACAAGAGTGAAACTCTATCTCAAAATACAAAAAAAAAAAATTAAAAAAATAAATAAAGCTTTCAATAAATTCCTGATGCCTAGCATAAAGTCCATGCTCAGGCCTGGCATGCAAAGCACTTCCCACAGGGGCATCAAGCCCACCTCATCCCTTCCACAGACACACCTGAGAGCTCCTGCAGGCCGTGCCCTACTCTGGGAGGAGCCTGCCCCCTCACGACTCCCTCCTCTGTGAAGCCAGAACTGCCTCTGTTGTCCCCCCGCTTCCAACGTCAGCACCAGCTGCCAAGCTGCTTCCCTCCTGCCTACCCCCACCACCCCATAGACCAGTACCCAAAGTTAGACCCTGTGTCCCAAGCAGCCACAGCAGCAGGCATGCAGCAGGCACTCATAAACATTCATTAGGTGAGCAAATGCTGGTCAGACCCAATGCTGAGAAGAGACAGAGTGAAACAACATGTGAAAGATAAGGAGGCACGTGGGGAAGATGGAAATGTCCAGTACCCTCCTTGCCACTGGTTCTAAAATTGTGTTGTTTACATTCTTAAATAGTCAGGGCTCCTAACGAGCATCTGCTTATGTGGCTTCTCTATTACTGTTTTGTGGGGTTTTTTCTGAGACAGGGTCCTGCTCTGTCACCCAAGCTGAAGTGCGGTGGTACAATCATAGCTCACTGCAACCTCGAACTCCTGGCTTCAAGCCATCCTGCAGCCTCAGCCTCCCAAAGTGCTGGGATTACAGGTGTGAGCCACTGCATCTGGGCTGTTGCTGTATTTGATGTTACCATGTACTACAACAGTGCCCTCTTATTCAGTTTTTTTTTTTTTTTTTCTGAGACGGAGTCTCGCTCTGTGGCCCAGGCTGGAGTGCAGTGGCGTGATCTCGGCTCACTGCAAGCTCCGCCTCCCGGGTTCACGCCATTCTCCTGCCTCGGCCTCCCGAGTATCTGGGACTACAAGCGCCCGCCACCGCGCCTGGCTAATTTCTTTTTGTATTTTTAGTAGAGACGGGGTTTCACCGTGTTAGCCAGGATGGTCTCGATCTCCTGACCTCGTGATCTGCCGCCTCAGCCTCCCAAAGTGCTGAGATTACAGGCGTGAGCCACCGTGCCCGGCCAAAAAAATTTTTTTTAAAGGCTGAGCACAGTGGCTCACGCCTGTAGTCCCAGCACTTTGGGAGGCTGAGGTAGGTGGATCACTTGAGGTCTGGAGTTCGAGACCAGCCTGGCCAACATGGTGAAACCCCATCTCTACTAAAAATACAAAAAATTAGCCAAGCGTGGTGGCAGGTGCCTGTAATCCCAACTACTTGGGAGGCTGAAGCAGGAGAATGGCTTTACCCCAGGGGAGGGTGTGGGGTGGAGGTTGCAGTGAGCCAAGATTGTGCCATTGCATTCCAGCCTGGGCAACAAGAGCGAAACTCTGTCTTAAAAAAAAAAATAGGCTGGACGCAGTGGCTCATGCCTGTAATCCTAGCACTTTGGGAGGCCGACGCGGGTGGATCACCTGAGGTCAGGAGTTTGAGACCAGCCTGCCCAACAGGGTGAAATACAAAAATTAGCCAAATGTGTTGGTGCATGCCTGTAATCCCAGCTACTGGGGAGGCTGAGGCAGGAGAATCACTTGAACCTGGGGGAAGCAGAGGTTGCAGTGAGCCAAGATCACGCCATTGCACTCCAGCCTGGACAAGAGCAAAACTCCCTCTCAAAAAAAAAAAACAACAACATTTAAAAAAATACAAAAATTAGCTGGGCGTGGTGACAGGTGCCTGTAATCCCAGCTACTCAGGAGGCTGAGGCAGCAGAATCCCTTGAACCCAGGAGACGGAGGTTGCAGTAAGGAGAGATTGTGCCACTGCACTCCAGCCTGGGTGATAAGAGTGAGACTCTATCCGAAAAACAAAACAAAAAAAGGGCTGGGCACGGTAGTTCACACTTGCAATCCCAGCACTCTGGGAGGCCGAGGCGGGCGGATCACGAGGTCAAGAGATCCACACCATCCTGGCCAACAGGTGAAACCCCATCTCTACTAAAAAATATATATATACATACAAAAATTAGCTAGGTGTGGTGGCGCGCACCTGTAGTCCCAGCTAGCTAGAAGGCCGAGGCAGGCAAATCACTTGAACCCGGGAGGTGGGGGTTGCAGTGAGCAGAGATCGCGCCACTGCACTCTAGCCTGGCGACAGAGCGAGACTGTCTCAAAAAAAAAAAAAAGAAAAGAAAAGAAAAAAAGAAGGATAGCATTGCTTTACACTTTTATAAATCTCTTTAATGTCTAGCCTAATAGAAGAAGCTGGATTCTCATATCTCCTGCATTCAGTCTGTTAGGATATGCGGTTTTGATTAAAGTCTTTAAAGAAATTTGGCCTTACACAGAAAGAAGGAAGGAGTATTTTAATAACTTTTTCAGAAAACTGTCTATTCTTCATTGATATTACACTAAAGCTCGACAAATGAGTTTCTTAAAAGTTGCTATGGGCCAGGCGCGGTGGCTCACGCCTGCAATCCCAGCACTTCGGGAGGCTGAGGCAGGTGGATCACTTGAGGTCAGGAGTTCAAGACCAGTCTCGCTAACGTGGTGAAATCCCGTCTCTACTAAAAATACAAAAATTAGCCAGGTGTGGTGGCAAGCGCCTGTAATCCCAGCTACTCAGGAGGCTGAAGCAGGAGAATTGCGCAACTGCACTCCAGACTAGCAACAGAGCAAGACTCCGCTTCAAGGAAAAACATAAATAAAAGTTGCTATGTAGGCCAGGTACGGTGGCTCACATCTGTAATCCCAGCACTTTGGGAGGCTGAGGTGGGCGATCACAAGGTCAGGAGTTTGAGACCAGCCTGACCAACATGGAGATACCCAGTCTCTACTAAAAATACAAAAATTAGCCGGGTGTGGTGGCACGTGCCTATAATCTCAGCTACTTGGGAGGCTGAGGCAATAGAATTGCTTGAACCCGGGAAGCAGAGGTTGCAGTGACCCAAGATCGTGCCACTGTACTCCAGCCTGGGCAACAGAGACTCCATCTCAAAAAAAAAAAAACAAAGTTGCTATGTAGGCTGGGCACAGTGGCTCAACACCTGTAATCCCAACACTTTAGGAGGTCGTGGTAGGAGGACTGCCTGAGCCTAGGAGTTCAAGACCAGGAAGATCCCATCTCTGGAAAAAAAAAAAAAAAAAAATAGCTGGCTGTGGTGGCGCATGACTGTGGTCCTAACTACTCGGGAGGCTTATGCAGGAGGATCATTTGAGCCCAGAAGGTGAGGCTGCACTGAGCCGTGATTACATCATCACTGCACTCCAGCCTAGGCAACTGAGGGAGACCACATCGCCAAAAAAAAATTAAAAATAAAAAAAAAATTGTAAAGCCTCATGCCGGGCATGGTGGCTAATACCTGTAATCCCAGCACTTCCGGAGGCCAGGGCGGGTGGATCACCTGAGGTCAGGAGTTCAAGACCAGCCTGGCCAACATGGCGAAACCCAGACTTTATTAAAACTAGACAAAATTACACCAGGCGCGGTGGCTAATGCCTGTAATCCCAGCACTTCGGGAGGCTGAGGCGGGCGGATCACGAGGTCAGAAGTTCGAGACCAGCCTGACCAACATGGTGAAACCCCATCTCTACTAAAAATGCAAAAATTAGCTGGGCATGGAGGCGCATGCCTGTAATCCCAGCTACTCGGGAGGCTGAGGCAGGAGAATCGCTTGAACCCAGGAGGCGGAGGTTGCAGTGAGCGAGATCCCACCACTGCACTCCAGCCTGGGCGACAGGGAAAGACTCCGTCTCAAAAAAAAAAAAAAAAGAAAAAATTAACCAGGCGTGGTGGCAGGCGCCTGTAATCCCAGCTACTCGGGAGGCTGGGGTAGGAGAATCGCTTGAACCCAGGAGGCGGAGGTTGCAGTCAGCGAGATCGCACCACTGCACTCCAGCCTGGGCGACAGGGCAAGACTCCGTCTCAAAAAAAAAAAAAAAAAGAAAAAATTAACCAGGCGTGGTGGCGGGTGCCTGTAATCCCAGTTACTCGGGAGGCTGAGGCACGAGAATGACTTGAACCCAGGAGGTGGAGGTTGCAGTGAACTGAGATTGCGCCACTGCACTCCAGCCTAGGCAACAGCGAGACTCCATCTCAAAAAAAAAAAGCCTCATGCATCCTTCCTATTTCATCACACAGAAAAGTAAAAATATGTGTAATTAAAGGTCTAGATTTAATACTCAGTCATCTGTACTGCCTCCCCTGGACATGTGTAGAACTGGTGGGTCTCAGCCCCCAGTGCTGGCTAACAGTGGGGAACACAACTCTGGCAGTGCAAGTGTCCACCCAGGGCAGAGGCCAGTGATTTTTTTTTTTTTTAGATGGAGTCTCGCTCTGTCACCCAGGCTGGAGTGCAGTGGCAAAATCTTGGCTCACTGCAACCTCCGCCTCCCAGGTTCAAGCCATTCTCCTGCCTCAGCCTCCTGAGTAGCTGGGACTACAGGCGTGCGCCACCACACCCAGCTAATTTTTGTATTTTTAGGAGAGGCGGGGTTTCACCATGTTGGCCAGGCTGATCTGGAACTCCCAACCTCAGGTGATCCGCCCGCCTTGGCCTCCTAAAGTGCTGGGATTACAGGCGTGGGCCACCGCATCTGACCTTGTAACTTCTAAATATACTGAAAAAGGTATCGGGGACCCTCAGGGTCTGCAAACAACTTTGAGAATAGCTGACAAGCACTGCCTCAAATATTTCTAACAACTCGTTTACAGGCAAGGAGAATGAGGCCTGGAGAGCTTAAGAGACTGGCCCACGGAGGAAGCAGGAGTCATCTTTCCACAAAACTACACTTCCCCAAAAGCTGAACTCTTGGACAAGGAGCCCACTGCCAAACCTAAGAGTAACAAATTTCAGCAAATAAAAGGAAGTGCCATTTCCAATGGCATCCTCGAATACTCTAAGAGGTGGGGCTGGCAGAATCCATCAATAGGCCTCCAGAGGCCTGCTACTAAGAGCCAGCAACGCTGCTGAAAGCGGCACTGCCTCTGCAGGCTGTGTGACCAGGACCCGGCGGGGGCCCTGCACCTGGAAGCAGAGGGGGTCGGTGGGGGAGGGGTGCTACCAGGAAGCAAGATGTGCATGCTGCCTGCTGGGGGCATGAAGTCAAAGTCCCCTCCTGCCCAAAGTGGCTAGGCCAGCCCTAGGCTGCCTTATCAGCATCAACACATGCCTGGAATGTGGGACTTTGGCAACAACCCTCTCCCTTCGGCCAGCACGGGGCTGACGCCTGGTCCCTGGGCTCTGGTTCACAGTCAGAGGACAACCACCTTGAAGCACCAGAACCCGCACCCCCAGCCCATCTACCAGAAGACAATCTACCAAGAGTCACCGAGAGGAGCTATCCTGCCTGTGTCCCCACACCACCAAGGGCCATGTCTGAGCACCTCGTTTGTCCACACTCAGAGAATCTCAAGAGCTCGGCTCTGGTCCCTGCAACGTCCAGACCATCCCCCACATGGCTCTCCTGGAGGTGTTCGGCAAAGGCACAGGCTGCCGTGGGGCAGAAGATTCCCACATACCAGACAGTAAGGAGCTGCGTGTGACTGGAAGGATGAGGACGACCCAGAGAACGCTCTCTGGCCCCTGGTCCTTGGGGAGGAATGGGGGACCTGCAGGGGACCACCTTCCCACTCTGGGAGCCAGATTCCCTGGCTTTGTCCAGAGCAGCCAACCCACTACCCCACTCAAAATGAACACCTCAGCTGCCCTCCAGCCCAAGCACTGCGCAGAGTAAGGAGTCCTCACTCACAAATGTGTCCGAGGCTTTCACACACTTCACCTGGAGCTTCGCCACTCACTTCTTAGATGTACGACTCTAACTTCTCTGAGCCACTTGTACAACGAGGACTGACAAGATGATGAGGACCACACCGGTGTGTTCTGACAACTGAACCGGGCATAGAATGCCCACTGCCAGGCTGAGCCCAGGAACGAGCCCAGGATGAGTGCTTACCCTCTTCACCACTACCTTCCTAGCCTTCTGTCAGAACTCCGTGGGGACCATCCTCTTCCCATCTTCTAAGCCAAGTACCCTGGTACAAGCCAGACAGAAACTATAATAGCAGCTGCTTCCATAAAGGGGAAGGGCCATGGGGTCCCGGACAGGGCTGGGGTGAAGGGGCGCAAGACCTAGGGCAGGAATCCACCCCCAGATCACTCACTCAGGACAGGACCACCTGGACCCAGCTACCAAGATGTGCACCACCCCCTTCCTTCTGAGCCCCTTTTCCCATCTCCTCTACTGCCCCTGGCCAGGTTGCTGTCCCACCTCTAAGAGGCAAGATTTCCTACCCAGGATGCTGACCAAAACCACACCCAGGGGCCTACCCGTCCCCTCACATGATAGGCTGCTCCTAGCTGGCAGGAGCCGTCTTATAGCCTCTCTCCCTCAAATACAAACAAAACCCCAGAACAACCTATTGTTCTGTTCCAGCAAAGGGGGCCAGGCCCAGCCAGGCCCTACCTGAAGCTCTCTGTCTCCCGTCCCCCTTCAGTCCCCTCCCACTCGTCCTTCTCTGCCCCTATTAGTGGCCTCATATACCTTGTCCAGATAACACAGCCCAAGAAACCAACCTCAGGGACAAATCTCTTCTCTTCCAGGGAGAAGAAGACAGAGGTCCCAGGAGTCCCAGGGGCCCCCATTACTGGCCACCTCCGCTCAACCCAAACTGCACTATGTGAGGTCCCGCCAGACTACATACAGGCCAACGAGAGCCCAAGAATGCAGCCAGGAAACCAGGCCAGGCAGACTCCAAAAGCCCGTGCTACGGGGTCAGTAGGACCCGCCTACAGCTGAGGGCTATAGGCAGCTCTCCAGAGGACCTCCCAGGAGAAGCCAGCAGTGCACATGGGCTAGGTTCCTCCTGCTGTTCACCCTCTGTGCCCAGTAACTACCCAGGAACAGGCATGACTGACTCTGCCAACTCATTCACTGGGTAACCGCTGACCCCACCAGGCCCTCGGAGTAAAGCAGTTAGTGAGAACCGCAGGTAAAAGCGCGGGCTACTCATCCCTCCGCCTGTGGATTCTATTATCAACAAAGATGCATCACCTGCTAGAAGAGCGGTTCTCAAACTTGGCTGCACATCAGGTTCACTTCAAAAGCTTCAGGAAAAGCTAGTGCCTTGGGCCCACCCCAGAGACAGGTATAGCTCAAGGTGAGAACCAGAGCACCAGCAGGCAGGCCTCTGCCAGGCAGCATGGGCAACGTGTGCTGGGTGAATGTGCGGCCTGCACTCATCACCCAGAAGAGCCCCACTGTGTCCACACAAGGACAGGCCACCGAAGTCCCAGTCCCCACTCTCCCTTCTCACTTACTTTGTGAATGAGAGCTCACCAACAGTTTACCGTCTTCCGAGTGCTGCGGCCTCACCGCCCGACCCGCAGCAGGGGTGAGGGCTTGCAAAGGCCATGCAACAGATCCTCCCCCTCAAAGGGGCTCAGGCCTCAGTGTGGTAATGGGAGCGGCCCCTTCCCACACTTGTCAGAGAACCCACCCACCCGGTGGAATGAAGCCGAAGCCCAAGCCGCAGGGCAACAGCCCGGGACGGCAGGGGACAAGTCTGTACAGCAGCCACACCCCTGCCAGAGCCAGGAGCTCTTCCATTTCCACAGCAGGCCAACTCTCACCTGGAAGCACCCACCTAACCAAACCCAATCCCTGCCTTCTTTTAGTCACACTGGGAACTGCCACAGGAAGGCTGGGGACTCCACATACTCCCTCCTCACCACACCCCATGTGTGATCACCCTTAAACAGAAAACATGCACCTAAGATCCTACGATGCGCTGCCCACCTCACAAAAAACCGGTGCCTCTAGGTAAGAGGCACCTAGCTGACCCATCCCTGTTCCCTCTCACCATTAGAAGGACCCCCAAGTCCCCCTGTTCTAACACCGAGGCTGCACTCCCACTCTCCACCCACTAACATTACCATAAAAAATAAATTGAATAGTTAGAAGGAGGGGCTCCCCAAAGCCTGGCCACCTTCCCGAGGGTCCCAAGCAGTTTCTTGGAGTCCCTCTCCCCACTCAGTCCCGCCACACCCCTCTCAGGCAGTCTGGCCCTTCCCTCCTGAACTTTGGCGGGCTGGAACCAGCTCCCAGCCTCGCCTCCCTTATCAAGCTCACTGGGGGCCCACACAGAGCTCCCATCCCCACCAGCTTTTCTCGCTTTGCCACTCCCAGCTAAAACTGGGCTCAAGGCAAGCAAGCCTGCAGTCCCTCAGTCCCTCGGGGCCCAGCCCCTCCTCAGAGCCCTCCCCCAGCCCAGGTCCCTAACCCTTAGGGCAAGGCCCCTCCCAGCAGGAAGCGAACCCTGGCGGTGCCAGGCAGAGTCAAACTGGAAGGGCTGGTTCAGAAGCCCCTAAATGGGAGCCAGGACCTCTCTTAGGGAGGGGGCTTTCAGCCCCATCCTCCCTAGTGCGATCTCAGATCTCTCCAGACACCACACTATATGGGCCTCCACAGGCGGTGGAGTCAAAGGCATTTACCCTCCAGCCCCCAGCAAGCTACTTAACTTCCAAAAGCAGCTCCTTCCCTCCTCCAGAGGAGAACGGGCCGCGTGCTGAACTGCAAGCGCCTCTATCACCCCGCCCAGGCAAGTCTGTGAGCACCAGAAAGCAGGGGCCAACATGACTTGGTCTAAACCAAGGGGGCCAGGCACTGACTTTGCGCTCAGAAAATGTGGCGGAATGAATAAAAAGCTTGAAAAAGAGCCACATACATGCCTGGCTGGCAGTGGGGTCTCCCAAGCGGGCTTCACAGCTCACACAGTACCCGTGGGTCCGCGTCCTCAGTGCTCTCCAGCTGTCTCCACTGCCACCCTCTACCCTACCACTGCCTTTTAAAACCCAGTAGCAGTCACTTCCTGGTTAAAACCCCTCCCCTCCAGGCCAACCCCAACCCACATGGCATCCAGGGTTCTCAGCCAGCCCACGGCCGGCTCCTCCCACGCCACCGCTATGCCCTCTGCGCTCCGCTAGATGCCAGCCCTTATCACCCCATCTTATAATCATTTGTTGAGTGTCTGCCTTCCCTAGGCTGAGCTCCAGAAAACAGCGATACATGAATGTAAACTCCAGTTCTGTTCCCATTGTAGAAACCCGGCAGGAGAGTCAATCACTGCTCAAGGTCATGACGGGAGTAAATGGCAGAGCCAGCAATGCACTACAGACTTTGCGACCGACCAAGTCCAGTTCCCCTCTCACTGCCCCACAGGGGTCCGTCCTAGGCCAGGCTCGGAGGAGACAAGAAGGGAGGAACCCAATGTGTTCTTTCTTCCCGCGGTGAAAGCTGCCTCCCAGGCCAGCAAGAGCAGCCCAGAAGAAGTGCCCCACTCTCCCAGGGATCAGGTACTGGGGGCAGCGGGCAGGACAAGGTATGGGGTGGGGCTGACTGCTCCAGGCCAACAGACCAAGCAATAAGGTTGGAACCACAAGTCCCCTGGGTAAACTGAACTTTATTCCTTCCTCACGGCTCTCACTCTCCAGAACTGCCCCGCCAGCTCTTCTCCAGGGGCTGGCTGCTGATTAAATGGCACTTCCCCACCCCTCAGATCTGACCCCGCAAACAATAAGGACTTGAGGGGAGGCGGCAGGCTATCAGCTCAATAATGCAAAACCCTGTTGCTCCTCGTCCACAACAGCTGACTTCAAGTGGATGGGAGGCTGCGCTTATTAACAAAATGAGAAATCTGATCTACGGAAAGAAAACACTACGTGAGGATTAATCTGCGACTGCAGCTTGTGGAGAAGGCTGGGCTGCTGGCCAAGACCAAGGATCGAGGATGGGATCGTGCCTACCTGTCCCCAGAGCAGGTATCATGCAGCACAACAGGACTCATCACCCCTGCCCCACCTGCGCCTTCTCTTCTCCTTCCAGCAACTTCGACAATCATTTCGGTTTTGCTTTAATTAAAGGCCTGACTCCCTCGGGCTGCTTCTTCCTCTACACAGAGGCAGCAACCAGAGGGAGATTTTTCTTTTCAGGAATCGGTCGTAAAAACTCAGTGACTAATCTACAAGTTCCAACAACTGGCAGAAAAACACCGCAGGGAGAGGTTGCTGGGCACACAGCAGCACTCAGAGCCAACTGACCAGAGAAGCTGGGCCACAGGCACTCTACTACAACCTCCCTCCCCCAGCCCGACACTGGCCTGCCGACCCACCTGAGAGCTCTGACCTCCCAAGGCAGGCAGCTGGGGAGCCTCTTCCCAGCCTTCCAAGTCTACTGCTCGTCCTGTGGGACCCAGAGATCTTCACAGTCTCAATGGCACAAGACGGAACGTTCACTTCCAGGCAACAATCCTGCGCCACAGGACTCAGTTCAGCCCCCAAGTATCAGACTCCCGGCCCTGTTCTTGGTGTTCAGAGCCCACTAAACCAGCAGTCTTGCCACACAGCTTTGTCTCCAGAGGCCAGCTCATCTGCTTTTTTTCACACTACTCCAGCAACCCTGCTCCACCAAGCACGCACACTCTCCTTGACACAGGGCTCCAGACCAACCACATGGCCTGTGCTCCTGAAAATGCCTGCCTGAAGGCCCAGGGAGTCCAGACACTGGCAGATGAGAATGGACGAAAAGAAGCCAAGCCAGAAGCCAGGAAGCAATAAATGCTAGACCCAGAAAGGCCTTAGGTTTGAGTGACCCAGCTCCATCCCTCCATCCTGGATCCTTGGAGGACAGCCCCAAGTTCAGCCTAGGAGCTCCCAAGGCCCCTCCACTACCTGCCAGCTCTCCGACAGCACAAGAGACACAGCAATCCCACATCAGTCAACAACCCACCGCCACAGGATTCCTAGGGGCAAGGCTCTGCCCCTCCCCCCAGCACATATGTCAGAGGGGTGGCTTCCCTGGGTTACACCCCTCCTGCTGTTGGGGGAGTGGGGGGTCGGGGAACACAGCTTTCCAGATGTGCTTGGCAACTCCTACTAGAAAAGACTAGGGGTGCGGGGGACAGGAGAAGACATGGATAAATAACTTTAACACCGCTCCAACCCATCCGGCTCAGCACTGGGCTCCCTTACACAGGCAGTCCCAGGCAGTTCTGGGTGGGGCCGTTGGGAGCATTATCTGGCCTCATTCCCTCCTCTCAGCAAGTCACTGCCCCCCAGGGAGAGGCATTCCCCCCCACCCCCCCCAACCACGCACACACCCAGGCCTGTGTGAATATGAACCATCTTGGAAGATAAACAGAGAGTGACAAGCTGGGGCCCCTCAGCCCCCTCCCTCAGCCAGCCGGTCCCTTCCCCCTGAAAGCCGACCCCCTCCCCCAAGCCCATCTCTCTTCCTGCCAAGCGGCTGCCTACAGGAGAGGTCTGGGGGCAGGGCAGCGAGCCCACCAGCCGCAGAGCCCGGCCCTCTGGGAGCGGCCCCTCCAGGCCCGCCCCTGCCCCTGCCGTGGCCAGTCTTCCCGCGGGGAGGAGGCAAGAGGAGAGGAGACCGCAGACGGTGCAGGACCGCAGTCCTGGAAATCGCAAAATCCTCTAGCGAGGGGGCGAACGCGGGCGCAGGGCCGTTTGCATAATGGGAGCCCTCCCGCCTGTCAGGCAGCGCAGCTCGCCCGACGCTGTTCGGATTAGATTGCTAATGAAAAGGCACAAAGAGCCGGCGCCCGCTCGCCCGCCGACCCCCGCTCCGCAGACCCGCGCCGCCTGGGCCTGGCGCGGCCCGGTGGGCTTTGTGCCCCGGGTGCCCCACCGCCCGCGCCCCTCCGGGCATCTGGCCCACAAAGCCCGGGCCTGCCAGGGGTCCCGCGTGCGCCCCAGCCCAGGCCCGCCAGACGCTAGCGCGTCCCCCACGCGCGCAGTCCCACGTCGCCCGGGCGCGCGCGCGTCCACGCCCCTCTCCCCGGGGACGCGCCCAGCCCGCGGCCCCGGCCCCCGCCCGCTCCCCGCGCCCCCCGCCCCACAAGGCCGCCCCTCACCTCGTGTGCGTCGGCGGCGGCGCTCCGCCCGCCGGCCGGCCGGCCCTACCAGCGGCCCTTGTCCTCAGCGCCCGGCTCGCGCCGCACGCGCCCGCCCCGTCCGCCTGCCGCCAGCCCGGCTCGGCTCCCCGCCTAGCGCGCCCCGAGCGCCGCTCACAGCCGCCCGCCCAGCGCCATCTTGGAAGCTTGTGACGTCGGCGCCGCCCGCTCACCCCTGACCCACATCTGAATGGGCGAGCGGCGGGGCGGGGACAGGGGGCAGCTGGGGGCGTGGCCTGTGAACAGGGGCGGGGCCTGCGGGGGCGGGGCCGGGCCGGACAGCGGTCCCAGCACTAGGCGGGGCGGGCTGCCGGGGTCCGGCGCCGTGGGGGAGGGGTGCGCGGGAGGAGCCGGGGACCCAGACCCCGGACATCTAACCGGACTCCGACCTCAAGCGCCAGGGCAGGACCGCGACCTCGCCCCTGAAATACCCGGACCGCATACCGGCCCCCGGGACAGGGACCCTGGCCCCCCCCGACAGGCTGACGCCCACCCCCTCAAACTCTGGTGGACTTACCCCCTTTTAGCCCTACCCTGACCCCTAGGAGCCCCGAATTAGGGACCTCTATCGGCCTACGCGCCCCCTCCCCGACCCCTTTGCGACCCCTGCTCGACGCTCCCTGCGGTTGCCCGAGGCTCAAAGGCGCAGCCAGCAGTGACTGCAAGCTCGGGGGTCTGGGCTCCTGGGGAAGCCCGGGCTGGTTGGGTGCAAAAGAGAAGGGGCGCCCCTCCCGTGACCCCAGCGCCCCTCGGGCCCCCGCGGGCGCACCCCCGCGAACCCTACCTGCTCCGAGGGCGCGGAGGACCCAGCACGCTGCGCTCAGCCAGCCCCTTCCGGTGGCCGCAGCCCCTCGCAGGCCCCAGGGGTCAAGCGCCTGCCCGAGCCGGCCCACCAGGACCCGGGCTCCCGGCCGCCATGCAGATAGCCTTCCCAGGGGCTGGGCTGGCCTGAGCCGCCACTGCTTCTCTAGGGAGCTAGTTAATGGACCGCTCTCTACTTTGAACACCAAACAAAGGAACACACCACTATCGAGGTCGCCCAAGTCCAAGAGGAGCCCAGGTCTGCCTTACAGGGAAGTTGTGCCCCAGCTCCAGTCAAGATCAAAAACCAGTTTCAATAACCCTTCGCCAAGCTGATGATGCAACCTTTCTTTCCTAATGGATGTATAGGTTTAATGTCATCCTAACAACATTTCTTAGACTTCACAAAATTCTAAGTTCACCTGGAAAAATAAATAGCCGAAAACAGCTATGGTTTTCCCCCCTTGGGAACAAAAGCAGGCATGAGGGTAGACTTGCCCTAACAGATATCAAAACAAATTGTAAAGCTACCGCAGGCATTTCAGTGTGGTACAGAACAGGAAATAGAATAGAAAGCCTAGAAACATCCTAGAAATGGTAAGAACACAATAGATGAAAAAGGAAATATCAAACATCTGTGGAAAAAAAAGAGCTATCAAACATCCCTGAAGAAGAACAAGAATATTCCACAAATAGAGCCTAGCAGAGGACTCACTATTTGAAGGAACGACTGAAAAAAAAAGTCAACCATTCTACTAACCCAAGACATATAAATTAAAACTATAGGCCGGGCGCGGTGGCTCACGCCTGTAATCCCAGCACTTTGGGAGGCCAAGGCGGGCGGATCACGAGGTCAGGAGATCGAGACCATCCTGGCTAACACGGTGACACCCCGTCTGTACTAAAAATACAAAAAATTAGCCAGGCGAGGTGGCGGGCGCTTGTAGTCCCAGCTACTCGGGAGGCTGAGGCAGGAGAATGGCGTGAACCCCGGGGGGCGGAGCCTGCAGTGAGCCGAGATCGTGCCACTGCACTCCAACCTGGGCGACAGCGAGACTCCGTCTCAAAAAAATAAATAAATAAATAAAATAAAACTATAAGAAGCTGGGTTTTCTCCTAAACAAATTAAAAATCAGTTTCAAGTGATAACCTTCAAACACAAGGTCTGATAGGTAATCACTCTCATATACTTTTGGAAGCACATAAATCACCTCAAAATTCCTGGACATGAGTTTGGCGGTATGAGCCAAAAGTTGTTTTTTTGGGGTTCTTTTGTCTTTTTTTGTTTTTTGGAGACTCGGAGTCTCACTCTGTTGCCCAGGCTGGAGTGTAGCCTCAAACTCCTGGGATCAAGTGATCCTCCTGCCTTCCAAAGTGCTGGGATTACAGGCATAAGCCAACGCACCTGGCCCCAAAAATATTTTAAAATAATTATACCCTCTCAGACCAGTATTCCAGGATTCTGTTCTGGGGAAATTAGCCACGTTTGCAGACCACGTACTTATTATCTGTCTCTCTACCCATAAGTAAGTTTGTACCTGTAAGTTTGGAACCCATGCCTAGGAGCACACCTGAGACAACAGGCATTCCACGGTCCCTTGTTTCATCTGCATTTGAAAACTAATGTGGCTGGCTCATGCCTGTAATCCCAACACTTTGGGAGGCCAAGGCCGGCAGATCGCCTGAGGTCAGGACTTTGAGACCACCCTGGCCAACATGGTGAAACCCCGTCTCTACTAAAAATACAAAAATTAGCCGGATATCGAGGTGCATGCCTGTAGTCCCAATTACTCGGGAGGCTGAGACAGGAGAATTGCTTGAATCTGGGAGGCTGAGGTTGCAGTGAGCTGAGATCATGCCATGACACTCCAGCCTGGGCAACAGAGGGAGACTCGGTCTCAAAAAACAACAAAAAAGATAACTAATATATGATAATATTTTTTAAGTGTCATGTATAATAGTGAAAGAAAGCATATACAGGCGGTGGCTCACGCCTGTAATCCCAGCACTTTGGGAGGCTGAGGCGGGAGGATCACCTGAGGTCAGGAGTTTGAGACCAGCCTGGCCAACATGGTAAAACCCCGTCTCTACTGAAAATACAAAATTAGCTGGGCATGGTGGCGTATGCCTGTAATCCCAGCTACTTGAGAGGCTGAGGCAGGAGAATTGCTTGAACTCCAGAGGCGGAGGTTGCAGTGAGCTGAGATCCTGCCATTGCACTCCAGCCTGGGCAACAGAGCAAGACTCCGTATCAAAAAAAAAAAAAGAAAAAAGCATATACAAATTTCTCACAATGGGGTTAAATAGTCCACATAATGGAATGTAGATTAGGCCAGGAGTAGTGGCTCATGCCTGTAATCCCAACACTTTGGGAGGCCGAGGCGGGCAGATCACCTGAGGTCGGGAGTTCGAGACCAGCCTGACCATTATGGTGAAACCCCGTCCCTACTAAAAATACGAAAAGTTAGCTGGGCGTGATTGCGCATGCCTGTAATCCCAGCTACTCGGGAGGCTGAGGTAGGAGACTTGCTTGAACCCGGGAGGCGGAGATTGCGGTGAGCTGAGATCGCACCATTGCACTCCAGCCTGGGCAACAAAAGTGAAACTCCGTCTCAAAAAAAAAATTAGCCAAGCATGGTGTCACATGCCTGTAGTCCCAGCCACTCAGCAGGCTGAGGCGCAGCACGAGAGTTGCTTGAACCTGGGAGGCAGAGGTTGCAGTGAGCCGAGGTGGTGCCGCTGCACTCCAGCCTGGGCGACAGAGTGGGACTCCATTTTAAAAAAATAAATAGGCCAGGCGCGGTGGCTCACGCCTGTAATCCCAGCACTTTGGGAGGCCCAGGCAGGTGGATCACGAGGTGAGGAGTTCAACACCAGCCTGGCCAAGATGGTGAAACCCCGTCTCTACTAAAAATACAAAAATTAGCCAGGCATGGTGACGGGCACCTGTAATCCCAGCTATTCGGGGGGCTGAGGCAGAGAATCGCTTGAACTCAGGAGGCGGAGGTTGCAGTGAGCCCAGATCACACCACTGCACTCCAGTCTGGGCGACAGAGTGAGACTCGGTCTCAGAAAATAAATAAATAAATTAATTAATTAAATTAATAGGATGGGCACGGTGGCTCACTCCTGTAATCCCAGCACTTTGGGAGGCCGAGGCGGGTGGATCACCCAAGGTCAGAAGTTTGAGACCTGCCTGGCCAACATGGTAAAACCCCGTCTCTACTAAAAATACAAGATTAGCCAGGCATGGTGACGTATGCCTGTAATCCCAGCTACTTGGGAGGCTGAGGCAGGAGAATTGCTTGAGCTCCAGAGGCGGAGGTTGCAGTGAGCTGAGATCCTGCCATTGCACTCCAGCCTGGGTGACAAGAGTGAAACTCCGTCTCCAATAATAATAATAATAATAATAATAATAATAAATAAGTAAATTTTTAATTAAAAAATAAAATTTTTATTTATTTATTTATTTATTTTTTGAGACAGAGTCTCACTCTGTCATCCAGGCTGGAGTGCAGTGGCATCATCTCAGCTTGCTGCAACCTCTGCCTCCCAGGTTCAAGCAATTCTCTGCCTCAGCCTCCTGAGTAGCTGGGATTACAGGCGCCCACCACCACACCCAGCTAATTTTTGTATTTTTACAAGAGGCTGGTCTGGACCTCTTGACCTCATGATCTACCCGCGTCGGCCTCCCAAAGTGCTGGGATTACAGGCGTGAGCCACTGCGCCCAGCCAAAAATAATTAAAAAAAAAAAAAAAAAGAAGAGGCCAGGTGCAGTGGCTCACGCCTGTAATCCCAGCACTTTGGAAGACTGAGGCAGGAGGATCACTTGAGGTCAGGAGTTCGATACCAGCCTGGCCAACATGGTGAAACCCCATCTCTACTAAAAATACACACAAAAATATTAGCCAGGCATGGTGGCACACCCCTGTAGTCCCAGCTACTCGGGGGACTGAGGCAGGAGGATCACTTGAACCCAGGAGGTGGACGTTTCAGTGAACCAAAATCACACCACTGCACACTCCAGCCTGGTCAACAGAGCTAGACCCTGTCTTAAAAAAAATTGTATTTTTTGTACAAAAAAATTAGCCGGGCCTGGTGGCAGATGCCTGTAGTCCCAGCTACTCAGGAGGCTGAGGCAGGAGAATGGCGTGAAAACCTGGGAGGCGGAGCTTGCAGTGAGCCAAGATCACGCCACTGCACTCCAGCCTGGGCGACAGAGCGAGATTCCGCCTCAAAAAAAAATTTTTTTTTTAATTGCATTTTTTAAATGCATGCAAAAATATTGATATATGGAAAAGCAACTGAAGAAAATAAATCAAAAATATTTACGGAGGTTCTCTCTGGAAGTTGGGAATTTTTTTTCTACACATGTATACTTTAGCGTGTGTGTTATTTTTATTTTATGAAAGTAACATTTCTAATCGGAACAATTCTAGAGATGCTGAAGCACATTTTATTTTTATTTTATTATTTATTTTTGAGACAGAGTCTAGCTCTGTTGCCCAGGCTGGAGCACAGTGGCGTGATTATGGCCCACTGCAGCCTCCACTTCCTAGGCTCAAGTGATTCTCCCAGCTGGGACTACAGGCATGCACCACCACACCCGGCTAATTTTTTATTTTCTGTAGAGACAGGGTCTCACTATGCTTCCCAGGCTGATCTCAAACTCCCAGACTCAAGCAATTCTCCCACCTCAGCCTCCCAAAGTGCTGGGATTACAAGCATGAGACACCATGCCTGGTAATTTTTTTTTTTTTTTTTTTGTGCAGATGGAGTCTCGCGCTGTCACCCAGGCTGGAGTGCAGAGGCGCGATCTCCGTTCATTGCAACCTCCGGCTCCCGGGTTCAAGCGATTCTCCTGCCTCGGCCTCCCAAGTAGCTGGGATTACAAGTGAGCACCGCCACACCAAGCTAATTTTTGTAGTTTTAGTAGAGATGGGGTTTCACCATGTTGCCAGGGTTGTCTCGATCTATTGACCTCGTGATCTGCCCACCTCGGCCTCCCAAAGTGCTGGGATTACCGGCGTGGGCCACCGTGCCCAGCCCATGCCCAGCAATTTTTTAAAGTTAAATTCTCCCTCCTCCTCCACCCTAATCAGTCCTTTCTGAAGTAACATTAACAGTTTAACTCTCTTCTCTGACATCAATATGTATCTACTCACCTTACAAAAAAGATCCTACTATTTTGAAATCATAGACATTTTTCTAGTTCATTTCCATAATTCATTCTTTTTTTTTTTTTTCATGTCAGACGGGTAATGTGCCTATGTCGTAACAAGATTTGAAGGTGGCGGCCGGGCGCGGTGGCTCACGCCTGTAATCGCAGCACTTTGGGAGGCCAAGGCGGGCGGATCACGAGTTCAGGAGATTGAGACCATCCTGGCTAACACAGCGAAACCCCATCTCTACTGAAAATACAAAAAAATTAGCCGGGCGTGGTGGCGGGTGCCTGTAGTCCCAGCTACTCAGGAGGCTGAGGCAGGAGAATGGCATGAACCCGGGAGGCGGAGCTTGCAGTGAGCCAAGATCGCGCCACTGCACTCCAGCCTGGGTGACGGAGCAAGACTCCCTCTTAAAAAAAAAAAAAAAAAATATTTGAAGGTGGCACATCTTACATGGGAACGTGTGTGAACACATAATCATCATGCTTATGAACTACAAAAGGATCATAATTCATTCTTTAAGAGCTGACAAATGTTCCAGAGTATGGAGCTTCTGTAATTTATTCACACTTCGTTAACCATGGTTGTTCAGTTTATTTACAGTGTGGTGCTTTTTGTTTTCTTTTTTCTTTGTTTTTTTTTTGTTTTTTTTTTTTTTTTGAGATGGAGTCTTGCTCCTGTCACCCAGGCTAGAGTGCAATGGCACAATCTTTGCTCACTGCAACCTCCACCTCCCGGGTTCAAGCAATTCTCCTGCCTCGGCCTCCTAAGTAGCTGGGATTACAGGTATCTGCCACCATGCCTGGCTAATTTTTGTATTTTTCGTAGAGACGGGGTTTCACCATGTTGGCCAGGCTGGTCTTGAACTCCTGACCTCAAGTGATCCACCCGCCTCAGCCTCCCTAAATGCTGGGATTACAGGTGTGAGCCACCGCACCCAGCCTACACTGTGGTGCTATTAAAAAATATTTTTAGGCTGGGCACAGTGGCTCACACCTCTAATCCCAGCACTTTGGGAGGCCGAGGCAGGTGGATCACTTGAGGCCAGGAGTTTGAGACCAGCCTGGTGATCATGAAGAAACCCTGTCTCTACTAAAATATTAGCCAGGCATGGTGTCACATACGGATAATCCCAGCTACTCGGGAGTCTGAGGTGGGAGAATCACTTGAACTAGGGAGGCAGACGTTGCAGTGAGTTGAGATCATGCCACTGCACCCCAGGCTGGACAACAGAGCGAGACCTCGTCTTAAAGTAATTAATTAATTAATTAATTAATATAAATAAAATAGCAGATTTCAAAAATTTGTTCTCCCTGGCAGCAACCCAGTAAAGCTAGATCTGGGCGGAAGGTAATATGGAAATATAAAAACTACAGATTAGCAGGGATGGGAAGACCCGCCAGAAATGGGTTCATTTTGTGTCCTCACTCCCTCCGGATTCTCTGTGTGTCTAGTCCAAGATCTAACCACTATGATCTGCTTTCCTCATCCATTTGGGAATCAGGGCACCACCCCCTTGGGAGGCTTGAATGACAGGAGGTTGAGCAGGCAGAGCACGGAACTCAGGCTCTGGTGAGCCCTGGTACAGTGACTATGATTGTTGTGTCATGTAGGAAGGGTCTGTTATTTTACCATTATCTGTTTTCAATAAAAAACAGAAAGAAAACAAATATACAAAATACCCCCAAACAGTAAATTTCAGCTTCTTACTATGACAGCTAGATTTAGCATTTAACAGTATGCCCAAATTTGAATTTCGGATAAACAACCAATAATGCTTAATATAAGTATGTCCCGGCCGGGCGCGGTGGCTCACGCCTGTAATCCCAGCCCTTTGGGAGGCCGAGGCGGGCGGATCACGAGGTCAGGAGATCAAGACCATCCTGGCTAACACGGTGAAACCCCGTCTCTACTAAAAATACAAAAAATTAGCCGGGCGCGGTGGCGGGCGCCTGTAGTCCCAGCTACTCGGGAGGCTGAGGCAGGAGAATGGCGTGAACCCCAGGAGGCGGAGCCTGCAGTGAGCTGAGATCGTGCCACTGCACTCCAGCCTGGGTGACAGCGAGACTCCGTCTCAAAAAAAAAAAAAAAAGTATGTCCCATACAATATCACTTCTCACCTTCCCATATCCCAAGCTCAAGACACCTTATATACGCCATGATTTCTCCTGCCATCTCTGGGCATTCACACCAGGGCTCCTCCTGTCCAGGCCAGCCTTCTCCCTTCTCCCACCTGTGCCTGGTGAACAACTCAGTTCAGACATCATCTCTTGTAGGAAGTCTCCTGTGATCCCAGGCTAATCACCCTGATACAGTCCTGAAATACTGCTGAGCAGTTGGCATGAGGGCAGGAAGGCTTGGTCTTGTTCACTCTTGTATCCAGCTTATACATGGCACAAAGTAGGTTCTCAATTAAAAGTCAAATGAGGGGCCAGGTGCAGTGGCTCACGCCTGTAATCCCAGCACTTTAGGAGGCCAAGGCGGGTAGATCACCTGAGGTTGGGAGTTCGAGACCAGCCTGGCCAGCATGGTGAAACCCCATCTCTACTAAAACTACAAAAATTAGCCAGACGTGGTGGCAGGCACCTGTAATTCCAGCTACTCGGGAAGCTGAGGCAGGAGAATCACTTGAACCCGGGAGGGAGAGGTTGCAGTGAGCCAAGATTGCGCCATTGCACTCCAGCCTGGGCAACAGAGCAAGACTCCATCTCAAAAAACAAAAAAAGTCAAATGAAGTCGGGCACAGTGGTTCGCGCCTGTAATCCCAGCACTTTGGGAGACTGACGCAGGAGGATCACCTGAGGTCAGGAGTTCGAGACCAGCCTGGCCAGCATATGAAATCCTGTCTCCACTAAAAATACAAAAAAAAAAAAAAAAAAAAATAGCTGGGTGTGGTAATGCACGCCTGTAATCCCAGCTATTTGGGAAGCCGAGGCAGGAGAATTGCTTGAACCCGGGACACAGAGGTAACAGTGAGGTGAGATCATGCAACTGCACTCCAGCCTGGGCTACAGAGCAAGACTCTGTCTCAAAAAAAAAAAAAAAAAAAGTCAAATGAGACCACTCATGGTAGCTGGCGCCTATAATCCCAGCACTCTGGGAAGCCAAGGCGGGAGGATTGCTTGAGTCCAGGAGTTTGATACCAGCCTGGGCAAAACAGTGACATCTCATCTCTACAAAAAATTTTTAAAATTAGCCGGGCATGGTGGCACTCGTCTATAGTACTAGCTACTTGGGAGGCTGAGGTGGGAGGATTGCTTGAGCCCAAGAATTCGAGGTTGCAGTGAGCTATACTTGCGCCATTGTACTATAGCTGGGCAACAGCCAGACGCGGCCTCAAAAAAAAAAAAAATTAGCCGGGCTTGGTGGCATGTACCTATAGTCCCAGCTACTCAGAAGCTAAGACAGGAGGATCATTTGAGCCCAGGAATTTGACGCTGCAGTAAGCCAAGGTCACACCACTGCACTCCCGCCTGGGAGACTGAGTGAGACCCTGAGTCTAAAACAAATAATAATAAAAACGAAAATGAAAGTCAAATGAATGAGGCCAGGGGTGGTGGCTCATGCCTGTAATCCTAGCACTTTGGAAGGCTGAGGTGGGTGGGTCAGCTGAGCCCTGGAGTTACAGACCAGCCTGGGCAACATGGCGAAACCCTGTCTCTACAAATACAAAAAAGAAAAAAGCCAGGCCCATGGTGGTGAGTGCTTGAAGTCCCAGCTACTCAGGAGGGTGAGGTGGGAGAATAGCTTGAGCTCAGGAGGTCAAGGCTGCAGTGAGCTGAGATTGCATCACTGCAGCCTAGCCATGATGACAGGGCAAGACCCAGTAGAAAACCAAGGTTAGAGAGGTTAAGTCACCTGCCCAAGGTCCGTAGCTAACCTCAGACTCCAGCCCCTCAGACTGACATGAGCTCAGTTCACCCTCTTAGGAACACCATCTGAAGAATGCATCCCCAGCAAGCCTATTCCCTATAGCAAAGGCCAGGCCTGTGATGGGTGCCCCGCTCCTCACCACACACCTCCCTGTCAAGTCACCACTCCTTCACCCCTAGCAGAGCCAGGCACCTTGAGCCCAAGGGAGGCCACTCATGGAACTGTCATTCAACCAACAGATGCTGACAGCAATGATGAGGTGGGCACTGGGCTAGTGAACAGCACAGATGTGTTCCCTGGCCTCAGAAGCCCACAGACTAAGGAGAAGATGACAGAATACTCACAAGGGTGCTGGGGCTGGGCAAAAAGGTGCAGGCTGCTTTGTCTGGTCATAAGAGGGGAACTGACTTCCCTGGTCTGAGGAGCCAAGGAAGGGGCCGTGCCCTTGCCATGCCCTCTGCCTGCCATGCCTTGCTGTTCTTCAGTGCCTGCTCTAAGGTCACTCCTAGTGTGGTTTTCTCTGGCTGCTCTTTTGTTTTGTTTTTTTTTTTTTTTTGAGACAGAGTCTCGCTTTGTCACCCAGGCTGGAGTGCAGTGGCACCATCTTGGCTCACAGCAACCTCCGCCTCCTGAGTTCAAGTAATTCTCCTGTCTCAGCCTCCTGAGTAGCTGGGACTACAGGTGTGCACCACTACGCCCAGCTAATTTGTGTATTTTTAGTAGAGACGGGGTTTCACCATATTGGTTGGCCAGGATGGTCTCAATCTCTTGACCTCCGGATCAACTCCCCTTGGCCTCCCAAAGTGCTGGGATTACAGGAGTGAGCCACCGCGCCCGGCCACTTTTTTTTTGGAGTCTCGCTCTGTCCCCCAGGCTGGAGTGCAGTGGCGCGATTTCGGCTCACTGCCAGCTCCGCCTCCCGGGTTCACGCCATTCTCCCACCTCAGCCTCCCGAGTAGCTGGGACTACAGGCGCCCGCCACCACGCCTGGCTAATTTTTTGTATTTTTAGTAGAGACGGGGTTTCACCCTGTTAGCCAGGATGGTCTTGATCTCCTGACCTTGTGATCCGCCTGCCTCGGCCTTCCAAAGTGCTGGGATTACAGGCTTGAGCCACCACGCCTGGCCTCTTTTTCTTTTTTGTTGAGACAGATTCTCACTCTGTCGCCCCCAGGCTGGAGTGCAATGGCGCAATCTTGGCTCATTGCAACCTCGGCCTCCTGGGTTCAAGCAATTCTCTGCCTCAAGCCTCCCGAGTAGCTGAGATTACAGGCGCCCACCACCACACCCGGCTCATTTTTGTGTTTTTAGTAGAGACAGGGTTTCACCATCTTGGCCAGACTGGTCTTAAACTCCTGACTTCGTGATCTACCAGCCTCGGCCTCCCAAAGCGCTGGGATTACAGGCTTGAGCCACCGCACCTGGCCATGCTCTTTCTTTTTTATTTGTATTTTTATCTGTTTCTTAGAGACAGGGTCTCACTCTGTCATCCAGGCTGGAGTGCAGTGGTGTAATCATAACTCACTGCAGCCTCAAACTCATGGGCTCAAGGGATCCTCCTGCCTCAGTCTCCCAAGCAGCTGGGACTACAGGTGTGCACCACTATGCCCAGCTATTTTTTTTTTTTTTTTGAGACAGAGTCTCGCTCTGTCGACCAGGCTGGAGTGCAGTGGTGCCATCTCGGCTCACTGCAACCTCTGCCTCCTGGGTTCAAGTGATTCTCTGCCTCAACCTCCTCAGTAGCTGGATTACAGGTACCTACCACCATGCCAAGCTAATTTTTGTGTTTTTTTTTTTTTTGAGATGGAGTCTTGCTCTGTCACCCAGGCTGGAGTGCAGTGGCGCAATCTCGGCTCACTGCAAGCTCCACCTCTCAGGTTCACGCCATTCTCCTGCCTCAGCCTCCCGAGTAGCTGGGACTACAGGTGTCCGCCACCATGCCCGGCTAATTTTTTGTATTTTTAGTAGAGACGGGGTTTCACCGTGTCAGCCAGGATGGTCTCAATCTCCTGACCTCGTGATCCGCTGGCCTCGGCCTCCCAAAGTGCTGAGATTACAGGCGTGAGCCACCGTGCTCGGCCTAATTTTTGTATTTTCAGTAGAGACACGGTTTCACCATCTTGGCCAGGCCGGTCCTGAACTCTTGACCTCATGATCCACCGGCCTCGGCCTCCCAAAGTGTTGGGGTTATAGACGTGAGCCACCGTGTCTGGCCTGGCTCCACTTTCTTAGGGAGCTTTGCTTGCCCTCTGCTTGGGGTAGTTTGTGAATTCAGTGCTCTGTCTCTCCCAGGTCCTGGGTCTCCTGCTCCTGATCAATCTGCCACGTGCCATTTGATCTCAGAGTTGTCTCCACCATTAGACTGGCAGGGTCTGTCTTCTGGGGTCTGTGTGTAGGATACAGTGGCCCCAGGATGGGTAAAGGAGGGGACCCAGTTGTTCTTCTGTGATAGGTGGAGACAAGGGCCAGCAGGGCTGTTTCTCGGTGAAACCCATGGGGAGATAGTCGAACCAGGAACCAAATCCGGCCGGGCGCGGTGGCTCACGCCTGTAATCCCAGCACTTTAGGAGGCCGAGGTGGGCGGATCACCTGAGTTCGGGAGTTGGAGACCAGCCTGACCAATATGGTGAAACCCCATCTCTACTAAAAAAAAAATATACATATATATACAAAATTAGCCTGGCGTGGTGGCACATGCCTGTAATCCCAGCTACTCGGGAGGCTGAGGCAAGAGAATCACTTGAAACTGGGAGGCAGAGGTTGCGGTGAGCCAAGATCGCACCATTGCACTCCAGCCTGGGTGACAGAGACTCAGTCTCCAAAAAAAAAAGTCCAAAAATTAAAAAAAAAAAAAATGCCGAACTCAGTGGCTCACGCCTATGATCCTACCACTTTCAGAGGCCGAGGCGGGCACGGTGGCGCGTACCTGTAATCCCAGCTACTCCGGAGGCTGAGGCAGAAGAATCACTTGAACCCGGGAGGCAGAGGTTGCAGTGCGCTGAGATCGTGCCACTACACTCCAGTGTGGTGACAGAGCGAGACTTGGTCTCAAAAAAAAAAAAAAGTCCTGGCTGTGCCACTAGGCCAGACGCCCTAGAACTGACTTCTATGGACCTCAGTTTTCATACCTGTGAAATGGAACTCAGAGCCATATCTACTTCATTGGGTTGTGTGAATGTGAGGTAGTTACAGGATGGAGCAGGCAGAAGGTCAGCACAGCCTCAGTGGTTGGAGGAGTGGGGGTCAAGTGGACAGAGAGGGTACCCCAGGGCCAGAGGTAGAGGCAAGGTGAAGCAATGCTTCATTTCCCTGCTGAGGTTCCTCTCTAGCAGTTTGGAGGTGGGGCAGGAGTGGAGAAAACACATCCCCTCCTCAATCTGGGCTGAGGAACAGGGTTCTTGAGGCACCAAGAACCTCTTTGGGGCTCTGGCTTGCCTCCTGTAGTGAAAGGGATGGGCTGTGTGCAATGAACTCACACCTGTAATCCCAACACTTTGGGAGACAGAGTCAGGAGGTCCAGAACAGCCTAGGCAACATAGCAAGACCTTGTTTCTACAAAAAACTTTTTAAAAAATTAGCCAGGCGTGGTGGTGGCACCTGTAGTCCCAGCTACTTGGGAGGCTGAGGTGGGAGGATTGCTTGAGCCTGGAGAGGTTGAGGCTGAAGTGAGCTATGATAGCACCACTGTACTCCAACCTGGGCAACAGAGTGAAACCCTGTGTCTAAAATAAAAAGAGGGCCTGGCGTGGTGGCTCACGCCTGTAATCCCAGCACTTTAGGAGGCCGAGGCAGGCAGATCACTCGAGGTCAGGAGTTCGAGACCAGCCTGGCCAACATGGTGAAACTCTGTCTCTACAGAAGTACAAAAATTAGTCGGGCGTGGTGGCAGGCGCCTGTAATCCCAGCTGCTTGGGAGGCTGACCTGGGAGAATCTCTCGAACCTGGGAGGCAGAGGTTGCAGTGAGCTGAGATCACATCATTGCACTGCAGCCTGGGCAACAAGAGCGAAACTCCGTCTCAAAAAAAAAAAACAAATAATAAAATAATAATAATAATAATAATAATAATAATAATAAAAAGAGGGTGGGAGTGGACCAAGGCCTAATGGCATGGAATTTGCAAACTCTATCTTCCTACTTTTCTCTGGGGAGCCTTCCTCCATCACCAGGGCCCAGCAGGGCCTCAGATGGCGGGGGGTGGGGCGGGGGCTACACATATCCCTCATGGCCAAGATGCTAGGAAGCCCCTGAGCTGGGGCAACAGCCTCTGGTCACAGTCATGAGGGAGGCTGGGTGCAGTAGCGCTTATCTCGCCTGACCTTGTGGAGACTGACCACTCCCTCCTTCTGGAAAACGTTGCCCCCTGCCCTCTCCAAGGCCTCCTCCTTCTTACATCCCCTGGTCCTGGCTAGGGCCTCAGCACCCAATTCTACTCCTTGACCCACCACCCTGTGGTGCTTTTGCCGGGCCCCAGCCCACAGCCATCTGCCAAACACCTCCCCCTGGAGTCCCTGCGGCGTCTCTGACTCAGCAGGTCTGTGCCTGCCCCTGCTGTTCCCCCCACCCAGTGGCTCTGCAGAGCACCCTGTTGCCCAAGCCCTGAGTGCTGGCCACTCCCAGGGCCTCGCCTTCCCCCACCACCAGCACCACCAATTTGAATTCCTATCTCTCCCTCTGGCCTCCTCCCTAGACCCAGGCCCTGCCCCAGGGTGGGGGAAGGAATCCTATAGATAAGGGCATTGGTCAAAGGGACACACCTGGGTTCGGGCCCCCAGCTCTGCCCCCAACCTGCTAAATGACCACACCCCTCTCCAAATCTGAGTTATTCCCTATGTAAAAGGGGGAAATAATTAAACTAGCTGGGTATGCTGTGCTGAGCAATATGTGAGCTCAGGAAAGGTCAGTTTTCCAGGGGAAGTATGGCCGCTGAGAGCCTCAGTCTAGTGCTTCTCATTCACGAGCTGGTTGGTGCCTTTCCTAAGTTGGAAATGGGTTAGTCCACAAATCCCGTTGCCTGGTCCATGCCAGGTCCAGGTACCTGCATTCAGGGTGCAGGGTGGAGTAAGACAGTCTGAAGGGAGAGGTAGCAGGATGAATGAGTAATTCCTGGGTGCGTTTTGGGATTATGCCTAAGGGCTGTCCGAGCACGTGGGAGGGGTAGCTAAATCCTGTAAGGGAGGGGAGAATGGGGAAGGCTGCCTGCAAGAGGTGGTGGAGGGTGCTTTCAAAGGATACCTGGGAGTGAGCTGGCTGTAGGCACAGGGCAGCTGGAAGGCCAATTTTAGGGAAGAGGAAATTGAGGCTGAAAGTCAAAAAACAAAGGAACTGCCTGAGGTCTCTCAACTGAGAAGTGAGTGGGCCAGGGTTCACATTCAGCCCCCACTCCATTCTCAGGCCGGGCAGGAAGGTACTTTGCCCTCAGGAGGGCACCTTCGACCCAAAGCACCCTGACCAAGAGGCTGTGCACCGTGGCAACCCTAAGACTGAGGCCCAGGTCCTGGAGTTCCACCAAGGTAGGTACAACCAGCCAGGCCGTCAGTGACAGGAGGATTTACTGGGGCTTCTAGGGACCCCGTGAAAGGGCAAAAAGACGGCACAGAAGCCTGTGGATATCAGATATAGATAGTGAGGGCTAGGGCTTTATGGGGAGGGTGGATGGGCCCTGTGGGCGGGGGATGTTTAGGAGATCTTCCAAACAGAGCATTCCAGCCTGGGGGAACAACCCATTATAGACCCCACCCAGCACCGAAGACAGGGACAGGTGGGGCTGAGCCTGGAGGCCGGCAGGACCTGTGCGGCCGGCTGCGGTGTCAGCAATGCCACCGTGTGTGGAACCCTCTGTGCCTAGGTTCCTGGAGCCAGCTCCACCTGGCAATGTGCTTTGTTTCACAAGACTAGAGTTGGCCCATCTTGTTCCGCCTCAGATGGAACACCTGACCTCCTGCACACCCCACCCAGCCTCCAAATTCAACCACCCCAGTAGTGAGACAGGGAGAGTAGGGTGTGACCAGAAGGTGGAATGAGCTTAAAATAGGCTGCAGAGATATCTCTGAGCTTTTAAAAAGTCGTATCTTTCATATCGTGTTCTTGTGAAATCTTCTCCAGATTTTTTACAATGACTCTGAAATTGATCAGTTAGCCTCATGCTTTCAAAATCCATAGCCGCAGTGAGCGAGAGGGGGCAGGTCAGCTAGAGGTGGAGGGGGCAGATGGGCCAGAGGCGCCTGGGCAGGGGTGGATGGGGCCTGGACAGGCTTAGTGACCCTTGCACCAGAACTCTCCGGACACCGCCCCTTCGCCCACTCGTTAGGCTCCTCTGCCTTCGGGCCGGCTGGGCTGCCCATCCCCGCTCGTTCCCCTCCTGGGCAGGTCTGGACTGGACAGGTTTTGGGCCTCCAGGTCGTGCAGTCAGTCAGGGAAGGGGCCTGGTGCAGGCCACAGCCAGGCATCCACCTCCTTCCCAGCCCACCCCTACCCCCCAGCAGCCTGCCAACTTGCTAGACCTGTGCGGCCTTCCCTTCTGCTGAAAGTCTCCAGATTCTCAGGGCTCTGCACGGGGAGCCAAGCTGGGGCTTAGAACTGTGCTCCCTTGCCCCCACCCCCGACCTGTGCCCTCATCAGCTTTCTTTTTTTTTCTTTTTTCTTTTTTTTTTTGAGACACAGTCTCGCTCTGTCGCCCAGGCTGGAGTGCAGTGGTGCGATCTCAGCTCACTGCAACCTCTGCTTCCCGGGTTCAAGCAATTCTCCTGCCTCAGCCTCCTGAGTAGCTGGGAGTATAGGTGCGTGCCACCACACCCCGCTAATTTTTTGTATTTTTAGTAGAGACGGGGTTTCACCGTGTTGGCCAGGATGGTCTCCATCTCCTGACTTGGTGATCCACCCGCCTCGGCCTCCCAAAGTGCCGGGATTACAGGCGTGAGCCACCGCGCCCGGCCTGTTTTAAATTTTTTTTGTAGAGACAGAGTCTCACCATGTTGCCTAGGCTTGTCTCGAACTCCTGGTCGCAAGTGATCCTCCCCTCTCTGCCTCCGCCGTAGCTGGGATTGCAGGCACAAGCCATGACGCCCCCCTTCTCATCAGCTGTCTGGGTCTTTCTCGGGGTCCTGACACCAGGCCAAGTGTTCTGCACACCTGACCTGCTCAAAACAAAACCAGTTCTGCCACAGTCTGGGAACATGAGGCTCAGAGAGGCCTTGCAGCTGTCTGTGAGCAGGCTGGCATTTGGATCCAGTGACTGGGTTCTGGAGCCCAGTGGCTCTGTGGCCCTGCCTCTCCAGCCTTATGCTTCTTTAAAACTGCCCATGGCCTCTGAAGTTGAGGATTTAGGGGAGCAGGGCTGCCAGAGGGGTGAAGAAGGAGATCTTTCTGTGGGTGGGTGTCAGAATGACCGGGCCTGACACTGGTCCCTGCTCCCCTGGAAGGACAGCCCCTCTCGGTTATGTGGGGGGTGGGCTGCCTAGGGTGCTCTGGGGAGAAGGGAGGGAGAGAATGGGGCTGGTCGGGTGGGGTGTGGATTCCAGGCCTGCTTGGTCAAAAAGATACAGTATTTCCTATTCCCCCTTACACTGGGCAGGCAGGTGTGGCCCAGGCAGCTCTGCCAGGTGTGCAGCCCCTGGAGAATGACCCTTAAGTGCACCTAGGCTGCCCCCTGGCGGCAGCATGAGGTCCTCCTCCCTGGACTTGTAACCCTCCCAGGGGGAGGAGGTCCACACCAGCTGATGGGTTGGCACCTGTCCCCAGTCCCTTTCTTCTTTCCTGTGCCACTGCTCCCAGAGTTGCCCAAAACACACGATCAGGTGCAGTGGCTTGAACGAAACCCTGTCTCTACGGAAAATACAAAAATTAGCCAGGCATGTTGGCTCATGCCTACAGTCCCAGCTACTTGGGAGGTTTAGGTGGGAGGATCGACAGCCCAGGAAGTCAAGGCCGCAGTGAGCAGTGAGCTGTGGTTGCGCCACTGTACTCCATACTGTAGCCTGGGTGACAGAGTGAGACCTTGTCTTTTTTTTTTTTTTTTTTTGAGACGGAGTCTCACTGTGTCATCCAGGCTGGAGTGCAGTGGCGCGATCGGCTCACTGCAAGCTCCGCCTCCCGGATTCATGCTATTCTCCTGCCTCAGCCTCCCGAGTAGCTGGGACTATAGGCGCCCCTCAGCCTCCTGAGTGCTGGGACTACAGGCGCCCGCTACCACGCCTGGCTAATTTTTTTGTATTTTTAGTAGAGACGGGGTTTCACTGTGTTAGCCAGGATGGTCTCGATCTGCTGACCTCGTGATCCACCCGCCTCGGCTTCCCAAAGTGCTAGGATTACAGGCGTGAGCCACTGAGCCTGGCCGAGACCTTGTCTTAATTAAAAAAAAAAAAAAAAAAGATAAAAACCTAGGTAACATGCTGGGGGGTGATGAGGGTTATGGAGGAAAATAAAACAGGTGGGGGCTGGAGTGAAGAGTGGGGGTGCCCCTCATAACTCTGACAAAGACTACAACGCAGCTGTCAGAAAAAAAGCTGATTTGAGGCAATGGTCAGGGAAAGTTGTGAAATTAAGTAAAAAGTGATGGAACAGGCTAGGTGGGAAGTGGTGGCTCACACCAATAATCCAAGTGCTTTGAAAGGCCAAGCAGGAGGATCTCTTGAGGCCAGGTGTTTGAGATCAGCCTGGGCAACATAGCAAGACCCTGTCTTTACAAAAAATGTAAAAATTAGCTGGAGGCTAGGCTCAGTGGCTCATGCCTGTAGGGAGGCCAAGGTAGGTGAATTGCTTGAGCCCAGGAATTTGAGACCAGCTTGGGCAACATGGCAAAATTCCATCTGTACAAAAAAATTGCCAGGCATGGTGGCTCATGCCTGTAATCCTAACACTTAGGGAGGCCAAAGTGGGCAGATTACCCGAGGTCAGGAGTTTGAGACCACCCTGGCCAACATGGTGAAACCTCGTCTCTACTAAAAATACAAAAATTAGCTGGGCGTGGTGGCGCATGCCTGTAATCCCAGCTACTCGGGAGGCTGAAGCAAGAGAATTGCTTGAGCCTGGGAGACAGAGGTTGCAGTGAGCCTAGATCGTGCTACTGCACTCCAGCCTGTGTGACAGAGCAAGACTATGTTTCAAAAAAAAGAAAAATTAGCTAGGTGTGGTGACATGCACCTGTAGTCCCAGTTACTCAGGAGGCTGAGGTGAGAGGATCACTTGAGCCCAGGAAGTTGAGGCTATGATCGTGCTACTGCATTCCAGCCTGGGTGACAGCCAGATTCTGTCTCAAAAATCAAAACACAACAGGGCACAGTGGCTCACTTTGGCCTTCCAAAGTGCTGGGATTACAGGTCTGCACCACCATGCCTGGCCTGAGAGTGCATGAATTAAAGTTTCTATTCTCTTGCTAGTCTGTCATTGCTTCCCTAGTGTGTGGGAACCATACTTGTCCCCACTTCTCAGTCAGAGAGCAGCCTGCCAACCTCCAAGTCTCTTGCCCCTGACCCAAAAGGTCCCAGGCTGTCCTCTCGGCAGAAGCAGCTGTCTTGTGGCTTGCTGTGCTCAGACTCCATTTCTAGGCTGTGGGCTCATCAGGGATCTAGTGCTTTGAAAAAGTGTAAAGGAGAGCAGCAGTATTATTCACAATAGCTAAAAGGTAGAAACGACCAAAGTATCCATTGACAGATGAATGGATAAACAAAATGCATTACATACACACAATGGACTATTATTCAGCCTTAAAAAGGAAGGAGGCCAGGTGTGGTGGCTCACACCTATAATCCCAGCGCTTTGGGAGACTGAGGCAGGCGAATCACTTGAAGCCAGGAGTTGGAAACCAGCACAGACAGCATGGGGAAACCCCCTCTCTACTGAAAATACAAAAGTTAGCCAGGTGTGGTGGCACATGCCTATAATCCCAGCTACTCTGGAGGCCAAGGCATGAGAATCGCTTGAACCTAGGAGGTGGAGGTTGCAGTGAGCCAAGATCATGCCACTGCACTCCAGCCCGGGTGACAGAGTGAGACACTGTCTCAAACAAACAAACAAACAAAAAGAAACGTGTGGTGGAAGAAGGGAAGAAAATTGGCCAGGCACACTCTGGTAGGGGATGGTTGGATGATGAAATACAGACAATAGAAAAACCTAGATAAAGACCTGGCGTAATGGCTCATGCTTGTAATCCCAGCACTTTGGGAGGCTGAGGCGGAAGGATCTCTTGAGGCCAGGAGTTTGAGACCATCCTGGTAAATATAGTGAGACCCCAGTCTCTTAAAAAATAATAATTGGCTAGGCGCGATGGCTCACGCCTATAATCCCAGCACTTTGGGAGGCCAAGGCGGGCGGATCACCTGAGGTCGGGAGTTCGATACCAGTCTGGCCAACATGGAGAAACCCCATGTCTGCTAAAAATACAAAATTAGCTGGGCGCGGTGGTGTGTGCCTGTAATCCCAGCTACTCGGGAGGCTAAGGCAGGAGAATCGCTTGAACCCGCAAGGTGAGGTTGCAGTAAGCTGAGATTGTGCCGTTGCACTCCAGCCCAGGCAACAAGAGTGAAACTCCATCTCCAAAAAATAAAAATAAAAATAAAAATAAAAATAAAAAAGAAATAGGCCGGGTGCAGTGGCTCACGCCTGTAATCCTAGCACTTTGGGAGGCCAAGGTGGGGGCGGGGTGGATCACTTGAGGTCAGAAGTTCGAGACCAGCCTGGCCAACATGGTGAAACCCAATCTCCACTAAAAACACAAAAAATTAGCCGAGCATGGTGGTGGGCACCTGTAATCCCAGCTACTCGAGAGGCTGAGGCAGGAGAATGGCTTGAACCTGGGAGGCGGAGGTTGCAGTGAGCCAAGATCACCCCACTGTACTCCAGCCTGGGTGACAGAGTGAAACTGTCTCAAAAAATAAATAAATAAATAAATAAAACTTTTAAAAAGTAAGAAGAAGAAGAAAAAAAAATATGGAAATAAAAAAACAAGAAAAAAATAATAGGCCAGGTGCAGTGGCTCATGCCTGTAATCCCAGCACTTTGAGAGGCCGAGGTGGGCGGATCATGATGTCAGGAGTTCAAGACCAGCCTGGCCAACATAGTGAGACCTCGTCGCTACTAAAAATAGAAAAAAATTAGCCAGGCGTGGTGGCGGGCACCTGTAATCCCAGCTACTTGGGAGGCTGAGGCAGGAGAATCACTTGAACCCATGAGGCGGAGGTTGCAGTGAGCCGAGATTACGCCATTGCACTCCAGCCCGGGTGACAGTGCGAGACTCCATCAAAAAAAATAAATAAATAAAATAAATAAATATTAATAATAATTTTAAACAATTAAAAAATATGGGATTTTTTTTGAGACAGAGTCTCACTCTGTCGCCCAGGCTGGAGTGCAGTGGCATGATGTCAGCTCACTGCAACCTCCGCCTCCTGGGTTCAAGTGATTCTTCTGCCTCAGCCTCCCAAGTAGCTGGGACTACAGGCACGCGCCACCACGCCCAGCTAATTTTTGTATTTTTAGTAGAGACAGGGTTTCACCGTATTGGCCAAGCTGGTCTGGAACTCCTAACCTTGTGATCCACCCGCCTCGGCCTCCCAAAGTGCTGGAACTATAGGTGTGAGCCGCTGCACCCGGCCAAAAAATATGTTTTTTAAAATAATAGAGATGAGGCCGGGTGTGGTGGCTCACACCTGTAATCTCAGCACTTTGGGAGGCCAAGGTGGGTGGATCACTTGAGGTGAGGAGTTCGAGACCAGTCTGGGCAACATGGTGAAACCCTGCCTCTACTAAAAATACAAACCTGAGCTGGGCATGGTGACGCATGCCTCTAGTTCCAGCTACTCGAGAGGCTGAAGCAAGAGAATCGCTTGAACCCGGGAGGCGGAGACTGCAGTGAGCCAAGATAGCGCCACTGCACTCCAGCCTGGGAGACAGAGCAAGACCCTGTCTCAAAAAATAAAATAAAATAAATAAAATAAAATAAAATAAAATAAAATAAAATAAAATAAAATAAAAAAAAAATAAAATAAAATAAAATAAAATAAAATAAATAAAATAGATGAAGGCCAGGTGCAGTGGCTCACGCCTGTAATCCCAACACTTTGGGAGGCCAAGGCAGGCAGATCACCTGAGTTCAGGAGTTAGAGAGCATCCTGGCCAACATGGTGAAACCCTGTCTGTACTAAAAATACAAAAAAAGTAGCCAGGCATTGTGGCGGGCGGCCAATAATCCTGGCTACTTGGGAGGCTGAGGCAGGAGAATCACTTGAACCTGGGAGGCGGAGGTTGCAGTGAGCCAAGATGATACTACTGCACTCCAGCCTGGGTGACAGAGCAAGACTCTGTCTCAAAATAATAATAATAGGCCGGGCACGGTGGCTCACACCTGTAATCCCAGCACTTTGGGAGGCCGAGGCGGGCAGATCACAAGGTCAGGAGATCGAGACCATACTGGCTAACATGGTGAAACCCTGTCTCTACTAAAAATACAAAAAATTAGCCGGGTGTGCTGGTGGGCGCCTGTAGTCCCAGCTACTTGGGAGGCTGAGGCAGGACAATGGCGTGAACCCGGTAGGCGGAGCTTGCAGTGAGCCAAGATCGTGCCATTGCACTCCAGCCTGGGCGACAGAGCGAAACTCCACCTCAAAAAATAATAATAAAATAAAATAAAATAAAAATAAAAATAATAATAATAGAGATGAGGTTTTGCCATGTTACCCATGCTGGTCTCCAACTCCTTGGCTCAAGCGATCCATCCACCTTGGCCTTCCAAAGTGCTGGAACTACAGGCTTGTGCCACCACCCTGGCCTTAAACAATTATTCATGAAAGGAAGGAAATTCTGACACATGCTGCAACATGGATGAAGCTCAAGGACATTATGCTAAGGGAAGGAAGCCAAAGACCTGCCAGCCGAGGTCCCAGTCCGTCAAGGGCTCCAGTGAGCGAGCAGGATTGAGCAGGTCCCTGGGCTGAGCAGTGGGAACTCTGCTTTGCTGTGAGTGTGGCACGGGTGGCGGCAGACTGTGGAGTGCAGGCTCTGTGGAGCAACTGGACACTCTGTTGAACGAAGTGCAAGGTGGTAGGTTTTTGCTTTTTTTTTTTTTTCTGAGACAGAGTCTCACTCTGTCTCCTAGGCTGGAGTGCAGTGGCATGATCTCGACTCATTGCAACCTCTGCCTCCCGGGTTCAAGCAATTCTCTGCCTCAGCCTCCTGAGTAGCTTGGATTACAGGCGCGAGCCACCACACCCAGATAATTTTTAAAATATTTTTGGAAGAGACGGGGTTTTACCATCTTGGCCAGGCTGGTCTCGAACTCCTGACCTCGTGATCCACCTGTTTCAGCCTCCCAAAGTGCTGGGATTACAGGCATGAGCCACCGCGCCCGGCCACAAGGTGGTAGTCTTTCTCAAGGACGCTGGGGCAACCCCATTGCGTCTTCACCAACACCCTGGTACAGATCCTGCAGCTGCAGTCTACCCCGCATACAACATGTTCAATGATCCCTAGCTAGACAAGGCATTGAAAACTATTCCATAGGCCGGGTGCAGTGGCTCCTACCTGAAATCCCAGCAGTTTTGGAGCAAGGCGGGTAGATCATCTGAGGTCAGGAGTTCGAGACCAGTCTGGCCAACATAGCGAAACACCGTCTCTTCTAAAATACAAAAAATTAGCTGGGTATGGTGGTGCATGCCTGTAATCCCAGCTACTTGGGAGGCTGAGACATGAGAATCACTTGCACCAGGAGGCGGAGGTTGCAATGAGCCGAGATCACACTACTGTACTCCAGCTTGGGTGACAGAGTGAGACTCTGTCTCAAAAAAAAAGAAAAAAAAAATTAGCTGGGCATGGTGGCATGCACCTGCAGGCCCAGCTACTCAGGAGGCTGAGGCAGGAGAATCGCTTGAACCCAGGAGGCTGCAGTGAGCCAAGATCGAACCACTGCACCACAGCCTGAGTGACAGAGTGAGACTCCATCTCAAAACAACAACAACAACAACAATCAACTATTCCATGGGAGGCAGAGGCAGGAGGATGGCTTCAGGCCAGGAGTTGGAGCCAAGCTAGGCAACATAGCGAGAATTCCTCATCTCTACACACACACACACACACACACACACACACACACACACATTAATTAGCTGGGTGTGGTGGCGCATGCCTCCAGATACTCAGGAGGCTGAGCGGGAAGGATGGTTTGAGCCCTGGAGGTTGAGGCTGCAGTGAGCCATGATCACGCCATGACAGAATGAGGACCAGGTGGAAGAACTGAAAACGTTGGGGATCCACACATCCGCTCCATCCTTTCAGATGGAAAGAAATACCAAGACTCAAAAAAATGAGGGTGCCCAGGTCCTCACTGAGCAGAGACTCACTGCTAAAAAAAAGCCTTACCTATTTGGGTTTTCACTAGTAAGCAGTTGGTTTGTAAGCAGTTGGTGATTTTAGTTTGTCTGGGTTTCAGCCATGAATATTCTATTGTAAACTTAATTATAACAACTGCACTGTAATAATTCAATGTCCTATTATGATGTTGTTATAGACAAAATTTGCCTTTACATTGTCATTTATTTTATTTTATTTTTCTTTTGAGACAGGGTCTCACTCTGTCACCCAGGCTGGAGTGCAGTAGCTCAATCTTGGCTCACTGAAACCACTGCTTCCCAGGCTCAAGCGATTCTCCCACCTCACCTTCTCGAGTAGTTGGGACCATAGGTGTGAACCACCATATCAGGCCAATTTTTGTATTTTTAGTAGATACGGGGTTTCAACATGTTGCCCAGGCTGGTCTTGAATTCCTGTGCTCAAGCGATCCACTTGCCTCGCCTCCCAAAGTGCTGAGATTACAAGTATGAGCCATTGACATTTAATCTTCCTTCCTTCCTTCTTTCCTTCCTTCCTTCCTTCCTTCCTTCCTTCCTTCCTTCCTTCCTTCCTTCCTTCCTTCCTTCCTTTTCTTTTTTTGAGATGGAGTCTCGCTCTGTCGCCCAGGCTGGAGTGCAGTGGCACGATCTCGGCTCACTGCAAGCTCCACCTCCTGGGTTCAAGCATTTCTCCTGCCTCAGCCTCCGGAGTAGCTGGGACTATAGGCGCGGGCCACCATGCCCAGTGATTTTTTATTTTTATTTTTTTTGAGACGGAGTCTCACTCTGTCACCAGCCTGGAGTGCAGTGGCGCATTCTTGGCTCACTGCAACCTCCACCTCCAGGGTTCAAGCAATTCTCTGTTTCAGCCTCCCGAGTAGCTGGGATTACAGGCACCCACCACCACACCCAGCTAATTTTTGTATTTTTAGTAGGGATGGGGTTTCACCATGTTGGTCAGGCTGGTCTTGAACTCCTGACCTCGTGATCCACCAACCTCGGCCTCCCAAAGTTCTGGGATTACAGGCGTGAGCCACCGCACCTGGCCTACTTTTTTAAACTTAAATTTTAAAAAAAATTAAGTTTATTTTTAATGTGATTTATTTATTTATTTATTTTTTAGATGGAGTCTTTCTCTGTCGCCCAGGCTGGGGTGCAGTGGCGCTATCTTGGCTCACTGCAACCTCTGCCTCCCGGGTTCAAGTGATTCTTCTGCTTAGCCTCCCAAGTAGCTGGGGCTACAGGTGCATGTCACCACGTCCAGCTAATTTTTTTGTATTTTTAGTAGAGACAGTGTTTCACTGTATTGGTCAGGCTGGTCTTGAACTCCTGACCTTGTGATCCACCTGCCTCAGCCTCCCAAAGTGCTGGGATTACAGGTGTGAGCCATGGCACCCGGCCTATTTATTTATTTATTTTTTAATTTTTTTTGAGACGGAGTCTCGCTCTGTCACCCAGGCTGGAGTGCAGTGGTGCAGTCTCGGCTCACTGCAAGCTCCACCTCCCGGGTTCATGCCATTCTCCTGCCTCAGCCTCCCGAGTAGCTGGGACTACAGGCGCCCGCCACCACGCCCAGCTAATTTTTTTGTATTTTTAGTAGAGATGGGGTTTCACCGTGTTAGCCAGGATGGTCTCGATCTCCTGACCTCGTGATCTGCCCACCTTGGCCTCCCAAAGTGCTGGGATTACAGGCGTGAGCCACCGCGCCCGGCCTCTTTCAATCATTTCTGATGACACCGGAGAAGGCAGTGTCCTTTCCTTATTGTCTCTTTTTTTTTTTTTACCTGGGTATTCTGGAAGTGTCTTTCCTCTGACAGTGTTGTTGGACGTGGGGAAACAAAAGGGTATCAAAGAGAGGGAGAGAAGGATAAAGACCACCCCTCATTCCCGCCCTCCCAGAGGGGCAGCCTGGGGAGTCTATGGAGGAGGTGACTTTGAGCCATGATGTGACCTTAGATGAGGGGCCTCTCTGAGCCTCAGGAAGCTCTTCTGCAAAATGGGGCAAATAAAGAAATGCCCTCTGTGTGCAGTGGCTCAGGCCTGTAATCCCAGCACTTCGGGAGGCCAAGGCAGGAGAATCACTTGAGCGCAGGAGTTCCAGACCAGCCTGGGCAACATAGTGGGACCCCATCTCTACCAAAAAATTTAAAAATTAGCCAGGCATCAGGTGTGGTGGCTCAGGCCTGTAATCCCAGCACTTTGGGAGGTTGAGGCAGGCAGATTGCTTGGGCCCAGGAGTTTGAGACCAGCCTGGGCAACACAGTGAGACCCCTGCTTCTACACACACACCAAATTAGCCAGGTGTGGTGGTGCACATCTGTAGTCCCAGCTACTTGGGAGGCTGAGGTGAGAGAATCATTTGAGCCCTGAAGCTCAAGACTACAGTGAGCTGTGATTGTGCCACTGCCCTCCAGCCTGGGCAACAGACCAAGACTCTGTCTCAAAAAAAGGAAAGGTCCGGGCGCGGTGGCTCATGCTTGTAATCCCAGCACTTTGGGAGGCTGAGGTGGGCGGATCATGAGGTCAGGAGATTGAGACCATCCTAGCTAACACAGTGAAACCCCGTCTCTAGTAAAAATACAAAAAATTAGCCAGGCGTGGTGGCGGGCGCCTGTAGTCCCAGCTACTCAGGAGGCTGAGGCAGGAGAATGGCGTGAACCCGGGAGGCAGAGCTTGCAGTGAACTGAGATTGCACCACTGCACTCCAGCCTGGGCAACAGAGCAAGACTCCATCTCAAAAAAAAAAAAAAAAAAAAAACGGAAAAGAAGGCCGGACGCAGTGGCTCACGCCTGTAATCCCAGCACTTTGGGAGGCTGAGGCGGGCGGATCACGAGGTCAGGAGTTTGAGACTAGTCTGGCCAACATAGTGAAACACTGTCTCTACTAAAAATACAAAAAATTAGCCAGGTGTAGTGGTGTGCACCTGTAATCCCAGCTACTCGGGAGGCTAAGGCAGGATAATTGTGTGAACCCGGGAGACGGAGGTTGTGGTGAGCCGAGATTGTGCCATTGCACTCCAGCCTGGGTGACAGTGCGAGACTCTGTCTCCAAAGAAAAAAAAAAAAGGAAAAGAAATGCCATCCCAAGGTGATCCCTCACAGGAAGTGACTCAGAAAAGCAGTGAGCTACGAAAGCTATCTGAATGAAGCAAGATCGTCATGTGGGAGACACTGACTACCCACTCCTAGCAAAGGGCTCAGCAGCACACGGCCTCCCTGCGGGGATGCCCTCGGGGAAGATGTGGCCCAGAGGAGTTTTTTGGGCCTTGCTCCTCAGTCCTGGCTCTTAGTAGGACCCTCTGCAGCCAAACTAGCATATCCTGAGCCAGGCTGACCTTAAAAAGTAAGCATTCAGGGCCTAGGGACCTTGGGCAAAGCAGAGAAGCTGGTGTCAGATGAGGTGCCGCACGTACAGTAGGATAAGGTGTTCTCAGGTCCCCAGTGCAGCCCCAAGATGAGCCTGCAGTATTTTCCTTACATGATCTGGTCCTACTGTGGGCAGCGCTGCTGCCCAGAGCCTGAGAGGATTATGAAAACATGGCAACGGAAGTGAGGCCAGGGGACACAGCATGGGGGCATGAGGAGCAGGGGACAGCGGGTGGGGCTAGAGGAGAGGGAGGTTTAGGGAGGCCTCTGCTGCTGTGACTGTGAGCCCCAGCCAATGATGACGTGGCCACCGCACAATCTGAGTTCTGGGAACCATGTGATGGAATGTGTTCTGGGAATAGACTGCAGCCAGGAAAAAAAAAGCAGAAGGGTGCACCCTCCCTTCCTCAGCCAGGAAAACATTTCTGTAGCCCTTGCGGACCCAGTGCGCAGAAGTGAGAGGGAGGAAAGCCAGGCTCATGTTTCCTTGGTTGTGCTTCAACTTCTAAAATATGTTTTTTCTATGAACATTTTAATGAGGGGTTGGACATAAGACAGAAAAATAACATTCTGAGAGCTCGTTTGGAGGTTCTAGCAGGGGAGCGCAGCTACTCTTATACTCTTGACTGAAGACCGATCGTCCTCTATCGGGGATGGTCATCCTCTTCCATTGAGCACACAGCTTCTGGAGGGACGCACATGGAGTGGTGAGGGAGGAAGGGGATACCCGCCTAGTCAGCCAGATCAGCCGAATCAACCCTGATGATCAATGGGGTGACACATGTCGCAGCCAGATCACCCTCACATCCCAAAAATAACACTCAGATTGCTTTTTCTTTTTTAAGATGTAGACTTTTCTTGAGACTTTCGTACAAGGCAATGGACAGATAACCTTAACCTCCCAGAGAAAACACACATTGGCCACAGAAAAAGGCGCTTCTCCGTATACCTGCCATAGTTATCAGCAACTTTGAAATGGCTTCTCAGACTCTCAGGGGTTGGCTTGTTGTGTTTGCTTTTGCAAATAACTCAGGCTTAAGTCCTGCTACTTTCAGAGCCTAGGGGACGCTTAAGGACTACCATCAGTTTAACACAGTGGCACTTGGAGCACATGCTACTTATGGTGGTGAGGAGGGGTGCTGGTGTGAGGGTCTGAACGCTTGCTTCTCCTCTGGCAGGGTGTGAGCAGCCAGAGGCCACTACCTGGGCAAGGATGCTTGCTCAGTGTCCATGGAGGGACATGTGATCCAGCAGGTGGGCAGGAACCAGGCCCCTGTGGCCGCCCAACTCTCCATAATAGAATCCTTGGTCATCCATGGGCCCGTAAACCATGACCACGTCTCCTGCCCTCAGCGCCAGCCTGCCCTTCCCCTGGCCCCCCATTTGCCCATCCCCAGGATCATAGTCCAGAGCTGCTATCATGATCTTTGGAGTCCACAGTGGGAGTCTCTTGGAGTTCCCCTGGAGCACCAGGGAGGAACCCTGGGGGATGGTGAGCCCCTGAAAGTCCTCGAGGTGGGCCACAGAAGGCAGGTGCCCTTGGGCCGGAGAACGCCACCTCCTATCAGTCTGCTCTGTCCCCACCTCCATCTCAGCCACTAGGCGCCCGGGGATATTGCCCACTTGCCTGTTGCACTCGCTGAGGTAGAAATCATGGGTGTCCTGAGAGCCCCACACTCTTAGCAACTGCCTTTTCTGGAAGACCAGCTCCTCCTCTGCAGCCTTGAGGTTGGCAGACATCACCAGGGGGTTGTAATCAGAGAGGGCCACAAAGACCCTGGCTGGAGTGTTGGCCCCCGTCCCCAGCTGTTGGGGGCCACCCCTGGGCATCTTGATGACTTTGGCGGATGGAGCTGGACACAGTGCCGAGCTGGGCTCATGGAGCTGGCACCCTCTCTTCACCCCCAGAGCTTGTCCTTGCCTGCTGTGGGGCTCAGGCTCCCTCCTCTCCTCTCGCCTCTCTGTGCCCCGCAGATCCAAGCACAGTGCCTCCTGCTCCTCCTTCAAAACGTTATGGAAGTCAGATGCATACTGTTGGCTGGCGCCCAGCTGGGGAGGTGTGAACCCTTGGGCATCTTGCTTTTGCCGAAGTACCCTCTCAAGGGCAGCCTTTTCCTGACACGGTTCTTTCCTGGGCCCACACTCGGTGCGTAGATGGATGAATCCTGGAGCAGGGCTTTTGCTGGTGCCCATGTGCTGGTAGCAATTTTCCTTCTCCCCAGGCTGGTCACTGACTGAAGGTGGCCTGTGGTTCTGGGGACTCTTCTGAAAGAGCAGGTCCTTTCTACAGCCCTCCCAGGCCTCTGCAAGCTCCTGGGCTTGGCTGCCAGCCCCTGAACTCGGACATTCTCCTTCTGAGCCCAGGTTGGACACTGGGGATTGCCTCCTTGGGGGTTCTTCAAAGAATGCTTCTAGGAACTTGGCCTGGGGCTCCCCGCAGCTTCCAGGGTTGTGGGGGCTGGCCTTGGCACTCGGAGGAGCCAGTGACAGCTTCTGGGGGCAGACGGGGAAGGTGACTCTGTAGGTGGATGGGTCGCCACAAGTGTAGCTAAAGGGTGGAGTCTCTGGCCATCGGTGACACATGAAGAAGTCCTCGGGGATCTGAGCAGGCACTGAATCCAGGGACTCACCACAGAGTGACATGGTTCTCACTGAGACCTTCTGCCACGTGAGGGGCACCTGTAGCTGGGAGAATTCCAATACGGTGCTCCCAGCAGTGGCATCGGCGACCTCACAAACCTTAAGCCCATCTGCATACACAGCATAACCGGTGACCTGGACTCCATTGGAGGACCCAGCTGAGTCAATGGTCACAGGGAGCCAGCTGACCACCAGGACACCTGGCGAGGCATGGCGCTCCACCAGCACCTCCAGCGGTGGGTAGGGAGGTCCTGCCAAGAGTGTGTCGAAGGTGACGGTGGAGGACATAGTTCCCCAATACACCTGCAGCAAGTCCCATGGCAGCCGCACCTCCACCCGCACCCGGTAGTGCGTGCCGGGGCACAGGCCCTGGAAGGTGTAGCAGCTCACGCCCGCTGGGGTCAGGGCATGCTCTCGGTCATCAAGATATACCACATGGGGGTGGCGGTGGCTGCTGTAGACCCAGGTGATGTTGGCTGATGTGGCTGTGACATTCTGCAGGTGTAGCTGCATGGGAGCCATACGGAGCACCCCTTTGGTCCCCAGAAGGGGTCTGGAGAGGCCCTGCTTCCCCATGCTCTGCAGCAAGCCCAGCTGGCAGGCTTCCGTCTTGGTATCCAGGATCTCTGTTGCTACTTCTGTCTTGGAGCCCACCCTGACCATCTGGCACAGCCCTCTGTCCACCATTCCCTGGGCTTTCCCAGATAATAAGCTGTCTTCCTCCAGAGCTTCATCCTGCCCCGCTGGGAGTTGACTGGGGCCAAGATCAGGGGATTTGGCAGGCAGGCAGCCTGGGATGTAGCTGTCCGGAATCTGCTCCACGAAGTTGGAGGGCACCAGCCCCCGCCGGCCATCGTCAAGCTCCCCCTCATAGAAGCCATCCTCATCCATGTCCCCGAAGATATATATGTAGTCCCCAGCTGTGAGGGGCAGCTCACCCTCAGGGTGATCATTGGGCCCCTCAAATGGGTTGTAGTTATACTGAGCCATGAAGATCTTGAGCTTGGGGGCAGCAGGAGCCGCCGAGCCCCCCATTTCCAGGGCCAGGGACACGCTGTCAGGCTCCAGGTCATCCACCTCACTGGCTGTGTCCCTGTCCAGAGTAGGGGAGGACGGCACGGTGGCCCACATCGACCCCTCAGAGGAGGAGTTTGACTGGGAGCTGGTTTTCTTGGACAGAGGTTGGCTGGCAGGGACTGTCTCTGAAACTTGGGGGACACTGGCTGACTCCCCAAGGGCAACTGGGCTCTCCTCGAGGGAGGCTTCCCTTTTCTCCTGTATGTCTCTGTTGGGCTGTGACACTGCGTAGTCTTCAGGCCGTGCGTGGAACTTGGGCCTTCTGCTACCTTTAACTTGGGACTCCGGCATTTGACTGGTCTCCCAGGGCTGTTCAGGAGGGTGACCAGGCCGACACTGGAGCGCCTGTATCTCCTTCCAGGAAGGATGGAGGTCACACAGGGCCTTCTGCGGGTCGCGTTGCAGCTGCTGCTGCCTGTCCTGCCCGCGCGCCGCCTGCTGCAGCAGCTGTTCGGCGATCAAGCCGGAGGCATCGCGCTCTTGACACGCGCGGCCCAGGTGGCCGCGCACTTCGCTATTCTCAGCCTCCACCTTCCGCACCCAGTCGGTCTTGGCCTGCAGCCGCCCATTCTCCTCCGCCAGCCAGGCGTTTTTGAGCAGCGCCGCCTGCAGCTGTGTCTCGGCCTCCTCGCCACGTCGCCGCGCCGGGGCCGCCTGCGTGCCCAGCTCCTGGCACTCGCGCCGCCGCTGGTCCAGCTCGCGCTCCAGCGCCAGCATCTGCCGTCGCACCTCCTCGCAGGTTGCGCTCTGGCCGCCCGCCTCGGGCCAAGCGCCACCGTTGCCCTGCTGAAGCATCAACTGCCTCTGCAGGCGCAGCACTTCCCGCTGGGACTCGCGCTGCAGGCGGTCTAAGTCTCTGACGTTGAGCCACTGGGTGCAGGGGCCGCCCCTTCCAGTATGCAGGTCGCTGCAGGGACCCGAGGCGACACGCGCCTGCAGGAGGTGGCACTCCTGCCGCAGCTCTTCGATCTGCTTGTCCTTGGCCAGCGGCGCGCTCGCCTGCTCCGACAGGTCCCGAGCGCGCTGGCGGGCAAAGACTTGGCACAGCTCCAGGCCGGCGCAACTCTCGCCGGGTATAGGCGCGCTCACGGCCCGGAGGTTGGTCTCCTGCAGCTCGCGGGCGCGGTCAGCTAGGCGCCGCGCGAGCCCGGTCAGCTCCGCGCGCTTTACCTTGAGCCGCTTCACCTTCTCGTCTGCCTGGTAGGGGCAGCCTGCACGCCGCAGCTGCTTGTTCTCCTCTTGCAGGGTATAACAGCGGCGCGCCAGCACCCACAACGCCTTGGCCAGCAGCCAGTTCAGCTTTATCAGCTCGTGGTGGCCCAGGCCCGGGGGTGAGGGAGTCAGGACTTCGCAGGGCTGGCTCTCAGAGCCTTCTCCTCCCCGCGGGTTGCTGAGTTTCCTGTGGGCTGACGGTGGTGGTGGCGGCGGGAGTGGCGATGGTGGCGGCGAGAGCCTCCGGGAGCCAGGGGTGGAGGTGTCTGGTGAGGAGGGCCGCTCCTCGGATTTGGAGGCCTTGGGGAGGCTCCGGGTGCTGTCAAGCGAGCGGGAACACGCAGGTGCGAAGCAATCAAGGGAGCTGGCGTGCGTGGAGAGCAGGCCGTCTGGGGAGCTGGAGCACGCAGAGGACACCAGGCCTAGCGAGCGGGAGCGCACACCGACTTCAGCACTCAGGCTGTCTAGAGATCCGAGTTGGCAGGCGGGTTTGGGGGCGTGGCAAGAGCCGCTGGAGGTCTGGGGCAGCGGTTCTTCCAAGGAATGCACAGCTTGGGGGTCCGGTGATCCCGACAAAGCCGGGTGCCCGCGGAAGTGCGCCAGGATGTACTTGAGGAAGAGCTGGCGCTCCACCTCCAGCGCCGCCTGCAGATAGCGGATGCGCGCCGCCTGCTCGCCGTCAGTCTGCCAGCGAAGCTGCGCCAACACTTCCTGCAGGCGACAGCGGCACTGCGCCGCGGAAACCTCGGACGCCCCCGGGCGGCTACAGTGGCCGCGGTTCACCAGCTCCTCGGCCAGCTGGCGCTGCAGCTCCCGGGCTTGGCGCACCACGCCATCGCGCTCCCGGTGCAGCAGCTGCTGCAGCTGCCGCTGCTCGGCCTCCTTCCAGCGCAGCAGCTGCCGGATCTCGGCCTCGCGTTCCCGCTGCATCTCCTCTTGCAGCTGCCGCAACTCCCGGCTGCGCTGTGCCTCCCACTTGGAGCGCAGACGGTCAGCCAGCTGCCGCCGCTCCCGCTCGGCCTCCTCACGCAGCTGGCGCTCCCGGGCAGCGAAGCGCCGCCGTTCCGCCCGCCAGCCTGCCCGCTCCGCCTCCAGCTCCGCCCGTAGCTTCTCCAGCTCCCGCCTCTGGTTCTCCAGCACTGCCGCCGCCGGGCTGGAGCAGCCCGGCTTCTTGGGCGACGCGCCCAAGGGGCTGGGCGAGTCCTTGGCCATTGCGGCCGCGGCCCGGCTGGTCTCCAGACTTCGCCTGGCAGGCCTCAGCTCGCCAACGGCCGCCGCCGACCGCCCGGCGCGCCCCTTCCGGCGCCCCCTGGGGGTCTCCGCGTGCCCCTTCCGCCTCTTGGCATGTTCCCCCGCCTCCTGCCGCGGATGTCTGGCCCAGGCGCCTCTCCACCTGGCAAGGCCAGGGCTGGACTCCCACACCCCTGCTCAAACTGGCCCATGTCCCTTCCAGGATGCACGGGGGCTTTTCCGGTCCCTACACTTTTCCTGCTACTAGCACCAAGTCCCTTGTGACCCTCCCCAGGCACCCTCCCAGGCACTGTGCAGTCCCAAGCAGGCCGCGGTGCCCCGAGGGAAGTCTGGGCTGCTGCTCCTGTACTTGGAGAAAGGGGCAGGGTGTGTGTGTTAAGGCCACCCATGGGGTGTGGGCATACCTGGTCGTGGGTTCAGGTGGTGTATTTGGGTCAGGTGGCTGGAAAATGCAGCAGGATAGGCCTCAACTTGGCTAGACCTGGACTCCCCAGGACCCTTCAGCCCCCTAACAGCCCTGATCACCCAACTGGTCATCCACCTTTTGAGGAAAGGATGTGCCTGATACACATTTGTGTTACTGCGCAGAGTCGGCTCAGAGGAGGTGTAAGCGAAAAGACCCTCCCCAGCAAGGTGGCATAGGGACCCAGGGCCAGATAGGCATGGGGGCACTGCCCAAACTGGCCATCTGGCCTGTCTACCTCCCACATCCAGGTACCACCTGGTGACAAACACTGGAGCCCCAGTGTCTGGGCTACTCATTGGCATCTTAGGTAGAGGCCTCAGGATGGGCCAGGAGTGAGGGTGAGGCTTCAGCAGAAATGTTGGAGGCATCCTGAGCTGCAGAAGAAACACACACACACACACACACACAGCTGCAGAAGAAACATACACACACACACATACTGAGCTGAAGGAATACACACATACACTGAGCTGCAGAAGAAACATACATACACACACTGAACTGAAGAAATACACACACACACACACACACACACACACACACACACACTGCCTCTCTGACTGGTGGCCACCTGTGTGGCTTGGGAGCTAAGAAGCCCTGCTTCAGTCTGGCTCCTCTTTGCCCTTCCTGTCTGCTCCTGGTGCCAAGTGGCTTTTTGGAGACATGGATGGACACCTGATACCTGGCAGTCTGCATTGAGACATTGATTTTGTTTTTTGAGATGGGGCCTCACTCTGTCGCCAGGCTGGAGTGCAGTGGCGCAATCTTGGCTCATTGCAACCTCTACCTTCCACGTTCAAGAGATTCTCCTGCCTCAGCCTCCCAAGTAGCTGGGATTACAGGCTTGAGCCACCATGCCCAGCTAATTTTTTGTACTTTTTAGTAGAGACAGGGTTTCAGTATGTTGGCCAGGATGGTCTTGAACTTCTGACCTCAAGTGATCCACCCGCCTCGGCCTCTTAAAGTGCTGCGATTACAGGCATGAGCCACTGTGCCCGACAAGACCTTGATATTGAAGTCACATCAGAGGCCCCTTTGCTTCTTGGTCTGTCGTGTCTCCCTGTCCCCAGGAAGCACCTGGGACCTCTCACAACTGCTGTGTTCACTCAGCTTATGGCCCTCCTTTACAACACTCAAGTTTTTCAAATCAGTTTCCCCGGAACCCACAGAACATGCCTTTAGGCAGTGTCAAGTAACAAGAACATCGGGAATTATGGCTCCAGATGTTCTTTTTTTTTTTTTTTTTTTTTGAGATGGAGTCTCGCTCTGTCGCCCAGGCTGGAATGCAGTGGCGCAATCTCTGCTCACTGCAAGCTCCGCCTCCTGAGTTCACGCCATTCTCCTGCCTCAGCCTCTCAAGTAGCTGGGACTACAGGTGCCCGCCACCACGCCTGGCTAATTTTTTTTGTATTTTTCAGTAGAGATGGGGTTTCACCATGTTAACCAGGATGGTCTTGATCTCCTGACCCTGTGATCTGCCCGCCTCGGCCTCACAAAGTGCTGGGATTACAGGCGTGAGCCACCGCGCATGGCCCTTTATTTTATTTTATTTTATTTTATTTTATTTTATTTTATTTTTGAGACAGAGTTTTGCTCTGTCACCAGGCTGGCATGCAGTGGCACGATTTCGGCTCACTGCAACCTCCGACTCCCTCGTTCAAGTGATTCTCCTGCCTCAGCCTCCTGAGTAGCTGGGATTACAGGCATGCGCCACCACGCCCAGCTAATTTTTGTATTTTTAATAGAGACAGGGTTTCATCATGTTGGCCAGGATGATTTCGATCTCCTGACCTTGTGATCCGCCCACTTTGGCCTCCCAAAATGGTGGGATTACAGGCGTGAGCCACCGTGCCCAGCCCAGATGTTCTTTATGAGAGGTGAGGCAGATGTAGTGTGTATGTGAGAGGAAGGGGAGGTGAGATGCAGGGATGGCCTTAGCCTTGAACTGGTGCTGGGCTCCTGGACATGGTAGCCACAGGGAGGACTATCTTGAGAGAATCTTCATCACAGCCTTGTTTTACGGAAGAGAACCTGAGGCTCAGTGAGAGCCACTGGCTTGCCAGGGCACATGGGCAACTGAGGCAGAGCTGGTGGGTGGGGTTTCACAGCCTGGATGCCCTGCTGCAGTCTCCAGTAGGGCCTCAACTGTCAGGTCAGGAGGGCAGGCTGGGCCGGGCATGGTGGCACAGACCTGTAATCCCAGCCCTTTGGGTGACCAGGGTGGGAGGATCACTTGAGCCCAGGAACTCAAGACCTGCCTGAGCATCATAGAGAGACCCTGTCTCTACAAAAAAAATTTTAGCTGGGCGTGCTGGTGCATGCCTGTAGTGCCAGCTACCCAGGAGGCTGAGATGGGAGGGTCACTTAAGCCCGGGAGTTTGAGACTAGCCTGGGCAACAGAGTGAGCGAGACCCAGTCTGCATTTCCAGCTGAGATGAAATGATTGCTTGAGCCTGCAAGGTGAGGTCAAAGTCGCAATGAGCTGTGATGGCACCACTGCACTCCAGCCTGGGCAACAGAGCAAGACTGTCTCAAAAAAAAAAAAAAAAAAAAAAAAAGCCTGGTGCGGTGGCTCACTCCTGTAATCCCAGCATTTTGGGAGGCCAAGGCAGGCGTATCACGAGGTCAGGAGGTAGAGTCCATCCTGGCTAACATGGTGAAACCCCGTCTCTACTAAAAATACAAAAAATTAGCCATTAGCCAGGCATGGTGGCGGGCACCTGTAGTCTCACTTATTTGGGAGGCCGAGGCAGGAGAATGACATGAACTCAGGAGGTGGAGCTTGCAGTGGGCCGAGATCCCGCCACTGCACTCCAGCCTGGGCGACAGAGCGAGACTCCATCTCAAAAATAAAAATTAAAATTAAAATTAAAAAAAGAGAGTAGGCTGTCACCAAGAAAAAGGACACTGGGGTGGATGGGTCTCTGGGAACCCCACAGTTACCATCCAGCAGCTGCCCCAAAGTATGTCAAAAGCATTCGGGAATGTTGGTTGAGTGGATGAGCAAAGCCAGGCTTCCCCAGGGCTGGGTTTCTGCCATCCCTGTTCTCATCATGTTGTGCAGTGATTGTCCAGTGACCTGCCTGTCACCCCCATCAACTCTGATCTTGGGGAGAGCAGAAGCCATGTTTTCCCTTGTCCCTATTGCATCCCTGCATGTGACTTAGCACATCACTGGTGCCCAGGACATATGAGAATGAGTTGCAGGGAGGCAGGAGTCCCTGCATGAGCTCACCATGCTGCTGCCTTCTCCAGGTTCAACTTTCTCACCTATTAAATGAAAGAGATGGTTTCTTTTTTTTTTCTTTGAGATGGAGTCTCACTCTGTCACCCACGCTGGAGTGCAGTGGCATGATCTCGGCTCACTGCAATCTTCACCTCCTGGGTTCACGTGATTCTCCTGCCTCAGCCTCTCAAATAGCTGGGATTACAAACACCTGCCACCATGCCTAGCTGATTTTCATAGTTTTAGTAGAGACGAGGTTTCGCCATGTTGGCCAGGCTGGTCTTGAACTCCTGACCTCAAGTGATCCACAGGCCTCAGCCTCCCAAAGTGCTGGGATTACAGGCATGAGCCACCATGCCCAGCCTGAAAGTGGTGGTTTCAAACTGGGTTCTTTAGGGCTCCAGGGTTCCTTGGAAATATAGAACTGCTGGGCACACACCTATACTCCCAGCTACTTGGGAGGCTGAGGCAGGAGGCTTGCTTGGATCCAGGACTTCTGGATTGTAATGTACTATACTGATGGGGTGTCTGCACTAAATTTGGCATAAATTGGTGACTTCCTGGGAGCAGGAAACCACCAGCTTGTCTAAGGAGAGGTGAACTGGCCCAGGTTAGAAAAGGAGCAGGTTGGCCGGGCTCGGTGGCTCATGCCTGTAATCCCAGCACTTTGGGAGGCCAAGGTGGGCAGGTCACCTGAGGTCAGGAGTTCGGGACCCGCCTGGCTAACATGGTGAAAACCCGTCTCTACTAAAAATGCAAAAATTAGCTAGGCATTGTGGCGCATGCACGCCTAATCCCAGCTACGCGGCAGGCTGAGGCAGGAGAATTGCTTGAATCTGGGAGGTGGAGGTTGCAGCAAGCTGAGATTGCACCACTGCACTCCAGCCTGGGCGATAGAGTGAGATTCCATCTCAAAAAAAAAAAAAAAAGAAAGAAAGAAAAAGGAAAACGAAAAGGAGCAGGTCAAAACTCCTGTGCTGGCTGGGCGCAGTGGCTCACGCCTGTAATCCCAGCACTTTGGGCAGTTCAAGACCAGCCTGACCAATATAGTGAAACCCCATCTCTACTAAAAATACAAAAAATTAGCTGGGTGTGGTGGCAGGCGCCTGTAGACTCAGCTTCTCGGGAGGCTGAGGCAGGAGAATCGCTTGAACCCGCGAGGCAGAGGTTGCAGTGAGCCAAGATCATGCCATTGCACTCTAGCCTGGGTGACAGTGCAAGACTCCATCTCAAAAAAAAAAAAAATTTTTTTTTTTGTAGGCTGGGCGCCGTGACTCATGCCTGTAATCCCAGCACTTTAGGAGGCCAAGGTGGGTGGATCACTTGAGATCAGGAGTTCAAGACCAGCCTGGCCAACATGGTGAAACCCTGTCTCTACTAAAAATACAAAAATTAGCTGGGCATGGTGGCAAGTGCCTGTAATCCCAGCTACTCGGGAGGCCGAGGCAGGAGAATTGCTTGAACCCAGGAGGTGGAGGTTGCAGTGAGCTGAGATCACGCCATTGTACTCCAGCCTGGGCAACAGAGTGAGAGTCTGAGTCAAAAAAAAAAGAAAAAAAATTAACAACAGGCCAGATGTGACGGCTCATGCCTGTAATCCCACCACTATGGGAGGCTGAGACGGGCAGATCACTTGAGCTCAGGAGTTCAAGACCAGCCTAGACAACACGGCAAGGCTGCATCTCTATAAAAAAATTACAAAATTTAGCCTGGCATGGTGGTGCACGCCTGTAGTCCCAGCTATTTGGGAGGCTGAGATGGAAGGATACCTTGAGCCTGGGAGGCAGAGGTTACAGTGGACTGAGATTGTGCCACTCCACTTCCACCTGGACGAAAGAGCCAGACCCTGTTTCAAACAACCAAAAAAACAAAAACCCAACCCCCCAAAATAAAAACAATAATAATAATAAAAATAAATAAAACAGAAATACCATAGGCCTTTTGGGAGGAGGTATGCAGGAAGCGGATGGGGAGAGACAGTGCCCCTACTTGCTTCAATGGGCAGATCTACTCTTTTTTTTTTTGAGACGGAGTCTCGCTCTGTCACCCAGGCTGGAGTGCAGTGGTGCAATCTTGGCTCACTGCAACCTCCGCCTCACGGGTTTATGCCATTCTCCTGCCTCAGCCTCCCGAGTAGCTGGGACTACAGGCGCCCGCCACCGAGCCCGGCTAATTTTTGTATTTTTAGTAGAGATGGGGTTTCACCATGCCAGCCAAGATGGTCTCGATCTCCTGACCTCGTGATCCACCCTCTTCGGCCTTCCAAAGTGCTGGGATTACAGGTGTGAGCCACAGCACCCGGCCGGCAGATCTACTCTTAAGTGTCACTTATCAGATTCGAAGAAGGGTTTTGGTTTAATAAAGCATTATGCTCCTTGAAACAAGTTTGAGAACCCCTGGGTTAGAGGACCTCTTGCCCATTGTGTGCTCACACACACACGACACACACATACCCCATCCCAGTACGTAATGACTTCCCTGACCCGGAGAGAAGGCGATATGTCCCCCTTACATCTCAGTTGGCTCCACATCGCCAGCTCTGTATTCCACTTTCCCTCTCTCTACAACCCCAGTCTATGACTTTTGGGCCATGGAGTCTGGGTTCCTGGGCAACCTGGTTCACATCCTTCTCCTGCCGGCATGGCCTGGCTCCATTTCTGTTCGGCTACCAAAGCCCCAAGCTTTGTAGAGCCTGCCTGGCCTTGAGGAGGGGAATGGGCTCCATCCTGAGAGCCTGCAGGAGGGTTTAAGCCTCCCATCCCCCATTGCTACAGTAGCTCCCCCAGCTTTTCATTCCATATCCTTTATTTTTATTTATTAAAAACTTAATTTTTGGCCGGGCGCGGTGGCTCACGCCTGTAATCCCAGCACTTTGGGAGGCCGAGGCAGGCGGATCACGAGGTCAGGAGATCGAGACCATCCTGGCTAACACGGTGAAACCCCGTCTCTACTAAAAATACAAAAAATAGCCAGGCGTGGTGGCGGGCGCCTGTAGTCCCAGCTACTTGGGAGGCTGAGGGAGGAGAATGGCGTGAACCCGGGAGGCAGAGCTTGCAGTGAGCCAAGATAGCACCACTGCACTCCAGCCTGGCGACAAAGTGAGACTCTGTCTCAAAAAAAAAAACAAACAAAAAACACTTAATTTTTTTTTTTTGTAGAGACAGGGTCTCCCTATGTTGCCTGGGCTGGTCTCAAACTCTTAATCTCGAGTGATCCTCCCACCTCAGCCTCCCAGAGGGATGGGATTACAGGCATGAGCCACCATACCCAGCCACATATTTTTTATTTTTGTTTCTATGTGTTTTCTGTCTGTTCTTTGCTGTCTCCTCCATGTCTAGAACAGTGCCTGGCACATGATAGGTGCTCAGTAAATACAGGACTGAAGAAGACAGAGGCAGACAGGCCAGATGTGGCTGCTGTCCTTAGGGAATTGACAGTCCATGACCTATGAGAATGAGCTGCAGACTGGGAGGCAGGTGTCCCAGCATGGGCTCACCAAGCTCCTACCCTCTCCCGGTCCAGCTTTCTCACCTATGAAATAAAAGTGAAGCTGGACATGGTGGCCCACGCCTCTAATCTCAGCAGTTTGGGAGGCCAAGGTGGGTGGATCACTTGAGATCAGGAGATTGAGACCAGCCTGGCTAACATGGTGAAACCCCATCTCTACTAAAAAACACAAAAATTAGCCGGGCGTGGTGGCAGTTGCCTGTAATCCCAGCTACTCGGGAGGCTGAGGCAGGAGAATTGCTTTAACCTAGGAAGTGGAGGTTACAGTGAGCTGAGGTTGTGCCACTGCACTCCAGCCTGGGTGACAGAGCAAGACTCTGTCTCAAAATAAACAAACAAACAAACAAACAAACAATAAATGAAAGTGATGGATTACATGAATGGTTTTCAAACTGGGTTCCTCAGGGCTCAGTTTGGGGGAGAATGCAAAGGTTAAATACAAACAACAATGGAATGTAGTAACATTGGCGCTTGGGCGAGTGCTCTGGGTGAGGAATGTGGTGCTCATGGGGAGAAGAGCCGCATCAGAGCAGGCTTCCTGCATGAGGCAAGGAGGAAACACAAGAGCTGAGAGCTGAAGGAGAGGGAGTGAGGGCTGCCAGAGGAGCTGGGAGGCGATTTCAGGCAGTGGGAACTGGAGCTGCAAACCCCCAGCCTCCTGCAGTCTGGCTATCTGTACCAGCCCTCACCCATGCCCACCACCCTCAGGGCACTCACATCCCTTCTTGCACTGATATTTTCCCGTCCTATCATGACCCTCGTTTGAGGGTGCAGGGAGGACTGGAGCTCAGAGAGGGAGGGTTACCTGGCCAGACCCTAACCCGCTGAGTTCCAGTGGAGTTCCTTCCATCCCCCAGCACTGGATGGGGCTGGATACCTGGAGAGGGACCGTGCTGCTCTTCCTGGGCCCTGCAGCCTGCCTGGCTGGTCCACATCTTCCTGGGCCAGGAGGGCAGTATGGTGCGAGCTTCTAGCTCTCTGGCTGGGGCCCCCTGGCCTACTGGGCTGGCTTCCTGCCCTGGTGGCCCTGGCCCAGCTCCCTAGCTCATGTGCCTCTGCAGCGAGTGGTCAGCCCCTTCCCATCTGCACTTTACAAGCCTCATCGCTGAATCCTCCCCATAGCCAGGGAGCCTGGCACTCTCCTCTCCAGAGAAGGAAACTGTCCAGGGTCACACAGGGACTTATGGGCAGGTCTGTGTGACCTGAGTCTGGGCTCTGAACTGGTGCTTGCAGGGTCTTGCCCTCTGGCTCTGGCAGCCTGAGTGTTACTGTAATCCCTGAGCCTTTGAACAAGCAGGCACTGCTTCCTGAGATCCCCATTGCTGCTGTCAGCGTCTCTGTTTCCCAGCTCCACACTGCTGCCAGGACAGACGTATCTTCTGTCTTGTAGCATCTCCATTTCTCTTCCCTTTAGATCTATTTTTTTTTTTTTTGAGATGGAGTCTCGTTCTATCATCCAGGCTGGAGTGCAGTGGCGCAATCTTGGCTCACTGTAACTTCTGTCTCCTGGATTCAAGCGATTCTTCTGCCTCAGCCTCCCAAGTAGCTGGGATTACAGGCGCATGCCACCACGCCTGGCTAGTTTTTGTATTTTTAGCAGAGACGAGGTTTCACCACGTTGGCCAGGCTGGTCTCAAACTCCTGACCTCAGGTGATCTGCCCACCTCAGCCTCCCAAAGTGCTGAGATTACAGGCATGAGCCACCGCTCCCGGGCTGGATCTATTTCAATCACCCTCCTTCCTCTGCAGCCTGAAACTTGAGGCTTTGCCCACTTCCCAAAGGCACGAGTAGCAATGACCATTTGTTCTGTCATTTGGCCATAGCTCTAGGTCAGAGGACAGTCCTTCATCAAATGTTTGTTAAGCATGCAATCTAGACAGGGGAGGACAAGGGCCAAGTAATGTGTTAATTTCTTCATTCACTAAGCACAGAGAATGGAGTAGAAGGAAGGTGGAAAGGAGAAGGAAGGAAAAGAGAGAAGAAGGAGGATAGAAAGGAAGGAAGGTGGGAGGGAGAAAGGAAAGAAAGAGGGAGTCCTTTAGGTTATCTAAGCCCCCTCAGGACTTGGTCTGGCCCTCACAGTCCAAGAACAGACTTGGGCTTGAGCCTCTGACCAGCCAGATGACTGAGAAGCTGAGGAACAGCTTGAGCCTCAGTTTTTTCCTCTGTAAATGGGGTTGATAGCAGTTCTGACCCAGCGGGCTGTTGGGGGAGTCACAGAGATGCTGGGTGCTGCCTTTGCACTCAAAAGGGTCCAGGCTAGGTGTGGTGGCTAACACCTGTAATCCCAGTACTTTGGGAGGCTGAGGTGGGAGAATTTCTTGAGTCCATGAGTTACAGACCAGCCTGGGTAATATAGAGACAAACTGTCTCTATAAATTTTTTTCCCAAAGATTAGCCAGGCATGGAGGTGTGCACCTGTAGTTCTAGCTGCTTGAGAGTCTGAAGTGGGAGGATAACTTGAGTACAGGAGGTTGAGGCTGCACTGAGCCATGATCACACCACTATACTCCAGCCTGGGTGACAGAGCCAGACCCTATCTCAAAAAAAAAAAAAAAAAAAAAAATCAAAGGGGTCCAGCATGCATCTTCCTGTCAGCTTACCTAAGGGAGCATGATAAATTGAGTCCCTGCCACGATGGACATGGGGAGTGTAGTGGGAGGGAATGGCAAAGGCACCACAGGCAGAGGGAACAGCCTGGGCACAGTGGGGGGTGTGATGTGGCACAGCACTGATTGTGGGAAGCGAGGGATGTGGGAGATGAGGCTTCAGGTAGTCAGAGCGAGGTTGAGGCAAAGCCTCACCTGCATGCTCTAGATGAGGTCCAATTCCTGGTACCCAGCTCCTAGCCTAGTAATGGGCCACTTCTCCCAGGGCCACAGTTTTCTCTCCTATCAAATGGAACATGTTAGCACTGCTCTATGGTGCCAATGAAGGGTATAAGTGTCCAGTGCCCATTTCCTGCCCCAGCAGAGGCACTTTCTTTTCCTTGTCCTCTTGCCTACTGGGGAACTCCTTCCATCCCTGGTTCCTCCCCCAGCTTCTGCGAGGCCCCTCCTCTGAGCCCCCACACCTCATCAAACCCTCAACACCGTCTGGTGTTTTCCTTGGTGCCTCTTCAAGATGCTGTGAGCTCCTTGGGGGCAGGTGGTGCCTGTGTACCTCTATTTTTTTTTTTTTTTTTTTTTTTTGAGACGGAGTCTCGCTCTGTCGCCCAGGCTGGAATGCAGTGGCGCGATCTCGGCTCACTGCAAGCTACACCTCCCGGGTTCACGCCATTCTCCTGCCTCAGTCTCCTGAGTAGCTGGTACTACAGGGGCCCGCCACTGCGCCCGGCTAATTTTTTCTTTTTTTATTTTTTTTTTTTTTGAGAAGGAGTCTCGCTCTGTCTCCCAGGCTGGAGTGCAGTGGCACAATCTCCGCTCACTGCAAACTCCGCCTCCCGGGTTCACGCCATTCTCCTGCCTCAGCCTCCCGAGTAGCTGGGACCACAAGCACCCGCCACCACGCCCAGCTAATTTTTTGTGTTTTTAGTAGAGACGAGGTTTCACCGTGTTAGCCAGGATGGTCTCGATCTCCTGACCTCATGATCTGCCTGCCTCGGCCTCCCAAAGTGCTAGGATTACAGGCGTGAGCCACCACGCCTGGCCTTTTTTTTTTTTGTATTTTTAGTAGAGATGGGCTTTCCCTGTGGTCTTGATCTCCTGACCTCGCGATCCACCTGCCTCGGCCTCCCAAGGTGCTGGGATTACAGGCGTGAGCCACCGCGCCTGGCCCTGTGTATCTGTTTTTCTGGACCGCCATCATGTTCAGGAAGGCATCGAATATTTTGTCCGCGACTGCAATCACACACTGCATCATCCCTGAAACGAGGTTTCCACGGATAAGGTGCAGCAACAGAGAGAGAATCCTAGCAACTTTCAATCATTTTCTTTTGAAATGGTTTTAGACTTACAGAGAGTGGCAAAGACAGCACAGAGCTCCCATATACCCTTCACCTAGCTTCCCTGGATTTTAACATCTGCAGTAACCAGGCTGATGTGTCAAAACTGAGTCAGATATTGATATAATCCTATTACCTAAACTTCAGACTTCGTCTGGATTTCCCAGGTCTCCCACACATGCCCCGCTTCTGTTCCAGCATCCAACCCAGGACACCAGGTGGCATTTAATCTCTGTGTCTCCTACTCCCTTCCAATATGTGGTGACTCCCCAGTCTGTCAATGTCTTTTGTGACTTTGACACTTTTGAAGAACAGTTATTTTGTTGAATGTCCCCTAATTTAGGTTTGTCTGATGCTTGCCCATGATAAGACTAGGGTTACAGGATTTGAGGGAGAACTCCATAGAGTGGATGTGCCCTTTCTTTTTTTCTTTATCATTTTTTTGAGATTGAAACTCGCTCTGTCGCCCAGGCTGGAGTGCGGTGGCACGATCTTGGCTCACTGCAACCTCTGCCTCCTGGGTTCACGCCATTCTCCTGCCTCAGCCTCCTGAGCAGCTGAGACTACAGGCTCCCGCCACCACGCCCGGCTAATTTTTTGTATTTTTAGTAGAGACTGGGTTTCACCACATTGGCCAGGATGGTCTTGATCTCCTGACATCATCGTGATCCGCCCGCCTTGGCCTCCCAAAGTGCTGGGATTACAGGCGTGAGCCACCGTAACCAGCCTGCCCTGCGTAATTTTTGTTGTTGATGATCCAAAGTGCACCCACTCACCATCTCTGGTAGCTGGGAGGAGCAGGTTTTTGGGTGAAGGTGAAAGAGCCGGAGTTGGGGATGTGTGTGGCTGGGGGGTACAGGTGCGACCACTTTGCAGTCCACTCCTGTGAGTAGGGCATTCCTGAGGGAGAGAAGGCCTGGTTAGCCCTGGGGCTCCTTCGAGGCCTGGCCCCAGGCCTTGATACCTAGAGCAGCCTGACACATGTGTGGATGGACTGCCAGGCGGTCCCCTTAGGAGGGGCTGTTCTAGCAGGGACCCTGGCTTGGGTGACCACCACCTCCTGCCACACTCCAGGATCCCTGTCCCTGCTGGAAGCCGGGCCCAGGGCCATGCCAGCCGTGAGGGGTTCCTCATGAGCCTCCTCCCCGGGACCCAGGCCCCATGCAGCTGCCCCCTCCCACCTGCCTGACCCCCCTGGCCTGCACTTCCCTCCATCCGAATCCTCAATCTCCGCCTGGAATTCCCTTCCCTCCTCAACCCCACCTGGAAACTCTCCTCCTCCTCCCACACAGCTGGGACTCCCTTTCTCCCACCTCTGGGGGCCCAAAGCTCTGGATGCCACCCTAGCCCTCAGCTGGCCTCACCTGTCTCCTCATAGCCCCACAGCTTGATGGTGTCTGTGTGGGCAGCGCCTCAACGTGCCAGGTCAGGCTGAGGTTGCCTGAGGTGTTGGCGGTGCCGTAGTATTGCCAATGCATCTCGTTCATCAACTCACTCTTCTCCTTCATCAACACTTTGTTGGGGTGCACTGGGCAGGGGAGGTGAGGGGTGAGTGAGGGCTGGGCCCAGGGAAGCAGGGAGGAGGCCCTGAGGCTTCAAGGGCTGTGGGAGCCTCCAGGGCCAATGCATGGCAGCAGCTGGGTGATGGTCTCTCCGGCCCTCATGGCAGAAAAGGACGCTGAGGCCGGAGAGGCAGGGGCCTGCCCTCCCTCCACTGCCCACGCCTCTAGCCTCCACCTGGCTTCTCCCCTGCCCTGGTGTGGCGGAGCTCAGTGGATAGGCACTGGCCCACCTCTCTAGGGACCCCTGCAGCTCCCACTCACTCTGGGCTGGGACCGTGGTCTGGATGCCAGGGAGTGGAAAGGAGCTGAAGGAACTCTCGCAGGCGGGCAGGCCTCCCAAGGGATTGGTTCAGCCAGAGAGGCAGGACACGGACGGGCCAAGTCTCGGTGTGCATAGATTAGCGCTGGGGAAAGTCCCCGTGGGGGCAGGCTGTGGGCAGGGAGGAGGGCTCACCAGCCAGCCAAGTGCCCGCACGAGGGAAGGAGTGGCCATCGTCCAGTGAGATGGTGAAGGGGACGTGGCCGCTCTCATAGAGCAGGGGCGACACGAAGTGCACTTGCCCGGAGGAGTCCACATGGCCGAGGGTCTGGATGCTCTCCTGTGGCATGCAAACCTGTGGGCCTGGTGGTGGTAGGAGGTGCTGGGCCACTGCAGGCTGAGCATCTCGACAGTCTGGGCCCCCAACCTCCCTGGGGAACCCATCCAACCAGCTGTCCTGTGCCCTCCTGCCTGTCCTGGGTCTGAGGGGCTCCATTCAGCCTGCCAGTGGGTCTGAGCCCTCAGCATGCACAGGGATGGGGGCGTGGGGCCCCAGTGCCCGGCCTCCTGGGCCTCCCAACCTGCAGATCACACTGGCGTCTGTGGGGCTGGACATCTTGAAGTGCCGCACCACAAAGTCCTTGCCGCCCATCATGGATCCTGAGTAGGGCAATATCTCCAGGCAGAAGTCCTGGAAATCCAAGCAGCAGGTACCAAGGCCGGAGCACGTCGGGTGGCAGGAACATGGCCCGTCCAGGGCGCCACAGCGCATGGAGCAGCTCTCTTGGGCATCTGGAGGAGAGGATGCTGAGGGCCTGGCCTGGCGGGTGCTGGACTGGCTGCCCCATGTGCAGGGCCTGTCTCTGTTTCTCCCACAGCCCATTAGACAGCAGCATCCCCAGGAAAATGCTGGCCGGGAACTGCACAGGCCACCACGTTGATATGGTAGAAAGTCACAGGGCCCGTGGGGATGGGATGAATCTTAGCATAGACCATCTGGCTGTTGCCCTGACTGATGGGCTAGAATGCAGCGAGAAGAGGCAAAAGGCTGCACCCGCTCAGCCCTGCAGGGTCAGGAGAAGCCCCCTGGGCATGACTGCCCTTCAGCCACCAAGTCCTCTATCCCACAGGCGGGGGTCCTCAGAGGGCCACGGTAGCTGGAGCCCTCGACCTCTCTTGGCTCCCCAGGGTGTCTGTGAACAGTGCGCCTTCTGGGGGCCCTGAAGACTGCAGAAGAACCCCTTTTGCTTGCCTGGACTGGGGTGGGGGATACAGCTGCCAAGAGTCCCATTCGAGGCCTGGTAGGGAATGGTGCAGGGTCTGAACTTGACCCTTCTCACTCTCCCAGGGGCTGCAATTGAGACCCCAAAGAGAGCTCCGCCCTCAGGGCAGAAGGCCAGGGCTGCTCCCCTCCTTTCTGGGGGGAGGAGGGACATTTCAAGCAGGTGTCCCAGCAGTGGGGAAAGGGAAGTGGGGGTGCACACTGCGAGGGGCTGTGGGTGCTGGGCCCAAAGCATCTCCTATGGGCCATGAGACCCACGGCAGGGCCACATTTCCAGGGACTGGCATGGAGGAAGAGTTGCAGGGAGGGACTGGGGCAGGTGCGTGCCCAGCTGGGGGCCCGGAAGGGAGACAGGTCCCATCCCCGGGCTCCAGAGATGCCACCACCCAGGGAAGCCTTGGCTGTCCCAGCCACACCTAATCCTGCCGCTCAGAGTTTGCATAATTTAATCAGTGTTCACCTCCCTTCTTGAGCAGATGAGGAAACTGAAGCTCAGATGCGGACAGGCAAGGCCGAGCCAGGCCCTTGGTGGCTTCTGGGAGCCCCTGCAGCCAGGGCGGGTGGTAAGGGCTGTGGCCTGGGACTGGTCACTTGGGCCCTGCCACCTGGGCTGGACGTCCAGACAGGCGGGTGGTCCTCTCCCAGCTGCAGCTTCTCAAGGTGTCCAAAAGGGACCCTTGCCACACTTGCAGGGAGTCAGAGCTGGCCCCAGGGCATGAGCTTAGGCCATCTGGTCTGTGATCTGCCCCAGCGCTTGCGGCCAGGCCAGCCCATTGTTCCCCAGCCTGTTCTCTCTCTTGCCTGGGTGGTGCCTGCTGGGAACCACAGGGTGTTGGCAGCCACCCATGGCTCCAGAGAGGTGGGCCCCTACTGAAAGTGTTAGAGGCATGTGCTGGGGGACTTGGCTCCTGAGTCCCCACACAGAGCTGTTCCAGGGAAGCCACACCCGCATTTGATGTCTTCCCACCTCCCAAAGACATTTGGTGAGAGGCCCCCAAGACCTTCAGCTTCTCAGGACTGTTTCCAGAGGGGAGAAAGTCCCTTAACCCACAACGGTGCTCAGGGCACCTCTGCAGGTGAGTGTCCTGTAAGTGGATGCTCAGGCGCTGAGCCACGGAGAGCCTGTCTCCTGGCCCCAGGCTGGCGAGGGCATTCATCCCAGGCCCAGGGCTGAGGTTGCTCCCTACAGCACTGGGTGCAGGTGTCCATCCTCCTGTAGGTGAGGCTCCGGGTGGTTCGTCTGAGACAGTTCCCAGGAACTGGAGGAGGGAGAGCTGCTGCTTCCTGTTTCTGGCCTGGGAACCCTTGCTGCGCGTGTCTGGAGACGATGGAAGTCCGGTAGGGGCTAGGTGTGCAGTCTGGGAAGCTCCATACCACAGGCCCTGCCGTCAGCTGAGTAACTGAGGCTGGCTCATCTCAGCCCCCCAAAGGTGGGTTCAGCCAGACCCATATGGGGCCGCCAAGCCTCTGGTTCCAAAAGGGCAGTGCCCAGCCCTTTAGGCCTTTCTTCTTGGGTGGTGGGTGTGTCCAGCCCATGAGGGGCACAGGGCAGTGAGGAGGGTCCCCATCTCCATCCTGGACAGAGAGCCTGCTCCATGGGAGGTCCCAGGGGCCAGGAGGGCCCCTGTGGTGCTGGGAGGGGAAGAGAGTTGTGAAGGGTGGGTTTGGGTCCCTGGAACCTGTGCATCCCCAAGACAGATGGGCCTGGAGCCTTCGGGGGCGGGGCCAGCTCTAGGGGCTTGTTTAATGCTCTGTGGTGGCTGCCTTAAAATACTTAATCATTTTTGGTCAGGCACGGTGGCTCAGGCCTGTAATCCCAGCACTTTGGGAGGCCTAGGTGGGCGGATCACTTGAGGTCAGGAGTTCAAGACCAGCCTGGCTAACATGGTGAAACTCCGTCTCTACTAAAAATACAAAAATTAGCTGGGCATGGGGACATGTCCCTGCCCCCTGCCCCTTGTGCCCACCCTCTCCCTCCCCCTGCCCCTTGTGCACACCCTCTGTACCCCCCTTCCCGCCCCAGCCTGTGTTTGCAGTGCTACAGGGTGGCTGCAGCCTTCGCCTCCCACAGCTCCTCAAGTTCAGAGGGCTGGGAACCCCTGGGATGTGGCTGGGATGAGGACCCTGCCCCTCGTCAGGCATTTCCAGGCAAGGGGCACAGAGACACAGCCAGCCCAGCAGCTGAGCCCCTCCTATCAGGCCAGGTGGGAAACTGAGGCATGAACACAACCCCAGACTGGAAATAACAAAGCCATCATGTACTGTGTGCCTACTGAATGCCAAGCCCTATGCCCTATTCTTTAATGTCATCTTTAATGAGATGTCTTCACTCAGTTCACCACATGATAGTAGACAGGTATTTATGATGCGCCTACTGCATGCTGGGCACTTTTCTGGGCCATGAGGACTCAGGGAGGTCCCTGCTCTGGTAGAAGTCAAACCCGACAGGAGACAGAGACTAGGGCCCCACACACCAGGAGGAAGAACCCAGTGCAGAGAGTGCCAGCAGGAAGCCACAGGGGCAGGGAAGGCGCTCCTGGGAGGGTGGGTGGCTGCGTCCTGAGGCTGAGCAGGGGGAGCCGGCCTAGGGACAGGATGTGCGCAGGCGTGGAACAGGAAGTTCCTGGAATGATGGGCAAGAGGGAGCAGGTCACTGGGGGCAGGTCTAAATACTGGGGGCTGCATTGGGATAGCAGAGGCCTCGGACAGGCCCGCTCAGCATGTAGACTCCCCTCCCTGGCCCCTTCCCTAGGATGACAGTGGAGGTCCATCCCCAGGTGGTGGTGAGGACACTCCTGACACAGAGACCCCAGCCCAGCTGGCAGGGGAAGGGGAGCCCTCAAGGACCCCTGTAGGTTGGGGCATGTCCCGCCAGGTGGCCCTCCATGGTGCCCAGCAGCAGCCCTGCTTGCGGACCCTCTTTAGTCCCCACTGTTAAAAAAATAATTCAGTGAAAATTGACACTAGCTGGGCATGGTGGTAGGTGCCTATAATCCCAGCTACTCGGGAGGCTGAGACGGGAGAATCGCTTGAACCAGGGAGTCGGAGGTTGCAGTGAGCCGAGATGGCGCCACTGCATTCCAGCCTGGTGACAGAGTGAGACTCCGTCTCAGAAAAAAAAAAAAAAAAGAAAAGAAAAGAAAAAAAGAAAAATGACACTTGCCAAAGCGCTGTAGGGAAGACTGTCCAGGACCGTGTCACTAGGCATAAGGGACCACGGCGATGAGATTCTGCAGTGGGTAAGAGACTGGGCTCAGCCTCGAAGACAGCATGGGCAAGTGGGATCGGACCGTCAAGGAGCAGGGGGAAGACTATCCAGGACCGTGTCACTAGGCATAAGGGACCATGGCGATGAGATTCTGCAGTGGGTAAGAGACTGGGCTCAGCCTCGAAGACAGCATGGGCAAGTGCGATCGGACAGTCAAGGAGCAGGGTGGGGGGCAGCGCATGGAAAGTGACTAAGAGGAAGCATCAGCAGCCAGGGATTCTGGCTTAACTCCCCTAACAGAATTCTTGCTGAAGGCCGGCCAGGATGGCCAGACCGCACCTGGGGGACAGAGGGGGAACCCGATCAGATGTCAAGGACGGGGGGCTTCTTGCTAAACTGACTTTGCAGAATTCTTGCTAAAACTAGAGTTTATAAGGAAGTGCTCAGATGTGCCTAGGAGAAGGCTCAGGAGCCTAAATAAAGCTTGACCAAGCAGAGAATCTTTGTCACCAGCTTGGTGAGAGTGAGGCCCAGAGTGGGTCAGGGCTTACCTGCTCAGGTTGTACAACTGGGAGGGGTCCGTCAGGAGCCTGGAGTCTTCCCACTGGGGGCTGAGTCTGGGCCCTCAGGGCACATATAGGTAGATGCTGTCAGGCCCGACACCCCATGCAGTGCAGACTGGGATGCTGGTGCCTGTGGCACAGACTGGTCAGACCCACCCCAGGCTAGACATTCCTTGCAGGGAGAGCTGAGGCTGTTGATGCCAGGAGCAGACAAACAAGGTCATCACCAGGTAATGAGCTCGTTACCCACATCAGGCAAGGCCATTGCTGGGTAATCATTTGGCCTCCTGCAGAGCCACCTGCCCTGGGACGGTTCCCAGAGATCTGGCTAGCCAGTGCCACAGGAGGCCGGGGCACAGTTCCAGGGCCTAGTGGGCAAGGCAGGGGTATTCAGGGACAAGGTGCACCTGAGTCCCCACAGGAAGCCCCAGACCCTGCAGTAAGACCTGGAACAAGTCATTCTCCTCTCTAAGCTCTCAAAGAAGAGGTCAGCTCAGGGGTCGGGGAGGCAAGGTCTCCTAGAGTAGACTAAGCTGGCCGCTGCCATGCTAACACACACCCTCCCAGCCAGCCGCTGGTCCTGACAGATGAGGAAACTGAGGCTAGGTGTTTTCATGAGGCCTCTGAACCCAGAACCCAGTACCCAGTGTCCTGAGCAAAGCCCAAGCCAGACCTGCCAGCTTATGTGTACAGAGGCCCCACTATGCAGCCTGCACTCCTGGGGCCTAAAAGGACCATCACCTCCCCTTCTAAGAGGCTGGGCACAGGGGCTGGGTCCCAGCCAGGCCACCCTTCCTCCTCCTCCAAAGGCCCAGCAGCAGCTGCTCCCAGAGCAAGCAGCACAGTCGCAGCAAAGGCTGGACAAGTGTCCTGTGCTCTGTGGTCTGAGCAGAGGGCCAGGGGCCGTGACCCACATGGCCCCTCCAGGAGCAGCTCCAAGATGAGCCTTCCTGTCCCCACCAGTGTGTCCGGGACCTCAGGGTGGATCAGCCGCACCTGCCGGCTGCTCCTGTTCCTTGCTCTTCCTGGGGCTCCCCACCACCTTTGGGAGGCAGCTCCAAGACCCTGCTGCCTCCCTTGCTTACCCTCAGGCCCCTGCTGGGTGTGCCCCCTCCCCACACAGACCCCTGAGCCAGCTTCGAGGACTCTGCCTGCATCTCCACGTCCACTCTGATGACTGTGAAGCTACAGTCACACTCTCCGCCTCCACCCCCGCCCTGCCGGGTCCCTGCAGCAGCTCTCAGAGGCCCCCATACCCCCTCCCACACACAGAGCTCGCCTGGCCCTGCCGTCTGAGCGCTCCCCTGGCTCCCAACCGCCCTTGGGCTCTGGGACATAAAACCTCCAGCCAAGGTGGCTGCCAAGTTTTATTTAATAGCCATAGAGCACAAAAGGGATGACAATTAAGTCACACGGAGAGACTGCCCCATCGGGACCCCTGGCCAAGCTAAGCAGAGGAGCCCTGGGGTTTCCTCTGACCCCCCACTGTGAATGCATTACTGACGGGCAAGGTGGCCAGTTGCCCACCCAGCCTGCACGTCTGCATGCACAGAGCTACAGCCTGGGCCCAGGGACAGCCCCGGGAGCCGGTGGCTTCCCACAGGCACAGCCAGCCTCCCCACCCCCACCATGCCTGGCCCCCGGCCCAGGGCACACTGAGGGGAACAGGAGGGGAAGGAGCAGGCCCTGCACTGGAGCCTCAGTCAGCTCCTCTGTGCCAGGGGCAGCTGGAGCTGGCTGAATTTGAGGAACTTCCCGGAGGAACTGGAGAGCAGACCTGTGTGCGCGCCCCGCTCTGCCACGCTCCCTGAGGGACACACTGCTTTGACCAGCCCCCACCCCATCTCCTCTCCGCCAGTCCCCGGTGTCCACCCCAGCCCCGCTACCGATGAAGCTCAAGCCAGGGTCCCCATCACCTGCTTCACGGCCATCCCTGCACTTGAGCTCAGGGGCTCAGGGTTGTGCTGACACACCTGCCTGTCCACCCCTCACCAACACCTCTGCAGTCCTCTTCAGGGCCCAACAGGGTCCCCAGGACCCCGCTCCCATTCTGCCCTTGCTCCTGCCAACCTGTCTTCTCTATGCCCATGACTTTGGGACCCTCTGCCATAAGTACCAGCCCCCACATCTGTAGCCTCTGCAGGAACAAGCCCTAATCTGGACTCATTGCAATGGCTCAGGTTCTCTTCCAGCCTGTCCATAGACCTCCAGGCAGAGATCACAAAACTAACAGCTCTTTCTGCAAATCTGGACTCTCTCCTACACCTTCTCCACCATCCAGGCCTCCCTGTCACTCCTCCTGGGGACCTCAGAGATCTCTTCATTTCACAGGTGAAGACTTGGCTCAGAGAGGGCAGAGCCCCTGGGTCACACAGCCCGTCTCCAGTAGGGCTGGGGAAAAGAACCCAGGGCGCTCTTGTTGGCAGTGTTTTAATGACTGGGGGGAGGGAGAGAATGGCTAATGAGGCTCTAGGGATCAGCAGAGCCAGCTGCTGGAGGTCCCAGAGGACGGGTGACTCAGCAGGAATGGGGGAGTCTGAGGGGTTGACAGAGTGCCCAATTCTCACCTCCTCCTGCACCTTCCAGAGAGACGAGCTGCAGGGAGTGATTGAGTGGATGAACATGACTAGAGGGACCCAGTCTTCTCCTCAGCAGCTGCTTGAGGACAGTATTAGCGGTCCCCTCAATCCCCCCCCCCAACACATGCACACATGCACTGATCTGCAGGGGCCAGACCCCAGTGGACCCGGGGACACAGCTTCCAGGGGCTGTCTTGCCATGTCCCTTCCCAGACCTGCCTGGATTCATGCCAGGCCAACCTCCACAATTTGCTGAGGGAGGCCCCAGGGTCCAGGGCACCCAGAGTGCTAACTAGCCCCTGGGGGTACAGGGAGAACAGCATGCTGTGTGGGGGATACTACTCTGCCCATACCTAGGGCCCTGTGGCGGCCACAGGCAGCACTGCTTATGCAGAGGCACTGGGGTGAGAAGGAGTAGGGTGCAGTAGTGAGGGCTCCACAGAGGGTGGAAGGGCTGCAGGGGAAGGCAGACCAGCAGGGATGCCATGAGGGCCTCAGATGCCAGGCTGCAGAGGTGGACGGGCTGGCCAGCTCCTCTCCCCAGCCTCCTACTGTAAAATGGGAGAGGATCCCAGCCCTGCTGATTCATCCACTCACTCCATGGCAAGACAGCCACTGACAGCTGTGTCCTGGGGCCCACCCGGGCCTGGCCTCTGTGCAGGCTAGCACTCAGCATGCTTAGTGCCACACTCGGCCCAGGAGAAATGACCCAGCCCTGGGCTCAGAGACCCCACAGTGGGTGGATGGAAAACAGAGTCATTTAAATACAACTGTGAAGGGTGCTGTGGAGGAGGGGCTCGAGGTCCCCAGTGTGGGATGGGGTGGTCATGGAACATTTCCCTATCTAAGTGGGAAAAGTGAGAGCCACCAGGAAAATGGCAGGGGTTGGGGGGAGAGGAACTGTGCAAAGACCCAGAAGGATGAAGAAGACTGTTGGATTAGAGGAGGTTAAAGACACAGACAGGCTTGGACATGGTGGCTCATGCCTGTAATCCCAGCACTTTGGGAGGCCAAGACAGGAGGATCACTTGAGGCCAGGAGTTCAAGACCAACCTGGGAAACACAGTGAGACCCTATCACTACAAAAAAAATAAATAAATAAAATAAAATAAATAAAAATAAAAATAAAAAAAGCCGGGCATGGTGGTGCACGCTTGTAGTCCCATCTACTCAGCAGACTGAGGTGGGAGGATCGCTTGAGCCCAGGAGATGGAGGCTGCAGTGAGCTATGATTGCACCACTGCACTCCAGCCTGGGCAACACAGCAAGATCCTGTTTATAAAAACAAAACAAAACAAAAAACCCAGCTTGAGATGGCCAGGGATTTCCAGAGGCCCTAGGCGGGCCACCTTGGAGAGTAAGGGAGACCCTGAAGAGCTCGCATGGAAGGACCAGCAGCTTGGGGCTGGAGATGCCACCTGGATGGATTCCTCCAGCTGTGTGGACTAGGGGACAGGGTGAGGAGATAATGGCCTGGACTACATGGAAGGACGTCGCCCTGAGCCATTGAAAAGGGCTGTGGGGTCCATGACCACTCCTGGCCTTCCCTTGACTATGATGGAGACAGTAGCTTCTAGTGTAAAATGTGAGCTCAGTTCCTGACTCGTGTCTAGCGGGTGGTGCCTGGTCTTTGGCTGGCGATGCTCCATGTCACCTATGCCCAGAAACTGGGCCATGCCCTTTGTGAGGACCTGCCCACAACGTCGTTGTTCCCGCAGGGTCCCCGGGGAACCGGGCTGCCCGGGACCCAGCCCTGCCAGGGTTCCCTGCGCCCCAGGCCGGAACCCCCAGGGCTTTGGTCGTTCCCAAAGCCGTCCCGCGGGCCCCCTCCACGGTGCGTCGCCTGGGCCCCAGCGATGGCTAGGCTGCAGCCTGGGGCTCCCGGCCATCCCGGGCGCTGGCGGCGGTGGAGGCAGCAGGGCGGATGGCGACGCCCGGCCGCCCGTGGGCCCAGGCGCGTAGTGCGTACAGAGCCAGCGAGGTGCTGCGGCGCGTCACGGGCCGCCGGCGGGACCCGGGGCCGCAATCCAATGGGCCGGGCCAGGAAGACGCCCGAGCCCCGGGCCGGCTGGCTCGCCTGCTCGGCCAGCTCCGGGCCGAAGCGGCTTCGCGGTCCGAGGTGCCGCGGCTGCTGAAGCTGGTGGAGCGTGCGGGGGCCGGGGCGGCGGGCGCGGGCGAGAGGACCGGCGCGCACAGCCGCGGCTCCGTGTGCTCAGTATGCGGGGAGCCCCGCGGCAGGGCCACCTACCCGGCGGGGGTCCTGGAGGTCAGCGAGCGGCGGCTGCAGGAGGGACTCGCGGCAGTGCGCGAGGAGCTGGGCGCCGAGATTGAGGCGCTGCGCGCGGAGCTTCGAGCGGAGCTGGACGCTCTGCGCGCGCTGCTGCCGCCGCCGCCGCCGTCCCCGCCTGCCCGCCGCGAGCCCCGCGCCGTCCCCCGCGCCACGCCCCGCGGCCCGACCCTGCTGCGGACGCTCGGCACCGTGAGCGCCCTGGTCGCCGCCTCCAGGCCCGCAGACGACGCCCCGGACGGCCCAGCAGAATGCGGAGCGCACCGAGCCCCGGTCAGGAAGAACCACAAGAAGATGCCAGTGCCGCCTGGGGCCCCGCAAGGTGGCGGGGACTGAGGGCGGCCGCACAAGGGCAGCCTAGGCGAGGTGCGGAAGGCGTCGCGCTGGCTACTCTGGTACCCCCAGGACGGGGCAAGTGAGCAGATCGGTCCCCCTCGTGTAGCGTGGCTCTGAGTCAGAAGGGTGCCCGGGTGCCGCCAGTTAGGGCTCCGGTACTGGAGGGAGGGGGTGGGCGCGGGACGGGCGGAGGGTGGGCCACGTGCGTCTGGGGAGTGCGGCTGGGAGCCGGGGTCCTTGCGAGAGACTGAGTCCGGCTAGAGAACAGGGTGGAGCCCCTTTGGACCTTAGAGCTGGGCCTTTGGGCCTTGGGTCTGGGTCAGCCTTTGGGCCAGGGCTGGGTCAGCCTCCAGGGGAACAGCCGAGACTCCTCTTCCTTGGGGTGACTGCAGGTTCTTTTTCTTTCAAGGTCTCAGTGACGAGGCAGGGTCTCCACGCACTGGAATAGTGTCAAACCACACACAAGGGCACAGAACCCAGGGACACAGGGCGGCTGAGACACGCAGCTGGTGATGGCCCTCAGGACGGTGTCAACCAGTATGTAATCACATTCCACACGGCACCAATTGGACAGCGGCCTCCGGTCAGCCTCACTCTGACTGCAACCCCCTCTCACTGGACAGCATCACCTGGACACAGAGCCTCACCTAGTCTGTGTCCCGTGGACACAACTTTGCTTTGGACAGTGACACCAAGAATACTCACCCCTTTACTTAGCCAGACCACAGGCAGCCACCGGGACACAAACATCTCTCCAGAGTCACCCTCCACACAGACTCCACAGCAGAACTCCCAGGGAGGCACTGGGGCATGGCTTCAGAGCACCAGGCAGCCCTCCGCGGTGCCCAGCACCCGCTCAGCCAGGGCAGCCTGCAGCGGAGCCTGGAGCCAGCAGCTTCTCATCTCTTGGCCTCGGGAAATGTAGCTGGAGTCATCATTTAGCAGAGCACGGTGTCCCTGGGTTGGCCACCCAGCTTAGTTTTAAAATAAAATAATGTAATCTTGGCCTAATGGTGGAATTTCTGACTGCTAGATGTTCTCCTTCCATCTGACCAGGGGATTCAGACACAATGTATAGGATGAGGGTGGGGGCCCTTCTCCCTCTGAGAGGAACCTGGAGAGGCCCGGGTTCTGCTGAGGTAGGAGAGGGTCACTCAGAGGGCTCCCACGGAACAGACAGGCACACTGAGGCCTCAGTGGGATTAGGGCAGGAAATGCCCCTCTTGCAGTGGGGGACCGCGCCGGGTCACGCACCCACCCCCTCCAGGCCACATTAGGCTAAGGTCACTCTGTGCATTATTTCATTATTTCACATGGAGGGTCGCCCACGGTTGACAGAACCACAAGCTGAGCCCCAGGCGCATCAGAGCGCAGTGCACACCTGCTAGGGTGGGGGAAGAGCGGGGGGCTGCTGCGGGGACCGAGGCTCTGGGGGAGGCCAAGACTGCGTGCCCCTTAAGAGGCTGCTGTGGGCCAGGCGCGGTGGCTCACGCCTGTAATCCCAGCACTTTGGGAGGCCGAGGCGGGCGGATCACGAGGTCAGGAGATCGAGACCATCCTGGCTAACACGGTGAAACCCCGTTTCTACTAAAAATACAAAAAATTAGCCGGGCGTGATGGCGGGCGCCTGTAGTCCCAGCTACTCAGGAGGCTGAGGCAGGAGAATGGCATGAACCCGGGAGGCGGAGCTTGCAGTGAGCTGAGATTCCAACACTGCACTCCAGCCTGGGCGACACAGCAAGACCCCGTCTCAAAAAAAAAAAGAGGCTGCTGTGGGCGGAAGTTACCCGTGAGCGGTATGGGGTGAAAGTGGGAGGGTCCAGCCTGGGGCACGCTGTGGAACAGGGTCATCTGAGGGTGCAGGGCAAAGAGATCAAAACGGGGTGGGAGAGGGGCAGCGCCTGCGGGAGGAGCCAGGCAAGGCCCGGGGAGGGGTGTGGGGGGCGAGGGGGAACGGTGGCTCCACCTGCACCCACCGGATGGGTATGGGGTCCTCGAAGACGGTCCAGAGCACCGTGGGCTCGCAGTCAGGCGGGGTCAGTGACCCAGCGAAGCGACAGTAGCTCGAGGTGTTGGGCCGCATCGACGCCAGCAGGAAGGTGGACCTCAGATTCACTGAGAGCCCTGGGCGGCAGAGGGAGGGGGATTGGAACCAGCCTCCCCGTGCCCTGCTGGTGCCATCCCCAGCAAACCCCCCGCCCCTGAGCCGGAAAACGACCCGGTGGCTCCTCACCTGGCTCAGGCACTTTCCTCAAGCCCGACACTATGGCGCAGAAGTTGGTGTTGCTACAGTCCTGCTCCTGGGAGGGGCTCCAAGTGCAAGGGGTTCTGAGTGGGGGAGTCTCTGAAGAGGGAACTCAGCTGGGGTACTCTAAGCAGGAGGTTCCCAGTGGCAGGAGGCATCTGGCATCTGGGAAATGGGGTGGAGGGTTCTCGCCGCCACTGGCCCTGCCGATTCAGGCATTCCCACCGCCCTATCCTCCTACAGATCCTATAGACCCTAGAGATCCCCCCATGGACTCCACAGGCCTAGCCTGTCCACTTCCAGGATCCCCATGAACCCCTTTTTTGGAAACATACATAGAATCACAGCCCTGCCTTCACCGCCAGCAGCAACTCCAGCAGCAGGGCCTGCACTCGAGCCCATCACCGTGGCGTGGTGCCTCCTCCATGCTCTGGTACTTTGTGTTACTGTGGACCACATGCATCTGGGGGTAGGCACAGATGTGGGAGATACCCAGCTGCCCCCACCTTGCTCTCTCTCATCTCCGTGGGAGCACTCCGGCCACCCCACCTTGTGCCCAAGTCTACCTCCATAGCCTGGCGCTGCCTGTCCAGGCTGTGCTCCGAGTCTGCTCGCCTCGGGCCCCCCCCGCCCCCAGCTGATGTGCAGCCGCAGTGCGCGGTAGACAGGCAACAGCAGCCCAGCCTCCCAAATCTCCAGGTGGTTCTGAGGATCAGTGTCCATTCAGAGTAGCAATGAAGGGGAGGAGGCACACGACACCCTCTCTACCTCACCACCTGCCCACCTTGTGCCATTAGGGCACAGGGTACGAGCAGAGGCCCTTCCTCAGGCCAGGCTGCTCCCCAGTGGGGCCCCATTGCCTCCATGGAATGGAACCCATGGTGTCCATGGCTCCTGCTGGTCAGCAGAGCAGAGTTCCACAGACTGCAGGGGAAACCCTCCCCCACACACCCAGCATGGCATGGAAGAAGGCAGAGGGCAGCCCTCCTGGGGTGGGGCTCTGAGCCCAGCTGTGTGTGGTCAGGGATCCTGGCCCTGCCAGAGACCCTGACTCCTGGTCCTCAGGGGCCATGGCTGGTTGTGATTTGTAGGGTGGGACCTGGCACCTACACAGAGGGCGCATCTGGACTGCTGTGTGAGGATGCTCCTTTCCTGTGAAGCTAGCCCCTGTGGAGGGTTTTTGGCCCTGTAGGGTGTCTCAGCTCCCGTGTGTAGGGGGTCCTGGTCCCTGTGTACACTCAGGAGCTCTCATGCCCTGTGTGGGGCTCCTGCTCCTGCCTAGGAGGGGTCCTGACCACAGGGTGCTGACCTGTGTGGCTGTCATTCTCCAGGGTCCAAGGGCCTGGAGGTGCTGAGTCATAGCCTCGGAAGATGAAGGGCCCTAGGGTAGAGTTCCGCCGGACCCTGTGAAAGTCAATGTCGATGAGGGACTGGCCTGGGCCCCCACAGGCAGGGGCCAGCTTCTTCCAGTGGGTGGGGACTGCTGGAACAAGGACTGGGGCCTTTGGGGTGGGGGTGGGGTCAGGGAGGCAGCCTGGGGGTGCAGCAGAGAGTGGCCCCCATACACCCAGAGGATAGCCCAGCCTCAGGAAACCCAGCTCCCTGCTTCCCCCACACCTGAACAGGTCACAGCATCCCCCTTCTCTTGTACCCTGCATCTGGCCTATCCATCTAGTCTCCCGGTTGGCTGCCCCATGGTGAGATGAAGGCAAAAGAGTCTCTGGCACACAGTTGCACACCCACACTGGGACCTCTATCACCTGCACACACTTGGGCTGGCCACAGTAACAGGCACACCAGCCTTGACTGACTCGGGACCGGCGATCACAGCAGGCCCAGACTCACACACAGGGGGACAGTCACACACTTGCACCTGATGCCCAGTCAGTCTACTGGGGCAGACGACTACAGACAGAAACCTGCAAAGGCCACAGAGTGCAGGGTGCAGACTGTCTCTTGGCCACTCTTGCACCACTGGCACATGCTCTGGTGGTCCCAGGACACAGACTGATCTCACTCAGCCTCACATGACACTCTGTCCTCACCACACTTGGGGTCCTGGGAGTCGTAGCACCAGGCACCTATAGAGACAGTGGGCAGGAGGCTGAGCTGAGAGGCCAGTCATCTGGGCCCTCTCCAAGCCCCATCCCATCAGCTGGGGTCCAAGAATGAAGTAGGCCAGGGGCTTAGGCCAGGGGAGGCCAGTGAAGAACCTTCTCTCCTGTCACCCCTACCCCAGTATTTTCTCTCCCCAGTCCCTCCCCACTCCCAGTGGCAAGACCTAAGGGGTGGTGGAGCATGGCAAGAGGGTAGATTGGAGACCAGACGGGAAGAGTCCTGGTGCTCACTCTCAGAGTCTGCACCACACCAGCTGCACCGCAAGGCGAGCATGATGCCAGGGGCGTGCGTGGCTCAGTGGCAGCCGCAGCTAGGAAGGACTAGAAAGTGGCTAGACCGCGGAGCCAGGATGCTGGCCTGGCTACTACATATTTATTCATTAGCTAGCTGGGCTAGGGGCGTGGCTATTGAGGAGAGGATGGGAGGGGTCAGTGCCCAGGCAGGGCCACCAGGAAGAGCGCGAGCGCTCCAAACTCACCCAGGTGTGCTCTGGTCCCAGGGCTGCACTGATGCCAGCAACAATCGCTGAGGTTAATCCTGCAGGGGAGGGGTGACCTATTATTATCCCCACTTACAGTCCAGGAAACAGAGGCTGGGGACCAGAATGACACACCAAAGCCACCAGCAAGAAAGGTCAAATAGTGAGGGCACCTTGAACCCCAGCGCCCATGACTTTCGGGGCAAGGATGGGAGGAAGGTGTAGGATGTCTCTTGCCCCGCTGTGGGCCTGGAACTGCCACCCCATCCCAAGACCACAGCCTCCCTCCTGCCCAGGCCCCCCTGCGGATCCAGGCCAAGACGGAGCCCTGCAGGAGGTCAGAGGAGGGGACTTCTTTGCACCCTGCGCCTCTTTCCAATCGCCAGAGGGCAGGGCCCTACCCACATTGGGGATGGGAAGTCAAATGCAGAAGTTAGGTGAAGTCAGTTCTTGGATACTCCTGTAATGTCACCCTGGTCTTATCTCATGCCTTAGCCCAAGCTGTGCACACAATGGGGTCCTAGGTCCCCCTCACCTCCCAGATTCCACCTTCCCAGGGATGGGACCCCCTAGAACCCTCGGGGGCCTGGGCAGTGGCCTTGCTGGCTCTTGCCTTCCTAGGAGCTGAGCAGGAGCTCCACTCTCAGCAGGGCAGTTCACTGCAGCCTCTGCTTCCTCAGCTCAAGCCATCCTCCCACCTCAGCCTCCTGAGTAGCTGGGAATGCAGACACACACCACCACGCCTGGCAAATTTTTGTATTTTTAGTAGAAACAGGGTTTCACCATGTTGCCCAGGCTGGTCTCGAATGCCTGAGCTCAAGCGATCTACCCACCTCGGGCTCCCAAAGTGTGGGAGCCAAGATGGGAACCCAAGCATACGGCCCCAATGCTGAGGCTCTGAACTACTGACCTGCCCTCAGCACTCAGCCTTGGGATCATGAGTCACTGTGCAAGGGAGTTCCAACATCTGCATGTATGTCTGGAATGATCTGAGCCTGCAGAGTTCCTACACACTGGCCACATTATAGGGTGGTGTCCGTGGTCACACAGCTCAGGGCAGGTATTTATTAGTACATGAATAGCTTAGCTGTGTCATAGTCTTTATGTGAAAGGCACAAAAAAAGGCACTTTGGCAGGCTCAAAGTGTGGGGATTATAGGTGTCAGCCACCGTGCCTAGCCCACTGGATGACTTATGATATCATATGTGACATTGTGACATCATGTGAGTCAGGGATGTACCCCGTTCTCAGCTGCTATATGCTATGTTACACTGACAGAATGGGAATGAAGAATGTGTCCCACTCTCTCAGCTGTTGTATTATATCATACAAGGTGCAGTGACTAAGTGTGTCAGCTGTGTCCTCATCCTACATAGCATATGAGAGTGTGTGACGGGAGATAGGATGCAGACCTGAGAAGCATTAAACACCTAGGCAATAAAGGTGCCAGCATCAGCTGAGAGCGCAGGTAGACCTCAGTCACATTTGTTACTGTGTAACTAAAAATACAAAATTAGCTGGGTGAGGTGGTGCACGCCTGTGGTCCCCACTGCTCAGGCACCTGAGGCAGGAGAATTGCTTGAACCCAGGAGGCAGAGGTTGCAGTGAGCTGAGATTGCACCACTGCACTCCAGCCTTGGGGACAGAGTGAGACTGTATCTCAAAAAAATAAAATAAAATAATCTAGGACAACCAAGAGAAGGACTCAGGCTCACCTTACTCTATGTCACATGTGATATATAACACTTGAGGGGGACACACACTTGTCACTTTGTATCACTATGTCCTATATGATAGCCAATGATAACCCAAGAGGGGGAGGCAGCCTTGTTCACACCATGTCACTTATGATATTATATGACATCAAGGAGCCCAGACCTCAGTTGCATTATGTCACTATGGCACATACAGTATCATGCAACAACTGACAGAAGGGTTGCAGGCCTGATTCACAGTGTATGTGAGTCACAAATGTCACTTATGACACCATACAGCAGGTGAGAGGGGATAGTCATTACTCACCTCGGGTCACATTGTCACACATGATACCATATGATAGCAGAGGGGGATGCAGAACTGAGTTGTATTATGTCGCTATGTAACCTGTGATAGATGATAGCTGATGCGGGTGAAGACCAAAGTTACATTTTGTACCTACATTATATGAAATATACAACATGCACGAGGGAGATGCAGACACAAATCACACTGTGTGCTGTATCCCATATATGTGTTTAATTTCTGTGTTTAAGAGAGCTGGGTTCATGAATGAACTTAGTCACTGCACCTTGTATGATATAATACAACAGCTGAGAGAGTGGGACACATTCCTCATTCCCATTCTGTCAGTGATTGACCACACCTTGTGTTAACTGTATGAGCCACTGTGTTTGGCCGTGTATAGCGCACGTGGCACATTGTTCACTGATACATATTTGCTCCGTACTGAAGTGAGGCAGATGCATGAGTGATTGAGAATAATGCTACCTTGGTGAAGCATTCCATTTAGAAGCATGAGGTTCAGGTACTACCATCTTCTGTGATACATATTTAAATGTTAAGTTTAACAGTTAGGTCTACCATGAGTGAATGAGCCTTGCATTATCTTTGAGAATCGATGTGTTTAGCAGGGTGTGGCTCATCTAAGATAGCCTTCTTTAATGCATGTTCACTATCTGTGTTTATTAGAAATAGGTTTGTGAATGACTTAGCATAGTGTTTTCCCTATGAAACCCTGTTTATTTATTTATTTATTTATTTTGAGATGGAGTTTTGCTCTTGCAACCCAGGCTGGAGTGCAATGGTGTGGTCTCGGATCACTGCAACCTCTGCCTCCCAGGTTCAAGCGATTCTCCTGCCTCAGCCTCCTGAGTAGCTGGGATTACGGGCGTCTGCCACCACACCCAGCTAATTTTTGTATTTTTAGTAGAGACGGGGTTTCACCATGTTGGCCAGGCTGGTCTCGAGCTCCTGACCTCAGGTGATCCTCCTGCCTCAGCCTCCCAAAGTGCTGGAATTACAGGCGTGAGCCACCACACCCGGCCAAAACCCTGTTTTAAGAAGTGTGTGGTGCAGGTACTACATTCTTTGTTGTTCCAAGTTCAAACCCTGTGTTTAACAGAGATAGGTGCAAGATTGCCCAGGTGTAGCGTTGACTCTTGGAAATACTGTGGTTAGCATTCTGTGTTTTCTGTAGTATAGTTTCAGTGATGCCTGTTTAGATAGTTTATCAGATCTAGGTACTAGTGTTATGTCAGCGAAACACTGTTTAGCTGCACGCGGTGCATGTAATACTTTGTTCATTGATATTTGTTTAAATCAATCAGTGTTTACCAGAACTAGATATGTGAGTTACTGAGAATAGCCTAATCTCTGAAAATGTTTTCCAGCCTATGGTGCATGTAATATACTCTTCTATGGTACCTCTTTCCAATGTTTTTATTGTGGCAAAATATACATAACAGATTATACCATTTTTAAGTGTAGAATTTAGTGGTAGTAAGTATAGAGAGAATCTTAAAAGCAGCAAGAGAAAAGTGACTTCTCATGTGCAAGGGAGCCTCTAGAAGATTATCAGTGGATATTTCAGCAGAAACCCTGCAGGCCAGAAGGTGGTGGGATGATACATTGAAAGTACTGAAAGAGTAAAGCCTGCCAACTGAGAATACTATATTTGACAAAACTGTCCTTCAAAAGTGAAGGAGAAATTAAGACATTCCCAGATAAATAAAAGCTGAAGGAGTTTATTACCACTAGACCTGACCAATAAGAAATAATAAAGGGGCCGGGCACAGTGGCTCACGTCTGTAATCCCAGCACTTTCGGGAGCCGAGGCAGGTGGATCACCTGAGGTCAGGTGTTCAAGACCAGCTTGACCAACATGGCGAAACCCCATCTCTAATAAAAATACAAAAATTAGCTGGGTGTGGTGGCACGCACCTGTAATCCTAGCTACTCAGGAGGCTGAGGCAGGAGAATCACTTGTACCCGGGAGGTAGAGGTTGCAGTGAGCTGAGATCACACCACTGCACTCCAGTCTGGGCAACGGAGCGAGACTTCATCTCAAAAAAAAAAAAGAAACAATAAAGGGAGTCCTTCAAGTTGATATGAAGGGATACTAGACAGTTGCTCAGCCTGATGAAAATATAAAGGTAAATACATAAAGATTAAAACCTGTATTATTGTAATTTTTGCTAATAACTCAATTTTTAATACTTTAATGGAATTTAAAGGACAAAAGCATAATAATTATAAATCTATGTTAATGGATACAAAGTATATAAAGTTTAATTTGTGACATCAGTAACTTAATAGTGGGGCAAAGATGTAAAGAGTAGAGGTTTTGTATGTGATTGAAGTTATCTGTTTAAAATAATAAGATAACTGTAAGATGTTCCATGTAATTCCCATAGTAACCACAAAGAAAATACCTACAGAATATATGCAAAAGGAAATGAGAAGGAAATCAGAGCATAGCACTACAAAAAATCAACTATAACACAAAGGAAGACAATAAGGGAGGAAAGAAGGACAAAAAGGCTCTAAACATACAGAAAACAATGACCAAAATGGTGGTAGTAAGTCCTTCCTAATCAATAATTTCATTAAATGTACATAGGTTAAACTCCCAATAAAAAGACATAAATCGGCTGATTGGATTTAAAAAAACGGGATTCAACTATATATGCTGTCTACAAGAGACTCATTTGAAATCCAATACAAATGGGTTGAAAAATGAGAGAATGGAGAATATTCCGTGCAAAAAGTAACCAAAACAGATCAGGAATGGCTGTACAAGTTATGGCTGTACAAGTTGTTGGGGTTTATGTTACTGAAGAATGAACAGAGATGAGTAAGTGGAGGTGTTATGTAAAGGCATACTGTACTCAAAATCTGAAGACCTGCAGCAGATTTAAATTCCAGCTCTTATTATAACTTTTTAAAAGATTGTGAAAATATCAAAATATAGATGAATCAAGTTTTAATATACTGTATGATGGGTGGATGAGGCTGTCCATTGTACCATTTGTTTGAATTCTCAGGCATGGTTTGGCAGTGCAAGAACTCTGTAACGTTAACAAATTCAATAAAAAGTAAATATATGGAAAAAAAGTATAGACAAAATAGATTTTAAGTAAAAAACTATTACAAGAGAGGGTTCTGGGAAGAAAGTGGAGTAGGAAGCACTGGGAATTCATCTCCCCACCTAGAAAATAATCACACTGGCAGAATCTGCCTGATATAACTATTTTGGAACTCTAGACTCTATCAAAGGAGGCTTGTAACCTCCAAATGAAGGCTTAAACTATAATTTTTACTTAATTTTGGTCAATTTCAGCTCTTAGCTCAGCAGTGGCTACCCAATCCCCATGCCCCAGCTTCACGGCAAGAAGCTTTGCATGTGTTCCTGAAGCAGCTTGTACCAAGCTTGTGGGAACAATCATGGGCGATAAGCACTCTGTCCTCCAAGTGTTAGCATCTGCGTTCTGGTTGTTGATTGCTACTTTTGATTATGGAAGGGCAAACACAGAGGCCGGCAGCCATTATTGCTCACAACTCCCCACTCCACTGCTGCAAGCCCTTACCAGACTGAAGCAACTTCTAGGAGATAGAAAAGGCCAGAACCCCATTTCCCTTCCCCTTCATTGTTCTCTTTTCCTTTTTTGGGAGCCAAACATTAAAGACTAGGACACTCAAAAGCAATGGCATACACAGAGGAAATTAAAGTTACCACACATCCTTGGAGAGAGGAGTGTGTGCCCAGGGAAAGGAGCAGCTTCAGACCTGAGAAGACCTCAAGCTTACAACTCAGGTTGATCCTCAGCATGGAGACAACCTACAACAATGTAAAACATAACAAAACCCCAAAACAGCAAACCCTGAGGAAGAGGAGAGTCTCATCTCCAGAGTTACTGCATTATTATATTCAAGTGTCCAGTTTTCAATACAAAACACAAGGCATACAAAAAACAAGAACATATGGTATTTCAAAGGAAAAACAACAACAGAAACTGTTCCAGAGAAAGACCAGATGGTAACCTACTACACAAATACTTTAAAACAACTTTCTTAAAGATGGTCAAAGAACTGAAGGAAGATGTGGAGAAAGTCAGTAAAATTATGTGTAAACAAAATGGGAATATCAATAAAGAGATAGAAAACCTAAAAAGAAAAAAAATAAATAAATTCTGGAACTAAAAGTGTAGTGATTGAAATAAAAGTTCACCAGAGGGATTCAAAAGCAGATTTGAGCAACAGAAGAAAGATTCAGTGAATTTGAAGATGGGACACTTGAAATGATCAAGTCAGAGGAACAGAAATAAAGACGATTGTTGAATAGCAAGCAGACATTGTGGAAGTCCCAAAAGAAGAGAGGGAAAGGGGCAGAGAGATCATTTGAAGAAATAATGGCTGAGGCTGAACACGGTGACTCACACCTGTAATCCCAGCACTTTGGGAGGCCAAGGTGGGTGGATCACAAGGTTAGGAGTTCGAGACCAGCCTGGCCAATATGGTGAAACCCCGTCTCTACTAAAAACACAAAATTAGCCAGGTGTGGTGGTGCATGCCTGTAATCCCAGCTACTTGGGAGGATGAGGCAAGAGAATCGCTTGAACCCAGGAGGCAGATGTTGCAGTGAGCCGAGATTGTGCCATTGCCCTCCAGCCTGGGCAACAAGAGTGAAACTCCGTTTAAAAAAAAAAAAATTAGCTGGGCGTGGTGGCACGTACCTGTAGTCCCAGCTACTCAGGAGGCTGAGGCAGAAGAATCACTTGAATCCAGGAGGCAGAGGTTGCAGTGAGCCAAGATCACACCACTGTACTCTAGCCTGGGCAACAGAGCGAGACTCTGTCTCAAAAAAGAAAAAAAAAAGCTGAACACTTCCCAAATTTGATGAAAGACATGAAAATAAATATCCAGAAAACTCAATGGACTCCAAGTAGGATGAAAAAAAAAAAAAGACTCATACTGAGACATTATAATTAGCCAGTAGGGCCTCTTGAAAGCACCAAGAGAGAAGCAACTAGTCACATGCTAGGAATATATAATAGGATTATAAGTAGATTTCTCATCAGACACTTTGGAGAACAGAAGACAATGGGATGACATATGTAAAGGGCTAAAAGAAAAACAACCACTACCTCTCAACCAAGAATCCTATATCCAGCAAAACTGTCCTTCAAAAGTGAGGAAGAAATTGGGAAATCCCCAAATAAACCAAAGTTGAGAAGTTTGCTACCATTAGACCTGCCCTGCAAGAAATCTTAAAGAGAATCATGCAGGTTGAAAAGAAAGAACACTAGATAGTAACTCAAAGCCATATGAAGAAATAAAGATGCCAGTAAAAGTAAATATATGGGAAAATATTAAATCTAGTATTATCGTAACTTTGGTTTAAAACTCCATGTTTTGCTTTCTACATAATTTAATAGACAAATGCATTAAAAACAATTATTAGTTTATGTTTATGGACACACAATGTACAAAAATGTAATTTTGTGACATTGATAACTGAAAGAGGAGTGGCAAAACTGTGAGGAGAGTTTTTGCATATTATTGAAATATAGCTGGTATGAATTCAAGTTAGAGTGCTATAACTTTAGAATGTTAAGTGTAATCCCTATGGTAACCACAAATAAAACATTATATAACATAAAAAAGTAAATGAGAAGGGAATTAAAACACTTCGCTACAAAAAATCAACTAAATACAAATGAGATCATGCAGGAAATGGACAAAAATGCTGTAAGGCATATAGAAAATGTATAGCAAAATGCCAGAAGTAAGTCCCCCCTTATCAGTAATTACTTTATTACTTTTTAAACCATTTTGTTGAGGAATGATTTACATAAAAACTGTACATATTTAACGTACACATCTTGATAAATTTACACCATAAAACCATTATCATCAAGCCTATAAACATATCCATCACCTTTTAAAATTTCCTTCTGCCTCTTTATTATTATTATTGTATAAAAAAATGTTTTTAATGGCCAGGTGCGGTGGCTCACGCCTGTAATCCCAGCACTTTGGGAGGCTGAGGCAGGCAGATCACCTGAGATCAGGAGTTGGAGAGCAGCCTGGCTAAGATGGCAAAACCCCATCTCTACTATAAATACAAAAATTAGCTGGGCGTGGTGGCGGGTACCTATAATCTGAGCAAAGTACTGGGAGGCTGAGGTGGGAGAATCTCTTGAACCTGGGAGGCGGAGGTTGCAGTGAGCCGAGACAGCACCATTGCACTCCAGCCTGAGCAACAAGAGTGAAACTCTGTCTAAAAAAAAATAATAATAATAAAAGTTTTTAATTAAACAATTTAAGAATATAGTATCATTTTCTGTGGGTACTATGCTGTATAGCTCTCCAGAACTTACTTATCTTGCATAACTGAAATTTGTACACTTTAACCATCAACTTCCCATTTCCTTCTCTTCCCCAGCTCCCAGCAACCACCATTCTGTTCTCTTCTTCTGAGTTTGACGTCTTTAGGTTCCACACATAAGTGAGATTGTACAATATTTCACTTTCTGTGTCTGGCTTATTTTACTTAACATAATGCCCTCCAGTCCATCTATGCATAGAAATGCAACTGATTTTTGGATGTTGACTCTGTATCTTGCTACTTTATTGAATTTATTACTTCTAACAGTCTTTTAGTGAAGTCTTTACAGTTTTCTATACATAAAAATATGTCATCTATGGAGACCATTTTACTTCCATTCTTATTTCTTTACTTGCTTAATTGTTCTGGCTAGGACTTCCAGTCCTATTTTGAGGAGAAATGGTGAGAGTAGGAATTCTTGTCTTGTTCTTCATCTTTGAGGAAAAACGTTCAGTCTTTCACTGTTGAGTATGTTACATGTGGTCTTCATTATGTTGAGGTACATTCCTTCTGCACCTAATTTGCTCAGTTTGTTGTTTTTTTTAATCATGAAAGGATGTTGAATTTTATCAAGTGCTTTTTAATAATAAAAATAAAGGATTTTTATCGTTTATTGTGTTGATGTGGTGTATCACATTTAGTGACTCTTGTATGTTAAAGCATCCTTGCATGCCAGAGATAAATCCCACTTGATCCTGGTGAATAATTCTTTTTTTGTTTTTTATTTATTTATTATTTATTTATTTTTTTGAGATGGAGTCTCGCTCTGTCATCCAGGCCTGAGTGCAGTGGCGCGATCTCGGCTCACTACAAGCTCCGCCTCCCAAGTTCACGCCATTCTCCTGCCTCAGCCTCCCTAGTAGCTGGGACCACAGGCACCCGCCAGCATGCTCAGCTAATTTTTTTTTTTTTTTTTTTTTGGATTTTTGGTAGAGACTGGATTCATGGTGAATAATTCTTTTAATGCACTGTTGAATTTGGTTTACTAGTATTTCATTGAGGATTTTTGCATCTATGTTAACCAGGGATATTGACCTATAGTTTTCTTATTTTGTAGTGTTCTTATCTGGCATTGATATCAGGATAATGCTGGCCTCTTAGAATGAGTTTCAACGTGTTCCCTTTTCTTCAATTTTTTTGGAAGAGTTTGAGAAGGATTGTTATTAATTCTTTAAATGTTTGTTGAAATTGACCAGTAAAACCATTTGGTCCTGGGATTTTCTTTGTTGGGAGATTTTTCATTACTGGTTTAATCTCTACTTATTTTTTCTGTTTTTTTTTTTTTTTAATTATACTTTAAGTTCTGGGGTAGCCGTGCAGAAAGTGCAGGTTTATTACTTAGGTATACATGTGCCATGGTGGTTTGCTGCACCCATCAACCCATCATTTACATTAGGTACTTCTCCTAATACTATCTCTCCCCTTGCCCCCATCCCCCAACAGGCCTCAGTGTGTGATATTCCCTGCCCTGTGTCCAAGTGTTCTTATTGTTCAACTCCCACTTATGAGTGAGAACATGCGGAGTTTGGTTTTCCATTCCTGTAGTTTTCAGATGTGCTCTGGCCTCCAAGGACCATGAAGCCAGGCGGTGGTGGGGGGGTGTCCTCTGTATAAAAAGTGCTGTCCCAGGAACTTCCTGACGGACACTTTGGGGCATGTGAGCGATTCCTGGGGAGGGCACCTCGGCCTTCCTAAGGCTACCCCTGCAGCCAGCGCTGGCCATTCTCACCAGCAACCAACCAAAAAACATCAGAGTCCCTGTAAACCTGGTTGTGATGATAAAAACCAAATGTTTTCTAATCTAAGACTTGTATGCAGAACACAGAAAACTGCAGTTAAGGAACACCCTACAAAATTGACCAACAGTATTTTCCAAAAACATTTTTCATCACTTTAAATAATGTACAAAATCTACAAAAATCATATTTACCAGGACACATCTGTTAAATAAAAGCATTGTTTCGTGTTGGTATACATATATACAAGACTATGTATAACAGACTGTTTCCCCTCCCTGCAACCACAGAACCATCACACACAGGCACAGATACACGTCGGCTATGCCGCTTTCCACGAATGCATGGAACCCAGGACGCGAACCCACAGCTCGAGGTCTTATACCTTCACTACTGAGCTGCCGCCACTGCAGCAGCAACACCTCTGCGGAGGTGTTGCTGAAATCACTGGTGTCCCTGCCCAAGGTGTCCTGGTCCTGGTCAACTCTACTGATTGACCCTTCGTGGATACCTCAGGTCTAAAATCCTTTCCTCCGAGCCAGAGCTCTTCCTGTTGTGCAAACTCAGCCCCGTCTGTACCTTCCTGCTTGGCCGGTGACCGCAGTCCTTCTTCGCCAGCAAGTGTGGGCTTCCAAAGACAGGGCTGGGCCTGGCCTGGGACTCCCTGAAGGCCGAGAAGGACAGGCCCTGCAGAGGCAGCCCCAGGTAGGGGCTGAAGAGGCCGGTCTCCCTGCCCCCCCAGGAGACACCCTTTCCAAAGTGGAAGAGCTGGGTGGACAGCAGCGGGGAGAAGCCCGCAAGGGGCAGGCTGGGCAGGCCCCGGGTGGGGCCCTCGGACCCCTTGTCTCTCTCTCCCAATGCCGCCCCCTCCACGCCGCATCTCTACCTTTGGAGCGCAGTGCCCATGGGCTGGGCAGCTGACTGTGGTGGGCAAAGTCACTCCAGGGCGGGGCGCGGTTGGCCTGGGCTCCAGCATCCCTCTCAGCTCCCGGGCTGGGGGTCAGGAAGCTCCGGTTCCTGCAGTCCACGTGAAAGGTCCCCCTGGCTCCTCCTGCCTCGGTGCCCGCTGTGGCACAGCTGGGCCGCTGACCAAAAGCACTTTTGGCAGCAGGCTCAGCCCCTCGTGGGCTCTGGTCTTTGTAAACGTAAACATTTCTCTTGCTCACTGAGAGACCTTGGCGGAGACACTGCCGCTGGTCCTCCTGGGTGGCGCATGATCCCCTCCGCCGGATCAGTGGGGAGCCCCTTCCCACCCTGGCTGAGCAGGCACGCTGCGCCCTGTGCTCCTGCGCTCCCTGCGCCTCGATGCCCTTTAGCCAAATGTGGGACCCCCCGGCCCTCTGGCTCCGTGTGCACATGCCAGGCAGTGGGGCCGGCTCCTTCCTGCAAGGTACCTCTGGCCTGGCTGGGCCCCCTGTCCCGAGAGCGGTGGGGCCCTCTGCCTGAACTTCTGAACTGCTCACCGACTCCTTGGCCTTTTCCACCAAAAACTTCCTAATCTCCAGTTCGATGCTATCGTCGCTGTCCACTGAACTGCTGTTGTCAGACAAGGAGCCAAGGCTGGGAGCTGGGCCCTGGGACTCTCTGGGGAATAGATTCTCTTCGGAGGCGGAGGCAGAAGCGGGTCTCCTCACCAGGAAGGCCGGGGCTTCGTCCTCTCGGCCCTGCTGCCAAAGACACTGGGGGGTTTCTTCCTGGAGCCCTCGCAGCTGTCTCTCTTGGACTTAGGCAGCTCTTCAGCACCTGCAGGTGCCTGTTTTTCCACTCTCTCAGGAGCCTGCCCAGCTGCTCCTGGAAGTGCGTCTGGGAGGTGCTGAACCTGACCTTCTTCCTGCACACAGCCCTGGGCTCCCTGGACCTCTTCTTGAGCTTTCACTTGGACCTTAACAAGTCCTTGATGGCTGTGTCCAGGTCCTTGTCACTGTCCAGGGAACTGCTTTTGTCTTCGGAGCTCTTCTTCTTGTCTAGGTGCCTTGCCTCGTCTGTCTTACCCTGGCCCTGTGACGTGCGAGTGTCACCGGGCACCCTAGCGGCGCCCTCTCCTCCCGGGGCCTCGCTGGCTGTGCCCTGGATGGAAAGGTCCCACCCTAGCGGCGCCCTCCCATCCCGGGGCCTCGCTGGCTGTGCCCTGGATGGAAAGGTCCCGCCCCTCATGGCCGGGCCCGGCTCTCCCCTGGCTGCGGTCGGCATCCTGGCCAACCCTCTTTCCCCACCACCCGCATGTTCTTGGGAGTGGATGGCCTCACTTGGCAGCCGCCTCTATGCTTCCTTTTGCAGCCAGGAGTGGGTCCAGTGTTTTAGAGAGAGGGGCCTTGGGGCTGCCGGTCTGGCTGCTGAGGCCAGGTGGTGAAAGTGGGCCCTGGGCAGCCTGAGGGCAGCTCTCACCTCTGGCCAGCAAACTTCTAGACTGCACCTTGAGGGCCAAAAACGTCCAGATTTCCTGCTCAATGCTGTCGTCGCTGTCCACGGAGCTACTGTCACCATCAGAGCGGGAAGGCACGTTGGGGGAGTAGAAGAGTGGGCTTGCGGACAGGGACCCATCGCTGCCCTCCATAGGGCCGGCAGGATCGTCTTGAAAATGTCCAGGACTGCTTCTACACACATCAGCTCAGCGGAGGTGTCTGCCTGGCAAGAGGACCATTCCACAAACTTGCTCCTGGAAGCCGGGCTCGTTGGAGGTGGAGCTTTGGTTTCCTTTGGGATCTTGGGGGAATGGTCAGCGTCCAGATCCCCTGGACCAGGGTCCGTGGTCTTGGTGGGCACTGGCTTCTTCTTGCTGGGTGTTTTCCTGTGGGTCTCTGGCAAGGCACTTTTTGTGGCGCTGCTTGTGCTGTGTGCGGGAGGGGCAGGTGCTCTTTCCTCTTGGAGCTGGACCCTCTGGGGCGGGTCCCCGTCGGCCTCCTTGTGTGTTTTCTGCACCTGGTACAGCTGGATGGCCTCCTCAATGCCGTCGTCGCTGCTGGAGTCGGACGCCTCGGGCGCCTGTACGGCGCTCGTGACTCGCTTTCCCCTCCTTGCGGTGCTGGCGTTCCTTTTAATCCCACTTTTATTCTGTACTGCTTCTGAAGGGCGGTGGGGGTTGCTGGCTTTGTGCTGCCCTCCTTCTCCTGCGTGGTCGTGGTCGTGACCTTGGACCTGAGGCTTCTGGGCTGCACGTTTGTCTTTGCTAACCGGGGGAGGTCTGCAGAAGGCGAACTCCTTCTGGACGCCCATCAGGCCCTGCCGGTGCACCACCTTTGTAGCCGGCTCTTGGTGGGATTTCGAGAGTGACTTCGCCGAATTTTCATGTGTGTCTGGTTTCTTCTCCACTGACCCATCACATTTTTGGGTCTCATGCTGTCTTTTCTCATTCAGAAACTGTTCTATTTCTGCCCTGATGCTCTGCTCAAAGGAGTCTGCTCTGCTCATGCTGACTGGGGAGGCAGAGCCCTGGTCCTTGCTGGATCCCACCTGGCTGCCAGGGCCACACCACCTGAGCCAGGTACAAGTTTTGGGGAACACAGGGCAGTTGGGCACTGCTGTGAGCCAGTTCCCGCTTACATCTACTGCCTCCGCCTGCAGCCCTGGAAGGCTGTGCATGGCTGGGCCCCGCTGGCCCCGGGCTGTGCGGCTCCACTCTTTACCTTCAGGTACTCCTGGATGGCCTCCTCAATGTCCCGGTCCACGGAATCGTCACTGTCTGAATCTAGCACCAATGGGCCAAAGTCTGCAGTTTCCTCCTCCCCCACGGGGTCAAAGTCAGCAACAAGACCACAGGCAGCCAACGCAGGCAGCTCCTTGTGCATGGTGGGCTTGGCAGCAGGCCTGGCGTCGTGGCATCCCTCTGCCCCCTCTGCGCAGTGCGCTCATCGCTGGTGCCCCTAGCAGCCCTGTCGCTCTGCAGCGTGCTGATGAGCATCTGCACCCGGGTGCTCACCGACATGCTCTCCACGCCCTTGTCAGCCTCCGAGAAGCACCCGGGGAACCTAAAGCTCCCTGGTGGGACAGAGGCCTCCCATTTGGGCTGGAGAGCAACCACTGGAGGAGCATTCATGAGAAACATTCTAGCAGATGGGGAGCGACGCGCAGAGGGGCGACACTTTATTTCTCTGCAGGCTTCACATCCTCCAAAGATTGGCAAGCAGTACCCGTGAAATAACTTTAAACCTGCAAATGCTTCTTTGCAGGTTTAAAAGGATGACTATAAACTATGACGTCATGCCTAGATTCATTCTTGACCCAACCAACAAGCTCTTGACATTCTCTGAGTCCAGGTTGACTGTGATGAAAGGCAGCTAGTGTTCCCAAATGGCCCAGGGATCAGGTCTTCATCGCTCCACTCAGAGGGAAGCATCCTCTCTCTGCTTTTTAAATAGACTTTTGACTGGGGCTCCAGCAGCGCGGGGCGCGCAGACCTGGAGTTGCATGGAGGCCAGAGCCACGACACCCGCCTGGGGAACGGAGCAGCCCCAGGCGCTGATCCCCGTCCACCTGCCCCACGGAGCCCTCGCCGCCCGCTTGCCACTGCCTGCATGGCCCTCCTGTCCCCGGCCCCCCAGCCCTCCTTTCCCCAGCTCCCCCACCCTCCTGTCCCCGGCACCCCAGCTTCCCAGCCCCCGAAACCGCCCCCCCACCTCGACCCGGCCCATGCGGCAAGTCGCCCGCTGCGCGGACCCGGCCTCCGCCCGCCTCCTGCGTCCTGGGGGAGGCGGCTGCCGGGGGTGGTGGGGGAGGGGGAGGGGGAAGAGGCCGCCCTCCGCCCGGGTGCGGGGAGGGGGCGCAGGGGTGTCCGGCCAGGCCCCCCGCCTCCCCGCCTCCCCGCAGCAGCTGCCCCGCGCCCGGGCCGCCTAATACTTTTACATTTTAACTTTTATACTACAGTGAAAAGTGATTTACACACCACCACTGCAATATTACAGTGTTATGAATGTGACTATATACTTACCTTTCCCTGTGAACTTTTTTTTTTGAGACAGAGTCTCGCTCTGTCGCCCAGGCTGGAGGGCAGTGTCCATGATCTCGGCTCACTGCAAGCTCTGCCTCCCGGGTTCAAGTCATTCTCCTGCCTCGGCCTCCCGAGTAGCTGGGACTACAGGCACCCGCCACCACGCCTGGCTAATTTTTTGTATTTTTAGTAGAGACGGGGTTTCACCGTGTTAGCCAGCATGATCCCCCTCTTCTGACCTTGTGATCCACCCGCCTTGGCCTCCCAAAGTGCTGGGATTACAGGTGTGAGCCACTGCGCCCGGCCTACCTGTGAACTTAATATCTTAATGTTTTAATGTTGCTAATCAGAATCCTTTTATTTCAACTTGAAAAACTGCCTTATAAGGCAGGTGCAGTGGTGATGAACTCCCTTAGAATTTTTTTGGTGGGAGTCTGGGAAAGACCTTATCATCTCTTTTTCATTTCTGAAGGACAGCTTTACAAGTTGTGGTCTTCCTGATTGGCAGTTTTTTTCTTCCAATACATTGAATATAGCATCCTATTCTCTCCTGGCTTATAAGGTTTCTGCTGAGAAATCCACTGATAGCCTTATTGAAGTTTCCTTGTATGTGATGAATTCCTTTCTTCTTGCTGCTTTTGAAAGTCTCTGTCTTTGACTTTTGATATTTTAATTATAATACATCTTGGTATTATGGTCTTTGGGCTGGCCTTTTTTGGGGCCTCTGAACTTCATGTGTCTGGAAGCCCACTTGCCTCTAAGAATTTGGAAAGTTTTTACCCATTATGTCTTCAAATATACTTTCAGGCCTTTTCTATCTTTTTTACTTCTAGGAAGTCCATAATATGTTTGACCCACTTCATGGTGGTGTCCTATAAATCCCAAAGGTTTTTACTTATAAACTTTTTTTTCTTTCTGGTCTTCTGACGGGATATTTCAAATGTCCTGTCTTTAATTTCACAGATTCTTTCTTCTGTTTGATCAAGTCTGCAATTGAAATTCTCTATTGCATTTTCATTTCATTCATTTATTTATTTTTATATATTTTTGAGACAGAGTCTGTGTCACCCAGGCTTGAATGCAGTGGTGCCATCTTGGCTCACTCCAACTTCCACCTCCCGGTTCAAGCGATTCTCCTGCCTCAGCCTCCCTAGTAGCTAGGATTACAGGCATATGCCACCATGCCTGGCTAATTTTTGTATTTTTAATACAGATGGGGTTTTGGCATGTTGGCCAGGCTGGTCTTGAACTCTTGACCTCAAGTGATCCGCCTGCCTCGGCCTCCCAAAGTGCTGGGATTACAGGCGTCCGCCATGGCACCCAGCTTGCATTTTCATTTTATTCATTGTATTCTTCAGTTCTAGAATTTCTGTTTGGTTCTTATTATTTCTGTATCTTTATTGAACTTTTAGCTTTGTTCATCTACTATTTTCTTGATATTATTGAGTTGATATATACATTCTAGTAAATTTCACTGAGCTATCTTAATTATTTTGAATTGTCAGGCAATTTGTAGATCTCTATTTTTGGGGGGTTGATTACTGGAGATTTATGAGTTTATTTTGGTAGTGTCATATTTGCTGATTCTTCATGATCTACAGACTTTCATTAATGTCTATGAAGAAGCAAATACCTCTTCTTTTTTTTTTTTTTTTTTTTGAGACAGAGTCTTGCTCTGTCACCCAGCTGGAGTGCAGTGGCGTGATCTCAGCTCACTGTAACCTCCACCTCCCAGGTTCAAATGATTCTCCTGCCTCAGCCTCCCAAGCAGCTGGGATCACAGGCATGTGCCACCACGCCTGGCTAATTTTTTTGTATTTTTTGTAGAGACAGAGTTTCACCGTGTTGTCCAGGCTGGTCTCAAACTCCTGGCCTCAAGTGGTCTGCCCGCCTTGGCCTCCCAAAGTGCTGGGATTACAGGTGTGAGCCACCATGCCCAATCTCTTTCTGTCTTTATAGATTGGTTTCAGCAGGTACAAACCTTTTCCTGCTGGATCCCTTGACTGGATCACAGTCAAGTGGGCCTGGAGCCATATCACATGGCTGCTGCCTGGTCTGCAGCTGAATCTCTGATTGGCAGGCCGCTATCAAGGCATAGGTTGGTGATGCAGTTTCTGCTGGATCCTCAGGAGAACTGGACTGCCTCTGATACCCTGATTGAACAGGACTGGAGCCAGGTCATGGGGCCACTTCTAGTTCTACAGTCAAGTCTTCAGATATCAGGCCTATTACCAAGGGCATGGACTGGTATAGCTCCCTGTGGGTCCCAGATTGAGCTCCTGCTGGTTTACTAGGTAGGTCCATGGGAAGACAGGACTGCCTCCAGACCACAGTAGAGCAGGGCTAGAGCCAAGTCACAGGACAGCTTTGGTGACCACATTTGGGTTCAAGATTGGTGGTCCTCTTATTAGGAGAATGGATGGTATGTCTTTCACCAGGTCCCAGGATGGGCTGGACTGTGCCCAGACTGTGGCAAAGCAAGACTGGAATGGAGTCACAGGGCTACTTTACTGTCCATAGCTGAGACTGAGATCAGCAGGCCTGTTACCAAGGGTATGTAAAGGCATCACTGAATTCCTGGGCAGGCACGACTGACTGTGGTAGAGTGGGGCTGAAGCCAGGTCAGGGCTGCTTTAGTTTCTGCAGTCAGGACCATGGTTAGAAGGCCTGTTACTGGGGGCATAAATGGTCATGGTTCCTCCTAGGTGCTTAGTGGATGGGGCTAGTTGCAAGACCATGATCTAGTGGAGCTGGACCCAAGTCCATAGGAGGACAAAGCTGCTTTCAGTCTGCAACTGGGAACCTGTCACTGGTGTGTGGACCTGCCTTCTCAAAGCAGCTCTCCTTGGTTTTGGGCTTTGCTAGAGTTTTGCCACCTCCTGCCTGGATATTAAAACTCTTGCAAAGGCAGTTTTGTCCATGAATGGCCGCCAGATCATTGTTTGTGTGGGGAGAGGTGAGTGGAGGGCCTCCTGTTCTGCCATCTTGCTGATGTCACCCTAAGATGATTATTTGAATTCTTTGTCAGGCAATTTGTAGATCTTCATGTCTTTGGAGTCAGCCACTGGAGTTTCATTTTGTTTCTTTGGTGGTGTCATATTTTCTCATGCTTCCTGTTCTTTGAAGACTTAGATTGCTTTCTTCATGTTTGAAGAAGGAGTCATCTTTTCCACTCTTTACTAACTTCAGGAGAGAAAGACCATCAATTAGCTAAGCTATAGATTCTGGGGGTCTCTCAGTCCTTTTCTGTGGGTGGTCCTTCCGTTTTAAGGGGGATGTCTTAGGATTTTGTCCCTTGTCTTCATTTCACAAATGAATAAAACAACCAGACCAGACATAAGTAAGGAAATACAGCACTTGAACAACACCTGAAAAAACAACTAGACCTAACAGACATACACAGGATATTCTACCCAACAACATAATACACATACTTCTCAAGTATACATGGGACATTTTCAGGATAGACCATATAACACATCACAAATTAATTCTCAATAGGGGCTGGGTGCAGTGGCTCACATCTGTAATCCCAGAGTAATTTGGGAGGCTGAGGCGGGTGGATTGCTTGAAGCCAGGAGCTTGACATCAGCCTGGCCAACATGGTGAAACCCCATCTCTACTAAAAATACAAAAATTAGCTGGGCGTGGTGGTGTGTGCCTGTGATCCCAGCTTCTTGGGAGGCTGAAGCGTGAGAATTGCTTAGGAGCCCAGGAGGTTGAAGCTGCAATGAGCAGAGATTGTACCACTGTACTCCAGCCTGTACTTCATGACAAAGAAAATGTACCATTGTACCACTGACAGAACGAGACCCTGTCCCAAAAAAGGAAAAAAGCTCAGTAGATTTAAAACGATAGACATCATACAAAGTGTCTTCTCTGACCACAACAGGATAAAGTTAGAAATCAATAACAGAAGATTTTAAAAAGTTCACAAATTAGTAGAATTTAAACAACACACTCTCAAACAACCAATGGATCAAAGAAATCACAAAGAAATTATAAAATTCTTAAAGACAAATGAAAATGAAAGCACACTATATCCAAACTTATGGGCTGTGGCCAGTTGTGGTGGCTCACACCTGTAATCCCAGCACTTTGGGAGACTGAGGGAGGTGGATAGCTAGAGGTCAGGAGTTCAAGATCAGCCAGGCCAACATGGTGAAACCCTGTCTCTACTAAAAACACAAAAATTAGCTGGGAGTGGTGGTACGTGCCTGTAGTCCCAGCTACCCAGGAGGCTGAGGCATGAGAATTTCTTGAACCTAGGAGGCAGAGGTTGCACCACTGAGCTAACACCACTGCACTCCAGCCTGGGTGACAGAATGAGACTCTGTCTCAAAAAACAAAGAAACAACAAAAAAACACAACTTATGAGTTGTGGTGAAAGGAGTGCTAAGGAGGAAATTTATAGCTATAAACACATTAAAAAAAGAAACACCTCAATTCAACAACATAAGTTTACACATTAAGAAACTAGAAAAAGAAGAATAAAACTAAACCCAAAGTTAGCAGAAGGAAGGAAACAATAGAGATCAGGGCAGAGATAAATGGAAAAGAGAATAGAAAAACAATAAAAAACAAAACCAAAAGTTGGTTCTTCAAAAAGATTAATAAAACTGACAAGACTAAGGAAAAGGGAAACAATCTAAATTACTTAAAACAGAAATGTATTTGAGAATATCTTTATATATTTCTGTCTGTCTGTCTGTCTATCTGCCTGTCTATGTTTTAGAGACAAGGTCTAGCTCTATTGCCCTGGCAACAATCAGATGCAACCACAATCAGTGGCACAATCGGCTCACTGCAGCCTTGAATTCCTGGGCTCGCCACTATGCCAGCTCTTTTTTTTTTTTTTTTTTTAAGAGACAGGATCTTGCCATGTTATCCAGGCTGATCTTGAACTCCTGGCCTCAAGGAATTTTCCCACCTCGGCCTCCCAAATTGTTGGATTACAGGCATGACCCACCATTCCCAGCCTAGAAAGGATTATAAAAGATTACTATAAATAATTGTGTGCTCATAAATTGGATAACCCAGATGAAATAGATGAATTCCTAGACACACAAAACCTACCAAGACTCAATTATAAAGAAACAGAAAGTCAGAATAGACCTAATCTAGTAAGGGAATTGAGTCAGTAATAAGACAATCTCATGACAAAGAAAAGTCCTGGACCTGATAGCTTTACTGGTGAGTTCTGCCAAACGTTTAAAGAAGAACTAACACTGATTCTTTTCAAGCATTTCCAAAGAGTGGAAGAGGAGTGAATACCTCTTAACTCTTTCTATGAGGCCAGCATTACCCTGATACCAAAGCCAAAAACACTGTAAGAAAATAAAACAACAGATCAATATGCCTCTGATCATTGATGCAAAAACTCTAAAAATGCTAGTATACTGGGTGGGGCACGGTGGCTCATGCCTGTAATCCCAGCACTTTGGGAGGCTGAGGTGGGTGGATCACCTGAGGTCAGGAGTTCAAGACCAGCCTGACCAACATAGAGAAACTCTGTCTCTACTAAAAATACAAAATTAGCCATGTGTGGTGGTGCATGCCTGTAACCTCAGCTACTCGGGAGGCTGAGACAAGAGAATCGCTTGAACCCGGGAGGTGGAGGTTGTGGTGAGCCGAGATCATGCCATTGTACTTCAGCCTAGGCAACAAGAGCAAAACTTTGTCTAAAAAAAAACTATCATACTGAATTCAGCATCATATTAAAAGGATTATACACCATGACCAAGTGGGATTTATTCCTGGAATGCAACGATGTTTCAATATATAAAAATTGATCCATATAAATTCAGACAATTAATTTTAACTGATGTATAGTTTTACATTATATGCACATACCACGATTCACTTTTCCATTTTCCTAGTAATGAGCTTTAAGATTATTTCCAATTTTTAGCTATTACCAATAATGTTTCAACAAACACCTTTGGACATCTCTTCTGCAAATGTGTGTGTATTCTCCTGGAGAAGGTTTACCTTGTGGAATTTCTAGTGTGTATGTGTATGTGTGTGGGTATATATATATACACATATGTATATATTTTCAACTTTACTATATATTTCCAAAAAACTCTTCAAAGTGGCAGATTTAAACTCCCCTTCGCCGTATATAAATTCACGGTTCCTAAAGCCCTTGGCATAGTTTTGTGTTTTTATAGAAAAGGGCATAAAGTCTTATTGCTGTTGAATTGTACCTTGCTCTTTTCAGTTGTCTTTTCACAATAATTCACTATTTATCATCTGTTGTGAATATTGTGTAGTAGTTCTTAATCATTTTTTCTACTATATTATTTATTTTATATCATTAATTTGTAGAAATCCTCTTTATATAATGGATATTATACTTTTCAATTATATATTTTGTAAATATTTTACCCAATTTTCTGGCTTGCATTTAACCTTTATTTAGGATGCCTAGGATTTTTCATTTTAATACAGTCTAATTTATTTTTCTTTTCTTTTCTTCTTCATGCATTCTGGCATTTGATTAATAAGCCATTTGTTGCCCAACGTCATTAGTTCTCTGTATATACTTTTAAATATCTTAAACATGTAATATTCATAAGTAATTTCACAAGTAGTTTAAGATTTGAGTCTTTAACCTAAATAGATACAGGATTTTGTGATATGCTGTAATATACAGATTTTTATTTCTATATGGATAAAAATTTATATGTTTTTTCTGACATCATTTATTGAATAGTATAATTTTTCTACTGACTTTTAGTATCATATCTTTTATTACAAGTCCAATGTATTCAGCATATCTATGGATCTATTTCTTGGTGCTTCCATTTTTTCCCATTGTTTAACGGTGTATCACTGAGCCAAAGCAAACCATTTTAATTATTATAATTAAAACACATTTAAATATTGATAGGCTATTATTGTTCAGAATAACTTTGGTTCTTCCTTTCCATTGATTATTTTAATATGACTTTTCCAATCAAGTTCTAAAAAAATACTGGTGGTATATTTATTGAAATAACTTTAATAAAATTAAATGAAAGATCATGTATTTGTTTTCTGAATTAATTCTTAGATACATTAATGTTTTATGTTACCATGAATGTGATATTATAATATAATATTTTTAATTGGTTGCTACTGTTTATAAGAATTTCATTTTCTCTTTACTTTGCCTTCATATCTGAAAACCTTGCTGATTTGATTAGTGCATCCACAAATTTTCTTGGATTTTCTATGGGTAATTACAAATCTCCACACAATGAGGTTGCAGTGAGCCAAGATCACACCACTGTACTCCAGCCTGGGCGACAGAGTGAGACACCATCTCACAAAAACACATAAACAAACAAACAGAAACTCCACACAATGACAACGTATGTGCTTTCTTTTTTTCTTCCTCTTTCTATAATATTTCTTTGTCCTATCTTAACTGAACTGGCCAGAAACCCCAGGACAATGATAAATACGAGCAGTGTCAACAGACATCTCATTCCCTTTCCTAGCTTTTATAAAAAATAACGATTATGCTTCAACATTACATATGGTGGTGTCGATGGTTTTGTTATAGATAAGCTTATCAGGTTAAGAAATTTGTCTGCTTTTCCTAGTTTGGTATAAAGATTTTAATATAAATGAATGTTGTATTTTACCATCTTATTTTTTTCCTACATCTGCTAAGGTAATCCTGTGTTTTCCCTTTTTCAATCTCCTAATGTGGTGAATGACATTAAAATACCTTCTATTGTTAAAATATTCTTGCAACGCTGTATAGAACCAATGCCTTTATTCTGTATTGCTGATGGATTTTTGAAAAATATGTAGGTGGACTTAGTTTTCTAAGGGGAATAGAATTTCTAATATATTTAAAATATTTTGCATGTATGTTCTGAAGGACATTGGTGTGTCATTTCTATACCATCTGGCTACGAGAGGAGCCGACTGAAAGTCACACTGCCGGAGGAGGGGAGAGGTGCTCTTCCGTTTCTGGTGTCTGTAGCCATCTCCAGTGGTAGCTGCAGTGATAATAATGCTGCGGTGCCGACAGTTCTGGAAGGAGCAACAACAGTGATTTCAGCAGCAGCAGTATTGCGGGATCCCCACGATGGAGCAAGGGAAATAATTCTGGAAGCAATGACAATATCAGCTGTGGCTATAGCAGCTGAGATGTGAGTTCTCACGGTGGCAGCTTCAAGGACAGTAGTGATGGTCCAATGGCGCCCAGACCTAGAAATGCACATTTCCTCAGCACCGGCTCCAGATGCTGAGCTTGGACAGCTGACGCCTTGGATCATCTGCCACTGATCTCTGGTCAACATTTTTATCACCCAACACAAAAGAAGCAGAGATTTATCAAGTTACTTAAACAACCTGACCCTTTCATCTTTTGCTACACATACTCTTGTAATTGATCTCTCCATGAATTGTTTTCTGTTTAAAATATCTAGAATGTTTTCTGCTTCCTGACTTGATTCTAATATTGTATAGGTACTAGAAATGGTTCTAGAAATAGATCTTTATAGATGAGAATCTGGAAGTGGTTTGCTGACCTGTTTCAGTCTGAATGAATTCCTGACCTTCTTGTCGGGAGGAGACAGAAACCTGATCATCTGTAGTGTACGGTGGTATCATGATTACTTAAATCATCAAATGTGGTTATTGGGAATGATGTGTTTTTTAAAGTGGTACATGAGAGGTAAAATTGCTATTGTAGTTGACTGTTGCAGTTATAATTTTGTCAACATGGTCTGTAAGAGTGCAATGGATTCGGCCCGGTGTGGTGGCTCACGCCTGTAATCCCAATACTTTGGGAGGCCAAGGTGGGCCGATCACGAGGTCAGGAGATCGAGACCATCTTGGCTAACACAGTGAGACCCCATCTCTACTAAAAATACAAAAAATTAGCCATGTGTGGCGGCACACGCCTGTAGTCCCAGCTACTCGGGAGGCTGAGGCAGGAGAATGGCGTGAACCCGGGAGGCAGAGCTTGCAGTGAGCCGAGATCGCGCCACTGCACTCCAGCCTGGGCGACAGAGCAAGACTCCATCTCAGAAAAAAAAAAAAAAAAAAAAGAGTGCAATGGAAAGCTGGTAGAAAATGGACATTGTTTAAAGACCAAAACAACCACACTACTTTGCTAATCCCTATCAGCTAAAGCCTAGAGAATATATGAGGCATAGATTTACATGGTGTTTGACTAAGGCATGCAGAATATAATCTTGACATAGGCTGAGTTTATCAACATAGATACATAGAGATTCTGAAGTTAAAGTCTTAGCCCAAGAAGTTAGAAGTGGTGCTCAAGTTTGTTTGTCTGACAGAAACTGTGAATCCACACTGGCCTGCTTATTTTGAGGTTGTGTTGCCAGAGCTTTCCTAGCATAATAAAGAGAGGTGCATACAAAGGAATAGGAATAGTAGGAGGTGGGGGTAAAAATATCAGGTGTGATCCACATGCCAAGCCGACCCGCACTGTGTCCCACAGGAAGCCCAGAAGATGTTTCTGTAAGAAATTAAGGATTCGTTTGTTGGGGAGGGCTGCTGGCATGCTTGAAAAGTACTGTGACGGCTGAATTTTGTGGGCTTGGGGAGATTGCAGATTCTCTGATTTCAAGGGGAATGATGTGATCCTAGAGTTGCAAAGAACAAGTGACAGTGGAGGCGCTTATGCTTTGTGACTGCACTAGAGACAAGGAAGACACAACTAGAATAATGGGGAGCAGGAATGGAGCGGCCAACAGAATATCTGACTGTTAGGAATCTTTGATGAAGGCTGATTCTCAGGGAGTGAACTACATCAGTGACCAACTATTTGTCTTTATATAACTGGGTAATGTGGATGGATTCTAATAAAGGGACTACTTACAGCACAGCAGGAAAGTCACAAAGAAACCAGACAGAAGAGTGTAAGTAGTAAGGGGCCAAGCAGTCATCTGACTAGAGACAGTGCCAGCTTGCCAAAGAAGGCACCAGACAGAAGCTGTGATCTTCAGCAAAGGGACACAGTCTGCCTGTGCTGACCCTGCAGGGGCAGAGGTGGGGGATAAACACACTCTTCTCTCACCTATCTTCTGCCACCCCCTCCATTAGCTGAACCCCAATAAAAGCATGAGGGTAAGGGAGATCTCTGAAGTATCCAATTCAGGTGAGCCTCCTAAGGAACAAAGCAGAATGCAGAAAAATTAAGAGTGGGTCTAGGGAATAAAATAGAGATATGCACCAGAGTATGATGATGTGTCTGGGAAAGAATATACAAATACTTTTAAAATTACTAGACAATAAACCTGAGATGACACTAATACAGGTAAATCTCATTTAATGGTAATATATTCCAAGAAATGCATCATTAGGTGATTTTGTGGCTGTGCAGACACCAAAGAGTGTACTTTATACAAACCTAGACAGCGTAGCCTACTACATACCTAGGCTATATCGTACAGCCTATTGCTCCTGGGCTACACACCTGTGCAGCATGTCACTGTGCTGAATACAGTAGGCCAATGGTCCCCAACACCCAAGCCATGGACCAGCACCGGTTCGTGTCCTGTTAGGAACTGGGCACAAAGCAGGAGATGAGTGGCTGGCCAGCCGAGCATTACTGCCTGAGCTCCGCCTCCTGTCAGATCAGCAGCAGCATTAGACCTTCACAGGAGCACAAACCCTATTGTGAACTGCCCATACAAGGGATCTAGGTTATGTTCTCCTTATGAGAATCTAACTAGGCTGGGTGCTGTGGCTCATGCCTGTAATCCCAACACTCTGGGAGGTCGAGGCAGGTGGATCACAAGGTCAAGACAATCCTGGCCAACATGGAAACCCCGTCTCTACTAAAAATACAAAAATTAGCTGGGTGTGGTGGCGCATGCCTGTAGTCCCAGCTACTCGGGGGACTGAGACAGGAGAATCACTTGAACCCGGGAGGCAGAGGTTGCAGTGAGCCGAGATTGTGCCACTGCACTCCAGCCTGGCAACAGTGGGAGACTCAGTCTAAAAAAGAAAAAAAAAGAAAAAAAAGAATCTAACTAATGCCTGATGATCTGAGGTGGAAGAGTTTCAGCCCAAAGCCATCCCCACTCCGTGGAAAAATTATCTTTCACAAAACCAGTCCCTGGTGTCAAAACTTTGGGGCCCACTGCTGTAGGCAGTTATATCACAGTAGTAATATCTAAACATGGAAAAGATACAGTAAAAACACAGTACATTGGGAGACCGAGGGGGGCGGATCACCTGAGGTCAGAAGTTCGAGACCAGCCTGACCAACATGGAGAAACTCCGTCTGTACTAAAAATACAAAATTAGCTGGGCGTGCTGGCGTGGGGCTGTAATCCCTGCTACTCGTGAGGCTGAGGCAGGAGAATCACTTGAACCCCGGAGGCAGAGGTTGCAGTGAGCCAAGATCGTATCATCGAACTCCAGCCTGGGCAACAAAATAAAACTCCTTCTCAAAAAAAACAAAGAAAAAAATATATATATATTACAAAATTTAAAGAGAGTGGTACACCAGTAAAGGACATTTAGCATGAACAGAGGTTGCAGGACTGGCAGTTGCTCTGATGAGTCAGTGAGTACTTGGTGAGTGAATGCGAAGGCCTAGGATATTACTGTACATAACTATAGACTTTATATGCACTGTACACTTAGGCTACACTAAATGTATTTAAATTTTTTCTTTAACAAGTTCATCTTAGCTTATCATAACTTTATAAACTTTTAATTTTTTTAATTTTTTGATTCTTTGATAATAACACATCTTAAAACAAAAACACATTGAACAGCTGTACAGAAATACTTTATATCCTTATTTGATAAGCTTCATTTATTTTGATTTTTTATGTTTTAAACATTTTTGTTAAAAACTAAGATACAAACACACACACTAGCTTAGCCCTGTAAGGGTCAGGATAATCAATATCACTGTCTTCCATCTCGAAATCTTGTCCAAGTGAAAGGACTTCAGGGTCTTCAGTGGCAATAACATACATGCAGCTGTCATTCTCTATGATAACAAGGCTTTCTTCTGGAAGAACTCGTGGAAGACCTTCCTGAAGCTGTTTTATAGTTAATTTTTTTTAATGAGTAGAAGTACTACACTCTAAAATATGAAAAAAATCTATAGTATTATACATACTGTTGATCCTTGAACAGTGCAAGGGTTAGGGGACCAGCTCCTGTGCAGTTGAAAATCCATATATAATTCTGGGCTATCCCCAAACTTAATATATGATATATATCATATATAATATATATGATATATCTCGTATATATTACTTAAGACATATATCGTATATAATATATACGATATATATTATACACAATATGTATGATATATATTATACACAATATGTATGATATATATTATACACAATATGTATGATATATATTATACACAATATGTATGATATATATTATACACAATATGTATGATATATATTATACACAATATGTATGATATATATTATACACAATATGTATGATATATATTATACACAATAAGTATGATATATATTATATACAATAAGTATGATGTATATTATATACAATATGTATGATATATATTATATACAATATATGATATATATTATATACTATATGATATAGATTCTATACAATATATATGATAGAGATTATATAAAATATATATGATAGAGATTATATACAATATATATGATACAGATTATATACAATACATATGATACAGATTATAAACAATATATATGATACAGATTATATACAATATATATGATACATTAGATACAATATATATGATATAGATTATATACAATATATGATATAGATTATATAAAATATATATGATATAGATTATATACAATATAAATGATATAGATTATATAGTATATATGATATACACGATATATCATATATGATATACACGGTATATCATATATATGATATATACGGTATATCGTATATATGACATATACGGTATATCGTATATATGATATAGATGATATATCGTATATATGATATAGATGATATATCATAGCTGATATAGATGATAAATCATATATGATATAGATGATAAATCATATATGGTATAGATGATATATATCATATATGATATAGATGATATATATCATATATGATATATCATATATTATATAATAAATGATATATATTATATATAATAAAAGATATATATTACATAATAAATGATATATATTATGTAAAATATATGATATATATTATATATTATATCTGATATATATTATATATTGTATATTATATATTTTATCTGATATATATTATATATTATATCTGATATATTATATATTATATATTATATTATATATAATTATATTATATTATATATTATATATAATTTATGATATATATTATGTATTATATATAATTTATGATATATATTATATATTATATATCATATATCATATATATTATGGTATATTATATATAATTACATTAAATATATTATATATAATATACCATAATATATCATGTATTATATAATATATAATATAATATAATATAATCATATATAATATATAATATATTATATTATAAAATATATTATACTATGATATACTATATATTACATATTACATTATACAATATTTTATATAATATATAATATATATTATATATTATACTTTATTATATTACATATATAATTATACATTATTACATTTCATATATAATTATATAATTATATATAATATTATATATAATATTATATATTATATTTAATATAATATTATATAATTATATTAAATATAATATTATATATAAGGATGCAGGATGTAAAAGGAAATTATATATATGTTATATATTATATATATATAATTATATGTAATTATATATATATATTTGGGGGTGCCCTATTTCCTATCTCATAACTTATTTTAAGAAGCACAGCATAATAATTTGTGGACTTGGGATTCAGTTTTTGAAACGAAACACTGAGCCTTCGATGACCTTCCTGTACCTGTGAAAGCACACCTGTCTGCATGGCAGCAGTTGGACCTCACAGTGTGGATTGTGCCTTCACCCTGGAATGTTTATGCCCTATCGCCATGGTGATGGGATTAGGGATCTGCTGCCCTTGGTCCTAAGTGCCACTATCTGTGCTGAGTTTTTCAAAGGTCAGAGCAGATTGAACCTTTGTGGTTTCATTTTCCCTGATTTTGATTTTTCTTATGGGGAACCTGTGTGGCTGCATTCAAGGTATGTTCATACTGGCCTGTCAAATGCGATCTTTTCAAATTAGTAGTTAATGCTTTCAAAATATGTTATTTAAAAAATTAGCCTCTGTATTTTCCATATGCAGTTATAAATATGTTTCAAGATTATGTTTTATTCCTCAATTTATATATTTGATTATTGTACCAAGCAGAGTATCTTTGAAATTTTTCTTCATTTAAAAAATATGTATCTTGACTCAGGCCTGTAATCCCAGCACTTTGGGAGGCCAAGGCAAGAGGATCACAAGGTGAGGAGATCAAGACCATCCTGGCCAATACAGTGAAACCCTGTCTCTACTACAAATACAAAAAATTAGCCAGGCATGGTGGCAGCTGGTGTAGTCCCAGTGTGAATTGGGATTCAGTTTATTCCCAAATTCCCAAATTATATATATATAAAATATATATATAATATATTAAATATATTATATATATAATATATATTATATTATATATAATTTTATGTATATATATATTTGTGGGTTCCCTATTTCCCATCTCATAACTTATTTTAAGAAGCCAGCATAATAATGTGTAGGCTTGGGATTCAGTTTTTGAAACAAAACACTGAGCCTTTGATGACCTTCCTGTACTTGTAAAAGCCCACCTGTCTGCATGGCAGCAGTTGGACCTCACAGTGTGGATTGTGCCTTCACCCTGGAATGTTTATGCCCTATCACCATGGTGATGGGATTAGGGATCTCCTGCCCTTGGTCCTAAGTGCCACTATCTGTGCTGAGTTTTTCAAAGGTCAGAGCAGATTGAACCATTGTGGTTTCATTTTCCCTGATTTTGATTTTTCTTATGGGGAACCTGTGTGGCTGCATTCAAGGTATGTTCATACTGGCCTGTCAAATGCGATCTTTTCAAATTACTAGTTAATGCTTTCAAAATATGTTATTTAAAAAATTAGCCTCTGTATTTTCCATATGCAGTTATAAATATTTTTCATGATTATGTTTTATTCCTCAATTTATATATTTGATTATTGTACCAAGCAGAGTATCTTTGAAATTTTTCTTCATTTAAAAAATATGTATCTTGACTCAGGCCTGTAATCCCAGCACTTTGGGAGGCCAAGGCAAGAGGATCACAAGGTGAGGAGATCAAGACCATCCTGGCCAATACAGTGAAACCCTGTCTCTACTACAAATACAAAAAATTAGCCAGGCATGGTGGCAGCTGGTGTAGTCCCAGTGTGAATTGGGATTCAGTTTATTCCCAAATTCCCAAATTATATATATATACATATAAAATACATATATAATATATTAAATATATTATATATATAATATATATTATATTATATATAATTATATATATATATATTTGTGGGTGCCCTATTTCCTGTCTCATAACTTATTTTAAGAAGCCAGCATAATAATGTGTGGGCTTGGGATTCAGTTTTTGAAACAAAACACTGAGCCTTTGATGACCTTCCTGTACTTGTAAAAGCCCACCTGTCTGCATGGCAGCAGTTGGACCTCACAGTGTGGATTGTGCCTTCACCCTGGAATGTTTATGCCCTATCGCCATGGTGATGGGATTAGGGATCTTCTGCCCTTGGTCCTAAGTGCCACTATCTGTGCTGAGTTTTTCAAAGGTCAGAGCAGATTGAACCATTGTGGTTTCATTTTCCCTGATTTTGATTTTTCTTATGGGGAACCTGTGTGGCTGCATTCAAGGTATGTTCATACTGGCCTGTCAAATGCGATCTTTTCAAATTACTAGTTAATGCTTTCAAAATATGTTATTTAAAAAATTAGCCTCTGTATTTTCCATATGCAGTTATAAATATGTTTCATGATTATGTTTTATTCCTCAATTTATATATTTGATTATTGTACCAAGCAGAGTATCTTTGAAATTTTTCTTCATTTAAAAAATATGTATCTTGACTCAGGCCTGTAATCCCAGCACTTTGGGAGGCCAAGGCAAGAGGATCACAAGGTGAGGAGATCAAGACCATCCTGGCCAATACAGTGAAACCCTGTCTCTACTACAAATACAAAAATTTAGCCAGGCATGGTGGCAGCTGGTGTAGTCCCAGTGTGAATTGGGATTCAGTTTATTCAGTTTATTCCCAAATTCCCAAATTATATATATATATATAATTTCCTTTTACATCCTGCATCCTTCAACGTTCCATCCCCCACCCCACAGATTAAGTTATTCCCCAGGGGAGAATATGGCAAAGTCTATTTTAATGCAGTTTTTAACCCAATTAAGAACCTATGAAATCATTACTTTCCAAAACTTTGGAACAAAGCCACAGTAGTATGGATCCGTTGGAGGCTTTTCACACAATAAAATGTACCTCTCTTTGTTTTTAACATGTTTTTCCCTTCCTCTCTTCTTTTTTTGTGAAATGTGTATTTACTTTAATATATTTGTAGTAAGTCACTTCCATGCACATATTAATTTTTTAAAGTAATAAGTATGTGTATTGTCTACGTGTGAAAGAAAACACACATTTATTTTTATGCTTTGGAAGTTATCCAGAATCATGGAATTGTCAATCACAGTCAATCACCCAACCTACTCACCTTTCCAGTGTAATCTTAGTCAAATTTTTTTTTTGTTATCCAATGAGATGCAGTATTTCAACTCAGAAAGATAAATAGAGTGAATTTATAGAGACTATTAACTAAGAACATACAGTTTTATTTATACTCAGAAGCAAGTAGATTATGTACATATATATGAAGATAAAAATTAAAAGGATAATTGTGTAAATTTGCATGTAGAGGGCTTTGAAAACCTGTTTACTTGTGAATGCTGTTTTGATGTATTGTGTCTTTGTTCTCCCGACCCATCGTCCAGAGCTCTCTGCAGGAGCTAAGTGCTCATCAGTTCCATGACTTGGAAACTGTCTAAGTTTAGAGGCACTTGTATTTGTTAGTAAATAAGGCAAGATGATATTGTTTCACAGGTTTTAGTGCCGAAGACTGAATAGATAAGCTGCTCCACCCAGTACACTGGTGTTCATTTCATAGTCATCTCATCTGTTAACCATGGATATAAAACATTTATCTTCAATGATGGGGTTTTACCATGTTGGTCAGGCTGGTCTCGAACTCCTGACCTCAAATGATCCACCCACCTCCACCTTCCAAACTGCTGGGATTACAGGTGTGAGCCACTATGCCTGACTGATTATTTTCATAACCAAGAAAAGAAATAAATACAATTAATGCTGGTGCATGGTATTAAATCTAGTTTTTAAAAAATTCACACATAAACAAGGCAGAACCCTATACCCTCCATGATAAATGCAGTAGCAGTGTATGTGGGTCTGTGGAGGTTGAAAGGGACTTGGTAGATGTCAAGAAGCTAGTGGCAGTCCTGCTGGGCTTTTAAAGGGTCTGAAGAAGTGACAGGATGCTGTGGTTGAATCCTAGCATGTATTTTAGCATTTGTTCATTTGGAGTTGATTATTTCACGTTGCTTTCATTTGCCATTACCTGGAAAGCCAAGGGCTCTACTCTCATTTCCTTGCTGCTCTTTCTTTGCCTTCCTTGGTCCGTGAAGAAGATGGTCCAGGAGAAGCTCATTCCATGCCTGTTAACCAGGCACGCCCCTAAGTTCCAGTCCCTGAGTCATTCATGAGTAGCACTGCCAATGAACTGACAGCCATGCTGTGTCCCTCCACATCCCCTAGGTGACTCGAAGAAGCCTTCCAAAAAGCATGTGAAAAGGAAGCCCTACTCTACTACCAAGGTAAAGTAGCCTGTCTTTGCCTAAGATGTAAATGTTGTTTTCTTGGATCCTTTATTTTTCAGTTGATATCAGCTATGGGAAAATTCTCCACTACATTATAGGTGTTAGATAATATTTCCTTGGGGATGGAGGAGGTGTATTTTACCAACTGACACCTGATTCCAGAGGACGTGCAAAATTGGCAGTGTCAGATAGTACACTGGGTGTTAAGGGATGTTTTCTTCAGGAACAAGCTTTCCACTTTAGATAAGAATTCTGCAATTGCTACTCAAAAATTACCTAGACAGAAACATTCTTCAAGAAAAGCTCCTGTGCTTTCCTAAGGGAACTCTACTCTACAGTTGGGGCTTTTGACTTGAACCTTATTTCCAGTCTTGGTTACCCAGAGTTTCCAAGTGAACAAAAGACCTGTGTGAGCCATCCATAGCATAGCCTGATTCTCAGAGTGTTTTCCTTCTCTAATTACAGGTGACTTCAGGGAGCACATTCAATGGTACGTATTCTGGAATCACTCACTGGTTGTTAGAAAAGGATTCTACAGGAAATCTGGAGCTTAACTGCTGGCTTTTGTCTGGAGAGCCTCCATGATCCAAGACATCTGGTGGGAATGAGGATGTAGGGTATAGTAAAAGAAACTGGTTTTCCTGGTGACATACTCTTTTTATCTATGTATAGTTTCTGGGAACATGTTCACATTAGGTTGTGTGTGGGTATGTGTGTATTAGGGCGGGGGTGGGGTGAGGTGGTCTGTGTGCAAGTCTGCATGATTTGCTTGTGAATGTGTGTCTATGTGTGTTTCCCCTAGGAAAAAAATGTTGTGTTTACCCAGCACAACTCTCAGTGCCATTTTTCTTAATTTAACAAATCAGACCACATACTTTACTTACATTAGTTCACACCTCATCATCATCATGCCCATATGTTGTGAGCTTGTTTATTGAGCCCACATGCCAGATGGAGAAACTAAGCCACATAAATAAATGTGCCCTGGTTCACTTGCTGCATAGTGAAGAGTCAAAATGTTTCCTCATACAGTGCTAATGTTGAAGGCCTGAACTACAACCTCTATTTATCAGCCAGTGAAGAGATCACTATTCACCATGCAAGGGAGTTCCAGCACCCTCTATGCCTGGAATTACCCACACCTGCAGAGATCCCAAATGCCATCCCTCACATAAGACAGCCTCATGATCTCATAATCCAGGTAGCTATGTAGACATCTTCCTGCAGGTGTCACATAGTCCTTAGTGTGAAACCAACATAGAAAGCCCATGTTTCTGATCAAATCACAGGTTCTGAAACACTAAGGGAGGCACTAAGTAGGACAATGTGGTGCCTGCGTGTCATAGCTGGGTCTCCTCAAGACATGGATCAAGTCCAGTAAGAATTGGGGAGATGCTTTAGAGTCTTGATGGAGTTATCACCACAAGCCCTCTGAGCTACACACTTTAGGGATCATGACCATTAAGTACTCAAATTACCATTTGGTTGTTATCCGGGTATCCGTCGTCCTTGTGGCAACCCTCTTGTGAAGCTGGTGTGGACAGCCTCAGTGCTGGAGCTGTGCCTGCCTTCTGAGTGGACCCTTTCTGTGTTAGCAGGTGGGTACAAGCGTGGGGGTCAGCACACTCAGTGGATTTACACACACAGCGTTGAAGAGTAAGGCTGGGCTTCGTTATTTATACATTTTCAATAAATGATGATCTTCATAACATAAAATCAATGATGTAGTACACTAGAATACTGTCCCTAGTATTGAATCTTGTCTCTCAGCAAAGGGTTGCTTAAAGTCACGTGACAGATTCCATTCAACTGATGGCACATGCTGTAGCAGCAGTTAAAGCAGTCATTTGAAAAGGCTTTTACTATAAACTTACGTGTGAGCCTGAAGTGGGGGATAAAAGAGGCGATTAGCTCCCCTGTGCCATGTTTCTATTATGTGCGTGGTGGAGGAAAATTACACAGGAAGGTGATGGAGAGAACAGAGCAAAGGATTGGACAGGTCCATTGAACCCATAAGACTATGGTGTGGTTAGTGAATGAGATTGGTCATTTTAGGTCAAATTTTACCCAGAGCTGGTGCAGCCACTGCCCATTCTTAGCCAGACCTTATTGCAGGCAGCTCTGATCAATAGTCAAGGAGGCAGTGGGGCTTGCAGACTTAATTCATTAAATCACCAAAGCACCAGCCCACACGGCCACTTTTCCAGTTAATTGACAGTAGCTTGCATATTCAGGTTTGATCAGTGGAAGGGAAGTTACTCTTTGCAGACCCATCTTTTGACAATCATTTTGTGGTGTCGGAAGGTCTGAGCAGCCTCGGGAGGCAAGCAGTCCCTGGTCCCTCAGTGTAGTCACTGGAGGAGACAGTCACTGAGAGGCAGCTGGCAGGGTGAAGGGAAAGGGGAGGCAGGCCACAGAGATGACAGCCTTTAAGCTGTCATACTGGGAGGTCAAGGATCTGAAAGAGGAAGGAGAATTCTTTATCATTAAGGACCTGTCCTTATCTCAGGCATTTCCTCCAGAGCATCACCTTTGTCCACCCACACACCTTGGGCTAGGAGGACTGGAGAAAGACAGTGAGGGGTCTCTTGGGTCTCTGGCACAGGGCGTGATGAAGAGGTGGCAGTTTTTCAGGAATCTCTCTCTCTAGGGAACCAAATACATTTCCCATCTCAGGTCCTTCACTCAGCGGGGTTGAGGTTCTGCTCGTCACTTATCATCTCTGAATGTCAGCACCCTCAAGTGTAAAATCTCAGCCACAGCCCCTCCTCTGCACCCCCTGCAGGGCTGATGTTCTCCATAAACCATAAGGCGTCATGCCCACGGAAAAGCCGAACAGGAAAGCATGCTCCACTGCCCCGGAGTCATGCAAGTTCCCCCTCCATATTCCGCCACTGCTAAGTGTCCAGCTTATTCCTCCTGGCATGTAGTAAACACTTAGAGAACATTACTGAAGTACCAGTCCTCTCTAAGGTTTTCCTGTATTTAGTGATTTTTTAGCCCTGTACTGTGATACTAAGAAGTAGGGCTTAAATAGGGCCTAAAAAGTATTGCTAAAATTACATTATGACAGTGCAGAGAACTGAGGGCAGAGGGAGGACATGAGCTTGCCAGGTCCACATGGCTTAGTGGAATTTGAATCCGGGCCCCCACTCTGCACCAGCCCTGCACTCACAGTCATCCTGCTGTGTTCTCCTCTCCAGGAAGGCACTGCCCACGCAGTCTGTCTGATAGAGGTGTTGAGTGCTCACTGAACTCCGTGATCTTCCTGAAACCCAACTTTGATTCAGTGGGCTCTGCTTGGAAGCCTGTAAAGAAAAGGATCATAAGTTTAAACTTAGAACAGATTATCACTATTTTCCCTCTGGTCTTCTGTCAGCAAGATGTCAACAGCCCTATCTATTGTCAATGCATTAACCAGCATCTTCTCTGATAGAGAATACAAGAAGATATGCTGTGCACACCAACCAGTGTAGGAGACCTCATGGCTCCCGGGTAAAGAAGAAGAGGTACCCACAAGAAGGTACTGTGGAAGTTCATTAATTAAGTTGATTCAAGAATTGCAGTTGCGGGGAGTATTCAGTGTCCCATATGTAAGAGGAAACTATGAAGAGACTAAGCCATATTTTTTAATGTGTCAGGATTCTAATTTGCCTGGTCAGTAAATATTGCTACCACCACAAAAGTAAATATCTACTTAAAAGTCAATTTTGGTTCATGTTTAATGATAGACAATGTTTCAAGCTAATGTCTAGAACTTACCTGGTTGTTAAACATAAGCATAGATCTCCCTGAAAGAGTGGTGCTATATTATTATTTTTCAATTAATATATTTCTTTAGAGAGTTTTAAATTGACATAAAAACTGAGCATATGGCCGGGCGTGGTGGCTCACACTTATAATCCCAGCACTTTAGGAGGCCAAGGCAGGCGGATCATCTGAGGTCAGGAGTTGGAGACCAGCCTGGCCAACATGGTGAAACCCCATCTCTACTAAAAATCCAAAAAAATTAGCCGGGTGTGGTGGCAGGCGCCTGTAATCCCAGCTACTCAGGAGGCTGAGGCAGGAGAATCGCTTGAACCCAGGAGGCAGAGGTTGCAGTGAGCCAAGATCATGCCATTGCACTCCAGCCTGGGTGACAAGAGTGAAACTTCATCTCAAAATAAATAAATAAATAAATAAATACATAAATAAAAATTGAGTATATAATACACGAAGTTCCCATATTATTCTGTCTCCTCACCCTCACTTCCTAATTTCACCTATTAGTAACATCTTACATTACTGTGGTACATTTGCTAGAATAATGAGAAAATATTGACACATTATTATCTGAAGTCTACATTTGCATAATGTTCATTCTTTCTGTTATACATATATATGAATTTTGAAATATTTAAAACATTATGTTCACCCTTATGGTCTCATAAAGAAAATGTTCACTTCCCTAAAAATCCTCTCTTCTCATTAATCTCTGTCCTCTTTCTCCAGAAACCTTGGCAACTATTAATATTTTTACTATCGCTTCAGCTTTGCCTTTTCCAGAATGTCATATAGTTGGAATCATATATTATGTAGTTTTTTCAGATGAATTTATTGCACTAAATTGATGTACGCTTTAGCTGCTTTCATGTCTTTTTTATGCCTTAATGGCAAAAAATGGCACATTAAATCACCAAATAATATTGCATTCAATGAATTTTTGTCTTTTTATTCACCTGTTGAAGAATTCGGTAGATTTCATGAGAGAAACCATCTGGGCCTGGTGCTTTCTTTTTCGGAATGCTCTTAATGTGAATTCAACTTATTTAATAGACATAAGTTTATTCAAATTAGGATCCTAGCATGACCTTGGGAAGATTGCCTTTCAAGGAATTGATACATTTCACTGAGGTTATCAAACTGCGGTCATAGAACTGTTCATGATATTCCTTTTAATGCCTAACAGTTCAGTAGAGATGGCTCCTCTTTTATTTCTGAAATTGGTCATTTGTGTTATCTTCTTTTTCTTGGTTAGCCTGCATATCAATTCATTCATTGTAATGAGCATATCAAAGAACCAGCTTTTGGTTTTATTGATTTTCTGATGATTTCAGTGTTTTAATTTTATTGATTTCTGTGATGTTGTTTATTACTTTTACTTGCTTTCCATTGCATTCCTCTATTTTCTATAGTTCCCTAATTGAAACATGATATTACTGATTTTAGGTCTTGTGATTTTTAGTATATTGCATCCAATGCTATAGATTTCCCTCTAAGGACTGCTTTTGCTACATCCAGAAATCTTGCCAAGTCACATTTTCTTTTAATGTAGTTAAAAGTACTTTTAATTTTCTATTGAGACTTCTTCTTTAACCCATGAGTTATTTAAAAGTGCATTGCTAATTTGCAAATATTTGGGGATTTTGTGGCTCTTTTACAGTTGTTGATTTTTTGTTGTCAGGTATGTGTTGCAAAAGCAGTCGTCTACCTCATCTTGCCACCACCCAAGATGGCCCAGGATGTGGGCTCTCCCTGAGTGAATCTTTGGCAATCTGCCAACCTGATGTGTTCGGCCTCCTTCTTTAGTCTGAGCTTGCCTTCTGCTTAGAAAGGGCCATTCTCAGTTCTGGCAGGGAGTTTTCCCAACATTGAGAAGGTGGCATTCTTACTCCCCACTGCAGCCTGCACCTCTGACTGGTGGTCAGCAGACAGGACAGAGGTCCTCATCAGACAGAGTTCAGCAGGGTCTCTGACCAAAGTGCATCTTCAGAGTCTGCACCTACCCACTGTGACCACGGGCAGGCTCTGAGTCCTAAAGCAGGAGGAACTGTGCGACCATCCTGATTGGAAATTTGTGAGGATCACCGTGTTACTCAAGTAAGGTCTTTGGAAAGTGTCGTATTACTACTGTTTGTGAACTGCTTGTTGGTGGCCTGGCTGAGCCACACACTTTATGAAAACCAGGACCCCTCAGCTGGTGTGGGTGTCTATGCAGCCTGAGACCCTCATGTGAACAGCCTCGTGGCAGCTGTCTTTGCCCCTTGCCACCATCAGTGCCTCCTTGTTCCTGGGCACTGCTTTCTCTGATGGTGCTCCATTGTTTTCCTGCACCTCAGTGTCTACAGCTGGATGTCTCTTCCGCAATCTAGGCGAGGGGGCATCAACGGCAGTTCTGCTGTGGCACTGCCCTCCTTCTTAGCTTGTCTTGCTCTGTCTTAGGCTCCCTCAAAGATCCCACCCTTCAGGTTCTTCCACAAGTTTCTTATTGAAATCCGAGCAGAAAACTATGACCAATATGACCAATCCTATACCCACTGAAGACATGAATGAAGAATTAAAACAATTCTCCATGGACTCTACCATATAGATCCCTAGAAGTAATTTCTAAAAAAAAAAAAAAATCAAGGAAGATGTAATAGTTTTCCATAAATTAGAATACCCTACATGTACAATTAAATGAAATGGCTAGTATAGTCTTGAAACCAAAACCAGATAAGGTAAATTAAATTCTGTGATATTTTAAAATACTGTAAATTCTGACTAATGTGAGTTAATCTCAATATATGAAATAGTAGATTAACATTGAAAATGCAATAAATAAAATTAGCTACCTCAAGAGTTTAATGGAAAAAAATGTGATTATTGCAATAGATTCAGGAAATTCATGAATAACATTCACCCTATATTTGTAGGACAACTATCTAACTTTAAGTGACCTGTGACAACCATTTGAATTAATGCTGCTTTCACAGCATATCTCTTGGCTTGTTAAAAACCCGACAAGAATTTCCGTAACATTAATTTATTTTTAACACCTATATTGGGTGTGAACCCACCATAAAGTTTGCCCACTGAAAAGGTCTACAATTTGATGCTTTATTAAATTGATACTGTGTGCACCCATCACCACGATCTAATTTAAATATGTTTCCCTCACCCAAGTTCTCTCTTGCGCACTGGCAGTTAATCCCCACTCCCATCTCCAGCCCTAAGCAATACTGCTGTGACATTCCATCTCCATAAATTTCCCATTTGCTTAATAGAAATGGACATATATATATATTTGGAATCTGACTTCCTTCATTTAGCATACTATGTTTGAAGTTAATTGACGTGTTAGCACGTGCTGGTCATGTGTTTTCCTTCATAGTCTGCTGTGTTTACTCATACAGATAGTGTTTATTCATTTATCAGTTAATGGACATTTAATTGTTTTGTTATTTTCTTTGATGAGTAATGTAGCTTTGAGCATTCATATACAGTCATGTAATGCATAATGACATTTCGGTCAAAAAAAATTTTTTTTTTCTGAGACCCAGGCTGGAGTGCAGTGGCACAAACTCGGCTCACTGGAACCTCCACCTCCCAGGTTTAAGCAATTCTCGTGCCTCAACCTCCCGAGTAGCTGGGACAACTGGCACACGCCACCATGCCTGGATAATTTTTGTATTTTCAGTAGAGACAGGATTTTGCTGTGTTGGTCAGGCTAGTCTCAAACTCCCAGCCTCAGGTGATCCACCCATCTCTGCCTCCCAAAGTGCTGGGATTATAGGCATGAGCCACCACACCCAGCCTAATTTTTTTAAGAAACAAGGGAACTATTTTCTAAATTACTTTTGCCAATTTATATTTCTACCATGATGCATAGCACTAATTTCACCGTACAATGTATGGTAGGCCCCAATATGTAAGAAATGATGAAAATAACACATAAAGATTGGTATAAAACAAATAAGATTATCATTGTTGCTATCATCTTTGTCAAATTCTGAAAACAATCTGAGTATATTTTTATATAAATATGCTTGGCAACATAGCTGAAAAACGCATTATCAGTTACATTTATCAGTAACAAAGACATAAATTTGAAGGGGGAACAACACTTGTACTAACAACGCAATGTCAGAATTAACATAAAAATTCTGCTGGTCACTTTGGAATATTTAATTGCCTGGGGCAGTGTTTAGTAGACAAATGAGCATCTATGGAGCACTCAAAGTAGGGGAATCAACAGAACTTGGGTTTGAAAAGTTATCTGGGTTTAGAGCGTGAAACTTTGTTAGAGGACACGCACCTTGCATGAGCGAGGTGCCCTGGTGTGTGTGGACGTACCATTATGCTTGGAGGTACAGCATAATGGTGGCTTCCTCCAGAAAGGGACATTTGGGATGGATTCATTCCATCTAGACAACACAGCCTGATGTGGCATGGACATGAATGGAGGTGAAATGGTCAGTAGTTGAGAGGATCAGTCCTGACAAGGGCCGAGGTGAAAAACCTGGGAACCCCTTCAGGTACAAAGTCTTCAGTTGAAAAAGGAGGTGGTCACAGGAAATACTGAGACAGGACAGCAAAGCATGGGAGACAGAGTTCTTGGCCCTGCAGGGTGAGTAGTGTGGATTCTCAAGTTTTCTCCTCTCTCCATTAATTTCTTTCCCAATGCAGATGACTTCCATCATACAGTCTTCAGCAACCTTGAAAGATTGGACAAGCTTCAGCCCACTCTTGAAGGTAAAGGAAGGCAGCTAACAAGACTGGCATGTGGGCTTGGCTGTGCGTGTTTTCTATCGTGGGGAAATATATATAACACAATATTTATCATTTGAACCTTTTAACCAAAGTGTGCACTCCATGGCATTCAATATATTCACAGGGTTGCATAACCAACACCACTATCTACACCCACAATTTTGATGATTTCTTACGAAACCTTGTCCACAATAAGCAGTATAGCACCTTCCCCCTATTTCCAGCCCATGGTGATTCCTATCCCACTTTCTCTTGTATGAATTTGACTATTCTAGGCACTTCATGTAATTACAATTATACAATATATTCCTTTTGTGTCTGGCTTATTTCACTAAGCATAATGTTCTCAATGTCCACCCATGTTGTATCATCTATCAAAATGATGTTCGTTTTTTACAGATGGATGATGTAGCATTGCATGCAGACCACCTTGCTTTTATTACATTCATTTGTTCACTGATGGTTGGATTATTTCCACCTTTTGGCTCCTGTGAAAAGTGATGCTACAAACATTAGTATACAAACATCTGTTTGATTTCTGTTCTCTATTCTTTGGGGTGCCTAAGAGTAGAGTTCCTGGGTCCAACAGGGGTTCTATATTTAACCTTCTGAGCCACTGCAGACTGTTTTTCACAGTGGCTGCAACTTTATCCATTTCTACCATCAATGTATCAGGGTTACAATTTCTTTACGTCCTTCTTCACACTTATTTTCCTTTAAATCATCCTAGTAGGTGTATATTGGTGGCTGCTTGTGTTTTTCATTTGCATTTCCCTAATGACTAATGATCCTGAGCAGCTTTTCCTGTGCTACTATCTGTGGCTGTATCTTCTTTAGGGAAATATATGTTGAAGTCTTTTGCCCATTTTTAAAGAGTTGTCTGATTTTTATTTAGTTAGTTTGTTGTTGTAGATTTTTGAATATATCTTAAATATATTTAAAATATATTCTAAATTTTAGTCTCTTACAAGAGAAATGATTTGCAAATATTTCCACCTTTGTGTAGAACTTTAGATTCACAAACTTCGTTAATTTGTATGAAATCCTCAGCAGTTGACCCCAAACAGATAAGACTGAAGCAGTATTTTAGGAATAGTTGAAAGTATGATCACCACAAAACATAAGCGTAATCAAATCCTGCAAGCTACATGTAAGGCACAATGACAAATAAGGCAGCAAAGGGCCATCTGGTGATTAGTTCACCACACTTGTTGCAACTGTTTGCGCTGCAGAGTTAAAACACACCAGCATTCAACCCGTGTCTCCTCTCTTGAAGTAAACTGTCGTATGTTGGCTGGCCTGAACAAGCGTAGATATTCTCCATCCTCAATTAATATGCATGCATGACAAAGAAAAGGAGGCCTGGATGAAAAAATATTGTGTGATTAATAATTATGCTTTAATTAATTTTAAAGGATATAATTTCAGTACTTCTAATTCTCCCATCAGCAGTTATAACAAAGGATTAGTGAATAAATACCATAGACTGTTTTGCCTAGAATTGAATCCAATCTATCTATTAAACTTTGCTTTTATTCAAGTGCAAAATGCTAAAACACATAACTGCAGTGACAGCCACTGTGGATCCTCAGAGGTAAAAGTAGTCTTGGGACATAAATCCTGCAAGCTAATATTGTTTTTACAGGTTTAGAAAACCATTTAGCTGGGTTTCAAACCTCACAGTGTGAGCAGTGGGACTCTCATCAAACTATAGCATGTGCTTCAGTACCATTTGTAGACTGACTCATTCCCATTTTCTTAAGTTGCCATCAGCAAAATGCCAGGGACTCTATTTCTTGCTCCTTAGCTCCTCGTTCTTGCCTGTCTTTCCACGAGGGAAGATTTTCTAGCAGGAGCTCAAGCTGTGCTTTTAATGAAACACATCCACACACACTGTCCTGTTGTCCACATTAAGCAGAGCTCCCTGAATAACTCATGAACAAAAGCATCTATGACTAACTGTTGCTCTGTGTCCTCCTAGCCTCTGAGGAGTCTCTAGTTCACAAGGACAGAGGAGATGGAGAGAGGCCAGTCAACGCGAGGGTAAGGTTGCCTTGCTTTCTCTGAAATAGAAATGTTCCTTTCTTGGTGTCTTTCTTTTTCAACTGACTTTACATGTGAAAAAATGACAATGTCCATGACAGGTATTAAATGCAGTTTTCTGAGGGGGAGGAAGAAGTGACTCTTAGCAACTGATATGTAATCCAAAATGGCATTTAGCTATGACGGCTTCAGGTTGTAGACTGTATCCTTGGGGTCCTTGTCCTTGGAAGCAATGTCTTCTCCTTGGATTCAGGATTTTGCACTTGCCAACCTACGTGGACCTGAGAGATCCACCATCCAGAAGCTGATGTCTTTTCCAGTGTGTATCCTACCCTTGTTTTGGAGGCCTTGAAGTTGACTACACTTTCTGATCAAGTTTTCAGTATTCATTGAGAGAAACAGAGCCTTGTGCAAACAATCCACAACATGACATACCCCTGAAAAAGCTTTGTTTCTGTATTGCAGGTGGTGCAGGTGGCCCCTCTGAGGCTTGAATCTAGTAAGTATTCTGGAATCACTTGCCAAGAAAACAATCTGGATGCCAAGAAAGGTGTGGCATCCTTGCCTGGTTTCAATGTGAAGAGCCTCCCTGATCCTGGGATTGTGATAGGAATAAGTATAGGGGAAGTGTTTTTTTAAAACCTGAATTCCCCAGGGAAAAATTATGGCCAAATTTTGAGGAAGCAGCTGTGCTCCCTTTTGGGTGGTGCTGAGTTGGGTGCTTGAGGATTGGTGGTGTCTTGTGTGAGGCTGCATCGTGTGGTGTGAATGTGTGTGTTTCTGTACAGGTGAGGCTGTGTGTTTTCTCAGGAGAGATTTCCCACTTATACAACCCAATCACCAGTGTCCACTTCTAACAATAAAATCCACCCCCGCTCTACTCTCTCTGTACAGTGACTCCTCCACCCTCACCAGAGCCATCCCCGGGTCTGCCTTATTATCCCCACTGCTCAGGTGGAGAACGTGAAGGGCCAAGGGAGTGGCCCCAGCTCCCGAGTTCCTGAATGAAACAGTGAAAACACGAACCCAGGAGTGTGGACCAGTGCTGACGCTGACATGCACTTAGTCATGGGGTGTTCACCACCACACACGGAGTCCAGCATTCATGTATAAGCCCTAAAGCAACGAGCCCAAGAGGCCCCAGACACTGCCCATCATCATAAAGTGGCCTCCGTGGTCACACAACCCAGGGCAGTTATAGGCTCATCTCCCCACGGACCGGCATAGTCATCAGTGTGTCAAAAGCACAAAGATCCCCAGGTGTTTGGCTCAGCTCACAGATCCCTTTTTTTATTTAACTTTTCAGTTCAGGGGTACATGTGCAGGATGTGCAGGTTTGCTACATATATAAATGTGTGTTATGAGAGTTTGTTGTACAGATTATTGCATCACCCATATATTGAGCCTAATATCAGTTATTTTTCCTGATCCACCCCCTCCTCCCACCTCCCACCCTCCAGTAGGCCCCACGCTCACAAATTCTAAGAGGAGTGGGGGACCACAAAGGCCAGTGTGGCCCACTTCAGTTGTGAAGTTAATTTGCTCAGCAACTGGCCAAAGTCTATAAGGATGGGTGATGTATTTTAGTAGATTTAGTAATACTATCTTCCCAAGCCCTAAAATGCTCAAATCCTGCCAGCCAAAAATGGTGAGGAGGGACAGATAGGAACTCTGTGTGGCACTTGGTTATTAGCCTGGCTTCCATCCCTTAGTGGCAACTCTCTTGTATATGTGGGTTAAAGACCCTCAGCCTCAAGCCAAGCCTCCTCCATGAGGAGCCATCTCACTATTGACCGGCTAGTGCCGGGTATGGCCACCAGCCCAACTGAAACAAAATGTTGCTTTAAAACACGTGTAAATCTCATACATACAACAGGCAAATGCAGAAGCAGTGTGGTCTCGCAAGTTGTAAAGAGGACAGTCGCAATTTTGCTGGACTTCAACCTGGGTAGAAGACATGAGGGAACTCTGTCACTAAATCACGGCAGAGTTCAAGGCCACTTGTAGACTATTTCATGTTACAGAAGGTGGCCTTTAGCTACTAAGCAAAGGCCTCTGTTTCTCATTTCTTTCCTGTTCATCTTCTTGGTCATCCTTCTTCCGCAAGGGAAACGAGCCCAAGCAAAAGGCAGTTTCAATATTAATTTGACCGAGGTTTTGTGCAGTTTATTATCATCCGGGTAATCAGGTGCAACCCAGTCTGCCTAGCAGCCCCCCTATCTCTGCTCTGTGTTTTCATTTAATAAACATTTTGGTCTACTTACTATGTGCTAGATTTTCTCGAGACCAAGTAAATGAGATAGAATCTTTATGCTGGCAGCTAAGTTAGATTTCACATAACTGACAAAAATTAAAATTTCTGATTTCTTGTAAAAATATTTTGTATGTGTGAATGCATACTGAATGTAAAGTGGATAAAAAACTCACACTTGCACTCATGGAAGGCTTTTCATGAATTTGTCAATTTTTATTTTTTATATTTCCCCACTTCACCAGATAATGCATACCTGAACCTGGAAACTGATTCCCACTGCAGAAAGTGTTCTGAGCCACATCCCTTAGCTTCACTAGTGCAGGTCCACCTGGGAGGATGTCCCAGCATCAGCTTGACCCATGCTGTGATCAGCCACCTCCATACATCACACCAAGCAAGCCCCTGGGTGATTCACAGTCTCCACCACCAGGGCACTGACCTTAACTCTGTGTTTTTCTAGCTCCCCATGAGGACACCGTACACGACATCACTAACGAGGACGCCACACACGACATCGCTAACGAGGATACTGTACACGACATCGCTAACGAGGCCGCCGACAAGGGCATCGCCAACGAGGACGCCGCCCACGGCATCGCCAACGAGGACGCCGCCCACGGCATCGCCAGCGAGGACGCCGCCCACGGAATCGCCAGCGAGGACGCCGCCCACGGCATCGCCAGCGAGGACGCCGCCCAGGGCATCGCCAACGAGGACGCCGCCCAGGGCATCGCCAAGGAGGACGCCGTCCACGGCATCGCCAACGAGGACGCCGCCCAGGGCATCGCCAACGAGGACGCCGCCCAGGGCATCGCCAAGGAGGACGCCGCCCAGGGCATCGCCAACGAGGACGCCGCCCAGGGCATCGCCAAAGAGGACGCCGCCCAGGGCATCGCCAAGGAGGACGCCGCCCAGGGCATCGCCAACGAGGGCGCCGCCCAGGGCATCGCCAAAGAGGACGCCGCCCATGGCATCGCCAACGAGGACGCCGCCCAGGGCATCGCCAACGAGGACGCCGCCCACGGAATCGCCAGCGAGGACGCCGCCCACGGCATCGCCAGCGAGGACGCCGTCCAGGGCATCGCCAAGGAGGATGCCGCCCAGGGCATCGCCAACGAGGACGCCGCCCAGGGCATCGCCAACGAGGACGCCGCCCAGGGCATCGCCAAAGAGGACGCCGCCCACGGCATCGCCAACGAGCTGTATACGACATCGCTAACGAGGACACCCTACAAGCCGTCGCTAACAAGTACACTGTACACAACATCGCTAATGAGGGCACTGTACAAGACATCACCAATGAGGGCGCTTTATACGACATTGCTAATGGCACCGACAAGGCACGCTAACGTGGACGCTGTACACGACATTGCTAATGAGGACAGCGTATAAGACATCGCTAGTAACTATCGCAAGAACAAAAAACCAAACACCGCATATTCTCACTCATAGATGGGAATTGAACAATGAGATCACATGGACACAGGAAGGGGAATATCACACTCTGGGGACTGTTGTGGGGTTGGGGGGGGAGGGATAGCATCGGGAGATATACCTAATGCTAGATGATGAGTTAGTGGGTGCAGCGCACCAGCACGGCACATGTATACATATGTAACTAACCTGCACAATGTGCACATGTACCCTAAAACTTAAAGTATATATATATAAAAAAAGACATCGCTAGTGAGCACGCTGTATACGACATCGCTAATGAGGACACCATACAAGGCATCGCTAACGATGACGCTGTACACAACATCACTAATGATGACACCGTATAAGACATCGCTAATTATGACGCTGTATACGACATCGCTAATGACACCGTACAAGGCACGCTAACGAGGATGCTGTACACGACATCACTAATGAGGACAGTGTACAAGCCATCACTAATGAGGACACTGTATATGGCATCGCTAACGAGGACACTGTACAAGGCATTGCTAACGAGGACGCTGTACACAACATCGCTAATGAGGACACCATATAAGACATCACCAATGAGGATGCTGTATATGACATCGCTAATGGCACCCACAAGGCATGCTAACGAGGACGCTGTAGACGACATTGCTTATAAGGACACCGTACAAGACATCGCTAACGAGGACGCTGTATACGACATCGCTAATGAGGACGTTGTATATGACATCGCTAATGAGGATGCTTTACAAGACATAGCGAATGAGGTTGCTGTATATGACATCGCTAATGAGGACATTGTATATGACATCGCTAATGAGGACGCTCTATACGACATCACTAATGAGGACGCTGTATACAACATCGCTAATGAGGACGCTGTATATGGCATCGCTAATGAGGATGCTGTATACGAATTCGCTAATAAGGACGCTGTATATGACATTGCTAATGAGGACACTGTACAAGACATCTGTAAAAAAGAAGATGCTGCCAATGTAAGACACTTTTCTTTGTCTTGAACAGAAATGTTACTTTCCTGGCTTCTTTCCAATCAGATGTAGGCATGAACATCTGCCAGTGTGCATTATCGATGTCATCTGCAGTTTAATCAAATGTAGACATGAACATCTGCCAATGTGGACTATTTATGACATCTGCAATTCCCTTGGTGTGGTGCTATTGATTGGCAGCCTCTCACCAACCCATGCCAGGCACACTGGGGTGTGGTAGATGGCAGCATCCACGATCCACTGCAATGCAGAGGTGTTTCCCTCCACAGCAGTTTTCCCCCATGGATTAAGAGTTGTGAAACTGCCAATCTAGATACACTTTAAAGATAAATTCTGTGGGAAAAGGTCTTGTCTTTTCCACAGGTGTCTTCCGTGCCAGTTTTGGGGGACTTCGACCTTTGACTCAATCACTATACCCCTTCCTATTTTCTCTCTCAAGTTGTCGAGAGACTATCAGATCTGTGTGACGTGTATGGCATCATTTCACCCTCCTAATGTTTTCTTTTCTATAATTGCAGGAGCCATTGACACTGGAGAATGATACGTACCCTGAAATAACTCACTTCCTGAGGAAAAAGCGCCATCTCTAGGGTACAGAAACCTGATTCTGGGCTCCTTTTGGGAAGGAGGATTTGGGGTCTGGTGAGAGCAAATGATTTTGCAAGTATAAAACCATGTCCAGAGAGGCTGTAGGGATATCTGTGAGCCCAGAGGAAACACCAGGGGATCCTGTGCGAAGCACCATGGCTTCAGCTAGGGTGGGAGGAGTGGGTGGGCCTCTCTCTAATGACTTATCCTGGTGTTTGTGTTTCTAAAGATTTGATTGTGGAGAGCATATCTGATGATGGGGATTTGTAGGTAGGTAACTGCTTTCCACGTAAGATCCAATTGGAGAGAGTTCCCAGGGGCCTTCGGGGTATCCATGCTGCTTGGGAGGTTAAGGGAGGGGGCATGAAATCAAAACGAAACAGGAAATATGTGTCATATTGGATTTGGTCTTTTCCGGGTTTATTGGCATAATAGTTGGAACTGTCTCTCTGGGCTATGAGGGTGCTGTGTTATTTAAAGGTGGTCTTTCCCAGAACACCTGGCCTTTTCTTTTCTGCCTCTGCCAAACATCACAGCCTTTGGGTTGGATTAGTCAGCACCCCTTGGGATTGTGCAGAAGAGGTTTGGGGTTGCATCGAGTGTCACCTGTGGTGAACAGAATCTGAGGGACACAACTCTCTCACAGGCACTTCCTCCAACCTGGAGACAGAGTTCTCCTGGTGTGTGCCCAGGGGTGGAGGAGAAATTGACAGTCTGCCTCTGAACTTTCAGGACTTTAAAAAGCACTCATGTTTCCATCCTCACTGTTGACTCCTGGCTTAAAGGGATCTCCCGGGGTGAGTGAGGAGGCGGGATCGGACCCTGGCAGTCTGACGGCAGCACCTGTGTTCCTCTGCACTGGGCCGTGGATGACATTACACACCTTGGTGAGAATCAGGAATTGAGGCTAACCACATCTGAAATTGAGATGGGCCTTGAGTCATATAAATAGTTTGGAAAAGATGCATTTTACTACGCTATTGAAAGAAACCATTTATTTCTCACTCCAGCAGGATAAATGGTTTTCAGTATCCATTTAACTGCTCATTGACTCTTACTGTAGATGAGGAGGTGGCCAGCAGCCCCTGCCCTCCCCCAGTTGGTAGGCCCAAGGTAACCAGCAATTGACTGGATATAATGGAAGAGTGGTGCATTCGGAGGTATCTGTATTAATGGGACCCACATGATATGGATGAGAGCTATTAGGGTGAGAAAAAGCCTGGGAGCACAATGAAATATTTAAATATTAAACAAAACATTGTTGAAATCTCCATTGTACTTTAGTAGTTGAAGTCATTCTTGTGGTCATCACTGCCTTTCCCAAGCATAACAAGCTACTTAATATCACATGGACCCGTGCCATGAGGAATGATGATCAGTTTGTAAAATGCCAATAAAACAATTGCCTATATAAGCCACAATGTTTCATCCATATATTTCAATTTCCATGTGTAAGTATAGTTCAAATTTCAGAAATTTATTATTATCTAATAGAATATGCATGGTATATCAATGAGCAATTATCATACTGTTTCTATTAACAATTATTTGTATGATGAAAAAAGCAGACTCCCATTCTTGGATTTTTCTCAGTTTGCACACATTAGCATGACAGCCCCATTTCCACCTGACATGTGCCAGCAAGAGGCCAGGAACAGAGGCTTTTCTTATTAACTAAGATTTCTAAATGTATTACGTATTCACATTTAGAAACTCTAAATATCATAAAAGGTTAGCAAGGAAGTTTCCCTTCCACTCTGAACTTCCAAACACCAAGTCAACATTTTTGTTTGCATATCATCCCTGCAATCTATGTGCAAATAGAAGCATGCACCTGGAATGCAGGCTGATGTGTGATCGTGTTTACACAAAGTCCTCTGCACCTCTGCATATATCACTGGGCAATGCACCTTAGTTATCATTCCACATTTCAAATGTAAATCCATTGTATTGTTTCAGAGCTATAAAGTACTGCACCCCATGACTATTCCCAAAATTACTTAAGCACCCCGCTATGGGTATCCATTTGTTCTGTTTCCAGTCTTGCTCTTATAACCAATGCTGTAGTGAACAGCACTGTGTTGAGAAGCGGTGAACGTGGGCATCTTTGTCTTGTTCCCTTCCTCAGGGGGAATGCTTTCAACTCTCCCCCATTCAGGAAAATGTTGGCTGTGGGTTTGTCATAGATAGCTTTTATTACCTTAAGGTATGTCCGTTCTACGCTGATTTTGATGAACGGTTTTAATCATAAAGAAATGCTGGATTTTGTCAAAGGCTTTTTCTGCATCTATTCAGATTATCATGTGATTTTTGTTTTTAGTTTTATTGATGTGATGTATCACATTTATTGACTTGCGTATGTTAAACCATCCCTGCATCCCTAGTATGAAACCCACTTGAATCATGGTGGATTATCTTTTTGATATGCTGTTGGATTCAGTTAGCTTGGTTGTAGCATTTCTTATTATTCCATCTGTGGAATGTATTGGTTGAAATAATGAAAACATGTTCTATCCTCACTGCTTAGCACTTTGTGTTTCTTTAATAGCCTTCCCAACAGGGCAACATAAAAGCAGGAGCCCTGCTAGTCTCCCCTTAACCCGGAATCCCCCCTTCTCCACAGCTCGCTCATTGGACAGGATAGACTGGGCGCCCAGGCTTCAAGGTAAGGACGTGCTCTGTCACCTAGAGGTGCAGTGCTTGGGAAGGCCAACCTTGGAGGGTTGCCTGCCAGCTTTACAGTGACAGAGGTGTTGAGAGGGACTGACCACCAGTGCATAAGGCTGTGCTTTGTTGGTGACATAAAGGATTGTTTCACAGATTGTTGGGGAGGGACAATCCCAAGGCCTCCCCTGGCCCTGGTGCTGGCTCTGCACAAAGGCAATAAGAGAGGGATGCTGGTAAGGGCTGACCTGTTGCTGTGCTGGGGAGGAAGGTGCTGGGCTGAAATTCAGGAGGCTGAGGATGCAGCAGTCCCATAGGAGGTACATGACCTTCAGGATACATTTTCTTCATTGATGATCAATGGAAATGAGAAATCACTGACTATTTTTTCTATCATTGGAATCTACTCTCCACTGCTCATGCTGTTCCTGTCTTTTGGGGAAGATGGAGGATCAATCAGTGTGCACTGCACTGAGTGGAAGGAAGGAGAACTGTGACAAAAATTAAGGAAGGATGAGAGACGGGAGGGCCCTTCATCCAGCTGCTTGCAGAGTCCTCCTGAGGAGGAAAGCCCCGTGGCTCCCTGGAGAAGGAGCATTGAGGGCTGCGTGACTCCCACAGTGAAGTGTGTGGTATGTCTGAGGACACCCAGGCTGGTGGTCCATGAGGAGCCAGTGGCAGAGTGAGAAGCAGAAAGGCCAGGAGGGTGGCTGGAGGCCAGGCTCTGAGTCATTCTCCATGTGATGGAAACAGCCGGAGCCCAGTGGGCTTGGAGGTACAGGATGCGGTGGCTGATGACAGAACAATGTGGAGAGAGGCGTCATTTGTCAAATCCTTACTTTGTTCTGGGCATTGTGCTAAAAATTCTGATGGCTCATCCCATTTAGGGGCTGAAAGTTGCAGAGGTTTAGGAAGCTCACCCACGATACTGGAGCCCCCATCTCCTGCCCTAGTGCTGTCCACCTTCTCACCCAGCCACCACCTGTTTCGGGGGAACACACAGAAGTGGTAACCTCTTATGGAGAGGCAAGTAAATTCTGCTGTTTTTGTTATTCACAGAAAAACACTGGCTCGTGTGGGTTGGGAAGGTGAAATACCAGAAGTATTTCATCTGGTTATTTCTACCCATGCGACTCCTATAGTATTGAAATGCATAGGTTAGCATTTTTGGCCAATTTACTCAGCATTCTGGGTTAAAGGCTTTTACTTATTTTATTTATTTATTTATTTATTTATTTTTGAGATGGAGTTTCACTCTTGTTGCCCAAGCTGGAGTGCAATGGTGCGATCCTGGTTCATTGCAACCTCCGCCTCCCAGGTTCAAACTATTCTCCTGTCTCAGCCTCCCAAGTAGCTGAGATTATAGGCACATGCCACCACACTGGGCTAATTTTTTTGTATTTTTAGTAGAAATGAGATTTCACCATGTTGGTCAGGCTGGTTTCGAACTCCTGACCTCAGGTGATCTGCCCTCCTCGGCCTCTTAAAGTGCTGGGATTACAGGCGTGAGCCACCACGCCTGCCCTAAAGTCTTTTAAAATTCACTTGTATAAGTTGACTTAGTTTTCTTTAACCTTGTAGAAAAATACAAAAATGGCAATCTCTTTTATCACACAAATAATGTCTTTTTAATGGAGTGATTTTTTTCTAATTGAGGTATTATGTACTTTTCATTTACTAATTATTGTTTACATTTGAAGTGTTTTATGAATTAATATTTAATTGCATAGATGAAGATTACTAGTTATAGGCATTTTACTAACCAATACTCATTAAGCATAGCGTGGATTCCTATGACATCAAGGAGCTATTTTATTTGGTAAAACGAAAAAGCACAAGAATGAACGAACGCAAGAACTGAAACAGTGGAGACACCTAGAATGACTTGTCTAAGATCTAAATCATTTTGTTGTCTTCCCAGCGTACTTATTATCCTGATCATTGTCATCAGCATTGTTTGGGTCCTTTTAGCACAGATTTCTCAAAATGGGTAACTCCATAACAGTTGGAAGCTTACGAATTCATATAATTTGTAAGAGGTCAATTTGGGAGTACCTATCTATTTTAAAATTCCAATAACCTGGGAATTTCATCCCATGTCTAGAGTCTTTTATGTAAAATATTTCCACAATTAGGAGAAATATGTGCATGGGGATTTTCTATGTAGCGGTGTTTTGATGGAATAGAAAATTGGGATAAACCAAATTTCCATCACGAAGGAAATAGTAATATGCTGAATAATAATACAGCGAATATTATGCAGGCTTTAAACATCAAAAAAGAGTTCAACTTCTGACTTCCGATGATGGTGTTGAAGCAGGTCACTGCTGGTTTACATTTGATTTTCATGTGGGAACTCTGGAAGTCCGCCTTAGTGATTTTACATGTGGCTAAATTGAGCTAATGACAAGCTGTTCGCAGTATGGCAAAATGGAACTTTAAAACAGTATCTTGTCAACAACCAAGAGGACCTGTTTCACATAAAGCCCACGCATTCATCTGCCTGTCCATCATTCTGTCTGTCCACACGGGCATCATTCGTTAGTGGAACTGAGTGCCCGCTGTCGAGCTGACAAGCCCATAACCTCCCTGTTCCTAGTCACACATTAATTCTTCAACAAGTCCCTTTTGATAGATTGTGATTAAGCTTAGCTACTATTTCCAATTGCTTCCCCAAACGTACTTCTCACTGTTCTCCCATCACACCCTTCAGCCCATCCATGCGGGGTTCCTTTGCTTTTCCCACCTTACACCAAACTCCCTATTTTTACTCCCACTTTTACCTCCTCTCCCAGACAAAACAAACAAAACTAGCATTTTAAAACTTAGTTGTAATCTTTCTTCCTTCATGAAAATTTCTCCAACAGCCACTCCCACGGTCCTGTGTGTTCCGGATATTTTAAAATAATGGCTATAAGGTTGAGCACTTCAGGATACGCTGTTTTGCTGTGTGCAGATGGAGGCAGTGGCTGGAGTGAATGAACGGCAACACTTGCTGGCAACCGGCAGAAGCTGAGAGACAGGGAACAGGCTCTCCTCCAGAGCCTCCAGGAGCCAGGCCTTTGGCCACCTTGAATGTGGGCTTCTGGGAGACCATGCGTTTCTGTTATAAGCAGCCCAGTCTCTGGCAGTTTTTACGGCTGCCCCGGAACACTCATCTATACCTGTCTGACAAGGTCAAGCTCCAAGGAAGGGACTCTCTACATATCTACATTGTTTGCAGATTTTACAATAATCATTTATTCTTGCATGGCTGATCATTGTTAACCAATACAAATAAAATAATAAAGAAATGACCCACATTTTATGTTGGGAGTTTGATCTGCCATTTATCAAGTATGGAATCTTGAACAAGGGGTTAAACATCTGAATGTCTCCATCACTTCATCTCTAAAGTGGGGGTGCTCACACCCACTGGGCTCCCCCGCCCAGGTTGGTGCCGGACTCTCCCTGGGCCCCCCTGTTCTCTCACCAGCCACATCCATTCTCCCCCCAGAGGCGCTAGTGACTGTGCGTGGCTTTCCATTCCCACCACGTTTGTCTCTAACCCCAGTGGCAGATCAGTGTAAGAACACAGCTGAGTGCTCCTCGCCTCCTTGCCCCTTCAAGGGCTCCTCACCACCCACCAGATCAGGTGCAAACTTCCAAGCCTTACTGGATCCCCTTCCACATTCTGAGCTCCGCCTGCCTTCCCATCGCTATCCTTCCCCACCTGCCTCCCTGGTAGAGAAAAGCGGAGTGTGTGATGCTGTCTGAATGCTGAGCATGGCCTTTTGCAGCCAGTCCACTGTGTACGCTGCCCCTATCGGAGACCTCCACCTTAAGCCTTTCCAGCCTGGAGGCTCCTCCCAGGGCCCCACAACAGAAGTGACTTCCCTTGCCTTTGAATTTCTATAGCACAAGCCCTACTGCCCCCCGTTAAAACTGCAAAGTCCTTTTGTGGAAAATAACTTTATTCATGACTGTGTTTATCACACTATCTTATGGAGAAGAGATGATCAATAAATATTTGCTGAATAAATGAATAGCAGTTACAAAACACTTGATTCATATGGAATTAATGTTGGTTCTCAAAGTGAAAAATTACAAAAAGCACTGATATTCAGCCAGTATACAAGTCTGGTCACAGCAGTTGTATAATACTGAAATACCCCCTGCCACTGACCTTTGGCCCCCAGATGCCTCCCACTGCCACTGCTCTCCCCACTGGGAACCCCTGAAGTTCCCACAGGCTCATAACTAAAGGGCTAATGTCTCGCACAGCAGCGAGCACCCAGGACCGAGCAGCCACATGGCCGGGTCTGCTGGTGAAAGCATCCATTCTGACTGATCAGGACCTGAGGGGCCTCATGGTTACATATTTTGATAATATCCCTAATTATAAATAAGGCTCAGTTATATAGTTTGAAAACAGTGCTTCTCCTCATTGCAAAATCTCTTAGAAGACTCCGTAGATCCAGGAACGGAAATGGAAAATGACAGCGTGTCAATCTCTGAAGGTTTTGGGCATTTCCATTAGCACTCCATCTTCATGTAAACCAGAAGATATGCAGTTTCCTGCCTAGAGAGAAGAGAAGACACATCAGCACAGCGGCATGAAACCTTCATCAGAAAACAATGCTTCATTAATCCGTGACAGGACAAGCGTCAGCAAACTTCCAGGCGGCTGGATTAGGCCTTCATCTATCCATCACCTTGGAGAGGAACAAAATAGGTGGCCTGGGAAGATAAGCACTATGTTTCTATTAGTTAATATCTAAAGCGGAGGTTAACAAGCTATGGACACACAAGCCAAACCCAGCCCTCTTGGGGTTTTTTAAATCTACTTTCAACTTTTATTTTAGATTCAGTGGGCACATGTGCAGGTTTGTCACGTGGATATGAGCATACTCCCCAACAGTTGGCCTTTCACCCCTCCCCTCCCTCCCCATCCAGCAGTTCCCAGTTGTTGCCATCTTTAAGTCAATGAGTCCCCATGTTTAGCTCCCATTTATAAGAGAGAACATGCATTATGTTTTGTTTGGTTTTTGCTGGTTTTTTTTTTTTTTTTAATGGAGTCTTGCCCTGTAGCCCAGGCTAGAGTGCAGTGGCACAATCTTGGCTCACTGCAACCTCCGCCTCCCAGGTTCAAACGATTCTCCCTCCTCAGCCTCCCGAGTTTAAAGTATGTATTTTTTTAAAGAAAATCCTCTTCAGTGATTTTCTAATTTTTCTAGATTTTCTAGTTTTTCCATGCCTATTTTCAGCAGGTTGCATTAACATGTACGTGGTGACTTAGCTTTCTGAAAAGAGCTATGGTATAATGAATATATGCCACTTGCCAGAAACCATGGTCAACACCATACATACCTCATTCCTAAGTGACCTATAAACATAGCAAGGCTGGCATTACCATGCCCATTTTATAGATGAAAAGATCAAGGCTTGGTGATGCTAAGAGACAGGTCTAAAGCTACAAGTTTACAAAGTAACAAAGTCAATTTAATCATAAGCACATTCACTTCTTTGTTCACTTTTCAGATACAATGTTTAAAAATATGTCAAATGATAAGCATTTCCTATTTGTTTTACTCTGAAATATAGTGATGTCCTTTGCCAGCTACTTAAAAATGTTTTGTCCTTACTCTGAAATATGAATAACTGATGTGTTTGTTTTTGAGACAGGGTCTTACTCTGTCACTCAGGCTGAAGTGCAGTGGCATGATGTCGGCTCACTGCAACCTCTGCCTTCCAGGCTCAAGTGATCCTCCTACCTCAGCCTCCCAAGTAGCTGGAATTACAAGCGTACACCACCAGGCCTGGCCGATTTTTTGTAGAGATGGGGTTTTGCCATGTTGTCCAGGCTGGTCTTGAACTCCTGAGTGCAAGCAATTTGCCCACCTTGGCTTCCCAAAATGCTAGGATTACAAGCATGAGCCATAGTGCCCTGCCTACTGTTGTTTTTTGATAACTTGTTTGCCCTCTTCCTCCCTTTCTTACCCTCCCTCCCCTGATGGTCTCCCTCTCCTTTATAGATACAGGGCCAGTGGCCTCAAGCCAGTACCTTGGATGTTTACCTCTACTGTATTTTGGGCTAGGACATTATAATTAAATTTAATAACTATTGAAACAAACGTCAAGTTAAGATTTTGCTACAAGAAAGGTGGGTGGACATATATTAATAGTTTGGGAGTAAATGTCAATCTTTACGTTCCTGAGACCTTATATTTTATTTATTTATTTATTTTGAGATGGAGTCTCGCTCTGTTGCCCAGGCTGGAGTGCAGTGGCATGATCTCGGCTCACTGCAAGCTCCACGTCCCGGGGTTCACGCCATTCTCCTGTCTCAACCTCCCCAGTAGCTGGGACCACAGGCGCCCACCACCACGCCCGGCTAATTTTTTTTTTTTTTTGTATTTTTAGTAGAGACGGGGTTTCACCGTGTTAGCCAGGATGGTCTCGATCTCCTGACCTTGTGATTCACCCGCCTCAGCCTCCCCAAGTGCTGGGATTACAGGTGTAGTAAGCCACTGGCCCAGTCTCTTTTTTTTTTTTCCTGGCAGTTACTTTCTAAATTACATGTTTTTTGTTTTTTCCTTTAAAACCTTTATTGTTGACAGGTTTTTCCACTTACATTATTTATCTTGCCTGGGCCATGCTCTTCCCTAAAAATTCCACTAGAGAGAAACTAGCTTCCAAGCTTTTTCAGGTTGTTAGCAGAAGTAACTTCCTTGAGGCTGTAGCTCCGAGGAGCTCAGCTTTTTGCTGCCTGTTGGCTGAAGGCTGCCCACAGTTCCTTGCCATGTGGGCTTCCTCAACTTAGCAGTTTACTTCATCAAGCCAGCAAAGTGGATATGTGTCCCAGTCTCCTACGACGCAGTCCTAAATAATGTGGTGAAGGGAAGTCGTAATCAATGTCATCAATGGACTCAGATAAATCACATCATTTTTGCTGTGTTCTCTGGGTTAGAAGAAAGTCACAGGTCCCATTCACATGGAAGAGGAAGGGATTTCACAAAAGCATGGACACCAGGCACTTTATATCTATCCATGCCCACATTTTACAGAACAAGAGAAAGACCATAAAATGAAACTCTTGAGAAATGATCATTCAACATATGACTTTAGTTGCCAACCTCTCAGGCTACTTTTAAAAATATAAACATATGTTCCAGTTTAGATATATGAATATTTGAACACTTTCCTGGAGTCCTTCTTTTAAGATCACAAATAGGGAATATAACTTTATAGCTTAGATGATATATAAAAAATAAAGATCAGATGTAACCAGAAACTGAGTTTCTTTTTTTTTTTTTTTTTGAGATGGAGTCTCACTCTGTTGCCCAGGCTGGAGTGCAGGGGCATGATCTCAGTTCACCACAACCTCTGCCTCCCAGGTTCAAGTGATTCTCCTGCCTCAGCCTCCCAAGTAGCTGGGACTACAGGTGCCTGCCAGCATGCCGGGCTAATTTTTGTATTTTTAGCAAAGATAGGGTTTCACTATGTCAGCCAGGCTGGTCTTGAACTCCCGACCTTGTGATCTGCTTGCCTTGGCCTCCCAAAGTTCTGGGATTACAGGCATGAGCCACTATGCCTGGCCCAGAAACTGAGTTTCTACTCTGGCAAGTTAAACAAAAAATTAGTACATATCAGGCTGGGTGGCTCTAGGCCACATGCAAGCAAGCTGCAAACTGAATTGCCTCTGCAGCTGCAGAAGGCTAATTTCTACATTGATATTTGGAAACACTAACAGCTAGAAAACACCACTCTACTCATTTTTAAAAATAAGATCATATTAAATGATGTTACATGCATCATTTATATATTGCTCGCAGTGCCAGCATCCTCAAATATGGTTTTAATTTTGGTAGATATCTTGCTAGGGGGAGCACATTTCCAAGTTATCCAGATATAGGGCCCTCTTTCCTTCTCTTTCTGTCCACGTGCAACCAGATGCTTTGTGGAGTTAAAGTTGACATTTATTTAAATGCCACTTGGTGTCTGGTTTTTCACCTTTAATTTAGGGTTTTCTAGCTGGGATGTAAAAGAATCACTTGGAGGGATTTTTCAAAATACCAATGGCCAGGCCACTAGCCAGTCAATCAGAAGCAAAATCTCCTTGGATGGGACCTGGAAGTCTTTACAGTTTTCCAGCATTTTAATGAACATCCCTGATTAAGAACCACCGGGTCTTAAGAGTGTGCCATATGTATTTTTCAAGTTCCTAGAGGCTCTCCAAAACAAAACAAAAAAAATCTGCTTTATTCTCTGCCTGGTGTTGATGCATCAGTCTCTTTAGCCGTTAGTCTGATCCTGGAAATTTATGGTCATAATTTGATGAGCAATGTTGGGAATGACTTCTTCTTCTTTTTTTTTTTTTTTTTGTTTTGAGACAGAGTCTCACTCTGTTGACCAGGCTGGAGTGTAGTGGGGCGATCTCCGCTCACTGCAACCTCCACCCCAATACTTTCATTTTTAAATATTATTTATGGCATCCAGATTTGCATAAGATGGACTGGGTCAATGGCCATGCCCTTTATAAATCAATATTCTTAAGTTCTGCAAATTCAGTTTCCTAAAGAGCCAAATCACATCCTACTCATCAGCAAGGCGGGTAGACATCATTTTCACAATCACTTCTAATTTTCCACCATTGTAAAAAAAATAAAATATGTAATCACTTTCTTATTGTAAAATAAAGAATTTACTTTTCCAGGACCTACTGCCTCCCTGTTCCCCCCCCCCTTTTTTTTTTTTCAAACAATCTTGAACCCTTTGTCACGAGTCAGTTGCCAAGAGAAGCCTATTTGTTGGTTTGAGAGCAGTTCATGCAGACACAGACCACTTCCTCTGAGAATTCATTTGCTTCCCCAGGATGGAATCTGGCTGGGCCTCTGACCTTGCTGGTCACGTGGGCCGGGGCCTCCATCAGTCATACCCTGGACTCCTATCTGTGTCTAAACACACGCCCCACCCCCAACTGCACGGCAGCCACTCGCATAGCACTCTGGGAGGGCTGTGGGCATGAGCAGCGAGGACTCCATCAGCAGCTCCCCCACATAAGCCCTGCTGATGAGGGGGCTTGCGAAGCAGCTTTGATGTGCTGGTAAATCCAGGTGCAAAACAGAACTCAAGTTAAGGCCTCCGCACAGCACTGCGTTCTAACTGTGAAGGATTCTTACTCTAGTGTCCTGTGTGGAGGTATTGGAATTGTCCATTGCTAAGACTCAGAGGAGAAAAGCACTTAGCATCGCAGGACTTGGAGCACCGGTGCTGAGGCAACCCTTCATTCATTCGTCGGATGTGTGTTAAGGCCCAGGGCAGGGGTCAGGGTTTCTCCTCTCACACAGCACGTGGGTGGCAGGACCAACACCGGGTCTGACCTCCCAGCCGGGGGCACAGGCTGCTAACCCCAGGCCTGGAATCTGTCAGATGCCCTTCCCGTGCTGACTTGACTTAGACAGGCCTCCTGACCTTCCCGCAAAGGTCATGTGTGATTCGCAGGGGTTCTGGCCGCTTGAAAGGTTCCTGAGAAAGTACATGCAATGAGGACAGAGCTTGCAGAGGGAGGACAGGCATGCAGAAGGCTCTGTGTGCAGCCCCAGACCTGGGTACCTTCGTCACCGTCCTCACCCCACCTCCGGGTGCGCAGATAGGGAGCAGGTCTCCTGTGTTATGGCCCAAGCAGGGCTGTTAGGACACTGAGAACATTCCCTCCTCCCGCAGGAGAGAGAGGTCCAAGGTGCCCTACATCGTGCGCCAGTGCATGGAGGAGATCGAGCGCCGAGGCATGGAGGAGGTGGGCATCTACCGCATGTCTGGGGTGGCCGCAGACATCCAGGCACTGAAGGCAGGCTTCAACGTCAGTGAGTGTCGGCCTGCGCAGGACGGGATGGAGGTGTGGGCAGTGGTGTCCCCGATGAGATCTCAGAGTGCTCCATGGCCCAGGCATGTCACATCCTTCTCTGTGTCTTTTCTTCATTTACTGTTTTATTATTTTTAAAAAAGAGAAAACAAGAGTTGTACAAACAGCTTCTATAGAAGCCAGTTTTTACACCATCGTACCCACTCGTGCCACTTGGTGCAGTGGACCAGGGGCTTCTGCGGGGCCTTGGCCTTCCTGCCTTGGGGTTGGACAGGAGGTGGAAGCCCAGGACTCAGTGCGGTCTGTCCACTGCCCTGTATGAGGATGTGGTGGGCAGAGGGCACTGATGAAATTCAGCGCAGGCCGGGGCTGCAGCCTCTCCGCCTCCATCTCACCAACCCTCACAGGCTTTGAAGGACCCGGACCTGCCTCAAATGCCAGGGGAGGGCACTGAGACCCCAGAGGGTCCTTCCCAGCATCTTCAAAGCAACAGGATTTTGTGCCTGCAGACCCTTCTTTGCAGCACACACCACCCACCCTGACCAGGACCCTTAGAATGCCCAGCATCCCTGGGAGGGCCCTGTGGTAGTTTCAGCTCCCTCTGAGGGCCCAGAATGAACCTGGCCTGTGGTGAGGATGTAAGCACCAATGGCCAATTGGGTCCAAAGGAAGACACCGGTTCAAACACTGAAACCAATCAGATTCTCCCACGGCCTTCCTGCTATCAGAAGACACTGGTGCAGGGGTGGTTGCTATGTACAGGGCAGAGCCACCCAATCCCCACGCAGGCGCTGTGTCCTGCCATGCTGGCCTCCTCCTGGCCATCACATCAGGCCAAGCAGGGGAGAGGAATGGGAATGCCCACGCACCCCTATCAACTCTGCAGACACAGAACCATGCACAGCTCTTGGGAGGAGTCAGATGAGCTGCTCAAAGCCCAGGAGGGACCCACACAGTGGTCAGCATGGCAGGGACGGTGCTTTAGCCAAGGCAGGGATGGTGGGTGACTCACTCAGGATCTTCAAGGAGGCCGCTGCATTTCCGTGCTCTTTCCAGATAACAAGGACGTGTCAGTGATGATGAGCGAGATGGACGTGAACGCCATCGCAGGCATGCTGAAGCTGTACTTCCGTGAGCTGCCCGAGCCCCTCTTCACTGACGAGTTCTACCCCAACTTCGCAGAGGGCATCGGTGAGCACTGGAGGCCTTGGCCTCATGGGAGACGTCTCCTCCACGTGCACTGCTGCCCTCAGAGGCTGTGAAAAGTGAGGTGTGGGAACCCGAGCTGTGCTTCCTCTGCCATGGTCGGAATTTTAACCCAACCTCAAAAAGCAGGGGACCAAAACTGAGCCTATCCTGGAAGGCCTTGCCCATCCCCAGAGGGCTCCCCATCCATATTTCTCAAGGAGGCCAAGTGGGTGAAATGGTCAGCACTGCCGTGCTGTGGGGTCCTAAAGTCTGCTGTCCTCCTTCCTGCAGACCAGGGCTAAACACTGGTGCCCAGGTGCTCTTGCCATGGGTCCTGGTCCAGCCAAGCATGGTTTCAAACATGACCTGACCCTTAGTCAACCTGGAGGCTGATGTCTAGAGTGGGCGCTGGAGCGTGCAGCACCTGTAGCCTGTGCATCACCCTTAGGGCAGGTCTGCCTCCCGGGCCCATGCACAGAGGACCTGGTCTCCCAGCCTGCAGGTGCCCCTGTGGTGTCCAGGATGTCGAGGGGGTCTCTGCGTACTTGGTGGGGCTGGGACCCTCCCACTTCCCACCTCCTTGTGTCCCTCACTCCCCTGTTTCATTCCATGCTGAGCCTCCCCTGCCTTGGGCTCCCTGGGGAGGGGGTGGTGGCAGGAGTTGCCCGAGGGCAGCTCTGCCCATGAGCAGCTGCTCTAGCGGCTCCTCCTGCTGCTGTTCGCCGGGTGCTGCTGACCCCTGCGAGGTAGAGAAAAGGCGTTCAGGTGGTTCACACCCCACACAGGTGCCCCTCACAGGGTCCTCACTGGCGGCCAGCGCTGTGGGTGTGACGATGATGACAAGCCTAAACTGCGCAAGGACTCGTGTCCCTGGCGCTCCATGTGACCACCTCGGGAGAGGTCTCCGGCTTGTCGTAACCCAGGGGAGTGACCCACTGCCTCCTGCAGCTCTTTCAGACCCAGTTGCAAAGAAGAGCTGCATGCTCAACCTGCTGTCGTCCCTGCCGGAGGCCAACCTGCTCACCTTCCTTTTCCTTCTAGACCACCTGGAAAGGTAGCCCAGCTCTCTTGTGGCTGCCCAGGACTCCAGGTCTCCAGGCCGTGGGGTGCCCCTCTGCTCCCACCAGACCCCCAGCACCAAGGACCTTTTCCCCCGACCCCTGTCTGCAGTAACTCACTGCTTCTAAGGACTAGCACCACTGCCACCCCCGCCCCTGCCTCTCCTCTTTGCCACCCTCCTCCCTCTGCACTGTGGCCTTAACAAAGAGCTCAGAGCTTTGGCCGTGGCCAGCAGTGCATTTGGACCGCCCCCCCTTCCCTCCCAAGCACATCAGGAAGACCTCCCCATCAGCCCAGAGCTGGCCCCTTGTCCTGGGCCACTGAGACCCAGAAGTACCAAGGCTGGAGTCAGCTTGCAGCACAGCCAGGGTCGAGGTCACTCCCTCCCTGAGGACTCTAGCACGGCACAGCCCCTCTGCCTCTCTCCTGGTGGTGGCGTTGAAACAGCACCCTCTGCTTCGGTCCTCTACAGGATGGCAGAGAAGGAGGCAGTCAATAAGATGTCCCTGCACAACCTTGGCACGGTGTTTGGCCCCACGCTGCTCCGGCCCTCCGAGAAGGAGAGCAAGCTCCCTGCCAACCCCAGCCAGCCCATCACCATGACTGACAGCTGGTCCTTGGAGGTCATGTCCCAGGTATGGGAAGACAGCCTCCAGCCCATGCAACCCCAGCCTGACAGAGGTGGCCTCTGCCTGCCCCACCCCCAGTCCTGCCCATCTTCCGACTTGCATTGTATGTGGTGGTGGCTGAGATTCAGAGACAGGGACTTGCCTAGGTTTGCATGGATGGGAGTGATAGGGGGTGCCTAGGCCACCTCCTGGTCCTGCTGGTGCACCTTGCTGGGGGCTTAAAACCACCCCAAGTGTTCGAGTGTGGTGGCTCATGCCTGTAATCCCAGCACTTTGGGAGGCCGAGGCAGGACAACTGAACCCAGGTGTTTGAGACCAGTCTGGGCAATGTAGCAAACCCCATCTCCAGAAAAAATACAAAGAAAAATTAGGCAGGCATTGGGGCACATATCTGTAATCCTAGGTATCTGGGAGGCTGACACAGGAGGATTGCTTGAGCCCAGGAGTTAGAGGCTGCAGTGATCCATGATGGAGCCACTGTACTCCAGCCTGGGGGACAGAGCAAGGCCCTGTGCATCTCTAAAATAAATAACCACCCCCCACCCAACAAGTCATGCCTTGTCAGGACCCCACCCCACCCCCGTCTCACTGTAAGGGGTTCATGACACCAGCAGGGGTTTCTAGCACCTGAGGTGGACTTGGGATCTTGGGCCCCAAAGACCTCCCACCAGCAGCTGTGCGCCCCCTTCCGAGCCACTCTCCTCTTCCCCACTCCGCGAGGGCAGGTCGAGGTGCTGCTGTACTTCTTGCGGCTGGAGGCCATCCCTGCCCTGGACAGCAAGGGACAGAGCATCCTGTTCTCCACCGATGTCTAAAGGTCCCAGTCCATCTCCTGGAGGCGGACAGACGGCCTGGAAACCTCTGGCTAATCAGGCCATCTGTAGAGTGGGAATCAAGATTTTCTGAGGCATCCTTGGGCCACCCCCAGGTGTCAGGCCATCTGCCAAGAGACAGCGGCCCAAAGCAGAAGGACAGGTGGCCTGGGCAGATCCCGCCCAGGTCTGAAAGCCCCAGGCTGGCCTCAGACTGTGGGTTTTTTATGTGGCCACCCGAGGGCGCCCCAAACCAGTTCATCTCGGAGTCCAGGCCTGGCCCTGGGAGACAGGGTGAAAGCAGTGGTTTTTATGAACTTAACTTATAGAGTCTAAAAGATTTCTACTGGATCACTTGTCAAGAAGCGCCCTCTCTGGGGAGAAGGGAACGTGACCGGATTCCCTCACTGTTGTATCTTGAATAAACGCTGCTGCTTCATCCTGTGGGGGCCGTGGCCCTGTCCCTGTGTGGGTGGGGCCTCTTCCATTTCCCTGACTTAGAAACCACAGTCCACTTAGAACAGGGTTTGAGAGGCTTGGTCAGCACTGGGTAGCGTTTTGACTCCATTCTTGGCTTTCTTCTTTTTCTTCCCAGAAGGATTTTTGTGCAGAAATGGGTCTTTTGTTGCCGTGTTAGTCCTCCTTGGAAGGCAGCTCAGAAGGCCCGTGAAATGTCGGGGGACAGGACCCCCAGGGAGGGAATCCCAGGATACGCACTTTAGGGTTCGTTCTCCAGGGAGAGCGACCTCGTCCCCCGATCCTGACCGCCCTTCCGGCCCACGCTCTCCTGTTTGGCTTCCACAGGCCTGGACTTCTCTGGCTTCTCTGCCCACACACTCCCTGCCCCCAGTGTCCCTGCCCCTGCCCCAGCACAGGTGACTTCATTTCTGTCCTCTCAGCTCAGTGGACTCGCTCAACTTTTGTATAAGTCTCCACTTGGTGGCAGCAGCTTGCTGATGACTTGTTTTAAAACTTTCATCCTAAATAACCTTTTGATACTTGAATATTTGTAAGTTTTATACATAGTTTCTAATTTTTTCCCCAACAGATCCAGATACCTAATAAGATGCTGGAATGTAATCCCTGGACAATCCGTGTCCTGGCAGCATTTGGTCTTCCTCTAAGCGCCTGGCTCCGCTGTTCTCAGGAGTGGGTTCTGAAGTCTCTGGAGAACAGGATACGTGGAGGGTTAGGAAGGGGCCAGGCCTAGAGACGGGAGACTCCCTCCCGGAGCAGGTGGAGGCACAGGACCATTCGCTACCCCATCTGCCGGCACCTGCGGGGGAGCCCAGGCATTCTTTGTAAGCCCTCCTGACCACCTGGCTCAAAGAAAACAGAAGCATGGAGGCCGCCAAGTATTTTCAAGAAATAACCCCATGAACATGGCATCACTTTTTTAGAAAGAGGGGCTTGGGGCAGGCAGAGGAGAGAAGGGAGAGCAAACTGAGAGCCAAGTTTCCAGACAGTCCTGCAGGAGGAGAGGATGCAGCTGCGCAGAGGGAAGCAGGATCACATTTAAGGAAGTGTGTGGAGTCCCTGGATGACACCAGCACCCAGTGCGGCTCTGTCTGGCAACCGCTCCCAAGGTGGCAGGAGTGGGTGTCCCCTGTGTGTCAGTGGGCAGCTCCTGCTGAGCCCGCAGCTCACTGGGGAGCCTGACAGCGGGGCCATGTGCCTGACACTCCTCTCTGCTTGTGGACCTGGCAAGGCAGGGAGCAGAAAACAGAGCCACTTGAAGGCTTTCTGTCTGCGTCTGTGTGCAGTGTGGATTTAGTTGTGCTTTTTTCTTGCTGGGAGAGCACAGCCACCATTTACAAGCAGTGTCACCCTCGTGGGTGGCGAGGACAGAACAGGAGCCTCTGCTCTCTGTACCTATCTGGGCCCGGTGGGCTCCCTTGTCCTGGCTTCCATCTCTGTCTCAGCGACCATTCAGCCCTGCGCAGGAACACATGTTGCTTAGAAAAGCCAAATCCAGCCTTGTCTCTGCCTCCTCTGGTCTCATGATGTGCATCTGTTACCTTGAAACTGGAAACCAGTCTATCAATGTCTGTGCCAATTTTTTATTCCCTCCCCAACCTCCTTCCCCATACGACTTTTTATTTATGTAGGATGTGTGCTGTCTAATGATGGGATGACCACACTTTTCCATGTTCTAAAAGTGCTCCTCTCCCGCAGGGTCCCAGGGCTGGTGGTTGCTTTGGGTCTACAGCTACGTCTTACCCGCCTCCTGCCTCAACAGCCTGTGTGGTGGCAAAGCCGGTGTGGGGCTGGGGAACGCAGCGTTCTCCAGGAGGGGGACCCGGCTCTCCTTCTGCAATGCAGGCGAAGGCCTAGATGCCAGTGTGACCTCCCACAAGGCGTGGCTTCCAGACTCCCCGGCCGGAAGTGATGCTTTTTTGCCGTGGGCCCTGGGTTTGAAGCAGCCTGGCTTTCTCTTGGTAAGTGGCTGGTGTCTTAGCAGCTGCAATCTGAGCTCAGCCACCTACACACCACCGTGGCCGACACTTTCATTAAGAAGTTTCCTGAGACGACTTGCGTGCATGTTGACTTCATGATCAGCGCCGCTGGGAAGAACCCCTGAGCCGGTGGGGTGGGGCTGGAAGCAGCAGGTGCAGTGATGGGGCTGGGTGCCCAGGAGGCCTCAGTGCTCAATCAGGCCAAGGTGGCCAAGCCCAGGCTGCAGGGAAGGCCGGCCTGGGGGGTGTGGGTGAGCACAGGCAGGCACCAGCTGGGCAGTGTTAGGATGCTGGAGCAGCATCCGTAACTCCACTGAGTGGGGTAGTCTGGTTGGGGCAGGGACCGCTGTTATTTTGGCAGAGAGAGATGATCCCCACTGGGGAGAGGCTGTTCTGACTCTGCAGGTGGGACAGGGACAGATGGCCACCAGGGTGACCCGGCTGGTCTTCCTTTGCTATGCTAAGCCCTGGGACATGGAGGATTCCTGCCACACAGCCTGGGCCCGGGTTCTTACCTGTGGCCACCGCTCTGGCATGAGCCCCTCAGTCTTGGGTGGTTTCTGCCTGGTCCAGGATTTGGTGTTGCTGCTGAGTCCAGCCTTTCCACCACCTCCGCATGGGCTGTGGGTGTTGTCAGCTGCCTCCCGCCTTGGCTTCAGTAGCTCACCCAGCTTACAGGGGAGCTGCCCTGGGCTGGAGATGGGCACGCACCCTGGGTCCTACTTGAATGAATGCAGCTTGAGGAGACCCGGCCATATACACTGGGCCACAGGTTACCTTCGGCAATGCCCACATCAGCCGTCAGCCTGAGCCTCCCCAGGAGAGCAAGGCTCACACGACAAAGGCTGCCCGTGGCCAATGAGGTGGCTGAGCCCAGCCAGGACCTTTCTCGGACTCCCGGGATGTGGCTCTGCTCGTGAGCTGCCTGGTCAGCTCTCTCGGGGTGAGAGGGGCTTGTCACACGGGCCCCTGCCTGCAGTGTGACCCTTCTCAGCTTCTCTCAGCAGCCCTGCCTGCGGAGTGTCACCGCCACCATGATCATTTCCCTGACACTGCGAGGGTGGGGGGACGTCCTGGGTAGAGACAGGGCCCGTGGCAGCAGCAGGCTCAGGGGCACCCTGCACTGGTGGGCTGGGGACCTGGTGGAGACCACGCCAAGGGCTGGACAAGGGGACGAGCCTCCACCCTGGCCTCTCCGCAGGCCTCAGCAGCCCCTTCCACAGGCAGAAGGGTTGACACTGGGTTCTGCCCTCACTACAAGAGCTGCAAGTGCCACGTGCTGTTCTGCCCAATCTGGTGTCTGCAGGTGAGGGAAGGGCTGCCGCTGGCCCGTTTCTGAGTGTTCAGCACCTAAGGGTGACAGCACTGTCTGTCCCTACCCTCCGGGTCCTGTTTGAAAATCAAGCCCATGCTCACAGGCCGATTTTTTTTTCTTTTAGAGACAGGGTCTCACTTTGTCACCCAAGCTGGAGTGCAGTGGTGCGATTATAGCTCAATGCAGCCTCCAATTCCCGGACACAAGGGACCTTCCTGCCTCAGCCTGCCAAGTAGCTTGGACTATAGCTGTGTGTTTTCTTATTATTTTGTAGACATGGAGTCTGGCTATGTTGTCCAGGCTATTCTCAAAATTCCCGGCCTCGAGCAATCCTCCTGCCTTGGCCTCTCAAAGGTTGGGATTACAGGTGTGAGGCAAGGCACCCAGCTCAGCCACAGAGCCCTGTTGCATCTCTCTTACTAGGAGCAAGAGCTGACTGCCCCCTCATCCCCATTCCAGAGTGTTGGGGCTGTGTTCAGCCGAGGCCAGGCCACTGGCATGGCCCAGGGAGCGGGATCATTCACTGCTGCCCCAAATCTGAGATCATTCCACCTTGACAAGACTTCCTCATCCAATCCCTTTACTTGACAGCTGGGGAAACCAGTGCACACAGAGCACCCCCAGCTCACTCGGGGTCTCAGAGCTGATCCATGAGCGGAGGCTGAGATCCTGGGATCTTGTCCCCCAGCCTCCCTGCAAGCTTACTCCCTTTCTGCTGGAAGAGATGGGGCCGGACCTCGACCAGCAGCCCTGGCCTGGACATGACTGTGCTCATGCAGGTATTGAGGCCGAGATGCTCCAGCATCATATGTTTTTCTTTTTTTTTTTCTTTCTTTTTTGAGATTGGCTCACTGCAACCTCTGCCTCCCGCTTAAAGTGATTCTCCTGCCTCAGTCTTCCAAGTAGCTGGGCCTACAGGCTTGTACCACCACACCTGACTAATTTTTGTATTTTTACTAGAGACGGGGTTTCCCCATGTTGGCCAGGCTCGTTTCGAACTCCTGACATCAGGTGATCCACCTGCCTTGGCCTCCCAAAGTGCTAGGATTACAGGCATGAGCCATGGCGTCACTTAAATGTAGTGAGAGGCCGGGCTTGGCGGCTCATGCCTGTAATCCCAGTGCTTTGAGAGGACGAGGCTGTCAGATCACCTAAGGTCAGGAGTTCGAGACCAGCCTGGCCAATATGGTGAAACCGTGTCTCTATAAAACAATAGAAAAAAATATCCCTGCATGGTGGTGAGTACCTGTAGTCCCAGTTACTCAGGAGGCTGAGGCATGAGAATCGCTTAAACCTCAGAGACGGAGGCTGCAGTAAGCTGAGATGGCGCCACTGCACTCCAGCCTGGGTGACAGAGCAAGACTTTGTCTCTAAATAATTAAATAAATATGGCCGAGAATGGTGCCTTAGGCCTGTAATCCCAACACTTTGGGAGGCTGAGGCAGGTGGTTCATGAGGTCAGGAGCCCGAGACCAGCCTGGCCAAGACGGTGAAACACTGTCTCTACTAAAAATACAAAAATTAGCCAGCTGTGGTGGCAGGCACCTGTAATCCCAGCTACTTGGGACACTGAGGCAGGAGAATCGCTTGAAACTGGAAGTCAGAGGTTGCAGTGAGCCGAGATTGCACCACTGCACCCTAGCCTGGGTGATGGAGCAAGACTCCATCTCAACTAAATAAATTAATAAATACAGAGCAAGATTCCATCTTAAATAAATAAATAAACATACACCTGTAATCCTAGCACTTCGGGAGGCTAAGACAGGTAGATCACCTGAGGTCAGGAGTTCGAGACCAGCCTGACCAATATGGCAAAACTCCATCTCTACTAAAAATACAAAAATTAGCCAGGCCTTTTGACGTGTGCCTGTAGTCCCAGCTACTTGGGAGGCTGAGACAGGAGAATTGCTTGAACCCAGGAGGTGGAGTTTGCAGTGAGCCGAGATCTCGGCTGTACTTCAGCCTGGGTGACAGAGTGAGACTCTGTCTCAAAAGGAATAAAAAAAATACAAAAAAAAATGTAGTATGATTGCAGAGTCGTGCCGCGGAAGCCTGCTGGTCCTATCCATGTAGTGAAGGCTGATTTCATACAGAAATGTCACAATAACTTTTTTTCTTTTTCTTTTTTTTTGAGACGGAGTCTCGCTCTGTCACCCAGGCTGGAGTGCAGTGGCGCGATCTCAGCTCACTGCAAGCTCTGCCTCCCGGGTTTATGCCCTTCTCCTGCCTCAGCCTCCTGAGTAGCTGGGACTACAGGCCTGTGCAGCAGATGCTGGGGGGCCACTAGGCCCAGGCAGTCTTGGGACTTGTGTCTCTCCTGCTGTGCATCCATACTGGGTGCTTTAGAAATGGCAGGCAGACCAGAAGCCCCTGTTGCAAGTGAGGACAAAGTGTGGGAAGGCCGTGAGGGTCTGCAGTACTAAATGGCCTTGTCCTCAACCTGCAGTGCACTCCTGATGCGCTGGAAAGCCGCCTCCTTCTCCTGGTCCAGGTCTTCAGCAGTGACCCGGTACCCCAGCTCTAAGGGAGGTGGCAGCATCAAAGGCTCCCCTCGCCTGCGTGGCAGCAGGGGAAACTTGCATCTACAGGGCCTAGAGGCCTGGGATCTGGGGGAGCCACCCCTGGGGGCGAGTGTCTGCCCTGGTGCTGTATCTGCCATCTTTTCACACTGGGTGTGACCCGAAGAGACAGCCTGAGGTCCGTCCTCACTCACTGTGTTTCAGGAACTGAGGGTCAGCTGGCAGTGGGATGAGGCTGGCCCCCTTCTCCGCTTTCGTTCCGGGAGGCCTCCCGTAGAGCGGTAGGGGCTCGAGATGGCATTTCGTTTGGGGCACGAGCTGGTCCGGGAGGTCTGGGATCTCTGGTTCTGACCTCTGGGCACCTGCTGCAGCTGTGGCTGAGGCCCAGAAATGTGAAGGGCCTCCATCCACTCCAGTAGTGACCCCAACGTGGGGTTCAATGTGGAGGGGGGAGGGGCTGCTGCGGCAGCTGCAGGAGCAGAAGTGCCACACCTTGTTCTTCTCATGCCCGCATCCATGCTTGCAGCTGGGAAGGGGGCAGGAATCAGCGAGGTGACCTGGGCTGAGTCCTGGGAATGGGAAGAGGTGGCAGGAAGGGGATCTGAGGAGGAGAACAGGGGGCCTGGTGGTCTGTGCTTCTTCCCAGACATGGGAGCTGTAGAGGGGACCCCTGCAGCAGATGCTAAGGGGGCCAGTAGGCCCAGGCAGTCTTGGGACTTGTGTGTCTCCTGCTGTGCATCCATACTGGGTGCTTTAGAAACGGCAGGCAGACCAGAAGCCCCTGTTGCAAGTGAGGACAAAGTGTGGGAAGGCCGTGAGGGTCTGCAGTCCGAGATGGCCTTGTCCTCAACCTGCAGTGCACTGTTGATGCGCTGGAATGCCGCCTCCTTCTCCCGGTCCAGGTCTTCAACAGTGACCCGGTACCCCAGCTCTAAGGGAGGTGGCAGCATCAAAGGCTCCCCTCGCCTGCGTGGCAGCAGGGGAAACTTGTGTGTACTGGGCCTAGAGGCCTCGGATGTGGAGGAGTCATTCCTGAGGGCGAGTGTCTACCCTGGTGCTATATCTGCTGCCTTTTCACACTGGGTGTGACCTGAAGAGACAGCCTGAGGCCTGTCCTCACTCACTGTCTTTGAGGAACTGAGGGTCAGCTGGCAGTGGGATGAGGCTGGCCCCCTCCTCCGCTTTAGCCCCGGCAAGCCTCCCGTGGAGCTGTAGGAGCTGGAGATGGCATTTCGGTTGGTGCAGGAGCTCGTCCAGGAGGTCTGGGATGTCTGGTTATATCTGATTTCTGACCTCTGGGCATGGAGGTCTGTCTGCAGAGGCCCGGGCCCGGGCACAAAGGGAGAGAGGCCTCTATTGTCCCGCAGGGGCCGAAATGCAGACGGTGCATCCCCGGTGACCTCGGGGACCCTTCTCTGATCACCAGGATTCTCTTGGACTCTAGGGTCCTTGTCCTGCTCAGGCATCCCTGCCCCGCTCTCCTTGAGGGCCCTCAACACTATCTTCCCTGGACACAAGTCTGGGGACAGCCGGCTGTTGTGGACCCCAAAGGGGTGACTCCCGGCTCCTGGGCCCCACAGAGAGTCCATGTTCTCAGTGCAGTGGCTGAGCTGGAGGACGCCCTGGAACTCGGAGCACGCAGCACTGGCTTGCTGTGGTACCTGTGCAATCAAATTGAAGGCAGGATCCCAGGAAGGAAGGCAGGGCTTGCAGGATCACGGAAAACCTTCTTAGAGTTGTCTTGACACCACTGATGTCAAGTGTCCGGGTGCTTGTAGGATGGCCTGCCACTCAGTCCACGGGCAGGAGCAACGGGGAGATCCCACAAGCAAAGTGAACTGGGGGATGGGCTGAACGGGCTCCAGGCAACTGAGCCCTACTGGCAGGTCCTCGGCCTGGGCCCGAACAGGAAGGAGGGGCACAGAGTGCCCAGGTAACCGCTCCTGGGAGCAGTGGGGAACCGTCGGTTGCTTGAACTCTCGAGAGCTGGGCTCTGAGCGTCCTCGTCCAGCCGCCAACTCGGCCAACGGCTAAGCCAGCAGTTTCTTCTGTTGCCGGGCAACGCGCCTTTTAAACCTGAGGGAGCGGGCGCGTGAGCACATCACGGCGCCCGTGACAGAGCGAGCTTAACGGATTAATAAGCGCAGCCAGGTACCCGCGCGAGGCACTTGCTGGCAATGGCGGGAGGCGGACGTGGGGGGTCATGCAATAGGTACGGGAAGGAGAGAGGCGGGCACAAAGGTTGCGGGAGAAACAGGTGCCCACAATGGCGGCAGATCTGCCCGTGGATCACTGAAGATTCCTGCTCTCCTGCTGAGGTGGAGATTGCAGTGAGCTGAGATCGCACCATTGCACTCCAGCCTGGGCAACAAGAGCAAAACTCAGTCTCCAGATAAAGAAAAGAAAAAGAAAAAAAAGAGGCCGGGCGTGGTGGCTTATGCCTATAATCCTAGCACTTTGGGAGGTCGGGGCAGACGGATCACGAGATCAGGAGTTGGAGACCAGCCTGGCCAACATAGTGAAACCCCGTCTCTAGTAAAAATACAAATTTAGTCAGACATGGTGGCACGCGCCTGTAGTCCCAGCTACTCCGGCGGCTGAGACTGGAGAATCACTTGAACCCGGGGGCGGGGAAGGGATTGCGATGCGCCGAGATCGCGCCACTGCACTCCAGCCTGGGCAACAGAGCCAGACTCTTTTTTTTTTTTTTTGAGACGGAGTCTCCCTCTGTCGCCCAGGCTGGATTCCAGTGGCCTGATCTCGGCTCACCGCAAGCTCCGCCTACCGGGTTCACGCCATTCTCCTGCCTCAGCCTCGGGAGTAGCTCGGACTACAGGCGCCCGCCACCACACCCGGCTAATTTTTTGTATTTTTAGTAGAGACGGGGTTTGACCGTGTTAGCCAGGATGGTCTCGACCTCCTGACCTCGTGATCAGCCCGCCTCGGCCTCCCAAAGTGCTGGGATTAAAGGCGTGAGCCACCGCGCCGGGCCGAGACTCTGTCTTAAAAAAAAAAGGCCTGGGCTGTGGCACTTTGGGAGTCGGAGGCGGGCGGATCACGATGTCACGAGTTGGAGACCAGCCTGGCCAACATAGCGAAACCCCGTCTCTACTAAAACTACAAAAAATTAGCCGGGCGTCGTGGCGGGCGCTTGTAGTCCCAGCTACTCTGGAGGCTGAGGCAGGAGGATGGCGTGAACTCGGGAGGCGGAGCTTGCAGTGACCCGAGATCTCACCACAGCACTCCAGCCTGGGTGACAGTGCCAACCTCCGTCTCAAAAAAAAAAAAAAAAAGAGAGAGAGAGACAGAGAGAAAAAGGTTTATTGATTTAATGTACTTTTATGCCTGTGTTCTTCAATTTGCTTAGGAAAGACCCACACTTGAGAGCTGGGACTGTGTCCCTGATTGTGGACATGAAATATGTGGTTTCTTGCCAAAACTAGACACTGAATAATTACGATTTAGTTGAGCTAGAAATCCATTTGGTTTCTTCCATATTTTCCCAAAATTTTCATCCTTTTTTTTTTTTTGACATGGAGTTTCGCTCTTGTCCCCCAGGCTGGAGTGCAATGGCGCGATCTCAGCACCTGCTGGCAATGGCGGGAGGCTAGGGGACGCTGGCGGCATAGGTACTGGAAGGAGAGGCGCGCGCACAAAAGACTTGGGAAGACCTGGCGCGCACAATGGCTGCAGATCCGCCAGTGGATCACTGAAGATTCCTGCTCTCCTGTTGAGGCGGGGATTGCAGTGAGCTGAGATCACACCATTGCACTCCAACCTGGGCAACAAGAGCGAAACTTCGTCACACACACACACACACACACACACACACACACACACACACACACACACGAAAGAAAGAAAGAAAAATTAGTGGCCAGGCGTGGAGGCTCACGCATCCCAGCACTTTGGGAGGTCGGGGCGGGCGGATCACGAGATCAGGAGTTGGAGACCAGCCTGGCCAACAGAGTGAAACCCCGTCTCTAGTAAAAATACAGATTTAATCAGACATGGTGGCACGCGCCTGTAGTCCCAGCTACTCCGGCGGCTGAGACAGGAGAATCACTTGAACCCGGGGGCGGGGAAGGGATTGTGATGTGCCTAGATCGCGCCACTGCACTCCAGTCTTGGCAACAGAGTCAGACTCTCTCTCTCTTTTTTTTTTTTTTTTTTTTTGAGATGGAGTCTCCCTCTGTCGCCCAGGCTGGATTCCAGTGGCCTGATCTCGGCTCACCGCAAGCTCCGCCTACCGGGTTCACGCCATTCTCCTGCCTCAGCCTCTGGAGTAGTTGGGACTACAGGCGCCCGCCACCACACCCGGCTAATTTTTTGTATTTTTAGTAGAGACGGGGTTTGACCGTGTTAGCCAGGATGGTCTCGATCTCCTGACCTCGTGATCAGCCCGCCTCGGCCTACCAAAGTGCCGGGATTTAAGGCGTGAGCCACAGCGCCCGGCCCCGAGAGTGAATATCTTTTAACAGTGTTTTTCCTGATCTTTTCCAACATCTTCATTGTGGTTCTGTCCTTTATTTTTTGGTTAAATCCAGAGGTTTACTTCTGCCTGTATCTTTCCAAACTATTAATCTGTTCACAATCACTCTCCCATTTAAACCCTTCAGCAGCCCCAGTACCTTCGTAATAAGGTCTCCTTAGCTTGGTATCCAGAACACTTCAATACTGGGCTTTGACCCCTGTTCTCCTTCCCCCACCTCTGTTTAGGTGCTTCACTGAGCTGCACCGAACAGCTCTTGGCCCCTTGAAATCTCTGCAGTCTCCTTGTCTCCCTCTGCTGGAATATTCTTCTCTCACTTCATCTGATCATTGCCTTCAAAACTCAGCTCATTTTCTTATTTCCTTGCCCTTTTCATGTCCCTTGTTTTCCTCCGATTAAATTAATGTTCCAAACTCAAAAGAAAAACAACTCAGCTCAGGCATCACCTTGCCTGGAAGGCTTCCCTAGTCCTCCTGCCTCCCGCAGACTTGTCTGGCACCCTGTGCATTTGGGATTTGGCACACTATGTCTCATCTGCGGCCTCCACTGGACGATGAGACCGTAAGTGTGTGGCTTGACGGAAAGTTGTTGACTCTGCTGGGGTGCTGGTACAGTGCTGGGCACGGCAGTGTTACAGAGGAAGTGAGCCACTTAGTTTCTGCCCTTAGGAGCTTTTCTTCTAGTTGCAGTTGACCCTGCCAGCTGTGAGACACCTCCCAGTAGTGCATACCAACTTTCAAAGTCTGTTTAATTGTATCTTAGTGTCTGATTCCAATTTTATTTCTTGAAGGAGGGGAGTGTCTCTAATGTCTTATTTTGGCACCCAGAGACCAGGTAGGCATCATTTTTGTCCCAAATTGTGGAAGGAATGTACATTTGGCACAGATTACTTCCCTTTTTTCTCTTGTACGCCTTTCACCTTTTTTGTTTTTGTCTTTTTTTTTTTTTGAGTTTGATGTGTTTGGACAGTAAGGGTTTACGAGATTAAGATTAAATTTCAACTTTGTCTATTGTGCATATAGCCTAAGGAAAACAAAAAGAGGAAAAATACATTGCCTCTAAAAAGAAGACTCATTATTCAACTTTTTTTATTTTTAATTGTTTTCAGAGACTGGGTCTCACCCTATCACCCAGGCTGGAGAGGTGATCACAGCTCACCGTAGCCTTGAACTCCTGGGTTCAAGGGTTCCTCTTGCCTTAGTCTTCTCACTAGCTGAGACTGCAGGCCCGCACCAGCACACCTGGCTAATTTTACAAAAATTGTTTTGGAGAGATGTGGTCTTGCCATCTTGCCTAGGCTGGTGTGGAACTCCTGGGTTCAAGCAAACCTCCCACCTTGGCCACCCTAAGTGTTGGGATTACAGGCGTGACCCATTGTGCCCAGCCTAAACTTTTTTGTTTTTTTTCAATGCTGAGCTGTACACAGAAGAAAGTAAAGGTCTTGGTCAAGCCTAGGAAAGAAGTATGCAAAGAAACTGGTGGCAGGCTGGATGTGGGCATATTTCGGGGCTTTGGAAGGTGAGGAGGAGAGGATTGCTTGAGGCCGAGAGTTCGAGACCAGCCTGGGCAACATAACGAGAACCTGTCTGTACAGATAAACATTTTATAATTAGCCAGGTGTATGTACCCTAGAACTTAAAGTATAATAAAAAAAAATAAAATAAAATTCGCCAAGTGTGGTGGTGCGCACCTGTAGTCTCAGCTACCTGAGAGGCTGAGGCAGGGGGATCTCCTGAGTCCAGGTGTTTGAGGCTGCAGTGAGCCAGGATCACACCACTGTTCTCCAGCCTGGGCTACAAAGCGAGACTCTGTCTCTAAAGAAAAACATACTGGTGGCATTGTCAAGATTTGTCAAGAAATAGCCATTATGCTGGGCCCAGTGGTGTGCACCTGTAGTGCCAGCTTTTCAGGAGGCTGAAGTGGAAGAATCTCTTGAGCCTAGGAGTTTGAGTTCAGTCTGGGGAGCATTGCAAGAGCCCAGTCTCAAAAATATTAGGTCAATAAGATTTATTTTAATTAAACAAGAAAAAGAAATATCTGCTAAAATTTAAAGCTCTTCTATTCTTCCTCTGTCTCTTCTAGTGTTCTTGGGGAAGATCCCGACTTAGCCATTTTCCAGTGGCACCTCTTCCACCATGAGTTCCTGAGGCAGTCCGATGGGGCTACTTTATTCCAGAACAATCACAGTGAGACCTTTTCTCCCAATAAATGCCCCTTTTCTCTCCTTAATATATTCTCTTGCTTACAAAACACTGGTGTCTCCTTATCATGGTTTGGTTCTACCCCACTGGGCCCAAGAATTCTTGCCCAGGAGCAACTGAATTTTCTTCTTGCTTGCTTTTTAAAACTTTGGTGGGGTAGAGCCAATTTTAAATCTTCTGATCCATTTTTTCATTGCTTTTCTCGCCCTTCTGCATTTTCTGCAAATTCCGTTGAATCATTGCAGTTACTTAGGTTTGCTTCATCTCCCCCATTACAAACTACTTGCTGGAGTTTTCAACCCTAGTTCCCTCATTTTTATGATTTATGCTCATTTCTTTGTACACTTCGTCTTGCTCCATCTCCCAACTCATGGCCTCTGGCCCTGGATTATTGTTTTAGCCTTTTATTTTTTGTCTTCTTCTACCTCAACACTTATCTTCCTCTCCCAGTCTCCTGTACCCTATCACCAAGGTTGTCATTAACCTTTCATATTATTCCTCATTATCCATGTATTCATTTGCAAATAAGCGTATATTAACAAAATCACAGGTTTATGGAGATACAATTCACATACCTTAAAATTCAGGCTTTTAAAGTGTACCTTTCATGTGGTTTTTGGTATATTCACAAAGTTATGCATTGATCACCACCATCTGATTCCATAACATGTTCAATACCTCAAAAAGAAGTCTGTACTCATTAGCAGCCATTTCACATTCACCACTCCCTCTGGCTCTGGGCAGTCACTGATCTTTGTGTCTCTATGGATTTGCCTAGTCTAGGTATTTTTATGTAAATAGAATCATACAACATGTGACCTTTTGTTTGGCTTTTTTCATTTAGCAAAATGTTATTAAGGTCTATTCCTGTTGTAGCATGTATTAGCACTTCATTTCTTATATGCTGAATGATATACTTTATTTGTCCATCAGTTGTTCATGCTTTATTTGTCCATCAGTTGATGAACATTTGCGTTTTTGCCACTTTGGGCTATTATGAATAATGCTACTGTGAACAAGTGTGTACAAGTTCCTCTGCAAATTTTTGTGTGGACATATCCTTTCAGTTCTCTCAGGTGTATATCTGGGAGTTGAATTGCTGGGTCGTGTAGTAGCTACGTTAAACATTTTGAGAAACTGCTAAAATGTTCTCCAGAGCTGTACCATTTTACATTCTGTGTGTGAGGATTCCACGTTCTCCACTTCCTCACCAGTGTATGGATTTGGGGGTATACTTTTTAAAAAGTGGGATTGGGCTGGGCACAGTGGCTCACACCTGTAATCCCAACACTTTGGGAAGCTGAGGTGGGAGGATCACTTGAGCCTAGTAGTTTGAGACCAGCCTGGGCAACATAGGGAGACCCTGTCTCTACAAAAAATAATTTAAAATAAATTAGCTGGGCGTTGTGGCACACACCTGTAGTCCCAGCTACATGGGAGGCTGAGGTGGAAGGATTCCCTGAGCCCAGAAGGTTGAGGTTGCAGTGAGCCATGATGGCAGCACTATACTGTAGCCTGGGTGTCAGAGCACGACTCCGTTTCAGGGAAGAAAAAAAAAAAGTGGGATGATATTTTTGACACTTTTCTTCTTGTTTTCTTAATTTCATACTTCTGGAAATTCCATTAAATTAGCTGGTACCACTCTAACTCATTGTGTTTCATGGCTGCATAGTAATATTGCATAATATAAATATACCATTCATTCATCAAAGTTAGCAGATATTGACTGTTAGGTGCCAGGCACTGCTCTAAGCGTTGAAGAAAAACACACAAAAACTTTTGCATTCTTAGAGTTTATTTTCCAATGGAGGGGGTGGAGGGAGGTAAGAATTTAGGAAATAAATTAATTACATATATAGCATAGGGTTTCACCAGTGAGTGCAGCTTGAATCGTTGGCGGCTTTCTTAGTAGTATAAATACAGTACTAAAGATGAAATTACTCTAAATGGTGTTACTTAAATTACTGTAATAGGTATTACTATTAGTCACTTTGCAGGTGAAAGTGGAAACACCATCGTAAAATGAAAAATAGGAAACAGCTGGTTAATGTGGCTCTGGAATTTTTCTAGGACATAAACTGATGAGCTAGAAAAGTAAATGTGTCAGTCCTTGGTAGCAAAGTTTGTACATTTATAAATTTTATCCAAATCCTCTTAATCTAGTGATTAATAGACACTCTTCACAAAAGGATGAGTGAGGTATATGTGTATGTGTTGAAAGGTTCCGAAGGATGCAACTGAGAGTACTTTTTTTGTGTCATGGATCCTTTTGGCAGTCTGGTGAAACCTATAGACCCCGTCTGAGCATAACGTTTTAAAATGCATACGTGGCCCGGTGTGGTGGCTTACACCTGTAATCCCAGCACTTTGGGAGGCCAAGGTGGGTGGATCACCTGAGGTCAGGAGTTTGAGACCAGCCTGGCCAATTAGCTGGGCGTGATGGTGCGTGCCTGTAATCCCAGCTCCTTGGAAGGCTGAGGCAGGAAAATGCCTTGAACCTGGAGGTTGCCATGAGCCGAGATTGCACCACTGCACTGCGGACTGGGCCACAGAGCAAGACTCTGTCTCAAAAAAAAAAAAAAAAGAAAAGAAAAAAAAAAGCATACATAGGCCAGGTGTGGTGGCTCACTGCTGTAATCCTAGCACTTTGGGAGGCAGAAGCAGGGAGATCACTTGAGCTCAGCAGTTCAAGACCAGCTAGGCAACATAGTGAGACCCCATCTCTATCTACAGTTTCCTGCAGAGATCAAAGTAAAGTTCAGTGTAGGTGGTTGTTGTTGGGGAAGACACTCAGGAAGAGGACATGGGCTGAGTGTTCAGAAATGGTCAGGATTTGGATGGGGAGGGCATTCTACTCCCAGTTAAGTCCTGATAATGCAAAGGCCTCAGCAGGCCTTTTACAGATTGGAGAAATGACTGTCAGTGGTTTTAAGGACCAGTTTAGGTGGGATGATGCTGGACACAGAAAATTGGTTTGAATGATAATGAGTTTGGGATTTCGGCTTAAAGTAAGTCCCCAGAGCCCAGGCCACTGCTGCTGAGCCCCAGCCTGGGAACTGGAGGAAGCAGTCCCAGTTGCTGACCTCTTGTGGTCCCTGGCTTCGGGTGTGCAGTGCATCCTTAGTTGTGACTCCTTGATTAATATTTTTAGCTTCTGGCTGGGCATAGTGGCTCATGCCGATAATCCTAGCACTTTGGGAGGCTGAGGCAGGAGGATCACTTGAGCTCAGGAGTTTGAGACCAGCCTGGGCAATATAACGAGACCTCATCTTACTAAAAATCAAAAGCATTACCTGGGCATGGTGGTACACACCTGTAGTCTCAGCTGCTTCAGAAGTTGAGGTGGGAAGAACTGGTTGAGCCCAGAAGGTTGAGGCTACAGTGAGCTGTAATTGCACTACTGCACTCTAGCCTGGGTGGCCCCCATCTCACACACACAAAAAAAGAGCGAGACCCCGTCTCAAAAAAAAAAAAAAAAAAAAAAAAAAAAAAAAGGGAGTTCCTCATTTGCCATGAGTGGACACCTGCTTCTTTACTGCTTCAAAGTGAACACAGCTATTCCTTGTAAAGGGTTGGTTTTACTGTAAGGAAATCTAGAACACCTGTGTGTGAATGCCCCCTGATTTTCAAAGAAATGAGTGGTTGCATCAAAATCAAGCTTATATTTGTGGAAAATCACATGTTGCCAAATTCTCTCATCAAGAACCCTTTATTAACTGACTAATTGTGGGCCATGGTGGCAGGCACTTAACAAAGACCATGGCAGCAGACCTCCCTCAACTGGAACCCTCAGTTAAGCGGGATTTTGTTTTTATTTTGGAACTCCACCTTCAGAAGGGCAAAAATCACAAGATGTGGTAGCAAGGGTTTATTCTAGAAATTAGCTTCCAAGCAGTTGTCAGCCCAGTCTGTATGTCTTCCGCATCTATAATTATAGTAGCAGAAGAGAATGGTGAGCCTGGGGCACTGCAAGATCCTAAATCAAAGATTAAGGCATATTAACTCTACCCTCGCTGGAAAGTGGTCAGTTGTATTTTAAAAAGCTTTACAATAGACTTTCTAATAATGAGAGTTGAAGCAAAGTTTCCACCTAACCCTGTAATTAAATTCACCAGAAGACCCCATTTCCCATTATCCAGACGACCAAGGCTTTGCCGAACACCACCGTCCCTGCCCTCTAGGAGAGGTCATCCAAGGCCAGCAATGAAACAGTCAATCAATTTGCAAATGGACGGGAGGACACTGACAGGATGTGTTCACTGGGGGTAGGTGTCTACTGGGGGAGAGAGGCCAGGCAAGTCTGTCCTTGTTTTCAGTCTAGCAGGAGTGAAGGGGAGGCCAGAGTAACTCCTGAGTGGTCAATCTAGAAAGGCCTTTTGGAAGGGCTGGAATTTTAGGCATTTTTCTTAAGTAAGAGGAGAGTGACGTCCTGTTGGAATCGTGGGGTAGGGGATATTCTGGGCACTTCTAAAGGGGTGGAGAAACCTGAACGTCCTGGGATGGGAACCCTAAGGGCGTAGATTTGTAAAAATTGCTGCAGTCACTTGCCATGAGGACTGGGTATCTGGGCTAGAGACAGGTGGGTGACATCAGAAAGCTGTGAGTGGATATCCTGGAAGACCACTGAGAGGAGGAGCCAGGAATGGCACCAGACATTTCTGAAGGTGGGGGGCCCAGAGGTCGAAGCAAAGCGGGGCCTGTTTCTGTACCAAAGCAAGAGCTTCTGTATATCCATCAAAACATAATCAGGCCAGGCGTGGTGGCTCATGCCTGTAATTCCAGCACTTTGGGGGGCTGAGGCGGGTGGATCGCTTGAGGTCAAGAGTTCAAGACCAGCCTGACCAACATGGTGAAACCCCATCTCTACTAAAAACACAAAGAAGCCAGACGTGGTAGTGGGTGCCTGTAATCCTAGCTACTTGGGAGGCTGAGGCAGGAGAATCTCTTGAACCTGGGAGGCGGAGTTTGCGGTGAGCCGAGATTGCACCACTGCACTCCAGCCAGGGCAACAAAAGCAAATAAAACAAAACAAAAAAAACTCCATCTCAAAAAAATAAATAAATAAAACCATAATCAGAGCAAAGACATTCTAACAAAACTGTGAACTCGGAGAAATTAGTGATGCCTGCTTCCCGTCAACTTTCAGGTGTCCAGGCCTTCTCTTTATTAAAACAGAAAAAAAAATCTGATACCAGTTGTGTGTTCTTTCTTTGATGTAGTGCAGTTTGCCCAGGCTTGCCTTAAGTTGGTGCTATTTTTGTGTATTTAATTCTGTTTCCGCATGTGACCCATTGTCTGATGCTTCAGAATGCAGTCTGCTGCCTCCTTTTTGATAGCAACTCTGAGAACACCGTCTCTGCTCTCGGCAGGGCACTGGGTACACCTGTGGCATCGCTGGTGCCATGGCATGAGGCAGGCTTCCCACTTCACTTCTCAAGGACCCATTTTATTAACTCTCCTTCCCCCAGGAGCTCCATATTTTGAAATCTTTTGTTTCCCAGACAATTAGGGAGTAATTAAACCTTTTTTCCCACATGATAACAAGTATGATCGTTCACACTTGATATAGTCCAGTTCTAAAGCAAAATTAGTCTAGTGGTCTGGGTTGCGGATGACCAAAGCACACATATGTTCCATCCATTAGGTTGCTTAGCCCTGTGGTTAGGGAAGGTGGGGTTATTGTTAGGTGATTTTGAAATCTCCAAGGTCATCAGTTTCCCAACCCCATGTGCTGCTTTGGATAACCTGGGTGGTGTTTGCCCACTACTGCTTTGCATTGGTGACCTTGATTGACCATGCTAGGTGGCACTTTTCAGCAGGGTGAGGAAAGGAGATGCACAGTTGAGCAGCCGTCATTTCCTCCGGGTCCGATCACACCTACCCTATCCCAGCCAGATACAATCTATCCCTTTTTAAAAAGACTTTCAGAGAATGAAATTTTACAGTCTTTTTTGTATAATGCCCCCAAAAGGAAATCTTGATTTTCACTTAAGATTTGATTTGAAGTAAGTCATGATTTAGAACAGCAGATAAAATGCATTAGGGTAAAGTATTATGTAAAGGTAAGGTGAAGAGATACTGGTTTCTACTTCAGGAGGTAGCTTATATTTGTTTGCTTTAATTAATTAATTAATTCATTCATTTTTGAGATGGAGTCTCGCTCTGTTACCCGGGCCGGAGTGCAGTGGCACAATCTTGGCTCACTGCAACCTCCGCCTCCCGGGTTTAAGTGATTCTCCTGCCTTAGCCTCCCAAGTAGCTGGGATTACAGGTGCCCTCCACCACGCCCGGCTAATTTTTGTATTTTTAGTAGAGATGGGGTTTCACCATGTTGGCCAGTCAGGCTGCTCTCCAACTCCTGACCTCAGGTGATCTGCTGCTCCAGACTCCCAAAGTGCTGGGATTACAGGCGTGAGCCACCGTGCCTGGCCTAATTTTTGAATTTTAATTTTTTGATGGAGGTAACGGTGACTATAATTCTGTTACAAGAATGTAGAAAGTCACGCCTGTAATCCCAGCACTTTGGGAGGCTGAGGTGGGTGAGGTGGGCAGATCACAAGGTCAGGAGATTGAGACCATCCTGGCTAACGCAGTGAAACCCCAAATATAAAAAAATTAGCTGGGCGTGGTGGCGGGTGCCTGTAGTCCCAGCTACTCGGGAGGCTGAGGCAGGAGAATGGTGTGAACCCGGGAGGCGGAGCTTGCAGTGAGCCAAGATTGCGCCACTGCACTCCAGCCTGGGCAACAGAGTGAGACTCCGTCAAAAAAAAAAAAAAAAGAATGTGGAAAGTAAAATGTGAAAGTTCCCCTCCTTGTCTATGCCCCTTATTGACTTTGATATAGATTCTTTATAGTTTGGTATATATTCTCCCAGACCCTTTTCTGTGTATATACTTACACAAATATATTTTTTCTGACATAAATGGAATCATGCAGAACATATTGTTCAACAACTTGATTTTAAAGGGATGATTTACTTCACTATTTTTTCAGGCTTAATTTTATGGCTATATCAGAACTGATTTGGTTATTTTATAGCTGGCTGAAGCTGTAATTTGTGAAATCATTGGGGAGTAGTGAGCCTCCTTCCATAACTATATAACAATAAATTTTGCTATATCAGGAGAGCAAGTCATAATAAAAATATTACCCTTAAATTTTAATGTATTTAGTGAGAATAATTGACTTGTTTATTCTGCATATTTTCTTCAAAAAACACATAAATTCATCAAATTAAGCACGTTCGTATTTTATTGACTATTTTGCTATAATTTTGAAATTATGTTAAATTAAAATGAAGCCTGTTTGAAACCTGTTAAGATGACAACCATAAATACTTAGTTTTGTGTCTAATTCAGTTAAGCGTTCTTGTTTGTTCATGGACCAGAAAAAAAGTTTTCCTGTGTTTTCAATTCCCAAGTGACTCCTCCAGATAGAATGAACTGGACCCGAGTAGTCTTTAAGGTTGCTGGCTACGGGCTCAGCATTTAAGACTTTAACCCAAAGGAAGAGAACTTTTTTTCTCAAGCCCTGCAGCAACAGTTATTGCTGTAAAAAGATTATCATTTCAAAGTGTTGGGTTACTTCTCACGTTCATGGGAATGACTTTCTTTAAAACCTCTGGGAGCAAGAGCAGTTTCTTGGATGGCTCATCTTTAGACCTGATTTTTTTTTTTTTTTTTTTTTTTTTTGTTCAGACATTTATTGAGCACTTCTTAAGGGCCAGGCATGGTGTGAGGCACTGGGATGTAACAGTGATTATGACAAAGTCCCTCAGGGAGCTCACAGTCTAATGGTAAACTACAGAGTAAACTGAGGCACAGAGTGGTAAATGACTTACCCAATGAGGTAGAAATAGCTAGGTATGTGAAAATGTGGGAGCAGAGCTGGAGAGAGGGCAAGGTACAACTTGTCCTAAGTAAAACCCCTTGGACTGACTCAACAGCAAGGCTGCATACACAAACATTACAAAATCTACTTGCAAAAACCTGAAAGGAGTTTCCAATTATCACCATGACTGAATTCATGTTTCACAATGAATTCAGCTATTTCCTGATGACATTTCTATCCTTGCCCCCAAAGCCACTGGGCATGCCACCGATCTGCTGGGAGACAGCAATTAGGTAGACAGCTTAAAACCAAGAAGTATCTGACTCCAATTTTAGCACTGAAAACCATATTAAAATACTTTAATTAAATCCACAAACATAAATGTGTAGCACATTTATGATACTTCTACATGTAGAAGTTTGGAAAAAGTCTCTTCTAACCCTCATCCAGAGGATTCTAATAAGTTATAGATACCAAAGAGATTAGAGAATTTGTCTGTCACTTTCCATATATACATTATTTTGGCTGTACGAGAGTGAAAAGTGTCACTCAGACATATTTCGTAAGTAATCTCAACATTATACAGATATATACAAAGACATCACATTTAAATTCGTGTGTACATCTATGCAATGTACAACAGTAACTGCAAACATGAACCAGTGTAAGGCAATTTCTTTTGTGACATATGACATACTCCTTGAAGGGAAGGGTAGAGTCCACAAAGAACTGTCCTTTTCAGCCTGACTGTCTGTCTTCATGACACTCTGTGATGAAGCTACTTCAGGAGGCAAGATGTCTATTTCACTGACAAAAAGCAGTGAATAATTATAAAAGGAGTTGTTTTCAAATGTGGAAACCACAATTACTCAGTAATCTAAGTGGTGAACTCCTCAAAGACACTACTGGCCATGATGCCGCTACTGAGAACGAGAGCACTTCATGGATAATTTATTGCTCTGAGAATCAAATTTGATGCGTAATTCTCCAGGAAGATATTCCCAAAAAACTCAGTGATACATAAATTCTCAAATGCCATCAGTTGCTTACTTCAAGCAATTCTTCACTTTGCTGAGGATTTTCTTCTTCCTCAGGGCCTTCTGGATGAGTGCTCTCAGATGAAGAGGTCCTGACACCTTCAGACCTTTTGTTACTGGTCTGACCCTGCTCCACTTCTCACAAATAGACATCGATAGGTCCGTTGGTGCTCCTTATGTGCACTGTGATAGAGTCTTCTCTGGGAGCTGGAACATCCAATCTGGTTTCTGCTGGAGCTTTAACTGCAATGACGATCTGTTCATGGAAGGCCTGAATGCTATGAATGTCTTGATAGGTCACATATGCTAGTCTTTCATTTTCTTTGTCATCTGTTAACTCAAACAGCTGCTGAGCACAATCCTTAATTAACTCATCCAAAGCATCTTCCATTGCTGGTAAGTCAGAAAGTTCCTCCTGTAGCTTCTTTTGTTGGGGAACTGCTCCAAAATTGCTAAGATCAGATCCTATCCATCTAATATGGTTCTTGGATTTCTTTTCAACGAGGTCGATTCCATCTAAGACATCGGTGATGTCATACACTCTCCGCTTTCGGACTCCCAGTTTCGTTGCAACCTTGTTTAAGTCAAGAATACCCCCGGGAGCAGATTTCTCATGGACACATATTGTACATTATCTTCTAAATTAATCCTTATTTTTGATGGCAGCAGGCCCTCCACGTTGATGGGGTCTCCTCCGTCGGGTGCAGGAGGAGACTGGGTAATCTCCTCGCCGGCCGCTGCTGACTCATGCTGCCCGGCCGGGCGTCCTGCTCCCCTCGCACCCCACGAGCTCTCCCGCCCTCTCGCGCTCAGCTCGAGCACCGCCCCCCACGCGCCGATTTCCAAGGGCCCAGCACCTAAGGGGTCCGCGGCCTCCTCCGAGGCGTCGCCCGGCTAGGCCGTCCCTCCCGCCAGTAAACGCGGCACGGCCTCACGTGCCCGGGAGCTCCCGACGCAGACGGAAAAGGAGCAGGGAGACCCGCGGATCTCAAGTCGCCCGGCCCGCCATCTTCCCGCATGCGCAGTCAAAATAGTTGCTCTTCTGGAGAGATGGCTGTGGGATTCATGTGTCATAGGCATCCCTTCTTAAACATCAGTGTTTGACTTTCTATCCCTTGTCCTGAGACCTCTGAGGGTAGCCCCTGTTTTAGCAGAATCTACTTCTAATACTTTCCTAAGAAGGCTTTCCCAAGAAGTTCATTCAACAAATAACCGAGTGCCTTCTACAAGCACTCATTGTTCTGTTATCTCCGGTGCCACAGAATTCACAGTTAAAATCATGACTAACATTTTAAGTCGTCACCTGATATGTATTTTTAATCTTTAATAAATAGAAGCATTAATTAAATACACTGTGACATTCGGGAACTCTTTTTTATTCCTAAGGTACATCTTTTTTCTTGCCATTACTTAACCTCTTTTCTTCCTGTTTTGTTCTCAGCTCTTCTTTACAGCCATGAGTTACTAGTGCCCGGTGCCACCACGAAGAGGGGGTATCTGTAGGAGTAAGATGATGAATAGCAGTGGTAAGGGGAGAGCGAGGAGAAGGGAGGGGGCTCTGAGGAGGCTAAAGGGCAAACTTTTATTCTTGAAAATACACAAATATCCCAAGTCCTGGGTGTGTGGAACGTCCTTATTACTGCTGGGGATGTTGCTTGTCTGTGGGAATTGGGAATTTCACACCTAGCTCTGAATTTCTAGGAAGCCCGAACAAAAGAGAAATAGAAATAGAGAAATCACATACTTCCCACCAGAGAGGAGACACCATCCATACCAGAGGAGACTCGTATGGGGGGTGGTGAGGATAAGGCCGATCCATCTTCCCCACCTCATACTCTGCCTCCTGCAGTGTGGCCTCCCTGAGGGCGCCCTGGCAAGGGAGGGTGTGGGACCCTCATCAGTATGGCTCTTACAAATTCCCAGAAGCTGCTGTAGCAGCTCAAAGAGGGGCAGGCTCTTCCAGGTCTGTTCCTTGCCAGATGCCCTCTCCCAGCCTGGGGGTAACCCTAAGCAGGCATTGATCTGCACTTTGCTCAGAGTCACTGGTGACCTCCCGGGTAGCCAAGAGCTTCCCCCTTCTCCGTGAGCCCTCTGAGACTGCAGGTCCCAGACGGTTGTAAATTCTGCCTGGTGGAAATTGCCAAGGCTCCAAAGCAGGCACCTGCTGCCCTCAGGAGCCTCTGTGCAGGGCCATTCTTCTCCCTGCAAGCAGCACTTCTCGGAGACCTTTCTGGTTTTCCTCTTCAGCTTTGTTTGGCAGTGGTTTGGTGTTGGTTTGGAGATGGTGGTGTGTTGGGAATTATGCTTCACATAGATGGACATGTTTGTTAGCGGGAGGAATGATGGTGCAGATATTCATTCCGGGCTTACCCCAAACTAGGTAACCCTTTATGACATTGTTTAGAGATGATTTGCTGAACAGTTTCATAATGCCTTCTGATGTTTCAGTACAAAAAATAGCTTGCTGAACAATGTTACAATCTGTCTTCTGATATTTCATTACAAAGAAGCAAGAGCACATTCTGAGCACCCTGCCCAGTGCTTTCACCTTGTCTCTGTTGGAGCAGGTGATTGGTTCCAGCTCTGCGTTTTGGCACCTCTGTGGCTGGGCATCCCTCTGAACTGTGCACTTCTAGAAGGGAGCAACAAGATAGAGAACTAATATGCCTCTAGGCCTGAGTTCATTTTGGAAAAATCTTTGTAGATTTCTTGCCCAATCCTCTTATTTTAAAGGTGAATTGTCCTAGAGGGAAGAAAAAGACCATGGTGACCTGGGTGGGTAAAGGGTGGAAGTAGTACTGGAAAACGCCCCTAACAGGAGATGAGAAAGAGACTCTGGTGCACGTCATCTTTGTTTTAATTAAAACGTTATGCAATACAAACATTCGCCTTCCCACTCTTCCCCCTACCACAGAGGAGCTGTAATTTCCCATATTTGGAATTTGGGGAGAGCTGGGCCTCATTTGAAGATAAGGCCAGATTCAGTCTCTGATTTGGGGGGAAGTAAGTAATTGAGAGAGCCTTGAGGACTGTGGTATTTATGGTGAATATATCAGAACTATGTGTGCCTCCTTGTCATCATTTATTCAACACCTCTGATGTCCTAGAGCTGGTGCTATGCCCATCAGTATCTGACTCTCGTTTTCTTCTGCATATTTTCCCTTTTGCAAATGTATAGGCATTCAGCTTTAATCAGGTAGGCTTTTTACTCTGTGATCTGCAACGGGGATGACTGAAGTCATGTGGAGGATTTTAAGTAACTAATCTCTTAAGACATTCAGAGCATAATCTTCCCTAGCCCGTGATCATCCTGCCTGCATCCGAGAGATTTGTGAGGCTCTGCAAAGGAGGCTGGATGTGGACTTTGGCATCCTTTGGAGAGACTGGGTGTCTTCCTTGCTGGTGACAGGTTTTTGTTTGCTTTTGGCATGGGAACAGGACCTGCTGTTCATTTACCATGTCAAGAGAGTTCAAGATGCCCCATGAATGTGACCAGTGTGTTACTAAATCTCCGTACTGGTACAGAGAACAATGGCAGGCCAAACACACATGAAGACCCTGTCTAGGCTCATTGATGTTTATGCAGTTTGTGTCCAGGGCTGGTTCTCAGGGAGAAAAATAGATAAGATCTGCAAAATAGATAAGAGAGGACTGCTGGTCAGTGGTGTTCCCTGACATTTTTCCCTGAATGATACCAGGTTAATCAAAAGATAAGGATCTAAAATATTTTTGTGCTCTGCTTATAATTTGAATGTGACTTCATATGTGTGTCATCTGTTGGACTAAATTGGATTGCAGTTGCTCTTCAAATTGTCATTCCTTTATTTTCTATTTCTACCTACCTCCTGATGTTAGCTCAGGTTCCTGCTACCAAGGTGTCTTGCAAAAAAATTTGGTGACTATTACTCTAAGTGAAGCCTTTGATACTTTCTCTTAATACAATGGTTAAACCTCTAACAACGTAGACTAATGAGGAAGATTAGTTTGAATTAGTAAAATGTCTGAATTACCAAATATTTTTCAAGAACTTCACTGTTATTACTTTTAAGTAAATACTGTAACTCAAACTAGGCTAATAGAATGCCTAATAAAGATCCTTAGGGGATCCTGCTTTAGGAGAGAAATAAGAATGATTTGCAATTAGTGCACCAATTGTTTATGTAAATGGAATTTCTGAAATACTAGACTGAGCTTGAAAACCGTTTGTTCCCTTAAGTATTTTAAATAGTCCCTACGGAACCCCTGTGCATGCTGGTAGTTGTTTATATGCTGTATAGAGACCTGTTTCACGAAGACATAACTCAACCTTATATCATCAGTATCAGAAATTCCAAGTTAGTGATGGCCAGGATCCTCACCTTCCAAGATTAGATTAGATCTCTCTGCCAAACGCTTCCATAGCACATGCAATTGTCTGTTGTAACACTAATCAATACATTTAACAAATATATGATGTATTCTGCTATATGCTTTGCCAGTGTGTGAAATGGAGGAGACATAACCCTCATCTTTGTGTAGTTTATAGGCTAGCAAAGAAGTCAGGCAGTAAACAAATAAATGCATTTATAATTAATTACAATCCTGAAGTTAGATTGTACTTTTGTAAGTAATGGTTTAATCAACTAGATTTTAAGTTCCATTAAGATAGGGGTTACTTCTGTGTTGTTTGTCATGGTGTCCCAAATCCTTCCTTAGCCTACTGCCTGGCATAGAGTAAATATTAAGTTGAGCTTTATTGCCATTTTGATAGGTCAGAAGCAGTCGAATGTCAATAATGTCACATAGTTCAACCTAATAGTTGCTCAGTCAATATGTATTGAATGTTGAATGCATGTTGTAATCAGTGATCCTATGGTAGGCTGCATTTCACACAGTTTTCTCTAGCCAAAGAAATGCTAGCTATGGTTTTGAAAAGGAATTCTAAAACTTCAAACAGCTAAAACTGGTGATATAGACTGTGGGACTGGAGATCTGTGAGACTGGAGTGCCTTTTGTCCAGTATATTTTCTATGCAGTTCTTGGTACATTTCCCAGCCTCAGGTGGGAGCATGTGTATTTGGGTCTGGAGTGCTTGTCAGTAGCCCAAAGAACCTGGGAAGAGTATGCTGGAAAGCTAAGATGGAAGGCAGGGATAGGAGCTGTTTGGCCTGAAGAAGAAAGTGGCAGGAAAGATATTGGCATAGCCAAAGAAGCCTTCCCTTTAAGTCCTAGTGTAGGGAGACTTACTTTTCCAGACCAGAGCTCATGAGATCATGCACTCATTCCACAGATTTGTGTGAGTCTGTGATGCGCTCAGTTATGGCTAGGCATGGGCGTTCCTTATTGTGAGCTTCCTTTTTGTGCCTGGAACTTCTGTCTGAAGGGTGGTGGGCTGGACTGTAGACCACTGGTCCTCAGAGGCAAGGGTTGAACTGAGGAGAAAGCCCCAGCTGGATCCTGCTGGGAGAAGCCCAGCACTCTGGCCTGGGGCCTGCTCCCTATCTGTGGAACTGGGAGTAGGGCCCAGGCTAGGGCTTAGATCAGAGCTTCCCAAACCTTCTGTGTTAAGAACGTTTTTGCATCTGTTTGGATTTCATGGCTGTTTTTCCATTTTCCGTGCACACATGTCCAATTGTACCACCCTATTATAATGCACACTCTTTTCTCACACCCACAGGATAATTTGTAGTTCCACAGCTATTTGTTGAGCATCCTCATCTGCCAGCACAGGATGGGGGTGGCAAGTGAGGGGAAACACAGATATGTGGTATTGGTCCCTGCCTGTGGTAGACGTGATTGGTTACCTACAGTGGCTCTTCTTTTCTCTTCCTGCTGGCAGGACCCAGTTGGGTTGGATGCCACACCTCTCCCACACGCCACTCAAGGAAAGGTGACCCTGCCTCCAGCTCTAGGGTATGTGCTGATTGAGCTGAGCCCATCCTGGAGGCCCGTAGTTTAGACATGGTTTTGGCCACTGAGGTATGAGAAGTCTGCTGGGAGATGCTGGGAAAGATGTTTTTCCTTGTAAAAGGAAATGCAGAAGGGACAGCTTCTTTCACTAGATTCTCGGACGTGAAGCAGCCATCTTGTTGCAATGAGGAAAGCAGGTTTGTTGAGGCCAGCAGACGGGAAGAGATGGGAAAAACCCTGAGGGCCAAGCCCCTGAAGACTGAAGCGTCCAATCTCCATACATTTTGTCCTCACTGTTGAAGCCAGTTGAGTGGGAATTTTCTACTACTTATAGTCGAAGGCAACCTATATTAGACACTCCCTCAAAGGAGCATGAAATAGGATTTCTTCTTGTACCATTCAGATTATCATCAAAAAGCACATTATTCAGAGACAGAGCTTAGCTTTGTGGTAAGGCAGAAAGGAGAGGGGAAAGCAAGTTGGTAGGAAAGAGTTGAGTGAGGAGATTGTATTTTAAATGGGTCCTGAGGGAGGATTAGGATTTGTGTGGGAGGAGCAGAAGGGCGTTCTGGGGAAAGGAATGGTGGCATGAGCAAACCTGTGAAGACAGGTATGGATGTGGCACTGCCGAAAAACAGGGAGATTATGTCCTGACTAATTCCGTGGACAGATTCTAGAGCACCTCAAATTGTGAGTTTATATGGTGACACGTGACTTATGCAGCGGGAAAAGTATTGCAGGCTCATGAATGGGGGAGAAAGGAATGAAAGTGGGCCTTGGGAAGAAGGATAAGGATTAAGTAGCTGGGTACCAGGTTCTTTGGAAGGGGAAAAAAGTAAAAGGCCAGTGACAAGCTCAAGCTACTGAAATAACTCACATTTGAGTTGATAGCAGTGCGGGGAGGGAGTGAAGCTGTCAAAGGAAGATTGTAATAAATTAACTGGCAAAGAAGGGTAAGATGGATATCTAGGAGAGGAAGATGGAAGAGGAAGATTTTAGGAAGATGCTGTTTGCTTTTTGCCACTATGGCTTTGAGGTAATGAGGAAAGATCTAAGTAATGAGGCGTTGAATTCATTTGAAAATAGGGCTAGACTTTGGGAATGAGAGGCCAAGGGTTAAGAGGATGTGGTAGAGGCAACTCACTAGGCATGCACATACTCCAGATTTTCCAGCCTCCCTCACAGTTCAGTTGGGGCCATGTGACTAGTGTTAGTCAATGAAGTGGGAGAGGAAGGAACCAGGGAAGAGCCATGTATTCCTCCATTGATTCCTCCCATGCCACAGCAGCCTTGGGCTAGGGCCAGAAAGTGTGGCTGCCAAGACGGGGAGGGCTGTCCTTCCAGGACCAGACTTTGACGGTTGTTGCTCAGCTGGGAAATGCTGGTAGAAGCGAGATCTGAAGCTGTAATGGGTGGCAGTGCTGACAGCTATTTGTGTTGGGTCTGGGTGGTATGTGGTCTTCAGGGTACAGTTGTCCACCTTCTCCTGACTTGATTTGCTCAGGGGTCTGCATTCAATGGGCTGGAGCTTGCTGGCCGACTCATTCTACCTCTAGGACTCTCAGTGTTTCTGGGGGCAGGTTTACATCTTGGCTGTCCAGGGAAGGGGATCCTTGTTCATGAGCTGTGCTAGTGAGAAGGCTGCTCTCTCCACAGGCACCAGAATGCCAAGTGCCTTGCAGAGGAGAATGTTTGGGTGGCTGGTGTCCAGTGGTGACCAGGTGGAGCGTCTCAATTATCTGGCTAAACATGGAGCTTCAGGAAGAAGTTCCAGATCTCCAGACTTGAATAAGAATAAGGTGCAAATCCCATCTTTCAAATCTTTCCCACTCTCAGAAGAGTCAAAATGTGCCTTTTCTGCAAGCAGTCCGGAGCTAGGCACTTTGCATACGCTTTGTTACAATGTTGCATCAATCTCGCCTGGCTGAATCACGGTGTTTTCCTAAGGGTAAAGGGCCCCGTGAGTGCTGGGAGGCCTTTGGCATCTGGTTTTCGTCAGGCAGCAGGTAAAAGTGCAGATGGCGGGTCTGATCGTGCTTTAAAAAAAGCAGAGTTAGAAACGTGGGAAAGGCATTTGAGAGGCACCTCTTACTCTGTGTGTGATCTCCCGTGCATCCTGTTTCCTTCTGTAACCAAACACCTCAACTCCTAATACCCAGAGGAAAACCCTTCAGACTTGGGAGACAGCCGGCATTGCTGGCACTGGCCTCTCTGGAGCTTTTCTCGATAAGTTTGAAAATTTAAAGACAGTGGTGGCACTGTTTCTCTGTTGAATGGAGAGTTGACATTCTTATTTTTCCTTCCTCTTCTGCAAAACTGGGGTGTCATCAGATCAGTGTTTGCTGCTGCTGTTGCGTTCTTGGGTAGCCACTCTTTTTTTTTTTTTTTTTCAGAGGGAGTCTTGCTCTGTCGCCCAGGCTGGAGTGCAGTGGCCCAATCTCAGCTTATCGCAACCTCTGCCTCCCAGGTTCAAGCGATTCTCGTGCCTCAGCCTCCCGAGTAACTAGGATTACAGGCGTGTGCCATCACACCCGGCTAATTTTTGTATTTGTAGTAGAGACGGGGTTTCATCATGTTGGCCAGGCTGGTCTTGAACTCCTGACCTCAGGTGATCCGCCCGCCTTGGCCTCCCAAAGTGCTTGGATTACAGGCTTGAGCCACCGTGCCCAGTCAGCCACTCTTATTTTACACACTGCTTCTGGCTGATAGGCCTACAAGGTCTAAGCTTAATCCCAGGAAAAGTGCTACCCGAATGGTCTGTCAGTCAGCCTTTTGTTTGTTTGTCTCGTTCCGGTCATCCTTGCCTCTGTCCACCCAGACAACATTCAATCAACATTTGTTATGGAGCCAGCAGTATGATTTTGCAAGTTACTTTTCTAAACTCTCATTTCCTCATCTGTAAAATAATAGGAGATACTCATTAGGGTGATTCTAAGAGTTAAATGGAAACATCTGAGGAAAGCACTTAGCATCGGTCTGGCACATAGTAAGTGCTCAGTAAATGATGGTTGTCATTATTGTTGAGCAGAGCCAGGGGTTGCCACCCCGGTCAGCTGATTGGCTGTAGACATGGTGTGACCATATGGAGCTGGGATTTGGGCCACACTCAGCACATAGTTGTGATCCATAAATGCACAACCTTTGGACCCCATTGTCACCTCCCTTGGAATATCTTGGTGTTCTTGTTTCAGTCTGATAAGGCCATTGTAGCTGGGTTCTAGGTATCTCTGAGCATGGAGCACTCACGCCAGCCTCAGACATCGCTGTCAAGGGCATCAGCAGCAGTGAGGTGATTCCTCAGCCGGTCATTTGGGCATCGCTGCCTGGGTCTCTCCTGAGCTTCAGCTCATCTTTTTTGTCACCTGCCATACCTTTGCCTCTAAGTGTCCCCCAGTTTTTATTGCTGCCCTCTCCATCCGCACCAGTGCCTCTCTCTGCCAGTTCCACTGTTCTCTCGCCTGCTCTTTAGGATTTCCTTTGTTTTGCCTCCTTGCCTGGTGCTTTCAGCGAGCAGCGCTGACGTCATCTCAGGAACCGTGCTGCGTCTGAGAGAAGAACCTGCAGTAGCTGTTTAAGTGTGCGGTGCTGGCAGAGTACCTCCCTGAAGGTGTCCTGGGGAAAGTGAGTGATTGCTCACTGGGTGGTGAGCCAGGGGCAGGGTTTGGGGAGATATCTGCATTAGCAAGTTAGCATCACTTGAAACACAGGCATGTAACGGGCAAGGATGTGCTCTTCAGCTACCAGGCTGTCCTGGCTGGAGCCGGTGGCCACAGACCTGAGGGACCCCGGCTTTGTTCCCTTAGCTGGCTTTGTTCCCTTAAGCTGCCTTTGTTGTCTCAGTGTAGCTCTCTCTACCTCCTCTGTATTTCACCACTGACAACTCACTCGATTCTCCCTCTGGCAATCTTAGTTACCTGTGAATACTCTTTAACGCCATCTTCTGCCTTCTCAATGAATGAAGGAGATTCTCTCCTTGACTATTTGTGAGCCAAAACCTAACCTTCTCTTGGCTGATCAGTATTAATATATTGTGCTGAGAGGAAATTTTAGAATAAAATTAGACATCAAAAAGAACTGGCACAATTAGTTTCCAAGCCGTTTAAGGTTCCTGGAAGTCTTCTGAATCCATCCTCTTTGTGGGGACCCACCCCAATTCTCCATCTTCCTCCTAAAAATAACGATAATGGCGTTTCACCAGAAGCCGGACAAAAGAATGCTCTGTCTGTTTCGCCTGTGGGAAGTGACAGGAACTGCTGAAACCTGTGTTCTGTGTCACAGAGCCAAGGGTTCACACAGTGCAGAAACAAATCACAGTGTGTCACGGAGACTTTTTCTGTCTCCGGCCCCACTCTGTATTTGAGCCCAAATGTGGAGGGAGATGCTGCAGTTGTGGGAAGGCACTTCCGTGACCCCTCATTATGGTAGAGGAAATGAGAGGCCTGAGGCCACAGCCAGGCTGGCCTTTTGCAAAATGGTCAAATCAGCAGCAATTTGGCCCTGGCTCCCACTTTGTGCCCCACCCACCAACTCCTGCTATCTCCCATCCCCACTCCCAGCGCAGTCGCGTCCATGGCTCCCAGGGCCCCACCAGGCTGCCCTCCCTGTCTGGCTGTGCTCAGCCGCTGTCCTGGTTCTCCCCAGCATTTCAGTACTTTCCTGAGTCCTCCTGCTGGTCCTTGACTTGGCTGGTTGGAAGGTTTGTGGATCATTAGAGCCACTTACTCACACTGAGGAAAGAAAACAGAAGTGGGTATTTGGGGAAGGCCTATGTGTTGCTTCCTCTGTGTGTTCACTCACATTTGCTGATTTCATCCCTACAGTTCCCCTGCCCGGGGAGTGTTATGCAGCCACCTGTACAAATGAAGCAGTTGAGACCCAGTAAGCTTGTGTGATTTCTCCAAGTCATAGCCAGCATGGGCCACTACTTTGAGCTCTAGATAAAGAAAAGGAACCTAGTGTTTTAAAGATTTGCTTCATTGTGGTATAATTTGCTTGCATACAACGGAACTCACCAGTTTAAAATATGTAATTCTTTGTTGACAAACATGAGCAGCCACACAACCACCACCTATCAAATATGGACCACTCCTCTGTCCCCAAAAAGTTCCCTTGTGCCTCCTTGCTACCAGCCCCTCTCCTGCCTCCAGGACCCCAGCCTCAGGGGACCTGAATCCTGCCACTACAGTTTTGCACTGTACAGAATGTGATGCACATGGCATCCTACAGTGTGTAGCCCTTTGAATCTGGCTTCTCTCGCTCAGCACAGTGCTTTTGAGATCCCTCCATGTTCTTGTGTGTATCTAGTTCACACCTTTTTATTGCTGAGTAGGGTTCCGTTTTATGGATATAGCACATTTTGTCCATCTCTTCACAAACTGATGGGCATTTGGGTTGTTTCCAGTTTGGGGCTACTATGAATACAGCTATTAGGATGTGTACAAGTCTTTGTGTGGACACAGGTTTTATTTCTCTTGGGTAAATACTTAGGAGTGGGATTGCTGGGTCATTTGGTAACTTTGAAAGAAACTACCAGACTGTTTTCCAAAGTGGCTGCACCATCCTACCTCCCCACCAGCCATGTATGAAGGGGACCGGGTACTTTTGATGCCTAATCTAAGTTCTTTTCCCTATACCATAGTGTCACTGGCTGCTGAGGTGCGAATTGCTGACTATCACATTCACATGCCCTGAGCCTGTCCTTTTCACAGGAATTTCTTGGAAAGTCTGACCATTTGGAGCCAGTTGCTGGTGGGGAGGTTTCCTGAGGAGGTCCTTTCATCACACAGGGCCGTCTCCTCTGATGGCTGATCACCACACACACCCTCCTTTGCTGCCCATCCTTTCTGCCGTCACCTTGGTTCATAATTAAGATTCACCTGTGGGTGACGTGGGACCCACTTGCAGCCCATGGACACTGGAACAGTCCATTCTGTGCAGTTCACTTCCTGGCTTTCACGGCACCTACTATGCTGGCTCCTGGCCAGAGATGGAGTTAGAGGTGTCCTGTCCCAAATGAACCTGCATGCAGAAGCCACTGGGGCAGTGGGGACACTGCCTCAGCATCATCACAGCTGCCAGAGGCTGAATTGCTGCTGTGCAGGGCTGTGTGGAACTGCTGCTGTTATATGCGCATCTCCGGTCTGGAGCTTGCTGCTCAGGGCTCTCCTTAACAAGCGGCCAAATGACTGCAGTTTTCTGCATTGCTTTCCTGTGAGGTCCCTGATGTTTTGAAAGAGCCAAAACCAGACAGGGATGCTATCAGGTTGCAGTTCTGCTCTGTTGTGGTGTTTCTGTGAAATGGAGAGGAGGATTTTGAGGAATGTGTAGTTGGGTTTACTTTTGTCTTTATTTGTGGGCATGTTTCCTGAGTGAGGACCACTGATAATTAGGTGTTCTTTGGTGTAGGGGCCCAGATGGACAGCGTGGACCCCTTTCTAAGGGATTGTTGTCACAGTGAGAGGGCTGAGCACTGAAGTTTATCTTGCAGCATGCGTGCTGGGAGCAGCCCCTCCAAATTGGTGCACGTGTTTGGGGAGGGCAGAGACCAGGGCACAGACTGGCTGGCAAACTCGCCTGCTGGGCTGAAGAGTCCTGACCTTGCAACTGGAAGCTCTGCTTTCCTGCCCTTTCCCTGATTCCTGCTAATTTTATGACCTTTCATCAGTCACCTGACCTTTCTGGACTTCAGCGTCCTCACTGTATAATAGAAAGAATGATCCCTCTTTCACAGGGATTGGAGGATCTGCCGCGTGTCAAAGCCCTTTCTACACCTGTGACAACACAAGATGTGCCCGTAGACACCTTTCTGAACATGGGTGTGGCAGAAGGCCAAGCTCACACCCAGAAAGCCACCTGCCCTTCTGCTCCTTATCCTTGTCAGTCGCTGTGCCTGCATCCCCAGGAGGACCTCACGGGACTGGGAGGGCCTGGGACAGGCTGGCCTCAGATCACCAGGCATTGAGACCTCCTGCTAGCCTCAGGCTGACAGTAATAAATGTACAAAAGAGGACAGAGCTGCTGAGGAGCGGCTGGGAGTCCAGACACAAAGGACTGTCGGAGGAGTGAGTCAGGGCCTCTGAAGGTCACTTGAGGAGTGTCCGCCCTGAATCATTGACCTGCGGCATGAATGGAGAAGTAGCTGGGATACCAGCCCTGGGGCAGTTCCATTGGGTGGATCTTTAGAAGAGAGAGGTGGCGTGGGAGGGGTAAGAGCACTGATTTGGGAATCAGAGACCTGGGTTCTTTAAGTCAATTTATCCAGGACTAGCTGTGTGGCCTTGGGCAGGTTGACAGCAGTTTCCTTTCTGTGAAATGATCAACTCCAGAACTATTGATACCTGTCACATTGTGTTTGGGGAATGAGGCTCAACAGCCGAGCCTGCACCATGACCCCGGTGCCTCTCCCCCATCCCCCTGCGCCTTTTGGACCAAGAAGTGCAGGCACAGATAGAGCTTTCAAGCCTCTTTTGTTCCTGGATGGTGGATCCCTGTGGTTAATGAATAATTGCTTTAGGGGCAGAGGTGAGGGGAGTGAGTATTGCAAGTGAAGATGGGTGGGACAGGGAGGTTCCAGGTGGTGAAATATTTTCAGGCAACAATCTGCAGAGAAACTTGACCATGACTCAGCTAAGCAGTGGGCTCACTGGCAGGTGGCCCTGGTGGCCCCCTGCTGACATCTGCTACTACTGTGTGCTTCCAAGGCCCAGCGAGCAGCACCGGTGATTGATGATACTACAGCGCATCCCAGGAGCTGGTATCCCAGGGCAGCGCTGCACCTGCTGGCAGCCAAACCCTTCGGGGCAGGACACCGGCCCACAGCCTCGGAGCGCCCAGTTCCAACCATCAATTTTAATTCTTGTGAGGCTTTTCTTTTTCACATTTGGTTACCCTGTTGAACCAATCTGCTTCTTCCCACCAGTATGACAGTTTTTAGCTCAGTTCCAGGCCAAATTTTGCACTGGCCCGAGTCCCACTGTTTGTTTCTTTCATGTGTATCTTTTACATCCTGGGAGCCCTGACCGACTCCCAGTGCCTGAGCCCCTTCCCCTAAGCATGAGGACTCCCGCCTCAGGTCTGCCCTGTTCCAGCTGCTGGAAGGCATCCAGAATTCTAATGTTATTCATCATAGTTGCAGTTTCACTACAAAGCATATGGTTTGACCTCTTATCCTTACTAAGTCATTTCAGACTTAGGGAAAAAATACCCACTTAAGGAAAATTCTTTTACCAAAAAATTTTGTGTTTTTTTTTCTAATAAGAGGTAATTCATGCACATGTTAAAAATCAAAAGCAGATGTGAGGTGTGTGGGAAAAAAATGAAATGTTCTATATTTCAACGTAAAACTTTGGGTGACAAAAACTTCAGTGATTTTTAATGGTGATTATAATATCAATAGTACTTTTGAAATCAGATGTTGGGCTGGGGCACAGTGGCTCATGCTTGTAATCCCAGCACTTTGGGAGGCTGAGGTGGGAGGATCACTGGAGCCCAGGAGTTCGAGACGCTGTCTCTCCAAACAAACAAACAAACAGACAAACAAACAAACAAACTCAGGAGTTTGAAGCTGCAGTGAGCTATTATTATACCCCTGCACTCCAGCCTGGGCTACAGAATCAGACCCAGTCTCAAAAAAAAAAAAAAGAAAGAAATCTGATAACACTTTATTTGATGCTGCAGTGTTGTAAAGGATCATCAGACACACAAATTTGATAATTAAATAATGTTCCTAAGTCTTCTGATTGAAATAATAACACAATGCAAAATCTCTTTTCCTGGCTTCCCTTCCTGGTCTTCCTTTTGTCCTCTCTTCCTGCCAGCTCTGCTCTCTGCCCATTCTGAATGGCTGTCTGCTGCAGTGATCAGTGCTCTTCTTTGGATGTTCTTTGCTCCAGATGCTTTATGGCATTTCCTTCTTTTAATTTTCTTTCTTTCTTTCTTTTTCTTTCTTTCTTTCTTCTTTGTTTTCTTTCTTCTTCTTCTTCTTTTTTTTTTTTTTTTTTTTTTTGAGACAGAGGCTTGCCCTGTTGCCCAGGCTAGAGTGCAGTGGCACGATCTTGGCTCACTGCAACCTCTGCCTCCTGGGTCCAAGCGATTCTCGTGCCTCAGCCTCCTCAATAGCTGGGATTACACACCACCATACCCAGCTAATTTTTGTATTTTTAGTAGAGGTGGGGTTTCCCCATGTTGACCAGCTGGTCTTTAATTCCTGACCTCAAGTGATCCTCTGCCATGGCCTTCCAAAGTGCTGGAATTACAGGCGTGAGCCACCACGCCCCGTTCTTCTTTTAATTTCTATTGTGAAAAATTTCAAATATGTACCAAAGTGGAGAGAGCAGAATAATTAACCCTCATACACTCATCACCTAGTTCCAACAATTATCAGCTCATGTCCAATCTTATCTGTACCGTCACTCCCGTACCCTCCCTGTAGAATTTTCAAGAAAATCCAAGGAACACCTGGTGTATTCCCACATGTTAATGAAAACTCTTGTTGATTAAGCTGCACTTATTAGTAATTTATTTTCCCATTTAAAATTAATTTTCAGAATACCAAGAAGGCACCATTTCATCCTTATATCTGATTGGTGAAAAGTGTAGTAGTCAAATAGTACCAAGGTTGACAAAGACATCAAAGAATAGAAACACTTAAACACTGATCTTGGCAATGTAAATTGGTGCACTGATGTTGCAGAGCAATTTGGGCAATGCCTAGTGTGGTTGAAGATAACCTTGGACGAAGATTTACAAGAATATTTATTGCAATGAAAAGTTGGAAACCACTTAAAAATTTATCAGTAGGAAAATGAATACATTGTGCTATAGATAATGATTATCCAGACAGTGGACCATGGTATAAAGCAGTTGAAAGGAATGCCCTGGAGTGACATATGTCAACAAGGATTACCCTCAAAAATGTTTTGTCAATTAAAACAGATGCAAAAGGGTGCATACAGTGTGATGCCATTTTAAACAGTTTTATAGCATCCAAAAACTCTGTATATTGTTTATGGCTACATACATAGGTAGTAAAAGCATAAAAATAAATGTGCAAGAGTGGTAAATACCAAATTCGGGATGTTGTCATTTCTGGGATGGGTGGAATAGTGGGGCTTGAAAGGGGGTGAAATAGGGATTGAAGCACAGCCTGTAATGCTTTCTTTCTTGAAAGGAAAAATAAAAAAACTAAACCAGGTGTGGCAAAATGTTAAGATTTGACAAGTCCTGGATGTGCACAGACATTTGTTATACATGTGTCTGTGTAAATGGTTCCTTATTCAGAAATGAAAAATCTGTAATTGTTCATCTTCTGATAAACTTGCAATGGCTGCTGTTGTCACATGATGTCATTTTCTTGACTGGAGCTAAGAAACTTGGCATTTTTTGTTATTTAATCCTGAGAAAATGCATATTTTCTTCTTTCTTCCTTCCTTCCTTTCTTTCTTTCTTTTTTTTTTTTTTGAGATGGAGTCACGCTGTTGCTCAGGCTGGAGTGCCGTGGTGCCATCTCGGCTCATTGCAACCTCTGTCTCCTGGGTAAGGGTTCAATCGATTCTCCTGCCTCAGTCTCCTGAGTAGCTGGGATTACAGGTGCCTGCCACCAAGCCCAGCTAATTTTTGTGTTTTCAGTAGAGACGGGGTTTCACCATGTTGGCCAGATTGGTCTTGAACTCCTGACCTCAAGTGATTCGCCCAACTTGACCTCCCAAAGAAAGTGCATATTTTCTTTGTCATCTTATGATAGTAGATCATGGAGCTCCTTTAACTTAATGGATTCCTAGAGGCCAGTGACTCCTGATATTTTCCAGACGCTTATAGCTAGAAAAAGCCAAGTAATGAAGCTCTGATGCTTTGACTTGCTTTGACTTAACAAGCTTAGGGAAGAAGCAATGACACTGTATTTTCTTTCTTTTTGAGAGAAAGTAAGAACAGCATGAAAGGAGAAGGCAGAGGAGGAGGATCCCTTCTTGCCTCTGTGTAGACCGATCCTAGATGCAGCTTCCTTCTGTCATCTGCAGGTGGTTGGGACCTGTCTCCACACCCGTGGTTTGCTCAGGAGTAGGGAGGACAGGCCTGAGAGGAAAAAGGACTTGAGCTGGGCTTTGCAAAGGCACAGTAGAATTTAGGTAGATAATGAGGAGTGGTTGAATAGATGTGTCACGGAATTAAGGGTCCATCTTTAGCAAGACACAAACCCTTTAAGACCTGGTCCTGCCTGTCCATCTTCACTTCTTAGTACCCATCTCTGTCCACCCTCCCCTTCCAGCCAGACCCAGTATTGGCCCTATTGGCGAGCTCACCTTTGTCCTCTGGCCTTGGCTTTGCACGTGCCCTGACTTCTCACATGGAAGGGAATGAGTGCCTGTGCCTCACCTGTCCCTGGGCTGCCTGCCAGTCTCCTGCATACTCCCAGACTCTGATTGCGGCAATCTCCCAAGGAATGCACCTCCTGATTTTCCAGGCTGACCACCCTTCTGTAGCACCTGGTACAGTTAGTTGCTTTGTTCTTAATTCTATGCTTGTCTTCCTACCTGTGACTTTTTTCCTGGGCAGTGGTGCAGCTGGAATGGTTCAGCATGCATGCAGACTTTTCACGTGACCCTGGGCAGATACTTAATCTTGGGGTGCCACACTCATCTGCAGGTGGGGATGGAATGGTACCCAACTCCTGTTGTAGTTGTGAGGGTTAAACATTGTAACACATATAAAGCAATTAGGGGAGGGCCTGGCAAGACTCTGCTGTAGGAGTTAGCTGGTCCTATTGCTGTTTTCCCCATTTCTTCCTTTTCTCTTTTTCTCTCTTCCTCTTCTTTTTTCTTTTCCATCTTGTTTTTAGCTCACCAACACAAGAGATGGAAAACGATGTAAGCATAGCCTTTAGGTGTGAATGACTCCTGGTCAACTTGGAGGAAATGGCAAAATCCAGTAAGACGTACCGGGGATGTTTGGAGGGAGTGGTGGGTGTCAGAGTGAGTAGGTGGAGTGGGGCCAGACTTTAGAAGCCTTGGATACCAAGACACGGAGTTTGGACTTGATGTGATTGGCAAAGTGGAATCTCCGGCCATTGTTTATCTGGTGAGAAACTGCTGTGGGAGACCTGTATGGCAGTAGTTTACTGAGTGGACTGGCAAGAGTAGGGAAAAGAGTGGCAGTAGGAGACTAACTTTAAAATATGCTGAAGACCTTTAATATTGAAGAGCAGCGTGGCTGGATTAGGCAGTTGACAAGTGGCACTGACACAGGAGAGACTAGAGAGAGAGGAGCAGGACTCCCTGGCTTGATGAAAGAACAAAAGAGAGGGAGCTACAATCTTTGGCTTTGAGATTTGTAGCTAGTTGGACTGCAGGAAACCACAAAAAGAGTGAGGGTAGCTGGAATAGCATATTTTTGTTTTATTTTTAAGATGTGTGGGATGGCCTAGGATTTGGCATCAAAGTTGGTGTGTTTATTGAGTATAGTTACTGTGGATGCCAGCAAGAAGGAGAGCGATCCGATATATTTACAGGCAGGACAAGAGCAGTCCACATCCGTAAGCAGGAAAACAGTGTGGCCAAGTATTGTTTTCGGACTTCTTTGGCTGCGTTAGCATGCTGGAGGGTTCTGTCCTTGACCTTTCTGAATTGACTATTGTGTTTGGTGAAAGTAGAGGTCACACTCATCTGAATCACCTAAAGTCATCTGTATGACTTTAAGGCAAGAAGGAACAGCAAGTGTGTAGGTTGGCAAGTAAGATAAAAAACAGTCCGGATGAGATAGACTGATGGCCTGGCCCTGTTGATGGAACAAGGGTGAATGCAAGGTTTTGAATCCAGCTGCAAAGTGTAGGAGGGGGAGGCTGTGGGAAGGATGGAGGGTTTTAGTTGGCAGGTGTCTGCCACGTGATGTGGCCTCTAAACAGCCATCTTGTCTGCACTGAAAGAAGGTGGTCTGCTTGCTTCATCCTTGTCCACAAGCTGGTCAGGCCACTTGTGGAGTATAGCATGCAGTTCTAGGCAGTACACTCTGAAGGACGGAAACAAACTGGAACCTGTTTGTAAGACACAGGGAAAGGAAATGAACCCATAGAACATGAGCTCCTTCAGGGTAAAGATTGTTCATTTGCATCTCTCTGAAGCTTTAGTGCCTACCTACATCAGTGTCCAGGCCTAGTATGTGCTCACCTGTTGTCCATTGAATAAATAAGAGATTGGGGTTGTCCTGTATCCAGGACCCCTGAGCCCAATTTGAGTTCAAAGTAAAGAAGAACTTTCGAATAGTGCTTTCCCCTGGCTGCCATTAGTGGGAATGTGCATCTGCACGCAGGATGTCCACAGGCACAGGGGAGTCAAGCTTAGGTGGGTGGTTAGACCGGTGGGCCTCAAGATTCCATCACTCTCTCCATGCGCTGGACTCTTTGATGGGAGAGAGTAAGGGAGCGTGAGTAAAAGTCCGTGATCAGTGAGGGTGGCCAGGAGCAAGTCGATTTGTAAATGAATGTGCTGGCAAACTTCCTTACAAAGGCACTCCCCCAACAATTTTTTATAATTTCTAGATAAAATGCCCTGATTTGAAAGAAAGTCAAGTAGAATTTGAGTTAATAGCGTGAATTGCAGTCCCATCTGCTCAGCTCCATGGCCCGGTAGATCTGTGGAGCCATTTGTCACAATTTGTTTTAAAGCCAGGAAGAAAAACACTCCTGGACACTGCCCAACACTTCTCACGGAGATGCTGTCTTTGGAGTGTGGAAGGGGTGGGGTGGGTGGTGAGAAAGCTGGGTGGGACAGAAGGAGGGCCCTGTGCTTTGAGGCAAAAGACAGGGTTCCAGCCCCTCTTCACTGGCTTGCTTGTGACCTTGGGTGAGTCATGCAGCTTTTCAGGCCTCGCTCCTGGTGTAGAAGGGCTAGACAGATCACAGCTTCTCCAAGTCTGGGCCAGATGACTGTTCATTCTTTCCTCCATTCAACTAATATTTTTTGAGCTCTGTTTAGGTGCCACACACCATTCTAGGAGCTGGGGATCCAGCAGTGCCAATACTTTTTCTAGTTTTAAGACTGGATGCTAAGAACATCATTGTCTACTTCATGCTATTGGAGAGCAGCAGTTCTTCCAGGCATAAGAACCTGGAAGAACCAGTTTGCATGAAAACTGTCCTGAGCTCGGGAAAGGCTGTCACCAGCCTTCCTCTTGACGTGCTTGAGGCCAAAAAGGGGAGATAGGGCCAACTCAGAGTGCATGAAAACCAAGCCGTGAAGAGTGGATAGCTGAAAAGATGCCTGTGAAAGCAACTTTGATCAGGGAAGGAATGGTGGACTCGGTATGGGGAATTCTTCTTGGGAAGGTGATTGTGGAGCGGCTCTCAGGAGACAAGAGGCTTTGTTTGATGACTGGCAAAGGCCTTTTGAGAGGGTGTGGTCGGGGTGATGGCTGGCACCTGTGAGGAAGACAGTTGTTCTGGCGAGTGGAGGTGTACTGGGAAAGGGTGTTCCAGGAGAATAACCAGTTGATTCATCCCACAAACATTTATTGGGCACCTACTGTCTGAAATGCAAGGGGACACACAAAGATGAGTTAAGGATTTGACTTAAGGCACAACACAACACAACACAACACAAGGCAGGAATGGTTGCCTGCATAAGGCACTGAGGAAGGTTCCCTAGCAGAGATGACGGATGAGCTAGGCCTTAAAGTATGAGTGGGCATTGGCTGGGCGTGGGGTGGAGAAAAGGCCTTTCCAGATGAAGGGCTCTGAAATGCTTTATGAGTTTGCCTTGGCAGAGACCAGAGACCCCATAACCAGATGCTGTTCATTTGATTCTTGGAATCATGGGAATACTTCAGTGCCCCAAAAAGAAGATGCCGTTACAATGTTTGAAGATGACATTCTTTGTGCTTAAGCTGCCTTAAGCCTTTTCTTAAACAGCCTGGATGTGCAGCAAAAAAGAGTCCTTTCTGCCCCGTGTTGTAGGGCATTGGAAAGGATGACGTACTGGGAGGTGGCTGATGCAGCCTCCAGTGCAGAGGCCTGGAAAAGTGGATGATCTGTGGCTACAGGAGGGAGAGGTTAGGGTGGGTGAAGAAGCATTATGAATGAGCAGAATCTAGGAACACTCCATGGGTGAGGGTCATATTAAGAAATGAGAGAAGGGCACAGACTACTCTATGCCAGGAAGAGAACTGGGGAAGGCCAACTATAACAGGGATTGTTTTGGAGGAATGGATAGTGTAGACAGTCACAGTGAATTTGTTTAAACAAATATCTGGAATTGGTGACTCAAGGGCTTGGTCAAGCTCAGTGGCAAAAAATCAGTGAGAACAGGAACATGAAGTAAGTTAGAGATGGGGCCTAGACGTTTGGGATTCTACTGTTTAGAAGCAGGTGTTGCAGTTATCCAGTGCTGCATAACAAATCATCCCAAATCATAGTGGCTTAAAGCAAAAATTAGTTTATTCTCTTTCATGAAGTCTGTATGTCAACATCAGGAAGGGCTGGGCTCGTGGTTCTGGCTCAGTCTTTCATGGGGTTGCAGTCAGATAGTGGCTGGGGCTGGGACACTAGAGAGCTGGAGCAGTGGAGACTGGCATCTCATTCTCTTCACCTCGTCTCTCCTGTGGGCTAGCTTGGGCTTCCTTATAGTGTGGTGGGCTCAGAGCAGGCAGATGGCTTACACAGCAGCTCGGGCTCCAAGTGTGTGTCCCAGGATTGCTGGCAGAAGCTGCATTCCCTTTTTGTGACCTAGCCTTAAGGTCACAGAGTGTCACTTCTACCAGAGCTGTAGCCCACCTAGATTCAGAGAGAGGAAACACAGGTTCTGCCCTCTCGATGGAAGGAGTGTCAAAGTCATGGGTAAGCAGAGCAGGCATGGGAGATGTCATTGCAAGCCAACTTTGGGAAATACATTTTGTCTCCGGTGGGGAAATTGCATGAACAAATGAACTCCCTCATAGCAGAGAATGGAGAGTACCACCTGAGATTTGATGGGCAAACTGAGAACTGGGAGAGAAGCAAGAGAGGAGGCAGCGAGTGACTGAGGAGATGTGGGCAGGGAGAGAGGAGGAAAGCCAGGTGATGTTCTGGGCATGAAGCCAGGCTTGCTGTGGGTGCTCCAAGGCAGATGTGAACGAGTGAGGATGGGAAAGAAGTGGGGTTGGCCAGGACCATGGGAACACGTGGCTCTTGTTTTTCAGTTGTTCTCTCCACTAGCTGGAGCCTACCCTTTTTTCCTCTTAGATTTTTAAACAGCGTTTTATTAGGAGAAATTTAAAATTATCCTTGTCTTTTTTATACTGTCTCCTCATTTTGCTTTGTCGTGGCATGTGTTTTTACACATTTATTTTTGAATAGGTAATGCATTCACATGCGTTCAATTAAAAAGGATACCAAAGAATGTACACAGTGCAAATTAAGTCTGCTTCTGACCTAATTCTTCCAGAGACCATCGCCGTTACTGGTTTCATGTGTGTCTTTCAGAAAATATTCTCTACCGTTGTTGCCTCTTTGATGCCGACTGTACACACTAGCAGGGCTGATTTGCTCCTGCTTTGGTTTTAGCCTCGATGGCATAGAGGCCCTTCCATAGCATGAACAGCCCTCTCCAGACCCATCTACTCACCTTTGTGAGAGGGCAGAGCCTGCAGACTCAGGGCTGACCTCAGCCCTGGATTCTGTTCAAGCTTTTTCTGAACCTGTAATTTTAAGTGCTGCTTCTAATTCAAGTCAGACTTTTTCTATGTTGGCTTTTCGTTTTTGCTTTCTATGGTTTCTCAGTGTTCTTTCACCCCTAAGATCATGATTTTGAATTTTTATTTTTGGTTCTAAGGCGCAGAGAGTTTAGTAGACAAGAAGGAAGGGAGAAGACAGAAGGAAAAAGCTGCCCCGTACAGAGACAGAGGGAAGGGGGCTCCAAAGCCGAAAGAAGAGGTCCCCACGATTGTGAAATTTTTTGTTCTCTCACTTACATGCACCTTTCCCTGGCATAGGGGAATATATAGTTAGGGAAATGCAGGGGCTTTCAATACTGGTATCACAGAATTACACAGTCTTGGAGCTGAAAGGGGATTTTAAGGATTGTCTGGGTGTTTTTCTTCTTTAAAAAAAATTTTAAAATTTTGCTTATAGGGAATTCAGCCTTAGAGAAAAAGTTAAAAGATTATGTAAGGTCTCTTCTTCCACCCAACTCAAAAAACACCCCCAAACCAAAACCAACTCTGCTGGACTTTCTGGGATGGTTGATGACCTACTGAGATCTGATTTCCCAGAGCAGGAGGTGGGAAGTGCTTGATCCAGCAATGGGAGGGAATGCTTGAACCCAGGATATCCCAAATGGCTGGAATGTAGGACAGTGGTACCATGCCCAGGCTGGGACCAACTTCTTAGCTGGCCTTCAAAGGGACAGATGGCAGCTGAACTCTGCGTAATGCCCAAATACAGCTCACAGAACCCAAAGACTGTGTCTCTGCAGCGTGCAGCATTGGTCTATAGCATTTGAAGCTATTTTTTCTCTGTAAGTGTCCACAAAATTCGTCACTTTACAATGAGCTTGGCAGGATAGCTGCAGTGAAGAAACTCTCCACACAGGTCCCAGTGTCTCTTCTGGAATTTTGCCTGAGCAAGTAAATCAAATACTTGGTAAACACACTGATGTCACTGTCCCTAGCCATGGGGATTTAGAACTTTTTCAAAACCCCTTTCTCTCTGTGGCCCCACTTGTTTCTCGCTGCAGCCTTTTATTTTTCTGGAGTTGGCTGTGGTTCTCCCTCCATGCTCCAGGCCAGGTTCTGTGGGCTGGACAGGTATGGCGAGTTAATCCTGCCAGACGAGGTCAGCTCTGAGTTAATGAGTACAGCCTCTCTTTCTCCCCTCCAGAGCATGGATTTCTTTCTTAAGTTTGAGGAGACAAAAATATATGCCTGACAAAGGATTACCGGGAAGAATTAAACACGAGTCCTTCAGCATGCACGTATCCATTTGTTGCCTTCCGGGTTTGCTTTCTTCTCAGCCTGCGAGGCTCCTCATTCAGTATGCTGTGTTGTGTGGTTAGCTGTTCCATAGTCATACTGAAAGTGGCTTCTCAGATGCTGCTTGAGTCCTGGGGAATGTCACCATCCGATGACAGTCTAGCTGAGAGATGCTAGCACGCCCACCCCTTCTTCCCCCCACAGATCCATATCTCATCTAGCTGTACACAAAAGGCAACTGATAACTCCTGTTATCAGCACTAGGTGGGGTGGGAGGTTTTGGGGGATGGTCAGCATTTTTTGGTTTCGATGACCATGTAAGTATTTTAAATCTGCAGCTCTGGCAAACTGATAACCTCCACAACTATATCATCAGAGCCCTCATTAATGGAATCATTTTCTAATTTGAACACCTTGTTTGTCCTTCCTCTCATTTCTTAGTGAACCTGTCAGTCTTCCCCAGCCCTTCACTGGTTGAGTTGTGGCAGTTTGGAGTCTTTTGCTTTTCAGGAATAGGCTCTGCTCTCTGACCGTTTCTGTGTCTTGACCTTTGTGGCGAGTGGAGCTCATTTGGTAGTTATAGGGTCTACAGTTGATGGAGACATTGAGGAGGATTGAATGCCAGGTATTTTAAAGTGGCCTTGAATTAACTGTTTTTTGGCATCTTTCTCAAATGGATCCATGGGTTATCATGGCCTGTGGAGGCACCTCCCATCTGAATGCTTGCCATCCATCAGCTGAGTGACTGTTGACCTTTGCTCCATATGTCCTCCTGTGGGCTTGGCTGGGGAAGCTCACTTCTCAGAGGCACATGGCAGGATGGTCTAGAGAGTTGGTTGGGCCCAGGGAATAGATTCTCTGTCCAGTGATGACCTCATCAACTTCTCCCAAGCAGTTGCCTAAGACCTGCGAATTGTGGACAGCTCCCTGGATATCCCCACATTCTCTTGCCTGTTAACTACATCTCTTTACTATCTCTCTGGCCAGACCACCCCCTTTCACTCCCAGTGGAGGTCCAGTGATCTGATTTGGTTGGGGTCCTCAGCAGCTCTCACCTGGATCACCGCAGGAGCATGAAGGAATCTTCTGCCAGGGCCCCTTTCCCATCACTCCTGCCAGAACAATCTTCCCAAGGCAGGATTTGGAATATCTGTTTCCTTATTTACACCCCCAGTGGCTCTCCACTGCTCATAGTTCAAAGCCCATGCTCTTTAGTAGAGCACCCTATCCCTGCCCTGGCCTGGCCCCTGTCTGCTGCTTCCTCTTGGTCTTCCTCTACTTTCATGGACCCTACCACCCATCAATGTCAAACTGCTGCAGTACTCTGGACCTCCGGCTCCTCGTGCAGCTCTGCATAGATTCGAGCTGCTCTCTGCTGAGGTCCTATGTGATGTCCTCCCCACCCCACCACGATCTAGCAGAAATACCTACTCATCCTAATTAGAACTGGGCACAAGCAACCTCTCTTGTGTGAAGCCTTTCCTGACGCCTGTGGAACACCTAGCTCGGTGTCCTCAGTGCATCTTTCACAGTGCCACGCTTTGCCGCCTCTGTTTACTTATCTATCTCTGCCTCCTAGACTGTAAAGATTGGGTCTTGTAGCTCATCAGCCCAGTACAGTGTCCAGCAAAGAGGAGACACCATATATATTTGTGGAATGAATGAAACAGAAGCTTAGAGTCAGAGATTGTGGGTTTGGATGCCAACTCTGTATCCCACTGACAATTTCTCCGAGCCTCAGTTTGCTCATCTCATCAGCGAAATGGGGAATGTACACTTCCCTCACAGGGTGGCTGTGAGATTAAAGTAAGAAGACACCTTTGGAAATGCTAGTTTGCTGCAGATTTGGCTAGTGCCTGGAATTGAGCAGGTACTCAGTCCTTATTTCCTGTTTCAGGTGATAACCAGAGAGAAAGCCTCTACTTCAGGAGACCGCATCTCATTGTGCCTTTTGTCTTCTTCCAAAGAGGCTTCTCTGATTTTGCCCCTAATTAGGAGGGCGTGCCTGGAGAGCCCCTTAACAGCATCTGGGCAGGGCTTGCCACCAGGGGGCAGAGGCTTTTGAACCATCACTGCTTTGTCAGAGCCTGTAGCGAATGTTCAAAGCCCAAATCTTGTTCCAAATCCCATTCCCTCCAGGACCCTTGTCCTCAGTGGGGATTTAGAAATGGCCCCATGCTGTATGTCACGTCCTTGGCTCTGTGTAAGTCAGCGACAGCCTGCATGTTAATGCCTAAACTGCTTTCTCAAGATTCCTCCAACCATCTGTCATTCAGGTGCCTTCCTTGTACCCTGAAAGGATGATTTTCATCAGGGCTCACAGTACCTGTTAATGCCTCATGAAGGCATCCAGTTGGAAGAAGCAAGAGAAGAGATGCGTTAGAGGGCTCGGAAGGGATCAACATGGAATGGAAAGTTTAATAACTCAGAAAATAGGAGTTTTTAGGAAAGTGGCTAAACAGCTTTAAGAAAAAGTAAATGAGGTCAAACCTGTTCAACCAGGCCCTTGTGCATTAAGCAGCTCAAACAGAGGGCAACTGATTAACCATTTGACACTTCACACACCTGCAAAGTTGACCTGACCAGGCTGGCTCCAGCCAATTTTGCAATCATTTTCTCTCTCCACCCATTCCCTATTTCACCATCAGCCCCCCTCCCCCACTTCAGGCTCCTTGGCCACCTCCCTCCTCTCCACTTACACAACCTGAATTCATCTGTACCAAAATATTCACCCCTCTCTGACTTCTTTTTTTGGGTTTTATGAGGCAGGTGGTCTGAGAAATTGCTTATGACTGTTGGTCCTAATTATGAATCTAATTCATTCAGACTATAGAATACTTAGAAAACACAAAGTGCAAGGAAAAAACAATCCCTTATTACCCGACCTCCCTTTAGCGTTTTTTAAATATACTAGCCCAGTCCTTTTTCCACACATATATAGAGGTGTGTGGGTGTGTGTGGGTGTTTATCTTTACGAAAATACTTTCAAATCCTTTTATAGCCTTTCTCCCCTTTTACTTAGTAGTGTGCTTTCAGCATTTTTAGGTGTTCATAAATATTGTTCTCTGCAGTTTTTAAATGGTTGCATACTGTTTCACCACATGTGGAGAGTGCTGTAACTGACTGATGGATTCTTTGTTTGGGGACCTTTTCCTGCTTTTGTGACCCACCCCACTATGGTATAGTGCTCATTCTTGTACCTTCTTTTGGAAGTCCCTGAACTCTCCAGCTTGGTCTTGTGTATCTGCGAGGGCCCTGTTTCCCAGTTCTCTTCTCTGGGCTGCTGAAGAATTAGTCTCTACCTCCACGGTTCTGTTTTTTGCATCTGTGATGCTGGCTTATCTGTGCCTCCCTGGAAAGAAAGAGCAGGGCCCACTGCCTACTGCCTGGTCATAGTTATGCTCAAGAACATGGTCCTTGAATTGAATAGGGAAAATGTCCAATCCAGGGCTACCCACCGATGACAGCCAAGCACAGGAGCCTGAGCCACCAGCAATGAAAGTCAAAGCTGAGGGAGAAGGAGCGGCCATCCATTGTTACCATTCGTAACAGGTGCTTGGGAAAACCCCCAGAAGCAGTGTCAGGGCTCTCACTATTTATTTTTAGTTGTGTGTAGATGTTCATGCTTTATGAGTGTGCTAGACATATTTCAGGGTGCCTGCCACCCACACTCTTGGTGGGGAACGGTTTGGGGCCCTTCACATTCCCTGTTGCCCAAAGTGGTTATATGCTGGGTAATGGAATACAGATGCCCATCTGGTCAAGTCCACCTAGATCTGAGTGTGTTGGGGAAATGCATATTGTAAATGACCCCAAAATCTACAACTTTGGGGGCCTGGTTAAAAGAAAAAAGGTCTCCCAGCCAGTCAGACTGCTTTCTGGGGAATTTGCACTGAGAACCACAGTGGTGAGTGCAGCAGCAACAGGCATGTGTAAGCTGAGTATTTGGAGCACAGAAACTATGGCTGAGTAAAGGAACTTTGTCCCTGAAGAGTGGCGGGAGCTGTCCTGAGGAGGGCGGTCTAAGTCACAAAGGTTTTCCAGTTCTGGTCCTTGCAAGGCATAGCTCTGCTGTGATCCTCACTCATGGGTTGCCCTGAAATCCCACAGTGTCTTTTTGTATCCTTTCTCCATCCTCCCCACTTCTCCCCACACACTAGAGCTAGTTGTTGGGGCTCTGCTTATTGCGATTATCCAGCTATCGTCCAGGAGGATGGCACATTGGCTAGTGCTTCCACTGCTGAGAGGGTCACAGCAGTGCCTTGGGCAGAGTCAGGAGAAGAGGAATATTCCTGTTTTGTACCGGAGTGCTTTCCAGGGTGAAGAGCTGAAGGAGCTGCTCTGAGTAGGACACGGCACTGAGGTTCCTTTGGAGACCCCAATTCACAGCCTGGGCATTCGTAGCTAGGCAGCCCCATTTTCTAGTTTTGTGTCTCCATGGCCTAGTGTTGGGAGACAGAAGGTGGGGACACTGTGTTGAAGGACACAGCAGACTGACTTATCATGGGCTTCCTGAAGCCAGGGCCACCCCTTTGTATCCAGGTCTAGTTCTGATGCCACTTGAAAAAGCCCCCCAAGTGCTTTTGCTGTTGGCGCCCCGCATCTCTCTGCTGCCTGGTAGCTGACATTCTGACCCTGCCTGCAGATGCGCTCCCGGCATGTTGTCAGCAGGGCCCTGGGCTTAGCAGTCCTCTTCCTGAAGCTGTGAGAGCATTGAGGGGTGCACAGCTGGGGCCCTGCCAGCTCCAGGAGGAGGTGCAGGCAGTGCTGAGTGTGGCGGGAGCTGTGGAAGAGTTATTCCAGTCCTCTTTAGGAGAGGGTGGTGGTGGCGGCCAGTAGAGGGACTGTTTGAAATCCAGCAGACACCTTTCTCCCAGACTGAAAACCTGGGGACCAGACTGAGAGTCTGGAGAAACTGAGGTATCCTAGGTCCAGAAATGAAGCGTAAAATAATAGCAACAGTAATTGCTGTGAAATGTATGCTGTGAGAAGGAATGAGGCACTTACTGGTTCAAGTGATGGTCCTTTTACTGGAACTCACTCTAAGCTGCGGTTCACTGAGCCTCTGGACTTCTCAGAGGGAGTGTTGCCATGAAGCTGCCCTCTTTAAAAAAAAAAATGCCCAACACTCAGCCTATTTCCATTATCTCCAAAACCGGAGGGAAAGAAAGAGCGGTCAGAGTAATTACAGGGAGAACATTTCCAGGCAAGTAATCTGATCTTGCCTTTTAATTTTTTTCCCCTCTAGAAAATAGAAGGCAAATACTGGCACTTATATTTACTTATAAGCATTTCTATTAGATGCTGCCTTGAATCTAGGTGGGGCTGAAAACAGTGTCTATTCCTGTGGCTGTGGGCATGGCTGGCCTAGGGCAGGCTGCAGGGCTCCCTCGCTGCCTTTCTTTTTTGATGCTGCTTCTGTGCTGTCCTTCGCATGAGAGTGAGGGGGAATGCAGGTGAGAGGGTGGCAGGACTCAGGTGCTATCCCTACCTTTGCTGGGAGGAGTGGAGGATAGAGGCAAAGAAATGAGCGATAGGAGAGGAGGAGCAGAATAGAAGGGCAGGAAGTGGGGTCTTTTGGGCTTTCCTGGTTCCAAGCATGGCATAGGGTGAAAGAGCCATGGACATCCTGAAAGTGATAAGGTCTTCCCTGGGGTTTCAGTGGTCATGGATAAGAGAAGCTGGGGATTGTACAAATTCAGGTGGGGAAAGGATAAGCAGTAGAAGGCATGGGCTTGTTGGTTATAGAAAAAAAAGTATAAATAACCTAAATATTCATTAATATTGGAATAAATAAAATGTGGTGTAATCCTATGATGGAATACTGTGCAGCTATATAAAGAAGAAAAATGGGAACTATATTTGATCTCAAAAACTTTGAGGAGGAAAACTGAGGAACATAACTCAATGAAAGGGATGATAATGTTTATGTAAAAAATGCTGAAAAATAATGTATATTTTTCAGTGGTTACATATATCTGGATATAAAAGCAGTTTTTTGGTTTTTTTTTAAGTCTGGAGAGCTCTATCCTTAAATCACAGTAGTGCTAATCTCTGGAAAAATGAGGGGAAGCAGGGTTAGTGGTAGTAGTCAGAAGAGATAAAAGACTTAAAATACTGTATTTTTTAAAACATTTAAGTAAATATTCTAATCTAAGTAAATAGTAGCATGTTTAAAACATTTTTGAGTTATGGTTTAGCAGTCCTCTAAGGAAGCAGCGTCAACATTTAGTAATGAGGGAATTAGGCAGCAGCTTAGAAGCAGCCACCCATCCCTGGGGCTCAGTAGGTAAATGTCTCAACCTAGGACAATCGGGCAGTCTAGTGACACAGCAGTGCAGACATCAGAGAGATCAGTCAGGTTGGGATGAAATGAATTACTGGGTTTGCAGTCCTTTTGGCTGGTTCTGTAGCTGGCAGTTACATCTTCTTAGAAGTAGTATCAATAATTTAACATTCATTAATCATCATCTTTAGACCAGCTCTATTTTAGGTACCACTGGGGATTCAGATAAGAGAAAGAATGAAAGAGTGAATGAATGATATTTTTGTCCTTGGATTTAAAACCAGGCCAGGCCCTCATCTTGTCGCATTTGACTGTGAATTTGGTCTGTCTGCTTCCAGTCCTGCCCTCTGCTCTGTCCTTCACCTGCCACCAGAGTGATAATTCGAAAGTGTAAATCTGATCCGTCTTCTTCCTTACCTCTGTTAGGCTCTTTCTCAACTTCCCCTGTCCCAGAGGAGGTGTTTGACTTTATTAATGTGCCTTTCGGTGCCCTTTTCCGCCTGGCACTGATGTGCCCTCCAGTCATGTGACAAAACGACCTCCGCAAACTTCTTGCTAATCCTGGAATGCACTGCGGTGTTTTCATGTGGTATATATTTCCCTTGCGCTTTGGGATCCAATTCAGATGACACTACTTTTTTGAAGGCTTTTTGAATGCTTTCACTTTCTGAAAGGGCTTAACCTTGCACTTTGCACCTCACTGCTATCGTATACCATTAAAATGATTAGTTATGTGTATTTATTTTAGGATTGTCAGCTTAGGACAACTTGTCAACTATGTCTTATTAATCTCTCCCTCACAGTTTCTGTCCTAGTGTCCATCATAATAGGTACTGAAAAAAATGTTGATTGAAGCCATAGCATATGTTCTTGTTACCTTTCTATGTAACAAATGTTTCCCAACCTCAGTGGCTTAAAACAACAATTTTGTTATGCTCACAGAATCTGGGGGTTGAGAATTTACAGGCACGGCAGGCATGGCTGGAAGTTCCAAGGCTGGGGGCAGCTCACAGGGGAGGCTTGTTCACTCACATGGTGGCAGGTGGAGCTGGGTGGTGATTGGCTCATTCACTCACATGGTGGCAGGGGGACCTGGCTGGAGCCAGCTCTGGACTGGAGCACCTGCCCTGGGCCTCTCCATGTGCCTTGGGCCCCCTCACAGCATGGCCTCAGGACCGTTGGCTTTCTTATGTGGTGGTTCAGGGCACCCTGAGTGAAATGGAAGCTACATCACTTGTCATGACCTAGGACTGGAAGTCACACAGTGACTTCCTGCCCAGATCCACAGAGGAGGGAATTATTCTAAACTCCACCTCTTGATGGGAGTGTGTGGCATGGTCACATTGCAAAAGAGCGTGTGGGAAGGAGATATTGTTACTGCTGTGTCTGGAGAATACAACCTGCCACGGTGTGTGGGAGAAATTAGTTCCACAGCTAGAGTTAATATCACTACTATTGCTACTACTGCAACTAGCGGCTAAACATTTATTGAGCACTTATTGTGTGCCAGGAATTAAGTTTTAAATGTAGCAACTCATTAAATCCTTCCATAACACTGTGACGATTATACCACTTTACAGATGAGGAAACTGAGGTGCAGAGAGGTTAAGTAACCAGCCCAAGGTCTCACAGCTACTGCCCATGCTGTGGGAAGTCAGTGAAGGCGAAGACTTAGGAATTCACTCCGAACTTTAGGTTTGCTGCTGGATTGTGGCAGTGCATTTATCACATGGGAGTTGATGGCTGTTTCAAGAGCCATTTTTTTTTTTTTTTTTTTTTTTGAGACAAGATCTCGCTCTGTCACCCAGGCTGGAGTGCAGTGGCACAATCATTGTTCATGGCAGCCTCGGCCTCCCAGGCTCGAGGAATCCTGAAGGGACCTTTTTTTTTTTTTTTACATAGAGTGTTGCTCTGTTGCCCAGCCCACAGTGCAATGACATGATCTCGGCTCACTGCAACCTCCACCTGCTGGGTTCAAGCGATTCTCCTGCCTCAGCCTCCGGAGTAGCTGGGATTACAGGCGCACATCACCATGCTGGGCTAAATTTTTGTATTTTCAGTAGGGACAGGGTTTCACCATATTGGCCAGGCTGGTCTCGAACTCCTGACCTCAGGTGATCCACCTGCCTCGCCCTCCCAAAGTGCTGGGATTATAGGCATGAGCCACTGTGCCTGGCCTCAAGGGACATTTTTGATGAAAGTATGGATCCAGATAAGGTCCTTGCACCTGTGGGCTTAGGAAGCTGAACCTCAAGCTGTCCTGGTTTTATGGCTCCACTTGTGCCATCTGGACCTTGGTTAGACTGTCCCTTGATGGCAGTGACATTGACCGAGTGGGCTGGAGTGCAGTGGTGCGATCTCGGCTTGCTGCAACCTCCATCTCCCAGGTTCAAGCAATTCTCCTGCCTCAGCCTCCTGAGTAGCTGGGATTACAGGCGTGTGCCATCACACCCGGCTAATTTTTGTATTTTTAGTAGAGCTGGGGATTCACCATGTTGGCCAGGCTGGTCTCGAACCCCTAACCTCAAGTGACCCATCTGCCTTGGCCTCCCAAAGTGCTGGGATTACAGGCTTGTGCCATCACACCCGGCTAATTTTTGTATTTTTAGTAGAGCTGGGGATTCACCATGTTGGCCAGGCTGGTCTCGAACCCCTAACCTCAAGTGATCCATCTGGAAGTGCTGGGATTACAGGCATGAGCCACTGTGCCTGGCCAGTGCAAGTGCCTTTAGCCAGCTTCATTTACTCCCTAACTCCTTGCCTCAGGTTCTGCATCCGTAAAGTGAGGTCACTAGGAGTATTTACCTCAGAGGGCTGTTGCAAGGTTAAAGCTGGTTATACAAGCAGAGTACTTGGAACAGTGTCAGTTACCTGGCTGGGGCTCAGTAAGTGCTGGCTGTCCTTATTGGAAAGGTTCAAGTGTTGTGTTTTCCTGTCACCTGATCTGGAAAGAGGTCAAACAAAGGATCTTTTAGCCCATGCCACTTCCTGTCCTTCCTTGGCTGAAGGCTGACAGGTAAGAATCCCCAGAAGTTGTCACCGATGTGCCTGTGGAAGTGCCTTCCCGATTGCTTTCCCTCTGGAGCCTTTAAGTTCCATGAAGCACTTAGTTGGCCTGGACTCCACCTATTCAGCATGCTGTGGCAGCTCAGTTCAGTTCCCATTTTTAACTTGGGACTGCATAGATTCCCCAACATTTCTTTTAGGACCCGGTGACCAAGAAAATCCAGTCAGTGCTTTATTACTTCTCACTGATATTCACAGAGCACATTTAGTGTGAGCCATGGAATAAGAAAACTCTTAGTCACATTCTGTGTCATGAGAAGGTTACTTAACCTTGAAAACCATTTCCTTGTCTGGTAAATGTGGCTGTAATGAAATCGACCCCATTCACTGTTGTGAGGATTAAATGCGATGATGTATGCAGAGCAACTAGGACAGTGCCTGGGAAAGTGCTGCTCATGATCATTTATCTTCGGTTTAGAACAATATATACTTGTTTATTTAAAAAAGGAGATAATAGAGAAAAGGTATTGAGAAAAATAGGAGAGGAGAAAATCACTCATATTCTCACCATTCAGTGAATCAGCCCAGTATCATCAATGTTTTGTTTGGTTGTTTTTGTAGGTGTAGGATTTTTTTTTTTTTAACGTAATTTTCCTGCATATGCAGTTTTGCATTTTTAACCCAAACTTAATGTTCTTTTTAATGTTCTTGTACTTACAAAGATTTATCCTGTTTTTAGATTGATATCTCACCTTGGCAGAAATGAGATAAAATTTTAAAATATTCATTTGGTGGCTTTCACAGTGTTATTTGATCTCTAGGGTCTCCTGTGAGTTTGCTACATGGTGCGTTGTATTACTTTCATCTTATAGATGAAGAAAGATATTAGTGTGGCTGAGTCGCATGCAGAATTTGGAGGAGCATGGTGCCGAATGAGCCTTGATGATTGTAGGGGCCACAACTGGAAAAGTAGATGTAAAATGGTGAGGTCGATCCCTCTGACACTTTCACATGCTCAGTCACGCATCTTGAACGTATAAGTTGGATCCTGTGCCTAGAGAGGTAGGTTTCTGAGCCAAGGCATATTCCAAAAATTCATGAGAAGCTGGCTTTCCCAGGCACAGTGAGCCCTCCCGGCTCACTAACTCCTGAATCATACCTCCTGCCCCTAGCCAAGTTTATCTAGGACTTGAGCACAAAGAAAAAGTGGGAGCATCTTTGAACAAGGAATATCTTGAAAAACTAGTTAAGTGGTATCATATATTTGTGGGATGGGTGATTTCAAAACCCAATCTAAAAGGACAGGACCTTGCTCATTGACAATTTATTGTCTGATGCAATGTTTCTTAATCTTTTTGGGTCTTGGATTCCTTTGAGAATCTTTTGAAGTTTATGGACTCTTTTCCCAGAAGAACACACTCATGTGTATGTAACACAATTTTGCATTCAATCTTAGGGACTGCAGGTGTCTACATTAGTTATATATTGGTGTAAAAAAAAAAAGCCCCAAACTTAAGGCTTAAAGGAACAATAGATGTTTATTATCTCACAGTTTCTGTAGTTCAGAAAGTCAGTAACATCTTAACTGGATACTTCTGACTCGGAGTCTCTTAGGAGGTTGCAATCAAGATGTTGTTGGGGGGAAAGGGGCAGGTTCAGTGGCTCATGCCTGTAATCTCTACACTCTGGGAAGCAAAGCCAGGAGGATTACTTGAGCCCAGGAGTTTGAGACCAGCCTGGGAAACACAGTGAGACCCTATGTATTAGTCAGTTCTCACATTGCTATAAATACATGAGACTGGAGAATTTATAAAGAAAAGAGGTTTAATTGTCTCGCAGTTCCACAGGCTGTTCAGGGAGCATAATGCTGGCATCTGCTCAGCTTCTGGGGCAAGCACAGGAAACTTTCAATCATGGTGGAAGGTGAAGGGGAAGCAGGCACGCCTTACATGGCCAAAGCAGGAGCAAGAGAGAGAGGGGGGAGGTGCCACACACTTTTAAACAATTAGATACTGGGAGAACTCTAACAAGCACAGCACCAAAAGGGTGATGCTAAATCATTCATGAAAGATCCATTCCTGTGATCCAGTCACCTCCCACCAGGCCCCACCTCTAACATTGGGGATTATAATTGAACGTGAGATTTAGGTGGGTACACAGACCCCAACCATATCATCCCATCTCTATAAGAAATAAAAAAGTTAGCCAGGCATGGTGGTGTGTGCTGGTGGTCCCAGATACTCAGGAGGCTGATGTGGGAGGGTCACTTGAGCCTCAGAGGTCAAGGCTGCAGTGAGCTATGATTGCACCACTGCACTCCAGCCTGGGTGACAGAGTGAGACCCTGTCTCAACAACAACAAAAAGATGCCTGGGGTTGACATTATCTGAAGGCTTGACTGAGTTGACTGAGGCTGGAGAATCTACTTCCAGTCACATGCTAGCCAAGTTAGTGCTAGCTGCTGGCAGGAGGCCTCATGGGGTCCTCCCCATATGGCTGCTTTGATGTCCTCATAACATCGTGCTTGTCTTTTTATGACCTAGCCCTGGAAGTCACATTCCACCATTTGTGCATTTCCTATTGGTCACATAGGTCAGTCCTATTTAGTGCATAGGGCAAGGTCTGAGAGGGGAGTAGTGCTCACTGCCCATGCCCTCTCCTGGTGCACGCCGCTTCCAGCACCCAGAAGCTCTCCTAACTCCATTATTTAGGGTTTTCATATGGGATTTCATTACGTGGGTATGACTGATCAAATCACTGACCAATGCTGATTGGATCAATCTGCGGTCCCCCTCTTGTCCTTGGAGGTCTAAGGGCGGGGCTGAAAACTCCACAATTCTAAGCGTGGCCAGCTCCTTCCTTGAAACTGCCTCCGTGCTCACCTTCAGTCACCTCGTTAGCATAAACTCTGGGATGGCCAAAAGGGGCTTCTTATAAATAACAAAAGGTACTCCCATTGCTTAGGAAGTTCCAAGGGGTTTAGGAGCTCAGTGCCAGGAACTGGGGACAAAGACCAAATATGTATGTATGTATATATATATACTACAGTAGTGAATTTTATATAGCAAACATGCATTATTTTTCTTTTTGGCTAAAATTTTTTTCTAGTTATAAAACTGGTACATACTCATTGCAGAGGACTGGGGGAAGGAGTAAAATATTAAGAAAAAAATAAAAATCACTTGCCATCCTGTCACCTAGTATTTTCTTTCTAGTTCTTTTCATGCAGTTATATATAACATTTTGATCTTTCTTTTTATGTTACAGAAGTCATATTTGCTTATTGCAGAGTAATCCAAAGAGTACAGAATGTCTAAAGTTAAAAAAGTTATTTAAAAAAAATGATCCTTGCCTGGGAGGAACTTTCTATTGTAGGCTGAGAGGGGAGATAGAGGGGCTGTGGGTCAGAGGATGCCCTGGTCAGGGTTGGGCGCCTGTGTCTCTCTGGAGGCAGCAGAGGTCTGCACAGCGGGGTATTACCATTATAGGGAAATGGTGGGGTGGGATGTGTGGAAGGGGAATTAAACTGCCAAGAAGAAAACAATTCTTTTTATGTTGAGAAGCATTATTTTCAGGGGTCAGAAGCCCTTTGTGGGGCAGAGGGAAATTAAGGAGGTATTTAATAAACAGGTGCAGCTGAATGTGTGTGGTTAAAGTGCAATCCAGTAGTTATTTATTTGTCCGGATTGTTTATAACCTGCTTCCAGCCTAGACAAGTTGATTTGACCCTGCTGTCCTGGCTCATTCAGGCCACTTAACACTGTTTACCTTTGGGTGGGGAGGACGTGCATGATCCGCTGGCCTAGTGCCTTTGTAAGGTCTGTAAATCGGATGCATTCTGGTTAAACTCATTATTGCATCACAAAAGCCAGTATCTGATGGGTCTCAGCTGTTTTCTTTTGCACTGGGGAAGACTGGAGGAGAATGAAACTTCCTTGAACCAGTGATTGGGTCTCTACCAAAGAGAGAAACTTAAAGCCAGTGAGAGCCTTAAGATATTTCATTTGAGCACTTGGCTGGCACCATGTAGGTAGAGACACTTTAAAGTAACAGTGCTTTGCTACACCTGATTTGAATCATCTGTGGAGCTTCAAAAAAAACCCTAATTAATCCTAAGACCAGTTATGTCAGGTGGGGTCCAGGCACTGTTATTTTTTTTAAAGCTCCCCAGGTGATTCCAGTGTAGGTCCAGGATTGAGAAGCAGTTCTTGAAGATGCTGGTGTACCCTGACCTGCCTCCAGCCTTCTTTGCAGGAGATGGATGGGGGTTGGTTGTAGTTGCTCTGTCATAGAACACTGCAATTCTAAGGATGCCTAATGTTATGAATGTAGGTAAATTGTTTGCAAAATGTTCTGTGTTTCAGGAATACTGCAATCATTTGATTTAAGTGTCACCATATGTGTGTGTGTATACAGTCATGGGTCACTTAATGATGGGGACATGTTTTAAGAAATGCATCATTAGGCAATTTCATTCTTGTGTGAACATCATAGGGTGTATTTCAACAAACCTAGATGGGATATATATTTTCATTTATATATTTTATTATGGAAAATCAAATGTCCCAGCACTGTTACTAAATATCAGTCATTTCCCCTACTTGATCTGCCATGCCAACATTAAGTGCCATATATTAGATCTCTATATATGCTCCATTATAATCTTACAGGATCACTGTTGCACATGTGTTTCCTCATTGACTGAAATGTTATTCAGTGCATGACTGTACATATATTAAAAATGTTATGCACCATATTTTAACATACTGATATTACTAATGAGTTGTCCTCATGGTGACTTTAAATGTCATAATTAATGCCATCAACCAGAATATATCAAATAAATTCAGATACCACTTGTTCTGTTTATTTCCTTCCCCTGCCAATTTTTTATTTTTCCTGGTTCTGCTGAAGCCAAGATGGGGTGCTGTGTAAGATTTTGTTTGTGAGGAAAGGTTCTGCATGAATTAAAGTTTTGCAAGCCATGGGCATTTCATTGTATGGGCCGTTTTGAGGTCTGTCATCTTGCAGATTAGATTAGCTTACACTGAGGCACAGTCACCTGCTGGGCTGGGCAGAGAGCTGCACTCCACTAGTATTTGAGCTGTCCCGGCTGTTCACCAGCTGGATCCACTTCAGATAGGCATAGCCAGGGCAGCCGCCATTCCCATTTGTGGGGGAAAAGGGAAGCTATCACAAGAATGGGCTGCAGCTGTGGGATGAGGTGGGCAGCCCAGTGATGGTGTCATTGTCAAGGGGCCGTTGAAATGTCCTTAAGCAGTCATTGGCCAAATCCTGTCCTCTATGGATCCAGAGCCACAGAATGTTCCAGCAGAAATATGTCTTAGCCAGCAGCTCTTTATTGAGGACTGATTGTGGGCTAGGCTCTGTGCTAGGGTCTTTACAGATGTTACTAAATCTTCTCAATAACCCTATGAGACAGGCATTATTATCCCCATCTTACCGATGAGAAAACTGAGGCTTAGAGAGGTTAAGCAGCTTATCCAAGATCACAGTTAATAAGTGACAAAGCCAGCATCGGAACCCATGCTAGTGCTCTCTAAAGCGTTCTTAGAAATCATGTGATAGATGAGAAGATCAAGGTCTGGAGAAGAAAAGCAAGTTGTCTGAGATGACACAACCAGCTCTAATTGGTGGCAAAGCTGCGCCTATAACTCACCTGCGCTTTTCACAACCTGCAGTACGTGACCACTGCCGAAATGAAGAGGCAGGGGTGTGCCCCCTCCCACCTTCTGAGTGGCTCAGGCACAATCAATGTTGAGTTGGCACGAAATGAGAAATTAAACTCACCATGCCACTTTAAGAAGAACATGGAGAAGGCAGGCAGAAGTGACCTTGGAGAACAGTATCTGAGCCAGAAGGCAGGAGGTCAGCGGGGGAGTCTTGAGTGGGAAACTCAAGGGTAGCCTGACTGTCCTTGTCACAGGTTTAGCTGGGCACTGTTAGTTCCCCCCTTTGTCAGTTTGTGGGAATCTGGGCATCAGGGATCTGTTTCAGCCCTTCACATTTGTATTTGGGTGTGCTCAGCTTAAAACGATAGCAGCCTGCAGGAGCTCAGCTCTGCCTCCATTTATGGAGGGAAGAGAAACTAAGGAATGCTCCTTGGGGTGGTGTTGGGGAGCAGCTACATGGGAAAATGAAGGGTGCAGCACCAGTAAAAAGGTGCTCCCAGGACTCCCTCCCACCAGCACTCGGACCAAGGAAGAAGCATTTAATTTCAGCCAGATTCCTAGATGGTTGCTTTTATTTGTTTTCATCTGAATTTGTGCCAAGGATTCAACTTTTCCTGCTTATTTTATTAAAAACTTTATACACAGCATTAATAAATAGATATAAAACTGCCGTATACATGACAAACAGAGGGGCTAAATGAAATTCCCAAGGGTCAGCTGTTGAATAAGTAACAAAAGCACATCTTGGCATGATCAAATTCCCATATATGCAAATTAGGGACAGTGCTTTACCACAGAGTGTTTTAATTAATATTTATAAATCACAGAGTGCCTTTGAAAGGGCCAGTAAGCTGTTTATATTATTATCATGTCACACAAATAACAAACCCTTTGGAGATTGCTGCCTACTTTGCATTTTGGTCTGAGAAGTAAGTGAGCATGTTGCGTGTGTTTCTCTCCCTCGTAGGTGTGGTGTCAGCACAGCGGCAGGTCACCGTTCAGGAAGGACCCTTGTACCGCACGGAGGGCTCCCACATCACTATCTGGTGCAATGTGAGTGGCTACCAGGGACCTTCTGAACAGAATTTCCAGTGGTCCATTTACCTGCCTTCGTCGCCAGAGCGAGAGGTGCAGATCGTCAGCACCATGGACTCTTCCTTCCCCTATGCCATCTACACCCAGCGCGTCCGCGGAGGGAAGATCTTCATAGAAAGAGTCCAGGGGAACCCAACCCTATTGCACATCACAGATCTTCAGGCCCGGGATGCCGGGGAATATGAATGCCACACACCCAGCACCGAGAAGCAATACTTTGGGAGTTAACAGTGCAAAGATGAACCTAGTGGGTAAGGAGAAGCTGTCTTCACGTTGCCAGCGTCTGGCCTGACTCAGTTCTTTAGTAGTGTAATTTTGCTTTATGCCATGCATTTGACTTTAAAAAAAATCCCAAAACTCCCAGCATATTTTAGGGGTCAACAGATAGCACAAGGAAACTAAATTTCTGTGTTCACTTCTAAATAATAGGTGGTTGAGGGTGAAACTTTAAAAAGATCTAATGCAGATGTTAAGAATTTCGTAAGTTAACTAACCCTGTAACTGGTGAAAAGGGATATGAAAATATAAGGCAAGGACGTTTGTGGTTGATGATCTGAATGACAAGGAAGATGAGACGTATGACATCAGTTGGGAGAGAGGAGAAACCTCTCGGAAGGATAGGCCTTTGGGTAGCTCTGAGACCCACGGGGCACTGCTGAAGCAGGAAGCACATGTGGCTGCGGGTCCTTGCTCAGACCTTGTACATTGAAGGTCCTTTGGCTCCATGCGTAAGGAACTATGAACTGGCTGTCTCCCTTGTTGCTCCTTAATGCTGAAGGAAACATGAGGAAGAGGGATGCAGGAGCTTCCAGTGTGGGCAGCACTGGTCACAGTGTTTGCCAGTGTCAAAGGGTTAACCATATCAAGGCTGTTCTGTTTTTCTGCCTATATTAATGTCCAGTTTTTATTATCACAACTAAGCAGTGGGTGTTGCTAGTTCTTTTATTAATACACATACTATCATTTGTTTATTTTTCCTTTCTCTAACTAGTCTGTGTTCCAGCAGGAGACCTTTTTTTTCTTTTTTTTTTTTTTTGTGTGTGTGTGTGTGTGTGTGTGTGACGGAGTTTCACTCTTGTGGCCCAGGCTGGAGTGCAGTGGTGCAATCTTGCCTCACTGCAACCTCCACCTCCCGGGTTCAAGCAATTCTCCTGCCTCAGCTCCTGAGTAGCTGGGATTACAGGCACCTGCCACCATGCCTGGCTAATTTTTTGTATTTTTAGTGGAGATGGGGGTTTCACCATGTTGGCCAGACTGGTCTCGAACTCTTCACCTCAGGTGATCCACCTGCCTCTGCCTCCCAAAGTGCTGGGATTAAAGGCGTGAGCCACTGCACCCGGCCATGTGATGGGAATGTTCTGTGTCCATAATAGATGCTGCATATTGCTGGCCCAGCTCCTGAGGCTCTTTGGACCTCCAGGAATCGGTGTCTCTACCAGGAACCCTTAACCCTGACCCGGACTCCCGGCTGGGACCCGGGGTGTTGGAGTGGCAAGAGCGCTGTCAGGCCTGGTGAAGGGTGTGAGCTGTCCAACAGGGCAGGGAGGAGGCAGGGCCTGTTCTGCAGTTGGACAGACAGAGCCCTCTAGCTGCTTTCTGGAAGACTGAAGGGCAGGTGATGTTGGAGGGAGGGAGTGCAGGCAGGGGCTGTGAGGGAGTTCAGGTCAGAAACAGGTGGCGCCTGGATTCAGGCTGTGGTGGTCACGGTGGGGATGAGGGGCTGCTTTGGATTGTGCTGGGGATGTGGGGTGGTGCGCTGCTGCATGGCTACTGCCAGGTCTCTCTGCTCTTGGTGTCTGCATCCAGGGCTGGGAGGGGGTCAAATGTATCACACTATCGGCCCCAGGCCCACCAAGCCTGGGGAGGTGGCCACCCTTCCACGATGGCATTTGGATGTTCCCTGTGTGTGGGGAGGGCACGGGGACTCCATTCGTAGACCACCTCTGGGACAGTGTGTCTGCCTCTGAGGTCAGATGCTCTGCACTGGGACAGCGTGGAGTGGAGGGAAACCAAGCTTGGGGCTCATTGGAGGGGCTTGCTGGCAGACACCGCCCTTTGTGGGAAACTGACTGTGGGAGAGGGGAACCCCAACCTCTGTCACCACATCCCTCTTCCCTGTTGTCACACCTGTCACCTGCTGCCGTAGCCATGAGACTTCCCAAGGGTCACTGCTGCCACTCACTGCACAGCCTGGAAGGGAGTCCACAGGGGACATACAGTGAGCAAGAGACCTGTGCCACTCAGGCCTCCTGGGGGTGTCCCCAGTGCAGCCATGATGATAATCACAGCTACCATTCACCAAGCCCTGCCCACAGTCTAACCTACTCTATTCACAACACTCCCAGCAGCAAGGCAAGTGAGGTGCTGCCGTCATCCAGGCTGGACAGTTCAGTGATTTGCCTGAGGCCCCACAGCAGGTGAGTGGCAAGTCCAGCGTCAGAGCAGGGCAGGCTGGCGGTGCCTCCTGAGCCCCCTTTGCCATGCTTACCGCATGCACATCCTGGGCTTGTGCAGGAATGCCCTGTCCCCTACCTGCCCTGCTCCGTGCAAAACCCTGTGCCTGGGAGACATGCTGAGAGAATTCATGGAAACAAATGTGTTACTGACAGCCTCTTTGCCTCCAGAGTTCAACTGGAGACAGAGAAACCAGCTAGAGGCAGAGGGAGGTAACACGGAGTCCCCCAGAAAGGTCTGGGCTGTGCGTGCTTCAGGTAACCTCCCTTGACCTTCAGGAGAACGAGAAGGCTGCCTGATCAGAGAGTCTCTGAAGAAGATTCTGTGGCTACAGGCTTCAGCAGAGTGTGAGGGAGACCCCGGTTATTTCCTCAGCTGTTTCCACCAAATCCTCCTGTCTTTCGTGGCCAACACCCCAGGCAAGGCTTGGGGCCCCCGTCTGCTGCTGGACGGTAAGTCCTGGCCCCGTGGCAGTGAATCTGTGGGGCGCTCTGATTGTGGGCACTATGGAAGCTAAACCCCATGCTCCAGGTGGGGTGGAGGGTCTTCAGAGGACTCCTGGACAGTGCCAGGCTCTAGGCTGGGGTGGGGGACGCAGGAGAAACCAGGCCAGGCCCATCCCTGCTGGAGCTTCTCCCTAAGCAGTGGAGGCTCAGCCACTGTGAGGAGGTAGGCCAGGCCCTGCAGAAAGAGGGGTGTGGAAATCTGGGGGCTCCCAGGAAGGGCCGCTGCTGGAGATGGGGTTCTTACCAGGATGGGCTCTGAAGATAAGCAGGGAGGATTTGGGAGGGCAGAGATGAGGCCCAGAGCTTCTGGCAGAGGGCATGGCCTGCGCAAAGGTCTGGGGGCCGGACAGCCTGCACGTATTCTGGGAAGCGGGAAGGAGACTCCGGCCTTGTGTTTCTGAGGCCCGACTTTAGACTGTGCCCTGTTGGGGAGGGGCCAGGGCATGTCTGAGGCTGGGCCTGACCCTGCTCCTTACCCCGTGGGTGCAGCAGAGCCATGAAGAAGAAGTTAGTGGTGCTGGGCCTGCTGGCCGTGGTCCTGGTGCTGGTCATTGTCGGCCTCTGTCTCTGGCTGCCCTCGGCCTCCAAGGAACCTGACAACCATGTGTACACCAGGGCTGCCATGGCCGCGGATGCCAAGCAGTGCTTGGAGATTGGGAGGTGAGCGGGGCAGGGCATGGGACATGGGCCCTGAAAACTGGGCAAGTGGACCTGAGCAATACCTTCACCCCTCTGAGACTCAGTTTCCCCACATGCAAGCTTCGCTTGGACTCTCTCAGTAGCCTTTGGGAAGGGGACGGTGACTCCGAGAGCAGGGTGTGGGTCTCTAGAGCCAAACAGGGCCCCTTTTCTCAGTTCTAAGAGTCTCTGTTTCTTTGGATAAACTCCACTGTTTTGTTGTTTGGTTGTTATTTTTACTTATTTCTTCCTATCTATCTATCTATCTATCTATCATCTATCTATCTATCTATCTATCTATCTATCTATCTATCTATCTATATCTATTTAGAGATGGAGTTTTGCTCTGTTGCCAGGCTGGAGTGCAGTGGTGCAATCTCAGTTAACTGCAACCTCCGCCTCCCAAGTTCAAGCGATTCTCATGCCTAAGCCTCCCAAGTAGCTGGGATTATAGGAGTGCGCCACCACGCCCAACAAATTTGTGTGTGTGTATATGTGTGTGTGTGTGTGTGTGTGTGTGTGTGTGTGTGTGTTTTCTGAGACAGAGTATCGCTCTGTTACCCAGGCTGGAGGGCAGTGGTGCAATCTTGGCTTACTGCAGCCTCCACCTCCCAGGTTCAAGTGATTCTCCTGCCTCAGCCTCCACAGTAGCTGAGACTACAGGCATGTGCCACCATGCCCAGCTAATTTTTGTATTTTTAGTAGAGACAGGGTTTTGCTATGTTGGCCAGGCTGGTCTTGAACTCCTGACCTTGTGATCCTCCCACCTCTGCCTCTCAAAGTGCTGGGATTACAGGTGTGAGCCACTGCGCCTGGCCTAATTATGGTGTTTTTAGTAGAGATGGGGTTTCACCATGTTGGTCAGGCTGGTCTCGAACTCCTGACCTCAGGTAATCCACCCACCTGGGCCTCCCAAAGTGTTGGGATTACAGGTATGAGCCACCACGCCCGGCTTATTCTTTTCTTTTCTTTTCTTTTTTTTTTTTTTTTTTTTGGTTAGGAGACAATTTCTTTCTTTCTTTTTTTTATTTTATTTTATTATTATACTTTAAGTTTTAGGGTACATGTGCACAATGTGCAGGTTTGTTACATATGTACACATGTGCCATGTTGGTGTGCTGCACCCACCAACTCGTCATTTAGCATTAGGTATATCTCCCAATGCCATCCCTCCCCCCTCCCCCCTCCCCCCAAGGAACGCTGTTGCCCAAACAGGGACATGAAGGGCTTATTCTTTTTTTAAGGTGGAGTCTTACTCTGTCACCCAGGCTGGAGTATAGGGGAGCGATCATAGCCCACTGCAGCCTCAAACTCTTGGGTTTAAGTGATCCTCCCGCCTCAGCTTCCTAAAGTGCTGGGATTACAGGTGTGAGCCATGGTGCCTGGCTTCTACTGTGTTATTCTATTTTAGACTCTTATCTCATGTTATATATAAAGATAAGTTCCCTCCTAAAGACTTAAACAGAAAAAATATTATGTTTTTCATATTTTGAGACAGGGTCTTGTTCTGTCACCCAGGCTGGAGTGCAGTGGCATGATCATAGCTCACTGCAGCCTTGAACTCTTGGGCTTAAGCGATCCTCTCACCTCAGCCCCCTGAGTAGCTAGGACTACAGGCGTGCATCATACCTGACTAATTAAAAAAGACTGTTTTGTAGAGATGGTCTCACTCTATTGCCCAGGCTGGTCTTGAACTCCTGGCCTCAAGTGATCCTCCACCTTGGCCTCCCAAAGTGCTGAGATTACAGGTGTAAGCCACCATCTCTAGCAGGGAAAAAAAAAATGTTATTAATAAAGTATAGCAATTTCCCTTTTTGTCCCAATTATAAAAGTCATGTACATTTGTTTGCTTAATAAAGAGGAAACTGTCTGGGCAAGGTGGTCCACACCTGTAATCCCAGCACTTTGGGGGGTTGAGGCGGGCAGACCACTGAGGTCAGGAGTTCGAGATCAGCCTGGCCAACATGGTGCACTCTGTCCCTACTAAAAATATAAAAAGTTAGCCGGGCATGGTGGTGTGCGCCTGTAATCCCAGCTACTCAGGAGGCTGAGGCAGGAGAATCGCTTGAACCCAGGAGGCAGAGGTTGCAGTGAGCTAAGATCATGCCACTGCACTCCAGCCTGGGCAACTGAGTGAAACTCTGTCTCAGAAAAAAAAAAAAAGAAAAAAGAAAAGAAAAAGAAGAAACTGTAATCCCAGCACTTTGGGAGGTTGAGGCGATAGGATTGCTTTAGACCATGAGTTTGAGACCAGCCTGGGCAACATAGAAAGACCCTATCTCTACAAAAAAGACAAAAAATTGCCCGGTGTGGTGGTTCTTACCTGTAGTCCCAGCTACTCAGGAGACTGAAGTGGGAGGATTGCTTGAGCCCAGGAGGTCAAAGCTGCATTGAGCCAAGACTGTGCCACTGCACTTCATCCTGGGTGACAAAGTGAGACCCTGTCTCATAAAACAAAGGCTGGGCACAGTGGCTCATGCCTGTAATACCAGCACTTTGGGAGGCCAAGGTGGGTGGATTACTTGAGCACAGGAGTTCTTGACCAGCCTGGGCAACATGATGAAACCCCATCTCTACAAAATACACAAACAAACAAAATTGGCTGGGCATGGTGGCATGTGCCCATAGTCCCAGCTACTTGGGAGGCTGAGATGGGAGGGTCAATTGAGCCCAGGAGACTGAGGCTGCAGTGATCCAAGATCACACCACTGCACTCCAGCCTGAGCAACAAAGAGAGACTTTGTCTCCAAAAAAAAAAAAAAAAAAAAAAAGAGGCCAAGGCAGGCGGATCATGAAGTCAAGAGATAGAGACCATCCTGGCCAACATGGTGAAACCCCATCTCTACTAAAAATACAAAAATTAGCTGGGCGTGGTGGCATGCACCTGTAGTCCCAGCTACTCAGGAGGCTGAGGCAGGAGAATGGCTTGAACCCGGGAGGCAGAGGTTGCAGTGAGCTGAGATCGTGCCACTGCACTCCAGCCTGGCAATAGAGCAAGACTCCATCTCAAAAAAAAGAGAAAGAAACTAAAAACAAAAACCCCAAAACTCGAATGGACTTCTCTTCCATCCTCCTTTGGGCAGGTGGGCAGCAGGGTGTGTATGCGGGGCCAGGGTGGAAGCCTGCAGGTTCTCATGCCTTTATGTGCCACATGGCAGGGACACACTGCGGGACGGTGGCTCTGCAGTGGATGCAGCCATTGCAGCCCTGTTGTGTGTGGGGCTCATGAATGCCCACAGCATGGGCATCGGGGTTGGCCTCTTCCTCACCATCTACAACAGCACCACTCATGAGTGCCTCAGAAGAGGAGAGGGAGAGGGGCAGGGGGTGTGGGTTGGGCCGAGGCACAGCTGGGTGGCCCCCAGGCTCACGTGGCATAAAGGGTTTTGGTGGGTGGGCCTGCCTACCTGCTTCTTCTAGGAAAAGCTGAGGTCATCAATGCCCGCGAGGTGGCCCCCAGGCTGGCCTTTGCCAGCATGTTCAACAGCTCGGAGCAGTCCCAGAAGGGTAAGCCATGCTGCAGACTTGGGGCATGGGTGCAGAGCTGGCTGAGCCACCGGGAAGGGGCCTTGCCCACAGAAGCCTGCTCCCGTCAGGGTTCAGGGGCAGTTCTGTCACCCCCCATCCCTTCCTGGCCCCATAGCACCCTCCCACAATGAGTGGTCAGGACCATCATCACCACGGTAAAGGGCCGGGAGCTTCTGTTATTTCTGCTAAGGCCTCCGGGGCCACTCTGTGCAGCACATGGAAAGAATAATTATTATGCTAGCAGACCTCATGGATCAGGGCTCACTGGGGCCCATGCTCTGCTCTGTGCTTTTCACCCACGAGCCTCTCACAACCCTCCCTGCTCCTTTGGGCTAGGGGATGCTGTGTGGATTCCCATTTTACAGGGTGGGGATGCTGAGGCTCAGACAGGTCATGCAAATCAGCTGAGGTCACACAGCTGGGAGGTGGTGAAGCTAAAATTGAACCCAGGCTGTCTATATCCTGCCTTTTCAACAGGCATCCCATTCACTCATTTGTTCATTTGTGGGGATGGCGCTCTAGAATGTGAGGTGGAGTCTCTCTTTTCTAATCTGGTCTTAAGTGGGGAGGAGGCCCCCAAATTCCCCAGGTACCTGAGGGGAAGCCACTGTCCATCCAGGAAGCCACTGTCTGTCCCCAAAGGAGGCACAATAGATTGTGAGATAAAAGTTGGAGGATGGGAGGGTCTCAACAACTCACGCCTCTAATCCTAGCACTTTAGGAGGCCAAGTCAGGAGGAGCGCATGAGCCCAGGAGACCTGCCTGGACAACATAGCAAGACTCCATCTCTACAAAAAATGGAAAAAAAAATTAGCAGGTATGGCGGTGTGTGCTTATGGTCCCAGTTACTCGGGAGGCTAAGGTGGGAGGATCACTTGAGCCCAGGAGGTTGAGGCTGCAGTCAGCCATGATTATACCACTACACTCTAGCTTGGGCAACAAAGTGAGACCCTGTCAAAAAAAAAAAAAAAAAAGGCTGGGCCTTTTTTTCACAGGCTCACGCCTGTAATCCCAGCACTTTGGGAGGCTGAGGCAGATGGATCACCTAGGTCAGGAGTCCAAGACCAGCCTGGCCAACATAGTGAAACCCTTTCTCTACTAAAAGTACAATAATTAGTCGGGCGTGGTGGCACAGGCCTGTAATATCCCAGCTACTCAGGAGGCTAAGGCAGGAGAATCGCTTGAACCCACGAGGTAGAGATTGCAGTGAGCCGAGATCATGCCACTGCACTCCAGCCTGGGCAACAAGAACGAAGCTCCGTCTCAAAAAAAAAAAAAAAAAAAAAAAGTTGGAGGATGGAGGGGCAGGACACACTCACCATAGCAGGTCTTAGACTTCAGGTGGGGGTCCTGGGTGGTGCCCTTTGGAGTCTTCTGCAACATACTCAATCTTTGATTTTTTTTTTCTTTTTTTTTTTTTGAGACAGAGTCTCACTCTGTCGCCCAGGTTGGAGTGCAGTGGTGCGATCTCGGCTCACTGCAAGCTCTGCCTCCTGAGTTCGCGCCATTCTCCTGCCTCAGCCTCCCGAGTAGCTGGGACTACAGGCGCCCGCCACCGCGCCCGGCTAATTTTTTGTATTTTTTAGTAGAGACGGGTTTTCACTATGTTGCCCAGGCTGGTCCCTCGATCTCCTGACCTCGTGATCCCCCTGCCTCAGCCTCCCAAAGTGCTGGAATTACAGGCGTGAGCCACTGTGCCCGACCAATCTTTCATTTGTTTTTAATACTCATTGAGAAACTCAGCATCTGTAGACATGAAGTTGCTGAGGGTAAGAGAATGCGGGAACCATAGGCTTGGCACCTTGTGGACGCTTAAAACCATTTATTTGACTAGAATGTATTGAGCATTGTCTTAAAGAATCAGCTGTTGTTCCTGAAGCTGGGGTGAAAAACAAAGACGGCAGATGAAATCTGTGACACTCCAGGTGGGAGGAGAAACTAGGCAAGTGCGGGTGTGTTACGGGCTGTAGAAAAACAGACCTGGAGGGCCTCAAAATCTGGGACTCTATGGAGGGTGACCTAGTCAGGGAAGGGGACATCTGAGCAAAGACCCAGAGGCAGAGATGGGGTCAGGGGAGTTATCTCCTGGTCTGCTATCCAGGTGTGATGGCAGGGACAGAGCCCTGTGGGGAGCTGGGGAGGCTGCAGCAAGTGATCCAAGGGGAATGGCCCAGGTTGTGCGGGATCTCTTAGGTTATGGTGAAGCCTCTGCTTCCTGTCTGAGGGAAGTGGGGGCTCGTGGAGTGTGTGACTGGAAGGGGATGGATCTGGTCTATGGACCCCTTGGATTGCTGTGTAAGGGGCAGGGAGCATGTGGGGACCTGTCCGGAGGTCACTGCAGTAATTCGTGGAGAGGGTGCTGGGAAGTGGCTGACGCTGCACAGACACACTTGGAAGTGGAGCCTGTGGATTTGAGGATGGGTTGGGTGTGACGCTTGTGTAGGGAGTCCCCGGGGACCCCTGATCTTTTGTCTGTACCTGGAAGGATGGGGTGACCCTAATGGAGACAGGCAGGGTTCTCAGGAAGCAGGTTGAGCAGACACTCAGGAGCTCGGTTTTGGGCACGTTGAAGTTTGAGATGCTTTCTTCGAGCAGGCAGGTAGATCCTCAGGTCTGGTGATCGGAGGAGCAGTCCAGGCCAGCAGGTCAATTTGAGAGTTGTCAGTGCATAAATGGAGGCTGAAGCTCAGATGTCAAGCAGACCACCAGGAGAGAGAGCAAAGACAGAGGGGAGAGTAGGAGCTAGGATGGCAGGCGGGGGAGACTCGGGTGGAGCCAGGTGCTGGGATGCAGGGGCGGCTCTCAGGGAGAGTGATGAGCCCAGTAAAGCTGAGAGGGGGCACTGGGTCTGGCAGTGTGGGGGTCACCAGAGAACTTGGCAAGTGTGGTGGCATGAGAGCCTGATTGGGCTGAGGTCAGGAGGAGATTTTTTTCTGATATTGATACATGATATTTTCTATATTTATGGGTACATGTGAGTGCTTGTTCCATGCATAGAGTGTATAATGATCAAGGCAGGGTATTTGGAGTCTCCGTCACCTTGAATATTTTTCATTTCCGGGTGTTAGCACCATAGTCCTCTCTTCGTTACTTTGAAATATACAAAATACTGTTGCTAAGCATCGTCACCCTGGTCTGCTATCAAAGATTAGAACTTCTCCTGTCTTGGCTGGGCACGGTGGCTCACGCCTGTCATCCCAGCACCTTGGAAGGCTGAGGTGGGTGGATGACCTGAGGTCAGGAGTTTGAAAACAGCCTGGCCAACATGGCAAAACCCCATCTGTACTAAAAATACAAAAATTAGCCTGGCGTGCTGGCCTGTGCCTGTAATCCCAGCTACTCGGGAGGCTGAGGCAGGAGAATCGCTTGAACCTGGGAGGCGGAGGTTATAGTGAGCTGAGATCATGCCACTGCACTGCAGTCTGGGAGACAGAGCAAGACTCCATCTCAAAAACAAACAAAGAAAAACAAAACAAAACAAAAAAGAACTTCTGTCTAACTACAAGGTGGAAGGAATCATATGCTGGGTGTCAGACCTTCCGGGATATATGTGCAGCTTCTAGGAATTGAAACCACCAGCTCTTGGAAACTTGTGCCAGGCTTCAGGGTGGGAGAGGCAGTTCTAGAGCCACAGCCGCCAAGCCAAGGCAAATGGCCCCATCATCTCTCGCAAGAGCAGGAGAGTCCCTGGGGGCAGAGGCCATAGTTGTACCTTTCTGGGCAAAGGGTCAGTGTCTGTAGTGTCCATATGGGCAGTGGGGCTCAGGGGGGAAGCAGGCCCAGGGGTCTGTTTCCAATGACCTCCTCAAAAGTCAGAACTGGAAGGCAAAACCCCTTATAGGCTGAGTGCACCTGTAATCCCAGCATGTTGGGAGGCTGAGGTGGGAGGATTGCTTGAGGCCAGAGTTTGAGACCAGTCTTGGCAATGTAGCAAGACCCCTGTCTCTACAAAAAATAAAAATAAAAAATTAGGCTGGGAGTGGTGGCTCACGCCTGTAATCCCAGAACTCTGAGAAGCTGAGGAGGATGGATCACCTGATGTTAGGAGTTCAAGACCAGCCTGACCAACCTGGTGAAACCCCGTCTCTACTAAAAATACAAAAATTAGCAAGGCGTGGTGGTACATGCCTGTAATCCCAGGTACTTGGGAGGCTGAGGCAGGAGAATTACTTGAACTCGGGAGGTGGAGGTTGGAGTGAGCCAAGATTGTGCCATTGCACTCCAGCCTGGGCAACAAGAGTGAAACTCCATCTCAAAAAAAAAAAAAAAAAAAAAGCCACGTGCAGTGGGGTATGTCTGTAGTCTTAGGTACTTCAGAGGCTGAAGTGGGAGGATCGCTTGAGCCTGGGAAGCCAAGGCTGCAGTGAGCCATGATTGCACCACTGCACTCCAGCTGGGACAACAGAGTGAGACCCTGTCTCAAAACAGACAAACAAACAAAAACCCTTATAGTTGGTTGGAGAAACTGAGGCTGGGAGAGGGGACAGGATGGAGGTTAAGGCTCAGTCTTGCCTCTCTGGGGCAGTAGAAAAGAGGAAGGGAGCCCTTTCTTGGGGCTGGCTGTGTCTTGAAGGTGGCCTGTGCTTGACCTGGGTCAGGGTGGGATCTGCTCTTGTTTTGGCACATTCTGGTGGAGCCCATGAGTCTTACAGGATAAGGCCTTGTGGTCAGCGAGATGGGAGGGGGTCTGGCCTGGCACAGGATTTTAGACATGCAGGCACCTGTACAGACAGACACCTCATCCTGGGACAGCAAAACCCAGCCGCATGCTACTGCTTCCCCTGCTGTGCCCTCCTCAGACATCCCTGGTCCATGTACACTCCTACCTGCTGAGCCCCTCCTAAAAAAAAAAATTAAACATCCCCTCCTAAAAAAAAAAAATTAAAATTAAAAAATAAATTTAAAAATTAAAAATCCCCTTCTGCTAGGTGTGCTGTTCACGCCTGTAATCTCAGCGACTCAGGAGGCTGAGGTGGGAGGATTGCTTGAATCCAGGAGTTCGAGATCAGGCTGGGCAAGATGGCAAGACCCCAACTCAAAAAAGAAAAAAAAATCTTTCCTCCTAAGCCTCATTGCCCCATCTGTAAAATGAGTCAGGGACTGTGCCTGGGATGCTGCCTGCTAGAGATCCCGATGTCCCCCACTCAGGGTCACTAACTGTGGCTCTCTCTCCCCAGGAGGGCTGTCGGTGGCGGTGCCTGGGGAGATCCGAGGCTATGAGCTGGCACACCAGCGGCATGGGCGGCTGCCCTGGGCTCGCCTCTTCCAGCCCAGCATCCAGCTGGCCCGCCAGGGCTTCCCTGTGGGCAAGGGCTTGGCGGCAGTCCTGGAAAACAAGCGGACTGTCATCGAGCAGCAGCCTGTCTTGTGGTATGTCTGTGGGTGCGGCCCCCTGACACAGGCAGGGCAGGCACAGCCCAAGGACCTTGCAGGCCGTAGCAGCAGTGGAGCGGCCCTCTGCCTTCAGGACCCTGTGCTGATAATGGGATGAGGAGATACAGACCCTTCCCACCACGTGTGGGGACACATTCTGAGCATGGGGTCCCAGTGGCCACTGTGGCTGGCCACGTGTCCTGAGTGGCAAGGGACACTAGGAGGCTCCCGGAAGGGACACTAGGAGGATGAGCGCTGAGTGACAGGGCCACCCACCTGTGACAGGTGCTGCCCCTGCTTTGTGCTGGTCTCCTGTGTGGGCAGGTGTGGGGGGTGGTCTAGCTGAGTCCACCCCACCTGCTGCCTCACATGAGCCCCCTCTGCCCCGGTGAGGTGTTCTGCCGGGATAGAAAGGTGCTTCGGGAGGGGGAGAGACTGACCCTGCCGCGGCTGGCTGACACCTATGAGATGCTGGCCATCGAGGGTGCCCAGGCCTTCTACAACGGCAGCCTCATGGCCCAGATTGTGAAGGACATCCAGGCGGCTGGTGAGTGGGTAACCTCAAGGACCTGGGTGAGGAACTCTGCAGTGGAAACCCTGAGCTGTAGCCCAGAGCCATGGGGTCCTCCTGTCTTGCCTGAGCCTGCAGGAAGTTCCTGGTGGAGGAGGGTCAGTGACTGGCCATGTGGGTCCACAGCTCCTGCTTATATCAAAACCAAGAGAGGCCACACAGTCCAGGAGAGCAAGTCCCTGTTGGGGTAAATGCAGGTGTAGGCAAGAGCCAGGGCTAGGGAAGCACTAGAATACAGCCTGAAGATCCAGGAGGACTTCTTGGAGGAGGTGGCGGCTGGGCTGCAGATAACTTCGTTAGGCAGAGAGAGGAAGGGATTCCTAGCAGAGGAACAGCTGGGCTAAGGCCCAGTAGAGGGCGCTTTGATTCACCAAGAGGGTTACAAGGGATGAGGGTCGCCTTGAGAGAGGCATGGGGAAGGGGATTTGTGGGGCAGGGGCCTGGAGCTTGGCTGTGGCTTTCTTCAGGTAATTTTTGTCACTGTTTCATGGAGGAGGGTGATTAGCGTGTCGACCTTTACCACTGAGGCTGGAAATTGGCATGCCAATACCCTGTCTGGAGCTGACTCCAGGAGAATTAAGAGCCTCCCTCCCTCCCTCTATCCATTCATCGTGAGGAGAAGAGGCCAAGCAGCAGGGACACCGGCAGGAATTCTCCAGTTAGAAAAGGCCCTCTGAGCCAGGTGCGGTGGCTCACGTCTGTAATCCCAGCACTTTGGGAGGCCGAGGCGGGTGGATCACCTGAGGTCAGGAGTTCAAGACCAGCCTGGCCAACATGGTGAAACCCTGTCTCTACTAAAAATGCAAAATTAGTCAGGCATGGTGGGTTGTGCCTGTAATCCCAGCTACTTGGGAGGCTGTGGCAGGAGAATCGCTAGAACCTGTGGGGCTGAGGTTGCAGTGAGCCGAGATTGCACCACTGCACTCCACAGAGTGAGACTCCATCTCAAAAAAAAAAAGAGAGAAAAGGCCCTCTGAGGCCAAGCTTGGTGTCTCATGCCTGTAATCCCAACACTTTGGGAGGCTGAGGTAGAAGTTGAGGTCAGGGGGTCCAAGACAAGCCTGGGCAACATAGTGAGTCTACAAAAAAAATATTGAGAATCTACATAAATATAGTGGGGGTGGGGGTGGGGAACAAGAAAACAAAAAATTCAAAGCATAGTGAAAAGAAATATAGCAAAACCCGGCCGGGCATGGTGCCTCACGCCTGTAATCTCAGCACTTTGAGAGGCCGAGGCGTGTGGATCACGGGGTCAGGAGATCGAGACCATCCTGGCTAACACAGTGAAACCTGTCTCTACTAAAAATACAGAAAAATTAGCCACATGTGGTGGCGGGTGCCTGCAGTCCCAGCTACTTGGGAGGCTGAGGCAGGAGAATGGCGTGAACCTGGGAGGCGGAGCTTGCAGTGAGCCGATATCGCGCCACTGCACTCCAGCCTGGGCGATAGAGCGAGACTCCGTCTCACAAAAAAAAAAAAAAAAAGAAAGAAAGAAATATAGCAAAACACAACAAAAAAATTAAAATTTGCTGGGTGTAGTTGTGCCTTTAGTCTCAGCTACTGGGGAGGGTCTGCTGGAGGATCACTTGAGCCCAGGGGTTCAAGGCTGTGATTAAGCCACTGCACTCCAGCCTGGGTAACAGAGCAAGATCGTATCTCTAAAAAAAAAAAAGAAAAAAGAAAACACTCTCTGGCCACAGATGAGAGAAGGCAGACAGGAAGCCAGTAAGCCAAGCAGGCAGAGGGCAGGTGGCCCCAGCCCAGCTGTCGGGTGGTGAGCAGTGTCAGGGAGACAGGAGTGCCGGAGCTGGTGAGGTTCCCAAGGAGGTGAGGTTGCCTGTGGCCCCCTCCCAGGGCACAGTCCCACCCCTCCAGTAGTGCACTCTGTCCTCCCTGGTAGGTACAGGCTTTTCCCCACCACCATGGTGCAGCCATGCCTGCCCCCAACACCACTGGTGCAGTTCCATCCTCCACGCAGTGGTGCAGCCCCATCCCAGCACCCATTCGAGCTGCTGTCCCATTGCAGGGGGCATTGTGACAGCTGAGGACCTGAACAACTACCGTGCTGAGCTGATCGAGCACCCGCTGAACATCAGCCTGGGAGACGCGGTGCTGTACATGCCCAGTGCGCGGCTCAGCGGGCCCGTGCTGGCCCTCATCCTCAACATCCTCAAAGGTGAGTGGTCGCACCACAGCCGTGTGGTAGGACCCATGACACTGCCTCTCTCTCCCCACGCCCCACCCCTCCTGCATCTCTGCTCGCCCCCCATGCCACGTCTTTCCATCACTGAGCTCCTGAGGTGTGTCCCTGCGTCACAGCTCACCATGTCCTGAAGGAGGCAGTGCAGAGCAACAGGGCTGAAGCGGGCAATGCTCAAGGGTTGGAGGAGGAACAGGAGTCATCAGGAGGGAGAGAGGTGCAGGAGCTCAGGGCTGCAGGGCCGGTCCAGAGGGTACCCCGGTCCAGTGGGTGACCCTGCCACTTGGTCATTGAATGGCCAGAGCTGATGCGTGACGTGAGGTCCAGGCTCGGGAGCCCTCACCTTACTTCACTCTCACCACAGCCTTCTGAAGCAGCTGCTGCTATTGGTTATTAAACGCTCCTTGAGGTGGGCAAAGTGGCTCAGGCAGGTGTTAACCCTCTGAGCCCCTCAGAGCCTCTGGGGCTCAGCAACATGCACCTGGCTCTGATCAACCAGGGTACAACTTCTCCCGGGAGAGCGTGGAGACCCCCGAGCAGAAGGGCCTGACGTACCACCGCATCGTAGAGGCTTTCCGGTTTGCCTACGCCAAGAGGACCCTGCTTGGGGACCCCAAGTTTGTGGATGTGACTGAGGTAAGGGGCAGGGGCTGGCTCACTGTGGGTGTGGGGCCTGCCGTAGAGGCATCAGGTGGGCTCCCCAGGGTGGCTACAGCCTCACATATGCTTTATGAATCCATTCCTGCCACAGAATTCGATTGCGGGCCTACTGTGTGCTCGGATGGACTCGTGGGTGACCCCCAGTCTTGGCTTCTGCCCCACAGAACTGACAGTGCGGGGAATTAGTGGCCACCCTCCTACCTCAGGTCCTTTGCACATGCTGTGGTTCTTGAGTGCTCAGTGCTGAGATGAGGAATGCATGGGGGCATTGCAGCCCTCGGGCATGGTGAGATGGATGGGTGAAAGGGAGAGGGCCAGGTGAACAGAGACCTCGGCCACCCACTCCCTGTCACTCCAAACTAATGCTTCCCAGATGCCACCCTCAGCCCTGCACCACCTGACCCACTCACCCAGTAGTTGCCCCAGCTCCATGCTGGGTCCCTATAAGACCCTGTCATATCCCTTCCCACTGAGGATCCTCACATCCCTCCTTACCTACTTGGGTCCTTGGCATTCCTGGGCGGATCTGCAGACCCCCCCACACTGACCAGTGACCTCCCAGGAGGGGCGTCAGCTGCCCGGGTGGTGTCTTCTCTTTCCCTGTGAGCATTCTGCACCTCTGACTCCCGCTGCAGCCAGTGACCTGGTGTCTTGTCTCTCTGAGGGGACAGAGCCACTGCAGCGTGTCCCTCTGCCCTCCTTTTTGGCTAAGGCCAGCTCCTTCATCTACTCACTGGCTCGGGGTGCTGTTCCTACAATGCTCCTGTCTGCCTCTGATGATTTATTTCTTTATCACGGATTATTCCCGAAAGAAAGGCAGCTGTTGTTGCTCTAGAAACTTCTATCTGCTGCCTCCTTCTGTCCTTTGCTCCTCTTAGAGCAAACATGGCTGGGCTATGTCCTCTCTCCCTTCAGGGTATCCCCTCCCCTGCTCTATCCCCATGCCACCAGATCGCCATGTCCAGCCTCAGTTTCCCCATCAGGCCCCACTCAGCAGCATCTCACACAGCTCACCACACTCTCCTCGAGTTTTCATTTTGCAAATTTTCGCACCTACAAAAATGTAAAAAAAACCCAAAACTGCCCAAGCATCAATGTTCCCTTTTCCTGGATTCTGCAGTGTGGACATTTCTGCCGGATTTCCTAACTCTCTCCGTCTCCACCCACATCTATTGGGATTCGTGTTTTTCTGAGGGATTCCACAGTAGGTTACTGATGTCGCACCTCAGGGTGTGTCTCAAAAGTGAGACTTGAACATAGCACAGCAGGATGTCGGGGTGACACAACCTGCTGTCCCTTCTCTTTACCTACAGTAGGCTCCCTTGGCTGTTTTGTTTTTGTTGTGTTTTTGTTTGTACACAGAGTCTCTGTCATCCAGGTTGGAGTGCAGTGGTGTGATCTTGGCTCACTGCAGCCTCAACCTCCAGGGCTCAAGCAATCCTCCCACTTCAGCCCCCTGAGCAGCTGGGACCAGAGGCACGTGCCACCAAACCTGGATAATTTTTGTATTTTTTTTAGAGACAGGGTCTTGCCCAGACTGGTCTCAAACTCCTGGGATCAAACTGTCTTCCCACCTCAGCCTCCCAAAGCGCTGGGATTACAGGTGTGTTTTTTCTTTGAGACGGAGTCTCGCTCTGTTGCCCAGGCTGGAGTGCAGTGGCGCTATCTCGGCTCACTGCAAGCTCCGCCTCCTGGGTTCACGCCATTCTCCTGCCTCAGCCTCCCGAGTAGCTGGGACTACAGGCGCCCGACACTGCGCCCAGCTAATTTTTTGTATTTTTAGTAGAGACGGGGTTTCACCGTGATCGCGATCTCCTGACCTCGTGATCCGCCTGCCTCGGCCTCCCAAAGTGCTGGGATTACAGGCATGAACCACCGTGCCTGGCCTGTTTTGTTGATTTTTAAAGCCCAGGGCAGTAGTCTTGGAAAATGTCCCACATCGTGGATTTGCCTTTCTGTTTCCTTGAGGGCAGATTCAGACAGAACACCTTTCCCTGGGATTGGTCAACTAATCCGTGGGGTGTTGCTGAAACTTTATTTTATTTTATTTTATTTTATTTTTGAGACGGAGTCTCGCTCTGTCCCCCAGGCTGTCCCCCAGGCTGGAGTGCAGTGGCAGGATCTCCGCTCACTGCAAGCTCCGCCTCCCAGGTTCACGCCATTCTCCTGCCTCAGCCCCCCAAGTAGCTGGGACTACAGGTGCCCACCACCGCGCCCAGCTAATTTTTTGTATTTTTAGTAGAGACGGGGTTTCACTGTGTTAGCCAGGATGGTCTCGATCTCCTGACGTCATGATCCGCCCTCCCAAAGTGCTGGGATTACAGGCCTCGGCCTCCCAAAGTGCTGGGATTACAGGCGTGAGCCACCGCGCCCGGTGTTGAAACTCTCTTGAGGCATTTTCTTCGGCCTTCGGGTCCATCCTCTCTGTCTCCTCTTTGACCTCCTCATCTCCTCCTCGCCACTGCCTTGGGGACCTTGGCCAGGCTCATGGCATCCAGCAGCCACTCAATGTCAATACCTCCATGTTCATCTCTCAGCCCGCCCTTGCCCGTGAACCCATGCTTATTTATTTATTTTTTTTATACGTGCACCCATGCTCTTTGGGTCTGATGAAGTATCCAAAATCAAGCTCCTGACCATCCCCAAACCGGCCCCTTCTGCCGGCCTCGCTAGTCGGCACCATCCTTGATTCTTCTCTTTCTCCCACCCAGGCCATCATCTCTTGCCTGGTTGATACCCACAGCCTCCCCTTTGGGCTTTATCCTTATCCCCGTCATAGCTGCCAGAGGGACCCTGTGAAAACACTCCCCAGCCTCCTCATTCCTCTGCCCTAAGCCTGCATGGCACAGAGAAAAAGCCAGTTGTTATGGGACCTAGGAGGTCCTGTGGGATGGGCCCCAGCCTGCATCTTCATCCTCTTCTCCCCACCCTACTCCATTCACTCTCTGCCTATCGCTCACCAGCCTATACCACCTGCCTCAGGGCCTTTGCACTGACCATTTAGGCCACATTCCAGGCTCTTTTCACACGTTGCCTCCTCTGAGAAGCCCTCCCTGACCACTCTGCCCATACCTCATGCCTCTTGATTCCCCTTACCTGGCCTGTGGTTTCAGCACTTTCCCTGGGTGTGTTTGTTTTTCTTGGCATGAGGGCAGGACTTAAGTGTCTGTTCCCTGTTGATTCCCCAGTGCCAGGCATGCAGTGCAAATTCTAGAAATATTTTTTGCATGAAGGAATGAGTGATTGAATGCGGCAAGGGTCTGGAGGCTGAGGACCAGGCAGACAGACATTCAGAGTTGCTGGAACGCGACAGAGACAGGGAGTCAGACTGGTCATGCAAGGTCTTGGGCCTGCCCTTGGGTCCTGGGGAGCCACGGAAGGTTGTGGGTGCCAGAGGGTTGCGGTCAGAGTCACAGTCAAGGGCCTTCTGAGACCTGTGCCCCCTCCCCACCCTCCCTCCCCACCTCCTCAGGCCA